>NC_000018.10:54537528-55787528 GCF_000001405.40 Homo sapiens | reverse complement strand
ATAATCACTGAGATTTTTGATAAAAATTGATTTTAAAAGATGTTTGTATGGAAAGAGGAGAGAAAGCATTGTTGGTCATATGACAGCTAAGTTTTCACCTTGGTTCTTTTTAATTATCAACTATCATTTTGGTTTTTCTTTCACCAAATTGCATCTGAAATTTTGCTAGTCAGGCCAAAACTGTATTCCCATTATTCTGATATTTCAGAGAAATGTCAGGCCAAATCCTTGTGCAATTTTCTTATAATAAGAATACTCTTATAGTCATCTTATTTAGCTTTTGAGTATGAGAGAAAGGAAATATTTCACTTTAGGCAAAGCTGTAGGGTAAGGGAGCTTGCTTTCTTGACCCCACCCCATTTTGCTATCTGTGCCCCATGGCCTACCTTGGACAGAGCCAGCTGAAAGGACCCAGGAGACTGGGCTTTCATCTGTCCACTGGGCCTGGCTGGCTGCTCCTGATAAGCTTCAGTGGCTAAGAAGTTTGATTTGTCCTGAAGAATACAGCATCTGATGGGGAGCACAATGGGTTGACACTGGCAGGGGAAATAGTATCTACTTCCTAACACATGGCCATGGATGCACTGTGGTAATGAAGGATCTAGGAGCAGGTGGAAATAGAATTCCACAGAGGCAGCCAGCACCAGAAAAGTTGGCCAATAGGTGGATGAGACTTAATCCTTGGCCTATCTGGTTCAGAGACTTGGAAATGTAAGACGTATCTTCAAGCCAGTGGACTAGAAAACCAGTGAGTCACCATCTCAGCCACACAGATCCAGGGAAACAGATTAAAACTTCAATTAAACAAAATAGGCTCTGCAGTAAGTGTAACTTGGGGCTCCAATAATTCCTAGAGAACGAAGAAAGCTCACCTTGTGAGTAAGACTAAGTGGTCTTCAGGGCTCCAGAAATTCAGGAGTTGGATTCCAGCTTAACTATAGTACTAGTAAACCACAATGCAATAATAATTAGGACACATACATTAATGCAAGACATTATCCTTTCAAGTACATTCTTTTTTTTTTTTTTCAGAGAGACAGGACCTTGCTCTGTCATCCGAGTTGGAGTGCAATGGCCTGATCACATCTCACTGCAGCTTCCATCTCCTGGTCTCAAGCAATCATCTCATCTCAGCCTCTCAAGTAGCTGGGACTATAGGTGCACACCACCGCGCTGGCTAATTTTTAAGTTTTTGTTTTGTTTTGTTTTGTTTTTTTGTAGAAACAAGCTCTCATTATGTTGCCCAGGCTGGTCAACATAAACTCCTGGTCTCAAGAGATCCTCCCACCTCACTCTCCTGAGTAGCCTGGATTACAACCATGTACCACCACACCCAGCCTATAAGTATGTTCTAACTGGAGCCTTCCAAAGTGTCCAACAATGATGCCTAGGGTCAAATGCCAAGGTGGGAGGCAGTTTTTGAGGCCCTCAGTTCACATCTTCTGCTTTTGCCTACTCAGAAGACAGAACCAGCACAGAGATTTACCTGTTCCAACGTGATGTCCATTTGGTTGGTTTTCTTTGCACCAAGGATGCAGGCAGAATAGAATAGCAGAGGGGCCAGCAAACTATGGCCCATAAGGCAAATCTGGCCCACCACTTGGTTTTTGTTTTTTTAAATAAAGATTTATTGGAACAGAACACCACAATTTATTTACATATTATGTAGAACTGCTTTCACACTACAGTGGCAGAGCTAAATAGTTGTGACAAAGACTGCATGGCCTGCAAACCCTAAAATATTTACTCTCTGTTCCTTTATGGAAAAAGTTCACTGACTCCTAAGGTAGTGCATAGGGGGGTCAGACTGTCCACTATCCTAAGAGCTCTGTTCCTATCCTTACTAAGCAGGTAAGTTTAGGCAAACCACTTTAACTCTTTATGCCTCAGAATTCTCATCATTTAAACTGTGATAATAATATAATTTCCTTCGTGGAGTAATCAATCCTCCATATCTACAGGTTCTACATCTGTAGATTCAACCAATCATGAATCGAAAATATATGGGGGAAATATTTTGTCTGTGCTTAACAGGTACAGACTTTTTTTCTTTTCTTTATTCCATAAATAACACATTATAGAAAGTATTTACATATCATTTACCTTATATCTGGTATTATAAATAATCTAGAGATAGTTTAAGTATACAGGAAAATGTGCATAGATTATATATAAATACTATGCCATTTTCTATCAGGGACTTGAGCATCCACTGATTTTGGTATTTGCGGGGGTCCGGGAACCAGTCTCCTACAGATACTGAGAGAAGATTATAGTTACAAAAACTTAATGCAATCATACATGGAATGTGCCCAGCACAGTGTCTGGCATGTAATAAGTATCATATAATAATTAACAATTATTGCTATCCATCAGGTAACAGCACTTTCAGAATTGTATTCAAGCAGAATTTGTTTCTAATATAGAGCCTATAAAGTAAGTATGCACTCTTGATAAAGGTACCAATACAGGCACTGGCCAAAACCAGTTGAATCTGGATAAGGTACTTGGTTTTAATATTGTCAATATAAAAATTTTTAAGAAGATCACTTACCATTCTTTATTGCTGGGAATCTCCACAGTATCTTGTAAATTGCTTTAAACAGGTACTTAAAATTTTCTGTTGGACTCTGTCAAATGCAGATAAGGGTCATGAAGGAAAAATTTACATTTCATCAGTATTAAAAATTTATTAACACTCATGAAAATGTATTTTATTGTGCTTTTTTTGATGTTTTATATTACAATCCCTGCCACATACTTTGAAAAAAATTGCTTCACCGTTGCAGCTTAAACCTTCAAATTCTCTCTTCAACTCAGAATGCCATTCATTAAATTCCTACTTCTAAGGAACCATAAATGCAGTAATTTAGACCCTGATAAAGGCTTTAAAGTTGTCCCATAGGATACTTGGGGTGGAGAAAGATGGAACATTAGTGTCAAAGAAGCATATTATTTGATTCTCAATATAATTAATAAACTCTTCCTCTCCCCCACAGGAATCTGCTAAATCTCCAATTCTTATTTGCATTGAAGCCAAAGATTTAGTTACCTACCTAACAGAAAAGGGGGGAAAGATCTGAAAACGGCTTTAAGTATTTAGTAGTTTAAACCCTGCATAAATTGGAGATTTGAATAAAAAATCAGCCCTGGTATTTTTCTATGAAAATAGTGAACAGAAGGAATATATGTGCTCAGAGGAATAGAGTTTTATGCCAAACATCAATCAACCCGGCTTTAGAAGACTATTTATAATACTGTGGGGGATCTGGGCAGTTGCACTTCACACTGTGAGGACCAATCCATGACATTAGTGAACAATTGAAGTCTTTACAAATAATTAAAACTCTGTTTGAAAATGGAGATGTTTTCCACAGCTTTCCTGTGTATGCATGATGTCATCGATATTCAAGAGTGTAAATATTGACTAGTTATTGCTGGTAGCCAGAAGGAGCAAAATCCCCTTTGAAATAATAATGTGGAGTGTGTGTATATAACATATACATATGTATGCACACACATATGCATAGAGATGTTAAATATATAGTCATATAGGGAGAGAGAAAATATAGATTTCACTTTATATGACAGTTGAATAGCTATACTTTAAACAACCTATGTTCACTGCCAGTACAGTTCTAGTGTGACTGTGTATGTATGTATGTGTGTGTGTGTATGTGTATGATATGCAAAGAAAACGCAAAAATATTTCTGAAATTTTTTATCTGTGTTTTTGGTTTTTTTTCTTAACATGATAATGAGAGATATTATAAAGCACACCTTTTGTCTTTAAAAAATAACCTCTTCATTGTTTAGATTAGTATCTAGAAATAGAAGATTTTAGAGCTTGCATGGATGGAATTAATAATCTTATCTTATTTTCATAATATTTTAAGCTCACCTTAAATCCTTTTGGGGTGGAAGTAGAGTACCATTAATACATAAATTAAAATCCTGAAAATGGCTCCTTCATTTGACAATTTTTCATTTAAGAGACATGGGACTTAGAAAATTTTTGAGATTTAAAAAAATCCCTCCAGATTATTATTTCAATTGACTCATTTAGCTAAGAACGACTAAAGATATCAGCACATTTGGGAGTGTGAAGATACTGAAGAAACAAAAGCCATTTCCTTTCTCCATGGAGCTTCCAATTCCGAGCCAGATGTAACATACGTGCATGTGTGGGTTTTATCAACTACAGAATTGGGCTCTCTACAAGAAGTCATTGGGTGTTGCAAACAATAAGTGCAAAAAGAGAAAAGGAAGCAATCTGTACAGGTGAAGAACTGACAGGAAAGAGGTAAGCCTCACCTATGACAAAATGAATTGTGGATGCTGGATCACTGAAGTAGGAGAGAGGATGGCAGTGCAAATCAGAGAAATGTCATTAAAAAGGGGGGGTGCGTGCACACAGTAAGTTGGGAGAAATAAAAATCAGAGAGTAGAATGAATTTGAGACTATGAACTAGATTAATTAAGATTTATGGTCTTGGCCAGGCGTGGTGGCTCATGCCTGTAATCCCAGCACTCTGGGAGGCTGGGGCAGGTGGTTAACCTGAGTCCATGAGTTCAAGACTAGCCTGGACAACATGGTAAAACCTTGTCTCTACAAAAAAATAAAAATTAAAATTCTAACAATTAGCCAGCTGTGGTGGTGCACAACAGTAAGTCCCAGCTACTCAGGAGGCTGAGGTGGGAGGATCGCTTGATCCTGGGAGGCAGAGGTTGCAGTGAGCCATGATGGCACCACTGCACTCAAGCCTGGGCGACACAGCAATACCCTGCCTGAAAAGAAAAATTAAAAATTAAAAAAAAAACTTATGGTCTTATGAGTGGGCTTTCAGTTCCATTTTTGGCTTTACAAGATTCCCACTCAATCAAAATTACACATACAAAATGGAGTGAAGAAAAGCTTTGCATTTACTTAGGAGGTGAAAGAACCATGATAATGTTGGCCCATCCATTTTAACTATGTTAGTGAACATTAAAGTTTGCTCCTTTAAGTGATTTGCCCATGTGTAGGTAGGGAATGTATTTCACACATCTTTTAGACTCTCCACTGTATGGACCAAGAGCAGGACTGACTGACTACACGTTGATAAATTGTTTCAGGCCACTATACTGGATATACTGAATAGACTGAGTGAAATCTCCCCGACGATCTTCACAGATGACTGGAGTCCACAGAAGTCCCTGACCCCCAGTGTTAAAGAGGCCATTACGAATACAGGTTATTATTAGGATAGGAGATATTGTCTGGAATTAAAGTCACCACCAGTCAAATTGGCTGGTACCAGATTCCTGTGATATCTTTGTGCTGTCAACACATACAAAGAGAAGTGTGTGAAAATTATTCAGTCAAAGAATAACTAGCCTAACAAAGGGAACAATTCTGGACAAAAAGTAATCCCGTTTGATTCCAAGAGTAATCCTGTCCGCAGGACAGCTTGGCAAATCCCCCACTTGAAATTTTGTTTTAGAAACACGTTCTCTGACAAGGCAAGAATTCCTCCTAAGATGACATACAGAATTCAGGCCCGAAGCCTGGAAGTCTTGCTCTGAGGCCCATCAGCATGGAAACAGGCCTTTTTAAAGGAAATAATCCAGATATTTTCTTTTTCCTGATGCCTGTGTAGACGTGTTTCCTTGCAGCTCCTTTCAGTTGGCCTGAATGCGGGAAAGCACCAGGGGGAGCTCACACATCTTCCTTCTTTTTCTCCCCCTCTTACAGAAGGTTGGCTCTTGTATCCTAGCAAAAGGGTGGGTCAAAAACAACAACATGCATGAAATGATTCAGAAAGGTAAACAAAGGCAATTCGTTCTGTAAAAATACTCTAGATTCTTTCTGAGGACTGGGCACTACACTGCTCATAGTGGGCACCTAAAGTCAGCATTCAGCCAACTCAGCGGGCTTTAAGATGGAGACTCTTAAACCTCCTGCATCAAAAAGACATAAGGGAATGTCCCTGAGAAGAGCCTGTGTCTCCTTTGAAGAGAGAGAGAGAGATTGATTCTGCCTCCTTGCAATTCGAACCGGCATTTTCCAGAACACTCCAATTTGAATCACAGTGGAGGGTCATGGGAGGGATTTGGCACAGGGGAGTCTTGGGTCTTTGGTTTTCCACATTGATCAATGGGATTGATTTTTTCTGTTTTTGTTTTTGTTTTAAAAGAAGAGAATTAGTTCCTTTTTCTGTCTCCAGGATTGAAAACATGAAGGCAAAGAAGAGAAACTCACAATATGTCATTAACTTTGGGTTATCAATATTAGTGGAAAGAATCAATGGTGCAAAGAATCCTAAAGGACTAGATAATCCGCATATTCGACTTCCTGATTATGTGTTACTGACACTAACATTTCAGAGTGTGGAGACCCTGCCCCATCTGGGGAGAGGGAGAGACAAAGACCCCCTGCTTCTGGTACTTGATTCACACATAATGCCCTCCATTTACTGCTTTCAAGAAATAACCTGTTTCTAATCTTAAATTTCAATCTACTGATCACAAAATCATAGAGATCTTAGCCTTGAAAGAGACTTCATGAGACCATGTGACCAACTTTCTGACGCAGGTGAGATATCATTGTTTTGCATTTTATTTTATAGAGGAAGTCACTGAGATTCAGAAAGGAAAATTAAAGAGGCCGGGTCTCAGTTGAGTGATTTTTCTCCGTAGATTAAAAAATCCATTCAGTATCCAGTTCCCCTTCCCCACCTACTCCTCCTAATAAGGCTGTGAATAGCGTTTTTTATATCCCAAGTCTAAACTTTGAGCCATTGGCAACCCTTAGGAGGAAAGAGATGAATCACAAGGGATTGTGGAATCATTAGAAATTGAGGTAGCTGAACATCTGGGGGAACGCTCGGCTTGATTCAAAACTCTCATCAAATGTGGTTTTCTCCTGGGTGGGAGGCCGCTGAGCCGCAGGGAAGCTGCGGGGCCAGCTGAGTAGCCGGCGGCCTGTTGGGTCCCCAGTGTCGCGCGACAGCACGACCCGAGACAAGGCACCTGGGGCTGGTGCCAGGCAGAGGCCCCGCGTTGCGTGGCCGGCGGCAACAGCGCCTGGCGGTCGGTTCCGGGCGGGGCTGCAGGCGCCGGGTTCCCGCGGCCGCGAGGCGGGGCTGGAGGGCGCTGCGGGCTGCGCGGAGGCTGCGGGAAGCGCGGGGAGCACGCGGAGCCCGACTAGCAGGGAGATCGCGTCGCGCCGGGCACAGGCACGGGACCCGCGCTCTAGGAGGGCGCAGCGAGAGGCGCACTGCGCACCCAGGGGCTGCGGTCCCGGCCGCCGTGCGGTGACAAGCTGACTCCCCGCCGCCGCCCAGCCAAGTCCGCGCGGGGTGCTGGCGGAGATGTCGCATGGGAGGCTTCTTCAACGAGGTGCAAATCCAAGCCACCTCGCCTGAGTGAATGAAGGGACGGCGCGGGGCGCGGGTGGGGTTCACCGTGACAAAAGCCCAGTACCTGGTTCAAACTTTTTTTTTTTTTTTGCCCGCAGGATTAGAACATCCGACATTAAAATGTCTCAGTGCAGCAGAATTTCCCAGCGACTTCGGTGGCGGGAGAGCAGCACCTCTCAGGCACAGCTGTGCGCATCCCTCGGGCCCCACCGACCGCACCATCTGACCGCGGGAAACGAAATCTGAGCTCAGGAATTTGAACTGCCCCACGCACGTTCGTTCCCGGATAAATCTCCTAGAGGACCGTGATTTTTCCACTTAGAGATTATTTAGGGAGATGTCCTGGATGGGACAAGTAGACAAATGGCGGCCCGAGGAAAATGCAGGAAACTCTACATTGTAGACGCTTAAGCACCAACTGTCTGGGCCCCGGGGCAGGGAACGGGAGACATTATCCACCGGAAACATCACACCCCCGGGGCTCCTGGCATTTTCTACATCAGTGAATGTGCCAGCGAAGAAGAGTGTGGGGAAATTTTCTGAACATAGAATTCATATTCCTGAAACGTTAAGTCGTGAAGTGGGTGCTTCAGCTGTCCCCCAGCTTTAGGATTTTAACCCAGCTTTGGTTTTGATCACCGAGAGTTATTCCTTATAATCAAATCAGCAAAAGCGTTCAATTACCTATTACTGGTTGAGAAAGATTCCGTTCCCCCAGCTCATTGTATCGGTTCTTGGACCCAAGATGTTAATTATCGGCCAGGCATTCACAGGGGGTTAATATGGCCCCCCTCGACACCTTGCCTCGTACCAGAGACACCAAAAGCTGCCGCTGAGGGATAATAGAGAATGGGAAAAGCTGGTCATGAAAAACCTCTTTTATTCTTACTTGCAAGCTACCCTTTTGACATTCTTTTTTTAACACTAAATGGAGATTACTGAATTGATAACTTTTGGGTTTTCTCTGTCACACTGGGGTTTTTTTCCCCCCGTTTGTTTGTAAGGTTTTTTTGGTTTTGGTTTTGGTTTTGGGGGGAGGGGAAGGGGGAAGTGGATAGGGAGATGGAAGAGTGTTCTGTTACTGGTTTTATCAAATCCTGTTAGGTCTTGTTCTTCAGTGTAATGTAGAATGGAGAAGTTGCATAAGTACATGATTGACAAACAAGGTCTCTTAGAAGAGAGTTAAGGAGTAGGAAATATAATGTGTCCTGGAGAAAAAGAAAGAGAAAACCCTTAGTATGACACACTGGCCTTTAAATAGAGGACACATGAATATGCAAAGGAGAGGCACGTGTGAAATAAGGTGTGCCTTGCTGAGCCCTCCCGCCCCCACCCCCCATGTATCAAGAACTTTACTTACATTATCTCATCTAATTCTACCCACAACCCAAGAGGAAGGGCGATACTTTTAATTCGGGTTTTTACAGACAAGAAATTTGTATCTCAGAGGCCCAAAGTAAATTGCCTGAGGGCATATAGCTACTTAGGACAGAATTAGAATTGATTAAAGAGTCAAAAATTCTTTGAGAATTAATGTTTTAAACTCTCGATTAGTTACCAAGGGAATCTGAGAAATTAATTAACTTTTGGGGGGATCTTTAGATTAGTGGGGAAATTATGTTAAGCCCAAAGAAAGACAAGCCCGTGAATTTTCTTGTTATCTATGAAGTGGTTTGGTGAAAGGTGTGACAATTTGAGAAAACTGAAAAGTGCTGAAATTCCTTTAATAAGGTTCTGTTTAAACTGATAGAGCTACCAGATATAATTAGGCAGATATCCATTTTCTTCTGGAAGCTTCTATTATTTGAGAAGAAAACTGAAAAGCTTTAGACTGTTTCAAATTAAGGACAATTTGAATTTTAGTTGGAAAGCGGATAAACTATCTGTATGATTGAGTTTAAAAGGCATGGAAAGACTATTACGAAGTATTGATCCCACTCAGTGAGAGCAAGCACAGCTTTCAAATGATACAGATCTGGCTATGAATTTGAATGGTGACTGTGCCTAGCTGTGTGACCAAGGGCAACTTTCTTAACCTCTCTGGGCCTCTGAGTCCTCGTCTTTAAAATGAGACAAATAAGCCCTTGCAAGACGCTTGTGATGATAAAATAAAAGAGTATGGGTGAAAGTCCTTAACAGAATGCCTGATATGTAGCAGATACTCAACAGAGTTAGCAATGTTTCATTTAATTAAAGCATTTGAGAGCAGGATAGGGAGCACCACTAACTTCAGCTCTTCAACAATTTTGCCTGGGGCTGGCTCTGGGGAATAGACTTGGATTCTCACGAGTATGTGAATCTTCAGTTACTTCCTTGAAAGGACAGACAGTTATAAAAGCAAGCAGTGAAGTCTGGGAAGGTGGAGGAGAATGGTTATGGAAAGTTATCCCCACATCATAAGTCTTCCTGATCTTGAGATCAAACAACAACACTTTCAGAAACAGCAAGAAATTAAGGCTGAAGCAAAATACCCCCTGTATAATTTTTAAGTCAGTTAATAATGAAGGTGTAAATAAAACAGAAATGTCTCTGTTCTTACTTAAATCTTGAACAAATAAGGGATTTTTTTCTTTAGTGTTTTTTAATAGTTTAATCATTTTTTAAGACACAATTTTTGCCTAGTTACTGTTTACTAACTGCCCTGCCAAAAATTAGTTATTACTTCAGGACTTATGTTTGAATAGAACTGCGAAATCCTGCTTTAAAAAGTACTATGAAACAATTCATCAAAATGTTTTCCTCTGATATTTTTTACCAGGTAAAGGCAAGATTACTTCTGGAGATTTTCTTTGAAAATAATGATTTTTTTTTCCTGATTATGAAAGTAATACACGTTCATTATGGACAATTTAGTATAAAATGAGAGAACAAGCTATAAAGGAGCAAACGAGAACACCCTTATTCTCACCAGTAAGAGTTAACCACTTTTAATATTTTGATGATTTCTTTCAGTCTTTTTACCCTTTATTTTTTTAGCCTTGGTACGAACCTATGGAGTATAAAATTGTGCATTCTTGTTTTTATATTTATTTTCTCCCATGTAACTAAAAAGGATCTGTAACATTTTTAGTGACTGTCTAATTTTATATCATACCAATATGATATATTAGTATCATTTTTTAAGAAACAATAGAGAATTCTCTATTGTTGAGTGTCTGTGAGTCCCAGTTTTTGCTATTGTAAATTATGCTAAACAAAAATCTGTGTGCATAAATCTCTGAGTTTAAGATTATTTCGTTAAGATAGACTTCTATAACAAGAATTACTAGGTTCATATAATACTTCTAATGCTTTTGAAATATATTGTCGTATTGATTTTAGCAGTTTTCAGTCCAAGCAGCAATAGATGAAGAGAGCTGTTCTCTCCTAATGCCTCTAGTCATAGTGACTGATACCACAGCCAAAACAAAAAAAAAAAACAACAACAAAAAAAACAAATCTTTTCTAATTTGATAGGCTAAAGAAAAGATCTTGTTGTTTTATTTGTATTTTGGGAGGGCTACTGCCATTGAACAGCTTTTCCAGATGTTCATTAGCCATTTTCTCTTTTGTGAACTATCTATTACTGTCCTTTGCCTGTTTTTCTATTGAGGCCTTAATTTTTTTAACTGTATTTATATAAACCCCACGTATCAGCCCTTTGTTGTAATTGTGGCAGTTTTTTCCCATTTTACTTTTTGCATTTTAATGTTATTCATGATTTTTGATACATAAAAATGTTAAAGATTTATTTAGATAAATGTATCAAGTATTTTTTAATTTTTTTATGTTGCTCTACAGAAAATCACCTAGATATTCACCTATTTTTTTCTACTTGCATTTTTATGAGCTTGTTTTTACATTTAAGTCTTTATTGCTTTTGTACTTTATTGCATTGTGAGTTAAGAATCTGATTTTTCCCTCAAATAGCTAGGCAGTTTTTCCAATACCGTCAACTCAGTGTCCATCTCCCCCTAGCTGATTTACTGTGCCTCCACATCAGAGACCTCTTTTGGTTGATAAAGATGCAGGGATGCTCTTCACAGTACAGTTATTAACAGCCAGAGCAATATATGAGGATCAACTAATCGGAACCAGTCATAAGCATCAGATTGGGCCAGCAAGCACATCCCAGGTGAGGACCAAAATTGCAAATGGGACCTAAGAAGTTCCTGCATGCAACAAAAGTGGTTTCCTTTCAAAGAAGGATATGTTTAAATTAACTTAACATGTTTAAAGGGGGACTCTCCTGTAAGTTTCATTTGGAGCACGTGGAGTTTACATTAGTTTCATTGTGTTCATTCAACAAACACTAGTTAAGCCACCCCTATGGACAGGTTCTGTTTTAGTATCTCAATAGGTGAGAGAGAGAGAGAGACTCTAAACAGACAGACAGATAGATGATAGATAGACAGATAAATAGATAGATAATCTCCCTATTTCTCTCTTTCTGTGTGTGTCTTTCTCATATTGTCAAAAAATGCTACTGAGCTCAGTGAAATTCACATTAAGTGGTAGTACCAATTTTCTATTATTGATGTCACATCATTTCTCTTTCATTACAATAATTGTTACTGTTCTTTGGGATACATTCCCGGTCAACTCATCCTTTCCTAATATGACACAAATTGCATCTGCCGGTAATTTGGTCTGCTTATTAGTTGATAGACATTGTAAGTCTTTGGTTTGTCCATCTGTTCTCATAGTTTGTCTGCTCCTTAAAGAATTGGATTATTTGCTACACTTTTCAGGTGGCTTTATTTTGCATATATTTCTGAATTTTCTTTTTCATGATAACAATACCAGAAGGATGTCCCAATTTTACATTCTATCTTTCCTTTTGCTTTGAAATAATTTAAATCACTTCAAGAAAGATTAATAAAGAAATTATATTTCTATCGAATCTTTATGCAATTAGGTTACTGAACTTTTGAAATCAAAGGAGGAAATCAGATTTTGTGGTTTTGCCCAGTATACTATAGAATGTCAATATTGTTCTATTATAAAAATAATATTCTATATATTATATTCTTATATTAGAACAATACTATTCTATATATAATATGCTAATATAAGAATAAGACAGCAATAGACCAATTGTTCCTGTTAAGGAAGACTTGTTGATTCACTGGTGCCCACCCATTGTAGATGGGGTGAGAGGATCGGGACTCTGCTGGGATCTGACATCTGGGAATTCCCAAGGGTCCAACATTGGATGGACAAGTGGAGCAGAAGAATCCATCATTAGGAGGAACAAAGGGTGAGGAATTCACGGGTCAATTGTGACTCCAGAGCCTGGAAAACGAACAACAACCATGAGACTGCTACCAGAGCCAGACTCTATCCCGGGGAGAAGGAGTGTACAGAACCAAGCAGGTCCTTGCCACAGAGCATGGGAGAGAAATGGGGCCCCAAAGTGTCTATGAATTGACCGAAAATGAGGAGGAAAATGTTGACGTCATCCAATTAGCAGAGATTAACCAGATTAGGTTTTCTGGCACTTGGCAGAATGGTAACTCAAAATAAAAACTGAGTTTAGTAAAAAACAATACAGATATTTTACATTTCTTGGTCATCTTGATTATCACAATGACACTAGTATGGGCCCTAGGTATAGACATTTATTTTTGTGCAGTGTAAACCTTGCTGTGTTCAAGCGTGACTACAGTACTAGATTCCCGCCATTCCCTGAAAGGTTAACCTGTTCTTGCTGGGGACTGAGTTCTCTCCCAATGCCTGTTCTGAAACAGCACATCAACTGCAATCATGGTGCTGTCACTTACCTTTCCCTAACCATCCTCTTGAAAGTCTGAATTTCCCATCCCCCAGATTGTATTCCTATGGAGTGAAATGATAGCCTTGATTCAGCTTGAGTTTGTCATTCCTCCTTCAACACAGAGACTCAGACTATTAGTTACTTCCACTCTCAAAAGAGAAAGCTGCCAAGAAGGGGGTTAGAAGCCTAATGAAAAAATTATTTTCATGCATCCCCAGTAATGGTAGATTTTTGTTGACATGCAATATAATCAATTCCTGTTGCTTTTCTGGATGGCTGGGCCCAGTAATTTATACCAGCTTCTGATCCCCTTAAGCAACTTGGTCCTACTTATGTGAACACACTATATCATCTCTACAGAATACACTGTGGTATTTATAGTCCCACAGACTTAGGCTGTGGAAGTACTCTTATTTCATTTTGTTCTTAACAATGTAATCCGGGCATTTTATTCTTAAACAGCTTCAATACCTTGCTGACTTTGAGCTTGTGGCTCACTAAGACCTTCAGGTCTTTCTCACAAGGACAATTGTAAAGCTACTATTCCGGGGACCCTGGTATTTGTTAGGTTTATTCAATATTTATTCAATTATTTTAAAAACTATTATTTTGTTTCTGATCAATAAGGTAATGTATGCTTGCTGTAGAAAAACTGGACAGTTCAGAAAAGCATAAAGATGCAAATAAAAATAGTTCACCCCCATCGCTTTGCATACATCTTTTAACATTTGCAAATATGCTACATATATTGTTTAGTAGTCAATTTTTTTCATGTAGCAATATATCATGCCATTAAATATTCTGCAAAGAATGATGCTTTTGGTTAGAATTTTAAACCAAAATATTCCACTTCTAGAAATTTACCTAATAAATAGTTATCATTGCAAATATTTAGCTACAAAGAAGTTTATAGCAGTTTCATTTATAATAATAAATAACTGACATAATACAAAAATATCAAGAGTAAATACTTACCTAAACAATGAAGTACAATGCAGCCGCTAAATTGTTTTTAAAATAATATTTTATAACATAAAAAAGTTGTATCAATGAATTAAGAGAAAAAGAAAATTATAAAACTGTATATACAGCATTTACTTTTTAAATAATATGTAATTATATCTATTAAGAAAGATTAGATGGCACAAAAGCTAAAATGGTTACATCTGGTTGAAGGAATCATGAGTGATTTTTTAGTTTTGTTTCGAGACTCTACTTTTCTAAATGTCTAATAATGTATATGTATTATAATTGTAATAAAAATATTTAATTCATTAAATAAATGATATTTCACCACTTAAAGGTACCATAATTTATTTAATTAATTTCCTCAAGCTTGGACATATAGGAAGTTTGTAATAAATAATGCCACATCATGAACACCACATTCATCTCTGGAGGTAAAGAAGTAAAGACATTGGGGGAAAGATGAATAAAGGGTATATCTCTATCAATAATGATTTATATTTTCTCTGGATGTTGGTGTATTAGTTCATTCTCATGCCTCTAATAAAGACAAACCCAAGATTGGGTAATTTACAAAGGAAAGAGGTTAAATTGACTCATAGTTCAGCATGGCTGGGGAGGCCTCAGGAAACTTACAATCATGGCAGAAGGGGAAGCCAACATGTCCTTCTTCACATGGTGTCAGAAAGAAGAATGAGAGCCTGCACAAAGGGAGAAGCCCCTTATAAAACCATCAGATCTTGTGAGAACTCACTTACTATCATAAGAACAGTATGGGGGAAACCACCCCATGTTTCAATTATCTCCACCTAGTCCTGCCCTTGACACATGGGGAGTATTACAATTCAAGATGAGATTTTGAGTGGGGACACAGCCAAACTATATCAGTTGGGTACATGGATGTTCACTGCATTAATCTTCGTGCTTTTTGTATGTATTAAATAGCTCGTAATAAATTTTAAAAACAATACTATAGTGAGCCATTTATATAGATAGATAGATAGATAGATAGATAGATAGATAGATAGATAGATTAAACATACATTTATTTCTTTAAAATAATTTGCTAAAAGTAGAACTACTGAGTAGAAATGGAAAAAAATATTTAAAGCTTTTGAAGTATATGCCAAATTGCCCTCTAGGAAGCCAGAAACAATTTATAGCCCACTGGCAGAATACCTGTTTGTTTTTTATCTCATCTTTGCAAAAAAATGTCCATTATTATGTCTTAGTCTTTGCAAAATTGGGGGATAAAAATTACCCCTATTGCATTAAGCTGAATTTCTTTGATTAGTAGTGAGGAAGACATTTTTGTCTTTATTGGTCATTTATCTTTCTTTTTTATATATTTTTTATATTTTTCCTGCCACTTCTTTTGCCCATTTTTCTGTTGATTGGGTATTATTAATTATTAATCTTTATAATATTAATAATATCATTCACAGCTGGTAATCTGCTTTGTATTTTTGGTATAAGGTATTTTGATGTATGAAAGTTTTACAGTTTATATAATGCAATATAGGGAAATTTTCTTTCATGATTTTTTTCTTTATCTGAAAGTTTAGAAAGGCCATATCTTTGATAATACCACATACACACTCACCTACAGATTTTTTCTAACTTATTGTTGGTTTTGTATTGTTTTATATTTAGCTCTCTAAGCTATCCATGTGTATGGTGTAAAAATCTAACTACATTTTTACTGAAGTAACTGGATCACAATATTTCAGGCCCCTCATTTTAAAAAAAATAAATAATTTTTATTTTTATGCATTTCCTGTTTTGAAATGCTCTTTTACCAATTACTAATACTAGAATCTATTTCTTGGCTTCTCTTTTCTTTTCTCCTTTTAATTAAAAAAAACCAACATCTCTCCAACCTGTAGCCCCCAGAAACCACTATATTTCTTGGCTTTTTATTCTGTCCATATGCCTGTCTCCTTCTGCACAGATCACCTTGCTATATTTTATTTATTCTACCTTTATATTTTTCTATGCCATAAAATTAACTTCCCTTCATAATTCTTTCTTTTCCTATTCTCCTTGGTTTGGTTAACTATTTCAGATGAAATTTCAAATCATTTTGTTATGTTCCAAAAATATTCTACTGGGCTTTTCTTGGAGTGGCATTTAATCTATACATGAATTGGGAAGAATGGAAGCTCACGTAATATTGATCCTTCCAGTGTCAAAATATGGAATGACTCTCCATTTATTCAAGTTGTACTAATTGGTCTTAAGTTTTATAATTTTCTTCATATAGGTCCTAAACATTTATGCTAAAATTTACTTCTAGATATAAATGTGACTTTAATATATTACAAAGATGGAATTTTCAGTAAGCATTAGGAAAATACCGAAATATTTATGGGGGAAAGCCATCTCATACCATTCAAAAAGGCAGAACTCAAATGGATTAAGCATTTAATTTAACTTAATTTTATTTTATTTTTGAGATGGAGTCTCGCTCTGTCGCCCAGGCTGGAGTACAGTCGTGTGAGCTTGGCTCACTGCAAGCTCTGCCTCCCGGGTTCACACCATTCTCCTGCCTCAGCCTCCCGGGTAGCTGGGACTACAGGCGCCTGCCACCACACCTGGCTAATTTTTTGTATTTTTAGTAGAGACGGGGCTTCACCGTGTTAGCCAGGATGGTCTCCATCTCCTGACCTCGTGATCCACCCATCTCGGCCTCCCAAAGTGCTGGGATTACAGGCGTGAGCCACCGCACCCGGCCTAAATTTTTTTTTAAAGAGGAAAGAATACTGGAAGTAACCATTTAAACACGTATTCTACTCTGATTGTAGTGAAGCCTTTCTGTAGCATGATTCTAAAACTAGTTGCCACAAAGAAAAAGAGAAAAAGATGGAATAAATTTTAAAACTAAAATTTTTAAAGATTCCCTAGAGAAAAACATGCTATATATGATTAAAGGTAAATAACTAACTGGAAAAAGTATGTTTAGTATAGAAAGTATTTCTCCAAATCAGCAAGAGAAAGATGTAAAAGGAGGAGGAATGGACAAGAAGATGTGATCAATGGAAAAGAAAAAAAACAGCAAGTAGGCATTTGAAAGATGACAGTTCTATTCCTAATGAAATAGTAGGCCGGGCCCGGTGGCTCATGCCTGTAATTCCAGCACTTTGGGAGGCCAAAGAGCACAGATTACCTGAGGTCAGGAGTTTGAGACCAGCCTGGCCAATACAGTGAAAGCACGTCTCTTACTAAAAAAAAAAAAAAAAAAAAAGCCAGGCATGGTAGCGGGTGCCTGTAATCCCAGCTACTTGGGAGTCTGAGGCAGGAGAATCACTTGAACCCGAGAGGCAGAGGTTGCAGTGAGCCGAGACTGCACCACTGCACTCCAGCCTGGGAGACAGAGCGAGACTCCTGCCCGTAATCCCAGCTACTTGGGAGGCTGAGGCAGGAGAATCACTTGAATCCAAGAGGCAGAGGTTGCAGTGAGCCGAGATTGCACCACTGCCCTCCAGCCTGGGACACAGAGCGAGACTCCGTTTCAAGAAAAAAAAAAAAAGAAAGAAATACTAATTGAAACCACAATGAACTATCACTTTTCTTCCATTATTTCATTGTGAAAGATCTTTTTAAACGTGATAATAATCAGGATTAGGTAATATTATAGAAAAACAAGCACTCACACAATGCTGAGAGATTGTGAATTGACACTGTCTTTTTGAAGGGCAAATAGCCAGATTTAACAAAGTAAAAATATGCCTGCAATTCGACCTACCAATTTTATTTTCAAGAATTATAACTATAAATTGTTCCAAAAGATATAGACAGATGTTTATTGCAGCACTGTTTGTATCACTGCAGCATTGCTTATAATTTTGAAGAATGAGAACAAAAAAAATTGCCTATGTCAAGAGAGGACCCAATGTAGCTGAATTTTGAGCACAGAAGTGACAAATTGGAATTAGATATTAAACCACTTTTGCATTTTTAAAATAATTCCTACTCTGATGATTACAATTCCTTTACATTACTATATTAATTTGCTAGTACTATATTTAGAAAATGTTTGCATTTACACTAAAATTGTGCTTGTTAAATTTTTAACTCATTTCAGTATAAAATCATGATGATTTATTTATCTTCATTTATTTTCTGAATTTCACTTTGTTAGTTTTTATCCCTTTTCAACCATTTTAAGATTATGTGTGTGTGTGTTTGTTTGTTTGTTTTTGGAGGGAGAACAGCCTTGTGCTCAGTCAAAAAAAAAATTGTATTGCCTAACCTCTCTTACAGCTAAGTGACTAAGTTCAAGGCCATAAGTTACAATGGAAAGTTTGTGGGTACTTCAGGAAAGGCTTTTTAATGGGAACTAAAGCAGGTGGGAGGTATACCCATTTCTCCCTTTTCCTTCTTTCTTCCTCCTTCCTAGAATGTAAATGTTATGGTTGAAGCTCCAGTAGTTATTTTGGATGATGAAGTAATTTTGAGAATGAAAAGAAAGATGGTGGAGAAGAAAGAGAGATGAAGACTGAATCTTTGGTGACTATGAAGATATCTGTCTTCGCACTTCTTTTTAAGTGTGAAATGCTTTTGAATTTTTATTTGGTTTGCCAAAATGTTAGCTATACCTCATAGTCTTATATCATTTGAAAATTTGACAGGCATGCTTTCTTTGGCCCAACTTAATTTTTATTCCTCCAGGTTAATCCATTAATTAAAAACCTTTGGATATAATGATTCACTAACTATAAATTTCACTGACCATCCTCTTATGTAGTCAATATTTTATGTATTTTCCACCAAGGTAGAAACACTCTATCAACTACCTTACTAAAGTAAAGAGAGCCTAGATTTTTAAAATTCTCCTTAAATCTACCGGTGTTATAATATCTGGTCTTCATCCCAGGTTCTTGACAGGGAGCTTCGAAACCCTTGGAATTTCCTGAATGACAGGAATAGCTCTGTTACGCTAATGAGGTGACTCATGGTGAGACCCTAGATAGCTTCCGGATGGTGGCTGGTCACATGATTAGAGAATTGCGATTTTTGACTTGCCTGACCTCCAGGGAAGGGAGGGGGACTGGAGATTGAGTTCAGTCACATGGCCCATGATTTAATTAATCATGCCTATCTAATGAAACCCCAATAAAAACCAAAGCCCAGTGGAGGCTCCTGGTCAGTAAACACATTGATATACCAGGTGAGTGATAGGCCTACTCCATGGAGAGGGCATGGAAGCTCTGTGGTCCCTCCCAGACTTTGCCCTGGGTGTATCTTTTATAATAAAACTAACCATAGGTATAGTGCTTTCCTGAGTTTTGTGAGTTGTTCTATTGATCCCCGAATGGCATCATGGTGACCTCCTGGATTAGTAGCCAGTTTATCAGAAGCATGGGTGGCCCAGGAGACACCATTTAGAACTGGCATCTGAAGTGAGAATAATCTTGTGAAGGATTGAACCCTTTACTTGTGAGTCTGACACTAACTCCAGGTGGTTAACAACAGAATTGTATTGCAGTACACCCATTTGGTGTCTGAGTACTTCTCAAATTAATAATCTATGCAAAATAAAAGAAAAAACAACTAGGTTGTTTGTCTTGCTTAATTCTTGTAAACCCATCTTAGCTCCTACAATTATACTTTCTTTTCTAAATTAAGTCACCTCTGTAATGATGCGCTATGTAATTTTGCCATGAATCTTTATCAATCCCACCATGCCATAGCTTGCAAAACTCTCTATCATTTTACAAAGATTACCAGCTGATATGGAGATTTTATGTAAAAATCTTCAATTTGTAAGAAACATGAAATAATTTAATGTGATCGATTCACCCTTTTCCCAATTATTAGTTTTAGTTCCCTAGCTATAATGTTTGCTCTAGTTTTAAGCACGATTGCTGAAGAATAGTTCTGTATTTAAAAATACATTTTTTTTAGTAATTTGCATAAAGTGGTGATTCTCAACCAGGTGGTTTTTGTCCCCCACCTCTTAAAAGACATTTGGCAATGTTCGGAGATGTTTTTGTTTATTGTAACTGGGGAGTGGGGTGCTTCTGGCCTGTAGTGGATAGACGCCAATGATGTTGCTAATCCTATAATGCATAGGAAAGCCACCCACAACAAAGAATTATCTGGCCCAAATGTCACTAGGACCATGCCTGAGAAACCCTGCACTACGGTAACCTCAGGAGTAGAAGAGAAAGCGAGAACTTCATCCAGGTCTTCATGACTCCAGCTGATCTCAAAATGACCTCACTTTCTGTCTTTAAAGGCTCTCAACTTTTCATTTAAAGCAATTTTTACTTATCATCAGGATTTCCCTTTTAAGATCCACTTGCCTGTTAATAATCCCTCTTTTAGAAACTTTGGCCAAGGCATAGTATTTATTGTTTCTTTCACTTTTTAACATTTATTTTCCTAAAGTCTAAGATACCAAGGCTCTTCATGATTATGGTCCCAGCATGTTGTCATCTTTTCCCCCAGATTTCCAACACTTTCACATCACCCACACTTTTTCAGTGGTGAGAATGGAGTCATAAGGTAGTTACATCAATGATACTGAATTATCCAAAAGAATAAAATAATGCTCAACATGCTTCATAGATAATGCAAAAAGTGTCAACACTGCTACATACACAAAGCATCATCGCTTTTTATTATGCTTTTGTGTTTTTCTCTTAAGCAAGTGAAGTTTCAGATACCTAGACTCTCCTAATAAATGTTAGCCTTACTTCATGTAAGAAGACAGCATGATTTTAAAAACAGCAGGTATGATTTATATGGACAGTAGAGTCTTTTGTTCTGTCATGCATCTATTTAAGAAGGACCTAGTATAACTTAGAAAGGTACATTCCACTAAAGAAAGAGTAAAGTCACATCATGTTGGTCCTTTTGCTCGGCACTTCTCTCTTCTGCCACCATGGGAAGAAGGACATGTTTGCTTCCCCTTCTGTCATGATTGTAAGTTTCCTGAGGCTTCCCCAGCCATGCCTAACCTAACTGTGAGTCAATTAAACCTCTTTCCTTTATAAATTACCCAGTCCTGGGGATGTTTTTATAAGCAGCGTGAGAACGGACTAATACTCTGATCCTGTCAGCTGACCATGGCCATCAGATCAAGCCACTTACGAGCAGCATGCTGAAGAAAGAGGACCACAAGGTCAGTGCCAAGCGCTAAGCACAAGGAGAAATGCTGGTGCCACATGGAAGCCAGTGGCATTGCATTCGCAAGCACAGGTGAACTCTCTTGAGAGTGCAAAGTTGGAAATTAATGAAGAGTCCCTGGAATTCCTCCAGTCACACTGGAGGAGGATGAGCTGGAAAAACAGTGAGACTCAGGGAAACTGGTTGTCAGCATTAAGCATATCTAAATCAGCCTGGCCCCCTTCCATCTGAGCTTCTATACACATGACTCTACTTAATTCAATTTCAATTCAGTCACTTCGCGTCTACAACAAGTCAAAGGAAGTATTTCTTTTCTAGACATCTAAAGGACCACGATTATTTCAAAGTTATTTCAAGGTATTACACAGCCTTAATAATCAATTGAATGGCTGATTTTTTTTTTCTTTATCCAAGACCTAAAATTTTCTCATTAGATTTCAAGTTAGTAAGTCGAATCTCCATTGACATCCAGGAATTGATTGCAGGGCCCCCAACTAAAGCATACTGTCTAAAGACGTGAGCTCGAAGTCAAACTTAAACATGCAGACAAGAAATTGTATGCACTGATTGCTGGTAGCTGGAAGTCATCTCTCTCCTCTGAATTTCCTTAGTCACTGTCCTCTTAGTCCTATCTAGATGGTATTAGAATCATTTACATATAGTTTTTACCTCCTCTCCCAGCCTTACTAAGGAAGCACACTGACGGCAGGTTTGAGAACTAAATATCCTTATATCCTCTTTTAGGTGAGGAGTCCAAAGTGTTTACAGTCACGTGAGATAGCATATTTTGATTTACTCGCTGTATGTCAGTGTTGGCTCTATGTACATGAGATCAACACATCTCTCTAACACAATCAGAAAAAAAAATAGATCAGTTCATATGAACCAAATATCCAAATCAAATGATTACTTTCTTCCTACTTTTCAACCCCTTGCATTGCCACCAATGCCTTTTATTTATTTATTTGTTTATTTTTATTTTTTTGAGACAGAGTCTCACTCTGTCACCCAGGCTGGAGTGCAATGGCATGATCTCGGCTCACTGCAATCTGCACCTCCTGTGTTCAAGTGATTCTCCTGCCTCAGCCTCCTGAGCAGCTGAGATTACAGGCGCATGCCACCACGCCCGGCTAATTTTTGTATTTTTAGTAAAGATGTGGTTTCACCATGTTGGTCAGGCTGGTCTCGAACTCCTGACCTCATGATCCGCCTGCCTCGGCCTCCCAAAGTGCTGGGATTACAGGCGTGAACAGTGCCTGGCCACCAATGCCTTTTCTTAAATTAAATACAAAAATGCACTTTGCCTTCCTCCTCAGAGACTTTGTCAGTGAGACTAAATCAATGGAGAGCTTCTACTGATAGCTATCATTATTGTATTTCTTTTTCTACAAGGTGAAAGATCACTGCAGGGTGGTACCTTTATTGGAATTTCTCACAATAAATCCTTATTTAACTTTATTCGTATATCAGCCACTACAGTTAGACCTACTTCTTTAAGGTCTCCCAAGCTTTTTTCAACCTGGACAGTTTTAGTCATCATGATTTCACAGCTTGGGGGAGAGCTTCCCTCTCCCCCATCCCTTATGTAAACTCTGGCTATTCTTCAAGGCCTAGTTCAAGCTCCACCCACAAGAAGCCCCTTTCACAGGACTCCAGGCTACACCAAGCTGTCCCTTCCCTGAACTCTGGCTCACACAGTGTATCTCTTAATAGCGCTCTAACTGTTTCATGTTACGTTAGTGTTGTCTTCCCAAGTGGATCATAAACTGTCTGGTATCTATCCCCTACAAATCCGAGCACAATGTTGGACTTCTTTTTGTGCCCAATAAATACTTGTCGATTGACTGGCTGGTTTAGAAAACACAGTACACAGTTAGTGTGTGGGGCGGAGCGGGGGAATGAAAAGCAATAGGCAGGCTTCAGCTCTGGCCAAATTTAGATTACATTTAAATCTATGTGTTTCTTTAAAAAAATGAATGTTCAAGTCACTGACTCTGGACCTAGTAGGTTAGTCCACTGAGCCTTAGATTTCAGGGTGTTATTGTGGATTTGGCTTTCCTGGGATGGAACTCCAAGAAGATAGATTATCGTGTGCTCCTAATGCACTACACAGCCTATTGACTTTATATGTCATCAATGTATATTGTATGTCTACACTATTACCAGGAGAAGCAGGAGTGCATGTAGTTATGCCTCTGTCTCAGCCCGTCATCCCATGCTGTGCCCTATGGGAAGCCACTGATTCTTACACTTGGAGCTGGGACAATGCAACTTAATCAGACTGACAGGAAACAGGCAGCAATTACAGTGTGCTGCTACATCTGCTGGGTTCCACTTCACTGAAGGAAGAGTTATCTCAATTTTAATGTACATCCCTTTTTCATGTTTCATTTAACCTCTGCCGTATTATTAAACACATCAAAATATAATGACACTCGTTAAAGAAGAAAAAGAGGACAGTTGGGATATTTTGGACTGTATCTCCTATATTTGTAACTTAATTGTATCATTTTTGCTTCTCTTCAACATCTCTCCCTGGTGAATAACTAATTCAGAATATAGGTATTTAAATAGTGAGTTGGGAACTGGCTGTTTAAACACCTACATCAACACTGAGTGCAGCTACAATGCAACGTCCCTCAATCATTTTTCTGTTTTCACCACTAGTGTTTCTCTTTTCAAAAACATTCTTTTACAATGTGTCAAAATAGCTAGTTTACCCATTACTGCAGTGATATAAACTGCTTTAAAAGCAGCTCAATGCAATTCTTCAGGAATGTGTTTGTAATATGACTCAGGAAACCTTTGGAACTTAAATGAGCAGGTGTCTCACCCACTCTGGCCCACCCTAGAACAGCCAGAGCTCCATCAGCAGGTGGATCCTGCTGACCCGAGTTCTAGGATCTATTAAACCATTCATTTCTGCAAGACAAATGTGATGACACACCAGGCTAAGCCTCTCCTCTGAGGTTTGGTTTTGTGTGTGTGTAATTTTTTTTTCTTTCCACTGTGATTCTCTGATCTCTTATCTCTCTTTGAGCTCCAGTTTTACCATTGAATCTGAAGTATATAGTAAACCTTTCTAAAAATCAAATGTTCATCAGATTAATTGCGGCATCCAAATCCAGACTGCCCAAGTTTCCAAAGATATAATAGAAATGTGATCCTAAACTTCCACTTGAACTCTTAAGATGGTGTTTGGCCAAGCAGAATTTGCAAGACATTTACAGGAATTTGTGTGTATTAGGGAAAATGGAGGGAAAGGTTAATAACCAAAGATACGCTTCTATATAAAGAGTTTTTTTAGGCCAAAAAGCTCCAATGTCCAAGCTTTTAAAATAATTATTAGAATTTTCATTAAGAAATAATTTAATCAAAATATGACAGGCATGTCCATCATCAGTGCCAAATACGGGTTGCTATGAACTAGGGTGACAAAAAGTGGTCTAAGAAAGAGTGAGTGTTTTCAAGTAGCTAACAATCTATAGTGAAATCAAAACAAATGCAGAAAAAGATAAGCTAAAGCCCAAACAGGTTCCTATCAGTGTGTGGAATTTACTACAGGGCAACACTACAATGACTTATGTTTATAGTTAGGCGAACAAGAAAGAGCTGAAGCCCCTGAGATCTCCTTTAGGATAAAAGAGGCCTGATATTCAGCGAGC
The DNA here is from genome assembly GCF_000001405.40 of Homo sapiens. Taxonomy (NCBI): domain Eukaryota; kingdom Metazoa; phylum Chordata; class Mammalia; order Primates; family Hominidae; genus Homo; species Homo sapiens. The sequence continues at coordinate 55,762,608 of NC_000018.10, read as the reverse complement.
AAGCACTTACCCTACAGAGGCCTCCCAGATGTCTATCTCCAGCTTCCATTGCGTGTTCATTCCCCTGCCATAGGGTTGTTAATAGGTTAAATGTTATTCTGGGTAAAAGACTCTAAGGAAAGCAACACTGCTTAACTCCTACTTTACTTATGTGCTCACTACAGGATCATGATCATCAACCTTGAATAGACAGAATAAATAGCATTAAGTAAGCTTGGAGCAATGATTGCACCTAAACATGTTGACTGCATTCAAATCTCCAGGCTCAAACAAATTACATCTCTGGATGCTTAAAGTGCTTTAGAGGTATGATCACAAAACCAATGTCAACAGTCTTTGAAAAATAATGGAGAAGGGGAGAGATACATACCAGAACAATATAAGAAAACATTTTCTTTCCAAAAAATAAAAGTTGGGGGAGGACGGGGGTAGGAAAAAATGCAAATTTCAGAAACTAGGGACTACTGAGTTTAATCCTTATCTTCATTAACATTTTCTAATGAATTCTTAACAGTTGACGTGAATAAACTTTGACAAGAAGAACTGATCACTGGGAGCTATATATTTCACTAAAAACAAGTAAATCCAAAAATCCATTTTTAAAATAAGACTAATCAATTAATGAAAGATATAACAATATTGTATCTGGATTCCATTATGGCATTAACATGTCTTTAATGATATATTTATGGACTTGATAAGTAAGGTGGAAAAATAGGAACTAAAATGATAAATTCATCTATTGAGGCAACAGGGATCTAACCTTGGCCATTTTTTTGTCAACTATGTAAGAAAAAAATAAGCCCAGGTTTCATTTAAGTTAACCCTCATAGAAATTAGAGCATTTAATAAACAAATTCAGGGAAATGATACTGATTTTAAAATTAAAATAGTAAAGAGAAAAACTAATTCCACCAGCAAACAACAACAACAAAAAAAAAACCATGATTTTGAAAATTTTAGATTGGAAACTAGCAAGAGAGTTATTGGGGATATTTATAGAAACCAGAATGAAAACCCTAACTACTTTTGTTTGTTTGCATACCTAGTCATCTCAAGTTTATTGCATTTCAGGAGAAAGTCCTTTTACCATATAAGAAAGGCATAACTTTTAAGTTTATTATCTTCCAAGTTTATCATCTTCTGTTCGTCTTCAACCCAATGATCACCTATTCCTTCGAGAATTTTTCAGAGGTGAGCAACTATTCACAGTTCTTTGTTCTTAAGCTGTTATTTCAGACCATTAGCTTCCTCTGGGGCCTCCGGACTGTCTTCTAGTCTTCCAATCTGTCTTCTACATTGCTTTCTGGCAAATAAAACTCCATTTTAAAAGGTGATGCCTGTCAAAATTCTACTCAAAATTTCTCAGAGGGTCTTCACGGCATTCTGAAGACCACCAGAAAGAGAAATGGCCAAAATTTTCCTTTTGGCTTTATCTACAACTTCCCAACATAGATGTTATAATTCTGTCCATGTAAACTATTCTTCAAAAGTGAATTGCACTTCTGTAGCCTTTATCTTTCCTTTTCAGGAATGATCGCTGTCTGTGCTTCTTGGCTACTCAGAGCCAACCTATCCTTCGGTTATTAGCAAGGGGGGCTTCTACCTTCTACAAACCTGTGCTCCTCAGTTTGGGCACTCAAATGGCACTTTGCAAATGTGTCTCACTCTTCCGGACCAAACTGTGTCTTCTGTAACCTCTGTGCTCTAAGTTTGCATGTATGGCTGACAGATAAGGGGCACTTATGAACACATTGATGGAAACTTTTCAAAAGGGCCAGGTCCGGTGGCTCACACCTATAATCCCAGCATTTTGGGAGGCCGAGGCAGGCAGACCACCGGAGGACAGGAGTTTGATACTGGCCTGGCCAACATGGCAAAACCCTGTCTCTACTAAAAATACAAAAATTGGCCGGGCGCGTTGGCGCGTACCTGTAATCCCAGCTACTCAGGAGGCTGAGGCAGGAGAATTGCTTGAACCCAGGAGGCAGAGGTTGCAGTGAGCCAAGATCATGCCACTGAAAAAAAAATTTGTAAAAAGGAGAAGCAGGAAGAAAGAAAAATAGGAATGGAAAGAAGAAGGAGGAGGGTCTGATGGAGAGAGGAAATAAAGACGAAAAATTAAAGGAGAAGGAAAAAGAAGTGAAAGGAGTCTTCCCTTAGCCTTCCTCTGCTGTTTGAATTTTGTGTTTTCCATTTAATGTTTACCTTAAATTGTCAAATATTCCATCCTTTTTGCATATCATGTACCATTTGCTTTATTTCTTTATTCTTATCTAAAAGATAGTCTCACATATTTATCCTCCTCACACATCCTTAAGAACCTATGAAGTCACATTAGATTTACTGCTGCTTAACAAATGGGAATTTAGGTTTGTACAGTATTTTCTCTTCTTCTAGTTACTTTACATACATCTACCCATGTTTTTCAGAAAAAAACACTCCACAGAAGATGACTTACCTCCCTCATCAATGCTGGGCAGAAATTGGGAATTAGAACCAATGATTTTCTGCAACAATATTCTTCCTCTCTGCTTTGTACTCACTTTTCTTCCTCACTCTCTCTACCTCCCGAAGAGTTCTGTCATATCTTTTACATTTCAGTTTTCTTTTTAAATAAATAATAATTTTTTTCCTTCCGTGACATTTTTCTGACCTTGAAATAAAAGCCTTTAAAAAAAAAAAGTCCTGGAACAGTTTATTTCCTTACATTTAACTTTCCCACCACCTACTCTTGCTCATGTTTCTAATTTTAATCTGCTTCTTACACATTTTGTCTTTTTCTTCAAAATCCCAAAATATGTAATTAACAAGCAGAATGTTCAGTCAATGGCCTGTACGTTTTCTGTTCTCAATACGACACTTCCAGGTTCTCAGCACCATCTTTTCCATCCTTCCTTCCTGGGCCTCCGTGCTTGCCCTTGGCTCTGTGGCCCCCACTCTGCTGTCGTGAGTTGTCCCCTCCTCCTGTGCAGTCTCCTGTGACCCTTCAGTAACCACAATCCACATGCATGCACGAAGGACCTCTATTCCTGTCTGTGTTCAACTGGGGCAGGAAAATCAATCCAGTAGGCCACAACTGGCATGTCTTTAAGTGAAAAATACAGAAAATAATATAAATGAATAGAAATTAAAAAGAAAATATCAGCGTGCCTCACGAAAGATAAATATTGTTCTGTGAAACTTCTGTTTTAGTCATCTGTGTGTGAATTATGGGAGGAGCATTAGCTGGTCACTGTGTAGATGTATATTTCTTAGTGTAAGTCACAGGCAAAAATGTTTGAAAAACATCATCCAACCCTACACTCTTCTTTGACTTATGGCTTTATGTTGTTGTTACTCTTTTTCCTCTTCTTTTTCTTCCTCCTTCCCCTCCTCCTCCTCTTTCTCCTCTTCTTCTTTGTAAATTCCAAATCTCCTATTTTTGTGAAGTGTAGCCCCTGAGTTTGCCTTCAGTACTCCTTCACTCTCTCCCAATTGCGTATTCCATGTGGGTGTTAAAGTCTCAATGGATTGTAGCAGCAGCACAGAATTTGGCATCTAGTAGATGCTCAATAAGTGTCTGTAGCCTGAATGAAGCAAATGAATGAATGAGTGGAGGTAGAGGTGGATTTACACCAAAGCTAATGAAACAGAAACTTCAAAGTATCTCATTTGCAGCTGTCCCTTCTAAGGCCCTATAACTGATATTATATTTATAATTTTGTATTATTTTTCTCAAACAGCATTCCTCCAATTTATGGAAGCTTTAAATCCCATAAAAACTGGTTCTGCAGCCAGGTGGATGAATGGAATGCCTACAATAAAACAATATTGCAAAGTTCAATCTACACAATATGTTTTATCCAAAGGTATTTCAGTCAGCTGGACAAAATGCAGCAGTAACATCATTGGCAGGAGGGAGCACTCTGTACCATTCGGCATCTTTTATCCCCATTTGCAAGTTTCCCCTCTCTTTTGCTTTTCACATCCAGTGCTCTGCTTGGTGAAAATCCTGCAGCTCTTAGCAGAAGGCTGGCTCAGAGATTTCCACCCTGCCTCAGTGGCTGCCATCACTCCATGCTCCACTCCCTTTGCCCATAATGACCTCATTCAGGACACCTGAATGAGGAGAGCAGTGAAGTCCGGTGGATGCAGCATCAGTGGCCCTGGGCTCTCACCTCTGTTCTGTCAGGGCACACTCAGCTGGAGAAAATTCTCCCCTGATTGCCCCACCAAAGGAAGAAGCTGAGCCTATGTATATAATGAGGGTCACCACAAAGAAAGGACGCTGCTTCCAGTGAGGCTGTGGCTGGTCCCTCCTCCCTCTTGGACAGACACCACACACATGTTGTGTGTAGCTCAGAATTTGAATGGGGACGAATGTGAGCCAGAGGAAAACGTGGAGACTGTCCAATCTATCTCCTGGTTTACAGGTGAGAAGACCGAGGCCCTGGAAAATTAAGAAACTTGCTTGGGATCTCACAACATGTTTGGGAGAGTGAGACTGGACTAGAGCACATATCTCCTTGGCTGACCCACTGTTCTTTCTACTGTGTGAGTGGTTCTCAAAGTGGTCCCTTGACCAGAAGCATCAACATTACCTAGGAAATTGTTAGGTATGCAAATTCTCCATTTTCACCCCAGACTCCTGCATCGGGGGTGCAGACCAGACTCTGGATTTTAACAAGTTTTCCCCATCATTTAATGCTCTCTTGAGTTTAAGCACCACATCACTATACAATGTTTCTACTCATTAAAAGGAGCCATTTACCTAATGCTATGGTTTAAATGTGTCTCCCAAATTTCAAGTGTTAGAAACTTAATCCCTAAATTCATACATTGATTGGAGGTGAGGCCTTTGAAGGATAATTAGGATTAGATAAGGTATAAAGGTGGGGCCTCCAAGATGGGTCTGGTGGTTTTATAAGAAGAGGAAGAGAGACCTGAGCTGATACACATGCTCTTGTTCTCTTGCCATGTGATGCTTTCCACAGTGTTATGAAGCAGCAAGAAGGCCCTCCTCAGAAGTTGAGCAGGTGCCAGTGCCATGCTCTTAGACTTCCCAGCCTTCAGAACCATGGGCCAAAATAAACTTTTTTTCTTTTTTAAATTACCAAGCCTGCATTATTTTATTATAGCAACAGAAAATGGACTAAGACACCTAATAGCTAAACTCCTGATGTTGCAACACATCAGATAAAAGTCATGTTTTAAAGATTAAACTGCCCTTGAAATATCATTCTTATATGAAAATTTCCCCCCAAATCAACAGCTTCTACTCTTAGACATTCATTTCTTCAGTCAAGCCATTTTACCCTGAAGACTTCTGTTAAAAGGCAAATAAATAACATTGGTAAAACAATAAAGAGTAAAAAAAAATTATAATTTGAGAATCAATAAGAATAATAACTCTCCCTGAATTCTTATTCAAAGTCAGGCACTGTACTGTTTGATATACATTTATTATATCAGCAATAATCCTCAACTTCTTATAAATCGGTTTTTTACATTAGTCCAACGTTTTATAATGCCAATATCTAAAGGACTGATAAGTATCAAAGAAAAGAGACAGGGTTGGGAAGCATATCAGTTCCTGGGCAGGGGATGAAGAGCCCATAGAAAGTTCCCCAGGAGAGGGTCTGGGTCACCAGGAAGCAAGATGAGGGCCAAGGTATTCAGTGAAAGATATTCAAAGAGAGCCAGGGCACTTAAGCCAGAGTTGGAAGAGGGCTACTAAGCATAGTGGTGTATACTGTGCACTGCACAATTCCGGAGGACAGAACTCACAGAAAAGCAGTGATGCTGAGCCCAAATTCCATATACTTCAAACCTGGCTGCCAGTGGCTGGCTTTTCCCTGAAGATTGGGTCCTGAAGCTAGGATACCATGAGATATCAATGAGACTGCAGTTCTAGCGACAGCAGTCTCACTCAAGCTGAAGAATTGCGGGGGGTGGGGTGGGGGTGGCAGGGGGTGGAGATGGTATAAAGTTTGTTAATTTCCTAAACTCCTCACAGAGCAAGCCCGTGGCAGGTCTTCATTCCATTGACACATCTTGGGACAAGTTGAAGAAAGAAACCTAAAGCTCATTTTCCCAACCTTTCTGCCCTTGATCCCCACTACGTGGGCATCTCAAAGAAAAGTGCTGTAAAATGGTTGATTTTTTAAAATTATTTGTTTCACTATATAAGTAAATTTAAATCGAACTCATTTACAGAATGACTGATTGCTCCCAGCTGGGCACGGTATCTCACACCTGTAATCCCAGCACTTTGAGAGGTTGAGGTGGGCAGATCATGAGGTCAGGAGATCAAGACCAGCCTGGCCAACATGGTGAAACCCCGTCTCTACTAAAATACAAAAAAAATAGCCGGGCATGGTGGTGCGTGCCTGTAGTCCCAGCTACTCGGGAGGCTGAGGCAAGGGAATCACTTGAACCCAGGAGGCGAAAGTTGCAGTGAGCCGAGATCGCGTCACTGCACTCCAGCCTGGGCGACAGAGCAAGACTCCATCTCAAAAACAAAACAAAACAAAACAAAACAAAACAAAACAAAACAAAAATAGATGGATTGCTTCCCCAAAGTCTCTGAAAAACATGAGACCTCCCATGTAAACCAGAAATAATTTGGATTTCTAAGATTGAAGCTGAAAGTTGCCATGAACTAAAGCAGAACACCAACCACCCTTGGATATGGTCACGATTGCTTTGAGGCTTAAAAGCTATAAATTGATCATATTTTAGGTCTTGAGGTAACCCACAAGACACTGTAATTTCTTTATGTTGGCGTTGTCTTCCTCTAAGGTAGAAGCATTGAGGATTTCATTTGTTCAAACAGGTTCTGGATAGAGAGGACTCTAGGAAACAACTGAGCCCTGAGTCAGATTCTTGTGCTGGAGGTTAGAACAGGGAAGATGTAAGGAGTTCAAGATTCAATTGAAGAAAACAATGCACTGAAAGAGCTCAAAGGATGTGTGAGGAGACCAAGGGTGAAAATTCAGTTAAGGTTTAAAAGAACTTGAGAACAGATATCAAAGGAAGCTGTTAAATTAGAAAAAGAGGTAGTAACAAATGGTATGGGCTACCCCTCAAAGGCTAGCAACTATCACATCTCCACTATAACTTAGTTAATTTCTCGGTGTTACTTGTTTAGTTTATCATTACTACTGCTCACAGTAATCATAAATTTGAAAGTCACTTTCATCTCCAATTCTTTTGACTCCATGAATAAGAACAAGAGCTACCACTTACGCAGCATTCATGGTGTGGCAGACACTGTGTGACATCTTAATGAAGTTAGGCCTCATAATGACCTAGTGAGGTCGGTGCTTTTGAACTCCAGAGGTTGTATTTATAACCATAGCTCTGCACTGCCTAAACCCTGCTGCCTTGCGTAAGACAAGCAAACGGCAATGCTTGTCCTTGAATCCTGCAGGAGACTTCTTGCACTTTGCCAGTGAAAACCAAACCCACCTCGTTGACACCTACTGCCCAAGAGGAGATTCTAATGACATTGCTTTGTGTCTTAAAATGAAAAAATATCTACTTATAATTATTTATTAAAATTCATTCCATAGGCCGGGCGCAGTGGCTCACACCTGTAATCCCAGCACTTTGGGAGGCCGAGGAGGGCAGATCATCTGAGGTCAGGAGTTCAAGACCAGCCTGGCCAACATAGTGAAACTCTGTCTCTACTAAAAGTACAAAAATCAGCCAGGTGTGGTGGCCTGCATGTGGTGCACCTGTGATAGCAGCTACTCGGGAGGCTGTGGCAGGAGAATCGCTTGAACCCAGGAGGCGGAGGCTGCAATGAGCTGAGATCATGCCACTGCACTCCAGCCTGGTGACAGAGCAAGACTCCTCCATTTCAAAAAAATTAATAAAATAAAATAAAATCCATTCCACAGCAACTCAATGTCATAAAACAGTATTTGAAGTTAAGATTGCATTAGTTTGGTAAGAAAACCATAACAAGGTACTACAGAATGGGTGGCTTAAACAACAAAAATTAGTTTCATCACAATTCTGAAGGCTAGAAATCACAGATCAAGGGGTCAGCAGGGTTGGTTTCTTCCCAGGCCTCTCTCCTTGACTTGTAGGTGGCTGTCTTCTCTTCGTGTCTACATGTGGTCTTCCCTCTGTATATTGATGTCCAAATTTCCTCTTCTTGTAAGGATACCAGCCAGATTGGATTAGGGCCCACTCTAATGATCTCATTTTAATTTAATTAATAACCTCTTTAAAGACCCTATGTCCAAATGCAGTCACATTCCAAGGTCCTGAGTGTTAGGACTTCAACATATAAATTTGGGTGGGGAGGACATAATTCGATCCACACAAAGGTCCCTGGGGTGAATTAATTCATTGTCTCTTCCTTACATCAGAATTAAGCAGCCTTATCTGCATCTATGGACATTTCCTAGAATCAGAGCCCACAATACCATCTTCATTTTCATCACCTCCAGTCAGCAGTCACTGCCCTTGTTTCACGTCTTGTGTTGGGTAAGGAGCTGCTGTCATTCCCAAAGTGAGTCATATGCCCATTGTGTCACTACAGCATAACACCTATGGGTATAAAGCCTCATTTTAGAATTTTCCAACTTATTGCCAGATATTAGCTCTAACCAGATCCTCATTTCTATCATTATCAGGAAGTTATATTTTACAAGTCAACTTTAAAGGAAACCACGTGATCTGAAATCAAAATAATTCATTTTGATTTACCTTTTTATTGATTCATTTCTACATCATCCTAGATTAGTCACTAACCGAAACTTATTTCCACAGAGGGCACTATCTAAGAATAAACATCCTGCTTATTCAGTTTGCAGCAGCACTAACAGGTCATGCCCAAGTAAGTATATTCAGATAAAATCTAATTTTAAGAATGCTATAATACTATAAACATAGTCGCAATTTTCTCCAAAAATGTTTACTAAAAAAGTAGATTTGGAAGCAATTCATATGATGGACACCTAATCATGAACATTTAACTATTCAAGATCCAAATAGGTTATTTTTATAAAGTAATGCATGCTATATTGCCATTTGTACTTGTTAAAATTTACAGTTACATAAATCAGCTTAATGAAATGGATATCTTGCATGTGTTTCAAGCATTTAAGAAATGATCAGTGTCTGAAATTTGAATCACACATGAAATGGATATTCAGCTAAGCTGGTCTGACAAATCTACTGTAAAACCACTTAGTAAAATGATTGCACTGAGCCTCAACTAAATCCAAAATAAACCAGATTAAACCTAAAACTTCAAAAAACCCCAACAAATCCTGTGATTTGCAAGAAATTTCATATTAAAAATTTCAAAATTTCTTGAATTCTATGAAATGAAAAAAATTGTTTTCTAAAAAAGAGCAGTTGGGATATTGACTTATTAAGCTCTTATAAAAAGATATGAGTTGAAATTGTAAAACTGTTCAAAAAAATTGAAGTTTTCTAACAGGATGCATGTAATGATTCAATTGATTAATACTTCAAATTTGATATACATGAACTATAAATGTGGAATTGTAAAGAAAAGATTAAAAATAAATTGGTTTAAAATCAAAAAACTGTGAAAGGATGGGTGAAAGAAAAATTGGCAAAAGAAACAAAAAAAGTGGCAAAGCAGAAAGCAATTTTTACAAGATCTGAAAGAAATCAATACAAACTGAATGAAGTCAGATGTGTTGGCTTGGGCCTATAATCCCAACTACTCAACAGGCTGGGGCAGGAGGATCACTTGAGCCCAGGAGTTTGAGACCAACCTGGCAGTATAGTGAGACACCAACTCAAACAAAAATAATATGAACAGAATATATATATATGAAATTTGGCACCTAATTAGGAAATACATTTTCTGGATATTTAACATTTAATAAGAAAGTTAAACCACCTTATGACCATTAGCAATTTACTTACAGAACGTGACTTAAAATACTGCTATGAAGACAGCAAAAAACCATCAACTAATTAGTTTTATAGAATCTTCCAAATCTGTTAAAACAATCCCACTCAATAAAAACTGCTGTAAGTAAGAGTTGAAATAAACATACTTTTTGGTAAATAGCTAAGTTCAGCAATTTGATTATTAAGCAAATTGATCTGGGGCATGATGACCTGGAATCAAAAATTAATTCCTGAGACTTCCTGTCTAGCCCACCCTAACATTTCTTTACTGTTCTTTCCTGGTCATCTCCTCCTCTGATTCTTTCCATGTTGATACAAGCCTGTAGAAGATGGGCCCCCAAGAATTACAAAATTTGAATTTTATCCTAATGCATAGGGAAAGAGGCTTGGAATTGGAATTGTGTTGATTGAAAACATTTGTATGTAACCACTTCACGCCCACTACGATGGTTATAATCAAAAAGACACATAAAACAACCGTTATAGGTGACATGGAGAAATTAGATCGCTTCTTCATTGTTAATGGGAACGTAAAATGATGCAGCCACTTTGGAAAACAGTTTGGAAGTTCCTCGAAATGTGAAATATAGAGTTACTATTTGACAAAGCAACTTTACTCCTGGGTATCTACTCGAGAGAATTGAAAACATACATCCACACAAATGCTTGTATACAAATTTTCATAGCGGCATTATTCATAATAGCCAAAATGTGAAAATGATCCAAATGTCCACCAACTAATGAATGGGTAAACAAAATGTGGCTTATCGATACAAAGGAATATTATTCGGCCATAAGAGGAATGAAGTACTGATACATGCTAAAATGCGGATGGGGCATGAAAACATTACACTAAGCGAAAAGATGGTCACAAAAGGCCACATATTATATGATTCTATTTATAGGAATGTCCAGAATAGGCAAATCCATAGAGAAGGAAAGTAGATTAGTGGTAGCCAAGAAGCAGGGAGGGAAGAATGGGGAATAACCTCTAGAGACTACAAGGTTTCTTACAGGTCATTTAGAAAGTGTTCTAAAATTAGATGGCAGTGATGGTTGCGCAACTCCGTGAATATACTAGAAACCACTGATTTGGACACATTAAAAGCGTGAATTTTATGATATATGAATTATATCTCAAAAAAGCTGATACATATATATCTGCTGTTATATATCTATATGTACATACATATATAAATAATTAGTTCTTTTATACTTGAGTTTGGGATTAAGATATATTTACAAAAATAAAGTTTATGTAAATGAGACCATACTATTCATGCTGTTTGGTAACGTGGCATTTCATGCAAAAGTAGTCTTGGATCTTTTTCCTTGTTGATGAAAACTTATATGTGTTATCTTTTTTTTTTTTTTAAGACAAAGTCTCGCTCTGTCGCCCAAGCTGGAGTGCAGTGGTGCGATCTCGGTTCACTGCAACCTCTGCTTCCTGGGTTCAAGGAATTCTCTGCCTCAGCATCCCGAGTAGCTGGGATTACAGGCACCCGCCACCATGCCCAGCTAATTTTTGTATTTTTAGTAGAGACGGGGTTTCACCATCTTGGCCAGGCTGGTCTTGAACTCCTGATCTCGTGATCCACCCGACTCGGCCTCCCAAAGTGCTAGGATTACAGGCACGAGCCACTGCGCCCAGCCTATATGTCATCTTTTTAAAGAGCTCTCCAGTATACCATTGCATAGTTCTACCATGATTACTTAATCATTTAGATCATTTCCAGTGTTTTGGTAAAGCAACAACACAATTAGGCACACACACAGACACACATACACACATATATGCATACATAAACCTATATATCTGCACACTTCTTCAATTATTTTCTAAAGAAAAATCTCCTAAATAAATTTTTTAAAAAAAGGCTCCTACAAATGGGATTTCTGGGTACCTGCCCATTTTAAACGTTGATCCATATTGTTAAATTGCCTTTTAGAAACACTGTTTTAAATCAGTTTACACCATCCCCAGGTGTGATAGAGACTGCCCCTTCCCCCATTTACATCTTCATCATCAATGCTGAGTTTAATCAAAGGTCTTTTTTTCTTAATCCTCATCAATCTAAACTCTAACAAAGGATTAGTTGTTGCTTTTATTGGCATCTATTTGACTACTATTGAGGTTGAATATCTTCCACATACATTTTGGTCATTGGTATTTCCTCTTCTGTATGTCTCTTATCATTTTAAAAAAATTGGAGTCATTGTCATTTTCTCATAACTTGAAAGTTCTTTTTGTGCAGTAGCATCGTTAACCCTTTATCAGATGTTTTGAAAATGGCTTTTCCTACCAAAAATGATTCTACAGCTTGATTAAAATACATGTTCCCTGTTAAGCTGGAAGGGTTAGAGCACCAGCGCCACCTTTGACTACAGATCTTAACAAGATGAAAAGGATGAAATTGAGTTTCTTGGCAGCTAGCGAGCTTCTTGTCATTCGAAACGTTCAAATGTAGACAAGTTTACCATCTAGCCAGGATGTTGTCAGAGGCAATTCAAACATCAGAAGGGTGGTTGGACCAGGTGACTTTAATGATCTCTCCCAAACCTGAAAGTGTAGGAGTTTGTGAGGGAGACAAATATTTAACTTCATGAAAGCAAGCCACTGCACCTGTGATAACAAGTGAGGAATTGATTTCTGTCACACATACACACACATACACGCACAAAATCCTTGTGGGAGTGGAATAGCCTGAGCTCAGATGCCAACAAAAGGCATCAGTGTGTCTGTATCTATGTGTGAGTGATGTCTGGATGGGTGTCTATGCGGGAGTGTGTGTGTGTCAGTGTATGCACGTGTGCCTGTAAGTATGTGTCTGTAAGTGCATATGAAGGAGGGAGGTATGGAGGAGAAAAGTGCATGTTGGCTAAAATTACATTTCTGTGTATTGCAGTACATTTTTTTCCCAATGTAATGAGAAGTCTAGAGTAGAAAGTCAAAGGAAGAACAGACCTCTATTTTCAAAGAAAAAGGGAAATGGTTATACTTCCACAAAAAAGGAAGAATAGAAGAAAGAAGAAACAAGGCAACCAATCAAACATGAACACTGCTATTTTGTCTTATGTCTTTCTCCTTTCTTCTATATATTGACTTTTTTTTTTTGACTCATCTGGGTAACTGCTTTAATTCTTCTTTACCTTGTTTCAAAGAGGCAGCAGGTTCCATTTGATAATGGAAATCAATTAGTAATAGCTGTCATTTATAGAGTAGACACTGAACCGAGGATGTATGTATATTTGTGTGTGTTTTTTCTCAACTCCATGAAATAGGTATTATTAATCTAATTTTATAGGTGAGGGACTGGGGGGACAGAGAAGTTAAGTAACTTGCCCAAGGTTACACAGCTAGTAAACAGCAGTGTCAAAATTCAAACTCAGACAGCCAGGTTCCAGAATCCAGCATGCTAACCCCTACTCAGTACTACCTCTTACCTAGCACAGTGGTTATGTTAGGCTTGGCAGTCCATAGCAGACTTGGCTTCAGATTCATGCTCTGACATTTAAAAGTTGTGTGACTTTGGAAGAACCATTTCCTTGTTCAGAGCCTCAGTTTCCTCATTTATTAAATGGCACTAAGCTGGGTGTGGTGGCTCCCAGCTGTAATCCCAATTACATGGGTGGATGAGGCAGGAAGATCACTTGAGGCTAGGAGTTTGAGACTAGCCTGAGCAACACAGTGAGACCCCGTCTCTAAAACTATATACAATGGCACTAGTATCTTTTCCCAGGGTAGTTGTGAAGATGAAATGAGATCAATTTGAGACTGAAACATAGGAAACACTTACTAAATCACAGCTGTGGCTACATACTTGCTCCTAACTTACAAGCCATAGAAATTTGAGGCTAGAAGTTTTCTAAAGACAATCAAACTATGCTATAAGACCAGGCCTCTTAGAAAAGTGGAAAGTATATCAGGAAAAATACCAGGGTAGAAATTAAAGCCTCTCTCGACCCTTCAAGGGCTGCTAGGGTGATAAGACCACTTGCTACTGAGAGGTTTTGTTATCCTCCACACAGATCCCTGAAAGCTCTGGTAGGATTGGGTAATCTTAGGTGATAAGGGAGATGTAAGGAATTACGACTCCTGATAAGCCACTGTGGTTTTGTTTTCCCATACTTTGAGGAGATATGGGTGACACAGATAAAGTACTGACAAAAGCCCCAGGTGGGCTTAAAATGCCTCCTCATGCCTGGGAGTGTTGGAGGCTGATGACATTCAGGGCTGACCCGCTACTATGCTCCATGTTAGTGTTATCTCTATGGCCGTGTGCTCAGCACCCTCAGGGGCCAGGTCAGGCGGGAGCACTCCAAAGAGAGTAGAGTGAGAGTTTGGCAGCTTGTTAGTCAGCCAGACTCTCTGAAGAGAGAAAGTGCCCTTGGGTCTCAAGAATGCTGTGTTTTGTTATCATTGGAAGACACTACAGATAGGTGGGAGGCACTGTGTGGAAGGCAGGGTCAGACAAGCCTTCAGCTGGCCAAGTCAGACTAGGTAGAGTCACTGTGGTCGTACTGTGGGAACACTGAGGAAAAGTGGTTGGTTCTGACTGGGTGAGATGGGGGAACGGGGAGGAATGAAGACTTCATAGGAATAATGGCAGCCTCTGAGCAGGTCCTTGAACGAAGAATGACTAGGATGTTGTTTGGCAGAGAAGGGATGATGAATTCTCCAGCCATCACCAAGGTGTGGTGGCATTAAACGCCCAAGTTGGTGCAGTACATTCCACAGCAAGGAGGTGTATCATTTTACCAGACGCCTCCATCCACTTCCCCCCACCAACCTCATACAAGCGAAAACTAGCTATTTTCCATGAATATATGCCATATTTAAAGACATGCAAATATAACAACTTGCTGAAGATTGAAAAGTATTTCTAAAAACAATGTTGACTAGAGTGAGAGGAAACAAGAATGTCAGTGAGAATCTAAATTGGTACAACCTTTGGTAAAGCAATTTGCTACTATCTGGCAAAAAATTATCTGTGTGTAACCTTTGACTTTGCATTTCCACAATGTATAACTCTAGCCTACAGAGAAAAAATGTATTGGAGGGTTTCACTCATTTATTAAGCAAATATTTCCTGCATCCCCACACATGACAAAGTGCTGGTGTCACTATTAGAAATATAGTAATGAACAAGGCAGAAAAATCCCTGCCCTCACAAAAGTTATATGAACAAATAAGCGAATCGTGTTATTTAATTTCGGATACTGATAAGTGCTATGAAATAAATTAGGAAGAAAAAGAATGACAGAGGGAGTTTCTCTCTGAGAAGGTGACATTTGAACAGGAACTGAGTTGTGGTTAAAAGGCCCATGAGAAGATCTAGAGAGACAGACTCTTAGGCAAAGGACATGTTTATTTCAACAATGGGGATGTATAATAGCAAAAGAAACCCACAAACAAAATATTGAAAATAATGTTGTTTGTCTTTTCAGACTGTGTTAAATAAGTTTATGTATATGTGAAATGGAATAGCATGCAATATAGTTTAAGAGAATAAGGTGTTCTAATGTACTAATAATAGCATATTTTCCAAGTTACATTAAAATTATCTTTTGAAAAAGTTCTGGTGTTAAATATAGTATGATCCCATTTGTTCTTCTAGAATTCACTTTCTTTTTTCTTCTCTTTTTTTTTTGTTTTGAGACGGAGTTTCACTCTTGTTGCCCAGTCTGGAGTGCAATGGCACAATCTTGGCTCACTGCAGCCTCCGCCTCCCGGGTTCAAGTGATTCTCCTGCCTCAGCCTCCAAAGTAGCTGGGATTACAGGTATGCGCCACTCCACTCGGCTAATTTTGTATTTTTAGTAGACACAGGGTTTCTCCCTGTTGGTCAGGCTGGTCTCAAACTCCCGACCTCAGGTGATCAGCCCGCCTCTGCCTCTCAAATGCTGGGATTACAGGCATGAGTCTTATAGAATTATTTACCTTTCTAGTAAACCACTGAACATAGTTTTTGAGTTGTCAGAGTGGATCCAAAGCTATTCTTATGTCCAGAGCTGGCTTCTTGGTGTCACATAGGACCCCATACTGAGTTTAACACTCTGTTGTCACCATTGAAATAGTGAATTGAAAAGAATTGCCCCATATTGAAATTCTTAATAATTTGTGAACCTGAGGCCCCACATTTGCATTCTGCACCAGGCCTCACAAATTATGTGGTTGGTGTTGAATAGGGCACTGGGCCATTTTTGGAGACGTGAGGCTTGTAACACTGATTATCTGTCCCAATAGCATGTGTAAATTGCTGAAATCAGAGTGAAATTGGCATCAAGAGTCACTGGAAAAATTGGCCGGGTGTGGTGGCTCATGCCTGTCATCCCAGCACTTTGGGAGGCCGAGGCGGGTGGATCACGAAGTCAGGAGTTCAAGACCAGCCTGGCCGAGATGGCGAAACCCCATGTCTAATAAAATCTACAAAAAAAAAAAAAAAAAAAAATTAGCTGGGCATGGTGGCAGGCTCCTGTAACCCTAGCTACTCAGGAGGCTGAGGCAGGAGAATCGCTTGAACTCGGGTGGTAGAGGTTGAGGTGAGCCGAGATTGCACCACTGCACTCTAGCATGGGCGACAGAGCGAGACTCCGTCTCAAAAAAAAAAAAAAAAAGTCACTGGAAAAATTAACAGAGAGCTATGCTCCACCTAAGGAGTACTGCTCCTCCCCTCTGCTTGAGAGTTTTAATAAAGAATGGTGGGCTTAGGCGTGATATCTTCTAATTTTTCAAAACAAAAAAACTGGAAATCTGATTTTTTTTTATGTGAAACTCCAAACTTGGAAATGTTGTCAACCAATTAATAGGTAAAATCTAAATAGACTATGTCCATACACCAAATTTGGTTTCTAGGTTTCATCCCATGTTTTCTTTTCCTCAAAATGTCAGGGGGATTTGCAATTCAGGACTTGCATTTTTACAAATTAGCCAGACACAGAGTTTTCCCCCACACAAAAGGTGTTCGAATGAGTTAGCAAAAACAAGGGCAGTGCCTGCAGTTCACAGCAGAGCATGTCTAGTTGTTTTGAAGGCCCAAAGATGATGGGGTGGCTGCAATCTTATTTGAAATTCAAAATCTTTCCCTTACTAATTATGTTATTTGCCTTTGTTTTGAATGTTTTAGCATTATTGTTATAGGGGAACCTGGAGAATGTTATAACGGCTTCATATTTTCAGAATGTTTTTCAATTGTGATGTGAAAACCAAACAAAGAAACAAAATTCTGGTGTGTGTTTACAAGTTATGTCTTTGAGCAATGCCATTAGAGAATTTAACAAAATGAGAACCAGCCCTTGGACAGAATGCACTTTGCAGCTCCAAACACTGGAAACGTCTTTTAGGATCAGAGGGCTTGAAAAGAAGATGAAAGTGGTGTTAAAATTAAGAACAATGTAGTACAAATAATTTAGTCTTCAATTTCTGAGATTTTAATGAGCTGTCCTTTACAGTCATACATTTAAATAGCCTCTTAATGGATCCCCCCACATTCTCAACCCAAATCTTAGAATTTTCTGTTTCAAATCAGGAATATCCTGGATTTTAGATCATTTTAAATATTTTTTTAGTGTAAGAAAGAGATTTAGTATCTTACAAAAAAAATGAAGACAATACTTTCAAGGGCCAGGGAGATGCTCTTGGTCTGTAAACTGTTCCCACTCAGCGACAGGTTATCCCACAGGTTCTTGGTGCATTTCCCATGCCTCTTTCCAACCCCATCATATAATGACCACTTTTATGGGGGCTCATGAAAATGGCATTGGCCCCAGTGGTTGGCAATATATTGTTATGGTGCCCATGAGAGAAGCCCCCTACCCATCACTACCCAGTCAGCAAGTCCTCAGTGGTCGCTATAAAACTTAACTCTTTAAAACCAGCTCTTCAGGTTAATCAGTTTCCAATGATTATAAGAATACCAGGCAATCTAACTACTGGTGGTAAGAAGATTAAGAAAACCAACTAAGGAAATTAGCTGGAGGATTGTTGAGTTTTCCTTTCCATTGAAAGAGAAAACATTAAGGGGTGGGGGCATTCTCTTCATTAGCTCCCATATTATTAGGCATGTGGCCTGTCTCATGGCTGGGAACAAGTTCCGTGAAACAGGCATATTGCCTTTATGTCACACACCAAGATTTTCCCAGATGCTTTAAATATATGAAAGAATCTTGCTTTCCTCCCATTTTTTACGGTTACATTTTACTGTTTGCTATAAAAGTAAGTGGTTAGCAGATCCATTTCTCTGCCTCCAGATCTGCTGATGCCTTTCATTTTATGCAAGCCAGTTGCTTATGAGTTACCTACCATAACTCATATATTTGTGGTCACCAATGACACAAGACTGCGATGATTTGATTGCAATAAACAGCTTCTTGAACTTGTTACCAGCATTATACTAAGACTCAGAGTTGTTAGACAAGAATGTGTACTTTCATATTTTCCTTCTATGCCTATACCCAGAAATAATCATTTTAGAGGCAACACCATTATCTTGATTTTCCAAAACAAAATAACTTTGCATGCAAAAAAGCCAAACAACTGAATGCAACACAAACCTAACTTTCCTGAAGCAATCACGGCTCTTTACACATTTGTTATTCTGTTTGACATACACAATAAATCGTAATAGTTACCAAATTACTGTTCGGTTTCAAATGATGTGCACACATCTATAATCTTAGTTAGCTGCTTGCTGGCCTGCATCAGGAATGCCATTGCATCCTCCAGGGTAATTCTATATCAATGACTTTTCCAAATAAATCTAGTTGCTGGTTTATATTAATGAACTGTCACAGTTTCTATTGTTTTCCCATGGCCTTGCAGCTGTATTCCTTCACAGGTGCTTGGCAAATTAAAATGATGCTGGTTTGGGGTTTCAGCTTGATACAAAATCACTCCTTCAGCAGATTGTTAGGAAGTTATTCATGCAAGAAACACATCTTTACTCAAGACATTCAGCTTCTCGGCTTATCCAATACCCATGCCTTATTGACACTTTGCGTTTCTGTTCTCCTCACCAAAGAAGTACAAAGAGAGATTGTCTTTCTTGCTTAGAACATCTCTATTAAAGAATCACCAGCATTGGAAGCTTTTTGTTTTTTTAAGGAAATGTGTTCTTTTCAGTTTGTCCTAACACTGGGTTCACAAATCACAAACATTTATTACTGATGTTTGCAGATTATATATCTTTTGGGGTTGTTTTTGTTAACATCAATTACCCAAGGGATCAACAGACAGAAAGAAAATTATTATATACTAACTATCCAAAACCACATTAAATGCTCCCTTTTGGATCTACTGTAACCTTTATTTAAAAATATTTTGCTCATGACTAACTTCTACCAGTGAAAATGAGAATGTTTAACATGCAAGTGCCTACTCAATCAAATTATCCATGCGTCAGTTTAGACGGTGCTTCCTCCCTGCACTGCAGCTCCCTACACCTCAATTACCCCTCATCACCCTGAATTCCTCTCTTGACCACTTGGAAGCTGTTATCACAGCACCTTCTCTCTGACCAATGGGGTGTCCTAGGCTACCCCTCCAAGAGCCAGCACACTATCAGTTCTCTTAGGTGCTCCAGTTCTGCATTTCCACACATCCACACACCTTCCTTTTAGATGGGTTGCAAGTTTTGGGGATTTTGTTTTTTTGTTTTTAATATTCATCTTTATCCTTAATGTAAGGCCTGCTGCCAAATTGCTGTATACTCAAAATTACCTGTGCATCTTACTCTGTGAATTCTGTTTTTATATTTGCCATTTATTACAATAGGGATGCAAATGCCAATCCCTTTGGGATAAAGCTAAGACTTTTCTTCCAATCTCCCTCATAAACCCAAATGGCATAAAATGCTGACTTTCTACTCAATATCTCATATCCATTGCTTGTCTTCCAGCTTAAAGAGAGGGAGAGAACGGCACTTCCTCGCACATGTGATGGTCAAGGAGTTATAAATGGAAATGAGTACATGCAAGCCTTCCTTCCCCTGGTTTTGGTGTGACAGGCACAAGGCTACAAATAGAGGTCCATATACTAGATGCCTAAATATTTAAAGATTATAAATTGAGTTCCCATGCTGTTGAATAGAATAGCTTCTATACCCCTGCTGTGACTAGTATATCTTCATAATATCTGGAAGGCCTGGAATACTCACCTCTTTCAAGTTCCAAGCCATGCGGCTTTTCAGTCCAGTGGCCTGGGTCCTTTCTCTTTCTACCCTCAACTCCAACCCATACAACAAGGGGACTCAAGAACATGCACATGGACATTCCACTACTCAAGTCCAAGTTTCATCCACTTCTGCCCACCTGCCTCCCAAGTACAATCTCCTCTTAGCCTGTGGGTGTGTGCACCACTGGCACATTCTGCTGTTAGAAGGATGGACCCATGAAAGAGGCCCACATAGACCTACAAGTGGGCTAAAATTCCAGAGTGCCCACAGCATTCTCTAGAAGAAGTGGGTAGGCTCTTGGTGGGCATTTTTCTTTAGTCTAGTGGCCTCAATGCAGAGGACACAGCCAGGGGAGGGCCAGGGCAGGTCCTGGAAAGCCCAAGTCCAAGGCCAATTCTGGTAATTGGGGCCTCTCAGAAAGTTCTTTAAAGGGGGTTAACTCAGCTGGGCAGCTCCTTTTGCCCCTTTACTTTCCTTCTTTGTTTATACATGGGACCTCCAATATAATAGCTGGAACTATGGCAGCCATTTTTTCAGCATGAGGATAAAGGCCTTTCTTTAAGCCTACAGTCAAAGAACTAGAATGAGCCAAGATTTCTGCTGACCATCCCAGCTGTAGGCTGCTTATCTTTAGATTTCTGCTTATATGAGAGAAAAAATGCCATCTCTTGTTTTCGCCATTATTTTTTAGTCCATGTTACAGCCAAACACAACATCTATTGTAACAGCCAAACACAATATCTCATTGACACAGATGTGTACAAGTTGAAAGGTAGATACTGATCACCTCTATTGTTAATCTGAGGAGTGCCTCAACACATAAAACATACAGATGCTAGAGGAGCTTAACAGATGTCTTTTGAATGAAATGGACAGAGTGGAGGAAGGGAGCATTATCAGCAGAGAAAATGGAATGAGCAGAGAGGTCTGTATATGGCCAAGGCATATACGGAAAATGGGGAGTAGAATAATTGGATTCCTAATGGGAAAGATTACTGAGGTCTGAGTTAAGCTGGTTGGGTTGGGACCCACATGGAAATGTGAAAGGAAAGCAGATTAACCTATCATTCCCACGCACCTGCACTAGGTCTGCCATGTAAGCACTCAGTTAAACGACACCCCTTTGAAGTCTTCCTTCCCCAGAGAAAATTGATTGCACTCAAGAAGACACACACAATTTCACCCATATTCACTCACACTCACAAAGCATGTTGTAAAATTTCATCATTGTACATAGGCTAGCAATTGTTTACCTGTTTGTTTGCTCACTCCTCTGTAAAGTCCTTGGGCATCAGGACTTCAAATGCATAGCTGAAGACATTTATTAGATTAACCTGCTACTGCTAAGCTGGAGGTCTTAGAAGAAAGAAAAACTAGGCCAGGCACGGTGGCTCGAGCCTGTAATCCCAGCACTTTGGGAGGCTGAGGCAGGCAGATCATGAGGTCAGGAGATTGAGACTAGCCTGGCCAATACGGCGAAATCCCGTCTCTACTAAAAATAGAAAAAATTAACTGGGCATGGTGGTGGGCGCCTGTAATCCCAGCTGCTTCGGAGACTGAGACAGGAGAATCACTTGAATCTGGGAGGTGGAGGTTACAGTGAGCTGAGATCGTGCCACTGAACTCCAGCCTGGGTGACAGAGTGAGACTTTGCCTCAGAAAAAAAGAAAAGAAAAGAAAAACTAATTGAGACTATTTCAATAGTTCAGGTTTAAAGAAATTCCTGGTACTGAATGGAGAGCACCAGGAATAGAAAGTGAATTGTAGATGCAATGACTATTGTGAATAAAATTAAGAAAGCAGAAATGAGATTAAATTCAAACTGCAAGAAGTAAAAGAATTTACAGATGACAGGAAGATTTTGAGATTAAGTGACTATAAGAATGATGGTACTAGAGTGAAAAATATGAAAATCAAGCAGAGAAACTTGTTTCAATGAAAAAATCAAATAACTTCTGGTTTAATCTTGCTGAGACTGAGTAGTCAGTGAGACATTAAAGTCATGATGTTTAATAGGAAACTAGAAATGTAATAAAACTTTAGAGTGCTTTCCACTTTTTAATACTGGTGAATGTTCATTCAATTCCCTTGCTGTGCTTTTCTTTATTTAATTTAATATTCAAACTTTTAAATGTAATTTTCTCCATTTCACAGATGAGGAAACTGAAGAACACTGAGATTTAGTCAATTGCCCAAGGACGTAGAGCTGGTAAGTGTCAGAGTCAGGGTTCAAACCCTGGCAGCCCAAGTAAATCACCACCTGAACCAGCTTCAGGCTGTGGGGCTTTCTTGGTCTGCCCATTCTGGCCCCAGAATCATGCTTGCAACTCCCAAAGGAGTCCACTCATTCTGTGTCTTCATACTCAGAAGTAAATTTCCCTAAAATGATTTTCAAGTGTAGAATACCAGTTCTACGTGGCAATACGTATTCCCCAAAAGTAAAGGGAAGAGAGGAAACACAGGATTTTTAGGGTGGTGAAACTATTCTGCATGATACAAACAATAGTAGATAACTGTCATTTCACATTTGCCCAAATGCATAGAATGTACATCACCAAGAGCGAACCCTAATGTAAATTGTGGACTCTGGGTGATAATGATGTGTCAATGTGGGTTCATCCATTGTAATAAATCCACCACTCTGGTAGAGGGTGTTGAAAATGGGGGAAACTGTGCATGTGTGCGGCTGGCATTTATATAGGAACTTTCTATACTTTCCTCTCAATTTTGCTGTGAACCTAAAACTTCTCTTTAAAAAAATAGTCTTTCTTTTTTAAAGGGGAAGTTGTATTCAATTAGGCAGAATTCAATTTTGCAGGACTTCTCAGAGCCTGTAACATGCTAATAAGCATTGTGAGGCAGAGTACATCGTCTTCCCAGACTTCTTGACCAAATAATAAGTTATTTTTCTCTGGGATGTCAAAGGCCTGGTGCTCTATGGGACCCACTTTGGAAAGGGTTGCTCAGCTCAGTACTTTATGAAAACAACAAAAATTTTGTTGCAAAGGCCTGATCTCACATTATCAAGTCAAATAAAAATACACTTTACTTTATAACCATCATTTCCAGTCTTGACTGAATCACCTGGAGACTTTAAAAAATATATTAATGGCCAGCTCACACTCTGAGGTGTTCTGATTCTATGGTTCTGAGCTAAGGCCCAGGAATCAAAGATTCCTGATGGTTTCTAAAGTATAGCCAAGTTTGAGAAGATTATTCCTGCTCTGAAATAATCTTAAGCATAATTATTACTTTTATTTTTATTTTTTGTAGAGATTGGGTCTTGTTCTGTTGACCAGGCTGGTCTCAAACTCCTGGTCACAAGTGGTCTTCCCTCCTTGGCCTCCCCAAGTGCTGGGATTATAGGCATGAGCCACCATGCCTGGCCCTTAAGCATAATTATATACAGAAAACTACACAGGACCCGGATTGGATTTTGAATATCACGTCTTAATTTCCTGTCATTAAGGAATTATCAGTAACTACTAGAGAATCATCACTGTTCTGATCAAAGCCTGGATTTCTCTTGTTTCATCCAGGTTCCTCTAGGTGCCCACTTTCTTTTTTGTCATGCACTGGTCCATGCTGGGATGCTGCTCCTGCCTATCAGATTCCTTATCACACTATATTGCATTCCATTGCATGTTCTACTTATTCCATTGCTCAATGATGACACAAGTAAGGTCTTTATTAACAGCATTAGAACAGTTGGCTTCTTACAATGCATATTGTGCTAAAAGTCTGACATCAGCTGTTTATACTTCTACTTATACAATACCGCAGCTCTGTTACCTCTTTCGTGCACTATCTCCCTCCCTCCCTGTCTGTCTCTCTCCCTGCCCTTGTCTCTCTCATTGGAGCCTTTATTGACATTGCTAGTTGTCTCTGTGCTCTGCCCTCATATAATGTGTTCTGCCTGCTCCAGAAGAGATAAGATGGGTGTCTTATACTTTGTTTTCATTTTTGGCAAGGAAAGTGGCTTTCAGACTTAATGTGAGGTGGAAATGGATTCTTCATTTTAGGGGAAAAAATCAACCCTAGGATATATCCTGCATGTGTCTATTAAACATTCTTTTTAACTTTAGCAGCTGGGCAGTTCACTCTCTCAATATTTCACAACCATTTCCATGCAGATGGCTCTATAGTCTGGGATGGTTGCCTCCATCCTTCCTTAGCCCTATCTCAGATGGTCAGCACTGCAAAAAGTACAAGTTTCTGGCCCCAGAGGCAGGTGAATCTCCATACTAAGAGATTCAGAATCATTAAAAGCTCAGCCATAACTTCAGCCCTGAGTCATATCAGAGACACAAAGTGATGCCTGTGGAAGCCTGGAGACAGCCAAAAGTTAGGGAGTGTTGACAAGGAAGAGAAAGGAGTAGAAGACTGGATAAAATTGTGGAGGAAGTAGGGAAAGATAGGAAGCAGAAGGAAAGGGAGAAAATAAAGGAGAAAGGGAAGAGAAGGGGAGGGGAAGGTAAGAGGAGAGGGGAAGGGAGGAGGGAAGGGGAGGAAAGAAACAAGACAGGAATTACAGGATAACATCTACTATGGCCTCAGGTGCCATTTGGCTTCATACTTTGACTAACTCTTCCCTAGACACCAGACAGATCATATCAACATAACTAATCCCTGTTCTTCTTCGTAAGATTATGATCAATAACAGCTTTATGAATTGTAGGGATATGTAGTTAAGTGAAAGCAACCAGTAATTTAGAGAGTAGTCACCTAGTCAACCAAATATTTGGGAAAAAAACCAAAGCTCAAATTTTAATTCTAATAACACAGTATTTCATAGACTTATTAGAACAATTTTGAGGTTACCAGTGCACAATTATGGCCTGCCTTTTTTAATTGGTCAGATAGAAAAATATCTGCTATCCACAGTGTCTTTTATGATTTGAATTAAACCTTTCCCATGGAGTTGATTGCTGGGGCTCTTCCATCAAGCTTCTTGTTAATATTCCTTGTAATATTCTCACCTGTTCTGATGTCAGTCTGGCTCATCCATCACCCCTGAGGAGTTATTGTCGCATCCAGGGCCACCAACTCATTCTGCATCCAAATAACGCTCTGACGCAGCCAGAGATTTATGACCCATCTCTGATTCTATCATCTCAGGCCAGGCTGGTCTAGGCCTTTGACTAGACATCTCGATAGTGTAATTGTGTTTAAAATTTTCCCTCCACTGCTGGCAGAGTCTAACTTCTAACAATAGAGGAGGCACCTATATTCCATAAGATCTGGAACAGGCTGACCTACTGTGGATCCCCTTAATCCATTGGAAATCCAAGCTAACATGGGACACGTTTTATGCACAAGTGGAATGTGCACATCTGTGCGTGCGCTCGCTCTCTCTCTGTTTCCTCTTCTCTCATTTACTCCAGTTATGGAAATAAATTATATATTTTCCTTATTTCTTCCACATTACCTGAATTCTCAGCTACTCTGAATTTTTTTTTTTATTATTTACTATTTCAAAATCTACTAAGTTGCTTATGTCACTAAGAATGTTCATTCTAAAATGCTGGTGATCCATTTAGGATCAATTCCTTTAAAAATATGCCCACATAATTAACGCAATCTTTCTGAGAGTAAGGCTTGGCTTCCTCCAAAAATGCTGTGAATTCTTAATACGTTCTGAAGAACAGGAAATGGGCTGCTCTTTTGACAAGGTCATAACATGGCTTTATTTATTTATTTATTTATTTATTTATTTGAGTGAGACGTAGTTTCGCTCTTGTTGCCAAGGCTGCAGTGCAATGGCACGATCTTGGCTCACTGCAACCTCTGCCTCCCGGGTTCAAGCACTTCTCCTGCCTCAGCCTCCCAAGCAGCTGTGATTACAGGCATGTGCCACCACGCCTGGCTAATTTTGTATTTTTTTTTTTTTAGTAGAGATGGGATTTCTCCATGTTGGTCAGGCTGGTCTCGAACTCCCGACCTCAGGTGATCCACCCTCCTCTGCCTCCCAAAGTGCTGGGATTACAGGTGTGACCCACCACGCCTGGCCATAACATGGCTTTTTAGTGTTCCCTATTTGATGTGTAGATATGAGGGATGGAAGATTCAATAAATAATAAATAAATCACAGAAATAGATGCTGAACCCACTTACATTCTGAGTTTTAACTCAGCTCAGCAGTCATTTCTTCATGCAGCCATGCAATACTTTATCTGCTTTTCATGTAACCCATGTCCTTTGTGTCTGAGCAAGCAAAATGGGAGATTCCCTGAATACATGGGCCCTCTGTACATTTTGTTTTGATGCTTCTCAAGGAAAGGGTTTCCATTGGGGTGGATGTTCTGCTGGTTGTTGATTCAATCTCAGCTTCCTCAGTGACAGCCTGTCTCAACACTGTCAATACCTCTTCAGTGTTGACAATAAACAGGCATGATGGCAGGCTGTTCTTGTCTGCTCACTTAATGACTTCACTGATGACATGCAGGTGTGCACTGATGTTGTACCTCGTCTTGAAGCTTTCATGGTAGTTGGAGGGCTGGTTCCATTAAATTCTAGTCTTGTGAGAATAAAGAAAACTGTTCTGGGCACTCACCAGCTCGAGATGAGCAATGTACGAATCCCCGATCGTAATTTTCAATACAGTATTAAGGATAGATTAGGTCACTTCATCTAATAGACTGAAATGCATCAGGACCATGCTTGTAGTTACAAGCACTTGAAGAAGTTAGTCTACCCTTCCCACTTAACAGTTGTTAACATTGTTCAGCCTTTAAATGCAAGGACTCCAAGCATAGTTCCAAACACTCAATAACAAATTTGCTTCACTCATTTTGTGAAGTTTCACTTGTCCTTTGAGCACATAAGAGACAATAAAGCTTGGTGTTTATGCACATGAACTGTGGAACCAAACTGTCCTGCTTTGAATGCCAGCATTGTTCAACATCTCTGTGACTCACTTTCCCCACATGTGCCTTTGAACTAAACAATAGTACCTCCTTTTTACAGTTACAATTAAAATCAAACAATGCCTGCCATATAGTACATGCTCAATAATGGTGAGCTGTTATTAATGAAACTGAAAGCAAAAAGGAGGTGAAATGATTTTTCTTAGGACTAGAGAAGGGGCCTAAGACAGGCCTGGGAATCCAAAGCTAGTCTTGAGATCACCTTTCCACAGCTGCATCCAACAGATAATATCCCCCAGACAGTGCAGGCTATCAGTGGTGATTGAGTGATTGATTCCTTTATATCTGTTTGCTTGTTTACTCTGCCGCTCACTACTTTTAAGAACACTTTTTCCCTGAAGTTGTTTGTTCTTTTTCCTAATTGTCATCTTGGGTGTCTAGTGCTGACACGGCTGCTAAAGCTCGTGCAGAATCTGTGTCTGTCAACACCAGGCTTGACTTTGCCTCTAATGCAGTTAGTTACCAGCTGCTCCTCGATGGAAGGAGATGAAGGGACACTTGTGAATATGTTAATTTGCTCAGTTTCCTAATGGAGCCTACAGGAATGTAGACATTAATACAGGACTAGACTTGACCTAGCCAATCATCACATATCTACCGGACATCTATTATATACAGAAAGATAGAATGGGGGAGAGCAGAGGATGACTAAAGAGAGGAAATAGGCATTATTTATTCAGGGCCTTAGGTGCACTGGGCACAGTACTAGGCACTTCAGATGAATTCTTTTATTCAATCCCCATCCTATTTTATAGATGAAGAAGTGGAATCTCAGAAAGTTGTGCTAGAAACAGCCAAACCTAAGAAGCCTGACTCCAGAGTAGACCAAGAACAACATTATGGATGGAAGTGATTGACACATAAATGAAAGAAATTTACATCAGTGTGTCCTTGTATTAGTCTATTTTCATGCTGCTGATAAAGACATACTTGAGACTGGGTAATTTATAAAGAAAAAGAGGTTTAATGGACTCACAGTTCCACGTGGCTGGGGAGGCCTCACAATCACGGCAGAAGGTGAAATGCACGTCTTACATGGCAGCAGGTAAGAGAGAATGAGGGCCCAGCAAAAGCGGAAATCCCTTATAAAACCACCAGATCTCATGAGACTTATTCACTACCATGAAAACAGCATGGGGGAACTGCTCCCATGATTCAATTATCTCCCTCTGTGCCCCTCCCACAACACATGGGAATCAGGAGAGCTACAATTCAAAATGAGATTTGGTTGGGGACACAGCCAAACATTATCTGTCCTTAAGAGATGACAAGACCTATTCTTATTCCTACTCCGTAAGTATCCTGTCCCTTCCTGTTATATTTAATTCCTTCACCTGTACCCTGGATTTCATCCTCTCTAGGATCATGAGATCCTGTTTCTCCCAGTACCAGGCCTCCTCACCCTGACATAGTCCCACTCTAGTTGTTCCATTTCTGCACATCATTGTTTGCAAGTTCTGTTAACCCTCTTCCACCCTAATGGAGTCCAGTCACATGTAACCCTGAAGGGCATGCATGAAAGGCAAGGGCAAGTGCATCAGGAGAGCCAATATAAGACAGTGGTCAAGAGCCTGGGCCATGTGTCCAGATTTCCAAGGTAGCACCTTGTCTTTACTGTCTACAAACCCTGCATCAGTTTCCCCAACTGTAAAAAGATGGGAACAGTTATATATATGTCATTAAGTTGTTGTAAGAATTTAAAAATTTAATCATATTACAAATAATAATTTAATTATGATGCCTAGAATATTGCCCATGATAACACCTATGCATAGTAAACACCAACCATTCTCTGTACAGGTTAAGGCTCTATATTGTGTACCTGCATCACTTCATCACCTTCCTGCTTCTGACCCTCCAATGTATTTTGAAAATGCCAGTAAATTCTCTGAGCTTATCAAGTTCACCTTTGACTTCCATCTAATTTTCCACGTTATACACAGCCCCAGTTCCGGCAGCAAACACAGATCTGAGTATTTTTTTTAATGGCCTCTGCCCCCAAATCAATAGGCCGAAGTAGGGGTTTGATGTCTGGCCCCTCATCCCAATATGGGAAACTCTGAAGGGTCTTCCCATCCTCCAGACTCCATAAGATTGGCTGAAGCCTACACTGAGACAGCATCACAACCCAACTACTCCTTCCAAATCCTTCCCTACTCCTCCTTACCTTTCCTCCCCTAGGTGTTGATCCCAAAACAGTGCCTAATAAATTCCTGCATGCCAACCTCCATCTCAATGTCTGCTTCCTGGGAAAATCAACCTGCAACACCCAGACCAGTTCACACAGTCATGCTTTGTGAAATGGGGCCCCATAGCTAACGAAGGTGATGCTTAATTTCCCAAACAGAAGGGTTATTATTGACCTAAATGGTATCTGTATTTGTTTCTTGGGTGAGGACTCATAGGAACCCTATATTTGATCAGATTGAGACCAACTGTAAAAGTCTGGCTATGGGCCATTGCAGGAATGTCGGCCTCCTTACCTTGCCCATTGTGGTATTAGCAGTCCTGGAGGGAGAAGTCCTAGACTATCCAAGCGGCCCAGATGTCACTAGTGTTCCCAGGACTCATCAGAAATGATCATCTCCAATTTCTCAGCCATAAATGAACCAATAGCCAATCTCCTCAAGAAGGAAAGGAATTTGCTGATTCTTGGCCATCATTGCATCATTTCAGCAGTTGAAAATTGTCCTCTCTCATACCTCAATCAACATCAACCAGCTCAGCTCAAAGCTACTACTAAAACCAGAGCAAGCAGGTCACTAGCGGGTAACTGCCAACATGAGAAGTAACACACCATGGGCTAAAATTACTGGAGAACTGGCCTGCTTTGTCAGTGGGTACAGTTGCTACTTTTTATAGAACTGAAGCTATAATTCAAAAATCCAATGGATCTTTCTCAGGACTCCTGTATCAGGGCTTACTGTGGTTGGGCTACATTCTTTTGAAATCTGTAGTGAAAGCCTGGTGATTGTTGAAGATGACACCCTCACTCAGTTGGTCTCCTTCCAATCACAGTGCACTCATGAAAAGAGGAGAAGTAAAAGACCTGGGCCTTTCTGGAGAATATTGCACAGCTGTTTAGAAAAATCTGCTCTTGGGACCTTCCCAGAAAAGTCCTTAAGGAAAATCACAATGGGAGTGAGGTCATATGCTCATGGCATTACCTTGGCTATTATTATGTATTATTGTTTGCTATTGTCTTGTTGTTCCAACTAAAAGAAACAGCTTGTTCTCTAAGATGTTGTGTTTTCTTTTTGAAGACCTGAGTCATCTAACTCCCACAGTCCTATGGGAGTGGAGATAAGGGTTTGTGGTTTTAGGATGTTGTTTCTTTGAGGTGGGGGAGACAGCATAGAGGGAAAGTAATACTTTTTTTAAAAAAATTTGGGTCTTGATGAATAAGATCAGTCTCTCCAGCTCTGTGTCTGACGCCTCTCCTTTTTATACCTAAAGATATCCAGCACCAAACAAATCCTAGCAATTCTACTAAACTTCCAATCATTAAAATAGCATGTGCAGTGAAAGAAAAGCATACACGTTCTCATTGCATATGCTTTTTGTCCAAGAGCAACAGAAAAGCATCTGTGTGTGTTTCATAGGAAAGAAAACACCTAGAAACTGTAGGGAAATTCTGGTGATTTTTTTATAAATTCCCCAAACAAGGTTTTTCATATATAGATATGACTAGATGTGTATCATCTCTCTGTCATCTGGCTGCAAGTGTAACTATTCATATTTTTGCACTAGCAGCCAGTCAAAATTGCCTTGGATTCAAAACCGAGCTCTCAGTTTCTATGTTACAACATGCACTATCCGTACACAAGGATACTACTTGTCCTTATCGAGTCATAAATGGAAAGTCACCTCATCATTGGTGGCCTGATCATCACTGGTGGGTGTGTTTGAAATTGCTCTCTGTTACCACGTGGCAGTCTTCCTTGATGATTCCCTTACTCCACAGGAAAATAACCCAGAGGGGAAGGGAAAAAAATGAGAACTGTGGATAAGGTTACCTTTCTTAAAGAAAGGGCCAAACTGAGAGCCAGCACTTCTTAATATCACATATTGCATGATTCAAATGAAGCATAGAAATGCCAAAGAAATTTTAGAATTTTTAAACACAAAGTTCAGATATAAGGCTTTGCATCTTTATGGCAGACAGGAGTCTGCTGTATGTGATTATCAAAATTATTTGTTATGTCAAAGGGAAAATTCTGTATGCTTGCATTTTGTATCTATTACAAAGATAATATTTGAAATTATACTTAGATCTTGTTTTAAGAGAAACCATCATGAAAAAGTAGTTTTCATGTAAGATGAATTTGATGGGTAAAAATCCACTTAACAAAATGGTCTTTTGTGTTTCCAATTTACCATGGGATTTCTCCTAATAAGAAAATAGAAATAAAAATTTTGACTAATAAAAATGTGATTTGTGAGATGTGGCATAGCACAGTGGTTAAGGGCACAGCCATGGAGCCAGATTGCCAGGGTTCGAGTCCCGTACTTGGCTGTGTGACCTTGGGTAAGTTCCTTAACCTCTTTGTTTCTCAGTTTCCCTGTCTTAAAATACAGCGTAATAATACCTAACTCATGAAATTGTTAGAAAAATTAAATAACTAAATATTTGTAAGGCCCTTAAAATAATGCGAAGTGTCAAATAAGTGTTTGTTCAGTGAATAATGAAGTTTTCAAGAATGTACATGTTCCAGAAATTAAGGCAAACTTGTATATTACATCTGATTGTCTGCATGTTAAGATGTCAATACAGCAGCATACTGTATTTTTTTAAATTCCTAGATCTGCCTACATACTTGATTTTTTAAAAGATATCTCAAGGACAGTAATCAGTCTTATGTAATTTTTTTGCTGTACCATAAGATAATTTTTATTATAATTATAAAAAATGGTAGGCAATGCCCTTACAAATATTTATATTGAAGCGTTGAGCATGTTTTCCTATGACCCAAAATAGTGCTTACTTTAACTATAATTAAGTGTTAAATTCATGTATTTTGTTTGCAGGCCCTGCCTCCTTCTCCTCTCCAACCTCTTCGCCCTCCACCCCTACTTTTCCATCCTTTCCTGAAAAATAAAGTGGGGAGATAGAGGCAGAGAAAGAAAAGAAAAAGTAAAAAATAAAGAAGAAAATCAAACCAGTATTTTTTAGTAAATTGGGACTAGAATTACATGATCAGAATAATACAATTTAAAAACATATATATACATACGCATGCATATTATATGTATTTAAACATATAAATATGTTTAAATTATTTTAATAATTTAATATATATTAAATATATACGTATGTAAATTTGCTATCTACACTGCATATTCCCACAGCTCATATGTTCAAGACTAAATCCTCCAGTGATTCAAAGAGACACCAAAGGAATCCAAACTGCCAGTCTGAACCTGGGAAGTTGAAGATGAAGAACACTCCAGGATTTAGGGGAAGCATAAGAGTGGAATGTGAATCATTTGCTTGAGGGGCTTGCCTTGTCCCTTCTCGTAAGACTTTGTGTCTTGCTTGTAGTTACTTTTCCTGGGGAGACAGGCAAAAAAGTACCCTTCTATTCTCATGTGTTCATTTATGAAAGGGTTAAGACTTGTCCTGCGAAAACTAACCCAAATGTTTCCAAAATGCACAAGTGAACAAAATTTAGAAACTAATCTCGAAAAACAAATGAGAAGAAATTTAGTTTCTATACTATACTCAGCATGTAGAAATTATAATATAAAAATTCCCTTCCTAAACACAGGCTTGCGAGAATCGGTTAAGGGAAGGTTTCATTTGTGTACTCATCTAAATAATGGTTTTCATGTCCAACTTCTATTTACTTCATGTTATTCACTCATCTATTCTTTTCCCAAACCTTCAGGCTTAGCAAAATTACCCTTTCTACCTCTCACATGGTCCTTTCTTGTTTTGTCCTGTTGTTTAGTTGGTGGGCTTTTTTTGTTTGCTAAATTGCTTTTTTTAAACCATATTTTAAAGCCAGTGTCTTTTAACATACGATTTTAAACTTAGAAAAGATATAAGGGGCCAGGTGCAGTGGCTCATGCCTGTAATCCCAGCATTTTGGGAGGCTGAGGCAGGCTGACCACTTGAGGTCAGGAGTTTGAGACCAGCCTGGCCAACGTAGTGAAAACCCACCTCTACTAAAAATACAAAAATTAGCCGGGTGTGGTGGTGCGCACCTGTAATCCCAGATACTCTGGAGGCTGAGGCATGAGAATAGCTTGAACCCGGGAGGCGGAGGTTGCAGTGAGCCGAGATCACGCCACTGTACTCCAGCCTGGGCGACAGAGCAAGACTCTGTCTCAAAAAAAAAAAAAAAGAAAAGATATAAGGGAAAAATAAAATGAGTACAAAGAGGAGCATGGAGAACTAAGGAGGTGTTAGGAAAGTTGGGTTAAGCAGAAAAAAGAGAAAGGGGAAGAATTTGTTATGTGGGTGATTTCTGTTTTGTGAAATCTATAGCTTTAGTGTCATTGGATTGGTTTCCTAGGACTATTGCTACAAAGTACTTTGGATAGCGAAAATAAACAGAAATTTATTCTCTGAGTTCTGGAGGCTGGAAGTCTGAAATCAAGGTGCCAACAGGGCCATGCACCCTCCAAAACTCTGGTAGAATTCTCTCCTGTCTCTTCCAGGAGGCCAGCAATCCTTGGGGTTCCTTGGCTTGCAGCTGCACCATTCCAATCTCTGCCTCTTCATCACACAGCATCCTTCTTGTGTGCCTGTCTTCATATCCCCTTCGTTCTTATAAGGACACCAGTCATATCAGATTAAGTGCCCCACCCTACTCCAGTGTGATCTCACCTTAACTAATTACATCTACAACCACCCTATTTCCAAATAAGTCACATACAGTATTAGAGGTGAGGATTTCAACATGTCTTTTTGGGAGATACAATTCAACCCATAACAATTAGTAGTAGTAATAACAACCAACTACAATAGCCATGTAATTGTACATACTCTACGTATTATCTCACATATTCTCACAGCAAGCAATATTATCCCTCATTTGATAGATTGAGAAACTTCCATTTTAAGAGGTTAAGTCCCTTGCCTCAGGTTACAGAGCTAATAAAGAGAGTTCAAGTTTAAATAAAGACTCTAAAGCCCAATTCTTCCCTGTAGTATTTTACAAAAGAATGTGATTTTACTGTCAACAACTCTTCAGCACTGACCCATTTGTTACTTTGTGTTACCCATTTGTTAAGTGCTTTATGAAGCCTTAAATGGTCTCTAACACTATTAACATAACAGGTTGAACCATATAAATAGTAAATTACATGGGAACATAGGGTAGTCACTATATGTCAATGTCTGGATTTGTTGGGGAAGAGTGGATACCCTTTACTCCCCAGGGTCTAGGATTTCAGATCCTACAGTTAGAACAGCCGTAGTGCTTATGATACAACAGGAAACAAAAGATCATGAAGACCTTTAGATTATTTAAATGCTGCCTAAACTCTCTTTAGTTATAAAGTGCCCATCACATTGCTTACAAGCCAGGAGGAAGTATTTTATCCTGTAAAAAATTTACAACACTCTATTCCTAAATTCAATCGTTCATATGCCAATTTCAAATTTTTGTTTTATTAACAGATGATCTGTACTTAGTATGTTTCTCATTCATTTGCTTTAAGTAAGCAATTTTATTGTAAATAGATACTCAACACTTTCGTTGGCCAGACACGGTGGCTCAAGCTTATAATCCCAGCACTTTGGGAGGCTGAAGGGGGTGGATCACCTGAGGTCTCGAGCTCGAGACCTGCCTGACCAACATGGCGAAAACCCGTCTCTACTAAAAATAATATTAATAATAATAATTCAAAAATTAGCTGTGCGTGCTGGCATGCGCCTGTAGTCCCAGCCACTCGGGAGGCTGAGGCAGAAGAACTGCTTGAACCCGGGAAGCAGAGGTTGCAGGGAGACGTGATTGCACCACTGCACTCCAGCTTGGGTGACAGAGCCAAAAAAAAAAAAAAAGAAAAAAGAAACTCAACATATTAGTAAATTAAAAACTGGTTTTATATGTTGTACATAGAAGTATAAGTTGTATTTATTTTAGGACATAAATACAGTTAAAACAATATCATCATGTTTTAAAAATGAAAATAAATAAGGAAATAAAAGTTTGTAAAAAGGTAGTCAACTTTCAAAACGTACATCTGAAAATTAAGTCCCTCAATGAGGAGAACTGGAATGGGATAGGATCAGTCAGTAGTACAAGATTATTTGGTTTTGTGTTGTGTGGTTTAAGACAGAGTTGAGTTTTACACCAACAATGTAGTTCTTTTTCTCAATTTTTTTGTTTTCTTTCTTTCTTTTTTTTTTTGAGACAGGGCTTCACTCTTTCACCTAGGCTGAGTGCAGTGGCATGAACACAGCTCACCACAACCTCAATGTCTTAAGACTCAATTGATCCTCCCACCTCAGTCTCCCAAGTAGCTGTGACTATAAGCAAGAGCCACCATACCCAGCTCTCTCTCTCTCTTAATATACATACATATATACATATATCTCTATATATACACATATCTCTCTCTCTAAATATACATACATATATATATTTATACTATATATATATATATATATATATATATATATATATATATATATATATATATATATGTCACAGGGTTTCACCATGTTGCCCAGGCTGGTCTTGAACTCCTGAGCTGAAGCAATCCACCTGCCTCAGCCTCTCAAAGTGCTGGGACTACAGGCATGAGCCACCACACCCGGCCCTTTTTTCTTAGTTTTGATGATAGCTGGCACTAAAGGACCCCAAATCATATGAGTATGTTGTTGGAGAGGAGAAAAGATATTCAGCCACTGATATGGTTTGGCTCTGTGTACCCATCTAAATTTCCTCTTGAATTGTAATAATCCCCACAGGTCAAGGGCAGGACCAGGTGGAGATCATTAAATCATAGGGGCAGTTTCCCCCATACTTTTCTTGTCATAGTGAGTGAGTTCTCACAAGACCTGATGGTTTTATAAGGGGCTTCCCCCTTTGCTCAGCACATCTCCTTCCTGCCACCATGTGAAGAAGGATGTGTTTGCTTCCCTTTCTGCTACGATTGCAAGTTTCCTGAGGCCTCCCCAGCCCTGCAGAGAACTGTGAGTCAATTAAACCTCTTTCCTTTATAAATTACCCAGTCTTTATAGCAGCATGAGAACAGATTAATACAACCACCTTCTCTGATAGATTTGATAATCATTATTAATTTCTAATCAAAATAATGTAAGTTAATTTCCTTCAAAAATTTTTACTCCAAGAAACTGTATGAAGAGACCTCCAGAATATAGCTTCCTGATGGTAACAAAAAATTTGATAATGTTCTAAGTGATGGAAAACGGGTTCATAAGGTATCCAGGCAGGAGTGCTGTTTCAGCCACAGGACCATCTTGGCATACGAACTCTGCTGGCCAGAAACCCTGCAGGTAAGGCAAAGCCTTAGGGAATGTGAGCCCTGAAGGGTATCTCCCAAGGCCTGGGGGCCCCATACTGCTTTCTCCACTGCCATCTTTCCCTCCCCTCTGGCTCTAGGCACTGCTCTGGCAACCTAAGCAAATTCCAACATACTGTCCAAGGTCAACCCACATGCCACAATTGTTACAGGTGCCACAAAACTGTATGCAAATTAAATATCTCATTTTATTAGAAGGAATCAGCTTTCAGTTATTACTTTTGGAGGGTTATAATCATATCATGCATTGCTCCCTTCAACTCAGTATTTACTGAGAACATATTATGCCCTAGATGTGGATCCAAGGACTGGATATGCATGCAGCAATGAATAACGTATATATGATTCTACTCCCTCTTTCTCCACCTTAGTTTATAGTCAGAAAGAGAAGTCAAACGTTGAAGAAATAATCAATTGTAAAGGTAATGTGTTTGGGGAAGTATAAGATGCTATGGTTGCAGATAGGAATCTAACCTAATCTAGAGGACGGAGAAGATCCTCTTGGAGGAGTGACCTTCAGGTGACACATGAAGAATGATTAGGAACTTCCCTGGTAGAAAGGGAAGAGTGGCCCCTGAAGGAAAGGAGGGCAAAAGAAACCAGATTAAAGAAGTTCATGTCAAAGACTGGGTTCTGATCCTAAGGACAATGGGAAGCCATTGAGAGCTAACTCTTCACATCAAGTCTCAATTTCAGGTACTGTCCTACATAGTCTATTTGTCTAATTGGATTTAATACTGATGACCATGAAGTAAACATTATTAGCCTAATTTTTAATGGACAATAAAGAATTTCTTAGGTGGAATTAGTGAATGCATAAAGCATCAAATGCTAAAATTTTGGCTCTAGATTTTCTAAATAAAAATCACAAAAGCCCTTTTTAAAAAATTTAGCATCTTCTTATTAAAAATGACAAATGTTTTTAGTTTCAAAGAACTTATAATTTTTAGAATGAAAAAGGCAAGAAAACTGAGATCCGGATATTCAGGTAGGAAAGAAATTCTCTTTCTATAGTTTCAAAATACTCCCAGTTGAGAATAAAGAGAGTAGGGCAATATGTGCTTGAAATTTATCATAGTTTTTTAATGACCATTGTAATGGGCTGCAGGAAATTCTTCTTTCATGTGTTTAATGCATAAGACAGGAGATACATTTTAATCAGAGTCAGATTCACACAGTCCTCAAAACCTTTATCCAACACTTAAATCCTTGTAAGCCTGCTTCAAAGCAAAGAGAAAAAAATAATGCTAGTGAGTACTCCTACTCTCAAATAGGATTTACCTCCAAAACACTGTCATACATCTGTTATCTCTACATATTCTCACAATCTAATTTTCAGTCATCTAACCTCTTTAAGAATATTGTTAGCTCCATTTTATGGATGAGAGAACTGAGACACAGGATTGCAAGTGATTTTCTCATTATTATTATTATTGTTATTATTATTATTATTATTATTATTATTATATTATTATTTGAGATGGAGTCTCGCTCTGTTGCCCAGGCTGGAGTACAGTGGCGCGATCTCGGCTCACTGCAAGCTCTGCCTCCCGGGTTCAAGCCATTCTCCTACCTCAGCCTCCTGAGTAGCTGGGACTACAGGCGCCTGCCACCACGCCCGGCTAATTTTTTGTATTTTTAGTAGAGACGGGGTTTCACTGTGTTAGCCAGGATGGTCTCGATCTCCTGACCTCGTGATCCACGTGCCTCGGCCTCACAAAGTGCTGGGATTACAGGCGTGAGCCACCACGCCCGGCCCCCGCAAGTGATTTTCTCAAAGTCAGTAAGGTACTGATAGACTCTAGAGAGAAATGCAGTTCTCAGAATCCTAACTTCATGATCTTTTCACTACATCAGGGTTCCTTGATCTCAACACTATTGACATTTTGGGCTGGATAAGTCTTTGGCCTGGGCATTGTAGGATGTTTAGCATTCTATATCCTGGCCTCTGCCCACTTGAAACCAATAGCAACCTCCTCCTTCTCCTAGTTGTAACTACAAAAATGTCCTCAGATATTGACAAGCGTCCCCTGTGGGACAAATTCACAGCCTACTTAAGAATCATTGCCCTTGATGATTCTGTGTGTCCCTCTAAGAATACATATCTCAACTGTTAGAGTGATTTGTATTATAGATGCATATTTGTATAAATTCACTCTTCTTTGCACAAATTAATGATTACAAAATTAATATGTCTTTGAAGATAATCTGAAAAATGAAATCCATAAACATGCCCCTTAGAAGCAGCCCAGTTAACATTTTGATTTTTGGTAGCTTATGCATATTAGCATTATACACACACACACACACACACACACGTGAGGTTTTTTGTTGTTTTTTGTTTTTGAGACAATGTCTCGATTTGTCACCCAGGCTGGAGTCCAGTGGTGCAATCTCGGCTCACTGCAACCACTGACCCCAGGGTTCAAACACAACTTCCGACCTCCGGGTTCAAGCAATTCTCATGCCTCAGCCTCCCGAGTAGCTGGTACTACAGGCATATGCCACCATGCCCAGCTAATTTTCACCATGTTGGCCAGGCTGATCTCTAACTCTTGATCTCAAGGGATCCACCCACCTCGCCCTCCCAAAGTGCTGGGATTACAGGAATTAGCCACCCTGCTCAGCCTATATTTTTTATTATGTTTTTATTTTTATTTTTTATTTATCTAAGGCGGGGTCTTACTCTCTCACCCAGGTTGGAGTGCAGTGGTGTGATCACAGCTCACTGCAGCCTTGATCTCCTAGGCTGAAGCGATCCTCCCACCTCAGCCTCCCAGGTAGCTGAGACAACAGGCAGGCACCATCATGCCTGGCTTTTTTTTTTTTGTAGACATGGGGTTTTGTC
This sequence comes from Homo sapiens, assembly GCF_000001405.40. NCBI lineage: Eukaryota > Metazoa > Chordata > Mammalia > Primates > Hominidae > Homo > Homo sapiens. The sequence goes on along the minus strand of NC_000018.10, from coordinate 55,723,277 downwards.
ATGTTGCCCAGGCTGGTCTCAAACCCCTGGCCTCATGTGATCCTCCTGCCTGGGCTTCCCACAGTGCTGGGATTACAGGTGTGAGCCACTGCACCCAGCCAGCTTTTATATTTTCAAATAAATTTAATACTATTGAATAAAAAACTTTATAAGTAACATTTTCTATCCCCTAAATATTTTCAAATGACTTGAAAAAGTGTCTGGCATCCCATTATATAAATATAGACCATGCATAAATATATTTCACCTTATTTTTAAACTTTCAAAGTTTCATTGTCATAAATAAGTCTGTTATGAACACTATTTTATTGAAATCTTTGGGAGTATGTCTATTTACTTAATATAAATTTCCAAAGTTGAGTTACTCAGTTAAAGGGAATATGATGGTTTACTGCCATCTTGTTAAATTGAATCACACTTCTGGCCAAGAAAATGAAAGAACTTATTTTCCTAAACCTTTGCCAACATTAAGTTGTTTGTTTTCACCTTTACCAAATTGGTATCTGAACATTTTTATTCTGTTATTAAATGTTTCTATTTTAGATTGTGAGATAGATGATTTTTAATACTTTTATTAGTCATTTTGTAAATTGCTTGTACATGTTGTTTGTTAGTTTTTTCTATGGATTATTCATATTTTTCCATCAAGGTTTGCAAAGACTCCCATAAATTTAAAATTTTTAGTCATTTCTCAAATATAATGTAATTTTTATCTTCAATGTTTGGCATCTCTTTTTATTTTTGGCAGTGTAATTTGTCTTTTAATTTTAAGTAATGACAAGTCCAAAATGTAATTCCATTATGATGTTATGATGTTGAACTGTATTGAATCTAAAAATGGATTGTGGGGGAACATTGGCATTGGTACAATACTGAGCCTTCCCACCTATGAACATTTGTTCTTTCCCTTTTTCTTTTTAATGTCTTTTAGGAAAGTTGTCTTCTTCATAGAGGGTCTACACATTTCCTAATTCCTAGCTTCATAAGGTTTTATGAGTATCATATGGGATTTATTTTTTCATTGCATTTTCTAACTGGTTATTTTTACAATGTTCTCTCTCCATTATTAGATTTTTTAATTTCTAAAATAACATCTAGTCCTCGGCACACAGTGGGTATTTTGTAAATGTTATAGACTTGCAGTTGTTCTTAATTTCTCAGTATTTTAAAAATTATATTAGCAGTTTATCTGTGGGTGATCTTTTAAGAAAATGCTCAAACTCAGCTGGGCGTGGTGGCACACACTTATAATCCCAACACGTTGGGAGGCTGAGACAGGCAGATCATTTGAGGTTAGGCGTTCATGACCAGCCTGGCCAACATGGCAAAACCCCATCTCTACTAAAAATACAAAAAGTTAGCGGGACGTGGTGGTATGTGCCTTTAGTCTCAGCTAGTCAGAAGGCTGAGGCATGAGAATTGCTTGAACCTAGGATGCAGAGGTTGCCGTGATCTGAGATCATGCCACTGCACTCCAGCCTAGGCAACAGAGCCAGACTCTGTCTCAAAAAAAAAAGAAAAAGAAAATGCTCAAATTTACATTTCTTTCCTTTTGCATTATGCTGTAGGGTACTTATATACCATAGTAGATATCACTATGACAAAAGTATATTTAAAGGAACAGCCTATTGATACATTAAGCAATCATCTAAGTGAAGGTTAATAAAAACAAGCATTAAAATAAGAATCAAAAAGTTGAGACTTATACCTATATACTAGTTTAGAAAGTAAGTTTAAAATTACCTTCAGAGGGAGGAGCCAAGATGGCCGAATAGGAACAGCTCCGGTCTACAGCTCCCAGCGTGAGCGACGCAGAAGACGGGTGATTTCTGCATTTCCATCTGAGGTACCGGGTTCATCTCACTAGGGAGTGCCAGACAGTGGGCGCAGGTCAGTGGGTGCGTGCACCGTGCGCGAGCCGAAGCAGGGCGAGGCATTGCCTCACTTGGGAAGCGCAAGGGGTCAGGGAGTTCCCTTTCTGAGTCAAAGAAAGGAGTGATGGACGGCACCTGGAAAATCGGGTCACTCCCACCAGAATACTGCGCTTTTCCGACAGGCTTAAAAAACGGTGCAACACGAGATTATATCCCGCACCTGGCTCGTAGGGTCCTATGCCCAGGGAGTCTCGCTGATTGCTAGCACAGCAGTCTGAGATCAAACTGCAAGGCGGCAGCGAGGCTGGGGGAGGGGCGCCCGCCATTGCCCAGGCTTGATTAGGTAAACAAAGCAGCCTGGAAGCTGGAACTGGGTGGAGCCCACCACAGCTCAAGGAGGCCTGCCTGCCTCTGTAGGCTCCACCTCTGGGGGCAGGGCACAGACAAACAAAAAGACAGCAGTAACCTCTGCAGACTTAAATGTCCCTGTCTGACAGCTTTGAAGAGAGCAGTGGTTCTCCCAGCACGCAGCTGGAGATCTGAGAACGGGCAGACTGCCTCCTCAAGTGGGTCCCTGACCCTTGACCCCCGGGCAGCCTAACTGGGAGGCACCCCCCACCAGGGGCACACTGACACCTCACACAGCAGGGTATTCCAACAGACCTGCAGCTGAGGGTCCTCTCTGTTAGAAGGAAAACTAACAAACAGAAAGGACATCCACACCAAAAACCCATCTGTACATCACCATCATCAAAGACCAAAAGTAGATAAAACCACAAAGATGGGGAAAAAATAGAACAGAAAAACTGGAAACTCTAAAAAGCAGAGCGCCTCTCCTCCTCCAAAGGAACGCAGTTCCTCACCAGCAACAGAACAAAGCTGGATGGAGAATGACTTTGATGAGTTGAGAGAAGAAGGCTTCAGACGATCAAATTACTCTGAGCTACGGGAGGACATTCAAACCAAAGGCAAAGAAGTTGAAAACTTTGAAAAAAATTTAGAAGAATGTATAACTAGAATAACCAATACAGAGAAGTGCATAAAGGAGCTGATGGAGCTGAAAACCAAGGCTCGAGAACTACGTGAAGAATGCAGAAGCCTCAGGAGCCAATGCGATCAACTGGAAGAAAGGGTATCAGCGATGGAAGACGAAATGAATGAAATGAAGCGAGAAGGGAAGTTGAGAGAAAAAAGAATAAAAAGAAATGAGCAAAGCCTCCAAGAAATATGGGACTATGTGTAAAGACCAAATCTACGTCTGATTGGTGTACCTGAAAGTGATGGGGAGAATGGAACCAAGTTGGAAAACACTCTGCAGGATATTATCCAGGAGAACTTCCCCAATCTAGCAAGGCAGGCCAACGTTCAGATTCAGGAAATACAGAGAACGCCACAAAGATACTCCTCGAGAAGAGCAACTCCAAGACACATAATTGTCAGATTCACCAAAGTTGAAATGAAGGAAAAAATGTTAAGGGCAGCCAGAGAGAAAGGTCGGGTTACTCTCAAAGGGAAGCCCATCAGACTAACAGCGGATCTCTCGGCAGAAACCCTACAAGCCAGAAGAGAGTGGGGGCCAATATTCAACATTCTTAAAGAAAAGAATTTTCAACCCAGAATTTCATATCCAGCCAAACTAAGCTTCAAAAGTGAAGGAGAAATAAAATCCTTTACAGACAAGCAAATGCTGAGAGATTTTGTCACCTCCAGGCCTACCTTACAAGAGCTCCTGAAGGAAGCACTAAACATGGAAAGGAACAACCAGTACCAGCCGCTGCAAAATCATGCCAAAATGTAAAGACCATCGAGACTAGGAAGAAACTGCATCAACTAATGAGCAAAATAACCAGCTAAGATCATCATGACAGGATCAAATTCACACATAACAATATTAACTTTAAATGTAAATGGACTAAATGCTCCAATTAAAAGACACAGACTGGCAAATTGGATAAAGAGTCAAGACCCATCAGTGTGCTGTATTCAGGAAACCCATCTCACGTGCAGAGACACACATAGGCTCAAAATAAAAGGATGGAGGAAGATCTACCAAGCCAATGGAAAACAAAAAAAGGCAGGGGTTGCAATCCTAGTCTCTGATAAAACAGACTTTAAACCAACAAAGATCAAAAGAGACAAAGAAGGCCATTACATAATGCTAAAGGGATCAATTCAACAAGAAGAGCTAACTATCCTAAATATATATGCACCCAATACAGGAGCACCAAGATTCATAAAGCAAGTCCTGAGTGACCTACAAAGAGACTTAGACTCCCACACATTAATAATGGGAGACTTTAACACCCCACTGTCAACATTAGACAGATCAACAAGACAGAAAGTCAACAAGGATACCCAGGAATTGAACTCAGCTCTACACCAAGCGGACCTAATAGACATCTACAGAACTCTCCACCCCAAATCAACAGAATATACATTTTTTTCAGCACCACACCACACCGATTCCAAAATTGACCACATACTGGGAAGTAAAGCTCTCCTCAGCAAATGTAAAAGAACAGAAATTATAACAAACTATCTCTCAGACCACAGTGCAATCAAACTAGAACTCAGGATTAAGAATCTCACTTAAAACCGCTCAAATACATGGAAACTGAACAACCTGCTCCTGAATGACTACTGGGTACATAACGAAATGAAGGCAGAGATAAAGATGTTCTTTGAAACCAACGAGAACAAAGACACAACATACCAGAATCTCTGGGACGCATTCAAAGCCGTGTGTAGAGGGAAATTTATAGCACTAAATGCCCACAAGAGAAAGCAGGAAAGATCCAAAATTGACACCCGAACATCACAATTAAAAGAACTAGAAAAGCAAGAGCAAACACATTCAAAAGCTAGCAGAAGGCAAGAAATAACTAAGATCAGAGCAGAACTGAAGGAGATAGAGACACAAAAAACACTTCAAAAAATTAATGAATCCAGGAGCTGGTTTTTTGAAAGGATCAACAAAATTGATAGACCGCTAGCAAGACTAATAAAGAAAAAAAGAGAGAAGAATCAAATAGACGCAATAAAAAATGATAAAGGGGATATCACCACTGATCCCACAGAAATACAAACTACCATCAGAGAATACTACAAACACCTCTATGCAAATAAACTAGAAAATCTAGAAGAAATGCATAAATTCCTCGACACATACACTCTCCCAAGACTAAACCAGGAAGAAGTTGAATCTCTGAATAGACCAATAACAGGATCTGAAATTGTGGCAATAATCAATAGCTTACCAACCAAAAAGAGTCCAGGACCAGATGGATTCACAGCCGAATTCTACCAGAGGTACAAGGAGGAACTGGTACCATTCCTTCTGAAACTATTCCAATCAATAGAAAAAGAGGGAATCCTCCCTAACTCATTTTATGAGGCCAGCATCATTCTGATACCAAAGCCAGGAAGAGAAACAACAAAAAAAGAGAATTTTAGACCAATATCCTTGATGAACATTGATGCAAAAATCCTCAATAAAATACTGGCAAAACGAATCCAGCAGCACATCAAAAAGCTTATCCACCATGATCAAGTGGGCTTCATCCCTGGGATGCAAGGCTGGTTCAATATATGCAAATCAATAAATGTAATCCAGCATATAAACAGAGCCAAAGACAAAAACCACATGATTATCTCAATAGATGCAGAAAAGGCCTTTGACAAAATTCAACAACCCTTCATGCTAAAAACTCTCAGTAAATTAGGTATTGATGGGATGTATTTCAAAATAATAAGAGCTATCTATGACAAACACACAGCCAATATCATACTGAATGGGCAAAAACTGGAAGCATTCCCTTTGAAAACTGGCACAAGACAGGGATGCCCTCTCTCACCACTCCTATTCAACATAGTGTTGGAAGTTCTGGCCAGGGCAATTAGGCTGGAGAAGGAAATAAAGGGTATTCAATTAGGAAAAGAGGAAGTCAAATTGTCCCTGTTTGCAGACGACATGATTGTATATCTAGAAAACCCCATTGTCTCAGCCCAAAATCTCCTTAAGCTGGTAAGCAACTTCAGCAAAGTCTCAGGATACAAAATCAATGTACAAAAATCACAAGCATTCTTATACGCCAACAACAGACAAACAGAGAGCCAAATCATGAGTGAACTCCCATTCACAATTGCTTCAAAGAGAATACAAAACCTAGGAATCCAACTTACAAGGGATGTGAAGGACCTCTTCAAGGAGAACTACAAACCACTGCTCAAGGAAATAAAAAAGGATACAAACAAATGGAATAACATTCCATGCTCATGGGTAGGAAGAATCAATATCGTGAAAATGGCCATACCGCCCAAGGTAATTTACAGATTCAATGCCATCCCCATCAAGCTACCAATGACTTTCTTCACAGAATTGGAAAAAACTACTTTAAAGTTCATATGGAACCAAAAAAGAGCCCGCATCGCCAAGTCCATCCTAAGCCAAAAGAACAAAGCTGGAGGCATCACACTACCTGACTTCAAACTATACTACAAGGCTACAGTAACCAAAACAGCATGGTACTGGTACCAAAACAGAGATATAGATCAATGGAACAGAACAGAGCCCTCAGAAATAACGCCACATATCTACAGCTATCTGATCTTTGACAAACCTGAGAAAAACAAGCAATGGGGAAAGGATTCCCTATTTAATAAATGGTGTTGGGAAAACTGGCTAGCCATATGTAGAAAGCTGAAACTGGATCCCTTCCTTATACCTTATACAAAAATCAATTCAAGATGGATTAAAGACTTAAACGTTAGACCTAAAACCATAGAAACCCTAGAAGAAAACCTAGGCATTACCATTCAGGACATAGGCATGGGCAAGGACTTCATGTCTAAAACACCAAAAGCAATGGCAACAAAAAACAAAATTGACAAATGGGATCTAATTAAACTAAAGAGCTTCTGCACAGCAAAAGAAACTACCATCAGAGTGAACAGGCAACCTACACAATGGGAGAAAATTTTTGCAACCTACTCATCTGACAAAGGGCTAATATCCAGAATCTACAGTGAACTCAAACAAATTTACAAACAACCCCATCAAAAAGTGGGCGAAGGACATGAACAGACACTTCTCAAAAGAAGACATTTATGCAGCCAAAAAACACATGAAAAAATGCTCATCATCACTGGCCATCAGAGAAATGCAAATCAGAACCACAATGAGATACCATCTCACACCAGTTAGAATGGCAATCATTAAAAAGTCAGGAAACAACAGGTGCTGGAGAGGATGTGGAGAAATAGGAACACTTTTACACTGTTGGTGGGACTGTAAACTAGTTCAACCATTGTGGAAGTCAGTGTGGCGATTCCTCAGGGATCTAGAACTAGAAATACCATTTGACCCAGCCATCCCATTACTGGGTATATACCCAAAGGACTATAAATCATTGCTGCTGTAAAGACACATGCACACGTATGTTTATTGCGGCATTATTCACAATAGCAAAGACTTGGAACCAACCCAAATGTCCAACAATGATAGACTGGATTAAGAAAATGTGGCACATATACACCATGGAATACTATGCAGCCATAAAAAATGATGAGTTCATGTCCTTTGTTCATGACATGTTCATGATGAGTTCATGACATGGATGAAATTGGAAATCATCACTCTCTGTAAACTATCGCAAGAACAAAAAACCAAACACCGCATATTCTCACTCATAGGTGGGAATTGAACAATGAGATCACATGGACACAGGAAGGGGAATATCACACTGTGGGGACTGTTGTGGGGTGGGGGGAGGGGGGAGGGATAGCATCGGGAGATATACCTAATGCTAGATGACGAGTTAGTGGGTGCAGCGCACCAGCATGGCACATGTATACATATGTAACTAACCTGCACAATGTGCACATGTACCCTAAAACTTAAAGTTATTTAAAAAAAAAAAAGAAAAAAAAAACCAGAAAAAAAATAAAAATAAAATTACCTTCAATGCGTTTATTTAAAAACTAATGAATAAAATTGAAGTACCAATTTACAAAATGATATAGATTTTATTTTATGTCAAATTCAAAAATTCAAAAGGTGTCAAAATTACAGTATTTACTGTTTTGGGGGAGGAGTGGTGGACAAAGCAGAATTATTTGAAGAATTTTAATTTATTACTTATAATTTTGCCTAGTAGAGACCTTTTGTTTTGTAGATCTGAATCTTTTCTAATTAGCACATTTGATGCTTTATGTAAAAGAGTGTGACTATAGGAATTTTAGAAACTTGGAAGCAGTGTAGTCAGGCTAAGCATTCCTTTTGCAGTCTTTACAGTTTTAGAATGCTTAGCATTAGAATCTTTTGTTTTTCATATACAGTGCAAAGATAAAGCAGCTTCCACTCATTAACATGGTACAGCTTTATGATATTTATTGTCTCTATGAGCAGGTGCTTTAAATCACGAACAATCTATGCAACCTATAGTAAATCACTTAATCTCTCTGGACCTGTTTCCTCATTCATTACAGGAGAACATGTGAATCAATGACTGCAAAAATATTCCTTTTCACTCCACAATTCTGAAGTCTATAATTCAAATTGCATGGTGTTATTCTTTAGCCTGCAATTTTTACTCTGCCCTCATAAAATAGATATGAGTTTTATATAAATAACACTGACTACTTAAAATATTCAACAAATGGTTAAAAATGTGAACTCTGAGCTTTTACTTTCAGCCATGATTGAGTAGCTGGTAGCAAACTAGCCCTCCTATGTTAAACCACTGTAAAACTGGACAAATACTCCAGACATCGGAAAGCAGGCAATGCAAGACTATGACCCTTGAGCACTAGGTAACTCTCAAGGGAAGCTCTACAATCAATTGAGACCTTTGCTGTGGGACACCTTCTCATCTGTGGTGTAGAGTGCTAGAATCTAAAATAAGTAAAGTGGTCTCAGTGAAGTGAGGAAGGCAGAGATAAGCATCAGCAGCAGCTGGAGTGACTGAAATGTGCAAGGCAGGACATTAGAAAGGATGAAAACAGGCCCAGTAAGGAGCTCCAGAGTCTATATGGGGTTCCCCTATAAGTTTTTGGCCAAGGATGCAGGGTGAAACTACTTTAGGCTTACAAGAGAGCAATTGCTTATAGTATTAAGAGAATGACAGACACACTAGAAGTTGAGTAGTTCTGTGGTAGTTGAATTGTCTACCCAGTCAGAGTGTGGAAATCTCTTTAACACCATATCATGTCATATGGCATCCAGCTGGAACATCAGAAAGGCTGTACCATAAAAGTAAAACCTATGTCTTAAAGCAAATCCCACTTTCAATCCCTCCAGAGCAGAATAAAACCAAGTCCTGACAGGATCTGCTGAGCAGAGACAGTCACATCAAGTAAAGGGAGTTTGGGAAACATCATGGGTTTGGCTAAAATCAATCATAACAAAATATAAAGCAAGCTTACACAATACAGCATGATAAGCCAGTAATTAAAGTTGCTACTAGAACAAAAATCATCACTTTTCAAAGGAAAACAACAGAATCTAATATCATGTACAATGTCCAGAATACAATGAAAATTACTAGATATGCAGACAAAGGAATATATGACTCACAATCAAGAAAGTAAAAATAGTCAATAGAACTACACCTAACATGGCTCAGATATTATGTATCAGATAAACATATTAAAGCTATTATAACATAGCTTTTATAGCTATATATATTATAGCTATTATAAATATGTTTAAAGAATGAAAATAAAATGTGTTCAAAAAATTTGTTTAAAATATGGTCTTAATGAGTGAATAGATAAGAAATCTCACTGGAGAAATAAAAGCTGTAAATTAGAAGTACATTTACGGGGAAATTGTAAAATGGTATAACCCCTTTGAAAAACTATTTTGTAGTTTCTTAAAAGTTAAACATATGAATGATTACTCAACAACTAAAAAAGGAATCAGCTATTGATAAAAAACAACTTGCATAAATCACCAGAGGATTATGCTGAGTGAAAAAGTCAATCCCAAAATGTTACATACTGTGGGATTCAACTTATGTAATATTCTTGAAATGACAAAATTATAAATATGGAGAGCATACTGATTATTGTCAGGGGCTAGAAATAGGGGCTGAGCAGGAAGGAGGAAGGTGAATGCTGTTTTAAATGAGAAACATGAGGAATCTTTGTGGTGAATAGGCTGTTCTGTATCTTGACTGCATCAATGCCTATATTCTGGATATAATGTTGTACCATCATTTTGCAAGATGTTACCATTGGGGAAACTGGATATGTTAAGTGAGATAAACCAGGAACAGAAGTTAAACACCACATGTTCTCACTCATATGTGGAAGCTAAAAAAACTTACTCTCATAGAAATAAAGAATAGGGGGAAGGTAAGGACAGAGAGAGATTTGTTAAATGATACAAAATTATAGCTAAATAGGAGGAATACGGTCTATTGTTCTACAGCACTGTAGGTAACTATATTTAGCAGTAATGTTTAATAGTATATTATTATTATATATTATGATATTAGAATATATTTAATATATTACCAGTAATATATAGTTTTAAATAGCTAGAAGGATATTGAATGTTCCCAACAAAAAGAAATGATGTTTGAGGTGATGGACATGCTAATTACCCTGATCTGATCATTATACATTTTATGTATAGAAATATCACTATGTATTCCATGAATATGTATATTTATTAGTCAATTTAAAAAATAAAAATGTTCTAAAATGAAACCTCTCTGTATTAGAGATTCATTCAAACTGAATATTCTACAATTATCTCAAAATAAATTTTTTGAGATGGAGTCTTGTTCTGTCACCCAGGCTGGAGTGCAGTGGCAAGATTTCAGCTCACTGCAACCTCCACCTCCTGAGTTCAAGTGATTCTCCCACCTCAGCCTCCTGAGTAGTAGGTGGGATTACAGGGGAGTGCCTGGCTAATTTTTGTATTTTTAGTAGAGACAGGGTTTCCCCATGTTGGCCAGGCTGGTCTCCAATTCTTGACCTCAGGTGATACGCCTGCCTCGGCCTCCCAAAGGGCTGGGATTACAGGCATGAGTCAGCATACCTGGCCCAAAATAAAATTTTTAATTAAAAAAATTAAACATGCTTCTATATTATAACTCAGAATGTGTATTCCTCTAAATGAATTTAAAATATATTCCCACTAAAAGCCTTGTACAAAAATGTTTGTAGCAGCTTCATTCACAATAGTAAAAAGTTAAAAATAGCTCAGGTCTCCATCAATAGAATAAAGAAACTGATATATTCCTACAATGGAAAACTATTCAGTAATAAAAAGAAATGAAATAATGCTACATGCAACAACATTAATGTATGTTAAAAATATGACACTGACTGAAAGAATCTGGACACATACACACAAAAATCCATATTGTATAATTCCATTTAAATGATATTCTAGAATAATCCAAAATAACTTATGGATACTACTGTGGGATACAGGAGAACTATCTGAGTAATGCAAATATTTTGAATCTTGGTGACAACTTATGAAAACTGACTGAATGATATTTTTAAGATCTGAGCATTTTTCTGTAAATCATGCTTTTAAAAAGCAAATGGAAATTCTGAAAAATACAATAAGTAAAATGAAAAATTCACTAGATGGGCTAAATAGCAGATTAGAGGTTATAGAAGACTAGGTGAGTTGAAGATGGATTGAGAGAAATTACCTGATTTGAGGAACAGAGATAAAAGTGTGAAGAAAAATGAAGAGTCTGGAACCAGTGGGACAATATCAAATAGCCTAGGAGATTCCAAAGGAAAAGAGAATGAAAATAAGATAGTATGTTTTTTAGAATCATGGCTAAGATTTTCTTAAAATTAATGAACAATGTCAAACCGAAGATCCAAGAAGTTCAAATAACTGCACAAAGGCTATGTACAATGAATACCACATATGGGCACATCATAGACAATTCATTAATTATCAAAAAAAGAAAAATTTGAAAGAATCCAGAGGAAGAAAAGACACTGGGAATAAAACACTTATGGGAGAACAAATATGAGAATGGCAATGACTCTTCATCAAAAACACAAGAGACCCGAAGATATAAGAATGACACCTTGAAAGTGGTAAAAGTAAAAAAAAAAAAAAAAAAAAAAAAGATTCACAATTCTATATCCAATTAAAATGTTCTTCAAAAATGAAGGGGAAGTAATATATTTTTATATAAATGTTAGCTGAGAAAATTTGTACAAGCAGAGCTGTTCTACAGGAAATTCTATATACTGTTTATTCTTCCAGCTGAATAGAAATAATAGCTGAAGAAAACTCAGGTATATAGGAAAGAAAGTCATTAGAAATTTGAAATAAATGGGTAAATATAAAATATTATGTTCCTTCTTACAAATTTATTTTAAAAGAACTATTTAAACAAACAACATTGTATGGTGGGGTTTGAAAAGATATGACAACAATAACACAAAGGACAAAAAATGTAGGTAAATGGAATTATACTGTCATAACAGTATTATATTTGTGAAGTGGTAAGTAGGAAATGTGACGTGTGAAGTGCATAGAGACAAGTGGGAAATGGAAAGAGAGAACTGTATGTGAGAATTGGGAAGTAGGAAGTGTGAAGAATCAGGTGTGAAGTGGGAAGGAGAAAGTGGGACAACAGTGACTATAAATAGACTTTGATAAGTTAAAATGCCTACTCTTTGTCCCAGAATAACAAATACAAACTTTAAATGTATAGCTAAGATTCCAATAGATAAGTAATATAGAACACTAAAAATTATGTGATTACCTCAAAAGAAAATATAAAAGAAGCAAAAGAAGAACAAAAAATAGAAGAGACAATTAAAAACTAAACAAGATGATAAGACTTAAATTTATTCACACCTTCCTTTGCAATTTGAATGACTTGTTTTTCTTTTTTCTGCCTAATTTTCTCTGGCTAGAACTTCCAGTACTATGCTGAACCGAAGTGTGAATGCTTATTCCTGGTCTTGATCCTGATCTTAAGGGAAAAGTTTTCAGTATTTTGTGATTGACTATGATGTTTACTGTGGGGTCTTTTTCTTTACACGCAATCTTTATTATGTTGAGTATTTTCCCTTCTATTCCTACTTACTTTTGTTTCACAAATGATATGAATAAGCACACTCTAAGAATAAGCACACACACACACACACACACACACAAAACTGGTAGAGCTAATGAACAAATTCAGCAAGTTGCAAGATTCAAAATCAACACAAAAAATTAATCGTATTTCTATATGCTAGCAATGAACAATATGAAAGAGAAATTAAGAAACCAATGCCTTTATAATAGCATTAAAATGAATAAAATACTTTAGGAATAAGTTAAACTAAGGAGTCACAAGACATGTACACTGAAAACAACAAAATATCACTGAAAGAAATATTGAGAAAGACCTAAATAAATGAAAAGACATCTTGTGATTATGGATTGGGAGATTTAATATAGAGTTGACAAGAGTCCTCAAAGTGATCTACAGATTCAATGGAATCCCTATCAAAATCTCAACAGTATTTTTTTTTTTACAGAAATAGCAAAACCCATCCTAAAATTCATACGGAATTTCAAAGGATTCTGAATAGCCAAAATGGTCTTGAAAAAGAAGAGCAAAGTTGGAAGATCCACACCTCCCCAATTATAAGACTCACCAGGAAGCTGTAGTAATCAAGAGTGTGATAATGGTATAAGGATAGACATATAGGCCAATAGAATAGAAGAGAGAATCTAGAAAGAAATCCTCAAATACACAGCCAGTTGATTTTCAACAAAGTTACCAAGGTGATTCAATGGAGAAAAGACAGTCACTTCAATAAATGATGCTGGGAAATATCCATATATAAAAGCATTAAGTTTGAACCATGCCTTACATCATAGACAAAACTTGACTTAAAATCAAAGACCAAAATTTAAGAGGAAATTAAAGTCAAATTTGTTGGTATAATCCATCTTATGATCTTTTTAATGTCTATATATATATAGATAGATAGATAGATTTCTTTCTTTCATGATAATAATAATTTGTGTTCTCTGTCTGCTCTATCAAGTTTATTAATCTTCCAAAAAGGTAACTTTTGGATTTGCTAGTTTTCTGTTTGTGTCTGTTTTCTATTTCACTGATTTTTGTTACTATGCTTATTATTTACTCGCACTTACTTTTGCTTTTTTTTCCTCACACAAACTGGATAAATTTTTTAGAAAGCACAATTTACCCTAAGCTGACTCCAGAAGAAATAAGCTATCTGAATAGCTGTATGTCTACTAATGAAGTTAATGCCATGATCAAAATCCTTCACTGGAGAAAATTCAAGGTCCAAATTATTTCCCTAGTGAGTTCATCATATATTTAACAAAGAGATAACACCAATCTTATACAAATCCTTTTATAAAATAAAGGAGGAAAATCATATTCCAACTAATTTTACAGGACATGAAAACCTGAGAAAAATGTTTTAACATCACCAAAAAAAATTAAAAAACAACAAACAAAATATTTAAGCCAATTCTACTCATTAATATAAATGAAAAAATCTTTAAAATAACTGACAAATAGAATATAGCTACAAACAAGGATAGCATATCATGAAAAGATGTGGTTTATCCCAGAAGTGTATTGGTTTAACATTTGAAAGTCAATCAGCATAAATCACTATCCTAATAGAATAAGGGAGAAAGACCTATGATCATCTTAATATTTGTGGAAAAAGCATTTGAAAAAATTCAACATCTTTTATGATGAAAGTTCACCAAACTAGGAATGAAAGGGAGCTTCCTCAGCCTGAAAAAGGTGTCTCTACAAAAAAAGTACTATAGCTAACATAATAATTATTGGTGAGAGGTTGAAGAGTTTTTCCTAACATCAACAAAAAACAAAGATGCCCACTCTTATCACTTCTATTCAACATTGTATTGGCATTCTGGCCAGTACAATAAGGTAAGGAAAAGAAATAAAAGACATACAGGCTGCACGATAACAAGCAAAACTTTATTTGCAGAAAATTCTAAGAAATTTAAGATTTAGGATTTAGGCGAAAAAAACCTACAAGAATCATTTAGTGAATTTTGCTGGTTTGCAGGATACAAAACTAATGTACAAAAATCAATTATGTCTCTATATGCTAGCTTCCATCAATATGAAAAGCAAAATTTGAAATAAAAATTATTAAAATAACAACCCATATAATGGCATCAAAAACATAAATGACTTAGAAGTAAATTCAGCAAAAGATGAGAAGACATATCTGCTGAAAAATGCAAAATACTGGTGAGATAAGTTAAAAGCAACCTAAACAAATGGAGAGATATGCCCTCTTCATGAACTGGAAAGATCAGTATTAAGATATCAATTCTCTCATACTGATCTACATAGTCAAAGCAATCTCAATTATAATCTCATCAATCTTTTTAAATAGAAATTCACAAGCTGATTCTAAAATTCATACAGAAATGCTAAGGACCTGGATGCACAAAGCAACCTTTAAAAAGTAGTTGGAGGACTTATAGTACTTGGAGGATGTATACTACTACTTATACTACTTCAGGCCTTATTGTAAATTTGCAGTGATCCAGAGTGGGTAGTAGAGGCATAAAAATAATAAATAGATCAACAGAACCAAATATAGAGTCCTGAATGGACCCACAATTATACAGCCAATTGACTTTTGACAAAGGTACCAAAGCAATTAAATGGGGAAATGGAAGACTTTCAACAAATGATGCTAGTATAAATGTAGGTCTGTATGGAAAAAAAGGAAGGAAACTCAACTCCTATTTCATAGTGTATATAAAATTAATTAGAAATAAATCATAGCCCAAAATATAAAACCTAAAGGTATTATAGAAGCTTACAGAAGAAAGCATAGAAGAATACTTTTATGATTGGAATCTGGAAAAGTTTCTTTAACTTGAATACAAAAGACAATAAATATAAAAGAAAAATGTCATAAATTACACTTCATCCAAATATTTAAAATTCTGTTCATCAAAAGATACCATTAAGGAGATAATAGGCACGCCAAAAAAAAGGGAGAAAATATTTCCAAAACAAATATCTGACAAAGTTTTGGTGTCCAGGGAATATAAAGAGTTCATACAATTCAAAAACAAAAAAGAACCAAATTCTTAAAAATCAGCGAAAAAAATACTTGAACAGACACTTCACAAAGAAAAGCACATGAAAAAGAGCTCAGCATTATTAGTCACTAGGGAAATGTAAATTAAAACCACAATGAGATACCATTACACACCCACTGAAATGGCTAAAATTAGAGACTGACAACACCAAATGTTAGCAAGGATGTAATGCAACCTCAAATTCCATACATTGTTGGTGAGAGTGTAGAATGTTAAAACTGCTTTGGAAAATGGGCCTGGCTGTTTCTCATATAACCAAACATAGATCTATTCTAGCAATTCCACTCGTAGGTATTTTCCCAAGAGATATTAAAGCATATTTTACCAAAGACGTGTACAAGAGTGCTCATAGTTTTACTCATGGTACCAAAAATTGCAAACAACACATGTCCATTATTAGGAGAATGAATAAGCAAACACTGGCATATTCATACAACGAAATACTATTAGCAATTTTTTTAAAAGCTGAATGCAAAACACGGATGAAACTCAAAAACATGATGCTGATGGAAAGAAACTTTCCCCAAAAGAATCCATACTACATGAATATATTTGTTTAAGTTCTAAAAGAGGCTAAACTAATATATAGGTTTTTCTTTTTCTTTTTTTAAAGTCAAAACAGCAGTTGCTTCTGGGGGTTTAGGAGCAGAGATTGACTTAGAAGGAACATAAGAGAACACGGAGGCTGGGCACGGTGGCTCACGCCTGTAATTCCAGCACTTTGGGAGGCCGAGGCGGGTGGATCACGAGGTCAGGAGATCGAGACCATCCTGGCTAACACGGTGAAACTCTGTCTCTACTAAAAATACAAAAAATTAGCCAGGCGTGGTGGCGGATGCCTGTAGTCCCAGCTACTCAGAAGGCTGAGGCAGGAGAATGGCGTGAACCCGGGAGGCGGAGCTCGCAGTGAGCCGAGATCGTGCCACTGCACTTCAGCCTGGGCAACAGAGCAAGACTCCATCTCAAAAAAAAAAAAAAAAAAAACAGAGAACATGGATATTATGTACTTGTCAAGAGGTATCACATAGTACACTTAAGATTTATACATTACACTGCAGGTATATTTTACTTAAAGAAAATATAAAGAGTAATTGAGGCTGGGCATTGTAGCACACTCCTGTAATCCCAGCACTTTGGGAGGCTGAGGCAGGAGGATTATTTGAGGCCAGGAGTTCCAGACCAGCCTGGCCAAGAAAGCAGAACCCCGTCTCTACTAAAAATACAAAAATTACCCAGGGGTGGTGGCTCATGCCTGTAACCCGTGCTACTCAGGAGGCTGAGGTACAAGAATCACTTGAACCCAGGAGGCATGGTGTTTGGAAGAGGCTGAGATTGTGCCAGCCACTGCACTCCAGCCTGGGCTATAGAGCAAGATTCTGTCTCAAAAAAAAAAAGAGTAATTAAATTCCAGTTAATGATACAAATATTGAATTGTTTGGGATGAAATATACTGATGCCTGTAATTTATTTTTTAAATACCAAAAAAAGTAAGATAGAAGAATAGATGGATATATATGTGATAAATAAAATATAGCAAAATGTTAATAATTGGTCTCTAGATGGTGGGTACATGAATGTTTAATATGGTTTCATTTCAACTGTGCTCTTTGTTTAAAGTTTTTTGCATCAAAATGTAATTGTAACAAAGTTGTAGGATAGAAGGTCAATACATACGAATTAATTGTATCTGTATATAAGCAAAAAACAACTGGAAAATAGTTTTCAGTGTCATCAAAAACCGTAAAACACTTAGGAATAGATTTAATGAAAAATATGTAAATTTGTATATACTAAAAAGTACAAAAATATTGATGACAGAAATTAAAATAAGGTTTAGATAAATGGGGAAATATACCATGTTCATGGATGAGAAGAGTTAATATTGGTAAGATGTCAATTTTCCCCACATAGATGGATAAAGTCAATGAATTCCAATCAGAATTCCAGCAGGCATCTTTTTAAAAAAATTGACAAGATAATTCTTGGACTTAAATGGAAATACATAGAACCTAAAATAACTAAAACAATTTTGAAAAAGGAAAACCAAAGTTGGAAGGATTGCACTACCTGATTTTAAGATTTATTATAAATACTCTAATCAAGGAAGTGTAATAGGGGCATAAGGATAGAATAACAGATCAATGGAACAGAGTAGAGAGCCCAGAAATAGATCCACACATGTATGTTCAGTTGATTTTTGACATAAGTGTCAATGTAGTTCAATGGGTAAAGGATATTCTTTTCAATAAATTGTAATGAAACAATTAGATATTCATATTTTAAAAAATCAATTCCAATCCTTATATAATCACATATGCAAATTTTAATTTGAAATAGATTATAGATCTGAATATAAAAGCTAAACCATAAAACTTCTAGAAGGAACTTTTTTGCAAAATAAATTTTATTGTGTGTATTTGAGGCTTACAACATGATGTTATGGGATTTATTTTATTTTATTTTATTTTTGTTTTTTGAGACAGAGTCTCACTCTGCCAGCCAGGCTGGAGTGCAGTGGTGTGATTTTGCCTCAGTGAAGCCTTGAACTCCTGGGCTCAAGCAATCCTCCAGCCTCAGCCTCCTGAGTAGTTAGGACTACAGGTACACACCACCTGGCTAATTTTTTATTTTTTGTTGAGTTGGGATCTCACTATGTTGTCCAGGCTGGACTCAAACTTGTGGGCTCAAGCAATCCTGCCTTGGCTTGGGATATGCATAAATAGTAAAATGGCTACCATAGTGAAGGAAATTCATCTCACATAGTTACTTTTTATGTGTTTCAAAAGAGCAGCTGAAATCTAACACAATGCAATTTTATTCACTGTAGTCCTCATACATTAGATTTCTAGACTTCTTCCTACATATCTGCTACTTTGTATCCTTTGACTTACATCTCCCCATTTTTCCTCCCCATCCCCACCTCTGATTTCACTAGTTCACATATGTTTTGAATAAAACAGAGTTTAGCCACTTAGCTGGTAGCTACTGTCCTCAGAAGCTACCAGCAGCCACAAAAGAACACCAGAAGGGGACCACCTGCATGGGTCCCTTTGGGGTGTCCTCACCATCAGGTGTTAGATTGTGGGGACAGCTTCAATGATGTAATTACAATGTGAACATTTTAGAGTTTGTAGTACTTACAGACCCTGGAGAGTGACTGCATACACACACACACACACACACACACACACACACACACACACAGAGGCACAGAGAGAGAGAGAGAAAACTCAGGCAGTACAGGCGGGCAGAGAGAAGAGAACATTACAATTAACTGGGTATATTGAAGAATAGGGTGTGGTCACACTAAGTTCATGGGCAAATATCTTAATGGCTCCTTCAAAGTAAGTGACAGGAAGGTGGTGAGCCCAGTCAGCTAGTCAGGAGAGACACCTTCAAGTTCTTATCTCTGGCCACTGGCTTAAGCCATTTTTGTGTGATGTAGAACTAGAAACTGAGTCAATGGTAATTGAGCCCTGTCCTGGTACAAGAATGCTAAACCTGAATCTACTTTCAAAATGGATGCTTAGGCAACATAAAATTATAATGATTTCATATAAAATATAAGTGAGATCATGCAATGTTTTTCTTTCTGTATCTGGCTTATTTCATTTAGCCATGTCCACCCTCCAGGTTTTCCCATATTGTGGCAAATGACAGGGTCTCATTCACTTTTAAGGCTGAATAAAATTCCACTCTCTCTGTGTGTGTGTGTGTGTGTGTGTGTGTGTGTGTGTGTGTGTGTGTATAAAGTGACTTCAAAAAGTTCATGGAAAATAGAACTAAAAGATAAAAATAAAAATTATAAACTTATTTCTCAACATAAGCTACCTCAAGTTCAAGACACTTTTGTAAGTGATGATACCAGCCATTTAGTCCATCCCTAAAGAACTGAGGGTCCTGGGAATTTAATTATGTCAATGTAGTCTTTTTTACATTATTAGCTGAAGAAAAATGGGTGCTCTTTAAAGATTTGTTTAAGATTAAGGAACAAAAAGAAGTCAGACGGGACCAGATCAGAACTGTAAGATGGATGCCTAATGATTTCCCATTTAAATTCTTGTAAATTTGCCCTTGTTTGATGAGATAGATGAGCAGGAGCATTGTCACGGTAGATGACTCTCTAGTGAAGCTTTCCCAGGTGATTTTCTGCTAAAGCTTTGGCTATGTTCTCATAATGAGTAGATGTTATCATTCATTGGCCTTCCAGAAAGTCAAGAAGCAAAATTCCTTGAGCTTCCCAAAAAGCCGTTGCCGTGACCTTTGCTTTTGACAGGCCCACTTTGGCTGTGACTGCACCACTGCCACCTCTTGGTAGCCATTGCTTTGACTGTGCTTTATTTTCAGGATCATACTGGTAAACTCATATTTCATCTCCTGATACAATTATTTGAAGAAATGCTTCAGGATCTGGATCCCACTTGTTTAAAATTTCCATTGAAAGCTCTGCTCTTGTCTGCAGCTGATCTGAGTGCAACAATTTTGACACCCATCAGGTGGAAAATTTGCTCAACTTTAATTTTTTCAGTCAGGATTGTGTAAGCTGAACCGATTGAGATGTCTGTGGAGGTGGCTATTGTTTCTGCTGTTAATCATCAGTCTTATTTAATTAGGGCATGAACAAGATTAAATTTTTCCCCACAAATTGATGTGGATGGCCTGCCATTATGGGCTTCATTTTCACTTCATTTCAACAATGTCTTATTCCTTCTTAAAAGGAGTTATGCATTCATAAACTGTTGATTTATTTGAGGCATTGTTCCTATAAACTTTTTGTAAAGCATCAATGATTTCACCATTCCTAAATCCAAGCTTCACCGTAAGTTTGATGTTTTTTCTTGCTTTAATGTTAGCAGAAATGTTGCTCTCACAAGGGCTCTTTTCAAACTGATGTCTTATCCTTCTTAGCACCTCAGAGTAGATCCTATTCATACATGTTATAACAAGGTAGTACAAGTTTATCTTGGTGTAATTTTTTTGTTTGTTTGTTTGCCAAAATTTGTTATCTCTTGTCCTTTTGATAATAGCCAACTTAATAAATGTGAGGTAATATTGTGGTTTTAATTGGCATTTTCCTGATGATTAGTGATGTTGAGCACTTTTTTCATATGACTGTTGGCCAATTTTATTTCTTTGAAGAAATGTCTGTTCAAGTCTTTTGCCCATTTTTAATTGGGTTATCTGTTTTACTTCTATTGAATTGCAAGGATTCATTATAAATGTTGGATATAAACCCCTTAGAAGAAAACATCTAGGAAAAAAATAATCATGACTCTGTAGTAGGCAAAGATTTCTTGGAAAGGATACAAAAAGGCACCAATTACTATTTTAATATTTGGTAAGTTGGACTTCATCAAAATTTAAATCTTCTGCTCTTCAAAGACATCATTAAGAAAACGGATAAAGACTGGGCACGGTAGCTGATGCGTGTAATCCCAGCACTTTGGGAGGCCAAGGTGGGCGGATCACCTGAGGTCAGGAGTTCAAGACCAGACTGGCCAACATGGCGAAACCCCATCTCTACTAAAAATACAAAAATTAGCTGGGAGTGGTGATGGGTGCCTATAATTCCAGCTACTTGGGAGTCTGAGGCAGAAGAATCGCTTAAACCCAGGAGGAGAAGGTTGTAGTGAGCTGAGATCATGCCACTGCTCTCCAGCCTGGGGAACAGAGCGAGACTCTGTCTCAAATTTTAAAAGAAAAGAAAATGGATGAAGAGGAAGCCACACACGGGAAAAATATTTGCTATACATATACTTGAAAAAGAACTTATATCCACTCATGGGCATAGAGAGTAGAAGGATGGTTGCCAGAGGTTGCAAAGGGTGGTGGGGCGGGGGGGCACTGGGGAGGAGGTGGGGATGGTTAATGGGTCCAAAATAAAAAAAAAAAGAATGAATGAGACATACTATTTGATCACACAACCATGTGACTATAGTCAATAATAACTTAATTGTACATTTTAAAATAACTAAAAGAGTGTAATAGGATTGTTTGTAACACAAAAGATAGATGCTTGAGGGGATGGGTACCCCATTTTCCATGACATGATTATTTCACATTGCCTGCATGTGTCAAAACATCTTATGTGCCCCACAAATATATATACCTACAATGTACCCACAAAAATTAAAAAAAAAAATGTAGGCCAGGCTGGTGACTCATACCTGTAATCCCAGCACTTTGGGAGGCTGAAGTGGGCAGATCACTTGAGGTTAGGAGTTCGAGACCAGCCTGGCCAACATGGCGAAACCCTATCTCTACTAAAAATACAAAAATTAGCTGGGCATTGTGGCGGGTGCCTGTAATCCCAGATACTTGGGAGGCTGAGACATGAGAATCACTGGAACCCAGGATCGCGCCACTGCACTCCAGCCTGGGTGACAGAGTGAGACTTCATCTCAAAGAACAAACAAAAGAATTCTCATACACTCCTGATTAGAATAGAAAATGGTAGGACTACTTTGGAAAACAGCTTGGCAGTTTCCTACACAGTTAAATATAGATTTACTGTATGACCCAGGAAAAAAATATATCCACTAAACCTTGTACACAAATGTATAGTGGTTTTGTCTGTAATAGCCAAATACTAGAAACCACCTACGTGTCCTTCACCTGGTAAATGGGTTAGTAAACTATGGTATGTTCATACAATAGAATTCTAGTCACCTATTAAAAGTAACAAACTGGTAATACACTCAACAATATGGAAGACTCTCAGTAATGTTATGCTGAGAGAAGTAAACCAGACACAAAAGAGTGTTATGTGTTGAATTCTATTACATAAAAGAACTAGCCTAACTAATCTATAGTGATATACTGGCTGCTTGGTATGAGGCTGAGGGTGGGGTGAGGAGGTTTGACCCCTAAAAAGCAAAAGGGAATTTTCTGGGCTGATTGATTGGATAAGTGGTTACATGAATATACACATTTGTCAAAACTTAAACTGTGCACTTATAATGTGTGCATCTTACTGTATATAAATAACACCTCACAAAAGTTTAATAAATAAATATGAAAGATGTAAAAATGAACATTCACAGCGACTAAGAGTAATTTTGGAGACAATTTTTCTTGGTAATACTTAGGGAGACTTTCATGGTTTGGATCCATTTTTCTAAACGTATGTTTGGCTTGTACTATGTAAAGCTTAAAAGCTTATTAATGCTAAAGTCACATCTAAACCTCTTCCACACATTAAAACTGTCAATCAAATTTTATTATATGAATGAAGTACTTTACCTTAAATCTGTCAGGATAATTGCTCAGATTAAGTTAAATGGAAAGAAAAAAGTAAAATGTAGGACAGGAAGTTATTTTTAAATTAAAGAACAGTTTCTGTAAGGAATTGTAAAGCAGGGTGGCAATATGATATACTGGTTTTTCTATAATATCTTTCCATCTTGGCAAATGTTGGGTTGGGCTTAACTCTCACAAACATGCTCAGGAAACCAAATGTATCAGTTGTTGTGCCTTCAGCTGCAAGGAATAAGAAACCCTGACTCAACTGACTTAAACAATAAGGCATTTATTATCTCATATAACAAGATGTTCTCTGGGGATAGTCAATTCAGACTGAGCGGGATCATCTTTCTATTCTGCGTTTATTCTCAGAGCAGCACCCCTCAAAGCTCTGAGATGGTGACCGTGGAGCCATGACCACATGCAGAAAAAAGACTGCATATCTTTCTGTTTGCCTCCTGTAATTGTCAAGTAATCCTTCCTTGTGTATTTCTCCTCCCACTTCTCCAGCCTGAATTTCTTCACATGCCCACACACATATAATTCATTCACAAGAAAAATGAAACCAACAACATGGACCTACACCAGCTCTTGTCAGCAGGTGGCCAAAGGAAGAAGAGATGAGATCTGACCAAAAGTGGGTTCTCCTGGGAAGGGAAAAGGAACAGGAAGGGAGGCAAGCTCAGTAAACCATCGAAAGTGTGGCACTGGGTCATAAATTTGGTTCCTAAAGTTGCATTAATTTTTCGTTTAAGTTTCACATGAATACCTCTCTCTGGGGGCTTTTTTCAACCCATAAAGGAAAATCAAATTGAAAAGCACCAGCCAAAGCCAGTCTCCCAAATCCTTTGCCCCCTTTAAGAGGCTCAAGAACATTTGCTGACTTTGGGACTAGCACAGAGGAAATTAAAGCAATTCTCACTCTTTATGTGTTATTTACTGCTCTCTACGTTACTAAACTATATTTATTTCTTGGTTTGCAGCACAGTGATTGTAGAGTAAGTGCTAAGCAGCAAATAACTTCCTTGCTGCTAAAATTGGTGGTGATTTTGCTCTCATTGGAGCATATCACATGACCCTTCAATGCTGGTCAATGGCCGTGGGATTTTTCCTCCACCTCCACCTGTTAAGGGGTATAGGACTGATGAATGGCAGCTGTTTTAACTCACAGAGAACAACTTTACATTGTGGCATAAGATACTAAACTTTGTGGTATTATGTAGTGAGAATATGACATAATACATGCTACTAGCCAACGCCAATATCCAAATAATTTCCCACTAAATCAAGATACAACTTGTTTTCCAACATGGCTGTATTAGAATCACCTGCGGAGCTTTGAAAAGTTCTAATGCCAGGGTCCCACACCTAGTAATTTATATTCAATTGGTCTGGAATGTAGCCTAGGCTTGGCGATATATTTTTTAAGCTTCTCAGGTGATTCTAATGTATGTCTAGGGTTGAAAACCTTGCACCTAAAGCAGTGATTCTCGAAGTTTGATCCTTGGACCAACAGCATCTGCGTTACCTAAAAACCTGTTAAAAATACAAATTTTCAGGCCTGACTCCGGACCTACTGAATTAGAAACTTTATGGGTGGGGCCCAGTAACCTGTGTCTCACTTGTCGTCCAGGTAATTCTGATGCATCCTCAAGATTGACGACCACTGCTCTAAACGCAAGCCTGTGATCAACAAACCGTGTTTGAATGTCTACTATATGCAAATTGTAAGATTCTACCCTGCCCGATAATCTTCACCAACTCAAAACTATTGTCAACTCCACCATCTTCTCACTAAGCCGACTTCTTGGCCTTAAAAAGGAGACCTATCTTTGAAAACAGTTAATGCTATGACCACTCCACTTCATGGTCTCAGTGCCTGAGTCTTGCCACCTCCCCAGAACCAGCTCAGCAGCTTTCCAAGCTCACTGGGCATCCACAGGACTGGTCCCATGTGTCCCATGAAAAGCTCTCTCTTCTATACTGCTTCCTGGGGAATCTGCCCTGCCTCTGTCTCCCCACCTGCTTGATCAGCCTGCCAGGCCTGCTGCTAACCCTTTGCATGAATAGCCTTGCCTCTCTCATGGCCTCTCTGCCCTGTGGCCTTACAGTTTTTGCCCATTTCTTAGGTTACCAAGCCCTCAACTCCTGATGCAGTGACTTCATTTCTCTGTACCCCATGCCTGTTATCAAGATCAGAAGTACTGCAGCACCCAGCCTCACCATCTATTTACCCAGCAGGTGACTGTTGGCAATACCTTGATTGACCGGCACCTGTTACAAGATGAGACTCTTGAAATGGAGTTTGGGACCCTCTCTTCTGGTTTGAACACTAACACTGTGTTTGGATTTCTTTTGTTGCTTCCCAATTACTGCAGTAAACCCCATGAATCTCCAGTTGTGGCCCTGACTCAGTCCCTGTTACAATCCCCCATGGGCTCTAGTCACTGCTTTGCTTTTATCTTCTAGTCCTGCTGTGGGGCTCTTAGTCCCTGTTATGGGCTGAATTGTGTTCCATCAAATTCGTATGTTGATGTTCTCACCCCCACTAACTCAGAATGTGACAGTATTTGGACACAGGGTCTTTACAGGCAATTAAGTTAAAATGAAGCTTTTTGAATGAGCTTTAAAACAATATGACTGGTGTCTACAACAAGAGGACATCAGGGCACAGGCATGCACAGAGGGAAGACTATGTGAGGGCACAGAGAGCCATTGTCCATCTGAAGGCCAAGGAGATAGGCCCCAGAAGAAACCAACTTTGTTGTCAGCGTGATTCAGACTTCTAGCCTCCAGAACTGCGAGAAAATGAATTTCTGTTGTTTAAGCCACCCAGTCAGTCCTACTTTGTCATGGCCATCCTAGCAAATGAGGGCTCCTTCCCCCGTTTCCAGTTGTCCCTCAAAACTCCATGACAAATTCTTTAGGGACACGGAGGAAGCAGCAGCATCTATCTTTATGGAGGGATGTATAGCAAAAGCCATGAGAATCAGTGATTCCTGCAAAATTCCTGAGGAGAGTGAGGCTTATGACAAGCGTGCATGGGGAATATTTTTGTTGGCTTGCTTTATGCTGCTCCCTTTTGTTTTTATTTTGCATTTTTTTCCAAATATGATACCAACCTCAGTGTCTTCAACTCTGGATGTGGCTCTCTATACAAACTGGGACTTTGGGTTTACTGTGATCAACAAAACCTGTTTGAATGTCTACCATATGCAAATCCCCAGGCTAGGGAGTTAGAAAGAGCCATTTGTCCATATATATGTGATTATGTACATTTCTATATAATGTGTCTTGGGGAGATGATGGCTATGTAGCTTGAAAAAAAACTAACTCTAGGTAGAATAGGAAAACTTTCAAATGAATGGTAAAGGCATCAACCAGCATGGAAAAAAAAATCCAATTTAGAAATGCTACTTGAAATGGGCCAATTTTGGACAAATGGATAGAAAATGGGATATTTAAAATGTGAAACAGACAAGCAAGGAGCAAGGTTTACTTTAAGTGCTCTGTCCTACATCCCTTGCCAGTGAAATCTATTATGTTCATTTAACCCTGGCACCACTGTTCTCTCTTCCATAAATCATTTTCTACTCCCCCAAGAAAAATATCTTGCTTCTTTTCAATATTTGCAAAGCCTTTTGCACATAAGTACACAACAAATCACACTGTTTTAGCAACTTATGTATATCTGTCTATCTGCTTGAGCGTGTAAGATACTTATGGATAAGCACTGTTTATTGAAATCAACTCAGTATCTCAGGACTTGACTCAAACTAGGTATCAAAAAAGTGATTGTGGCCAGGTGAAGTGGCTCATGCCTGTAATCCCAGCACTTTGAGAGGCCAAGGCAGGTGGATCACCTGAGGTCAGGAGTTTGAGACCAGTCTGGCAAAACCCTGTCTCTATTAATGTTACAAAAATTAGCCAGGTGTGGTGGCACGTGCCTGTAGTCACAGCTAGTCAGGAGGCTGAGGCAGGAGAATCACTTGAAACCGGGAGACAGATCACGCACTACAATCTGCACTCCAGCCCAGGCAACAGAGTGAGACTCCATCTCCAAAAAAAAAAAAAAAAAAAAAAATTGATTGTTAAATTTGATAAAAGTGAAAGTGATAGAATGGGTGTGGCATATGAGAAAATAAGGACTGCAAAATAATGCAAAATAGGCCGGGTGCGGTTGCTCACACCTGTAATCCCAGCAGGTTGGGAGGTGAGGCAGGCAGATCACAAGGTCAGGAGATCGAGACCACCCTGGCCAACATGGTGAAACCCAGTCTCCACTAAAAATACAAAAATTAGCTGGGCATGGTGGCACATACCTGTAATCCCAGCTACTTGGGAGGCTGAGGCAGGAGAATCGCTTGAACCAGGGAGTCAGAGGTTGCACTGAGCCAAGATCACGCCACTGCACTCCAGCCTGGTAACAGAGCAAAACTCCGTCTCAAAAAAACAAAACAAAACAAAACAAAAAGCAAAATACCTCTACATTATGGCAAGGATAATCATTCAGGCAATATGGTTTTCAAATAATGATTCTCCTCTTTAGTGTGGGTTTAAATTCTACCACCTTAGAGAATTACTGTTTACTTTGGAGAAGTGTGTGTGTGTATGCATGTGCCCACCAAGAATTCCCCACAGGAGACCAAAATGACACTAGATGAAGGGCAGGCACAAATCTTTGCTTCCTGCTCATGGAAAAGGCTTTCAAGAACCACAGTTGGAATGTAAATCCCACCCTGGTGGTTCTGTTCAAGTCCTTATTCTAGACTCAGTGACTCATCTGTGGACTTTTGCTACTGTTAATTATTATACACATGGATTATCCTGATGTGGGAAGATGTGAGACCATGCCAGTGGGCTAGAGATAAGATTTTCCTGAAGAGGAATGGAAATTATGTTGTGAGATACTGAAGAAAGACCTCTCTCTCTCTCTCTTTCTCTCTCTCTCTCTATATGTATATGAAGAAAGACCTCTCCTTCTTTCCCTTTCTCCCTCTCTTTCTCTCTCTATGTGGCTATATATATATATATATAGATAGATAGATAGATAGATAGATAGAGAGAGAGAGAGGGAGAGAGGGAGAGGTCTTTCTTCAATATCTCACAATGTAACTTCCATTCCTCTTTAGGAAAATCATATATATATATATATATATATATATATATATATATATATATATATATGGGACTCCATATATATATGGAGAGAGAGAGAGAGGACTTTCTTCATATACATATATATATCTTTCTCTATCTCTGCATCTCTGAGTCAAAAAAAGGAGAAGGAGGAGGAAGAAAAGAAAGAAGAAAACTGTGAGATTCTTAAGGCAAGGAGGCAAAGTTTTTCCCTTTCCCTTGGTTTCTGGAGCTAGTCCTATTTAGTTGCTTCTCTTCACAGCCACTAACTTTTAATAAAGGCTGTTGCACAGAAAGCCAACTTGTGTTAGTTGCATGAAGATACCTAGAGCCCAAGGCAATAAAATGCATCATAGTCTTCTTTGCCTAGTTGAGGCCAGCATGGTTGTGGCAACATTGCAACATGGGCAATTATTCATCTCAGATTCCAGGAAGCAGAAGTAAGCAGTAAAGCAAGCAGAGGTCCAAGGTGAGCTGAGAATAGGTGGTAGGAACAGGCAGCAGTGGTTAGAAGTGGCTACAGCATCCATTTACTTAGGAACGAAGGTGAGAAAAATGTGGTTAACCCCAAGGGAATGTACCCCCTTATACATGAATGTTTGTTTAAGTTATAGTAAAGACAAGGACAAAGAATGTAGATCAGTTTTAAAAGTTTTAAATGTTGGATCATATTTATTATCACCATACATTTCATGCATTACAGTTTTGGATGGTGCAATTCTCGTTAGTTCCTCCAAGGCTGTGGTAAAATGTGAGACCTTTTTTTTTTTTTTTTTTTTTTTTTTTTTTTTGCAGAGATGAAAACTTATCAGAAAAGAAAAAAATCGAGAGTACATTCCCAACACCTGTAAACTTTTGCAGCTATTTCCTTTCTTTTTTTTTTTTTTTTTTGAGACGGAGTTTCACTCTTGTCACCCAGTGGAGTGCAGTGGCGGGATCTCGGCTCACTGCAAGCTCCACCTCCTGGGCTCACACCATTCTCCTGCCTCAGCCTCTTGAGTGGCTGGGACTACAGGCACCAGCCACCACGTCCAGCCAATTTTTTATACTTTTTTTTTTTTTTTTTGGTAGAGACGGGGTTTCACCATGTTAGCCAGGATGGTCTCAGTCTTCTGACCTCGTGATCCACCTGCCTCGGCCTCCCAAAGTGCTGGAATTACAGGTGTGAGCCACTGCACCCAGGCTTTTGCAGCTGTTTCTTATAGTTGATGTTGTACTGATCTATCTTATACATTGTAAAACATATGTAAGCATAGAAATTTCAAAAAGATAAGTAAACATATATCGAAATACAAGTGTTCATGTGCTGTTCCCACACCTCAATGTATCATCTAGCTCCTATGGTGCTCAGTCCCATTTGCAGCCCCTGACTTAGAAGTGACGATCATTGGACTTGGAGTCTGATTTTGTTTGGCTCTGTGTCCCCACCCAAATCTCAGTGTGAATTATAATAATCCCTATGTGTCATGTGAGGGACCCGGCGGGAGGTAACTGAATCACGGGGATAGGTTTTTCTTATGCTGTTCTCATGATAGTGAATAAGTCTCATAAGATCTGATGGTTTTATAAAGGAAAGTTCCCCTGCACAAGGCCTCTTGCCTGCTACCATGTAAGATGTGACTTTGCTTTCCCTTCTCCTTCTGCCATAATTGTGAGGCCTCCTCAGCCATGTGGAGCTATCAGTCCATTAAACCTCTTTTCTTTATAAATTACCCAGTTGCGAGTACGTCTATTAGCAGCATGAGAAAAAGCTAATACAGAGTCAAACAAATCTAGATTAGAATCTCAGTTTAGCTACTTACAGGCTTTGGGATTCTGAATCTCAGTTTCCTAGACTCTAAAAGCATAAGAATGCCCCGCAAATAGTTTTTTAAAATATTTGCATGAGATGATGTATACAAATCATTTAGCATTGTCTCTATGTTTTTGTGCCTACTACACAGTAGGTGCTCAATAAATACCAATCATTACTCGTCACCATTAGACATCTGAAGCCTGCTGGGGTCTGAGGAACCAGGATAATGCCTTTCTCTGTAGAAAGAAGCCCATAGGGAATGTTTCTTTGTAAGGAAAGCGTTAATGAAAATACCTCATTGATAGATAATAAAGAAAAACCCACCGGAACAGACAAAAGTGATGGTCTAAGGGATGGTAAGTAGTTACTTACTGTATTTATTATCCAGAGAGGAATACAGATTATATATTTCATGAGCCAGATGGGAATAGTTATTTAATCTACAGTAACGACTACTCTAAATGGCTCTATTGAATCTCTACTTGAAAGTATACTTCAGAAGCGTTGCAGGCTATGAGGGAATAAAGCGAGAAACAAATGTAGTGGTTAAAGGATATTTTTGCTAAAGCTTAATTAAACTTGAGATTTTGTACCATTCTGTGTACAATCTTCAAAAGATTTTTTTTCTGAAAAAGAGACCAGAAAGGGTGCTATGAAATTAGCCTTAGAGTTATGTAGATTTTGAAGGGCCGTTAAGAAAAAAAAATATGTAAAAAAAAAATACAGATTTCAATTTGAAGCAAAGAGTTGAAACTGCTTTCTGGCAGCCCACACTTCCAACAGCATTGGTACCTACTTGAAATGAACAACTGCTAAAGGAAACAGCTGGTAGAAAGCTGTTACTGAAAAGCAAAGTGCAATATGCAGGCTGTAATTAGTTTGCAATCATTACTCAGTCCACTGTTGGAGAAAAACCTTGATTTGATCACACCAAAAGCATTTCTATCAGTGAACAAAATTCAGGACAATCCTTCCCCCAAATCCATATCAAACTCTCACCTTTACTACAGCTATGATATCACGATGATTTTTCCTATGGGGTCAGAGTGAAAAGCGGACCACAAACAGGTATATCAAACAAGAATTGTTTGTTTACCTGGAAGAAGTCCCCTAAAACAATAGCTGATCAGTTTTGAATGTTTGCCACACGCTAGACTGGAGCTGTCCAAAAGACATATAATGCAAGTGATAAATGGTAGCCACATAGAGAATGTCAAATTTACTAGTAGCCACATTTTTTTAAAAGAAAGAAGTAAATTTAATTATCATACTGTATTTTCTTTAACATAGTCTATCCAAAACATTATCTTTGTGATACGTAATCAATTAAAAAATTATTAATGAGGTATGTTACATCCTTTTTTCTGCCGAATGTTCTAAATCTGGTGTGTCATTTACACATACAGCACATCTCCGTTTGGACTGGCCACGGTTCAAATACTCAATAGCCACATGTGGTCAGTGGCTTCCATGTTGAACAATGCAATTCTAAATGATTTACTTGACATATCTTTTAATTGTCTCAGTTATCTTCTGATAAAATAATGATTACCCAATTTTACACATAAGAAAAAGGAAGCACAGAGGAATAAGAACTTCCTCAAGGTCACAAAGCAAGGAGTTGGCAGACTCAGGAGGAATTCAGGCATTCTGATTTCAGAGGCTGCCCTCCTTATCACTGCAGTGTCCTGCCTCATGGACTACTCTGTGTAGCTCATGAGCTATGCTTCCTGACCAGTGAATTTGAAAATGCTAAAGATTACCATGAAAGCTACCAATAGACAAGAAAATAGCCTTCATTTTTTAGCCTTTCCCACAACCACCATCTTTTAGGGTAAATGCTGTTATATGTTGTGCCAATTTTATAGATATAGAAACTGAGGTTAAAAAAACCCGCTGTCCTTTGCACAAGGTCACAAAGCTAGAATGTGTTGGAGCTGTGATGCAACCCTAGGCCCTCTCACTCCAGAATCTAAGCACTAACTACTGGTTTGGTTCCGCTAACAGATCTGACCACAAAATGGACAAAGACATATTCTCTAGTACATAGAAATAATAATAACCTCCAATGACCACGGGGTCAAAACAAGAACAATGAGCCAACTTAATTAATTCAATAAATTCAAGAGAAAATATAACATGCAAGGCAGTTAGTTTTAGTGAAGATTAAAATTTGTGAATTTGCTGTGTGCTAACTAATGCTTGGTAAGGAAAAAGCCATAGAGTTTAATATCTTACCTCCAGCTTAGCATAGAGAAAATGGATAAATGGTCTGCCAGCCCTCAGAATTTCAGTTTCATGGACTACTATGGTTTTATCTTCCCTTGCTACTTATTCCGAAATTTCAACCATAAGAATTGCCATTTAGAATTAGTTAATGAAGACTGGTTTATCAAACCTAGATCCCTTAAGTAATTATTAAAGCTATACAAAGGAAGGATAGCCCAGCTACAGTAAGTAAATAAAGCAAGTTATAGAATAGTGCTTAAGTAGTGTGGTGACCATTTTTGCTGAAACAGCAACAACATAGAAAACAGTATGACAATAATACACATCAGTGGTTATGAGAGTATTGAAGAAATTCCATGAAACCTTAATTTCTACATTATATATTTCTGTAATGTGTGAATTGTTATAACCAGCTTAGGTTACACTGATAAAAATGATAGATGATGGATAGACAAATAGGTAGATAAGATGATAGATAGATATATTAGATGGATGGATGGATAGATAGATAGATAGATAGATAGATATCAAATGCTCCCGTATTACCTGGGAACATCCCCTGTAGGGTTGGTTTTTCTCTATCTCTCACTTGAAGAGATTAGTTTCAGAGATATTCTTTGACTTTTTGAAAGACACCAAGTAACAGAGCCTGAGTACTGACTGGGAAAGGATATGTTTCTGTGGGGGCAAACGACAGAGATGGGGAAAGTTTGCAACTTGGCAGTCTCCAAGAGGATAAACCCGAAGGTGGTTCACTGGGGAGAACACAAAAGGAAAGAGAGACATCAGATGGCCATTCAAAGATGCTATCCTTCTGGTACTTTAAATGCAATGAGAAGTTGTATCCACTAGTAACTATTTTCTCAAAGACTTAACTTTCAAATTTTGCCATGGCTGTGACCTAAATCCTTTGCAATCTATCCCTTTCTAATCATCTTTATTCCAATGACAAATTCCAAATTTATATTCCCAGCACAGACCTCTACTTTGTCTTTCAAATCTATATAAGTATACTTGGAAATGAGAACATATGTGTTCCCCAAAAGCTCCATACAGGAATGTGTATAGAAGTACTATGTGTAGGAGCAAAAAACTGGAACAACTTTATGCAGCAATGAGAACGGATGAACCACAATTACTCACAGGAAAATGAATGAAGTTCATAAACAAGATGCTGAGCAAAAGGTAAACCCCAAAGGGTACACATTGCATGGCTCTATCCAAATCAAGTTTAAAAGCAGGCAAGATTAATATTTGGCATTAGAAACCAGGGTATGGTTCCCTTCAGGTGGTAGTGCTTAGAATGGGGAAGACAACGCACCTCTGTGGCCCTGGTCATGTTTATTTCTTGAGTTGAGAGCTGGTTACATAGATGTGTTCAATGTGAGATAATTTATTATGCTATAAATTTTATGTGTACATATTCGTATGTATGTTTTAGATTTATTTAAAAAATTTTTTAAATAGATCTCACAAAATGACTGATAAACATATTTTCAGATAAAGTAGATAACTATGTTTTTGTATTCCTTAGGTAAGGATAATTTTGCATACTTGTTGAGTTTCTCTCCACCTTCTTTGGTCTTAGAAACCCAGGTCAGGAGACACTTTGTCCATCTTCTAAGTGCATTCTTTGTAATAGAGTCATCCATTGCCCCTACAACCTCTTCAAAGTCTGATACTTTGAGCAATATTAATAATACTTGTGCTGTTAATTTTATCCAAGTTGTTCAAGATAATCTCTAACTGCTAACTAATTATTCCTTTATGATTCCAGAGAAATTAAAAATTGATCTCAGTTTTCCTTTCCCTACTTAAGAGGTGGAGAAACTAAGATGAAAAATGTAAACTGATTTTCACAAGTATTCCCAGCAGAGACAGAAAGAAAGAGAAAGAGGGAGAGAGTGAGAGGAGGAGGAGGAAAAGAAAAAGAAAAAGAAAAAGAAAAAGAAGGAGGTGAAGGAATAAAAAAGAGGAGAAGGAGAAAAGTAAGGGGGAGAAAAAAAGGCAAGAGGAAAGAAATTAGAGATGAAGGGATAAGAACTGTTTGGGAGTGAGACAGGGAGGAGAAGGATGAGGAGGCTTTATACAGGTCTATAAAACAGGAAGCAGACATGTTGATTTGGAAATGCCCTGTAATTTGTGTTCCTCGGTTGGGATGCTGGTTTCTCTCTCTGCACACTAGCTAGTTTTTAGGATTGAGTCATGAGGATAAAATCAGAAGGAGAAGGCCATGACTTAGGGAAAGTCAAATAAAAATCAAATGCCAGGACAGACAAGTAAAATAAATGCTGTCCCACATCCCTCAAGACCAAACCTTGAGCTGGGGAGATGGCCATGGAAACATGAGGGTGGATCAGAAGAAGTCTGAAAGCATCAGAATTGGTGGATGCCTAGGGCTCCTGGAAGTACTAAGCTTTTGGCTGGACACTTCACTCAACATGGAGGTGATGGTAAGAGGAGGCTTGGATAAATGTCCCTGAGGCAGAGAATGCAAAAAATTAGAAGTTCTCCTTGCTGCCATGATAGTCCTAGAGGTGCAGAGGGTAGTAGAGGACCCAGGGATGCTTGGAATGAGAGCACAAGAGGCTGCAGTGCATGCAGACACCAGATGCAAATGAATGAGGCCACCGTCACCAGCATCAGAAGATGCCCAAGGACCCTGCTCAAGCCAGCTCACTAGTTAACCATCCAGCCACTCCCAAACAAGGAAGTGTAAGTATGTACTCCTCTGTTACCCGGTGCATATAGTCAAACACTCAGACCTCCCTACCAGTGTCGAATTGCAGAAAAGATAATGAATGAGGCAGATTTCCTACAGAGATCAAGTATAACGAGACCATGGAAACAAAGGGAGTTGAACTTTAATTGGACTGAAAGGAGTCCAATTAAACCAGAAGACATTGACCTATTTTTAATTGATAAGTGTAAGTTTCCTGAGACCGATTAAGGTGTGGTTTCTTAAGGAAAAAAGCAGCTTACTTTGTTGAAAATATAGAAGCTATATTTTCTTTCTACATAAAATACAGTATGAGCACATCTGTGACCCCACTACGGTAGACAAGAATACCCCAAGTAGTTCATGCCCAATTAAATATTCCAAATAAGAAACCCCTTCCAACCAACCTAAATGTATATCAGATCACCAACATTTTTTAACATTATTGGTTTTATGGAAGATATTTGATGAAAACTTCGGAAAATAATTTTCTTTGATTTCTTATAACAAAATAGATTAGTGACCTCTACATATTTTCCTCTGTCAGCCAAGATTTTCATCAAAATGTCAGCCATGGGAGATAAGAAGCACTCTGAAAGAAGACACCAAATGCAAAGACCTGTATCTAGAATGAAATACAGTTGTGTGGAACCACGAAGGGAAAAGATTATCTACCTGTGTAACACTGTGACTGTGAAATATATATCTTTATATATTAAAAATATTGTATACATTCTGCTAGGGGTAAAGCTGACTTGTCAGATAAAAGGCTTCAGTTTCTTCAACTGTAAAATGAATGATGAGCAACGGAAAACCACTAACCTCTTTCTAGTTCTAAATACTATGGCTTGAGGATGTGAGATGATTCGAGATGGGATGATCAGATAAAGACTGTTCATGTTATTGCATCTGCTCAAAATGGGTAGATGCAGAAGCTTTATAATACCTCTGGTGCCCAGCAGCACCTAGCAGAGTATCTGGGACATACCAGTTACTGGGTATTAGGTATTAGTAATGGGCATTAGCTTATGGAAACTCCTAAGGGTAGTAAATGTGACTTCTGTTGTACTCCTTATAACCAAATTCCATAACAAAAGACTACATATTCCTGGGAAGTGGAGGCTGCAGTGAGCCGAGATGGTGCCACTGCACTCCAGCCTGGGCAACAGAGCAAGACTCCGTCTCAAAAAACAAAAAAACCAAAAAAACTATGTATTTCTGTGAAGGAGAATTCGGCTCAAGAGACATTACATACTTGACTTGTATCAGACTTTACAACTATTGTATTTTTTAGGATATATTAGTAGACAGTAAATGGATGTGATTGTGTGCAAACACATCTGTGATATCCATTTTCTGGTTCAATTTTATTCATTAAACCAGAATCTCAGAATTAGGAGGGAAGTTAGACATTAACCAGTAAAATTTCTGAATATGAAAGATGAGAAAACTGAAGAGTTTGGGAACATTCCTAAAGATAAATAATTATTTCATGATGGAACCAGGTTATCTGCTCTGTATCCAGTGCCTGGCCTCTGTCTGCCTACTGCCTAATTCAGTCATCTCATGAGTGGGAGCTATTGTCTGGATATTGCCATCTGAATCAATATAGCTGGTATTACTACTAACCAGAAAACAGGATACTTAGGTCCTAGTTCTGTTACTAACTGGTCATGTGACCTTGGGCAATCATTTAACTTCATGATATTTCAGCATTTCAATTTTCTGTAAAATTATGGGTTTGTTTTAGCTAATCAGTAGTACACTGATATATCTTTGGGGTTAGAAATATAATTTTTTCTTTTTTTTTTTAAGAGACAGGGTCTTACTCTGTGGCCCAGGCTGGAGTACAGTGGCATGATCATACCTCATTACAATCTTGACCTCCTGGGCTCAAGCGATCCTCCCAACTCAGCCTCCCAAGTAGCTGGGACTATGAGTGCCTACCATGTCTGGCCAACTTTTTATTTTTTGTAGAGATGGGGTCTCATGATGTTGCCCAGGCTGATCATGAACTCCTGGCCTCAAGCAATTATCCCTCCTCAGCTTCTGAATGTGTTGGGATTACAGGTATGAGCCACCACACCCAGCCTTATAATTTTTGTCTTTAAAAACAGCAATCTCTTCCTTTTAAATTCAGAACAAGTCTGTGTCTGCAGGAATGAGGTGGAATTTATCTTAGATCAATGAAAACCTTCAAGATGGCAATTTCAGACAAATGAATCCTTTCCTTTTCTTACAAATTAATAAGTGCCCTGATCCAGATAACTGTCCAATTGTTTCAGTCTTTCCATTGCAACACTGGAGTCTAGGTGAAGCAATTACCTGGTAAGTCATAGTGAGTAGACTAACTCATTGTGCCAGGCACAACATAAGCACTCAACTATTTCTGATTGCTTAAACTCAAAATTCTGAATTAGTATATTACTAAATATGCCATTGCATTGACAGATCTTGCATTTTGGATGCTTTACTTGTAGGGAGAAAAACATAGTACAAAGAATTATATACTATTGATATATATTATTTATTATAATTGACTTAATATTATTTATTTTAAAATTAGTATAAACTCTGGATGACATTTATCTAGTACAATTCTAAAATCTTCCTAAACACAGGATAACATAGACTGCTCTCATTCTACTGTATTCTTCTGAGTTGTAGTTGACAATCCAATTCTCAAATACTACGCATTGGGTTTAAATGAAACACCACTGAAATCAAAGGTACAAACAGCCTATTCATGTCTCATTGCATTATTATTCTAATTAATATAAGTCACACAGGTGCAATGTGTGATGAGAGGCATTTATAAATTAATAAATAAACACATTTCAAAAGCACTGTGACTTATAAAAATAATGCCTCTATAAAAAAGACACTGTTGTCCAAAGACTGTTTGTTGGATTATTAGTTTATAAGCAAACAAACAGAAAAATGACAGAAATTTCAAACAGTAACCTCTCTGGAGGGAAACAAAGCAGTTCAATAGAAATAAACAGCTGTACATAAAAGACTGAGTTAAGGGTAATTTAAAAAAATCCTGAGAAAGTGATAAGCTCAGTGAATATCCTTTTGAAAGAGAGGCAGAGATACAGAAACCTCGGACTGAAATAGTATCTTGTGGCTTTACAAAGCTTTTTATCCAAGGACCCATCCACTTTACGAGAACAAATTTGTTAATTTACCACACATGCTTTTGACTCTGGTTAAGTGCTATGTTATGGCAACCTTTTATAGACAGAAGAGTTGGAATCAGAAGGATGACCCGCGCACAGGATCAGTAATCAGCAGTGCTCAGAAAAGGGCCATGAACCCTTCTCTCAAATTCCACTGCTTCAGTCCCTCTCCTACTTTCCCATCTTGCTGAATGAGCACCAATGGGTAACACAGTTGAAAGCAAAGTCACCATAATACTAAGTATTTAGCACCTTTCTTCCAGGGTGCTTGGCAGACATTACCTCATTAATCTTCATAACATCTTTAAGAAAGTGGGAAAGATTGTCTCCACCCTCATTTAATGAATGGGGTAGCAATTGCTTAAGGCCAGGACATGATTCAATGTCATGGCTAAAAACGGAGCCACGTTCCTGAAACCCTCACTCAGGTCAGTGCACTATCAGCCACTTTAGGAGTACAGGTAGCTCTTGGGTCAGCTGACAGTGAAGGAAGATAATTCCCAGCGTTAGCAGACATGGAAATAGACCAGATGAATAACACTACCCATTGTTACCCAATGCAGCGAAATACACAATTCATGTGTTAGCCAAACAAATGTTTATTGAGGGCCTGCTACAAACAGTTTGCTGTTGGGAGAAACAAAGAAAGGAAATGAACTAAGTAAAGAAAAAAGACCCATAAATCAAACATGAACACTCCACTGAAATAATTTAGATTCATTCATTCATTCATTCATTCATTCATCCTTTTGTTCAATGAATGAGAAACCTTCCAGACCCTTTCAAAGTGTGGAGGATACAAATAGAAATCAGACCTTACCTTTAAGAAGATTAGTCTGCAAGGCTAATCAGATATTTAAAACTTGGAGTCTACAGGAATAAATATTAAATCAAAGTTATGCCCAGCTGTCAGAGAAGCAAAAAAGAATAGCATTTAAGAAAGGTGGACATTTATCTATTTATTTATTTTTTGAGACATAGTCCCACTCTGTCACCCTGGGTGGAGTGCAATGGCGTGATCTGGGCTCACTGCAAGCTCCGCCTTCCGGGTTCAAATGATTCTCCTGCCTCCGCCTCCCGAGTAGCTAGGATTACAGGCTCCCTACCACCACGCCCAGCTAATTTTTGTATTTTTAGTAGAGACGGGGTTTCACTATGTTGGCCAGGCTGGTCTCAAACTCCTGACCTCGTGATCCGCCTGCCTCGGCCTCCCAAAGTGCTGGGATTACAGGAGTAAGCCACCGCGCCCGGCCCAAAAGGTGTACATTTAGTAGGATGATGACTACAGTAATATAAAGCAAGTGGGCTAGAAAGGGAAACTACTAACCATCTCTTTTTGTGTATTGGGCCTGGGTTTTCAAAGTATGTTTACCTGGGCTCATCAAGGATGGGGTGATGGGAGTCCTACAAAGAGAGTCAGAAGGGCAGGAGACAGAGGTTCACTTCTCTACTTCTGTTCCGATCTCTGTGCTTTATTTGGCTAAACCAGACCGGAGAATGACTTAACACTGGGTGACCATCTAGGATAATGGGAGATAGTAGACCAACCATTTTTCCCATTATCTTTACTGAAGGGGGCATGAGGCCCTTGATACAGAACGTAGTTTCCTTCCCAGGACTTCAGGACATCTTGTTGCTTTATGAAAACACCTTTGTGCTCTCCATGCCTGTTACCGTTTACATTGAGGGGGTGGATACAGCAAGTTTCTGCATGCCCGCGGATACGTCTATATTATATGGGATATAATCATGAAGTAGTGTGACTAAACACTCTATTTATATGTGAAGGTTTATATAATGTTTTATATATTTTTCAAACATGTTGCTCCACAGATTATCTCATTTTGATCTTTACAACACGTCTGTGAGTACACAAGACGTATAATATGATGTCTGCTGACAGCTAAAGAAAATGAAGCTCGGAGAGTTCAAAGCCATGCCTGAGTTAAAACAGAAAACAAGATGGAGAGTCCAACTCCACGCAGGGCTTCCTGACGCTGTCTCTGTCCAGACATTTCCTCAGACTCCCTAATGAGGCTGAGAGCTGAGATTCTGAAAAGACTGTCGATAGATAAAGATCGCTAGCTGTCCAAAAATAGTTGAGACCCATGAGAAAGACAGAGTAGCATCCCTTCCCCTCAGTTCCTGTTGTGTTCTAGCAAGTCCTCAGGTGTGTTG
The DNA here is from genome assembly GCF_000001405.40 of Homo sapiens. NCBI lineage: Eukaryota > Metazoa > Chordata > Mammalia > Primates > Hominidae > Homo > Homo sapiens. The sequence continues at coordinate 55,682,797 of NC_000018.10, read as the reverse complement.
AGAACTGAAGAGAGTTAGGAAATCCTCAAAGGGAGCACACAGGTGGAGCTGGACCACACCCTGTCTACTTTCAAACTGTCCTTCCCTGTGCTGGTGGCACGAGGACTCTGCCTAAAAACCTCTAACCCAAGAATTTCCAGTGCCTGTGATTCGGCCCCACTAGAGTGGACAGGTGGAAATTCCACCAGAACCAGATTGATAATAACAATATAATAATAAACCAGAAAAAAGTAATCTTTCATCATGAGTGGTGATAGCTCTTAGAGAAAATTCCATGACGCTAATCACAATGTTTGTTTGAAGATGCACTCAAGCTAAAGTCAGCTTGGAGATGACCAGAGGGGAATATAGGTATGACTGCATTACATCTTTGTAAACTCAAGGAAGAGCAACTTTCCAAGGAAAATATGGAAATTTCTTTACTGTTGAAGTTCCTTCTGATAGTGCTTTTTTGGATTTGATTCCAATAAATAAATCTTTTTTCTTTTTTTTTTTTTTTTTTTTTTTGAGACGGGGTCTCACTCTGTCGCCAAGGCTGGAGTGCAGTGATGATCTTGGCTCACTGCAACCTCCGCTTCCCAGGTTCAAGCAATTCTTGCGCCTCAGCCACTCGAGTAGCTGAGACTACAGGCACACACCACTATACCTGGCTAATTTGTGTATTTTTTGGTAGAGACAGGGTTTCAACATGTTGACAAGGCTGGTCTCAAACTCCTGACCTAAAGTGATCCACCTGCCTCACCTCCCAAAGTGCTGGGATTACAGGCATGAGCCACGGTGCCCAGCCTCTAATAAATAAATCCTTTTAAGCATTTAAAGCTAATATTCCTCTGTGCCAACTTAACATAAAAATTGATAATTTTAGGAACCAGCTAGGAGTAATGAATTGACTTCCCAGTGGACATATTTTTCCCAAAGTCCCTACAGGTGGTCAGTAGGATTCTAGAGTTTTATATGCTGGTCTTCAGCCCTTCATCTCACCCTTAATCCAATTCCTCCTTTACTACCACCATGAGCTCATCCATGTTGTATGCCTGATTTTCAAAAATACTTTCACAAGAATTTCCCTGCTGCCTTCCCGTAACTTTGTGAGACAGGCATTCCTCTAAAATGGCACTCAGAGGTTGTGTTGTAATTTCTCTGTTTTTAGATCTATCTCACCCTGTGTGCATGGCAAGCTCTATCTCATTCATCTTCATACCTGACACTGTGTGTGATACAAGATATTTTTGAAGGAAAGAGTGGAAAGAAATAAGGAAAGGAAGGAAGTGATAATAGGTATGTTATCCCTGGTTTACAAACAAACATAGAAAACTTAAGTGGCCTGATCTTAGTGGTCACACAACTGGATAGCAGCAATCCAATCCCAATCTCTCAGACTCACAGTTTCATGATATTAATCCCAAATTCTGCTGCCAAGAAGAGATGGGAGAATTCTAGCTCCCTCCCAAAAATGGGCATAGAGAATGGGAAGTTTGTCAGATTGCCCATTTCTTCTCTATGGATTTCCCCAGGCAGAAGGAATGGGTCTTCCCACTTTGTGTCCGGTGCACCTCTTTCCTCTCAGGTAGGTCATTTGTTTTGCATGTGCATCCCTCAGAAGGATCTGGATTGCCCTGATGTCAGGATTGAGCATTCAATTGGTACTTAGTAAATGGATGAATAAGGAGACAGAAGAAAGAAAGCAGAGATGAAAAAAAAAGTTTCATTTATTTATCAAGCAAGCATAGGTAAGATGACATCCATGCCACTATCTTATGTAATAACACTTCCAAGAAGCTCAGGGGGATAAAAATTCACACAATGTTTGTTAGAGTGAATCATACATCTAAGCTACGGCTGTATTTTATTTCAGTATTAAATACATTTTAGAAGATAACGAAAGCAGAGCTATGAGGAGCAAACCCTCAAAAGTACACAAATGAGAGTTATCAATGGGGATGGCTTTTTGCAAATGGAACAGATAACAGAGTTGAAGCCTTGAAATCAAATTTCCTTCCCACACACACATTCCATTCCATTAATACTCAGATCATGGAAGAATGGGTTAATATTCATAGGGTTCCTGACAAGAGACACAATATAAGGCTCTGTAGGCATGCATGCATGGGCTTTGACCAGTTCCTTGGTGCTCAGGCCCTTGGATTTCAAGGCCCAATGAGTTCTGTTAGAAGGAAAAATGGGTTTCTGATATAAGGTAACAAATAGTTTATTTTTCTCAAAAGAAATATCATTTACATTATGTCATTGTGGCAAAAACCCTTAAAATGCAGAAAACATGGGACCTTATTTCAGAGAGAACAAATATTTTGAAGTTACATAAATTTAGCTTTATGAAAAATCATTTCTCTGGCCTCAGTTTCCCATTTTGCTGCTGACTGGTGTGAACTTCATCAGGGACCTCCACGAGTCCATAGATGGGTGCTTAATTTACAAACTGGTATTAGGGAGCTAATGCCCTAGATCATCACTTCCAGGATATTAAAAAGAGCGGGGCAGTAAGCTTAGGGCAAATAGAAGCAACAATAAGTAGTGGAGAGTAAGCTAATGAGCACTACAAAGACAATGGACCCATGGAATTAATTTTCTTTAGAGTATTAGAGATCAATGAGATATACACATATGATCTACATATATATGTACATATATTTTTAGATCTATTTCATTGTGTGCTCCATCTCATTCATCTTCATACCTGAAACCATGTGTAATACAAGATATTTTTGAAGGCAATCAGTGGGAAGAAATGAAAGGAAGGAAGCGATAATAGGTATGTGTATATATATGTAGATTGTATCTACATATATCTATGTGTGTATATATATGTACATCATATATGTATGTGTGTCTATGTGTGTATATATATATATCATACATACTGGCTCACTGCAGGCTTGACTTCTAGGGAGTCAAGCAATCCTCCCAGCTCAGCCTTCCAAGTAGTTGGGACCACTAATTTTTCTGTAGTTTTTATAGAGATGTGGTCTCACTTTGTTGCTCAGGTGGGTCTCAAATTCCTGGGCTCATGTGATTCTCCCACCTTAGACTCACAAAGTGCTGGGATGAGAGGCGTGAGCCACTGCATCTGGCTTCAATGATTTAACAGACATGTGAAAGATAGAGCTGTAAAAGGTAGAGCAGCAGCCATGGGCTCTCTATGAAACTCCATCAGTTACACAGAGACTTGAAACTCACCACCAGGTTCAACCAGAGCAACATTCTCAAACTTCACACTCACTTTATGCACAGGAGCATTAAGTCTGTGGCAGAGAGATCCTCAGTTATCCTAGGAAAGAATGTTATTGATGTTTTAATTTGTAAATTTGCATTTCCAGATGGGAACTATAGTCATGAAAAATGCAGTGATGATTAAATTCAATATCTCCCTTGCTTTCTGTTTCTTCCTTAAACATGCCAAGTGTGATCGCTCTTAGAGCCTTTTTATTGTAGCTCCCTCTTCCTGGAGCTGTTCAACCCTGTAATTCAGGATCTGACTTTTTCTTGACTTTCCGGTCTCAGCCTAAACGTTGCCTCCACAGAGAGGCCTCCTGGGACTACACTATCTGAGATAGGTACCTGTGCACTGAGTGTCACATCACTGTATTTCGTTTCTCTGCATAGCACTGATCACTCACTGTTACCTTTTATTGCTTGTTTATTTTCTTATTGTCAGTCTCTGCCAAATAGAATGTAAGCTCCCTGAGAGCAAGGACCTTGTCTATATCATCACCACCCTATCAAACCCTGGTACCTAGAGGGTATGTTTCATAGCAGATGCTCAATAAATATTTGTTGAACAAAATGATCAACTAGTCCAGCATAACCCTCTTTTTTTTTTTTTTTTTTTTTTTTTTTTTTTGAAACGGCGTCTCGCTCTGTCGCCCAGGGGGGAGTGCAGTGGCGCAATCTCGGCTCACTGCAAGCTCCACCTCCCGGGTTCACGCCATTCTCCTGCCTCAGCCTCCTGAGTAGCTGAGACTAAGGCGCCCGCCACCGCGTCTGGCTAATTTTTTGTATTTTTAGTAGAGACGGGGTTTCACCGGGGTCTCAATCTCCTGACCTCGTGATCGCCCGCCTCGGCCTCTCAAAGTGCTGGGATTACAGGCTTGAGCCACCGCGCCCGGCCCATAACCCTCTTTTTATAGATAAGGAAGAGGGGTTCAAACAGGCAAAACTCTCTTAATACATAGTTACTTTGTGGCAATGTGGGGGGTAAAATAGATGACTCATAGGATTAATTTCTAGACCCATGTTTTTTTCCATGATTTTGTGTTCGTATTACCCTGATTTTGCCTGTATGTTCAGGAAATAAACAAACAAAAAATGAAAGTGTAAAGAGGGTATGGATGGATTTGCAATTTGTCATTTGACCAGGGCCTTAAGCCACTGAGGTTATTCTGCCTTTCAAGTTCTGACCAAAGTTAAAGAATAGATATAGTCAGGTACATGGTATACATTTAGGGACCATGATCAAATACCCTCACTTTAAATATTTCATGAATGTCTGTAACTTATTCCATGAACAAGCTATTCCTTAGGATTGAGACATTGACTTCTGAGATTTTCCTTGTCAAGAACAAAATCCTTCTGGACACTGTTAAGTGATTAAGCCAACACCATTCCTAACTCCCTTCTCTCTTGCACTCTTTAGAGTCTGATAAAACTAAATACAGCACTTAAGCTCCCAGCACCCTCTACATCCAGGGCATCATACAACAAAGATCTGGCCAATGAAACGTAAATGAAGTCTACAGGGAAACTTCAAGGAAACTTTTGCTTTCCTAGTAAAGAGTTGGACATGGCAGATTTTTTCTTTTCTTCCTTTCTGCCTTGAATATGTACTTGCTTTTGGAATTTGGGCAGCCATCTTTTAACGATGAGGGAAATATCACAGAGATCTCAGAGATGCTGGCCAGACATTGAGCCACTGAAATGCTGCCAGCTGCTCCCACCTCCAGAGTTTTAGTATGTGAGAAAAATACATTTTTATTTGCATAAGCCAAGTGAGTTGGGTTCTTCTTTACCTGCAGCTAAGAGAATTCCTTTTGACACAAAATTTTAAAAGACCTGAATTTTTGGCTGGGTGTGGTGGCTCAGGCCTCTAATCCCAAAACTTTGGGAAGTTAAGGTGGGTGGATCACCTTGAGGTCATGAGTTCAAGACCAGCCTGGCCAACATGGTGAAAGCCTATCTCTACTAAAAAATACAAACAGCCAAGTGTGGGGCATGCATGCACTGTAGTCCCAGTTACTTGGGAGGCTAAGGCATGAGAATTGCTTGAACCCAGGAGGCAGAGGTTGCTGTGAGCTGAGATTGCGCCACTACACTCCAGCCTGGCTGGCAGAGAGAGACTCTGTCAAAAAAAAAAAAAAAAAAAAAAAATCCTGAATTTTTTTCTGTAGGAAAAAAGCCAGAGGAAAAATACCCTGGCCTCACCTTCCTCTCTGCCCACCTTCAATCTCTTCCCAGTTCTATAGAAGACAGAGGGCGAGAGAGCCCACTGACCTATAGTCTGTCCCCAGGGACCCAGAGCAGGGTAAAGAAAGACAGAAGTGGATCTATAGAGGCACACAAGAGAGTCAAGCCAACCAGCAATTTTCAGACTTCTTTTCTTAGAATCAAAGGACTTTTATCCAGTGAAATCAAATGCCCAATGCCAATATTCAGATGAAAACAGAGCTTCTCCACTTGAACACTGGAGGAAGAGCCAGTACCTCATTCTCTTCACCTCCCTCTTATCCCTGTGGCAGCCATTAACCACCACCCCCCACCACCACATTTCTCAGAGATGAAAAAGTAGATTACAACTGATACCACAGAAATTTAAAGGATCATTAGAAACTACTGTGACTATGTCAATAAATTGGAAAATATAGAATAAATGGATAAATTCCTAGACACATACAACCTACCAAGATTGAAACATGAAGAAACCCAAAATCTGAATAGACCATTAACAAGAAATGAGATTGAAGCTATAATAAAAAGCCTCCCAGAGAAGAAAAGCCCAGGACTTGATGGCTTCTGATATGGTTTGGCTGTGTCCCCACCCCAATCTCATCTGGAATTTCCATGTGTTGTGGGAGGGACCCAGTGGGACGTAATTGAATCATGGGGGCAGGTCTTTCCCATGCTGTTCTCATGATAGCGAATAAGTCTCACAAGATCTGCTGGTTTTAAACAGGGGAGTTTCCCTGCACAAGCTCTCTTCTCTTGCCTGCCACCATGTGAGACATGCCTTTCACCTTCTGCCATGATTGTAAGGCCTCCCCAGCCATGTGGAACTGTAAGTCCAATAAACATCTTTCTTTTGTAAATTGCCCAGTCCTGGGTATGTCTTTATCAACAGCATGAAAACGGACAATACAGCTTCATTGCTGAATTTTACCAAACACTTAAAGAAGAACTAATACCAATCCCACTCAAACAATTCTGAAAAATAGAGGAAGAGGGAATACTTCCAAACTCATCCTATGAAGCCTACCCTGATACCAAAAGTAGACAAAGACATATCAAAAAAGAAAACTGTAGGCCAATATCTCTGAGGAATATTGATGGAAAAATCCTTGACAAAGTATTAGCAAACCAAATTCAACAACACATTAAAAACAGCATTCATCATGACCAAGTGGGATTCATCCCTGGGATGCCAGGATGATTCAACATACACAAACCAATCAACGTGATGTAACATATCAACAGAATGAAGGAAAAAAACATATAATTGTTTCAATTAATAATGAAAAAGCATTTGATAGATTTCAACATCCCTCATGATAAAATTAAAACCCTCAAAAAACTGGGTATAGAAGGAACATACCTCAACACAATAAAAGCCATATATGACAACCACAGTTAGCATCATACTGAATGGGAAAAAACTGAAAGCCCTTCCTTTAAGACTGGGAACACAACAAGGATGTCCCCTTTCATCACTGCTATTCAACGTAGTACTGGAGGTACTAGCAGAAGCAAAAAGACAAGAGAAAGAAATAAAGGACATCCAAATTGGAAAGGAAGAAGTCAAATTATTCTTGTTTGCAGATGATAGGATCTTATATTTGGAAAAACCTAAAGACTCCATCAAAAAATTATTTGAACTGATAAACAAATTCAGTAAAGTTGCAGGATACAAAATCAACATAAAAAAACAGTAGTATTTCTATATGCCAGCAATGAACAATCTGAAAAAGAAATGAATAAAGAAATTCCAATTACAACAGCTGCTAATAAAACAAGACACCTAGGAATAAACTTAACCAAAGAAGTGAAAGATCTCTACAATGAAAACTATAAAACACATGCAATACATTGAACAGGACACCAAAAAATGGAAAGATATTCCATGTCCATGAATTGGAATAATCAATATTGTTAAAAAGTCCATACTACCAAAGCAACCCACAGATTTAATGCAATCCTTGTCAAAATACCAATGATATTCTTCACAGAAATAGAAAAAAGAGTACTAAAATTTATATGGAACCACAAAAGACCCAGAATAGCCAAAGCCATCCTGAGCAAAAGAACAAAACTGGAGGAATCATATTACCTGACTTCAAATTATACTACAGAGCTAGAGTAACCAAAACAGCATGGTACTGGCATAAAAACAGACACATAGACCAACAAAATAGAATAGAGAATCCAGAAATAAATCCATATATCTACAGTGAACTCATTTTCAACAAAGGTGCCAAGGAACATACATTGGGGAAAAGACAGCTTTTTCAGTAAATGGTGCTAGAAAAACTGGATATCCACGTGCAGAAGAATGAAACTAGACCCCTATCTCTCACTATATACAAAAATCAAATCAAAATGGATTAAAAACTTAAATCTAAGACTTCAGACTATGAAACTACTTAAAAAAACATTGGGGAACCTCTCCAGGACATTGGATTGGGCAAAGATTTCTTGAGTATCTTTGCACAGGTAACCAAAGCTAAAATGGACAAATAGTATCACATCAAGTTAAAAAGCTTCTGAACAGCAAATAAAACAATCAACAAACTGAAGAGAAAACCCACAGAATGGAAGAAAACATCTGCAACTATCCATTTGACAAGGGATTAATAACCAGAATATATAAGGAATTCAAATAAATAGGAAAAAATTAAAAATGGGCAAAAGACCTGAATAGACCTTTTGCAAAAGAAGACATACAAATGGAAAACAAGTATATGAAAAGATCACCGTCATTCATAATCAGAGAAATGCAAATCAAAATTACAATGAGATATAATCTCACCCCAGCTAAATAGCATTTATCCAAATGATAGGCAATAATGATTGCTGGCAAGGATGTAGAGAAAAGGGAACCCTCACACACTCTTGGTGGGAATGTAAATTAGTACAGCCACTATGGAGAACAGCATGGAAGTTTCTCAGAAAACAGAAAATAGAACTACCATATGATCCAGCAATCCCACTGCTAGGTATATACCCAAAAGAAAAGAAATCAATATATCGAAAAGATACCTGCACTCCTGTTTACTTCAGCATTATTCACAAGAGCCAAGATTTGGAAGCAACCTGAGTGTACATCAACAGACAATGGATAATGAAAATGTGGTACATACACACCGTGGAATACTATTCAGCTATAAAAAAAAGAATGAGATCTTGTCATTTGCAACAACATTAATGGAACTGGAAGACATTAAGTGAAATAAGCCAGGCACAGTAAGACAAACTTCACATGTTCCCACTCACTTGTGGGAGCTAAAAATTAAAACAATTGATCTCATGGAGATAGAGAGTAGAATGATGTTTACTAGAGGCTGGGAAGGGTTAATGGGGGGAGGGGAAATGGGGTGGTTAATGGGTACAAAGATGTAGTTAGAATGAATAAGATCTAGTATTTGATGGCACAACAGAGTGATTACAGTTAAAAATTTATTACACATTTTTAAATAACTAAAAGAGTAGTAGCGGAATGTTTGTAACACAAAAAAGGATAAATGTTTGAGGTGATGGATACCCCATTTTTCCTGATGCGCTTATTAGACATTGCATGCCTGTATCAAAATATCTCATGTATACCATAAATATATACACCTATCATGTACCCATAAAAATTAGAAATAAAAAATTTTTCAAAAAGAAAAATTATTTTTAGGATTGTCAGATACAATACAGGATTTTAGGATTGTCAGATACAATACAAAGCACCCTCTGGTTAAATTAGAATCAGATATACAAGGAATAATATTGCACTGGACATACTTAAACTAAAATTTTATTTGTTGTGTATCTGATATGAAAATTTACCCAGGCATCCAGTTATTTATACGTACGAAATCTGATAAACCTACTAATTTATAACATCATTTAGCACAGATGTGAAGGAGCAGGACACAGGAGAGTTAAGTTTTTATAAGGGAGAGAGATATATATAAATACATAGATATTAAGCCTAGAGGTGCTAAAAGTGGAAGAGAAATCCAGAGAGGTAACCTTATAAGGCTTGAAAATAGAATTTATCTAGTTCACAATTTCGTTCATGTCTGGCAGTGAAAAGACGACCGTGCTTTTTCCACCTAAACTACGTCGTTCTTATATTCCCAAATGTCCTGTGTGCAGTGCATGTGCTCTTTTAAAGGTTAAGGTTAGTAAGCCACCCCTAGGGAGGAGGAAGAGGGACATGAAGCATTGCTATCGATGATGTCCTCAAATCCTGGCTTCTCGACTCCCAATCTGGGACATTTGGCTGTTTTCACGGCAGAAAATGTTCCTCATCCAATTAAATAACATGAAGCCGAAGCCAGGTGGAATGCTTCCAGTTAAATACTTGCTCCTCTTATCTTCTCATTCACACCCTTCCCCTCATTATCACAACTGAGCACATCAAGCACACGCTATGTTTCTAATAAAGATGTTCCCACTGTATTCCTAATGAAAATAGTGCACAGATAATAGCCCCTTTCCTTTATGAAAGATAGGAGTGACACTGAAGCCTCAGAGGTTCCTGGAAAAGCTGGCACACTGGTGAGTTCCCCTCATGAATCCCTCGGTTATAGTGAGGAGAGAGGAATGGGGTGTTTACAAATTCCTTTATTAGAAACTCAGTTCTGTAGACATCATCTGATTCCAATTTATCTAATTTCTAACAGAGTCATAGAGAACTTATCTTCATTCAGAGCCTTAGTAGAAGTTAAATACACACACAATCAGAACAGGTTATCAAAGTCTGAACCTTTAGCGACACCTAATTGGGCCAGCTTGTCAGCTTTTCAACATTAGCAAAGATTGAAGTGCATCGATTCAAAAAAGGAAAACAAATTGGAACAAACAACCCAAAGTGTTGCTCATATTTATGAGCAATGTGGTTTATTATATATATATAAAAAAAGCCAAGCCCAAAATACGAAGTGACTCTGTTACTTGCAAAACAAAATGTTACCTGTGCAGGAAAACAGAAGAAGGCTTCTTATAGAATTAACGATTCATTTGCAAGCAGAGTTTTTTTTTTCTAATCCAAATGGAGAAGATTGGGACATATGTGGGAGGTGGAAGCACGTGAAGCCATCTCCATTTTATCCTATTTTTAGAATAGGAGATGAAATCACTCGGGGAAGTGGGAAAAAGCCAGAGTACATCATTTGGTGTAGTTTTGCTTTGACTTCTAGTTCAATGGCTGTTTCTGACACTGTTCTAGGGTATTTAGAGATAATGTTCCTCCAAATAGACTTTGAAACTTTTTTCCTAGTGCTACAAAATAATTACTTCAAAAAATATTTAAAGGCTGATATTTGATTTATGGATATACACATATATACACACATTATGTATACTATCATATCATATGAGATATGTCATATATATGTAAAGATGACTCTCAAAATTCCTAAATAATAAGAAGTTTTTAAGTGGTGACATTCACCTTAGATTAACTCATCCACCAGCCAAGTCCATTTGGCTTTTTAATGTCCTTAATGTGAAAGAGATTTTCTCTCTTTTTATTTCAGCCTGTGTATTTCTGTTCCAAAATAGATACAGTTTAGTTAAACTAACTTCCTGTGCCCTGCTGGGGGTCTGTGTGATGAGAACTATTTTACCCAGACTTAACACAATTACCCTGCTGCTGGTCATGCAAGGCTGGAGTAAACAAAAACATTAAGGGGAGTTAGGATGTTATTAGCCAAGTGTTTTCCTCCATTTCTGGGTATGTGTTGAGGCAGCCACCCAACCTGAATAAGATCAGATGTGTTTAGGCACATTTCTTAAACCAACAGATAGCAACATTCAATGACTTAAACGTCTTTTTCCTTGACATCACTTTTGGGTTTAAAAAACAAGGACTTCTGCTTTTATCATGAATTACTATTATGCAAACAGCATCGTATTGTTAACCATGTCTGACATGATTGCAAGGTTAGATATACATCATCCTTTTTAAAGAATGACAAAAATGGACTTGATTTATTTGAAATCACCACAGAAATAAATATCAACTTTATTTGCTTTCTTCTGAAATTCATTCAACAAATATTGATGAATTGCCTACTATGTATAAGTCATTGTGCAAGGCTCTTGGGAGATTAAGAAATGAAATTTCTATTAATGAGTATGTCTGTACTTTTATGGAATGTTGACCTTCACATATGTTCATTCATTTATTCAACATTTCTGGGGTGTCTCATATGTGTTAATTCTAGGCAAACTGAGGCACTGAAAAATTCTAGAGTTCCTGCATCATAAAATGAAAATGCATGTAAGCTATGGTGTGTTACATTTACCCCCTGACCCAGCAGACTAGTCAACCTGGAGTCTCCTCCAGTCTTCCCAACTGTTTTCTGCTTAAGATCCATGGAGCAGTTCATTTTTTACAACTGAATTCTAACTGATACAAATGTGTTTTATTATAATTTGAAATCTATGAATGAAATACACAGCAATCCTCTATTTCATTAAGCAGAATATTGTATTAACTAAAAATGCTGGACAAAAGCATTTATTCTCTTCTGTGTATCACATAGACATTCATCTTACTCCAACAAATTATGTTTCTTCATACCTCGTTTTTTTTTGAGCACCCTGAACTTCCAACAGGTAATAAGCCCTCTGGCTGAACACGGTTTTCCCATGTTGAAATTTTATTTGCTTTTCAAGATGCAACTCAGAACTTCTTCATCTTTGAAACCATTTCTGACCCTGGCTGCAGTCAAAATTGATGGCTCCAGTGCCATTGATTGATAGCTCACATAGCACCCTGTATTAGTCCATTCTCACACAGCTATAAAGAAATACCCAAGACTGGGTAATTTATAAAGGAAAGAGGTTTAATTGGCTCACAGTTCCACATGGCTGGGGAGGCCTCAAGAAACTTAGAATCATGGTGGAAGGGAAAGAGGCACGTCTTATATGGCAGCAGGCAAGAGAGAGCATGCAAAGCCCAGGGGCAACTGCCATTTATAAAACCATCAGATCTTGTGAGAACTCCCTCACTATCACAAGAATAGCATGGGGAAAATTGCCCCCATGATCCAATCACCTCCCACCAGGTCTCCCACTCAACATCTGGCAATTACAATTCAAGAAGATATTTGGGTGGGGACACAGAACCAAATCATATCACACCCTTTCGGACCTCTACTTTGTATCTTCACTCTACCTCACCTGATATTGTTCTGATAGAGACATTGCCAACATGAAGTTACGTTTTCTCAAAAATTAGAGTCAGTCCATTGATGTAGTAGTTGAATTTCACTCCCAATACCTAAAACTGGGACCAAAATCTTTCACCTGAAACTCTAGAAACAATTGAGTTGTCTCTGGTGGGGAGGAAGAGAGGAAGATTTAAGGAGCTAGAGACAAAGGCTTCAGAGCTGCTGCTGATCCTGTTATCTCACCCCTGATTCTGGTAACAGGGTTCTTGCCTTGGGCTTTGTGGCAAGTCGCCTTCCTGCTTGTGCAGCAATTGTATAAGGAGCGAGTTGCAGCCTTATACCCTGAGTTCCGAGGCAGTGATATCTCCCATACCAACTTATCCTCATTCCAATCCTCTTGTTTGCTCCTTCCTTCATGGGAACTTCTATCTTAGCATGTATACACATTCTATCATATTATTATTATTTGTTACTTGTGATCTACTATGTAGACTTAAAGGTAAGGGCTCTGACAATTAAGTTTGTAGTTTTTATGTGTAGCAAATAAAAATATTCATTAAATAAATTATCAAATATAATACATTGCAATTATGTTTTATATGACTCAACATATGTGACTGGAATCTTCTTCAATCAACAAATTTTTTAAATTTCATTTTTAATTGCCAATAATAATTGTATAAATTTAGGGGTGCAATGTAATGTCTTTATACGTTTACATTGTGGAATGATTAAATAAAGCCAATTAACAACTCCTCTACATGCTAAATTTTGGGGACTATTACATTTAAAATCTACCCTTCTAGCAATTTTTGAAGTATACAATGCATTATTAACTATAGTCACCATGATATGCAATCAGTCTCTAAAATTTATTCCTCCTGCCCAACTGAAACTTGGTACCCTTTGCACAACATCTCCCCATTCCCCATTCTCTCCCATCAGCCTCTGGTAACCACCTTGCTACACTCTACTTCTATGAGTTTGACTTTTAGATTCCACATGTAAATGAGATTGAGTGGCATTTGGCTTTCTGTATCTGGCTTACTTCACTTAGCATAATGATCTCCAGGTTCATCCACAGTCTTACAAATAACAGAATTTCTTTTTTAAAGTTTACTCATATTTCATTGTGTATATACACCACAATTTCTTTATCCATTCATCCATTGCCAATCAACAAATATTTCTGGATCACCTGCTATGGACTCAGTTTCCTAGGACACAAATATCAATTAAACCCATTTATCGAGGCATTTAAAAACTGCTCTTAAGTCAAATCATTAAAGGCTTTTAAATATTTTATCTCCTTTATAATGGATCATTTATTTGTCTGTCTTCAACAATGGCTATAAACATCTTAAGGGCATCATTACATTTACCATTCATATTTCTACAACAAAATTTATGATAGAATTTACATCACAATGCCTGACACAAAACAGGATCCAAGAAGAGAAAAACAGGAATAATCGTTTAGTTATTTTAAGATTCATTCATGTTGTAGCACATATTAATGGTTCATTTCTTCTTATTGCTGATAAGATTTCAATTATACTCATATGTATATATCACAATTAGTTTGAATATTTGGATTGTTTCTAGCTTTGGGTTAACAAATAAAGCTGTTACGAACCTTCATTTACAAGTCTGTAATCTTTCTTGGGTAAATATCTAGGAGTAGAATGCCTGGATCATATGGTGGATGTATGTTTAACTTTTTAAGAAACTTCCAAACTGTTTTCCAAAGTGGTTGCACAATTTTACCTTCCCACCAGCAGTACATGAGAGTCCCATTTGCTCCACATCCTCATCAACACTTGTTTGGTCAGACTTTTTAATTTTAGCCACTCTACTTGTATAGTGGAGTGTATAATTGCCATTATATATATTCCTTGGTGAAAAATTTCTGTTCAAATCTTTTGCCAGTTTTTTACTGCATTATTAATTACCAATAACAGTTGAGAGTTCATTATATATTCTGGATACAAAGCCTTTATCAGACACAAAATTTATAAATATTTTCTTCCAGTTTTTGGCTCGTCTTTTCATTCTCTAATGGTGTCTTTTGAACAGCAGAAGTTCTGAATTTTGATGAAGCCTAATTTATCTTTTCTTTTTAATGGACAATGCTTTTGCCTAGTCCAAGATCAAAACAATTTCTATGTTTTCTTCTAGAAGTTTCATAGCTTTAAATTTGATGGTATGTTTAACTTTAAGTTTGACTCTATGATCCTGTAATCCCAGCATTCTGGGACATCAAGATGGGAGGATCACTTGAGGCCAGGTGATCAAGACGACTTCGAGTTAATTTTTGTTTACACCGTGAGAAATGGAATGAAGTTAATTGTTTTGCATATGGATATCCAATTGTTCTGGCACTATTTTTTGAAAAGATTATCCTTCCTTTACTGCATTACCTTTGAAATATTGAGAAAACTAATTAATCAAAATATGTGATCCCATTCTGGAAATTATACTCAGTTCCTAATACAAAAATTATTTGTTGGTAGTTAACAATTCAATTAAAAAAATACAAAAAGTACCAACCTACTTTTTGTTTTGGGGTGTGTGTGTATGTGTGTTTTGTTGAATGCCTAGTAATTTTTCTTAGATGCCACTCATTACAAATTTAATCATGTTGGGTGCTGGGTATTTTTATATTTCTATAAAAATTGGGAGGGGGCTTTGTTTTGAGATATAATTAAGTTACTTAAAAATCTGAATACTTTGGGTCTTCCTTTAGAGCTTAGTCAGGTGGGATGAGAGCAGCATTTAGTCTAGGGATTATTTTGTCCAGTTACTGACCCAACACCCTATGAATTATGAGGTTGTCCGCTCTGATTTGGGGGGATAGATGCTAGACCAAGCCCCACGTGAGCTCTGAAGATTGTTCCCTTTACTCTTATCCGGTAGTTGTTTCCTCAGCCTCAGATGTTTCTTCACCTGCACAAACTGATCAATACTCAGCTGAAGATTCAAGAAAGACCCTCTGCAAATTTTTAAATCTCTCTCCCTTCTTTCTCCCCTGTCCTGTGTTCAGCCCAGTCACATCGGCCTCCCTGGATTTTTAACTCCATCCACCAAGTTCAGGGAGACAATCAGGCTCTGCCCCGGCTCCTGCAGCCTGCAGCATGCCCTGCAGACAATATCAAGGCAATACACTGAGGCAATCACCTCACCTCATTTGTTCCACACACTCAGCATGGTCTGTTGCCTGATTTTAATGTTTTCAAAATTACTGTTTTCCATATTTTGTCTTGTTTTGTTTTTTTTTTTTTTGAGATGGAATCTTGCTCTGTTGCCCAGGCTGGAGTGCAGTGGCACAATCTCAGCTCACTACAACCTCCACCTGCTGGGTTCAAGTGATTCTCCTGTCTCAGCCTCCCGAGTAGCTGGAATTACAAGGGTGCACCACCATGCCCACCTAATTTTTGTATTTTCAGTAGAGATGGGGTTTCACCATGTTGGCCAGGCTGGTCTCAAACTCCTGACCTCAAATGATCCGCTCCCCTTCGGCCTCCCAAAGTGCCGGGATTACAGGCATAAGCCACCATGCCCAGCGTATTTTGTCTAGTTTTCAAGTTATTGCATATGGGATGGTAAGTCTGGTCCCTGTTACTTGTTCTTGGCAAAAAGAAAAACTCCTCATATTATTCTACAAGTCATTTGTCTCCTACATTCAGATGCCTTGATAGTGTTTTACATTAACATTATCGTTACCCATATTTCCTTACGTCATTCCCCACTCCGGGGTTTACAGCCAGAATTACAAACTTGTTGAGATTAAAAGATCTTAGAAATCACTTAGTCTATATGCATGTGGAAAATGAAGAGCAGGCAGACAAAGCTGTTACCTGTGGAGAGTGTCCAGGTTCTTGGAGTCTTGAACAAAGAATTGGACAAAAGGCACAAAGCAAGGAAAGAATAAAGCATCAAAAGCAGAGATTTAGGCCGGACACAGTGGATGACGTCTGTAATCCCAGCACTTTGGGAGGCCAAGGCGGGTGGATCACGAGGTCAGGAGATCGAGACCATCCTGGCTAACATGGTGAAACCCCGTCTCTACTAAAAATACAAACAATTAGCCGGGCGTGGCGTGGTGGCGGGCGCCTGTAGTCCCAGCTACTAGAGAGGCTGAGGCAGGAGAATGGCGTGAACCTGGGAGGCAGAGCTTACAGTGAGCCAAGATAGCGCCACTGCAGTCCAGCCTAGGTGGAAGAGCGAGACTCCGTCGCAAAAAAAAAAAAAAAAAAGGCAGAGATTTATTGAAAACAAAAGTACATTCCACTAGGTGGGAGCAGGCTGAGCAAGTGCCTCCAGAGCACGGTTACAGAATTTTCTGGGACTTAAATACCCTCTAGAGGTTTCCCATTGGTTATTTGGTGTACACCCTATGTAAATGAAGTAGTGGCCTGTTGTCAGTCTGATTAGTTGTGGGAGGGGGCCAATCAGAGGCCAAAACGAAGTTACAAAGTTACACCCTATGCAATCATCTGATTGGTTGTGGAAAGTGACCAATTAGAGGCTGAAGAGAAGTTACAAAGTTATACTCCTATGCAAATGAAGACTTGGCCCACAACCAGCCTGACTGTGTGTCCAGAATTGGTGGGTTCTTGGTCTCACTTACTTCAAGAATGAAGCCGTGGCCCCTCGCGGTGAGTGTTACAGTTCTCAAAGGCGGCGTGTCCGGAGTCTTTTCCTTCTGATGTTCAGACGTGTTCGGAGTTTCTTCCTTCTGGTGGGTTGGTGGTCTCGCTGGCTTCAGGAGTGAAGCTGCAGACCCTCCCGGTGAGTGTTACAGCTCATAAAGGCAGTGTGGCCCCAAAGAGCGAGCAGCAGCAAGATTTATTGCAAAGAGTGAAAGAACAAAGCTTCCACAGCGTAGAAGGGGACCCCAGAGGGTTACCACTGCTGGCTCGGGCAGCCTGCTTTTTCTCTCGTATCTGGCCCCACCTACATCCTGCTGATTGGTCCATTTTACAGAGAGCCGATTGGTCTGTTTTACAGACAGGTGATTGGTCAGGCATGGCGGGCTGCAGGTACCGAGCCCTGCCCCGCGGGGAGGCAGCTAAGGCCTGGCGAGATATCGAGCCCAGCGCCGGTGGGTCAGCACTGCTGGGGGACCCGGCGCACCCTCCGGAGCTGCTGGCCCGGGTACTAAGCCCCTCACTGCCAGGGGCCGGCGGGCCAGCCGGCGGCTCCGAATGCAGGGCCCGCCAAGTCCACGCCCACCCGGAACTCTAGCTGGCCCGCAAGCGCGCCCCCGCAGCCCCGGTTCCCGCCGGTGCCTCTCCCTCCACACCTCCCCGCAGGCTGAGGGAGCCGGCTCCCGCCTCGGCCATCCCAGGAAGGGGCTCCCACAGTGCCGCGGCGGGCTGAAGGGCTTCTCAAGCGCCGCCAGAATTGGCACGGACGCCGAGGAGGCATGAGAGCGAGCAAGGGCTCTGAGGGCTGCCAGCATGCTGTCACCTCTCAATTGGTTACAGGAGCAGGAGGGGACCAAACAGAGGTACTTTCAATTTTTCATCTGCCTCACAGAAAAGGGGGAGGTTTCAAAGGAAGTAGCCTCTGGTCCTTTTGTTACGTGGGCTTGGAAAGTTGGGGTTTTCTTTTTGGTTTAGTTCTAGGAAGTCAGCGTGAATCGGCCTTAGGTTCCCTGCCTCCAGACCCTATTCTCCTGCTTCAAAGTGGCATCCCAAGGGCACAGAGCTGCTCAGTGACAGTGAAGTCAGTAATAGACCTTAAGCCAATTGGTGCTTGGCCTTGGGCTCACCTGTAACCTACGCAGTGTTATGAGGTTCTCTTTCTTCTGCCTGAAAAGCTGCCATTGAGCTGACGGAGGCTCCAGATTTCTAGTCCAGGATGGGATCACTGACATACTGAAAGTTTCAGTCTAATTTTAAAATGTGCCAAATGCTCTGTCCCTAATGTGAGATAAAGATCCTTAACCGTGACGGGAAGAAAAAGAGTCCCACCTTTCAGAAGGAAAAGTTGTGAAAGCAGAGGCCTGGCTGGGGGTGCTCATGTGTCCCAAGACTCTTTACTGTACTTTGCCCTATGGAATGTATGTGGTGTCACTGGTCACTTCATTGTATCCGAGCGCTTATCTTTATGAAACCAGTTTGTCACCTTTGACCTTCTGACCTCCTCACTTTGGTCTTTGCTGCTGGCAAATGAATATGGGTAAGTGGTCAGAAAAGACAGAGAGAGTCCTCACTTCTAAGAATTTTTTTTTTTGAGTGGTGGGGAGGCAACAGATTTATTTCTCCATAATCATAATTTTACAAAGACAACAGCTTCAATGAATGAATTGTCTTCTGGAACATTTCTGGTATCACAAGAAATTATATCATCTAGCAGATTTCTTTTGGGATATGTCACTTGATAATGACTATTTTTTCCCCTTTTATGCCATGTACTTTCTTCAGGTTATGCAGGCTTTTTAGCATAAATACCATATAAAATAAAATATACCAGGAACAAATTTTTATCTCCCTACGTGTCAAGAAACCTCTGATTTCTTATGTTTATTCTACACAATCTTGCAGAAGTTACTTTACCTCATATAAAGTTAATTTAATTTTCAGTTAAGCTGTTGTAAATGGTAATTCCCACTTGCTCAAAGGAAATGTTTCAAGAATCAAAAAGTTATGGTTAGAACAAGGCTGTGATGCCATAAAAATGTGAGGCATAAAGACAAATGAGTGTAAGGAAGCTCTGGTAGAACTTACCTAAGTATGCCTCATCGTGGGGACTCCATCATCAGGTCAGCACATACATTCGTTGTTAAAACTGAGTACTAAGTGTATACAGAGGTTTTCATTTATTTATGAAAATCGTTTTGGTTATTTAACTCTATGCTTTGTGAAATTTTGCTGAACCACTAAACTATATTAAAGTAGTTGGCTCTCAACTAACAGGTTTTAATGTATAAATAATGTGTCCTCATCGCAGTGTTTTTAGCTGTCTCTGCCCAGAAAAGGCAATTTTGTGAACTAGTTTGAGTGCATTGTACACAGGGTTAGGGGGACATAGCAATAGTCATTTCAAGGCTCCTACCCATATAATGATTCTATGGCAATAGAGCTTATAAAATTAATGTAGAAGGCTGCAATCTTTTCTAAACAGTTTGCACAAAAAGAGAATTAGTCTATATTTTGCATGAATCACCACCAAAAAGTCACAGAATAAACATTAACATTATTTAAAAGTGGGATATAGATAGATAGATAATCTATATGGAGATATACAAATCATCCCAGGGGAGGTCAAGTCTGCAGTGAGCCATGTTCATGCCACTGTACTTCACCCTGGGTGACAGAGCGAGACCCTACCTCAAAACAAACAAAACAAACAAACAAAAAAACCCACAAAATACAAACAAGGCCGGGCATGGTGGCTAACGCCTGTAATCCCAGCACTTTGGGAGGCTGAGGTGAGTGGATCTCTTGAGGTCAGGAGTTCAAGACTAGCCTGGCCAACATGGTGAAACCCTGTCTCTACTAAAAATACAAAAATTAGCCAGGCATGATGGCATGCCTGTAATCCCAGCTACTTGGGAGGCTGAGGCACAAGAATCGCTTGAACCCAGGCGGCAGAGGTCGTAGTGAGCCAAGATCGCGCCACTGCACTCCAGCCTGGGCAATGAAGCAAGTGCTGATCTAAAAAAAATAAAAAATAAAAAAAAATCAGGCATGTTATACATATGTCTAAAACATTATTATAGTGGTCATGGAAGGTCAGTCAAAACATGAGTAAGTGGAAAATCCACAGGCCTGGGGTTAACAGACTTACTTTCCAACTCTGGCTGTATCCTTCTGTAGCTGCCCATCCTTGAGTAAGGTACTTATCCTCAATGAACAGTTTTCATCATCTAGAAAATGGGAATGATAGTATAATATGGTACTATCATTCCCATTTTGTGTATATGTATATATATAGAGAGAGAGTATAACATGGAAGGTACTACCATTTTATAGTATAATTATACTATATATATATATATATAAAATGCAAATATATATATATATAGGTTGTTGTGAAGTTTGGAGTTAATACAGACAAAGCATTCAGCATAGTGTCCAGCTCCCTGCATGGCGGCTGTTAATGGAAGGCACAGAGGGGTGGGGGAAACAGTGTGAGCTTAGAAACTATATCGACCTGGGCTGGAACTCCAGCTCTACCACATGCTTTCTCTGTGTCTTGGGCAAATCACTTAAATTCTCTGAGCTTCAGTTTCTCCATGAAGTCATGGAGATGATTATAAAAATACCTTCCGGGCAGAACTGTTGAAGTAATAGACACTATGCAATATATGTGTTAGAAGAATTCTTGTCAACCTTCTAGGAAGAAGAGTCCACAGAACATGGGGGTGAGGGGTGACAAAGCCTCTAGTGTTTGTTTCTTCCTGAGGGAGGAGGCTGGCTCTCTGATGTAAGTGTGAGTGGGTCCTGAGTCCTAGAAGGAGGTAGGGTTCTCAGTGTGTTGCACATAATACAAATCCTGGATAAAGACTTTTAATCTGTACCTTGCTCCCTGTGCCCAGTGGTGGACCCCCAAAACAAACATTCCTTGATTTCTATCAGAAATATATCTAGCCAAACTCACCTGCAGAGGTCCTGAATGTGCTTCAAAAACAGGAAAGGTCTCCTCCCTCTGTTTTTTTCCCTGCCTGTCCGATCAGCATGAAAAAGCAAAGCTTGTCCTCCTAACCCCACTTCAGCGGGATCTCACCAACGCTGAAGGAGCAGTGGCCAGGTGGTCACTCCTCTTGCTCCTCCTGGATGGATAAACTGTAGGCCTGAGTCAATGGACTGAGCCTTCTTGACCAAGCCATTTCTTCCTAAAGGCAAACCTCCATGCATATCTGAAAGCTTAGATTTCGCACAGAATAGAGGAGACCTCTGTTTACCAGACACTGTATTGTGAGCATTGCTTGGCACTTGCATCCCATTAAAATGTCAATATTTTTGTCTGCCTAGGAATGGTCACTCTTCTGTGTATCCCTTATCATCCTGAACTCTGGAAGTATAGGAAGGGTAATCTTTAGTCCCTAAACTTCCAACAATTTATAGAGCACAGAGCACAAGGTCAGGATTGGGTAAATGCAAGCATACGTACTCATGCAGTTACCCTGGTTTTGCACTTGGAGGTAGTGTAATGGTTAAGAGCATGGGCTTTAAAGTCAAGCAGATCTGGATTTTAATCCTGACTGTGCTGTTGTGTAGGGATGCGACTTTGGCAACATCTTTAACTTCTGCAAGCCTCAGTATCCTCATTTGTAAACTGGTAGCCACACTAGTACCCACCTCCGGGGCCATTGTGAGGGATTCCGTGAGATGGTGCACTGATGGTGCTTAGAACTGTGTCCGACGCATAGCAGTTGCTTAACGAGTGTTTGTTGCTGTTTTAGCCATTATTACAAGAATTTAACCTGACTTGTACTTCTCAGCCTCAGCCTAAGTGCAAAAGCAAATGTAGGAAGAATCCTGGCTCTTGCCAAGTGTTCCTGACTTTTCTATTATAGTTCCTTTGGGCATGTGTCCCTTCTTTCCTTTCCCACCTTCACCAGAATAGTTCAGGTATTTATAATTTCACAGGTAACTTGTTACAATCACCTTAGTAATAGTCCTGGCTCCAAAGTCTACTCCCACAAACCATCTTGCATGCCATTGAAATCCTCACCAATTCTCATTTTGGTTATCAACAGTTTCCCACTGTCTAAGATTCCTCAGCCTAACATGCAAGGCTTTCCATAAGATGACCTCAGCCTGTCTTTCCAAACTAATTTTCTTCTGCATTTTACTAACATTGGTTGAATGTTTTCCTTCTGCCAATACTTCCCTGATACTTTCACCCACCTGATTCTCATCTTGCCTTCACAGCTAACTTTACAGATGAAATGAAGCTCACACAGCCATTTAGTGGCTGAATCAAATTCAAACCTAGGTCTTGTTCTTCTAAATCCCATGCGCCCCGAACTGAAGTCTGGTCCCGAGGCTCTTCACAGCTGTGCAGCAGCCTTTCCAAGCTCTTGGCTTACACTTGCTTTTTTCCTTGCCGTTCTCATCCATCTCAGCACCATCCCACAACACCATCATTCTCATCTAACAAAATCCTTCTCATTCTTCAAAGCCCAGTTCGGATGTGGATGTTACCATCTCCATGGTGCTTTTTTTTTTTTTTTTTTTTCTTGAACAGAGTCTCACTCTGTCACCCAGGCTGGAGTGCACTGGCATGATCTTAGCTCACTGCAACCTCCACCTCCCAGGCTCAAGTGATTCTTGTGCCTCAGCCTCCTGAGTAGCTGGAATTACAGGCATGCGCCACCATGTCCAGCTAATTTTTGTATTTTTATTAGAGACAGGGTGTCACCCTGTTGGCCAGGTTGGTCTCAAACTCCTGACCTCAAGTGATCTGCCCCTCTCAGCCTCCTAAAGTGCTAGGATTACAGGTGTGAGCCACCATGCCCAGCCTCCATGGGACATTTCTTAATCTCCTCATCTGGAAATGCTCAAATCCTCCTTCACCATCTTGCCTGGACCACCCCATCACATTTATCACTTATTACACCCAGCCTTAGTTATTACACATCTTTTCTCCCTCCAGGGTGTTCTTTCCTTGACAATGAGAATTGTCATTGTGTTATGTCAGCCCACTCAGTCCTTCACAGGATAGCATAAAGAGGGTGGATGCTCAACGAGAGTGCAAATGAACAGATTTCAGAGGTGGTCCAACAAAGAGCCTCTATGTTTAAGGCTATGGAGAAGAAAACCACTGGACAGAGAGAAATTAAGTGTCTTGGAGATTGAGAAGGTATATATGAAGGTAAGGGAAAGGGGAAATGAGGGAGGCTATGGTCCTGGGGAGGGAAACAGATTAAACTTCAGGAGGAAGGATAGAGTGAACATGATGAGATGAAAAGGAATGTCAACAGGCTGTCAATGAAGTGCAAAGAGAGTATATAAGGAGTAGATAGTACCCAAGACCCTGTGTACAATGTCTAATTGGACACAAGAGAGATATGGGGTCAGGGCAGCCTCTAACAGTTATGATCAGACTGTATGATCAGACTAAGTCCCATTAATGAGGGTTGTCCAAAATCTAAGCCCCCCAGGTGGGATTGCTGAGGCTGCTGGCAGAGCCTGTTTTCTGCTATTTATATATGGGTGATAATAATGCTCTCCCTAGGTTAATTCACAGATTGATGGGAAAGATTTTTAAGAATCAAATGAGTGATGGTGCTTTGTGAGCTGTATAAAACCATAACAATTTTTTAAATATATCGTGTAGATGAGTAGATGTGTATTGAACACACACACATACACCTTGGTAATTGTTTACAAAAGGACAACATCTTGGTGTCCTGTATATTCATACTGCACTAGTAAAGAATGCTAATATTTGCCATGTTGTGAAGTTATTTGCTTTACTCATGGTTTTCTTTGCAGCTGCCGCATCCAAAATCACAAGGCAGTCATTTATTTCACATATCTGAGCAAATTAAAATTCAGCCTTTGAGATACACTGGGGTGTCCCAAAAGCAGAGTCAAGAATCTCTGCTATATATAGTAAAGGCACAGAGTCTATATTTTATAGATTCTCATCATTGCTATTTTTAGCCAATATTAAAATCTTGCATTATCTGTTGAATTTACATCACATGGGACCTGGTCACCTTCATAGATACATATTTCCCTGTATATTATTTACCTCTGCCTGTATTAAAAATTGATCTAAAACTTAGGCACTTAAAGCAATAAACATGTGTTCTCTCATTGTTTTTGTGGGTCAGGAATTTGGGAGTGGCCTAGCTGGGTGATTCTGGCTCACCGTCTCGTATGAGGATGCAGTCAGGATGTCAACTGGGTCCTCCGTTAGCAGGAGGCCTCAGTTCCTCTCTGGCTGTTGGCAGGTGGTCTCAGGTCTTTGCTAAGGGAGCCTCTCTGTAGGGCTGCTTGCTTCACAACATGGCAGCTGCCTTCTCCTATAGCAATTGACCCAAAAGAGGGAGCAAAGTAGAAGCCACATTCCCTTGTGTGACCTAGACTTAGAAGTCACAGACCCTGATTCCGCAATATCCTAGTGGTTACACAAGTTAGCCCCATTCAAATTGGGTTGTAAGGCTACCCAAGGGCATGAATACCAGGAGGCAAGGATTATCAGAGCCATCTTGAAGTCTAGCTACCACAACCTGGATCCTGATTATAATTCAAACTACTGGGCAACTCATGTCTTTCCCAGCTACATCAGTGGTGGTTTATGTTACATTCAAGTTAATAACCTGTATTTCAATGGCTCCAATTCCCTCCTGCTTTTGCATAAACTGAAACTTCATGATAAATATCACTTGACTATTTCTAGGAGATCCCAGGAGGCCTTTTGCAAACAAGATCTGCCCACTGCGATTGATGGTTTCTCAGTTCCTTTCTCTCTTTCTCTGACCATACTCCATGAGGTTTCCTGCAAACGCTTGATAGGAAGCTGTGCAAAAGCACATCCCTTCCACCTCCAGTGGCCCAGCTGATTCCCTTCCTAGTCAGCACTTCTGGGTGCTTCTCCTGCTTCTGCCATGAAGTCTACTTCTTATGATGACAAGAACTTGTGGGCTACCAGTTCCAGCAGTCACTCAACCAATATTTATTGATTCTCTGGCACTGTGTTAGATTCTGGGGACACAACAGGAAACAAGGGATACATGGTCTGTTTCCCCAAAATTTACAGCCCAGAATTCCAGACCACTAAGCACATGTCACTAATCTAGTGGCCAAGTTGAGGGTGTATGTTGGTCTCCTTACTGAACTGGGTTAATGGGGGCTCTAAAGGAGTACTCCTGGTATCCAAATATTTCTCAGAGTTTAATGCTTTCCATTTAAGCTTCTAGTTATTATTCTCCCAATAAGAATCACATAACAGTCTATAAATGGCTGGGCCAGAAAATAAATTTAAAAGATAGATTCTTGCTCTATTCAGAAGCCCCCTTTCCTCCGACATCTAAGTCTTTGTTTCTGGGCCAACTTTGCTCAGCTTGTTATGCCCTTTGGATGACATCTTTCCCAAGAGGGTTCTCAGAACATCATTTAAATACCCTACTCCAACTTTCTGCTGGACATACCCAAGCAATTGCATCCTACATCGATGAAAAACACATTCCTGTACAAACCAGCTCCCTTGCAGCAATCTGATGTGAAAAGAGAAAGAGAATGACCATCATGTCACCTTGAAATTTAAAAAAAATGCTTTAGAGACCAGGCTCCGTGACTTACACCTATAATCCCAGCCCTTTGGGAGGCCAAGGTGAGAGAATTGCTTGAACCCAGGAGTTTGAGACCAGCCTGGGCAACATAGCAAGACCTTGTCTCTGCAAAATACATACATACATACATACATACTAAAAGTAGCCAGAAGCGGTGGCATACATCTATAGTCCCAGCTACTTGGGAGGCTGAGGTGGAAAAATCACTTGAGCCCAGGAGTTTGAGGCTGGCGGTTATGATCATACCACTGCACTCCAGCCTGGGTGACAGAGTGAGACCCCGTCTCTTAAAGAAAATGCTTTAGAGATTTCTAGTTAAACATAAGAGATTGAACACATTTCTTTCAGCTCCCTCCAATACTCCATTAAAATGATAATAAAGGATTTTTTTAAAATAACAGAAATGCAGTCATAGCAATCATGAACCAAGAAGGGAGCTGACAGTAGCCCAAGAGATGTCAGTAATATGTTGGAGGCTTGAAAACAAGGATAAGTATCAAATGACTTTGCAGAGAGGAGAAAGTTAAAAACTAGGCACCTGTAGAAGGGGAAATAAACAAGAAGTAAGCCAATTAGCCCCCCTGAGCCATAGAAAAACTGAGGATTGGAGTTGCTGAAAACACAAGCAGTTCTAGGTGTTCAAAGGAACACCGAACTCCCAGATCCCCTCAACCCTTCTCCACCATAAACACCACTGTGTGGGAAACTACTTCTTTCCCATTAACCCAGAATCCCCAAAGATTCTGGAGTTGGGAACATGTGGTTGACCTTCCACCATGGCTGAAGAATTTTGATAAAACTAGAGAGAACAAGTGAAAGGCTGCTTACTGAAAACTGACGACCCCCACACTGTCTTTGCCTTCTTCTACTGGTCAGAACAATATCCTATTGCCAGTCCAAATAAAAGCATTGATGACTTGTGTTAAAATTAGCATTTTTGGCCTCGAAATTAAAGGAGACATTCTCACAAAATATATAAAATGATGGAGGGAGCTTTCTGCATGCTATTTACATTTTTAAGTGATACCCTGATTATAACTTAAACTGCTCTCATTATGTCAGTTTGTCTGAGGAAGTCCCCTAGAATCCTCCACCCTCTTCGTATTAGTGATTCCGAGGTCATGAGGGATCAGCAGGAAGAAAAGATCTGCCACTCTCCTCTACTCTGAGAAAATTCTAGAACAGGAAGAATGGGGACCTTATTCCTTTGGTGGGGTGTCACCAAAAAAGGCTTAAAAAAATCTGTGGAACTGTTTCTGAGTTATATGTTAGCTGTGAATGCTTTTAGTGTTGTAGTTTTGTTTTGATTTTTACTATTCAGAAAATTTGCAGACTAAAATACTATCATTTGAGAATCACTCTTTAATTTTCCAAGCAAGTTTCAATATGTTCAATATACTTACTATTTACTTGCTCTATCTAGTATATCCCATTCTATTTTATTCTCCATTCAACTTTGTAGAAAGTAGTATTACAAAGGGGTTTTATGCTGCTGCAATTTGCTACTGTTGTCTGCATTTATTTCTTTAATGACAGAAAATTGAAAAGCTGGCAAAGTAACAAGTTAGTAAATAATTTTTAAGGTTTATTTGGAAAAACAATCTTTTAGAAATATTCAGAATCATTTGTTATTAAAACATTATCAGAACACATAAGCCCTCCTAATATACAGAACAATAGCCATGCAGTCATAGAGAAAAGGCATTTCCTCAATAAAATATCCAGTCTCAATTCCCAACCCCAGAGCACATAAACTTGGAAATGACCTTGGCAAGTCTCCTTCAAACTTAACTGGCTTCTCCTGCTTATATTGCTAAAATTCCATAAAGGGGCAACCAATCACAAAATGAACTTGGAATATTTCATGAACTCTAGTCCAACTGTCTGTACATTAAAAAGCTCAAATAAACACCACATGGCAAAATTTAAAGTTTTTTTTAATAAACCTCATGTTGGAAAGCACTGGAACTGGTACCAAATCTTCAGAGAAATTTTGAAATATCGTCAAATAGCATCTAAGTTTCAAATATTCTCTTAATTTTACAAATCTCTCAAGTAGATGAAGCCATCACACATAAACTTGGCAGACATTCAGTTAAAAGTTAATGTGTTGAAACAGTAAATAGCCAAAACACTAAATCAAGACAACTCACTTATTTTGTTTAAATGGAAATCTTCATAGAGAAACATAACTTGGTCTATACTATTCTCAGTAGTTACTAAGATAAAACCAAATACCATCCTCAGGCCTAGCCAGCCTCTCCCAGGTGAAGTCACTTACACCCTGTGCCCACAGGTTCAGTTCCATCAAGCTGAGCCAATCTCAGGCAGAGAAGTAAATTGGGAGCCTGATCCCTGGCTGCTGAGACCTGCCTGCTGAAAACTTCGAAACCCCTTGGCGGGCACTCGTTAAGATGTTCATCAGCATCATTCCCCACTTCATTCCACCCCCAAGTTATACTAAACTATTTGCATTGAATTCCGAGAATACACCACGTTCTCACACCTTCCATTTTTGGCACGTGCTCTCTAAAACACCTCTCCTCCACTTCTTTTCCTGGATAACTCCTCTTCAGTATTTCAGGACTTTGGTTAGCTGTCATAGCTTTGGGGATTTCTTCCCTCACCCTCAACTGCATGCCCAGCCTGAGAGAGACTCCTCTACTCTGCTCTGCCCTTTAATAAAACACTGAATTGCAATATGGTCCAGTTAGTAAATACTTAACTGTTTCCCTTTGAAATAGATTTTTAGTCTAGGGGCTCACTCATTTTTGTATCCTCAGTGATGAGAACAGTGTTTAGTGTATAAAGAGAGCTCAAAAAAATGTCTGATGGTCGAATCTGAAAGTTCTTCAGCTGCCAAAGACCCAGGATTAAATGGACCCAGATGAAATCTGGGCCTTAAGGCAAACCTTCTTCCTCCTCCAGCCATATTGTTCCATTCTCCTTGGCGCTTCCATGTTGGCTTCCCCACCCAATCAATATGCGTGTTTCCTCTGCAGGTCAGTCTAATGTCTAATTGTGGGGGGTGAATCCTCCTTCCTATACTTCTCCCTGCTCTCCTGTGGATTTTCTGCTGTGGTCTTCCCCCCACTGCCTGACCCCACCAACACATTGAAACTATCCTTGGAAACCAATTCTTGCTGAACCCAAGCCTTAATTTACTGTCCCTTTGGAAAATGAGAATTGGGCTCTATTCTAGATAATTCAGGGTCAAGCCTACTCCCAGGTCAGTTCTCCCAGTCCCCTAGTCCACATAGTGCCAGCTTCTTCCCTTTCCTACCAACCAAGAGATGAGCAACTCATTCTCCTTTTACCTTGCATCCTAATCACTAGCTTTCTTCTTGAAGATAGGATGGGCAATGATGTATCATATTGAACTCAAAGAAGAAAAATGAAAGCCCAGAAGTGAAAAGCTGCATAAATGATCATTGATCTCCTTTGATTCAGATACAAAGTGTGACTACACAGTGAGACTCATTTCATTTTATCCAATATATCAACATATGAAGTCAGTCTCCCTGGGAGTAGTCACTCATTCCACAGACGCATCTGAGACAATATGTTAAACGTATGCGGGAACTCAGCCTAAAACTTTTATTTTGGGTCACCCAAAAACTTGACTCAAAATAACTGATAGCTACTTTCAGAAATGAAATTCATCCTTAAAATTAAACATATGCCATCATTAAGGATATTCATAATGATGAGCCGCAAGCCCTGAAAGCATTTCTACATGGGAAGAGTATTTAGTATTTTGAGTCAAGTTGTTTGACCTAAATAAGTGTGTAACCTCCCTAAGAGATTACTTTGGAAAATACCCCCAGATTATACATTTTAATGTACAAACTCTGGCACATCTGCCTTTTTTAAGAAAAAAATCTCATTATCTCAGATTTCTCTTTTCCTTTTCTTACTCAAGCAATTTGGAATATCATACAACAAATAAAATAATTTATTTTATTCAAAATCATACTTTGAAATAAATCTATTACAAAAACCCTCTAAATATATATTTTCTGAATGTGAAATTTTCAGTGCCTAATAGTGCATTCAACACTTTTGTATGTGATCTTAGTTGGGATTAATTCATTTGGAGAAATAAAGCAGGTGCTAATTTATTTTTCTGCAACAATGGCATCAGCTTTCAAAACAGTGATGCCTTGTCTATAGAAAATATCAAATTATTTCTGTTCTTGGAACTCATCTTTGAGTTTCACTTGCTTCATATCACCCCTTTTGTTCACTTCGATGCTTTGGCTTTAGAGGGGAGCAGAAGGGAGGTCTCCATCACTCGTCTGTTGTGATCTTCACACGAATCCCTCAGTTGTGGGTTTAACAAGCATTTTTTTCTCTAACAATAAGAGAATCAAAGAGGGACTCACCATGGCCGGACGCAGTGGCTTATGCCTGTAATCCCAGCACTTTGGGAGGCCAAGGTGGGAGGATTGCTTGAACCCAGGAGTTTGAGACCAGCCTGGGCAACATGGCAAGCCCCTGTCTGTACAAAAAGGAGAAACAATTAGCCAGGCGTCGTAGTGCCCGCCTGTAGTCCCAGCTACTGGGGAGTCTGAGGTAGGAGGATCACTTGAACCCAGCAGTGAGCAGAGGTTGTAGTGAGCTGCGATCTTACCACTGCACTCCAGGAAAAAACAAAACAAAACAAAACAAAAAAAAAACAAGAGGGCCACACCATAGAAAAGCACTGCTTCTCCCTTACCCCAACCACCCCTGACCCCTGATGCCATTTGCCCAGTGTGGTTCATATGAATGCCCAATCTGCCTCTAAGAGAATACATAATAGTTAATGAGCAAAAATTCAGCAAGGTAGCAAATGATTTTTGCAATTGGATGGGTTATCAGATGAAAAGAAATATAAGGATTTGGGGGATGGGGGTATTTTGAGGTACCTCCCCCAGGTTTCTATTTGCCCAGAAACCTTTCCTCTCCAGTCTTAAGGCTATAGCAGTGAAATCGTTAGGATTGTGGTTCTCCTCCTGTCAGCCTTTTTTCTTTCCTTTTCTCTTCAAATCTGCAGTTTTGTTCACTTCGACTTGACTCATCCGTGGAAAATTACAGGGATGACACTTCATCCATGAAGGCGCTAGTCTCCAAGATGTATAAAATCTGGGAAAACTTCTGCCTTTCTCTTCTTCAAGGTTATCACAGGGAGTGGGCTGCCTTCATCCCTCTCCTCTTGAACCACCTATTACTCCCCGCAGAGACATCTCCCTTTCAGTCTATTGAGAAAAAGAACAGTTTTCTGTCTTTATCCCATTCTTCATCCCTAAAGCAACTGCTGAACTTTTGAATTATAATTCAAGTATCTGTCAGTATTAGTCAACTATTGCTACATAATAATCAACCTCAACATCTGAGTGGTATCAACAAGTATTTATTTTCTGTTGTTCAGTCAGTAAGTGGGGTAGCCCTGCTCCACACCTCTCTCATCCTCCTCCTCAGACCAACAGGCCAGCCCAGGCATGTTCCTCTCATGGGACAACAAAAATTCAAAAGGGCAAGCCCGGCTGTCCAAGCACATTCCAACCCCCTGTTGTGTCACTGGCATTACCATCTCATGGGCCAAAGCAGGTCACAGGACCAAGCCCAAATTCAAGTGGTGCATAAATACACTATACCTTTTGTGGGAAGGACATTTATGTTTATATGACAAAACATAGAGGCATGGGTGAAGTACTAGGGCCAATAATTCATTCTGCTATATCCTCAACCTTCATCAACTTGGAGATACAAATGGAAGAACTTATCAAAATATCTGCTCATCTACATTTCAACAACACAGTACCCCTCCTGCCCAACAGGCAGCCCTCCATCCACTTTCAAGTTTCCTTATTCTTTCCAGTATGTCAAAGAGAATTTCCCGGAATGAGAGGTGGTTGGTATCTTCTGTGTTCTTTCGTCTGTCCAAGATGCAGCCTGTGCCTCCACATGCCTGGAAACACACAGCCAACCTAAATCCCTCCCCAAGACCTCGTTCCACCCATCTCAGATCGTTTTTAGAACTTCCATTTCCTTTGTTACCCTTAATTTTCTTCGACCGCACCAGTGAGATGAGGCTCACAAGACTTAGCTAAAGATTTCAGGAAAAGAAAGGAGAACAGCACACAGAAAGTGAGTGAGAACTAACTATTCTTTTTGATCACTCTCAGAACCCATAGCCCCCAGGTCATCCTTATAGGATCTCCAGGCTGCAAGTTGCCTCTCAGCCTGGCTGCTGGCATGACTCATGAGACTGGAAATATTCTTGAGTATGCCTGGACTCTGTAGAGTCTAGGCCAAGAGAGAAGGAGTGCTCTGATCATCGTTCTTCCAAACGTTTACTTCCTGTTGTAGAATCTCACTCTTTAAAGGATGATTGACAGCAGAATAGGCCACCCTCTTCATGAAGGAACATGCCTTTCGTCCTCAAGTGTCTCTATTTGAGTAAAAGATTTTGCTACCAAAAATCTTTGAAAATCATCATTAAAAAATATTCTTGTTAAAAGCTGTGTTTATTTCTCCCCTTTTTACAATACAGTATGTTTTGAAAGAATAGTTTTCTAAATTTCTATTATTTCCCCCAAAGTTTAAAAAAAAATCTCACTTCATCCAGGACCCACTCTCAAGGTACCAAAAGCAACCTCAGTAATAAACAATACCAAATATTTAGTGGCTTACAAACGTAAAGGTTAATTTCTAGTTCACATCACATGTCAGGAGTAGGCTGGGTACAGAACTGCAGTTCCTTCCTACCTGCCTACATTTCAGGACGTGGTTAAAACACAGCCACTATTAGACATGCAACTGGCATGGCAGAGGATGAAGACAAAGAGCTAAAGCAAGTAATGCTCTTAAAACTTCTGTGTGGGTGTGGCATCATGGTTGAGTATCCCTTATCTGAAATTCTTGAGACCAGGTGTGTTTCAGATTTTGAATGTTATTGGATTTTAGAATATTTTAATATATGTAATCAGATATCTTGGAAATGGGATCCAAATCTAAACATGAAATTTATTTATGTTTCATATACATTTAAACTGATAGCCTGAGTTTAATTTTATAAAATATTTTAAATAATTTTCTGCATGAACTAAAGTTTGTGTACATTGAATCGCCATAAGGCAAAGGTGTCAGGTATGGAATTTTCCACTTGTGATGTCATATCAGCACTCAAAAAGTTTGGGATTTTGAAACATTTTGGATTTTGGATTTTCAGATTAGGGTTGCTCAACCTGTATTGCCATTTACACTCATATTTCAATGGCTAAAATAAATCATATGGCCAAGCCTGATGCCATTTGGGTAGGGAAGTATACTCACCCCACAGGAAGGTGCTTAAAGTCGCACAACCAAAGAAGGTGGGGAAATACAAAAATTGAGCAAGGAAACCATCAGTAGTGGTTTCTAATTTCTATGTCACTGATTTGGGGGCCACTCTCCAGCTTCCCAGATATGAGGGGCCATTGAAGATGAAGAGGTGGCTTCTTGCTTCCAGCCTAGCTCTAGTGGTGGCCTGAGGAGCTGTAGCCCTGTGGTGGGTTAGTTTCTGTCCCATGCACTGAGCCCTGGCTGATTCAAAGGGAGAGAATAGCTCTCAAGTCATTGTCCTTCCTGCCTCATTTCTTTTTACTGAGATCCCTGAGAGATAGAAAGACTGTGCATACACACGGTAGTAATGCTGAGCAAGAAAGACTGGTGTGAGATTCTCCTACATCTCAGAAGAGCAACCAAACTCATGACTCGACTCTACAAGTGTGCACCAGGTGCAGAGAGGAAGCAGTGATGGCACCTGTGAGACCAGCTCCGGACAAGGACAGCGGCAGCAGTTGGAGGGAGGGGATTAGAGTGAGGAGTGCTGCTGGGTGCTGATACTTCTCTCTGATCACAATGTGCATGTCTCTTATGAGATCTCCCCTCCCCACTGGCTCTCAGCAGAAAGTGGGGGAGCAGGAGGGCTTGTAAAGGTGGGGCAGGAGAACAGTGAGTGGGAATCCCAATATTCAGGATAGGCCATAAGGAGAAGAAAAAAGGAAAATGGCATGTATGTGTGCATTTTTCAAAGAGAGTGCTAGTGTCCATCCATCAGAGGTGGTGGTAGTTCCAGGTGCATGGATGACCCATGTGACCTAGCAGGTGCAATTCTTATACCCTATGCATAGGCATTGTTAAAGATCTGCTTGGTCTGTAGCTCAAAACCCACTACAGTTCAATTTTACTTCTATCACCTTTTGAAGGTGCTTAGTGGCCTCCTTCTTCTTCTTGAAGCACATCATAAATCTTTGAGCTGAGTGGCAGAATCTTATGGCTAATGGTTTTTGTTTTTTGATTTTTCTTAGCTGAATTTAAGATTCCAGATCAATGTTTTTCTTACTAATGATTTGCCTTGCTATATTCATTCTCTTCCCAAAGATTTATGTGTGTGTGTGTAATATGTTTAATATATGAAACAGTGAAAGATATAAACATGTATTTGCATGTGTGCACACACACACACAAATCAGAGAAGAGAGATTTCTATAAATAAGATACTCAACATGGTGGTACTCATTCTTCTACTCATATATCAGTATATTATTAAATTATATATATAGCTATTTTATTATTTTATAAAATATATAGCTATTTTATATACATGTGTATATATATATAGAGAGAGAGAGAGAGAGAGAGAGAGAGCGCTATTTCTCCTCCATTGAAAGCCTTTAGGGGAAATGTGAAATATGGCAGTATTAGTAAAAGTTTAAATTTAGTGTTACATTTTTATGCAAATTGCTATTTACATAACAATATCTTTTTAAATGTTACTATTATGTTGGTCTTCCATTAATTTTTACAGTATCAATTCTCTAAGCAAAGAATGCTCAGAAAGATAGTGATGCTGGTATTCCTTCAGTGAAGTTCTTTTCTACCCTGAAACATCAGAGTCTGTATATTCAAATGTATCCAGTAGATGAAAACATTCTACTGTTCTTCGTAACTTTCATTGCCAACCTCCTGATTGAGTGTTTTGCTTGATGTGAATCTGCTTAAAGGATATTTGCCTTTATCCTTTTCTTATTCTTATTTCATCTTTCAGCTTAAGTGTAAAATCTTCTGGTTTTGCCATTTTTATCCCACAGGACATCACTATGTCTCTTTAATCTTTTGTACTCATCTGATCTAGCTTTCCACTCTGCGTGGCTTTCCCATTTGGGTTTAAGCTGCTTATAGAATTCCTATTTTGGCTAATTAGATTTCATTCTGAAAGCCGAGGAGGGACTAAATATATCACTTTTTGCCCCTCTCTTCCTCCAAAAGAAAAAAGTTCTATCCCAGATGTAGGCGTCTGGAGCCCAAACAAGTGAGAGTCCAGACACCCATGACATAATGCATGTGGTATCAGCTTATGGGATACAATACAAGCTCCTACGCCCCAACTCCTCTTCCTGCCAAATTTCTCCCACCTGCTGCGGCTGTCTGCTGCTTGGAATAACTTTATCTGGGAGGTAAGTTTTTCATTCCACAATAGCAGGTATCAAAATGCACAGACACATGGAAGAGGGAAAATGATTTAAACTTATTGAAATTTACATATTCCTAGATTTAAGAGATTTTTTTTCTTTCTTCAGAGGATGTTTCTTTAGGAGGTAGATCCTAGGTGCCAAAAAGTTAAGAAGATGAAATTTTTCTACTTGCAAGTTTGTTCAGATATACCTTCTCTGGCAAGACTTATCCAGGGATATGTCGCACACGAGGAATGGCCATGGGACGGAGGATCTAGGCAGCTTTAGGCTGTGCTTTGGGGAGTACAGGTTAACCTAAAGCTCCTGTGCTCCTCCCACTTACTTCATCTTTTTGGTAGGCAACTTGAACTCAACGAAACTCCATACTCTAATATCTGGAGCAACATTGAATGGAATAGGCAGATTATTTTCCACTTCCAGCATGACCACAATTTTTACTCTCAGCATTTTAACACATATGGCCCATGAACAATATGTGGTAAAATAATTTACATTATTTTTGAGTGTGCAATTAACTTATTCTATATATATGTGCCTGTAGGCATAACTCCTTAGTAAAAGTGACACCACATTTTAAATGCTTCAGTAAAGATAAGAGTTAGAGAATCTATCAAAACATAACTAAGCAGGAAATGACAACAGCAAAAATATCAAAAGAAAACAATTAAACTCATCATCTTCTTTATGGTAGGTTATTAGAGAAAACTACAACAAAGCCCAAAAAAATCAAAACATACATGTTTTTCAGTATTAGTATTCACACTAAAAATACTAAATTTAAATATTAAATATTAAAATCATTTCATTTCTGAAATGTTTCAAAGCACACACACAATGAATTCTAACCTAATTAATAAGTATTTCAAATCATTACAGAAATATTATTCTAGTAATTACCAAAAAGACTCAAGAAAATAAATTTTAAAAAAATAAAGCATAGAATCAAAAATATTAAACTTATGCTTATGGATTTTCCAGAAACTTGGAAGAAACACCATTTCTGTTCTTGCAGCTGGCCAACACTTTGGTCCCTTCAGTCTTGATTATATCTATTCCTTTCACATACTTGAACTTGCCCATCATCAGTTATTGTTGCTATATATATATATATTCAATCCTTTCTTCCTTGCAGGCTCCTTTACCTTTACAAACATAATCCACTATATCAGTGTTCGAGATCCAAAGAACAAAATACTGCTCTTACAAAGTCTTTTATGGTAATTATTGGAGCAGCATCTCTTCACTTTTCACTTTTTAAAATAGATAATACATACACACAGTACAAAATTCAAAACAAAATACATTCCTTAAAAGCATATTTTACTTTTAGTCATTTTTACAGTATACTTTGTAAGCTTTCTCATTTACTATATTGCTAACATTCATCCATATGGTTGCATGTCACTATAATTCATTTATATAAACTAAAATATATTTCATTCTGTAAATATAACACAGTGCATTCAACCACTCTCCTGTTAATGGACAATTGGACTGTTTTCTATTTTTGCTGTTTGAAGAGTGCACTATGTATCTTTGTGCATGTGCAAAAGTTGTTCTTGAATATGGTCCCATAAATACGCAGGAGTGAAGAATGTAAATGTCCAACTTTAAGGAATAACACCAAATCTGTTTTCTTTTTTCTTTTCTTTTTTTTTTTTTTTTGAGATGACAGAGTCTTGCTCTGTCACCAGGTTGGAGTGCAGTGGCGCAATTTCGGCTCACTGCAACCTCCACCTCCTGGGTTCAAGCGATCCTCCTGCCTCAGCCTCCTGAGTAGCTGAGACTACAGGCATGCCACCATGCCCAGCTAATTTTTTGTATTTTTAGGGGAGGGAGGGTTTCACCATGTTGGCCAGGATGATCTGGAGCTCTTGACCTCGTGATCAGCCTGCCTTGGCCTCCCAAAGTGCTGGGATTGAAGGCGTGAGCCACCATGTGCGGCCACCAAACCTATTTTCTAAAGTGGTTAAAATGATTTGCACTCCCTTCAATGGTAAATAGAGGATTCTATATCCTCTCCAATAGTTGATATTGCCACACTTATCTTTGCCAATGAAAGTGATACAAAATGTTATCTAAGTAAGATGTTGATATTTGCATTTCCCTGATCACTAATGATGTTGAAGTTCTTTCTATATATTTAGTGAACATGAGTGTTTTCAGTAAAATGTCTGTTCATGTCTTTTGCCCATTTTACTACCAATTCTTTGAAATGTATTATTGATTTGTAGCTCTTAGTTACATATTCCTCAAATTAAATCCTTATTTGTTGTGTGTATTGCAAATATCTTCACCCAATTTGAACTTTGTTCATTATCACTAAAGTATATTTAGTGAACAAAATTCTTATCTCTAATTTACAGAAAGTTATTTATATTTTATAATCAGTTTTCTGTGTTGTCTAACCCATTTCCCATTTAGAGAAAAAAAAAAAGTGCAGCCTGTTGCCAGCGCTCATTTCTCGGGGGAAACACAAAATGGGTTAATTAATCTTTCATCTCAAGGTATAAAAGATATTCACCTATTTTTTTCTCTTAAGGTTTCCAATTTTATAATTTTTAAATTTAAGTTTTTAATTCATTTGAAGCTATTTTTGTATAAAGTACCTTTTTGCAAATGAATAACAATCTTTCAAGGTTCATTTATTAGGCATCCTTGCCTTTCTCTGCTTATCTCATTTGCCATTTCTATCAAGTTCCAAAGTCCCATTGTTAGGTGTCCTCTGGGCATCTACTCTTGTACCTGTTAACTTAGGTACACTATTGCTGGGACCAATCCTGTCTTATCTCCTATTATTTCCTAATAATCCTTAACACCTAGCAGGACATATTCCCCTCTCTCTGCTTGTTCTTCAAGAGTGCCATGGCTACTTTTGGCTTTTCATTCTTTCATATAAATTTTA
The DNA here is from genome assembly GCF_000001405.40 of Homo sapiens. Lineage (NCBI taxonomy): Eukaryota > Metazoa > Chordata > Mammalia > Primates > Hominidae > Homo > Homo sapiens. Next base: position 55,644,520 of record NC_000018.10, on the reverse strand, counting down.
GAAAGATTTTATTACTTTTCATAAAAATCCATCTTAGAACTTTATTGGAATTGCATTGAATCAATGTAGAGAGTACACCATCTTTGCAATAATACTCTTCCTATTGATAAACATGATACATCTCTTCATTTGTGTAGGTTTCTGTCAATATCTGCCAATGAGAATTTATAATTCCTGTACAAATGTTGCTCATGTTTTGTTAGATTTCTTTCTAGAGATGTGATTCTCTCTGACAACACTGCATGTGATATCTTGTCTTTAATTTTCTAGTTGCTTGCTGTGCGTTTATAGAACTAAAACTGTTTGTATGTTAATCTTGCTAAACTCTCCATTTATTTCCAATAATTTGTAAATTGAGATTTTCTATGTTAGCAATCATTTTACACAAACAATTAAAGCTTTACTTTATTTGTTCGAATTCTTAAGTTATCTTATTTTTCTTGCTTTATTTCACAGACTAGGACCTCCATATAAAATATTGAATAGAAGTAGTGATGTGGGCATCCTTGTCTCATTTCGAATTTTAAAACTGCCTTGCATCCTTAGAATAAACTTCATTTGATCATGATACATAAATATTTTTGTATATTGCTGAATTCTATTTTCTATTATCTTAATGATTTTGCAACTTTATTCCTAGGGGTTATTGTTCTGTAATTTTTTTTTTGTTTTGTTCAAACTGTCTTTATCTTATTTGAGTATCAGGATAATACTAGCTTCATAAAATGAATTGGAAAGTGTCTCTTCCTCTTCTATTTTTTTGTAAAAGTTTGTATACAATTCTTGTTAATTCTTCCTGAAACATTTGGTAGAATTCTCCAATAAAACCATCTGGGCCTGGAGATTTCTTTGTGAGGAAGTCCTTTAATTACAAATTCAATTTTCTCAATAGTTATAGGGCTATTCATATTATCTGTCTTTTATTGGGGAACTTAATGGCAGGTGCATTTTTTGAAGAATTTTATCTAAATTGTTAAATTTGTGTATATAGAGTTGCTCATAATATCGCTTATTATCTCCTTTTGATGCCTGCAGTGTCTGTAGTGATATTCCCTCTTTAATTTCTGATAATAGTAATTTGCGTTCTCTCTCTCTTTTTTCTTTGTCATTCATGCTATAGGTTTGTCAATTTTATTATTGTTTTCAAAAAACCAACCCTTTGTTTCATTGATTGTCTCTATCATTTTTTGTTTTCCATTTCATTGATTTCTGTTCTTATATTTATTATTTTATTTCTTATTATTGTTTTGAATTTATTTTAATCTTCTTTTTCTAAGCTATTGAGGTGGGAACTTAGATTACCAATTTTAGACTTTTTTTCTAATATATGTATTTAGCACTATAAATTTCCATATCAGCACTGCTTTAGCTGTGCCTCGCAAATTTTGATATGTTGTCACTTTGTTTCCATTCAGTCCAATGTATTTTTTAAATTTCTCTTAAGACTTATTCGTTAAGTCGTGAGTTATTTAGAAATCTGTAATTTCATTTACCAGTATTTGGAGATTTTCCTGTTATCTTCTGTCACTGTTTTCTAGTTTGGTTCCACTGTGGTCAAAGAACAGTTATGTTAAATTTGATGAGGTTTGTTTTATGGCCCAGGATGTGGCTCACACTGGTATGTATTTTGTGGGCTTTTGAAAAGAGTAGGTATTCTGCTTTTTTTGAGTGGAGGGTTCTGTAAATATTAATTAGATCCTGTTGGTTGATGCTGTTGTTGAGTTATTCTATGCAATTGATATTTATCTAGTCCTATCAATTGTTGAGAGAAAGGTATTGAAGTTTCCAACTATAATTTTTGTTGGATTTGTCTATTTCTCCTTTCAGTTTTTGCTTCACATATTTTTCAGCCTCACAAATTTTTCAGCTCTGTTGTTTGAAGCATGCACATTTAAGATTGCTGTGTCTTCTTGGTGGATTTACCTTTTTATTCCTGTTCATTTTAATTGCATGTGTCTATTTTATCTGATATTAACATAGCCAACTCCTACTTCTTCTGATTAATATTTGTATGATATATTACTTTACATTATTTTACTTTCAAACCATCTATATCATTACACTTAAAGTGAGTTTCATGCAGAGAGCTCATTGTTGGATCAATTTTATCATTCATTCTAGGCAAATCTATGACTTGTAATTGATATGTTTTGACCATTCACATTTAGTGTAATTGATATGTTAGGGCTTAAATCTGCCATTTTATATTTTTTATTTTCTGTTTGTCCTTTCCGTTTTTCATTTCTCTGTTTTCTTTTCCTTTCTATGGCTTACAGGGACATTTAAAATTTTTCGTTTGATTTATTTATAGTGTTTTTGAGTATAGCTCTTTGTACAGCTTTTTTAGTGGTTACTCTAGGCATTTCATTATATATCATTATAACATCACATTCTACTGTTGTTACTTCACCAGGTTAAGTCCTTTTACTCTCCCTACTTACAACATGATTGTCTTAAATACTTTCTCTACATACATGCAGAACCACACCAGACATTGTTACAATTTTTGCCTCAGCTATCAAACATAATTTAGAAAACTCAAGAAAAGGAATGTCTCTTGTATTTACCCCATATTTTTGCTTACTGTGTTTTTTCTCCCCTACTATGTTCCAAGGTTTATTATTTTCGTTCAGTCTGTAGAACTTCTTTTAGTCATTCTTTTAGGGTAAATCTCTTCATTTTCCCTCATCTGATTTCCCCTTCATTCCTAGAGGATATTTTCACTGAATATTGTATTCAGGGTTAACAGCTGTTTTCTTTCGACATTTGAAATATGTTGTGCTACTTCCTTCTGGCTTCTGTGGTTTCTAATGAGAAATCGACTGTCATTCCAACTGTTTTCTCCTGTAGTTAAGTTGTCATTTCTTTATTGCTGCTTTGGAGATTTTTTCTTTGTCTAGTTTTAGAAGTTTTACTATAATGCATCATATGGTTTGGCTGTGTCCCCACCCAAATCTCATCTTGAATTGTAGCTCACATAATTCCCACATGTTGTGGGAGGGACTCGGTGGGAGGAGGCGGTTTCCCCCATACTGTTCTCCTGTTAGTGAATAAGTCTCATGAGATCTGATGTTTTTTAAGGGTTTTCCCTTTTGCTTGGCTCTCATTCTCTCTTGTCTGCCACCATATGAGACACGCCTTTCACCATCCACCATGATTGTGAGGCCTCCCCAGCCACGTGGAACTGTGAGTCCATTAAGCCTCTTTTTCTTTATAAATTGCTCAGTCTCGGGTGTGTCTTTATCAGCAGTGTGAAAACGAACTAATACAATGTTTCTTGGTGTGCATTTTTTAGGGGTGGGGGTGGTTATCTTGTTTGGGCTTTGCTCAGCTTCTTAAATCCATAGGTGTATGTCTTTTGCCAAGTTTGTAAGTTTTCAGTCATCATTTCTGTAAGTTCCTTTTAGCCCTATTCTATTTCTTCTCTTTCCAAGACTCTGATGAAATGCACTTAGATCTTTTGTTATAATTACATGGATCGCTGCATCTTTGTTCACCTCTGTTCTTTCTTTTCTTCCAGACTATTTTCTCTGTGTTATTCTGATTGGATAATTACGATTGTTTCATCTCCCAGTACACTGATTCATTCCTCTCTGTTCCTCCACTCTAGTGTTGAGTCCATCCATTAAGTTTTTATTTTAGCTATTATATTTTGCAACTCTAGAATTTTCATTTGGTTCATCTTTACAATCTTCTATTTATTTGTCGAGGCTATTATTTTATTAGTTTCAAGTGAGCTTATAGTTTCTCACTGAAGCATTCTAAAACTCTTAGATGGCTACTTTAGAATTTTGTTAGATAATTCAAAGATCTTTGTTATTTTGATGTTTACATCAGTTGATTGTCCTTTTCTTTCTTTTTTTTTTTTTGTTGGTGGGGAGGTGTTGGGGGGAATAGAGTCATGCTCTGTCATCCAGGCTGGAGTGCAGTGGCACAATCTCGGCTCACTGCAACCTCCGCCTCCTGGGTTCAAGTGATTCTCCTCCCTCAGCCTCCCAAGTAGCTGTGATTTCAGGCACATGCCACCATGCTCGGCTAATTTTTTATGTTTTTATTAGAGGCAGGGTTTCACCATGTTGACCAGGCTGGTCTTGAACTTGTGACTTCACAGGATCTGCCCATATCAGCCTCCCAAAGGGCTGGGATCACAGACGTGAGCCACCGTGCCTGGCCAATTGTCCTTTAATTAAAAAACATATATATAGGCCAGGTGCGGATATATAGGCCGGGTGCGGTGGCTCATGCCTGTAATCCCAACACTTTGGGAGGCCGAGGCGGATGGATCACAAGGTCACGAGATCGAGACCAGCCTGACCAGCATGGTGAAACCCCGTCTCTACTAAAAATAGAGGCGCGTGGTGGCACGCGCCTGTAATCCCAGCTACTCGGGAGGCTGAGGCAGGAGAATTGCTTGAACCTGGAAAGCAGAGGTTGCAGTGAGCCGAGATCGCGCCGCTGTGCTCCAGCCTGGTGACGAAGTGAGACTCCGTCTCAAAATATATATATATATAGTATTAGATCTGCCCAGTTCTTGATCTGATGAGCAATTTTAAAATTGGAAACCTGGTCATTTTCAATTTTACTTTATGAGACTCTGGATTGCATTAAGCCTCTTTTTTTGCCAACTTCTTCTCATACCACTCAAGCAAATATGTGTGTGTGTGTGGGGAGGGTGTGTTATTACTGCCAGGTGGGGGTAGACATCTAGGTTTCTCTTAAATGTCCATTGATACCTGAGGGGTAAGGGCTCCTTATTACTGTTAGGGAAGGGTGGGAGGTTCAGCTACCCATGAGGCCTCCACTGATATCTGCCTGGAAGGGAGGAGTAGGGGTGCCTCACTAAAGATTCTCTGGTGTCTTCCACTGACACCATGGTGGGGCCCTCATTACTAATGGGTGGTGGTGAAGACCTAACTCTCTACTAGGCCTCCTTAATATCACCCTAGTAGAGAAGGGATGGGCAGATCATTACTGCCAGGTTGAGGTGGAAATTCAGCCTCCCTACATGGTCTCTACTGGCACCACCAGGGAAGCAGGCTTCATTACTGTCAACAGAAATAAAGACCTAGGCTCCCTACTCACCTTCCTCTGATATCATCCCAGCATAAAGATTGGGGTGCCTCTTTCAACTTTGCTTTATGTATTTTGAGGTCATTTTTATTAATTTTCACTATTCGTATCCCTAAAAATGCTCTTTTGAAAAATTTTAATGTCTATTTATTTTTATCTAATTTAAATATTTTTTCCCTGATCTGTCAATATTTACATTTTTGTCCATTTCTATTTATTAAAATTTTAAATTTTTTGAACATCTGTCTACCACTTATTTGTTTGTTTGTCTGCTTATTTTTGAGACAGGTTCTTGTTCTATCACCTAGGCTGGAGTACAATGGCGTGATCACAGCTCACTGCAGCCTTGACCTCCCATGCTCAAGCGATTCTCCCACTTCAGCCTCTGGAGTAGCTGGGACTACAGGCACGTACCACCAGGCCTGGCTAATTTTTGTAATTTTTGTAGAGACAGGTTTCACCATGTTGCTCAGGCTGGTCTCAAACTCTTGAGCTCAAATGATCCGCCCACCCCAGCTTCCCAACGTGCTGGAGCTACAGGCATGAGCCACCATGCCCAGCCCACTTAATTTATTTCCCATATTTTCTATGTGTCTTCTTAATCCATTCTCTGGATTGTTTTTGTATTTGGGTGTTTATATGACATTTTCATATACTTCATTTCCCTTCAACTCTCATTATGTTGACATTATCCAGATTTTCATATTTTAAGATTATTATGGATACACTATTTTATTTTCTTCTATCTTAGTAATGCTTTAAAGACAATAGCAGTGATAACAAAAAGCCACCAAAGTATTAAATCACTTTTACTTCATATTTTCATACTTTTTAAGATTATTATGGATATACAATTTTATTTTCTTCTTAGTAATGCTTTAAAGACAATAGCAGTGATAAAAAGCTACCAAAGTATTAAATCACTTTTACTTCATATATTTATTGCAGCTTCTCCTGAATTTGTCTCTTCACTTCCTTAAGTGCTTTATCTAAAACTCTTTTTGATAATGCTCTTTGAGTGGGGATCCTTCTGAGGTCTTATGTATGAGAGAATATTCTTATCTAGCCCTCATATTTAAATGACAGTTTGGGTAGATACAAAATTCCAAGTTCTAAATTATTTTTCTTAAATATTTTTACTACCACTATTTTTTTTAAATTGAGACAGGGTCTCACTCTATCACCCCGGCTGAAGGGCAGGGGCACTATTATGGCCAGTGGCTCACTGTGGCTTGGACCTCTCCGGGTTCAAGTGATCCACCCACCTCAACCTTCTCAGTAGCTAGGACTACAGGCATGCATCACCATGCCCGGCAAAAAACAAAAACGAAAACAAAAAAACAAAAAACAAAAATAAAAACCACTATTTCTTAAATTGTTTTTCAAAAACTATCATATCAATCTGATCCTGTTCCTCTGTATGTAATCTGCTTTTTTAGAACTCTCTTTTTCTTCAAAACTATTCAATTGAAATATGTTTCCTTGTAGGTTTTCTTTATCTGTTATTCTAAGGGCTCTTTCAATTTGAAGTCTTTCTTCCTTGTATTTTAAATTGTGGGAAATGTATTCCTTCCATGTTTTCTTTTCATTATTACTTCTTTTATTGGACTCTTATTAGCCAGAACTTATAACCATTATTTCTTTCCTTTGTATAGCTTTTTAAAAAAAATTTGTAATTTGTTTGTACTTTCCTTCATTCTTTCCTCAATCCTTTCTTCCAATTCTAATTTATTTTTCAGTTGTATTCATTCTGCCATTTATCTCATTACAGTTTTATTTCAGCTATCATGTTTTTTACCTAATATAGCTGCTTGAGTATATTTTTTATTCTTATTTCATATTACTACTAGTTTCTTATGTCTTAGAATTTTTATTAGGCTAATTTTAAATCGTTTGTCTTTCTAACAATGCTGCTTCTGATGAACTATGTAATCCAGTGTTTGTTTTTCCTTTGAAATAGTTGTGCTCCTGATAAGACCTATTAGTTTGGACTGTGAACTCATCTCCCCACGAGGGCATCAGGCAGTGTACGTGGGGAGAAGCCGGATTTCAGCCCTCATCAGAGTATTTAGTATGGGGGTAGGGGTGGGATGAATGAGACTTAGTGTGGAAAGTTTTCTGGTGGAGGCCCCAGAAAACCAAAGTTAATCATTCCTCGTTCCACAGAACAGCTCGTCAAGATTTTACTGTTTGCCCTTCTTGGGATACCATATTAAGAGACATTCCGTTCGGGTGCAGTGGCTCACACCTGTAATCCCAGCACTTGGGGAGGCCGAGGCGGGCAGGTCATGAGGTCAGGAGTTTGAGACCAGCCTGACCAACATGGTGAAATCCCATCTCTACTAAAAATACAAAAATTAGCCGAGTATGGTGGCACGTGCCTGTAATCCCAGCTACTCAGGATGCTGAGCCAGGAGAATCGCTTGAACCCGGGAGGTGGAAGTTGCAGTGAGCTGACACTGCACCACTGCACTCCAACCTGGGCGAAAGAGGGAGACTCCGAAAAAAAAAAAAAAAGAGACATTCCAATGCTGTAAATCCCCAGATCTGCAGATTTTGAGATGGAAAAAAGGAGGTAGAAAAGCGATCCTAGTTTAGTGAATCTACACCTGTTCTTCTCAGTATCTCACAGGATCAAGACTTTTATGCTGCCCTGCTCTTATGTTTGAAGCATCAGAGTCATTGCAAGTAGAAGGTTGGGTATTATTCGTCCCAAAGCAATGTTTGGAAAAGTAAGAGCAAAATTCCTAAATTCCCTTCCTATGTTAACCTCCCACAGAAGTGCTGCACCACCCCTGGTCTCAGATATGTCTCCCCCTAAGGTACACACACACACACACACACACACACACACACACACACAACTTCAAAACAGCTACTATTACCCCAGGAACTTCCCACAATTTTCTCCATAATTTGGTATTTTTCCTCTATGGCCATAAGTCTCAATTTTGGCTGTGTATTAGAATTACTTGGGGAGATTTTTTAAAATCTCAATGCCCAAGCCACACTCCTAGACCAATTAATTTAGAAGTTCTTAGGATGAGACTGAGACATCGTTTTTTTTCTTTTTTCTTTCTTTCTTTCTTTTTTTTTTTAACCATCCCAAGGTCTTTATTTATTTAGTTTATGCCTATCATGCCATGAATTCATGGGGAATAGATTCTAGCAGCTCGAGCTCCTTTTCTTTGGGTCTCAGAAAATGTGCTTCTCTGGGCAGAGCAGGCTGGTTTTTCGGTTGAACCTAGATCCCTTTCTCTTCGGCTTCCTTCTTTTTCTGATCATTTTCCTCCTACCATTTCAGGATGCTATCTCAGCTCTTAGAGTGCTTAATATGCTCAATATGTACATTAATTCTCTTGGCAAGAATCTTTCTCTTATCTTGTTTGTTTACAACAATGCCAACAGCATGCTGGGTTACACAGTAGACTCTTCCAGCTTTGCCATGGTAACACTTGTGCAGCATTCCTTTTCGAACAGTGCCCATTCTCTTGATGTCTACAGTATCACCTTTCTTGTAGATTGGCACTTATGCGGCCAAAGGAACAACACCATGTTTTCTAAAAGGCTGGAGAAAATACCACAGGTGCCTCTCCTCTTTCCCTTCATCTTCATCATTTTGACAAATTACTCAAAGATGGAGGGTGCAGTTGAAAGCCAGCCATCATTTTTTAAAACTTCTCAGGACATTGTAACATGCACTTGGGTTGAGAACTGCTACTCGAGCTTCTCCAGGAGGCCCTTGGAGGTAGGAACCAGCATTTGGGCTACTTTAGCATCTTAGTAGAAACTGAAACCAAAAATGATCTCCCATGGCCACCATGGCCAAACATAACGGTAGTTTCTAGCTCTCTAACCTCTCTCCCTGACATCTCCACAGCACTTGGCCTGCCCTCTTGAGAGTCTTTTCTTTTTTTCTTTTTCTTTTCTTTTTTTTTTTTTGAGACAGGGCCTCACTCTGTCTCACAGGCTGGAGTGCAATGGCACATTCTTGGCTCACTGCAGCCTCTGCCTCCCGGGTTCTAGCAATTCTCATGCCTCAGCCTCCCAAGTAGCTGAGATTACAGGCATGCACCACAATGCCCGGCTAACTTCTGTATTTTTAGTAGAGACAGGGTTTTGCCATGTTGGTTGGGCTGGCCTCGAATTCCTGACTTCAAGTGATCTGTCCATCTCGGCCTCCCAAAGTGCTGGGATTACAGGCATGAGCCACCACGCATGGCCCTGCCTTCTTGAGATTCTTGCTGAGACTGTACAAGGCGTTGACTCTTGTCTAATCTTTTGCACTGCTCCTCTGTCTCCTTTCCCATCAACATTCTAAAGTTGGCTGCTTCTCAGTATTCATAATCCATGGTTCCTCTTTCTCTCCAAGAACTCTGCCAGCATGTACATTTATAAAACCACATCTCCAGCCCTAACCACTCTCATGTGTTTTTTCTCTAATACACCTCCATTTGGATGTCATGCTGGCATCTCAAATTCAATATATCTAAAAAGGAACTCATAATTTCTGCATAAAACAGCACCCCCTTACGACTTCCTTTATCAATCTAGCTGCCATTTTCAGGATCATTTTTGGTTCTTCCTTCAACAGTCTATTTCCAGTGTTCAGTTGGACTTTTCTGTGCAATATCACTTCTACGTAATTAACATCTTTCAAGTTCAGATCCTAACAATTTCCTGTCTAGATTATTGAATCAGCCTCTTGCTCAATATCCCTCACTTTGTTACTCCCTACCACAAGGTCATAAATACACCATTGTCAGTTTAATATAGGATAAAATTGCAATCATGTGACTCACAACTTATTGCTCAAAACCCATCACCAAAGTACAAAGCCCGTGGCATCCAATGCCCTTCAGTATGGCCCAAACTATCTTTCTGACCATGCTTGCACCTATTCCTCCACACTAGATGGGATGTTTTTTCTTTTTGAAATGGAAAGAACATAAACTTTGAATCAGACAGATTTGGTTTTAAATTCCCTGCTACTTCTAACTTGGATAAGTTTCTAAAACAACATGAGCCTCAGTTTTCACAACTAAAAAAACAGAAACAAATATGTAAAATATTATAAATTAGTAAAAGAAAAAAGGTGAATAAAACAGAGACATTAATAGCTAATAGAACTGTTTCATATAAATTCTAGTTTTTTTTTTTGTTTTTGTTTTTGTTTTTTTTGAGACGGAGTCTCACTCTGTTGCCCCAGGCTGGAGTGCAGTGGCACAATCTTGGCTCACTGCAACCTCCACCTCCTGGGCTCAAGCCATTCTCCTGTCTCAGCCTCCCATGTAGCTGGGATTACAGGCCCCTGCCACCACGCGTGGCTAATTTTTGTATTTTTAGTAGAGACGGGGTTTCATCATGTTGGCCAGGCTGGTCTTGAACTCCTGACCTCAGGTGACCCGCCCGCCTTGGCCTCCCCAAGTTCTGGGATTACAGGTGTGAGCCACTGCGCCCAGCCTAAATTATAGTATTATGTTTTTTGTTAGATCCTAAACTTCCCTGCTGCACCTGGACTTCGTTGTTGTTGTTGTTGTTGTTGTTGTTGTTGTTTTGTGCCTTTTTTGTTTTGGTTTGGTTTTTAGCCTTTGTATACAGCTGTTTCTCCTGGCTATGCTCTATATCAAGGGTTGACAAACTATAGCCCACAGACCTACTTTGGGCTTAACCGAGACATACCTATTCATTTAAGTATTGTCATTAAGTATGCTACAACAGCAAAGGTGAATTATTGTGACAGAGACCATATGGCCTGCAATGCTTAAAAAATTTGCTATCTGGCCCTTTACAGAAAAAGTTTGCCCACCCCTGCTCTAGCCTCTCTTTCTTTACTCATGCTATAGTATCTCCCCAGGTATTCTGGGTTTAAAATATGTCCACAAATCCTCCAACAAAACTAACTTCAAAAGGTGGAGCCCCCATCCCCTTGAATATAGGCTGGAATTCGTGACTTGCTTGCAACAAATAGGACATGGCAGAGGTGTCAGTGTGTGACTTCTTAAACTAGGTCATAAAGGGCACTGTGGCTTCCACTTTGCTCTTTTTAGATCACTAATTCTGGAAGAAGCCAACCCCCATATCATAAAGACACTCAAGCAGACTGTGGCGAGTCCCACATGGAGAGAAGCTGAGGCCTCCTGCCAACAGCCAGCACCAACTTGCCAGGCATGTGGGAGCCACCTTAGAAGCTGATACTGCAGGCTTGGTCAATCCTTTAGAGGAACTTGCTGACTTGCAGGCCCAGTCCACATCTTGGCTCAAACCTCAGAACAGACCGTAAGCCAGAACTATCTGGCTAAGCCACATTCCAAATACCCAACCCATAGAAACTGTGAGGATAATAAATACTTAATGTTGTTTTAAGCCACTAAGCTTCAGGTTAATTTCTTATACAGCAATTGATAACTAATACATAAGAAAACCTTCATTTACCATCCACTGACCAAAGACTCAAATATACAACCACAGCCTGGACCTCTCCTATGACCTCATACCTTCATATATAACTACCTATTCCACATCTGTTCCTAGAGATCTCAAAGGCATCTAAAACCCAACATGTGTGAGACTTTGGTCTCTTTCCCTCAGACAGGATCTTCCTCCAATATTCCCTATCCCAGTTAATGGCATAATGAGCTTAATCCATAAACTACAACTCTGGCCTTCTGTGATACTTCTTTGTCCTTCACACCCTATATTCAATCCATTATCAATTTCAGCCAAATTAACTAATATGTAGTTTTTAAATCAGGATGTTACCCTCCAGCAGTACTATAGAGATGCTCTTTCATTGTCTCTGGCATCTGCTGATCATGAGAAGTCTTCTGTAAGAGCATCATTCTTTGAAGGTAATCTATCTTTCCTTCTGATAGCCTTTGATGTTTTCTGAATAACCTTGAGCCTAAACCTGGGTTTGCTTTTATTCATCCTACCTAAGACTTGGTGTGATCTTTACAATCTGAAGACATATAGCTCTTCAACTCTCAAAAAACTCCATCGTCTCCCTGAATATTGCCTTTTGATTCTTGTCTCTATTCCCTGTATAACAGTTAGGGTCCAGTCAGACACACCAGTTATGTTAGTAGACAAAAATTAACCTAAAGAACTGTTGGCCGGGCGCGGTGGTTCATGCCTGTAATCCCAGCACTTTGGGAGGCCGAGGCGAGTGAATCACGAGGTCAGGAGATGGAGACCGTCCTGGCTAACATGGTGAAACCCCGTCTCTACTAAAAATACAAAAAATTAGCAGGATGTGGTTGCAGGCGCCTGTAGTCCCAGCTAGTCGGGAGGCTGAGGCAGGAGAATGGCCTGAACCCGGGAGGCGGAGCTTGCAGCAAGCCGAGATCGTGCCACTGCACTCCAGCCTGGGCCACAGAGCGAGACTACGTTTCAAAACAAAACAAAACAAAAACAACAACAACAACAAAAAGAACTGTTAATCAGGGCAAAAAGAGGGCATTGAGGCATGGAAGGAACTGCAGAAGGATGCTACCCCACTAGGGTTAAGGGACTAAAAGGATGAGATTAGAATTACTAACATTTAGAAACTTGGAGGAAGGGCCCTGCAGAATTGGAATTAATACCTTTGAGCAGAGTCTGCTGGCCTGTTGGTACTAGCGTTTCTGAGGGATGCAACGAGGTTGGTTATGCAAGTTTTGGAACAACTGCAAATCGAAATAACTGCTGCTACCAGGATGAATTCCACTACCAAGACAGGCATTAAACATCATTCCTAAGGCACTCACCTACTCTCAGAACTCAATAGACTGAATCTTCAACTTGCAACAATGGCTTTGTTTTTGACATGCGTCAATTTCCCTTTTGCTTTCCAGCTCAGCTATATATTTTAAGTGTGTCTATGTATTTGCAGCAGATAGAAGTGATTCCTTTCACCAGCTTAGTCATTTGTCAAGAGTTTCTGTGCACTTGTCTTCATCCCTGTAGGGCATTACCCTAACCCAAAACATTATCATTTCTTCCCCAGACTACCAGTACCATCTTCTAACTTGTCTACCTGCCTTCATTCTAACATGTCCACCATCTTTTCTCCACCCTGCAGCAAATGTTTTGTAAACACCAATCTAAGAACATTATCTCTTGGACGGGCATGGTGGCTCACACCTGTAATCCCAGCACTTTGGGAGGCCAAGGTAGGTGGATCACCTGAGGTCAGGTGTTCAAGACAGCCTGGCCAACATGATGAAATCCTGTCTCTACTAAAAACACAGAAATTAGCTGGGTATGGTGGCATGTGCCTGTAGTCCCAACTACTCAAGAGGCTGAGGCAGGAGAATTGCTTGAACCCAGGAGGCAGAGGTTGCAGTGAGTCGAGATCATGCCACTGCACTGCAACCTGGGTGACAGAGTGAGATTCTATTTCAAAAAAAAAAAAAAAACCCATTGCTCTTACAATAAAGATAAACATGTTGCATATGTCCAACAAGGCCTTGTATGTACTGACCCAGTGCCATCTTGCATTGTGCTCCTTCTTTTCTGTGTTTCCTGGCCACTCTGGCCTCCTTTGCTATTTTCAAATAGGACAAAGCCTTTGCATATGCTGATGCTCCTATCTGCATCAGTCCTCTTCCCAATTCTGTCCATTTAATCACCACTCATCCTACAGAAAACAAGTCAAATTCCTCCAAGAAGCCTTCCTTGCCATCAAACTAGGTCAGCACTCTATTTATATGGTCTCATAGTCTTAGATTTCTTTTACACACTGTGTTATGGATTATTTGGTAAAGCCTCCTCTTTGGGGTTATAAACTCCAAAAGAAAAGAGGCATAGCATGCTATGCTCCTAGCAAGAGTTTCTGCCACACAATAAACATTTAATAGCTCTTTATAGAATGAATAAATGAGCCATATTGAATGTTGATTAAATTTCAACAAGCTTTCCAGAAATCAGCCTATAATGATTATCCCTTTCAGTGGACTTCTGACACTTGTAATTCATCTGACATATTTCCTTTCTTTTCTGCCATGGGCTTGGTAGTCTCAGTTAGCATATCATTGATTAAGGTCAGGGGCCTTTATGTTATTTTTGAATTCCCAGTGTCTAGCACAGTGCCATTGAAATAGTATGCAATCAACACATTTTTATTTTTCATGATAATGATTAAGAACTTAGTGCCATTATAGTTAATGTAGTAAAATTTTGTGAATTCAATAATGCCCCTAAGTAGTATACAACTTTGAAAGCACGCTCTTCTCAAGTAATTAAATGTTATAATTATCTAACACATTATTATTCTATATAAAATTTCAGAGATGTTAGTTCATTATTTTCAGCCCTTTATATTTTAAATTAATGATATAGTAATTTTTAAAAAACAAACCTTTGCTTTACTTTAGCTGAAGACACAAATGTCTTCAGATGGTGCTCAAAATGGTTTAAATTACACAGATGAGGTAAACATACAGTGAAATCTTAGAAAGGCCCCAAAGAATTCCCTACGAATGATACATGAGCCAAGGGCATGACATTCACCTTGGAGGATCTTTCTCCCTTTGAATAAGTTTGATAAAATGCCTTTTTTTTTCCACTTTGACCTTAAGCACTTAGAAATCATTTGTTTTACAAAAGCCCCGTGGTCCAAGATTATAGCAACCAGAATAGTGATGTCTGTCTTACATTTCAATTGTGCATGGTTCAAGACTTTAGTTTAAGAGAGTGATTTTACATAAAAGTTTTTAGATAGATTTCACTCCTGTGCCTTTGTTGGTCTCTTCTGTACTTCTACGAAGAACAGCTTTGTAGTTTCTACGCTGGCTTCAAGCACAATACTATAGCTCCACAACCTTGTCCAACTGTTAGAATCATCCAGTTTTATAGCAGCTGCACACAGGCGTTCACTCACCCGGGTTCTGAGTTTCAGCAATCTTCTTATCTTTGCCATTTTTATGAAATAAGTTTGTTGTATTTTAGCACCCAAGCCCCATAGTATCTTATACCTTACTTTCAGGAAGAGGCTGTCAAACATCTCCTGGTATTATGTTTATGATCTTTGCCACCAGGTTTTTAGGCTTGTTGGAGCATGATTTACACTGCAGACCTCCCTAAATTTAGTTAACTTTCATTCGTCATCACCATCCAGATATTTTAATTTGGTATATCCAGGAGGCATAATAGCCAATGCTTTGCCAGAGAGCTATAAATATTGGTATGAATTTTACATTTCCACTTGACAGTAGGAGTGTCTCAATTGATAGTGATCTTAGGACTTCTTGTCAGCATACCAAATATATCAACAGGCCTTGTCATGAATTTTCCAGACATTTGTAGAATCATGAAAGTTTTTTTCACATTGAAATAAGAAAGTATCACACACACAAAATATTATTTTTTATAAGATTGTTATGTAAAATATAAGATTGTGAATTTTGCATTGCATACAATATTTATTACATGGGAACTTTGTGCATTTATGAAATTATTTACTACTTATTTATAAATGTATAAAGAAATATTTAGCAACAATTGTGTTCTCAATTCTTTTGAAGTCTGTCGACTTATGTCTATTTTTCTAGAGGATTATTCCTTGTTTCTGTCTAGTCTGGCATTTTACTACATATGCACTCTTTTCATAGAACTAGTGATGTCCGTTTGTCAGCCTCAAATGCATACAAATTGCTATCTTAAACCAGATGAGTGTTTTTGCAAAACAAAGACATACAAAATAATGGTTCTTTTGTAGAAATTGATCGAAATATTTTAAAGCTTCCTTCAAGGGTGTGAAGTTTTGGTTAATTCTGGCCTAGAAAAATATTTTGCACATCAACCTAGGGCATGATCATACTTATTTTATATAACATCATGCCTACAGAATGTGTTTTCCAATGACCATCACTAATGGACATTATCTGGTATTTTAATTTTTTTCCAAGGCTTTTCTGTGTATAATGAAAGACAGGAGGCCCACTAAACACAACATTTAAAAATAAGTTAACTCTATATTAGTGAAAAAAAGATTATTAAAAAGATTAAGTGGTACATCAATTAAAAAACTTTTTAAAAAGTTTTTTTAAAAAGAATTAAATTCTGTCAAATTCAGCCTGAAATTTGAACACAGAAATAAGAACAGCAGGATTTTCATTGGAAGATGCATCATTGTGATGTTAGTGGCCAAACCAGATGCCAGGAAAGCAGTGCCTCTCTCAAATTCCCATATGTACACATGAGAGTTCAGCCTTCCTTCTTAATGTCATCCAGTTCCTAGAGAAGTTTTGCTAGTGTTCCTTCTGAATATACGGGGCAAGAGAGGAAGTCAAGGTCACTATCACCACCAAGTCCTGAAGCCAGGTAGTTGTCAGCCTTGAAATGATCCTCATTAAAAACTAGTGGCTTGAATGTCCTCTATGAAGCTGTTCTTTGTTTGTTTGTTTGTTTTTTAGACAGTCTCGCTCTGTCGCACAGGCTGGAGTGCAGTGGCGCGATCATGGCTCACTGCAAGCTCCGCCTCCCGGGTTCACGCCATTCTTCTCCCTCAGTCTCCCGAGTAGCTGGGACTACAGGCGCCTGCCACCACGCCCTGCTAATTTTTTGTATTTTTAGTAGAGACAGGGTTTCACCGTGTTGGCCAGGATGGTATCGATCTCCTAACCTCGTGATCCGCCCGCCTCGGCCTCCCAAAGTGCTGGGATTACAGGCGTGAGCCACTGCACCCGGCCTTGTTTTGTTTTTTGAGATGGAGTCTCACTCTGTCACCCAGGCTGGAATGCAGTGGCATGATCTCGGCTCACTGCAACTGCCACCTCCTGGGTTCAAGCAATTGTCCTGCCTCAGCCTTCCGAGTAGCTGGGATTACAGGCACCTGCCACCACTCCCAGCAAATTTTTGTATTTTCAGTAAAGACGGGGGTTTCACCATGTTGGGCAGGCTGGTCTCGAACTCCTGACCTCAAGTGATCCACCCGCCTTGGCCTCCCAAAGTGCTGAGATTACAGGTGTGAGCCACTGCGCCCAGCCTATGAAGCCTTTCTTGACTCTTCTGAATACACGTGGCCACTGTCTTCCTGCATTGCCATTGTACCCTGTGGAAGCCATTATTGGGACATCTATGAGACTTTTTTTCATGTATGTATATATTGGTCTGTTTCCTCTACTGCACCATAATGCCTGCATTCCCAGGAATTCTATGGCTTTTCTCTCTATCACTCCACACAATATCTAGCACTCAGTCAATGCTCAATATGTTTGTTGACAAAAACATTCTTCTGGACATGTTCATAGAATGAACACACAGCCTTCAGCAGCAGTACACTCAGCAAGTAACTGTGAAAAGGGAGCCATTGGAGTTACCAAATTAGAACCACTCATTTTGAGCAAAAAATCTCTGACTCAATTTGAGGCAGGGCTGCAAAAGTTGAACAGCAACATTAACCATTCACCCAGCACCTCAAGCCTTCACACTGTAATCACATCGATTAGCTGAACATTGGCACCAAAGAAAGGGTCAGTATATTTTTTGTTCAAGCTTTTGTCCATATACAGAAGCTGGTGCCCGATTATTTCAGTGTTTAGTGATTTTAATTTTCTGTGAAATTTGCCTACACAATTTGTGCTTCTCCCAGTTTATGTGCTCTGTACTGTCAAATATGATACAGTCAGAAAGCACATTCCTTTATCATTTTCCTCTTACAAAAAAGAAAACTGGAAAAATTATATTATTTGCCTTTAAGTGGAAAGACATTTCATTTTCCAGATGGATGCTGGTACTTCAGGAAATATTAGAGATATCTTGTTGAAATTTTTAGAAGTGATCCTGTTATCGTACCTTTTACACTCCTGGTCAAGCTGTCATCACTACCAAAGCATTTCCATAACTACCTACATATGCCCATTTCTTTGAGAAAGAAGAAACAGAGTGATGCTAACTTTCCTGAAGTTTCATACACGTTTGAATTTTTATATGTCAAGTCTCAGATTGTCAAAAATTGAAGCATGGAAGTTTGCTCCTGGAACACCAAACATATATAAAATTCCACCTGTGATGTCCTCAACTTTTTAACAGCTCTAACTACTTCACCAACCTCTAGGAACTTTTTTTCAACAGGATATAGTATTCACAGACAAGAAATGAAGGCGAGATTGTTTCTAGATAAATTTAGCTGGGGAATATGGAAAATATGATCTAATAAAGGAAACCTCCAGGTAAGTTCAAGATAGTGAATATATGGGAATTGGAAAACCGATTGCCCAGATTCTTCCTTTAAGTAGTGGTTGTGATAAAATACATTTTGATTTCTATTTCTAATGAAAATGTGAAACAGACATCTATTTTTCCATCCCAACTGGGCTTCCTCCAAATATGCTGCCTTCTCCCTAATGAGTTGGAATAGTGTGCACCATAAAATAGTACAACACATCCTGAAATGCTGACATTTCATTTTTAATTGAAATCAAATAGAAATAGTTCCACTGGGAAACAAGAAAGTAAAGCAGGCTTTTGATAGAAATTAATAGGAAAGGGACGGAAATACTATTCTCTGTCATAAAGTAGTCCACTATGGAAGGCTGCCAGTCCACTTGCCTGAATCTGAGTTTATCTCCAGGATTACATTCAGTGAAAAGAACACATCTTATGAAGGTGGAACGAGAAATCGTATTTGGATGGATATATCAAAGGAAAGAAATAAAAAATACTTCCTTTCTTCTATTTTTTAAAAATCATAGGAATGTAGAGGTCAAGGAAAACTGTTGAATTTTACTGCAAAAACAATGATAGCAAAACAAAAGACTTCATATCATCAACAAAAATATTTACAAAAATATATCAGAAAATACATTCTTTGGGAGGTAAAATAAACTTACATTGCTGGGACTAAAATTCTCTCATCGGTGGGACAACTTTCTTTTAAAAACAGTTTTATGGCAATACTTTTAACAGTGGTACTTTTAAGAGTTGTAGCTTGGCTGGGCACAGTGGCTCACGCTTGCAATCCCAGCACTTTGGGAGGCCAAGGCGGGTGGACCACAAGGTCAGGAAATCGAGACCATCCTGGCCAATATGGTGAAACCCCGTCTCTACTAAACATACAAAAATTAGCTGGGCATGGTGGTGTGCGCCTGTAGTCCCAGCTACTCAGGAGGCTGAGGCAGGAGGATCACTTGAACCCAGGAGGCAGAGGTTGCAGTGAGCCGAGATCAGGCCACTGCACTCCAGCCTGGGCGACAAAGCAAGTTCCCATCTCAAAAAAAAAAAAAAAAGTTGTAGCTTGAGCAGCAACAATAACATTAATAAAGATTAACATTTGTATAACTGTATATGGATTATGAAATATTTGTATAAGATTTTTAATAATTGATACTCCAAACTATTATGAAAATTCCTCAACTTTCAAAAAACAATTCTTTATTCTCTAAAATACCAGACTTTGAATATAGAAAGCCATGATTTTTATGAAAATATTTATCTCTATGGTCATAATTTCTAGAAACAATCTGTAGTACTTTGTACCAAAAAAAAGTCGGCTATTTTTATAGGAGTCATTCCAAGACATTATTGAGTGAGGACTGGTACTAGGATGAGGAAGGGTCAGGCATTTGACACTGAAGAGTTTGTGGCATGTTGCAGAGAGGTACTTAAAAAGATAAATGCCAAAATGGTACGATTAATACCTACTATACCTGACATAGGGACAAAGTGCTTTTTAGATGGCTATCTCAAGGAGTTGGGTAGTAAATGAAACGAAGGATGTAAGAACATAGCTAGAGGGAGAGCTGCCTGGAGAAAGGGTTGGTTTGTTTTCAGAATGTAGAAACTTGCACAGGTTGACAAGTGGAGTCAAAGAAGAGAAGGAAAGTTTGAGCTTCAGGAGAAAAAAGGGATAAGCGATGGATACATATGGCTATTCTTTTTTTTTTTTTTTTTAATCTGGGTCTTTCCACAACTTCTCCCTGGTGACTTTGACTGATTTCTTGGGCTAGCTCAGACATAAGAATTCATGTTTATTAAAACTGATCAAAATAATATGTGATATGTTTTAAGGACTGAAGCCCAGATGTTCCTACTCTTCCAGAACACTTGAACATGCACTGACTTCCTGAGGGCCACCAGGCATTTAGGGAGATGCCCAGTGAGAGGAAGGCAGCCTTGTGTCCCTTATAATGAGACCCTTCTCTGAAATTATTAAATAATCTACCTTGCAGTAAAAACTGCTGATTCTTCGTGGAGGTCTCTTCAAATACAATGATCTGTGAAAATTCTGCCTACAGAATTTTAAGAAAAACCAAGAGTACCAATTAACTAAAAAATTTATATAAAATTAATGATGAAAACAATGACCATTAACAAACACAAAAATAAAAACCCCTTTATTGCTCACTCTATCTAATACTAAAACTTCACAAAATTAATGTCTAAGTTACCTGATGAAAGCAATTTAATAAATCCTTTGGATAATTCTAATAAAAATAAGAAATGTATTATCTCATTCTCAAATTTGCCACAATTAAAGAGAAACTCTCTTTTGAATTGGGAGGTTTCTCTCTAAAGAATTTTCCTCTTCTAATAAAGGATATTGCAATATCCTCTGAATAGATGTTTAAAATCTCTCTCATAAGTTCTGGAAATCTCTCTCATTGAAATAGTCCCAGCTTGACAGCCCTGCAATAACCATTAAATATTAAAATAACATTAAAAAGCAACTGCTCAGCTCATGGATCTAGCTGCAAAACTCCAATTCACACTAATGGGACTCACATAGCTAAATCCCCATGTGCTGTACCGAAAATTTATGCCCAAGGATCCAAGGATCAGGCGTGTTAAAGAAAATGATGGATTCACTTTCAAAAAAAAATATCGATCCACTACCAAACAAATTATCATTATTCATGCAATTTCAGTCACATAATTATTCTAAAAACCAGACTGTCTAAGATTAAACAGCATCCAATTTTGCATTCACATAGTATTCATTTGTGATGTAATAAAATTCATACTTCCATTGCAAGATGATTTGAATGTTGTAAAAACATATATACAGTTTAAAAAATGTGTCTTATTTACAAACATATCCTAAAGCCAAAATCTAATTCTAGATACATTTTCTGTTTATTATTTCTGTAGACACTACGATCATAATGCTAAAGCTTTAAGAACTATTTTTGTTGTTCTTGAGGTATGTTAAATATAAAAGGGAAAAAGAAAGTATAAATAACTAATAGTGTTAATATTTAAAGTTGTGTGGTGATCTAAACTTCTCAAAGAATTTCTTTAAAGAAATTATAGAAATTTTGACATAGTGACCACACATTATTATAATCATCCATGGTAACTATCCAAGAAGTTACACACTATTAAAAAACAAAAGACAGTGTGTTTAATGGAAAGTATTTCAGACCAAAATTTAACTTACTCAAATTCCAAACTAAGACAAGTCACTTAAATTTCCAAATTCACAATTTTATTAGCTATAAAATGAGTGAGATGGACTTGGGAATCTCTTGTCTGCCACTCTATGGTTTTCTGTTGTAATAACTAATTTGGTTTACATTGTGTCTGGTTAGATTTTCCCATTTCCCCCACTCCCACCATCTCCACAACACACACACACACACACACACAGAGTGGAGAAAGAAGTTTTTAAATCTGATAGAGAACTCTCGTGCAAATGCATGTATAATATTCTGTGAAATTCCTATTTGTCAATCAAAGTATTTGCCGGAACTGAAAGAGGCCTAGAGAATGAGAAAGAGAGGTAACATTGTTGTGTGGAAAGAGCATCTGGATGGAAAATCTGGAGACCCAGTTTCATCAGCAACCAACTTTATGACTTTGGGCGGATCACTTGCTTTCTCTAAATTGCAATTTCATTCAAAGCAGGAATTAGATAAGATAGTCACTAAGTGCATGTCCAACTCTGAAAATGGATGCCTACAATTAGAATATCACTATTATGATAAACTAAACAAAGCAGTTACTTTTTTTTTTTTTTTTTTTTTTAAGATTGAGTCTCGCTCTGTTGCCAGGCTGAAGTGCAGTGATGTGATCTCGGCTCACTGCAACCTCTGCCTCGGGTTCAAGCGACTCTCCTGCGTCAGCCTCCCGAGTAGCTGGGACCACGGGCATACACCACCACGCCCAGCTAATTTTTTGTATTTTAGTAGAGACGGGGTTTCACCCTGTTGGGCAGGATGGTCTCGATCTCCTGACCTCGTGATCTGCCCACCTTGGCCTCCCAAAGTGCTGGGATTACAGGCATGGTCCACCACTCCCGGCCACAGTTACTCTTAAGTCTACATAAAAGAAAAGAAGAGGGTGTGTGTGTGAGTGCGTGTGTGTGTGTGTGTGTGTGTAATCTTGAAGGATGAGGGCTAAGGATAAAGTGAATGTAGACCATTTTGGACATTAAATAATAGTGTGTATATATATATTATATATACAGTGTATATATATTATATATAGTGTATATATAATATATAGTGTATATAATATATATAGTGTATATATAATATATAGTGTATATATAATATATAATATATAGTGTATATATAATATATATAGTGTATATATAGTATATAGTGTATATATAATATATAGTGTATATATAATATATAATGTATATATTATATATAGTGTATATATAATATAATACATACATTGTATATAGTGTATATATATTATATAATATAATATATAATATAACATATAATATATAATATATATTATATTATATATTATATGTTATAATTATAATTATAAATACAATTGTATAATTATAAATATAATTATATATTATATAATATATATTATATAATATAATATATAATGTATATTATATAATGTATATTATATAATGTATATTATATAATATATATATTATATATAATATTATATAATGTACATAATATATAATATAATATATATATTATATAATATTATATAATGTACATAATATATAATATAATATATATATTATATAATATTATATAATATATATATAATGTACATTATATAATATATATTATATTTTTATATATATTATATATTATATATATTATATATATATTTTTATATATTATATATAATATATATATCAGGCAGTACCCCATATACCAGGCAGTACCCCATAAGTTTAAAGAAAGTATCTTTTTTATTACTTAAAAAGAAAAAGATATGTTAAATATTTTCTAATCTTTTTGAGCATTTACTGTGCATTAGGCCTGAATCTAATAGCACTGCAGATACTATTTCATTTATTCCTCACTATGAACCCTATGAGGAGTTGCTATAATTATCCCCATTTTCTAGATGAAAAAATGAAGGCCTAGAGACCTGTGTCCCACAGCTAGTGTAACTATATGAAGAAATGTAAGATAGAGTCTGGGTTATGTTCCATAAAGAGTCGTAACCTTTTAGAATCAACATTATAGATAACTAAGCTCTGATTTCTTTATTTTTATAAGGATTTCTGGTATTACTACCAGATCACAATAGCTGATTGTGCATACTATTGGCCCACTCTATCAACAATAATATTTTTCTTTCAGCCACTACAAAAGTGGTATTATAATTTTCTAAGGAAAATCACATTGTCTGGTACATAAATGTTTGTTGCAAGAAGGAAAGAAACCCTGTTCCCAACCAAGATGAAGAGTATGGACTGGATTTATCCAGCCACCTGCAAGAACCAAAAAAAAAAAAAAGAACTGGACAAAATATATGAGATAATAATTTCACTTTGCTGGGCAATGGACGACAAAGAATACTGATCATTAAAAGATAAGAAACAAGCAAGGGGAGTCCTATGATTGCCCAGCCTAATAGCTTAAGGCAGTTTCAGATCTGCAGTGCAGGAAGATAAAACCTAAGCAGAACTCAGTAGGCTCTCTGAGTTGAGACAGAGTTGAAAGTGGGGAAGACCAAAGCCACCTGAGTTCGTAGAACAGAGAATCAGACCAAAAGGTATTTAGCAAAGTACTGAGGAACACATGTAATGAAACAACCTATGGTCCAGGAATGAACCATTTGAAAGGATTAGAAGGAACATTACTCAGTACTCTCACAAGACCAGGAATAGTGTCTATAACCACCAGCCAGTCTAAAGAAACCTCATAATTTAGAGGACGATGGGCAGAGTATTCATAAGGGTCTTGCATTGTTAGTCGGAAATATTAGCTCTCAATTAAGCACAGATTTGGTCCCACTTAACAAATTTTAAAAGTTAGGTCCTTGTATTAGAACATTTCACACTGCTATAAAGAACTGCCCAAGACTGGGTGACTTATAAAGGAAAGAAGTTTAATTGACTCATAGTTCAGCATGGCTGGGGAGGCCTCAGGAACCCTACAATCATGGTGGAAGGTGAAGGGGAAGCAAAGCACCTTCTTCACAAGGTGGCAGGAAGAAGAATGAATGCAGGAAGAACTACCAAACATTTATAAAATGATTAGATCTCATGAGAACTCACTCACTGTCACGAGAACAGCATGGAGGAAACCACCCCCACAGTTCAATTGCTTTCACCTGGTCTCTCCCTTGGCACGTGGGGATTATGGGGATTACAATTCAAGGTGAGATTTGGGTGGGGACACAAAGCCTAACCATATGAATCCTCCAGGATCAAACAGTTTCCAAATGATGTAACCACACTCCAGGGAAGGAAAAAAGCTTAAGAAGGTCTATAGGTATACAAAAACATCCAGCACCCAGCTAAGTAAAATTCAAGATGCCTGAAATGGAAACAAACATGACTGGGTATGTCAAAAAGGAAGAAAATATAACAAGTAATTAGGAATGAAAAAAATTAAGTAATTGAAACTGATTCAGAAGTGACATAGATGATAGAATTATAATACAAGGACATTAAGGCACTTTTTAAAACTATATCCCATTTCTTCTAAAAGTTAGGCAAAGACATAGAAGGGATATGTATATATTTTCAAAGAACCAAATCAAACTTTTAGAGCTGAAAACAACAATGTCTGAAATTAATGGTAGATTAGACATTGTAAAAGAAAAGATTTATGAACTTGAATATACTGAAATAGAAACTATCCAAAATAGAGCATACAAAGACAGAATAAAAGCCACAAATTACCAGTATCAGGAATAAGAGAATGACAGCACTACGTATTCCATAAATATTAAAAGGAAAATAAGCTAATATGATTAGCAATTTTGTGCCAATAATTTTGGCAAGTTAGAGGAAATGGGTTAGGATTTCTCAAAAGTTACAAATGACCAATGCTTCCTAAGAAGAAATAGATAAGATGATCTGAACACCCCTGTATATATTAAAGAAAGAGCATTTGTACTTTAAAACCTCCTTAATCTCACCACCAAAACAAACAAACAAACAAACAAACATAAAACAACCCAAAACAAAACCCAAAACCACAGGACCACAAATCCAGATAGCTTTGCTAGTGAATTCTACTAAACATTTAAATGATATAGGAAGGAATAACCTTAATCTCATTCTATGAATCCAGCACTGCTCTGATACCAAAACCAGACAAAGACATTACAAGAAAAAAAAAGAACAAACTAAGCCCAAAATTAGCAGAAGGAAGAAAACCTTAAAGATTAGACCAGAAATAAACAAAATAAAGAATAGAGGTCAGGCAAGGCAACTCACACCTGTAAACCCAGCACTTTAGGAAGTTGAGGCAGGAGGATAGCCTGAGCCCAGGAGTCTGAGACCAGCTTGGGCAACATGGCAAGACTCTGTCTCTACAAAAAAAAAAAAAAATTAATTAGCCAGCCATGGTGTCATGTGCCTGTGGTCCCAGTTAGTTATGACGCTGAGGTGGGAAGATCACTTCAGCCTAGGAGGTCAAGGCTGCAATGAGCTGTGCTCATGCCACTGCACTTTATCCTGGGTCATAGAGGGAGAACCTGTCTCAAAAAAACAAACAAAAAAAAAAGAGAAAAGAAAAATTGTAGAAAAATACCAATGAAATTGAGTTGATGTTTTAAAAAGATAAAATTGACAAACCCTTAGATAGACTAACAAAAAAGAGAGAAAACTCAAATAAAGTCAGAAATTAAAGAGGAAACATTACAACTGATACAAAGAGATAAGAAAAATCATAAAAGACAATTATGAACAAGTATATATCAACAAATTGGATAATCTTTAAGAAATGGATAGATTCTTAGAAATGTAAAGATCACACACTAAGACCAAATGAGATTTATCCCTGGGATGCAAGGATGGCTCAACATATGTAAATCAATTAATGTGATAGATCACACTAAGAATGATGAATTTTAAAATCACATCATCATTTCAATAGATGAAGAAGAAGTATTTGATGAAATTCAAAACTTTTGTAATATAATGAACGCTATAATTATACTCTCAAAAAGCTAAGTATAGAAGGAATTTGCCACAACATAATAAAGGCCACATATGACAAGCCCATAGCTAACATTGTACTCAATGGCGAATAACTGAAAACTTTTCCTCTAAGATTAGGACTAAGAAAGGATGCCCACTCTTACCAGTTCTATTCAACACGGTACTGGAAGTTCTAGACAAAGCAATTATACAAGAGCAGGAAATAAAAGGCATCCAAGCTGGAAAGGAAGAAGTAAAATTTTTTCTGGTTTCAGATGATATGATCTTACATGTAGAAAACTCTAAAGACTACACACACACACACACACACACACACACACACACACACAGTTAGAATTAATGAATTCACTAAAGTTTCAGGATACAAAAGCAGCATTAAAGAGCCGGTTGTGTTTCTATACAGTAACAAACTACCAAAAAAAGAAAACTAAGAAAACAATCCAATTTATAATAGCATCAAAAAGAATAAAATAGAAATAAACATAACCAAGGAAGTGACAGACTTGTATACTGAAAACTACACAATGTTGATGAGAGAAATTGAAGATGACACAAATAAATGAAAAGCTATCCCATATTCATGGATTGGAAGACAATATTGCTTAAATGTTCATAGTACTCAAAGTGACCTACAGATTCAAAGGAACCCCTATAAAAATTCCAATGGCATTTTCTTTACAGAAATGGAAAAAAAAATCCTAGAATTCTTATGTAACCACAAAAGATCTCAAATAGCCAAAGAAATCTTGAGAAAGAACAAAGTTGGAGGCATCACACTTTCTGATTTCAAAATATATTACAAAGCAACAGTAATTAAAACAGTATGGTACTGGTATAAAAAAGATCTATAGACCAATAGAACAGAGAACCTGGAAATAAAGGTATGCATATACAGTCAACTGATCTTTAACAAGGGTGCCAACAAAACACAGTGGGGAAAGGTCAATCTCTTCAACAAATGATGTCGAGAAAACTGCATATACCCACACAAAAGAATGACATTGGACCATTACCTTACACAGGAAAATTTGAGATTTAAATGTAATTTTTCAGCCCCTAAAATTTTACAAATTCATAAACTGTAAAATGCCTAGAAGAAAACATTGGGGAAAAACTTCACAATATTGGTCTTGGCAATGATTTATTAGATATGACAGCAAAACACAAGCA
Organism: Homo sapiens; assembly: GCF_000001405.40. NCBI lineage: Eukaryota > Metazoa > Chordata > Mammalia > Primates > Hominidae > Homo > Homo sapiens. Next base: position 55,616,970 of record NC_000018.10, on the reverse strand, counting down.
GCAAAAGCAAAAATGGACAAGTAGAACTACATAAAACTAAAAAGTTTCTGCACAGCTAAGAAAACAACAAAATGAAAAAGCAACCTACCAAATGGTATAAAATGTCTGCAAACCATATATCTGATAGAAGGTTAATATAAAAAGTATATAGGGAACTCCTGCAACACAATAGCAAGAAAAAGTACTTTTAATGGGCAAAAGACTGGATGGACATTTCTCAAAAAGAGACATATAAATGGACAACAGGTATATGAAAGATGCTCAACATGACTAGTCATCAAGAGAATGCAAATGAGATATCACCTCACACCTGTTAGGATGGCAATTATTAAAAAAAGAAAAGATAAATGTTGGTGAGGATGTGAAGAAATTGGAACCCTTGTGCACTGTTGGTGGGATGGTAAAATGGTGCAGCTGCTATGGAAAACAGTATACAGACTCCTTAAAGAATTAAAAATAGAAACACCATATGATCCAGTAATCCCACTTCTGGTATATATCCAAAAGAACTGAAATCAGGATCTCAAATTGATATTCAATCTCCTGTTTATTGCAGCATTATTCACATAGCCAACACATCCAAACAATCTTAATCTCTATCAATGGATGAACAGATAAAGAGAATGTGGCATATACACCATGGAATATTACTCAACCTTAAAAAAATCCTGTCATGTGTGACCACATGGATGAACCTGGAGGACATTATGCTAGTGAAATAAGCCAGTCACAGAAGGACAAATACTTCATAACTCAACTTATATAAAGTATGTAAAATGGTTACATTCATAGAAGCAGAGAGTAGAATGATGGTTGCCAGCGGCTGGGAAGGAAAGTAATGGGGAACTGATGCTCAATGGGTGCAAAGATTCAGTTATGCAAGATGAACAAGTTCTAGAGATCTGTTGTACAGCATTGAGTTTATAGTTCACAATACTCTATGTGCACTGAAAAACTTCTTTAATTAGAGGGTAGGTTTTATGTGAAGTTTTCTTAACACAATAAAAAAACAAAACTAAAGACCAATATGCTTCATGAACACAGATATAAAAGTTCTAAACAAAATTTTAGCATATCAAATTCAACATTACATAAAATGGACAATATATCATGATCCAGTGGAATTAATTCCAGGAATTCAAGGCTGGTTTTAACAATTGAAAATCAGTCAGTATAATTCACCATATTAAAACCAAAATTTTAAAGAAAATTCATTTGATGTTGACAATTCCAACATCTATTCCTAACTAAACTCCCCAGCAAACTAAAAATAGAAGAAGACTTCCACAATCTGATAAAGGTTATTGATGGAAGTCTACAACTAACATCACACTTAATAGTGAAAGACTGAGTGCTTTCCCTCTAAAATCAGGAAGGAGGTAAAGATGGTCTTGCTATTTTTATTCAACATTGCATTTAAGGTTATAGCCAATGTAATAAGGCAAGGAAAGGAATAAAAGGCATCAAGATTGGAAATGAAGGAGTAGAATTGTTTTGTTCTAAAGACATGATCACCTATGTAGCAAATCTGGTGGAATCTTAAAAAAAAAAGCAAGTTTGAGTTTAGCCAGGTTCAGGATACAAGATAACTTATGCAAAAATTGGTTACATTTCTATATACTAAGAACAATTAGAAATTTAAATTTAATAAAGTGTACATGTATAGATACATCTAACAAAAATGTGCAAGTGTTGTACACTGAAAACTAGAAATCATTGCTGAGAAAAATTAGAGATCTAATTAAATGAAGAGATATAGCCTGTTCATTCATCAAAGACCTGTTAACATGTCAATTCTCCCCAAATTAATCTATAGATTCAACATGGTCCCAATGAAAATCTTAGAAGGCTATGTAGAAATTGACAAAATATTTCTAATTTATTATCAAGTCACTGAGGTATTTACCACAATGCAGACAAAGAACAGAGTTGGGGGTCCAAAAATAGATGCACACATAAAGAAAACTCACTTTTTTCCACCAATGATGGATATCCTTAAGCAAAATCATAATAATAAAAATAATAACTTTGATTCATACTTTGGAACATATATAAAAATTAACTCAGAATGGGTCACAGACTTAAGTGGAAAAGCTAAATTGACAGAATATCTAGGAGAAAATCTGTGTGACCTTTGATTAGGCAAAGATTTATTGGATACCATACCAAAAGCATGATCCAAAACAGAATAAATTAGTACAATGGACTTCATCAAAATTAAAATCTGCTGTTCAAAGAACATGGTTAAGAGAATAAAAAGATAAGTCACAGACTGCTAGAAAATACTTCCAGATTATATGTATTATAAAAGAACTGTGTCCAGAATATATACAGTACTTTTAAAACTCAAAAAAAATTTTAAGAACCCAATTTTAAAAGAGAAAATGATTTGAACAGACCTTTATACTGATGCCAAATAATCATATGAAAAGATCCAACAATATTAGTCAATGAGGAAATGCAAATTAAAACCACAGTGAAACACTACTACACACCTATTACAATTGTTAAAATTAAAATGATCATCCATATCTTATGCTTTAGGGATGTGGAGGAATTAGAACTCTTACACACTACACACTACTTATACTGCCAGTGGGAATTTAAAATGGTACAACCACTTTGGAAAACAGTGAGACAATTTCCTAAGACACACACCTAACCATATATAGCACTCATTCTACTCCTAGATATGTAACTAAGTGAAAAGAAGGCACATGTTCATACAAAGACTCGTGTACAAATGTTCACAGCAGCTTTATTCGTAATAGTCCCACACTGGGTCTAGTGGCTTATGCTTGTAGTCCCCGCACATTGGAAGGCTAAGGCGGGAGGCTCACTTGAGAATAGGAGTTCAAGACCAGTCTGAGCAATACAGTGAGACCCTCGTCTCTACAAAAAAATTAAAAATTAGCTGGATGCAGTGGTATGTGATTGGGAGGCTAAGACCAGAGGATTACTTGAGCCCAGGCCGCAGTGAGCTATGATCATGACACTGCTGTCCAGCCTGAGTGACAGCCTGAATAAGTAAATAAATAATAGCCTAAAACTGGAAACAACCCAAATGACCATTAACAGGTAAATGGATAAACAAATTGTGGCATACATGCAGTGAAATATGCTATGGTTTGACGCTGTATCCCGACCCAAATCTCATGTCAAATTTTAATTCCCAATGTTGTAGGAGAGATTTGGTGGGAGGCGTTTGGATCATGGGGCAGATTTCTCACCTTGCTGTTCGTGTGATAGTTCTTGTGAGATCTAGCTGTTCAGAAGTGTGTAACACTTCCCCCTTTGCTCTTGCTCTCCTGCTGACCATGTGAAGAAGGTACTTGCTTCCCCTTTGCTTTCTGCCATAACTGTAAGTTTCTTGACGCCTCCCAGCCATGTGGAACTGAGTCAATTAAACCTCTTTTCTTTATAAATTACCCAGTCTCATTTAGCTCTTTATAGCAGTGTGAGAACAGACTAATACAGAAAATACTACCCAGCAATAAAAAGGAATGGACTATGGACACCTGAAACAACATGGATGAATCATAAAATAATTATTCTGAGTTTAAAAAGCCAGACCAAAAGAATAAAACAAAAAATATACACTGTATGATTCCATATGTATAAAATTCCAAAAAAAATCCCAACTATTCATGGTGGCAGAAAGCAGACTATTGGTTGCCTGGGGATTGAGATGGGAGGCAAGGAAAGTGGAAGGCAGGATTGGGAAGGAGGGATAACATAGGGGCATGAGGAAGCTTTTGGGGTGACATGTGCATTTTCTTATTCATGGGCATATATATATATATCAAAGCATATTAAATTGTACACTTAAATATGTGCAGTTTATTGAATGTCAAATATATTTGACACTTATACACCTCAACAGAGCTACTTTTTAAGAATATGAAATAAGGTAGGAGGGGCATGAGCAATGAGATATTACTTAATTGGTACAAAGTACACTATTGGGGTGATGGTGACATTGAAACCTAGACTTCAGTACTAAACAATATATATATATTTTTTGAGACAGAGTCTTGCTCTGTTGCCCAGGCTGGAGTGCAGTGGCATGATCTCGGCTCACTGCAACCTCTGCCTCCTGAATTCAAGCGATTCTCGTGCCTCGGCCTCCCTAGTAGCTGGGATTACAGGCACGCACCACCACGCCCAAGTAATTTTTGTATTTTCAGTAGAGATGGGATTTCACCATGTTGGCCAGTCTGGTCTTGAACTCCTCACCTCAGGTGATCCGCCGGCCTCAGCCTCCCATAGCGCTGGGATTACCGGGCCTGGCTAACTATATATTCTTGTATCGAAACTGCACCTGTACCTCCTAAATGTATACAATTTAAAAAAATAAAACAGCCAAATTGTCACAAAATAAATTATTAATAGTGTGGAGTGTTTCACTTTCCCATGTTTTTTTTTCATTACAACAATACAGTGAGCTACATATCATGATTATTTTTATCATATTATTGTTTTACATTATTATTGTTCCCATGTAATCTATGATAAAACTGAGGCTCAACATATTACTTTGCTCAATGTCAGATAAGCTTTGGCAACAAACACGATATGGAATTCCTTAAAAGCAAATAAAATAAAAGATAGACCTCACTTCATTACGTTGGTCCTCAAGCATTTCCATTCCTGCTTTCTCACTCTCCCCCCTCATATCCCGAAGCAACTCTCACTCAATTCAAGAGTGCCCATCATTCCCAATTCCCAATCCCCCTAGAAATGTGAGGTAACACCTCAGTCTGCCCTGTCCAATGCAGTAGGCTCTAGCCATCTGTGCTACTGAGCAGTAGAAATGTGGCTCATCCAAATTGAGAAGTGGTATTATAAGATACAGCCCAGTTTCTGAAGATGTAAATAGCTCATTAATAATTTGTACATTGGCCGGGTGCAGTGGCTTGCACCTGTAATCCCAGCACTTTGGGAGGCCAAGGCGGGTGGATTACCTGAGGTCAGGAGTTTGAGACCAGCCTGGCCAACATGCTGAAATCCCATCTCTACTAAAAATACAAAAAAATGAGCTGGGCATGGTGACGAGTGCCTGTATTCCCAGCTACTTGGGAGGCTGAGGCAAGAGAATCGCTTGAATTCGAGAGGCAGAGGTTGCAGTGACCCAAGATTGTGCCACTGCACTCCAGCCTGGGTAACAGAGCAACACTCCGTCTCAAAAAATAAATAAATAAATAAAAATATTTTTACATTGATTTTATGTTGAAATTATAATATTTCGCATATACTATGTTCAATAAAATATATTATCAAATTAATTTTACTTGCTTATTTTTACTTTTTCAATGTAATTCCTAGAAGATTTCAAATTATACACGTGTCTTGTATTATCTTTCTGTCAGAAAGCACTGATTTAAATCCTACTGGGGAAAGCAATGTTATGCTTTTTGTTATGACAACTTCGGAAAATCATTAACTTGTGTTATAATCATGGTGCTATATAGCTTTGGTTTTGTAAAAGGGTGGAAGGCTCTAGGTAGGGTGTCATGGATAGAATCTTGTGGTGATAGTTGAAGAAAAATTGGCCTTGGCAGGGTAGCAGATGGTGATTAGGAAGAAAAAGGAGCCGATCATGAACTCATAGTAGAGTGGTAGAAAAACTTTGATCCCAACTCTGAGATCAGTTTTGTAAGTCAAACCAGTTCTTGTGCCTTAGGGTACAAGCATATTTTGAGGTACAATGCTAGTGTTGTGATCTGTCACACTCCTGCAGCTGTTTGTGGCAGTCATGTAAGATGGAGCCAGCCCAGAGTAGTCTGGGCCCAATCAGCTGCTTATCTTGCAACTATTACCAAAGCAAGATTTGGAGCAGCAGCCGCAGCTTTTGACTCTGTGGATTAAAATCTCAATCTCCCCAAAGCCTTGCCTCATGCCAAACTCCTGTGCACCATAATGCTCTCTCTTCTGCTCTTATTTCTCAGTCAGCTAGTGTTGTGCCACACTGTTTGAAATTGGTAAGTGTCAATGAATCTTGGAAGCTTTTCTTGGGCCCACTGTCTAACTCTTCACCATAAGAAAAGAAGGGGCATCAGTACCTACTGTACTGGCAAAATTGCTGCGTTTCAGTACATGGTAGGTAGTGTTCCATTTTCATCAATTATATTAAATCCAGCTCATGTAAAATGCTGTTGAAATTGCAAAGCAAAACAAATGTCACAAAAGGCAGAGCCAAGTTTTGCGGTTAAATTGTACTCTCCCAGACTCTTCCCTCTGCAATGTCTTGGGCTGCCATGTGAACCACTTCCCTGGGTGTAATCTTTCCATCTTGATGGATATCTTCCTGTTGTAGCTGTTAAGTAGTTAATATATAACATCCCTTTTTATCATCTTCTGAATTTGGAATCAATGGAAAAACAGATCCAGGAGTCAGACAGATGGTGAGAGAATGTGGCTTTTGATTAGTGGCCCAGAAATCTCCCTAATACTTCACTCATCAATGAAACACTCACCAAGTCACCAACAGAGCTGGACAGCAAAGGTCTACTCCAAACTGAGTGCAGGAACAAAAGGATCAGAGCCTCCATGTCCTGTGGCATCCTCCAAAGACAAAGGAGTCCAACAAGGCACTGAAAATGCTCAGAAATGCCAACCAAACTCAAACCAAATTAACCCGCAGGAGTAAGGCATAGGGAAAAGGTCGGTTACCCTGGCAGAAGTCCCTCTGCATGAAAACATTAGGCCAGGGAAATGGATATTCCTCCTGACCTCTGCACCTATATAAATGCATTCATCTGCATGTTTATGATGGGTTTTTACAAACACGTTTGTCAGGGTTTGGCATGTAGACCTATAAAATCTACTTTTCTGGATCCAAGTTCTATTCATTCACTCATTCCAAAAATATTTGGCCAGTGCCTGTTACAGGCTAGGCACAGGTCTAGGTGCTACTAGGTGAAGAAACAGACAAAAACCCTGCCTTCATGGAGATTATATTTTTGGCAGAGAAGACTAAAAAAAAAAATAAGCAAATAAGTAAAACATATGGTACTACAGATGGTGAAAAGTGCTATTGAGAAAAAGAAAACAAACAGGGGGTGAGTGTGGAAGTTGTGATATCAAACAAAGTAACTAGGGAAGCCTCTCTGGGAAGGTAACATTAGAAGAAAGGCCCAACAGAGGTAGGAAAAGGAGCCCTGCAGATATTTAGGGAAAAAGTGCACCAAGCAGAGCGAACAGCAAGTGCAAAGGCCCTGAGGAAGGATGCTTGTTATGCTAGGGAAAATGCAGAGTCTAAAGTGGCTGGAACAGAATGAGTGAGCCAAGTTCACATATCATCTGTGTCTTCAGGGTTATGACATGTTCATGTCATGATACTCCTGCCTTTTTTGTTTGTGTTTTAAAATTCAGACTCAGCAATTTTACTGCAACTCTGGTGCTCACAGCTATCACGTTCCTCTGTACACACAAGCCATAAGCACACCCGTTTCAGTAGTTCTGAGGCTGCCTCACCTTTGCTCAGAGCCTGAAAACTGCTGGTGGGAACAGCATCTCTCTTCATTACATTTCTCTGAATTCATCAGGCACCCAGCAAATGCCATTCAGAAAGCAAATTCTGAATATGTGTGTGGTGAAGGACACTCCTAGACTATTGCCTCAAGGATTTTCATGAAAAACCTGCCCCCCGTATGAGTCTTCCCAGCAGCAGTGGCTTCATTGAGAATATATGGCTGACCACTGGCATATTTAGTTCATACTTAGCACAGCCTTCTCCGACCATCTTACCTTGGGCTGCTGTAACAAATGTCTACAGAACAGTTGGCTTAAACGACAAACATCTTTTTCTCACAGTTCTGTGGGCTGGGAAGTCCAAGAGTAAGGTATGGACAGATCTGATGTCTGGTAAGAGCCCAGCCCACTTCCTGGTTTGCAGGTGGCTGTCTTCTCATTGTATCTTCATATAGCAGAGAACAGAGAGAAAGAGCCTGTGTCTCTTCCTCTTTATATAAGGGCATTAATTCCATTCCTGAGTGCTCTACCTTCCTGACCTCGTTACCTCCTCACCTCCAAATGCCATCACATTGGGGATTAGCCTTCAACACATGAATTTTGAGGTGATACAAGCATTTAGTCCAAAGTACCCACCTTTTTCCAATTTAGCTACTGGCATTTGTATACATTAATGTCCATACCTCCTACCGCCCACTCCACCCCACCATTTATTCATTGGTTTCACAACTATTTATTGAGGGTGTATTATAGGCTCTCAATGAATAAAATAGACTCCTGCCCTTGGGAGCTTATATTCAAAAGGATAATACCTTCTTTGAAGGCGGGACGCTGTCTTAGTCACCATTATTCCCACGGCCCATAGCACAGTGCTTTCTTTGCCTAACATGCTCTATAAAAATATGCAAATCTTGAGACAAGTCACAAAGCAGAATTTTGTGGAACCAAAAATAAATGTGCTCATCTCTTTTATTCTTTAAATGGCTCATACAGACTAATTGGAATGGAGATGCGTATTTAACTCAATGCCTTCCTCTAAAACATACTCAAGGTCCATTTATTTCCAAGATGGCATTTTGACCTGTGACAACTAAAGCCCCATATTGCAAAAAAAAAAAAAAAAAAAAATACTGTGGCAAGATGCTAGATCGGTCTAATTTTCTCCCTGCATTATAAATCTTTAAAGCTATTGGGAGTGGGAGTTTAAGATGGTTGACCATTTAACGTGACTGTTTAATAAATTGCATTGCTAGTAAGCCATAGTACTTAACCCCTCAAAATATCAGTATATTAAAATCTTCTATAATGTTATCAAGGAGAAGAAAATAAATTTTGAGAATTTTCCTAAAGTGCTTGAATTAATATTATCTTTTTGTGGTCTAGGAAATTCTGCTAACAGCCCTGCTGCTTTTCCATTAAGGTTACAGTGAGACGAAGCATGTGGCACGCAGCTTCCATTTGTAGATCAACAGTGAAGGAGACAGATTTGTAGTTTTTATCAGCATTAGCAGGGCAAAGCACATTTGTTCACAGGTGTTAGGAGTCACCACTTGAATGAAAAGCTGGGCAGGGAAATTGTATTTGTCTAGTGAAAATGTAACTGAAGCATAAACACAGCCCACACCTTTGAGTGTGGCATTCTACAGTCTGCACTGCTGTTAACTCACATTGAAAAAATCTTGGCATTTTCTTTCCTTGAATTCATTCCTTAAATGGAATTAGCACATTTTAAATCCTTATGATTATCATTATTGACGGAATGATAGCATTTGGATCCGCAACAACCTTTTCATTGTTAATTGAGTGCTGAGAATGGGAGATGATATAGTTATTCTGATTTTTAAAAACTAGAAAATGGAACGTGTGAACAGTGGCATATGAAGCTCTTTGACAGACCTAGGGCTAGGACTCAAGGCATGTAATTCCAAAATCTTTGTTTAGTCCCTTAGGAAATAGCTTCTCCTGAGTTTTGTCCTGTTGATTGTTTGGCAGTTCCCTTAGGAGACTAAATTTGCTGAAGAAAGGCAGCCTGGAGCAGGGTTAACAGTAGAAATTATCATTTTTTGGATCCACTGGCCTTGTAACATGGGAGAAATCTCCACTCCACCTTATACACACCTTTTTCTCATAATTTGTTGGAAAATTTATCTTAAAATTCAGCATCAAATTCAATTGATCGTTTGACCTACTGACTTTTAAGAACAACACATTTTTATCAGATGCTTTGTTAGACACTGTCAGATAATCAAAAGTACTTCCACTGGTTTACAGGTTCCTCGAGAAGATGGGAGTATATTCTGATGTGCCATGAATTTATTTTTTTAGAAAAGCGTAAGAGAAAATACAATACTTGGAAAATAAATAAAATCTGAACGTAACTTTTATCACATCCCCCAACAATGAAGAGATGAGGCATGAACATGCTCACCTCTACCCATTGTGCCTACTGTGCTGTAGGTATTGCCGAACATATGGTGCCTGGTGTCACCCACTGTTCTCATTCCCCCTTCCCTCTGAGATGTGCAGACCAGACCCCATCAGCATTTCTAGGGAGGATAATATAATGATATCAAGTTACCAGATTTTGATGTGTGAAAAATGAACTAGGTAGCACTTTCCTAGCCATGGGAGTATATGCAAACAATGTTATTGAGCAAATATTATGAATTAATTTAATATAATCATTACAATAGAGAAATATTCTCCATCATTTCAATTGTCATTCAGTTGTCACCAGGAGAACAAGTATTACTGAATAAATACGATTTTCATCAGGATCAAGTCTGATTATTGGTTTATTTTAATCTAGTTTTTGTTTTGTTTTGTTTTGCCTGGAAAAATATTTACCCTGCTTAAGTTATAGATATTACCTGTTGTTTGAAATGAAATTTCTACCTTTATCTGCCCCAAACTTTGGGTTGACAAAATAATTCCACAGATGAAAACATTGCTGAGTTATAAATCCATATTATTACTTTCACAAAAATCTAGCCTGTGTCCAGGATAAAATGACAATGGCACTTTGAAAGAAAGTAGATAGCTTCAAATTATGTCTTTGAGTTATGGTTCTGGGCTGTGAATTAGGCTCAGAACAGAGAAGAAGAGAAACATTTCCGTTAATATTCCCACAGTGGAAGAACAGAAAGGGGTAAAAGAGCAATCATCACATTTTCACACTCTCAAAAGTAATGGGATAAAGATGTTCCCCGTAACTTTAGACCAAATGTGTAGACAAAGGAAGAAAGTGTGTGTTATTTTACTCTCATCTTCTCTCATCTCCTTGGTTAGAAATGTGTCGCTCAAGCAACTACTTATTCAAATAGTAAGTGCTTGAGGGTAGTTACCGTTATTGAATCTCATACTGTATTAGGGACTGGAATGGGGAAGCACCCTAACTGCAGAAGCATAATCTCACTTTTCAGAGCAGTGATTTTCAAACTTGAGCATTCATCAGAAGCACCACGAGGACTTGTTAAATAGATTGCTGGGCCCACCCCGGAGTTTCTGATCAGGAGGTATGGGTGGGACCCAAGGATTTGCATTTCTAATAAGTTCACAGCTGATACTGACACAATTGGTCTGAGAACCACTTTTTGGGAACCACTGCTCTTGAAAGCAGCACAGCAAAAGTGAAACATATTTTGGAATGCAAAACCTGTTTCAGCTGTGGCTCCACCGCTTCTTAGGTTATTTGCCTCTGTTGCCCCTATTTGCTCATGTACAAAATGCGGAGTACTAATATCTGCCTCATCAGGTTTTGGAGTATGTGTGAAACTATATGTGATTGTAGCCGCATCTTTATGTAAGTGTATGAAAAATGCATATGCAACTGGTATGATTTCCTTCATCAACTTGGAGTACTAATGCAAGTCCGTCTTTTTTATGTTTCCAGTTAATCATTCCTACCTCCACTTGTCCAATGTAGATAGATGTTCAATGTCTGCCTCTTGAGACCACCTCCTTCCCCCAAAACATATATCTCAGGAGTTTACTCAGTTTGAAGAACAGTCCACCTTCCAACTCTAGAAGAGAGAACCTCAGAGTCTAATCAGCCCACTGACCTTTATTTCTGCTCCACCACACAATGTCACCATTTGAAACTCAGCTCACACCATCGGATGGAATTTTTCATCTGTACAATGCTCTTGCTAGACCAAGTTTCGTTACAGGCCACAGTGGTGCCCCAAACTTAGGATCCAAGATTGCGGCTCTTTCAGCTCACACACATACGCTGTTATTTCCCTAAAATGTGCCACTGTACAGGGCAATTGGGTATGATGGGTTTTCAGTCTAGGCCACATGCTGTGCTAATGCCAGCACCCACTGCTACCTGGCCCAACCTCCAGACCATGTTATGGTGCCAGGGTTACCAGTCTTGACTCCCCCTTTTCTTGAGATGAATGCTCTTGTGTGACTTAGGGTGCCCATTCTGCAATCTCAGTTCTCCTCAACAGGACCCCAGTGAGGTGTTCCAGCTGTCCTCCCTGGGTCTGTGCTTGTACATCTGAAATCTTCTAATAACCTAAAAAGGGAAAAGGGCTGGAATTTCAATTGTTTTATTTCAAGATTGGTCCTCAATGCTTATGTCAGCTTACCTCCCTCAATGGCCTGCCTTCAGTGATTTTGCCGACCATCCCCACTTCTTCCCATTCCCCTGGCTCTACTGGAAAAGTCGTAGCAAGTAGGAGGCTGTCCCTAACTAGTAGCCATTACCAATGACCACCAACCTTCTTATAACTCCACTCTGCTCTCCCAGGTGATGACATGGGGCTCTTGCAACTGAGGATACTGCTGATCCTTTACAGAAGTTGGTTTTTCATCTATCCATTACTTGAGATGTGGAGGTTTTCCTTGTCCCCTTTCCTAGTGAGATCCGGTCTTGCCACACACTCTGCCATTTGCTCACCATGCAGAATCCCTGCAACATTTCACTCTTTGCAACTGGGTGGGCAATGCGCTAAAAGCAAAGATCCTCTTTGTCCTCTCTGTTAAAAGCTGAACCAGAGCCAGTTCCAAGCAGGCCTCTTGCACTCCCTCCTTTCTTAACCCTTCCGTAACTTTCCAACAGAAGGCACAGCAAGGCCCATCTCACCCCCACCAGAGGAAGAAAAAAGAGGAAGACAAGGAAAGGAAGGAAACTTGCCCCAACCCAAACCAAAAACTTCCTAGTGTGTGTCCTTGACACACAATGGAGCAGTTTCTCCAAGGATTCTGGGGTGGGGGTGGGAGAATGGCAGAAAAAGGGAAGAATCGGCTTTTTTTAAAAAAAAACAAAAAACTGATGAAGTGGCAGAGTTAAAACTTTCCCTCAATATTTGTGTGCAGAATCTATATCTAGTGCTTTTAAAAAATCATTGTTGTTAAGATATAGCAAAATAATAATTACCCAGTCATTCAATAAAAATGTGTCCAACGCTTGTTCTGAGTAAGGACTGTTCTATGTGCCAGTGACAGTTATGGGAAGAATGGCGCAAGGAATCCACCCCATGGATGCTTTGGGTCAAGTAGGGAGCTCCAAAGACACGACATTGATGACGTGAGGATCTGTCACAGCAGTTCAAGGTTCTGAATGATGAGCCCCATAGGAGGACCATAGAGCTATTCAACCCAGAGCTCGGAGAAATTGTTTTCTCCTCAGGAGGAATTGTTCCCATGCTGTGCCATGATCTCCTGGCCTCCTAACAAATGAGACATGCTCTCTGTGGTGTTTTTCTCTGCTCACAGGGACAGTAAGCATCTATTCTATATATTCTGTGTACATGTTTTCCCTTGGGGTTGATAGCAGCTCTCTTCTAAATGGGTTAACCAGCAGCAGAGATGCAGCCTGTGGTTATGAAATGGAGTCATTTTTACTATTAGTTTATGGACAATAGTGAGGAGTTTGTGTCGCCTGTTCCACCTGTTATTAACTATTTTAACAATCTCTCTTAGAAGTATGCACAGAAATACATTCTGGGTTTGACAATTCTATATTTCAGATCATATCTGGCATTCTTCAAAATAGAATGAGCTCAATAAATAATAATAATAATACCTAACTTAATTCTTAAGTAACAATTCATAATTTATAAAACTGGTACGAATACATGAGCTCTTTATAATAACTCTATGAAGCAAATAAAATAATCTTCATCGTTATGGATAAACTGTACCTCTGAGAAGTTCAGAGCTTTGCCTAGATCTCAGCCAGGGTGACTAATTACTGAGGGACGTTTGGCAATATCTGGGAGCATTTTTGGTTGCCTCAACTTGAGGGGCACAGAGGGTGACTACGGGCATTTGGTGGGTAGAAGCCAGGTATGCTGTTAAACATACTGTATGTAATGGCCAGGATATACTTCCACGTCAAAGAATTTTCCAGCCTGAAATATCAATAGTGCCAAGGTTAAGAAAAGCTGCTCTAGGGTCACAAAGCTGGTAAAATCTGAACCCAGGTATATTACTCTAAATCTAGTATCTTTCTATGTCCCCCAACTGTAAAGCTTTCATCTTGAATTGAATGGGGAAGCATCACCTATTACATTTTACATTATGTTCATTTTGGTTTCCCTTTTTCCTGAGCTCTGGGGAAGGGGCGGAAATTTTGCCTTTAGTAGACAATGAAATGTTGCTATAATATAAAATCATACCTAGTGATTCTGGAAAATCTTTCAGCATAATTTCCACCTCTTTGCAACTTTATCAAACTCTGTTGTGTCTGCAATTACAATTTTTTGGACTACAAAGGGTGATAAATTTTCCTGTGTTTCTCAATTCTAAGACTAAGATAGACAACATCTAAAACCATGTAAGAGAGATGGGAAGCAGGAGTAAATGATTGATTAGCATGTGTGTGTGTTCTCAATTATTGATGGTAATGGCCCGTGGATGTAATGTGAACTTGCCAATGCTGCTGATAATCGAAAAGTCATTTTTATTGAGATTTGGAATATGAAACACTTTTTAAAAGGAGAGTCATCTATCTAATAATCACTTTAATTTTGAGGTAAGCTACTATAGCAGTTATTTTTAATTCCCTAAATACACATCACTGTGAGGCAGGAGAGGCATCCAAGAATGTGCTAGTCAGTGGCGGATGCCAACAAAGATTAAAAATTGGAACAAGATTAGTAAAGGAATGGCTAAAAAAGCTGTGGTATAGGCATCTCCTAGCCAAGGGCAGGAGAGTTGAGGGCGTGGATACCAGAGCCAGACAGCCGGGGTTCTGACCCTGACCCTGAAAGCTTACTAATGTTATGATCTTGAGCAAGTTACTTAATTGAGCAAGTTACTTAATTTCTCTCTGCCTCAGTTTCCTCAACTATAAAATGGGAGTGTATATAATACCTACCATATAGGGTGGTGCTGAGAACTAAATGTATCTTAAAATGTGCCTGCCACATAGTAAGTGTGATAGTGCTATATATTTTCTATATTTTGTAGGCATTAACGTGAATCCGGCAAACCTATGTATAGTGATGTGAAAACATGGCATGACATCCCGTTAAGTGAGAAAAAGAAAAAGAAACGAAAGAAAATCACAGAGCCATAATTATCACACTGGCGCATTTATATTTTAAAAATCCCTAATGACTAGACAGGTGACTTATAAGTTGCACAGTGAGGAAGAACTTGAAGCCTTTTTATTCCATGAGAGAAGTTTACAATCACTTTCCGGTTTGGGAGTAGGTGAATACTTGTCACCTTGAAGCCGACCTTCTTTTTTTCTTTTTTAAGACAGAGTCTCACTCTGATGGCCCAGACTGGAGTGCAGTGGCATGATCTCGGCTCACTGCAACCTCTGCCTGCCGGGTTTAAGTGATTCTCCTGCCTCAGCCTCCCAAGTAGTTGGGATTACAGGTGCCCACCACCGCACCCAGCTAATTTTTGTATTTTCAGTAGAGACAGGGTTTCACCATGTTGGTCAGGCTGGTCTTAAACTCCTGACCTCAAGTGATCTGCCCGCCTTGGCCTCCCAAAGTGCTGGGATTACAGGCGTGAGCCACCGCACCCAGCTTGAATCAGACTTTCCTTTCCTTTTTTTTTTTTTTTCTCAGTTATGGAATGTAAAATCAGAAGTCCAGTTGGGCCTCAGGGAAAGGGCACAGAAAGACCTTTTAAGTTCCTTCAAAGGCCACCTCTCCCAAGATCCTTTGGAATGTGAATCTGGTCACTTGGGAAGAGGTGGGCAGATGGTGCAGGGGTTCAAGGAGCCCTCTGGAAGGACAGGCATCTTGTTGGTTACTATACAATACTCCACTGTAGATTATATGATTTATCTACTCAATTGTCCCTCAAATTTAGGTTTTCCCAGTTTTGGCTATTATGAGCACAGCTGCTTTGAACATTCTATATATGTATTTTTGTGGATACAGCACTTATTTCTTTTGAGTGTGTAACGTGGTTAGAACCTGTCTACTGTATTAACATGGTCATGTCTGAGGTCTATTGGAAAGAATATACAGGCATTTCTCTGTATCTGAGGGTGATTGTTCTGGGCCTTCCTGCGGATATCAGACTCCACAGGTGCTCAAGTCCCTGATATAAAATGGCACAGTATCTGCATATAACCAGTGCCATCCCCCCATATACTTTAAATCATCTCCAGATTACTAGTAATACCTAATGCAATGTAAATTCTTTGTAAATACTTGTTACACTCTATTGCGTAGGAAATAATGGCCAAAAAATAGTCTTATATGTTCAATACAGAATTTTTTTGAATACAGTATTTTTGATCTGTGGCTGGTTGAATCCACAGATGTTGGAACCCCCAAATAAGGACAGTCAACTGCACTCCAATGGTCCCAAAGAGGAATGCCACCAGAGGGTAGAAGAACCTATCTGGGTGGCAAAGCCTGTATACTGTGGCCTAGGAGTACATGAGGGTGACCACTTCTGGTCCAGGTGTAGCTGAGGTGGAAAGCACATTTGAACAACCTTCCTTTGCCCAGAGTTCACACCCGTGAGAATGGACAAAGTGGATAATATTGGAGTCCATGTGTACGGTTCCACTGTCCCTGTGTAGAACACAATATTAGACATTGGAACAATGAAGCACTCTAGGACAGTACTGGCCCTTTAGAGGTTTAGAGTCTAATTGAGGAGGCAGCAGCAATATATAAATCTATACATCATAATAATTTATATTAGAAGCAATATGTTCATCTCATACATTGCTGGTATGATTGCAAATTGGTAAAGCCACTTTGGAAAACAGTTTGCTGGTGTCTACTAAAACTAAAATGTGCCTATCTGTGACCTAGCAATTCTAGGCATGTAATAGGTGTATCCTAGGTACATATTCAAAAGAAACAAGTGCTGTATCCACAAAAATATGTATATAGAATGTTCAAGGCAGCTCTACTCATAGTAACCAAAACCTGGAAAACCTAAATTTTGGGGAAAATTGAGTAGACAAATTGTTGTATATCTACAATGGAGTATTACACAGCAATAAAAAAAAACAGCCTTCTCCTACAGGCAACCACATGGACAAATCTCACAGATACAATGAGTGACAGAAGCCACATGGAGTTGAATATACACTGGATGATATATTCCACTGGATGATGTTCCAAGTTCAAGAACAGGCAAAACTAATCAGTGGCAACAGAAGTTCAATGGGATGGGTATTCACTATGAAGCAGAAGGAGGAAGCCTTCTGGGTTGTTGGAAATGTTTCATATCTTGATCTGGGTAGTGGTTACACTGATGTATATATAAGTAAAAATTTATCGAGCTGTACAGTTTTTCACTTTTTATCATACATATATTGTACCACAGTTTTTTGTTTTGCGATAAGACTCTCACTCTGTCACCCAGGCTGGAGTGCAGTGGCACGATCTCGGCTCACCGCAATCCCTGCCTCCTGGGTTCAAGTGATTCTCCTGCCTTAGACTCCCTTGTAGCTGGGGCTACAGGTGCCCACCACCACACCCAGCTAATTTTTGTATTTTTAGTAGAGACGGGGTTTCACCATGTTGGCCAGGCTGGTCTTGAACTCCTGGCCTCAAGTGATCTGCCCGCCTCGGCCTCCCAAAGTGCTGGGATTACAGGCATGAGCCATTGCACCCAGTCTGCAGCTTTCTTTTTTTCTCAAGTTTTTGTGTTAAGTATAATAAGTAAATGAGTTCAGAGCACTGAGTGATGGGTGAAGGTCAAGAAGTCAGAGCAGACTTCAGAGGGGAGGGAAGAATTGAGGTGGATTTGATGGAAGGCTGGAACCTGCACAGGGAAACTGCAAGAGGGAAGTTGGATCATGGAAGGAAATATCTGAGAACAAATGCATTGTAGCACAGATGCCAAGAAAGCTTGGAAAATCTTGAGCTTTCTCTTCAACACTCATCTTCCCTCCCCACCAGTTGAGAAGCCTTGGGTATTATGTAGGATAATCTTCACTCAGCTCCAAGGGTAGGCTTTGATAGATTTGAGTCTCAGCAACATAATTACTTAGGGATGAATGTAAACCAGTCATGACATAATTTGAGTCAAAGGCAAGTATATTCCTAAAATGGTCCAGTCTCACCTCAGCTGAGGCTTTAGTTTCAAGGTTCAGGGGGCACCAACAGCTATCTCCGTCTAGAGGCAAACAAAAGAGTGATTGCTTCCATTTTTACTGGTAGCCATCTTGGTATCATGAGGGAGTTAGCCTGACATAAAATTGGGCTGAGTTGAGAGAAAAGTAGAGAAATGAAGCTGGAGCTGTATTTGATGGCTCTAAACCTTTTTGGATTTGCAAGCCCTTTATCATTTAAGCCAGTTTGAATTGATTTTTCTATTGCTTCGCAACCCTGATGGCTTTTCTGCTAATCTATACACAGCATTTCTTGAATGCTCGTTTTCATGGCCATAGCCACAGCCCTATTTCAGAATCTCATAAGCAGTAGTTAAGTGAACTGCAGTAGCTTTCTAACTGGTCTCTGCCTTCAGTTTCTTTTTACCTTAATTCATCCTCCATGTTGCCTCCAGAATGTTCTTCTCAGGCACATCTTATCACTGCCACCATGTGATCATCCTAATGGTTCCATGCATTGTGAAAAAAGGCCAATGGCACATGTATACCTATGTAACAAACCTGCGCGTTCTGTGCATGTATCCCAGAACTTAAAGTATAATAAAAAAATAAAAAATACAAAATAGAAAAAAGGCCAATGGATCCAAATTTGCTGGGTTTTAACAGTTTAGTCTTTTGGTTCTTCTCACAAACCCTAACAAGATCCTTACTCTCTAGCCTTCTCATCTTTGCCAGAGTTAATGCTTCAGCCCAGGACATTCTTTTCTCTCTATCTGCTTCATGGGAATACCACTTTTCTTTCCAGATTCAACTCTAGTCTCATCTCTTCTAAGAAGCCTTCTAAGATCTCTCCAGCTGATAGCAATGACTCCTTGCATTATAGTTTTACGGCATGATTTTACCACTTGATAACTCTCTATATAGTTTGTCAGGGGTTTGGGTGATTTATTCTTGTCTAGCCTACCCATTAGCATGTAAAGGCTGGGAAGTTAAGGGCCCCAGTTTTTCATCTTGAATGAATTCTTCATTGCCCCTTGCATAGTGCTTTTCATAGACAAACTGCTCAATGTCTTGTGTCCTCAATGTCATGTGTCCTATGCTTAACTGACTAGAGCAAAGACTTCCTTTAGGAGAGGATATGGAAATAAAGTTGGAAAAGTTAGGTGGGGAGGGGGTTGGAGGGCAGCTTTTGGAGGATTTTAAAATCCAGATTAGATATATTAAGTGCAATTATTTTACTGCACTTTGGAATAGGCAAAAGATTATCTGTTTTCCAAAATTTCTTTCATTCCTTCTATATTATTTACTCTTTTTAAACTTTTACCTTTTTTTTTTTGAGACAGAGTCTTGCTTTGTCACCCAGGCTGGAGTGCAGTGCTGCAATCTTGGCTCACTGCAACCTCCGCTTCCCAGGTTCAAGTGATTCTCGTGCCTTGGCCTCCTGAGTAGCTGGGGATACAGGCACACACCACCACACCCAGCTAATTTGTGTATTTTTTTAGTAAAGACAGGCTTTCACCATGTTGGCCAGGCTGGTCTTGAACTTCTGACCTCAGGTGATCCGCCCACCTCAGCCTTTTTAACCATCTCCTTTTCTTTGGGGGAGAGGGAAGGGGGAAAGCAGCTCTCGGGTTTGAAATATCATGCAGTTTGAGAAGAAATAGAATGCAAAGATGATTAGCTTTCTTTTCTCCTCTCCATTATAATCCCATAATAGACTTCATGAATACCCTTGCTAGCAAAGCAATGAGGGCCATTGCATTAGACTGTTCTCACATTGCTATAAGAAACTACCTAAGACTGGGTAATTTATGAAGAAAAGAAGTTTAATTGACTCACAGTTCCACAGGCTGTACAGGATGCATGGCTGGGGAGGCCTCAGGAAACCTATAGTCACAGCAGACAAAGGGGAAGCAGGCACATCTTCACATGGCACAGCAGGAGAGAGAGAGCGAAGGGGAAGGGTTACATACGTTTAAACAGCCAGATCTCATGAGAAGTCACTCACTATTATGAGAACAGCAAGGGGAGTCCGCCCCCATGATTCAATCACCTCCCATCAGGCCCCTCCTCCAACACTGAGGATTACAATTTGACATGAGATTTGGGTGGGGACACAGAGACAAACCATATCACCCATCTACTTGAGCAGTGGCTATAAACTTTTTTTTTTATGATAACCTAGTATGCATGTACTATACTGTATATTATACAGCTGAAACAAGACTTTTGTAAATCAGCAATACTCTTGTTATGATGCAAGTTAGTATTTTCCGTTATGCCATTTCACTTCAAACAAACAAAAACAAAAAGTTGATCTAAATCAATTTCATGACCATTAAAGAAACGTGTTCTTCTCAGGCACATCTGATCACTGTTGTCACATGCACGATTCTAAAGGTTCCACACATTGTGAAAAAAAGCTAATGGATCCAAACTTCCTGAGTTTTAACACTTTAGTCGACATATGAAAAATGTGGCATTAAAGCATATGTATCCTAATTACTAGGTTACAACTGTTGAATGAGCTAAGTGCTTTTGCCAGTATTTTATATTTAATTTGATATAATAATTTTATGACAGAGCATTATACCCTTTTAATAGATGAGAAAAGAGAGGCTTAGAGGTACAGATCCAAGGTTACACAGCTGCATATGGCAGAGCTGAGATTTAAACAAAAGTAGACCAAGCTTCTGCTTACAGCTCAGTGACATGTGCCATAGCTTTAAGTGACAGCCAATGCAATGAAGATTTCCATGTGCTGATTTTTTTCCAGATGGAGTCTCATTCTGTCATCCAGACCGGAGTGCAGTGGCACCATCTCAGCTCACTGCAACCTCCACCTCCCAGGTTCAAGCTATCCTCCTGCCTCAGCCTCCTGAGTACCCGGGATAGGCGTGAGTCATCACTCGAGGCTAATTTTTGTATTTTTAGTAGAGACGGGGTTTCACCACGTTGGCCAGGCTGGTCACGAACTCCTGACCTCAAGTGATCCACCCACCTCGGTCTCTCAAAGTGCTGGGATTACAGAGGCGAGCCACTGTACCTGGCCTGCATATGCTGATTTTTAAACTTTCAGCACATGCAAGGGAAAACGAGACCACCGACGTACAGACAAAATGCTCTCCAGCCTACAACTTCATTTCTTCTCTGGATCTCTATTCTGGCCCTAGAAATCTGCAAGTCCTCCAAAAAAAATGACAAAACCCTTAAAATAGAATAGTCAGGCTGCAATAGAAAAAACAGTTTTATGATTAGGAGGAAACTTCTAGAAGGCTAGTACTAAATCTTTTTCAGTCTTCTTTAAATTACCAAAATTCCATGGACACTCAGAATGAAAGATTGTTGAAATTTTATTTTTTTCCTTTTCCTTTTCCTAAACTCCCAAACCATCTAAAAGCAGGCAAAATCTAAATTCTACTCTGTATATGTCTAGGTCTAGTAAGGAAGGTTTATTATCTTAAACATCAATCTGTTATGTATGACTTGATTTCTAAAATTGCTTAATTTTCTGGGTCATTCCTGGAGGAATACTTATGCACTACGCAGTGTGTTGGGTCTTAAGGATACAAAGACCTGCTCCTCACCTTTAAAGGGGGAACATGCACTGAAAACAGAGAACATAATAAACCAATAATTGTGCACAGTGGGACCCATGCAGAAATAATGGTACAAGGTGTTGAGGAAAGACAGTGAATTGAATCGTAATCCTGCCAAGGCAGAATTTTGATTTTTCCTACTTTTAGGTGTTTTGAGGGTTTGGGAAAGGAAAAGGGAAAAACGCATCTTTGACAATCTTTCATTCTTAGTGTCCATGAAGTTACATTAATTTAAATAAGACTCAAAAGATTTAGTGGCAGCCTCAGAGAAGGCTCCTTCTAATCATAAAACTGTTTTCTCTGTTGCAGTCTGAGTGTTCTATTTTAAGGGTTTTGTCATTTTTTGGAGGACTTGCAGAGTGGGAGACTAGGGCAGGAATGGAGATCCAGAGAAGAAATGAGGTTGTCAGCTAGAGAGTATTTTGTCTGTACCTGGGTGGTCCTGCCTTCCCTTGTGTATGCTGCAAGTTTAAAGTTCAGCGCATGCAGATCTTCCCTGCAGTTGTCCATGACCTAAAGCCATGGCACATGTCACTGAGCTGTAAGGAGAAGCATGGTCTACCTATGTTTAAATCTCAGCTCTGCCATATGCGGCTGCGTCAGTCTCCTCCTCTGTAAAATGTTAAAATGTTATAATAGTGAAGCAGTACGATGACAGCACCTTGTATTGTATTAAAAATAATGAAGACACTGTCCCCATGGCTTGGTAAAGTAAGGCAATTATTGTACTTACATCTTTAGGGTCTAGAGCTTAAGCGACAGGAGTCAGTAGCCTGCTGGAAATCAAACTCACCAGCAACATTTACTAACAATGAAATCAAGCTAAAATGAAACCCCAAGAAAAACTGGAAAAAATATGAAAGCTGCACTTTTTAGGGTAAAGTGTGCATCTTGAGGGTACAGACAGATTCTTCATTCATTTATTTAACATATAGTTATTGAATACTTTATATGTGCCAGGCACTGCATGGGTGTAGAGACATGGAGTGGACAAGATTCATGTACTCTGGCATCATGGAGTCTACAGTCTGATGAGGGAGCTGGTCAATGTAAAAGGAAATGCATCAACATGAGGATCCCATTTGGGCACAGTGGCCCTAAGCTAATGTTATGGCAGAGAATAATACGATTGAGTACTTACTTTAGACAGAATAGTTAGGAAGGTCTGTAGGAGGAGGTGATGTTTAAGCTGAGACCAGAAGGATGGATGACAGGGAGTTAGCCTTGTGAACAGTGACGGAAAGAATTAAGAGACCAGCATATGCAAAGGCCCTGGGGTGTGTAGAGGACTGTGTGTGTCATAAATCTCTGGACTTCTTTCACACAAACTGGCTGAAGCTCTCCCCATCCCTGTTGCCAGCTGCCTTTCTGACTCAGACTTACAGTGTGAGTAGGGCTCCAGATTGAGGTCCTAGCTGGTTAGTTATACCCATTTGACTTATCAACCTAAAAATATGCTGGGATAGTCTTCCCTTTCTACACATTTGCCACAGGCTATATCTTGCTTACTGTGAGTTAGCCATTCAATCAAGACTGCCCTTGACATTTATTTCATTCTGATTTTTTTTTTCCTACATTTTTGCCTCAGGTCCTGAGAGAATGGCTGCTGACACAAGGTAGATGCTCAAAAATTACTTGCTGCATCTTTGGATGAATTTCATTAGAGCATCAGAGAGGAAATTTTTGTTGTTGTTTGTGGCGCTATTTGCTTGTTTATTTTAACACAGGTGGGACTCGGGGAGAACAAACTGGATGGAATT
Source organism: Homo sapiens (assembly GCF_000001405.40). Lineage (NCBI taxonomy): Eukaryota > Metazoa > Chordata > Mammalia > Primates > Hominidae > Homo > Homo sapiens. Next base: position 55,593,643 of record NC_000018.10, on the reverse strand, counting down.
TGAAGGAGAATGGTAGGGCATTCTGGATTACCAGAGGGCTGCCTGGCTATGCCGCTCCTTAACGACATGACCTTGGCCCAGTCATCCCACTTGAGCCCTGACATTCTCAACTACAAATGAGGGCTTTAGACCAAGTACCCTTCAACATATAATGTTTTTTGTCTATGAATCCAGTGGCAAATATGGGGTATCAATATTTGCCACTCCTTCCATACTACTGTGAAAGAAGCATTATCTTTAGGCATTAATTCAGCTCATGCAATAATGATGCCTTATATTTGATAGAAATTTGTCATTTACAAAGCACCTTCATTTACATTATCTCATTTGATTTTAACCAGTCATGTAAGGTATTTAAGATAGTTATAATTTTTTTTTTTTACATCTGACATAATGTGAAACTTGCCCAAGGTCACAAAGAGACAGAAAAGGGAATGAATGACACTTGTCTGTGCTGTTCTGAGTATAGGTGGCACAATGAATCAGATAGGATCTCTATCATGTGTGAGTGAAGCAAATTTTTTTAGTTTACCCCCTAGAATAGCGGTCACTACTTTAGAAAAAAATGTTAATGACAGTGTTGACAATGTTGAAATGTAAATAATCTTTTTTGTATTAAGTTCTTTAGTAGTAAGGATCAGAAAAGTACTTAGGTTAGCTCACCTGGGGAAGGGGAACATTGCAGGAATTAGCAATCTCATGGACAGGGAATACTGGACTCCTCATAGTAATTGGGAAAGAATCTCTAGGACTTAATTGTTTGTCTGCTTTTCTTGGAACTCCCAAGACCGTTCTCTCTTATCTGAAGAGCAGTTTCCTCTGCTTACTCATGGTTCTTGTTTCCCTATAACCATGGCTCTCACATGGCTTAGCTTGCTGGGACCAGGTCTGGCCCACTGACTACAAGATGGGCGTGATCCATCACTCACCATAGGCTACGGTCAATCTCTTCCTCTTCGCTCCTGGGGTCCAATCTGCTGGGGCTGGTGGGGCTGGGGCAAGAAGGAGTCATGTGGCACCCCCATCAAGTTCTACCTTGCTATGAACTGAATGTTTGTGTCTCCTCCAAAATTCAGTTGAAACCCTAATTCCCAATGTGCTAGTATTAGGAGGTGGGGTCTTTGGGAGATAACTAGGGTTAGCTGAGATCATGAAGGGGGAGCCTCCATGATGGCATTAGTGTTCTCATAAGAAGAGGAAGAAAGACCAAAGCTCTCTCTTTCTCCACTATGTGAGAATTCAGTGAGAAGGTAATCATTTGCAAGCCAGGAAGAGAGCCCTCTCCAGAACTTGACCATGACGGCACCCTGATGTCAGACTTTGTAGCCTCCAGGGGTGTGAAAAACAAATGTCTGCTGTTGAAGTCACCCAGTCTGTGGTATTTTGGCCAGCCTGAATTGACTAAGACATACTTCTATATGAGGATTTATGAACAGGTTCCTAGGCAAGGGAGTCTGCAAATTGAAGAGGCATCCCAAAACATGCCTACTACCCCTCCTTTTTTATTTAAGTTTCACAGGACCCTCTTGGTTCTCCTTTTCTTAGGTGCCTCCAATCTTCTAAGTATAACATTCTGTGACAATTCTGTGACAGAATAAGTATTTATTCTCTGATAATTAAGGAAAAACAAAAACAAAAAGAAGACAAAACACCCACATTTGTCCCTGAAATTTAAAATACGAAGGGTTGTTCCCTGGTTTTCTGATTGTAGGGTCAAAAAACGAAGAAGCAACGAGACTAGCAATTGGATACCTTTAGATCCCAAACTTCATCCTATCATTGGTTTCTGGATAGATTATTTATTGCCCTTGAAATTCAGCAGAAGGGGGCTGGGTGCAGTGGCTCACACCTGTAATTCCAGTACTTTGGGAGGCCGAGGTGGGCAGACCACCTGAGGTCAGGGGTTTGAGACCACCCTGATGAACATGGAGAAATCCCATCTCTACTAAAAATACAAAATTAGCCGAGTGGGGTGACGCATGCCTGTAATCCCAGCTACTTGGGAGGCTGAGGCAGGAGAATCGCTTGAACCTGGGAGGTGGAGGTTGCAGTGAGCCAAGATCGTGCCATTGCACTCCAGCCTGGGCAACAAGAGTGAAACTCCATCTCAAAACAAAACAAAACAAACAAACAAAAAAAGAAATTCAGCGGAATGAGGAGTCTTAAAAACCTAAAAGCTAGAAGGGGTTTTATTGGATTATCTAATCTAACCTCTGGATTTTACAGCAAAAGACATTGACATTGGGCCTTAGTTCAAAGAATGACTAGAGGTAGAGCCAGTGGAATTTCTCCTAACCCAACGTTTGTGATCTTTTCATTACATCATCTAAGCAGAACCTGTAGGGGTTAACTCTGAGAATTGGGGATGATGCTTGTGATAATGCAGCAAAAAGTAATGTCTAAATGTAAGATATTATTTTGAGATGAGAACACCGAATGGGGATGGAAGACAGGAATCTTCACCATGTGTGAATGTACAGGAAACAACCAATAAATGCCTTAATTCTTGTTCTGTAAAAACTTACATGTAAGTAAAAGATCGCCGAAATTGATCTGAACTCTGTTACTGCCACAAACTTTTATCAGCAAATGGAGATTAGGATGTTCCCACTGCCAGATGGTATATAGGAATATGGTTGAATGTGGACTGTTATCACAGACTGTCTGGTTTCAAAGGTGGGCTCTGTCACTCAATATAGTTGTGTGACTTAGTTAAGTTTGTACCACTTACAAAACTTCTTCCTTGGGTCAAGCTACTCAATTTTACTTGCTTCTGTTGCCCAATATACAAATTACAGTAGTAATACATACTCCATAGGGTTATTCTTAGGCTTAAAGTAGCCAGTATTTGTGAAGTTATAGGAACACTGTTTAGCATATAGTAAACACATGTGTTATCTGTCATTATTATTACTTGCTTTTCTGTTGCAAAGACTAAAAGCTATTGTTTTGGAGTAGGGAAATTTCCATTTAAAATTCCATTGGCTAGGTTAGCGGTATCAGTTGATTTAGCAAGGAATTAAGAGATGAAAAGGAATTATTTCTTTCGTGGTGGCTTCATCTTTATCTGTATCCACTATAAAATTCGTAAAGTGGGCGTTATTTGCTTTACACAGACCAGAAAACAGGCTACAGAAGGTAACTGCTTGGCCAGAAATGGGTTGAGTCAGTCGTGGCTTATGGCACAAACTACATTTGAGTCTACAAAGCAATAGATGAAGGTCTTCGCCAAGTGAAGACTTTTTGGACTTGGAAAGTTCACACACTTCCAGCGCTCTATAAGAAGATAGGGTGGGGGAGTTGGAGGAGAGGACCCACATCCCTCTTCCAGCCTAGGACCAACTTGGCCCAGAGGCCTTTTCCCATGCCGCCCAAGGCTCGCTGAGAAATCTGGCTCCACACAGTGGGAGAACCCAGGGTCAGGCTTACTGTGAGTGAGGCCGGCCCAGTCTTTCCCGAGCCTTCCTCAGGGAGACCTGGGGGTATCTCACTTCCCTGCGGAAGTCTGTGGAGTTTAATTTGTAAATTTGTGCCGAAACTACACTTTTGTGTCAAAGAGCAAGGACGGCCAAGAAGCGGCAACACGAATAAGAGCGCAGGGAAATGGGGCCTGCGAACGACCTCGGCCTCGGGAACTCCCACAGTGCCGCCCCACGCGCGACGCCTACCCGAGAACAGCCACCCGCCTCCGCTCCCGGAGGAGGCGTGGTCGACCAGCACCGCCATCTTGGCCGCCTCTCTAGGCGCTCTGTTTACCACTCTATGGTCGCCTGCTCCCGCCCCGCCCCTTCCCAGTCATTGTCTGGAGGAGCAGCCGCGGCCGCAGCTCCTTCTCTTTATAAGCCCGCAGTTCCCGGATGTGAATGGATTACAATGTATCTTTCAGGGAAACCTATTATTATCAATGTGACTCCACGGGGGAGTCCATGGTGATGATGATGAGGAGGAGGATGATGATGATGAGACACCTCTAAACTTGGAACAAGTTTAAGACTTTATGAGAGAAGAAAAAAAATCACCAACAAGAATTGTTTGAGGAAAAATTATAACTATCCTGTGTTCATTTTTTTTTTTATAAACAATAAGAAAAAGTTGTTGGATTTTTTTTTAATGATTTCTTTTTTGGGGGAGGGAATTTTGTTGCAGTTTTATGGTGGAAAATGCAAAAACCAGAGCCAGGTGCATAATCTTGTAATCTGTGGATATCCCTGGAGCAGGACTGAGTACCAGTTAAAATACTTTTTGGGGATACACATGTGAGATACTAAGTACTTGCAGAAGATTTTTGTCTCTCTTTTTAAAGTCTCTTTCCTTGGAATATTGTGAGAATATTTGTGGCCATTTAAGGTAACGTTTCAATTTGCCGTCAGAGTAAACTGTTTGTAATTGAATTTAATTTTTAAAATGTCGATCCCGATGTTTTATTAAAACAAAAGGGACAACCTATTAAATAATTGCCAATGGGAAAAAGTGTGTGCATGCATTTTGTGTATGTACTCGCACATCTAGCAATACCAGGATTTGTAGAATGTGTGTTTTTTTTTTCAAACACACGTTAAAATAGCTTATGTTGCATATACCGGATAAAGCACGCTTGTTATTACGAAACGATAGAATTATGAAGCTTAAATTTTATCCTAAAAAGTGATGTGAAAAAGTATGTTTTAAGAGCATGCAGGGCCTATAATGGTAAATGTTGAATTAAAAACTTACAGTGCTGGCGAACAGGGACTTAGCGTGCCTAGGAACTCAAGTGCAAAAACAAAACAACATCCACCCCCAAAAATTGCCCTTTTTTTTTTTCGAAGTTTGCAGTTATACTATTCTGTGACTTAAAAGGGAGGGGAAAGAAAGTATGCAATTCAGATTTCGCCCCCAACGCAAAACTACCGAAACGAAAATCTCCCCAGGAAAATGTGGCTTGATTTATAGACGAAAAAGAAAAATATTGTTCCTCTTGGCAAAGTCTTTTTGCATCACGTGTATTTGCAGCCTAGTATAAACTTGCTTTGCCGTGTGTGGATGTGTGAGTGAGAGGGAACGAGAGTAAGAGAAAGAAAGAAGTGAGGGGATGTAAACTCGAATAAATTTCAAAGTGCCTCCGAGGGATGCAACGGGCAAAAACTGAACTGTTCAGGCTTCAGATTGTAACTGACGATCTGAGGAAAAATGAGGTGCTCGATGAATTTTCGTTTGTATTTTTTGGCGAGGCGGGGGAGGTGTTGAGATTTTTTTTTTTTCCCCTCGGGGTGGGTGCGAGGGGGATGCATCCTAGCCTGCCCGACCCGGAGCAAGTCGCGTCTCCCCGCCGGAGCCCCCCCACCCATTTCTTTGCTGAACTTGCAATTCCGTGCGCCTCGGCGTGTTTCCCCCTCCCCCCTTCCCTCCGTCCCCTCCCCTCCCCGGAGAAGAGAGTTGGTGTTAAGAGTCAGGGATCTTGGCTGTGTGTCTGCGGATCTGTAGTGGCGGCGGCGGCGGCGGCGGCGGGGAGGCAGCAGGCGCGGGAGCGGGCGCAGGAGCAGGCGGCGGCGGTGGCGGCGGCGGTTAGACATGAACGCCGCCTCGGCGCCGGCGGTGCACGGAGAGCCCCTTCTCGCGCGCGGGCGGTAGGTACCGGCGCCTGCGGGGCTCGGCGGGGCGGAGGCGCCCGGCGGCGCGGGGTTCGGGCTCGGCGGCCCCGCACGCGGCTCCGCGCCTCCCGCGCCGCGGGCTCCCGGCGCCCGGCGCTCCCAGAAGAGACACCCCTTCCCCTCCCGCCGCTTCCCTCCCCCTCGCCGCCAGCCCCCCCGCCCCTCCCCTTGATGCCCCCTCGGAGGGACCGAGGACTTTGCCAGGGGCCTGACTTTAATTTTTATAACCCCTTTCTTTCACAAATTAGGGTGCTGGACAATTAGAGGACCCGACCCTCCACTCCGCTCCCCCCAACCCTGTCACCCCACCCCTCCCCCTTTGGACGTGTTTTCACTCCAGAGACGCTCATCTTTAATTTCTTGATAGCTACTTTGAAAAGCGGAGGGGAGTGGTGTGTGCGAGTGTGTGTGCGTGTGCGAGTGTGAGTGTGCGAGGGGGGTGGGGTGCAGGGTGGGGGGAAAGTTGAGATCGGATCGTTCTCAGTAGTTTCTCTTTTCTCTGTGATCCATTCATTTCTCGCTCTACCTCCTGTTGCATAAAATGATGCGCTGAAGAGCGGCTTTTTTTTTTTCTTTCCCTGATTTGGTTTTATAGTGGATGTTACCAGTTTGATCGTCTCTTTGGAAATACAATATCGCTTTTTTTTTTTTTTTTTTTTTTTTTTTTTTTTTTTTTGCTATTGCTGCCTATTCCATCTTAAAAAAACAAAACCAAACCCAACCCAACAACAAGTCTCCCATCCCTTCCTCCTTTCCACCTTAATCCCACCCGCCCCCACGTCCCCACCCCCAACCCCCCAGTCTCCAAAAATCCGATTGTGTTTTCTCCAAGGATTGGGACTGGATTTTCTGATTGCGGTTATTTCCATGTTTCTAGGTTTGTGTGATTTTGCTAAAATGCATCACCAACAGCGAATGGCTGCCTTAGGGACGGACAAAGAGCTGAGTGATTTACTGGATTTCAGTGCGGTAAGAAAGAACGGTGGAAACTAACAACAGCTGTGAAAAAAACAAAACAAAAACCCAAACACTTCAGCTAGAAACCAGTAGGAATCTAAAGGACAGTAATAATTTTTAATTGGCTGAATCCTTGGTAAATATGAAGGTCTTTTTGACAAGTTTTTAACTATAATTTTGTGGTGTGATGGAAGATTCAGGCTTTTTTTTTTTTTTGAGTTTTATTACTGGCCTTCAATTCCCTACCCACTGATTACCCCAAATAATGGAATCTCACCCCAGTGGAAAGCAAAAATAGACACCCCTAAAACTAAACCACCCCTAAAACTTGGCCATGTCTGAACACTGAGACTACTAATACTTTGCACACTACTCTTCGTTTTATTTATTGTTTTTGGAAATGGAAAATAGAAAATAGGAGACCCAGTTGTCTCTTTAAAGTTTTAAGCTAATGATGCTTTGGATTGGTAGGACCTGTTCCTTACATCTTACCTCCTAGTTACATCTTTTCCTAGGATTCTTAAAACTAGTATGGATATGCTGAGCATACATTCTTTAGAACCTTTTGGACTGTTTTGGTAAATTTCGTAGTCGTAGGATCAGCACAAAGCGGAACTTGACACACTTGTGGAGTTTTACGGCTGTACTTGGTCCTTCTCCATCCCTTTGCTTCCTTTTCCTAAACCAAGTCCCAGACATGTCAGGAGAATGAATTCATTTTTAATGCCAGATGAGTTTGGTGTAAGATGCATTTGTAAAGCAAAATAAAAAGAATCCACAAAACACACAAATAAAATCCAAACCGCCTTCCAAGTGGGGCTCTTTCATGCTGCTGCTGCTGCTGCTGCTGCTGCTGCTGCTGCTGCTGCTGCTGCTGCTGCTGCTGCTGCTGCTGCTGCTGCTCCTCCTCCTCCTCCTCCTTCTCCTCCTCCTCCTCCTCTTCTAGACCTTCTTTTGGAGAAATGGCTTTCGGAAGTTTTGCCAGGAAACGTAGCCCTAGGCAGGCAGCTTTGCAGCCCCCTTTCTGCTTGTTGCACTTTCTCCATTCGTTCCTTTGCTTTTTGCAGGCTCTGACTCAGGGAAGGTGTGCATTATCCACTAGATACGTCGAAGAAGAGGGAAACCAATTAGGGTCGAAATAAATGCTGGAGAGAGAGGGAGTGAAAGAGAGAGTGAGAGTGAGAGAGAGAGAGAGTCTTGCTTCAAATTGCTCTCCTGTTAGAGACGAAATGAGAATTTAGTGCAGGTGGCACTTTTATTTTTATTTGGGTTCACATATGACAGGCAAATCCTATACGAGATGGAAATGGACATTGCCACGTTTATGGCCAAGGTTTTCAATATAAAACAAAACAACTTTTTTCTTCTCCTTGGTGAAACTAGTGTTTTTCTAGAGAGGCTGCTGGCCTCCAACCTGAATCTTGATAACATTATGGGGACTGTGTTTGTTCCAAATGTAGCAGTAGTACTGCTTGGCCATCTAATGAACCTGAGGAAAAAGAAAGAACAGAGTGATAATGGGGGCTGGGGTGGGATCTGTAATGTTGTTTCTCTTTTAGTTTTAAGTTGGATGGTGATGTATTTTACTAAATAAACCCTTAGCATAAACTCTAAGCTGTTTGGTAACAGTATGAAAGATCTTTGAGGAGCTCTGAAGGCACAAGTGTCTTCTTTTCAACTGTAATATTTCTTTGTTTCTTTTAGATGTTTTCACCTCCTGTGAGCAGTGGGAAAAATGGACCAACTTCTTTGGCAAGTGGACATTTTACTGGCTCAAGTATGTAAATTCTTTTCTTAGTGTTAAGTTAAATGTTCTGGGCTGTTTATTTACTCAATTGTATGTTTTTGGCTCTGTTGAAGAGTTCTGAAAAAGTCATTGAATTTTAGCCTGTAATCATACGGTTATTGCATTACCCATCAGTGGTATAACTTACACAAAATGTTATCTTGTGCGATTAAAATTAGGTCTTTTTTTTTAAGTCAAGGAAACTCTCTCAAAATTCCATCACTTAATTTAAGAGCAATTTTCTAATACAGTTGTAATCAAACACATGAAGATAAGACCAGTGTTAACATGGGGAATAAATTAATGTTTTCTATTTGAAAATAAGGGGAAAAAATCTCTAACATTCATAAAATGGGAAAATCCCTTGTAAATAATATCATTTATTAGGTACTGTATACAATTAACCCTTTTAAAGAAATGAACACTTAATTCTGCAAATGAATGCTATGTAGTAAACCATAGCTGTAAATAGCCTCTTGCTAATCTTAGAGGCTAAATATGAATTCATTTATATTTAAAATACCCTTTTTGATGCTTTAGCTGTTTTTTTTTCCCTAACGATTTACTTGTGCAATGAATTTTTACTGTATTTAAAGTTGCAAATCTGGAAGGACTTTTACGTTTTATAAATGAAAGATCTTTGGGTGATGCTTAAAAAAGATGCTAGCACTATTCACAAAGGAATCTGTGTGCACAGTGATTATCTGGAATCTAAGGAGGGGTTTATTACAGGGCTATTCGAATATCTCTTATTAAAAGTGCAGAGTGAAAATATTCATTTAAAATGTATTTTTTTTAATCCAATGAATTTCAAATAAGAAAAAGTTATACATTGTTGCCTGCTATCCTTTAAGTCCGTGGCTTAAGTCCATTTATGCTTGTTAAACAGCTGCAGTATTTTAGGAGTTCTGGCAATGGTATATAACAGTACATTAGGCCAAGTACTATTCTTAAGTCAGACTGGTAAATGTTGACATCTTTTAACTGTGAGATGCCAGTGGAATTGTCTGTCAACTATGAATATAATTTAACATCTTTTAATATTCATTTGGTGCTATAGCAATGAAAGAAGTTTGTTCACTTATGTGATTTGTATAATTGGTATATTTTTATAAAACTAATGGCTTTAAAAGTTGCTCATTTCCAAATAAGTTCCTTCTCCTTCTATTGCCTGCCTAAGTTTAGGGAATTTGTGTCTCGATAACTTGTTTTAAAAAATGTGAGATGCTTCTTGTATTTTTATTTTAGTTTTCTGGTGCACATTGATTAAAAGGACCATTGACAGACAATATGTTTGTGTTTTACTATCCTGGACCTGGTTATGTTTTCCACTTAGGGATTTGGGATAGTTTTTATATTAGTATTATATCTTTAAATTTCTGTATGGTATCCTCTATGCAACTTTTAAGATGGAAAATATTAATATGCATGTTTGATGTAAAGGTAAGGACAAGTATCTTTTGTGGGCAAATTAATTTTTCATGTTAGACAAGATCAAAACTAACTGTTTTTGACAGTAATTTTTTTATGACTTAACTTAAAAATGTGTATTCAGTTTCAATCTAAAAGTAGCTTATGTCAGACAGACACAGAGATAGACTACTTTTAAAGTCAATGCTAAAAAACTAGTTTGCAATGTTGTGAAAATATGCATTTAGAATAACTTAAGTATATTACATTAGATATTTAATAAAGTAAGGTGTTTAGAAATATGAGATTGTGTTACATTTAAAAAGACAACTGTATGTCTGATCCATTTTCTATGTTCACATTTAAATAAAGTTCTTGCTGTGATGTTTAAATGTTTATAGAGAGTACAGGCTTAATAAGTTGAATATGTATTAATGCATTTTGGTAAGTGATGATATATCAACACTTACACAGTTCTGAAGACAATAACACACACACATACACACATACACACATACACATACACACATATGTTCATGCATGCAAACCTGGAGAGAGACTTCACTCTTAATAAGTCATGTTACACTGCTTCTAATGCATACACAGTGATTATTTTGAAGGTGTGGAACTTTAAGTTACGTTGTACCAGAAATGGTGTTTTCAGGACCAAATGTTTACTTGTAAGGGTAAAAAGTGTAATGGTCCTTTTATTCTGGCAGCCTGAATGAGAATGCAGGGTATTCATTTCATGTAGTATGATGGTGATTATAATATGTAGGGTACAGATTGGAGTGTTCAGTTTTCCTCTATCAAGATAGTATTTGAACACAGGGCTGTTAGTTAAGAAAACGGGTTGTATTTCCACTTAAAAGAGTTAAATCTTTTAAAAAGCGTAATACATTTTAAAAATCATGAATACTGCATTTTGCCCTTTAATTGGAAGGATCAACTAGGAAACTTTGGAGAGAGAAATAATTTTCTAAATTTACCTCAAGTTAATATCCATTGTCTTGAGTGGACTCAGATGTCCCTTTCATGGATTGCTTTGAAACTTGGATTTAGGAAAGATCTAAACTATAAGTAGACTGTTCCTATTTGAAAAATCAGCTATGGTTTTTCAAAGTGAGGCATGGTAATAATTCATGCTTAAAGTTCCCAATAGCTTTTGATTCCATTAATATAGGATGCTCCATAGTGATTTGCAATGTGAGAATAAAAATAAAGTGTGGCCATATTCCCTTTAATCTTTCATTTCACAAACATGGTTTTTCCTACCACCTTAAGAAATGGTGAGGCTGCTAGGGAGAATGGAATGTAACCTGAGCTACAGCCTGACATTCCCAGGGAGCATTTTTCACATGAAAGGCTTTTGTCAACCCAGGAAAGGACTAGCAGTTTTTGTTTGATGTTTGCAGGTGTTCAGCAGAAAGCACTAAAACAATTCAGCCATGATGGTTCAGAGCTTCGATGACCTTAACAGGGAAAATTGGTGGGCTCTGGAATTATTTTTAAGAAATAGTTATAACCTATATGGTAACTTAAACAAAGGGATTTAATATCCGTTATATCATTGATCTTAAAACAAACTAAAAGCATCCACATGCCTGGATGATTGGAAAATTATTCTCATTGAAAAGTAGGATACCTAAGTTACCAAAAAAAGAAAATCATCTAAAGAGTCTATAATTTATTGATGAGTATGGACTTAATTTTCTGATATAGCAGAAGGACAGTTTATTTGGTTACTTTTGACTCTTGTGAGGAAAAGATAAACATCCTAGCTTTGACATCTTTTTAAAAAGTCGTTTTAAAGTTGGGCCACTAAAATGATACATTCTAAAGAACTTGTTAGATCAGGTCTGGTCACATCTGTTACATGTATTTACTGCTGGTCTATGACAGATACTACATCTTTCTCCCTTAGTTTAAAAGTTGAGCTTTTTCCCCTGTGACTGTTTAGTTTTACTGAGGTGTTCAGGTATTGTTAAAAGATTGTCAAATGAACGAGTGTTTGAACAATTAAGAGCAGCGTTAAAACACACCACATCTCTGTTGTGGGTCATTTTTGGAAGAGGAAAGTATTGCCTGAAATTTACCTAAGTTAGCTAACCTATATCCACATGACACCAACATAATATGCCAATTTAGTGAATTCATTGAGGCGGAAAAAAATCAGTCCGGTGGGTAGTTTTGTATGATACAGAAAATTAACGTGGTCACATCCTGAATTAGTTTTGAGTTCATAGTGATGGCATGAAAAAAAAATTGGTTTCCCCTTAAAGATATTTGTTGAGGAGAGCTGCTTAATATTGTGTGTGTGTGTATAAGTGAGTGAAAACACCCTTAAAATCGTAAATGGTATAATTCATAAGGGTTCTGTGGCTTTTTGTAAAGGGCAGAGTAATTTAACAGGTTAAAAGAAGTACAGTGGCGTTAAACCCATTATGTTAGAATCACAGAATTTTGGGTATAGAAACCCATTAGAAATGTTGCCCAGTGCCTTCATTATACAGGCAAAGAAAACTGAGGCCCAAGATAAGGAGTTCCAAACTGTGCTTTCTTATTTGTTATTTTAAAAAACAAGTTTTTATTTGCTAATTCTCTATGGCCCTGCAAATCCTTTATTGGAAATAACCTTGGTCTCACTGCTGTCTTTCTGTCCTTTGTACTGCGTAATGGGGCTTGAGGATTAGTGTGCTGATATTTGTGCATGTAAATGCTTCTGTATATGCATGTGCCTTCTGAAAACTTTTTTAGGTTTGGAGCTGAATTTTGGATTATTGATCATTCTCTTTTGCCTGGTCTTCCCTGTGACTGTTTTGCATGATGTTGGGTAAAATAATAGTGTGGGTGAGCATGTCACAGTGCTTCTCAGTGTGTTAGAGAGGTGTGCTGTGTACCTTATACCTGTTGTATTTTTTAAATCCTAACAAGAACCTAATGAGATGCAAGGATTACTACTATCCTGTATTCATAGCTGAGGAAACAGAGACAGATGTTAAACAACTGGATCTTAAGGCAGCCAATAATGAAATTAGGTTTTAACCTCAGGTTTGTCTAGCTCAAAGTCCTGAGTTCTATACACACACACACACACACACACACACACACACACACATCAGACAGCTCATTTTTGCAAGATTATATAGGCAAACAGTGTGATATTGAGGCTTCGCACGAAATGCTATCTGTGATCTTTAGGGTAGATAGCATTTTTAAAAATGTGTCTAATGTTGTAATGATGTCAACCATATCCATTATTTTTCCCGCCTTTGTATCCAAATAAACTACCCTTCCAATTTATGACAGATATCAATGTGACTAAATATGTCTTTCTCATATCTTTATTAGTTTTACTAAGAAAATACAGTAGATATTTTAAAAGTTGTGCTTTCATTCTGTTGTAAGTTGATAGTCTACATGGATGCCAATGAAAACATGTTTTTATGTAGCTAATCAATTCAGAATTTGAGGTAACCAAGCCTGATGTATTAATATGTAAAAAAATAAGGATCTCCTGTCTTTAAATATAAAAAAGTTTTGCAGTTCGTTGTTAGATCTTTGAAACTTAATATTCAAGAACAATACCCTCAATTCTATCTGCATCACTAAAATAAGCAGTTTTGAAGGTTTGATATGTCTGTTACCAGACATGTGCTTAAAATGTTACATTTTCTAAATTCAGAAGGCAGAAGCAGTACTCTATTTGACACTGACTTAAGTAAATAAAATGCATTAAACAAGCGTGGGGATCCAAGAACTGTTGAAACTGAAATGCTTAACATTTTTGACAGCATCAGCAAATTATCCTTACCCTACTATTGTAATGAGGAAATCACTTAAATAACAGATGAACAGCCAAGTCACATAAACATATATAATAGAACTATGTAATGAAAGTTTATGCTGTTAATTGCTCGAATCTGTCTTAAATGCTTAGAATCATGGAGCAGTAAAGACTGTCATATAAACAGTTTTGTTTTGAGCTTAAAATTATTCCTTTTTGCTTTCATCTGCTATGATAAACAAAGTAATTTTGTAAGCTTTAAAGATCAAACATTTACTCCTAATGGTAAACTACATTTTATATTGGAAGTTTGCAACCTCGTCCAAGTCATAGAGTTGAGTCCTGGTGGCCCCAGGCCTGTGATTTTCAACGTTTAGTATTATGATGCTATTTAGATCTGTTCCCATAAGCCAAGATAACAGATCTTAAGTTGCCTAATAAGGAACATGGTGTGTTTTGAAATGTTCTTCAGTTTACAAGTCTTAAACCAAAATGTTCTTGGCCAAACCTTTAGAATCTATATGTAAGTTGAATAAGTCAGATTTTATACAGACATAGCATGAAAATGAAGCTAAGTAGGAACAGAAAAATCTGCCCTTTCTTTATTATTTTTTTTTTTGTATTTTATGAGCTATTTTTTATGGCCAGGTGTTTGTTCTTCCAAGTTAATTAGATAGTGCTAAGTATTAGAAAATGTAAAATACATTACAGATTTTTTAAAAGGTTATTTTTGTTACTGGTTTCTTATTACTCTGGGTAAAATTTTCACAACTGACCACCAGGTTTATTAGCTTATATGTGAGCTACCCATTTTGTACATTCGTGAGCCAATTGACTAGGAATAAGGTATGCACATGGGTTTTATGTGGATACTTTTGACCCATATCTCTCTTAATACTTAGGAGAGAGATATAAGAGAAATAATAATTTAATCTTTGGAGAAGATTAACACTTTGTTATAAGTTATATATAGGTAAATATATATATATATATTTATATTAGACTTGCAGGAATAGTGAAAATGTTGAAAAGGTTGTCATGTTTACTTTCATTTCAAAGATAAAGGCCCAGTTAATCAGCATATCAAATACCCAGGTGTGTTTAAAATCAGTTTATGTGGGTGAATTTCAGGGCTGTAAGAAAGTATTTTATTTAAAGGTGCAGCCACACGATTGATTGTTCAAATGGGTGCTTTTGTACTTTTGTGTGACAATTAACATTTAATGAATGACTTTCTGGACTGGCATTGGTGGTAATTACTATATGTAGTTTATTAACTGCAATCCATTGTTGGATGTGCCTTTATTGATTTGTTTTGCAAACACCCCTTCACATGTGCGGCAGTATTTGTGCAGCCGTATTTGTACGTTACTTTTTAAAGAACCTGTTTCACTTGCTGATGCTGACATTGCCTCTAAAAATGTTAGTTTATAAATTCTCATGTGCCAGAATGTCTCTTTGATCCAAGTAATTTTAGCTGAAATACAAAATCCGTCAACTTTTCTGCTATAAAAAGTTTGCATTCAAATCCTCAGGGAATCCCAAAGTAATGACACAATATTGTTTTTCAAGTAAATAATTTATGGAAATTTACATTTATAAGAGACTTTAGAGATGCTCTATTTTTTAGGTAAGGAGCCAAGGTTCGGGAGGGTTAAAAGTCTTTTGCCCAAATCATGCAGTTGGTTATTGGCTGTAATAGGACACAAATACACATGTCCTGACCCTCTGGTCAAAGACCTCATGCTGCTTTTAATTAAGGCTTGGACTCAATTCGATGGTACCAACTGTATATTTCTTAAGAAGGGAAAAATGTGTATAATCTACCATTTCTGAAAAAATTATTAAAAATTGAGATTGTGAAAGATGGACGTTGTAATCCAGCCCACTTGTCATCACGTGTTCTAATTTGGCCAAGGCAGTTGACAAATAACTGTTAAAATGTATTGTGTTATTAAAAATAACAAAGTAAGACCCATGATTAAATATCAGGGCTGTAATTTAATCTTGGGGGATCTGGTGCTGTTCATAAACCATTTGGCTTTTTTCTGTAACGGATGACGTCAAAATCCAGCTTGATTGAATTATGACCCTGGGTTACAGCAGCACCTGCTGGTGCCTTTTTACTTCATGGCCTGTCAGCATTTCCATTACAAACTTTTTTCTCTGACATTTTAAACTTCAAATAGTTAAACTGGACTGATGGTTGGCATATAAACTTTCTGCTCCTTGGGAAAAGACCACTTGCTCAATAAAAACAGAGAAGGTGGTGACAAAGCCCCATTACAGGATACCCCTTAGAATGTTCTGCTTTGCTTTAATCTTCCATTCATTTAAACATTCTTTTGGGGGGTACTTAGCTGAATTGCAAGGCATCCAAATGGAAGGTTTTTAATCTCAAATTTCCCATGTGAAGACTTAAGTATGGGGTGTTTACAGGACTGGTAAAGTGCAAAAAGACCTAGCATCTATGCAGGTTATTGAAACTCTGGACAATCCAGTTTTCATACAGTGTGTAAAATGCTGAGGAGCAAGCCATGAAAAACATGCAAATTGGCATACCTTGTCAGTAATTGCTTTTATATTCACTTAAGATGAGTAAAAATTGATAATGATTATGGTTAGAAAAGTATCTTTATTTATATTTATATCTGGAGACTGGTAGCATAGCTTCAGTTTGTCCCCTTGGGTTTTAATATGTTGGGAATGGAGATGGGATGTTGTTTGCATCTAGCTAGTCAGCTTTTCATCTATCTAGTCTAATTCTGATTGATGGATCATCATATATATATATGTATATATACACATATATGTATAAATATGTATATACATATATAAATATATAAACGTATATATACATTTATATAAATATATAAATGTATATATACATTTATAAATATATAAATGTATATATACATATATAAATATATAAATGTATATATAAATATATAAATGTATATATACATATATAAATATATAAATGTATATATAATATATATATATATTTAGTACCTGCTATTCTCATATCTCCATGTTAGCAATTAGAGGACATAGAGGGCTTTATGGAAGAGAGAACCTTCTCTCAGAGGGCATATATTCTAACACAGGGGTGTCCAATATTTTGGCTTCCCTGGGC
The DNA here is from genome assembly GCF_000001405.40 of Homo sapiens. NCBI lineage: Eukaryota > Metazoa > Chordata > Mammalia > Primates > Hominidae > Homo > Homo sapiens. Next base: position 55,576,937 of record NC_000018.10, on the reverse strand, counting down.
TACACTGGAAGAAGAAGAATCATCTTGGGCCACACATAAAATACACTAACGATAGTTGATGAGCTGAAAAACTTTTGCAAAAAAACCTCATGTTTTAAGAAAGTTCACGAGTTTGTGTTAGGCTGTAGGTTGGACAAGCTTCTTCTAACAGGAGAAAATAGAAAAGTAAAAATGTGATTAACATCTAGCATTGGGAAGACACAATAATGTGGGAGTTTAGAGAAATGAAAACTTATTTCTTTCATGGGGAAATTAATAATGAAGGGTTCATGGAAAACTCAATTCTAATCCTTGAAGGAATGGTAGAATTTTGACAAGTAGGTAGTGAGACTGAGCGTGCATATCAGGATCACTGTGAACCAAGCACAGATGAAAGAAACTGGAAAGGGTAGATTAAAGAGAGCTCCCAGAAAGAGAAGTTTCTTGGCTCTAAAGTGGAGTCAACTCTGGTCTAGACACATGGGATGATTTCCAGGCAAAAACCCCTGTCTTGGTTGCCGTTTATTTTCTTGACTGAGTTTGCGTTTCACTCGGGGGTGTTACCGATTATAATCCAGTTCCATCCAAAAGTATATGTTTTTAATGGTAGTGTCGGGATGGAAATTGAAGATTTTGTGTCCCTACTTCCCAAAATTCTTCCTATAATATCACTCAGCAGTGGAAACTTTCTTGAGCCAAATGAAGCTGCTTTGGAGAAAATTGTTCATGTAGCCAAATTCTGGAAATCTAGGTTCTTTTGCAATGTTTGCTGGTAAGTAGCTGTTTCATATTGAGGAAGTGGTAGAATCTTAAAGGCTGCACCTCAAAACTAAACAAAATCGAAACTCACCAGTACAATTCAAGAGGGGTTTTCACATTTTTTAAAAAGGAATACTGCTGTATTTAAAACATTTTAAGATTGCAAAAATTCATCATTATAATTTTTATTATCATCACTGGCATCACCATGACCAGTGTCACATTGTTTGGTCAAAAGCTGGAATGGAAATGTGATAGTTATCTTTGCCATATTATATATTGAGAAATGCGTTTAAAACTTTTCCGGAGATACCGTGATCTTAGCAAAAACTAATGTAATATTTGTAAAAACATTGTGAAGTGGCCAGATATACCTTTTAATGAAACTGACCAGAAGTACATCACAAATAGAAAAATACACGTGTGTGTGTATGTGTATACCATCCCTTCCCCCAAATATTGTTCAGATTAAAGTGTCTTTCTCTCTGTGACCTGCAAGTATCTTAACTTAGCATGTGTGTCCAATTTCCATAGTGAAGCCAAAAATTCAAATGATGGTTGATATTGGCTTAGGAAGAATTTATTAATGAATGACTGTGCTTGGTATAGAGTAAAAAAAAAAATTTATGACAAAGAGGATATTCTAGACTCATGTAAAAGATTTCAGTTAAGAACCTATGAATTCCTCAACCTTTTTCTTCACTTTTCAAAAAGTAAAGGATTTATATTGGAAATATTTTGCAACCCTACAACCTGAAACTCAAAGCTTTGGTCAGCAGGTGGTAATAATATTTCCAGGTTGAATATCCAATTTCATACATAACCCAATTTGTAAGTTTGAAAAGAAATATTAAACGATGTCAGTTTTAATGCTTGTTTGAATAATTGTTCTTTGTTATGTGCCCTCTTGGACATTATTGTCCACTAGTGCCCCAAACCATTGAATGCTTTTCTGTTCTCTTATGGCCACTGTGATTCTTCAATCTAGTTACTTCTAACTGCAAGATTAATTTTCTTCTGACATCTAATTTTCCCCTGATTTTATTAACATCTTATTATTCTTTTTCTGGCTCATTTTGAACAATTTCTCTTTTATATGGGGTGTATATTTGTAGTGTCCCACTTGTAAGGGAATTCTACACTTTAATCCTTAGTAATTTTGGTAGAATTGGGATAAGATGAGAGATAGTCCATAATTGTTTAAGGCTTGATTGTTTAAAGAAGGTTGAAAGCTTCAGAAAAGTGGAAGTGGATGAATGCATGCCATGTTCTTATTATTTTTTCAGTGTGAGTGTGTTTCACTGGAGTAACGATAGAGTTATTAGGAATTATTACCTTTAATTTACTTATGTGCACATTCATTCGTCCACTCATTCATTCATTCATTCATTCAGTGAAAGTTTTTTTTTTTTTGAGAGCCAAGATACAAGTTATAGTGCTAGAAATTATGGTGCTACAAAGAACAACAAATTTCAACTTCAGCACTGGGACATTATGTTGCAGTTGTTAAATAAAAGTTCTACAGTAATTCAAAGAAGGTACTTTTGAAATAAATGATGTTGGCCAGGCTGGGTGGCTCATGCCTATAATCCCGGCACTTTGGGAGGCCAAGGCAGGCGGATCATTTGAAGTCAGGAGTTTGAGACCAGCCTGGCCAACATGATTTAATTATTTTGTAGAAATCCCGTTTCTACTAAAAATACAAAAATTAGCTGGGCGTGGTGGCAGGTGCCTGTAATCTCAGCTACTCGGGAGGCTGAGGCAGGAGAATGGCTTGAATCCAGGAGGTGGAGTTTGTGGTGAGCTGAAATTGCGCCACTGCCCTCCAGTATTGGCGACAGAGCAAGACTCTGTCTCAAAAATAAAATAAAATAAAATATGTTGAAATATGCAAGTATACTTTTTCAAAGGACACTTTTCAAATATAACCAAGTACAGACTTCACATTTCTAACTGAAACGGAAATCCTAAAATCTCTGTATATGTGTACATGTTCTATGTGAATATAAAGGAAGGCGAATGGATTTGAATGCTTATGGAAATTGGCCCTTGAAGTGTAGTGTTAGGAATGTACTCTGAAATTTAGTGTCAGAGGTTGTCTGGGAGGCAATGAGAATTAAGTTCCATTCGTCCTTTTTGAGCAGAAATTAAAATTTTGGATGTGTAGATGGTACTCATTTACTTCTAGGACACTAGATATACATGCTTATCTTTTTTATCCCCACACTTGAATTATGTTAATATTTGTGTTTAAATTGATACACAGTAAAATATTCTTTTAAAATTAAGTAGATGATTATTGAGCATCTACCATGTGTCAGGTAATACTTTGGCAGCTCTATATAAAATGATGAGCAAGACAGGCATGTTTCTGATGTTGCCTACATGGAGGACACAGACATTAATGGATAATCAGCCAAAGAAGGTCAAGTACTACATTTGAGAGGTGTGTGGCCTGAGAAGAGTTTGCAATAGGGATATCTGATCAAGGGGAGCAGTCAGGAAGGGCTCAGAGATCAGCCCAGGTGAACTGTGGTCTTACAGATGAGGAGGAGTTAAGTGGATGGAGGTTGCTTGGCTGACAGGTAGGGCATGATTCCAGCCGCTGTGGCTGGTGGGGGTTGGTAGGTGTCAGATCCCGCAAGACTGAGCCACAGGGAGCCTTGACAGTGTGCTGCTAATCAGATTTGTGTCTGGGACATGGACCCAAAGGGGAGTCACTGTGGGTGGCCCACACCAGTTGTGAAGTTTTTGCAGAAGTTTAGGTGAGAGACAGGGTTGCTGGTTCTACAGTGTGGGTGGTAAAGTTGGAGAATTAACTTTGTAGACTTTATTTGAAATCTGTACCTTTAGGTCATTGGGGAGCATTCATAGTGGCTACTTGTTTTTTTTTTTTTTTTTGGTGAAACTTCCTATAACTTTCTAATACTTGAAAATCTACCATACTTTATACATTCCGACAGTAATTATGAGACCTAATTCAGCTGTGTGATAGCCACTGCCTTTTTAGCAACCAAGCACTAACTAGAGAAGTGCTCTTTTATTTTCTGAGAAAAGTTAGATTGAGTTTGCAATTCTGCGAGGGTACAGGGGTGGAAGTGGGTCTTATTGAATGGTCTTCAGTACCATTTTGGCTTTTTTTTTTTGAGACGGAGTTAAGCTCTCATTGCCCAGGCTGGAGTGCAATGGCGCGGTCTCAGCTCACTGCAACCTCTGCCTCCCGAGTTCAAGTGATTCTCCTGCCTCAGCTTCCCCAGTAGTTGAAATTACAAGCATGTGCCACCACACCTGGCTAATTTTGTATTTTTAGTAGAGACAGGGTTTCTCCGTGTTGGTCAGACTGGTCTCGAACTCCCGACCTCAGGTGATCTGCCCACCTCGGCCTCCCAAAGTGCTGGGATTACAGGCGTGAGCCACCGAGCCTAGCCCTGTTTAGGCTTTTTATAGCCTATGTTCTTATGAGCAGTAAACATTATGATGGTTTAGTTAGACCTGTTGAATTGAATTCACTTCTCCTGCCTGTGGTCAGGTATCAGGTAGCACAGCCACAGAAGTTACTGAATGTCTTTGTTGGTGGACTTTAGGAGAGTGGTTTAATTTATGTGGTATTCTATCTGGGATTGCAGCAGTATTGTTAGATTGCATTTTGTCACAGGGAGGAAATTACCTGGTAACTCCTGATTAGGAACAAAATGAAGCTTCCCCTTTTTACAAATCCTGGCTAACATTCCATTTGGCTCTCTTCTGTTGACCACCTCTCTCTCTCCCCTCCCTCCTCACTCCATTTTCTCAGTTATTTTATTGTTTACTATTGGAAGTCACCTCCCAACTCAGGATACTTGTTAGTCCATTTTAGGAAAAATATCACCATTCTTTCACTATTATTCTCTGTTGAAGTTGAAGAACAGAATATTACTTTTTTTCTTTCCATTATTGGTTACACCAGCTAGTTAGAGACTTGGGGTAATACTGTGGGCATGGGTTGGATCCTGATATCTGTGTCAGTTAGTGAGAGTTGGTTCTATGACCCTAGAGCTCTTTGTGTCCTTCAAACGAGGGTGCTGAAACAAGACGAACATAGAACTGTCTATACCAAGCAAAAAACTCCTGAAAGCACATGCCCACTGCAGGTGAATTGGTAGCATAGTGTGGAGATAAGTGGGCAGTGCTTGGTCCTGTTTCTGCCTCCTAGAGAGTACCTCTCAGCATCCAGGGATGCTTTAGTAACTCTTAGTTAAAACGAAATGAACTATAATTAATTACCTTTCTTTTGGGAGGGACACAGAGAGTTTCAACAGCATCTACAATGCTTTTTTTTTTTTTTTGAAAAGAAAATATGATAGAATATTAAGATTGACAGAGCTGGGGATGGGTTGGAGGCTGAATTATGATGTGTGTTTTCTTTATGCTTGAATTATTTCATAATTAAAAACAAAACATATAATAACAAAAAAAAAAACACCCTCTACCTCTCATTCACATTCCCCTCTGGCCATAGCCTCTTTCTTGACTTCCTTCCTAGCAAGACTTTTGTTAAGTGTTTTCTACACAGGCTGCTACTGCATGCTTCAAAATTTAACCCCAAGCAAATATTAGAAAACATATTTTATCTTATAATACTTGATACCTACAGAATAATCTGTGTAACAAATGTAAGTTGTGAAGCTTAATAATGGAGTGAACATCTATGAACCCACCACCAACATAAGTACTGGAGCAATGTCAGATCCATTGGCCGGCCTGTGGGTTTGTTCCCTGTCCACCTTCCCCTATCTTTCCTGCCAGAGAGAAACATTCTCATGCCCTTTTTAAAGTAGTATTGTGACTGGCATATGTATCCCTAAACAATACTGTATGTTGTTTGGTTTTGCTTGTTTTGGAGGATTATAAAACTGATAGATTGTTTTGTGCTACTTGCTTTTTCACTTGGTATGTTATTGTCCATGTTGTTGCATGTGGTGTATGTTAATTTTCTCTGCTGATGAATAGGTTGTAGTTTATTTATGCATGTTCCAGTTGATGAACCTTTGTGTTCCTCTTTTTTGGAACTACAAACTTTCTTGTATGTTTCTCTTGATGCACATGTGTAAGACTTTCTCTGTGGGGTATATGAGTGGATATCTATGAGTAGAATTGTTGGTTTGTAGAGTTACATGAAAGTCCAGCATGGCAGGATAGTGTCCAGTTGTTTTTTAAAGATTCTTACTGATCTGCACTCCCACCTGTAGCATAAAGGATTACTATTGGTGCAGTCTACTGGTATAAAATAGAAAATGTATCCCATTATAGTCTTTTTTTTTTTTTTTTTTTGAGGCAGGGTCTCACATCTCACTCTGTTGCTCAGGCTTGGAGGGCAGTTTTGCAACCTCGGCTCACTGTCTGGTCTCGACTTTCTGGGCTCAAGTTATCCTCTTGCCTCAGCCTCCCGGGTAGCAGGACCACAGGCACACACATCTCACCCAGCTAATTTTTGTATTTTTTGTAGAGAAGGGGTTTCACCATGTTGCCCGGGCTGGTCTCGAACTTCTGAGCTCAAGCAATTTGCCTTCCTTGGCTTCCCAAAGTGCTGAGATTATAGGCATGAGCCACCACACAGGGCCGCATTGTGGTCTTAATTTGCATTTCCTTGATAATTCGGTTAAACAACTTTGTATATATTTATTTCAGATCATTCATGTCCACTCTGTGGAATCTACCCCGCCCCCATTTTCTATTGGGTTATTTGTTTTTTCTTATTGATTTCTAGGTGTTCTTGATATATTTTTGGATGATAATTATTAGTCATACATGCTGCAAATACCTTCTCTTATTTTGTGACTTTTACTCTCTCTATGGTAGCTCTTGATAAAGTCCTTAAATTTAAGATAGTCACGTAATTATTTTGAAGGGTTGGAAAAGCCTTCTTACCCCAAGGTTGTACATATATTCTCTTGTATGTTTCCTCTGAAAAGGATTTGATAATTTTGCCTATCACATTTAAGTTTTCCATGCAGTTGGGATTGATTTTGTGTGGAAATCCATTCACACGTACTGAAAAGTCCATCCTTTCTCCAGTCATTCACAATACTATTTCTGTGATATTTTTAGTTCCTGTATTTGTGGGGTCTTTCCTTCTGGGCCTTTTATTCTACTTGGTTAGTTTGGCTACCTTGCCTCGGTATCACATTATAATAAATGTTATAACTGTATTTTGTTGTTTGTTAGGTAAAGCCCTTCCTCCCCACTTTTCGTGTCCCATATGTACACATTTGACTTTGGGCTATTGTGGAGCCTGAGTTCTTCTACGTGAATTTAAAATTCAGCTTGTCAAGGTCTTTGAGAACCCTTTGAGGCATTTTTATTGAAGTTGCATGGAAACTAAAGATCAATTTTGGGAGAATTATTATGCATTTAATGATTATCTCTACTCATTTATATCTCCATTGTTTTAGGTGTCTGATATCTCAAAACAATTCTTTATAATTTTTTAGCTGTAATTTCGTAATTATAGTTTTATAATTTTCTCCATGAAGTTTTACATTTTCTGATGATTTATTCTTCAGTACCTTATTTTTCTGTTTCTATTATTACCAGTATATTTTTTTAATTATTCAAATTATTTGTTACTTGTATATAGAAAGTCTTTTTTAAAATTTTTATTTATTTTTTATTTTTAGAGATGGAATCTCACTCTGTTGCCCGGGCTGGAGTGCAGTGGCGTGATCTTAGCTCACTGCAACCTCTGCCTCCTGGGTTCAAGTGATTCTCTTGCCTCAGCCTCCCAAGTAGCTGGGACTACAGTTGCCCGGCACCACACCTGGCATTCAATTGATTTTTGTATATCAATTTTCATATTCAGCCATGTTGCTGAGCTCTCTTATTAGTTCTAAAAATGTCTTTGTGTTTTCCTTAGAGTTTTTTCTGTAGATCTGTCACATCATGTGTGACTCAAGACAATTTTATTGTTTTTTCCTTTCAAACCCCAATACTTGGCCTTTTTTTTTTTTTGTCTTTACTGTGCTATATATGACCTTAAGTACACTGTTAAATAGGAATGGCAATACTGATTATCTTGTCTTATTCCTGATTTTCACCATGAATAGTGATGTTGATGTTGATAGATACTTGATTAAGAAAGTTTCATTCTATTCATATTTCATGAAGAGTTTTTATCATGAACAGGTATTGAATTTTATCAAATACTTTTTCTACATAAAATTAAATGATGACTTCTTTATTTCCTTTAATCTGTTAATGTCGTGAGTGACATCCGTATATTTTCCTGTGGTAAGCCACCTTTGCATTTTGTGGATGAAATTAATGATGTAGCTTCATTACTCTTTTAAAAATATTGTCCTGGACTCAATTTCAAATATTTTCTTCAGTATTTTTACATCTATGCTTACAAGTAAGATTGGCATATAATATTTTTTTCCTCCTACTTTCTAAGTCTAGTTTTGTCTACAAAGTTAGAATAAGGAAGTGTTCTCACTCTGTATTCTCTGGAATAGTCTTAAATAAGGATGAAACAATCTGTTCTTTGAAATTAGGTCAAACTTATCTGTAAAATTGGTCCTAGTATAAGAAGATTTTAAGCCACTGATATAATTTTTAAATATAATAATATTGAGAGTGAGAGCTTTACTTTTTCTGCAGATACTTTAACAATTAAATATATATATAAACTTATATGGATGTGTGTGTGTATAGATGTGTGTGTTGTATACATATATATGTAATATATGTCAGTTTTCTCTCTATTTCATTTACATTTTAAAATTTATTACCATAAAGTTATACAAAGGTATTCTCTTAGCTTTTTAATCTCTGCTGACTCCATAATTTTCATTTTTCATTCATAACTTTATTTATGTATTCCTTCTTTTTTTCATGATCAAGCTAATTTGAAGTTTTTCTTATTTATTACTCTTTTCAAACCAACTTTTGGCTTTGTGGATTATTTTTCTTGTGTGTTTTCTACTTCATTAATTTTTAATCTTTGTTATTTCCTGCTTTCTATGTACTTAGGCTTATTATTCTGTTTTTTTTTTTTTCTAAATAGAGTTGACTACTTAGTGCACTAATTTATCATAATTTCTTTTTATAATATAAGAATTTAAGGCAATATAATACCCTCTGATGACTGTGGTGACTGTATTACATAGGTTTTAATTTATTACATTTTCATCATCTTATAAGTATTTTAATATTTACAGTATGATTTCTTCTTTGATACTTGCAATATTTTTTGGTGCCTTCAAAATTTTACAAATGAATGTATTACTTATCTTTTTATTATTGACCTCTATTACAATTTAATTGTTGTCAGAGAACTATTCTGTATGGCAACAGTTCTTTGATATTTGTTGAGGCTTGCTTTGTTGCCAATTTTGTGAATCAGTTTTAAAAGTTCCATTGTGTGCTTCAGAAGAATGTGTACTCTATGAATTCAGGGATCTATATGTGTCCAGAAATTAAAGCTTGTTGATTGTGTCCTTTTTTTTTTTTGAGATGGAGTCTCGCTCTGTCTCCCAGGCTGGAGTGCAGTGGCGCGATCTCGGCTCACTGCAACCTCAGCCTCCTGGGTTCATGCAATTCTCCTTCCTCAGCCTCCCAAGTAGCTGGGATTACAGGCGTGTGCCAACACACCCAGCTAATTTTTGTATTTTCAGTAGAGACTGGGTTTCACCATGTTGGCCAGGCTGGTCTTGAACTCCTGACCTCAAGTGATCCACCCACCTCTGTTGATTGTGTCTTAAAGTCATCTCTACATTTGCTAATATTCGAAATCTGCCTGACATATTTGTTATTGAGAAAAGTAGATTGAAATAATTTGCTATGATGATGAATTTATAAATTTTTCCCTGTATTTCTATTTTGACTTTATACATATTGAAATTATATTATTACATGCATTCATTTTAAGAATTACTATATTTTCCTGGTTAATTAAACCCTTTATTCAGTTTGTATGTGGCTATTCTCTTTCTGCCCTTTTATCTTAAACTCTGTTTTGTCTGATATTGGTATAATTATTGCACTTCCCTTTTGTGTAGTATTTGTCTATATATCTGTTTTTTAATTTTTTGTTTTCAGTTATTCCATGTTGCTATGTTTTAAATATGCAGAGTGGCATTTTATTTTTCTTAGTATTCTGATGGTTTTATTCTACTGTTTTCTGAATTTCCCTGTGGCTCATAAGAAGTTCAGTATCTTTCTGATTGCCATTCTTTTCTAGTAGATCTACCCTTTTCCCTGACTGTTTTTTGGCATTTAGCAGTTTTACTGTAATGTATCTATTTGTGAATTTTAAAATTCTATTTGGTCTACATTGTTCTTCATGCATCTGTGGCTTCATGTCTCCCTCCAATTCAGAAAAATTATCAGCTTTTATTTCCTTAAATATTCTGACTCCTTTATTCATTCTGTTCTCTTCTTTGGGGATTCCGATTACATGTGTGCTTGACCTTCTTTTCTGTCCTTCATTCTCTTAACTTTTCTCTCATATTTTCAGTCCCCTTGTATCTGCTGCATTCTGGGTAATTTCTTTAGACCCATCTTCCAGTTTACAAATTCTCCCTTCAGGTTTCTCTAACGTGTTATCTAATGCAATGATTAATTTTTTTTATTTCATTGCTTACTTTTTCATTTCTAAAAGTTCCATTTGGTTCTCTCTAAATTATGCCTACTAATTTTTAAATACTTTCTTATTTCTTGTTCATTTTTGTGATTCTGTCTTTAAGTTCTTCTTGTATTTATGACAGTTTTTGTATTATATGTATTTATTTATGTGTATAAATTTATAGGGTACAAGTACAAAACGTGACATGCATAGATTGTGCAGTGGTCAAGTCAGGACTACATTGTACCCATTAAGTAATTTCTTAGCCACCCGCCTCCTGCCCCTCTACCTTTCCGGATCTCCGTTGTCTCTCTGCCCACTGATAGACTACATCCATGTCTATACATTTTTATTTTTATTTTATTTTTATTTATTTTTTAGTTTTTGAGGCAGAATCTCGCTCTGTCGCCCAGGCTGGAGTGCAGTGGCATGATCTTGGCTCACTGCATGCTCCGCCTCCCTGGTTCACACCATTCTCCTGCCTCAGCCTCCCGAGTAGCTGGGACTACAGGCACCCGTCACCACGCCGGGCTAATTTTTTTTTTTTTTTTTTTGTATTTTTAGTAGAGATGGGGTTTCACTGTGTTAGCCAGGATGGTCTCGATCTCCTGACCTCGTGATCGCCTGCCTCAGCCTCCCAAACTGCTGTGATTACAGGCGTGAGCCACCGTATCTGGCCATCCATGTCTATACATTTTTTAGCACCCACTTATGAGTGAGAACATGTAATATTTGCCTTTCTATGTCTGGTTTGTTTCACCTAAGATAGTGACCTCCAGTTTCATCCATGTTACTACAAAAGACATCATTTTATTCTGGTTTTTTTTTTGGCTTCATAGTATTCCATTGTGTATATATGCTACATTTTCTTTAATAATTGTAAAATAGACTATGCAATTTTATAGATATTTTCTAACAAATCCAATGCTTAAATTCCATGGGCTTGAGGTAGTCTTGTTATTTCTACTAACCCTCACTTAAGCTTCTTTGTTTTGCTTTTGTGAGATGCTTATGAATTCACATCTGGTGGGTATTGAATCTATGAAAATCTGGGAGTCTAAAGTGAGAATACTTTCTCCAGAGAGGAATTGCTTTTGCTTCATAGTCTCTTTCCTACTCTGGGAGTCCTAGTCTTCTTATCACAGTGCTGATACTGGCATTTGCTCTCAGAGCATCCCTGCTTCTTGTGCCTACCTTTCAGTATTGAAAACTCAAGTTTTGTTTTATTTTTTGGTGCTTTCAAGATTTCCTTATTTCTTGCATTTATACTTTTGGAGAATTTTTTTTTTTTTTAATGTTGAACATTGGTTGTTTTGTAGTGTGAGAGGCCTTGGGTGTATTGTCATACTTTTGGAAGCAGAATTCTGATTTACTCTTTAACCCTTTTCAGTCTGACTTCTGTCACCATTTATTCCAATGAAACTAGTTGTGCTAAGATTACCTATAACTCCCATTCTTCCCAGCAACTTTAGAGAAAATGTTCTTTTTAAAAAAATGGAAACTCTGTGCTTCTAGATTCTGCACAACACAGTTTCCTCTCCTAGTGTTCTTTCTGCCTCTCTTTTGTTGGAAGAGGAAATGTTGGGGATCTTACCTGGGCTTTCTTTTTCTCTTCTATTGAGAGGCAGTTTGGTGCAGTGCCTCAATCTGGAATCAGACTGAGTTGTTATCATCTGGTTATTAGCAATATGACCTTGTTTTCTCACTGTAAAATGGATAGAAATAGGGTTGTTGGGAGAATTCATTAACATAACACTTGCCATGCACTCAGCCCATTTCTAACACATAGTAGGCATCCAGTACATGTCTACTTTTATTCTCTGGTACATTATCTTCTTAAGTCATCTCTTGTTTCCAAGATGACAGCTCACGTATATATTGCTCCAGTATGATCTGTGCATCTCAGAGTCAGTTTGTAGAGCCATCTGTATGTTATATTTGATTTTCTTCTGTCTCCTTAATGTATACCTTCCCTAGGCTTCTGCATATAGGAAATGACACTGCCATGCACCTAGATGATTAAACCAGTTCCGGACACTTTGACCTTATCATTTGTGTTACCATCTCACATGATAATTGTGAGTTGTGCTCTCCACATCTGCTTTCACCAGTTGAGTTCAAGACACCATCATTTCTTGCCTGGTCTACTCTAGTAGCCTCCTAAGTACTTTCTGCACTTTGACTTCTTCCCTGTTGAATCCATATTTCACAGCAACCAGAGTGATTTTTTAAATAAGAAAGTCAAACAGAGCATGCTTTCTCCCAGCTTCAATGTTTTTCTCATAGTGCCTAGAATAACTTCTGTTCTCCTTAATATGGACTTGAGGTACCTCTACAACCTCATTTGGTTTCCTTCTGCTGCTGTATACTGTTTGGCTACATTGGGATTCTTCTAGGCTTTGGACTTTGTCAAGCTTTTTCTTGATTCAGGGCCTTTGCACATGCAGTAGAACACATCTTCTCTCACTCTGCGTGGCTGATTCCATTCAGAGCTCATCTGAAATGCCACTTTCTCACGGCGACTTTCTTTTATTTCCTAGTTTAATCAAGACTCTTTGGTTCAGTGCGTGCTGAATTTGCTTAATAAATGATTCCATAAACATACATATTTTGAATAGAATCTGCTGATTAATAGGAATGATAGTTCTGTGAGATCATGCTCATTTTAAATTTAGTCATAGTGTCATTGGAAACCACTACATGTCTTTTCTATTCATTTAATGAATTTTCAAGGTCATAAAAATTTCTGATGATATTATAATTTTTGCATTTGCAAATACACTTTGCATAGTATTTATTGCTGGATAAAATATTGGCCCAAATCAGGGGTTGGAGAACTGACATTCACTGAGCACCATATGTCACGTTCTCTTACCTTAATATCGTATGTTAGGCCCTGAAATCTAGTTATCCCCGAGTCACTGAAGAGGAGCTGAGATTCAGAGATTCCCCTAGGCTGGCCAAGGCCATACCTTGTGGAGGGCACAGCCTAAGTTTAGTCCAGGAGTTTGAACTCTAAGGAGAGAACTCTTTCCATATCTGCTGCCTTATTTCTTCTCTAAGCAAACTCCTTAAGTTCACAAAGTTCTTTCATGTGTATTACTCATAATATGTATGTCAAGTTCTAGAGAGTGCAGGGCATTTTTGACATTTTATTTTGGATCAAGCTTTCATTCACTAATTTTTTATTTTTCTGAGCATCCCTTTGAGGTCCTTGAATTCACGGATGAGAAAAATTAAACAATCAGTGATTAAGTGGACTCTCTGTGAAGTTACACAATGGAATATTAAATTGTTGATGGATATTTTTTATTAGCCAGAGAAAGAAAAAACGCAGACTTTTTTTTTTTTTTTTTTTTTGAGACAGGGTCTCACTCTGTTGCCTGGGATGGAGTGCAGTGGTGTGATCACGGCTCACTGAGGCCTCAATCTCCTGGTCTCAGGTGATCCTCCCACCTCAACCTCCCAACTAGCTGGAACCACAGGAGTGCACCACCACAGCTGGCTGATTTTTGTATTATTGTAAAGACAGGGTTTCAGCATGTTGCCCAGGCTGGTCCGTAACTCGTAGGCTCAAGTGATCTGCCTGCCTCGGCCTCCCAAAGTGTTGGAATTACAGGTGTGAGCTACTGTGTCTGGCCCAAAGCATTTTTTATTCCAGTAGTTGTGTCAGTCTGTTTTCTTTCTATGTATGTATGTATAATTTATGTATCTATGTATCTGCCTGTCTATCTACCTATCTCTGGTTAAATATGTTTTAGAAAAAATGTAACTAGCACAACTAGGCCTGGACTTATAGATATTATTTATGGTAGAAGGCTAAGTTGTTTATTTTTTTAAGTTAATTATTTATAAAGAAAAATATTAACCATATACAAGTACATTTAGTACTTAGTTATGGCAAAAATCAAGAAGGTGAAATAGATATGGAAAATGTGATTGGGTGAGTTGGTTTTATTGGACTGGTAGGGTGTGCCCTTGGCCAAACCAAAGGCCAGAGGGTACAAGGAAGTCAGGGGGACACACTGCTGGGGAGATAGAGAGGGGGCTGCCCAGTTGTGAGGGGAACTAACTTCTTGTCCAGAACTTCCCTAGGGCCTTCCCTGGCTCTTGCCTTCTTTGCTGTATATTTTGGTTACTGGCAGGACACTGGTTCAAATATACATTTCCGTGGTTTGATTTTATAAAGCTAAAAAAGCCTCATGCTAATATTCAGTCTCTTATGTTATGAATGTTACCATTTTACCTCTTAGCTATATAGGTATCTATAAAGGACATTTTTTAAAAATGAAAATCATCCTTCCTCAGTAAAGAACTAGAGAATAAACATGTTTCTGAAAGTAGAATGATGTGGACTAGAGCAGGGGTCGGCAAACTTTCTCTGAGAGGGGCCAAATGGTAAATCTTTCTGGCTTTGTAACCACAGACTCTCTGTTGCAAATACTAAATTCTGCTGTTGTAGCATGAAGCCAGTTATAGACAGCAAAGAAACCAATGAGCATTACTGTATTTTAATAAAACTTTATTTGCAAAACAGACAGTAGTTGTATTTTGCCCAGGGGACTGTAGTTTGTAGACCCCTAGATGAAAGAAATGTATCTTAGGGCCTCCCCTCTTAGCCCTTTCCATCATCAGCAATGTGATCTTGGACAATATACTTTAAGTCTTAATGAATTTATTCATTTGAAAAACTGACATTTTATTTTAGATCAGGCTTTTCATTCACTAATTTTTTATTGCTCTGGACATCACTTTGAGGTCCTGGAATTTACAGATGAGAAAAATTAAACAATGAATGAGGACAGTTTTCTTGTATGAGGGATTTTTGTTTTCTTCATATTTTTAATGTGTTTAATATACTGGAGTGAGCATGTCTTATTCTTGTTAACAGACAAGCTATCTAAAAATTAAAACACAAACTAAAAGTAGAGGAAGATTGTTATGAGAAACATGTCATGTATGTGAAATACATTTTATAAGGAATAGATTAGATTCTTTATGGAACCAGGATGGGTATAAATACATCACTAGATAAATATTAAGTAGGAAGATCATTATGGACAAAGATTGTTTCTTAGGAATTTTGCATCGTATAGCACTGTGTTAGACAGAGTCCTTAACTGATTATTTTTGTAGCATTTGTTTACACATTCACTTATTAATTAATTTTGCCAATGTATTGAGCCATCTATGGAGATGTGTGGAGGTCTGTGTTGAAAGCTTGAGATAGAAAAAATGAGAAATAAAATAGTTTTGGATCTCGAGGCACTCACATTGAAGGAGATAAACATGTATATAAAATATTATCCTATTGTATGATAAGTTCTCAATTAGAAGCATGTATGTATAGGGCACCACTAGGAAATCTGTATCATTGGAGTAGAGGGAAGCTAGGCAAGAGACCTGCACAGAGTTTGAGCAGTTGGGTCTTGAAGGATGAGTAGGGATTCTTAGACAAAAGAAGATTGAAAGGCAGCTTGAGCTGAGGGAAATGTCTGTGCAATTGTGAACTTTACAAATCATAGGTAGTTCTGTAAGATTATAACTGGAGTCATGAAGACAGGTGAAGGATGGGATACTCAAAGTTTGGCTAGGGCCATGCAATGAAAGCCAGGGAATTTGAACATATTCAGAACCATGGAATGCTTTGGGAATCTAATGAAAGATATGATACATTTCTATAGGAAAATCATCTTACATAAAAATTTCAATATTTTGCTACAGTTTTAGGAATAAGGATGTAGTGATCACTTTATGAACAGTACAGACTTTTTATATGGTTCCCTTCTGAAAAAAAAAAGGAGTTCACAGATAGACACATACTTCATCATCCTGCTTGATGGTGGCAGCAAATGCTCTGGATGCACTTATGTGAAGTTTATCATGACTTTATTACTTAAGAGCCTGGGAGTATATGAGATTGTGCCATACTGTTATTTATAATTTCCTCAAAGAGATGGCTAGGCATGATCAGAGAAGCCTTCTTACTGGTAGATGTCCACATATGTCAGTTGCCTAGGCATGATCAGAGAAGCCTTCTTACTGGTAGATGTCCACATATGTCAGTTGCCTAAATGCTGGAGAAGTCACGTGGCTTCGGATAGAATTTCCTCATTTGTAAGATGGTGCTCCTCAAAGGACCTACCTGCCATTAGAGTGGTAAGGATTGAATTAACTCTTCTGATGACAGCACTGAGCCCTAAATTTAGCACATACTAAGAGCTCAATAAATGTTAGCAGTTAATACCCTTATTAGAATTATGAAAAGTCGGTAATTTCATTCATGTATGTTCATATATGGAGTGCTCACAAATACTTGAATTCTTTTATTGAACATGTGAGTTAGTCTTGCATTACGCACTGCATATATGTCCATGTATTTCTGGATCATCATGGGTCATTTGTTTGGAATAAAACTTCATTTACGGAAATCGTCTGTACAGCCCTGGTTAATTTTTTCTCTGTGATGGGTTGCATTACATATTTTCTATATAAAACAGCAATGGTGAAGATAAGTTAACTAATGAATATATATTATTATGTGCTTTTATTTTACAGCTTCTAATATTCAGTGGGGAAATTTTTCTTGTTAAGAGACAATGGCAAGGCCAGTTGGCCTAAAATTAGATCCAGCAGCTGTGTTTTGAATCAAGGCCCCACATGTGCACTTTATACTCCCCACCCCCTGCGCTGGGCTTGTCTGCTTCTTTTTCTTGCTTCAGGAGGCAGCATTTTTGGGTGAATGTTAACATTCATGTTTTTCCTAGTACAACCAGAAAGGTGCTTCTGTTTAATTGTAAGGCAGGTTTATTTACATTTACGGAATGGAAAAAAAGATTTATTTAATTATTAATTTTACAAAACCACCCTTTAGCACCAAGCATAAAACTTTGGAGCCCAAATCAAGGCACTAGGTCACTTATAATTTGATTTCTACCAAAATAAGTTTTTTTTTTTTTAAAGAAAAAACCCTATGATAATTTTTAACATTTTTGACAGCTACAAGTAATTTAAGTTGTGTTTTATCAGTTTATATTCAGAAGCCAATGTTAACTGGTGTTAATTTTATAGGTCCTAGTTTCTTTGTATTTCTTGCCCTACTGTTTGGTTAATAAACCTTTTTTAAAGAATATATTCATGTACACACAACATTATCATGATTCGGTTTAAGTATCCGTGTTTATAAGTGCACTTCATTTCACCTAATTATGTTATTTATTCATTTACACATTAGCAACGTACTACATATTCCACTTTTACAGGAACTTATTTTAATTATACCTACAGTTCTGTTCTGCTCCATTATATCATAGATCAAGCTGAATAATAGCAGTCTTAAAAGGCATATGCTAAAAGTGATTATGGGTCATTAAGGCCAAATTAAGGTAACATTTCTGATAGCCACAAGCAGAAGTCTAACTTACAATTACTTTTTTTTTTTTTTTTTTGCTTTGGGGAACGTGTTCTAGTTGGCTTTGATGTTGACGGTCTCATGGTTGAATGCCTAGTGGGTGTATGGATTGATCCTTGATCAGACTGATTTTTTTTTTTTTTTTTAGGGGGGAGATATATACAAACCATACTTTTTATTTATCCAGAAATCTGTATTTATCCAGAAATAGTCTATTCAATGACTTTACTGCCATATTTCTCAAAATGTATGCTTTTTCTTTAGCCCTCTCTCTTCCTGCCTGCCATTAAGAGTCACACAGGCAACCAATCTCCCCATCTAGGAAAGTGAGTACTAGAATGCATTAAAGTCACTTTTTTATTGATCATTAGCATAAAGCCTCATTGTGCCATTGGAGAGTGACCTAAATAAGTATATCACATCCTTTCAAAGAGAAATGCCCCATGGAAACCATACCTAAAAACGATAACAATAACTAACAGAATCTGCGTTTTAATGAGTTGATTTTTAATTCTTGTTTCGATTGGCCCAATGTAATCTATTAAGAAATTAAAGGGCATCTTTCAAGCTTATCCATATACTTTTATAATCAGGATGTGTGACTCTAGTGTTGTTAATTTTATTTTTGAGAAATACTTAGATTTTGTATGGGCATAAGTAATTCAAAATTATTTTGTTGATTTTATAGACATTTTACTAGGGAGATCCATTGTTGTTACTTATTTTCTAGTTTCATAATTGCTGATTAAAATTAATAAGATTCAAATGGGAAAATGACAGTAGAAATATTCCAATTTAGAGTTCTTAGTAGGTTGGCTTACTTTTTGCTGGATTTATGATGATTTTCCTACATACTCAGATTTGGAAGATACAGCATCATAAAATAAACTGTAGTTTATATGGAACCTCTACATTTTGGTTGGAGATACAAGTTTCTACTGGCTCAGAAATTTTTTCTTTTAGTTTTTGATTTTTTTTAGAGACAGTCTCACCCTGTTGCCAGACTGGAGTACAGTAGTAGGATCCTAGCTCACTGCAGCCTCGAACTCCTGGGCTCAAGTGATCCTCCTACCGCCGCCTGCTGAGTATCTGGGAATACAGGTGTATGCCACCATGCCCAGCTAGTTTTTCATTTTTAAACTTTTTGTAGAAATTGAATCAAACTATGTTGCCCAGGCTGGTCTGGAACTCCTGGCCTCAAGTGATCCTCCCACCTTGGTCTCCCCAAGTTCTGGCATTTAAAGAACTCAGCCCAGCTCATGTAATTTTTAAATATTCCCACTCCATGTGATTACTTCAGTCTGGACATGTCAGACTGAACTGTCATTTCAGTTTACATGTCAATTTGTCTTTCATGTAAAAAGGGGGAAAATAGGAATATATGCTTATATTTTGTTGTATCTGCATTTAAAAAAACACAAGAAACCAAAGTGGTTACCTGAGTAGGGGTGGGGAAGGCAGTAAAGAATAGTGTGATGGGGATGAGACTTCCAAATAGATAACTTTTTGTATTATTTTGACCCTTGAACCATGTGAATGTATTTTCTCTAAATATATTTAGATTTGTTTTTGAACAAGAAAAAAATTGATAGCAGCTATGAACATTTTTTTCTTTTTTTCATTTTCCTCCTTGATATAAGTTACATTTTAATTGTCTTTTGGATTGTTTTCTTCAGAATTTTAATCATAAAATAAATGAAATAAATAAATGCAATCATCATTCCATTCCTATCAGTAATTTCTATTAGTGTGGCTTTTTCTGTGTTTGTTTTTGTCATTTAGAGATGGCATCTCCCTATATTACCCAGGCTGGACTCCAGCTCCAGGGCTCCAGTGATCCTCTTGTGTCAGCTTCCTGAGTAGCTGAGACTACAGGTGTACACTACTGCTCCCTACTTTGTGTGTGTGTGTCTGTGTCTGTGTCTGTGTGTCTGTGTGTCTGTGTGTTTGCATTAGTTTATGGGCAACTAGAACACGTTAGATGCTTTTAAGCATCGATTTGGATAAAGAAGCAGTATTAAAAATCCAACTGATGCCATACTTCATGGAAGAAAATCATTGCATTAAACAGGAATTACACATACCGATATGAATTAGTTGATCCAATGGTCCTTTGAAATGGAAGTTACATTTTTAGGAGATGGGTATAGCAAAAGCAGAGGTGTTTTTGGATGATGAGCAATAAATAGGGGGTTGTTCCTAGATTCCCAGAGACTTACATAAAGTTGGGAATGGGAGAAGTAAGTGATGGGGACAAGCTAAATTTTAAATTACTCTTAAAGTACTTTGTTTAGATTATATTAACCTGTCAATGTGACTAAAATGTCAACAGAATTCTCTTAAGTTTTACAGATTTGTAGATGCTAAATGCTCATGAACTGAACTGAATAACAGTAATGAGGTATGATGATTTGGTAATTTTATTTTAATTAGCAACATGAGTAACTTTAACCTTTATTTAAGAAAATAAAGGTAATATACACATGTGTATTTATTATACAATGGGAAAAGTTCCCTTTGAAATTCTCCATGTGGTTTGGTGTATTGGCTTATGCCTGTAATTCCAGTACTTTGGGAGGCCAAGGCAGGTGGATAGCTTGAGCCCAGGAGTTTGAGACCAGCCTGGGTGACATGGTGAAACCCCATCTCTATTTTAAAAAGAAAGAAAGAAAGAAATTCTCAGTGCAACAGTCTTTAAATCATGAAACTGTTCAGTTGGAGAATTTGCATTTGCTTATTGATAGCTGCATATCTACTATTGTGAATTTAATATCTTATTTATTTACATTTATGAATATAATACTATTGAGAAATTAGGCTCTATTCTTTTTACAGTGGCATTTTTACTGATTGATCTAGTCTCATCAAATATAACTGAGATGTGGAAGCCATTATCATAGTTCTTAAACACTATTGCTCTTGAGCAGGGGATGTGAGATACAGAGCATTGTGGAAAAAAATGCTATTCTGGAAAACCACTCACTCCTTTGAAAGTCAAAGAGAATAAACAATGTGGAATTTGAAAAAAAAATCACACTGAAAGATAAAGGTATATAAGCTCACTTAACTATTAATGATACAAATTAATCTGCAAAGAATTAAAAGCAGCTTTGTTAATGGCAGAAGACACATGCAGTTAATAAGGACATTACTTCTCATTTGGGGTTAGATTGGCTTCTCCTTTATTAATATCTGTTTAAACTACAAATAGAAAGAACTCCATTCTTACCAGACTTCTTGTCACAAGACCCAGTCTCTAAAGAGAAATATCATTGATAGGAAACCAGAAAGACTAAATAGATGTATTTGGTCTCACAGGCAGTCCATTAATTTGCTCAAATTAAATATTATCTTTAAATATTGAAAGGTTAAATGTACACCGATAATGGATTTAGACAGCTATTAAGCTGTAATTGCTTTCTAATGCAGTTACTAAAAGACATTTGATATAACATATTGAGAAGGAAGGATTAGAGACTTCTCTACCTCAGTTTTAACTGAGAGTTTTATGGCTTTAATTCTGGCAGTTGTAGGAATTGGATAACAACAGTTTTTATGAGAACGCACACAATATGCATAAAATATTCAGTGGGCAGATTGTTGAGGGAATGCATTATGTACAGTGTATTTATGTTCATAGTTTTTGCAAATCTGTACCAGCAGTACTATCAGATCAACTATTCACCCTAAATATTTTTCTATTAGATCTAAAAGTCGTATTTCTGAAAATGTTACCATTTTATGGTTTCGACCCCTCTAAGCTGAATTAATGTGTTTTGTGCCCTGGATATATGGTTACAGTAGTGACCAAATTAATTTGAAAACTTCTCAGTCTGTTGGAGAGTCACATCTAGTTCAGGTAGTCAAACTGATGGCTTTCCCTGCCTGGGTAGGCAGCTTTCTTTTTAGTATTCGCATTGTTTGAATTTGTAGTATGAGATTTTCACATTTTTACAGGTTGCATTTTGTGAGTTGAGTGTCTAGCTGTGACAAATTATTGTTAACCTAAGAACATATGCTGATTGATACAGTCAGCCACTTGCCTCCAGAGTTCAATGGAAGGACAAAAAATTTTTGGAAAAGAAATATGAATGAGAGCTAGGCTCTTCAAAACATATTTTCCTGGTGAATTATTTAAACATAATCTAAGTATGAGTATGGGTCAGGAAAAAAAATTACCTGCAGTTAAGATATCAAGCCAAAGTATTTTTTGAATTGAATAAAGAAAGGGAAGGAAAAAGCCTGCTGTTGATCCCTGTCACTCATGTTTTTGTATTAATAGGCAGCATCTGCTATTTGTTCTATTAATGTTTTATATTAACATTTTCATTTAGTTTCCTTTTTAAAATGGTGAAGTTACAGAATTCACTTTGGTTTCACAAACCTTTATGGAGAAATAAATGCATATGAAGATCTGTTCTGGGGCCTGGGGAAGATGTTTAAATTCCAGGTGATGCCAGGGCCACTGCATGGCACCCCCTGGGGTTGTACATGCACATTGTATATGGCAGCCGCTTGCTTCCTTCAAAGAAGAGTGTGATAATATCTGTGCTTTCTGTTGAACTTTCAGAGTACTTCCACAGATATGTTTTTAATACTTTTAAATCCTCAGAAATAATTTGATTATTTCAGTTTTATACATGAGAAGTCATGTTCAGAGGAGTACACACGAATATAAGGCAGAAAATAAAAAATATAAGAATTTCATGGATTACAAAGAAATAAACCACTACTTCCATTCACTGTAAACCAGAGAAGAATATATAGGGAAGTTAGAATTCAGTGTGTACCCTTATTAATAAAACTAGTGTTTTATTAATAAACTATAATAAACTAGTGTTTATTAATAAATTAAATTTTTTCAAATTTTTTCTGCTTTCTCAATAGATGCTCTATTTTCTCCCCTCCTCCTATTCCACCCTAAAATTAAAAGAGAAAATACATTTCTAAATTTTACTGAGATAGTTAAGCACAGAATGGAATGGCATTACCCATAAGAGTCTAATATATAATGTTTATAATCCTTTAAAAGTAGAATTAGGGTTCTGTCATCTCAATATACTATGCTGACTTTGAGATTTCTTTTAGTCATTAAATCTGTTCTGCAAATCTTTTTTAAAAAAATTATGAGTGACTTTATGTTTTGTTTTAGATAATTTTATCACTACCATCTAACTAATTTTTCTTTATGTATTTTCAAAAATTTAATAATGAATATGATTGCAATATGCTTTGAGACCAGGATAGATGCTTGCTTGTTTTTTTCTTTTCCTTTAGACTATCATCTTTTACATACCTTTCTCTTTCTCTTAAAGTAAGTGGAAAAATTGGATTCATTGAATTGGTCTTGATACTATCTAGGGTTATAACATCCTAATATTCTGTGAGTCTTATTTTAGGACTTGCATATTTAATACAGTTTTTAAGTCTTTGATCTCCTAAATATGCTTATAGCAGCCGCTACCTTCACCACACCCAAATCCTTGAATGTTATGATACATCATACTACTCATGCTGGATATTTACTGATCTGCTGTGTTCAAGACAGACTGCTGAGCTTCGTAAACTTTACCACCCAAACTAAAGACAGAGAGTAAATACATAAACACAGGGAGTTGGGGACTTGGCTGAAAATTGCCACCCAAAGCTTGAAATTTATTTGCATGCTGGAACAAAGAATATCCATGAACTTGAAACTCAGGATGACGTATGTTTGATGTTTATCCTGTATCATTATGTATTCTAGGGCACCACTTCTGTATACCCAGATGGAAATCCCAATTTTAAAGCAATGCTCTTGGGTATTGAGGGGTATATTTGCGAAGTCACAGTCATCATTTATTCCATGTTCCCTTGCCTTCTTTTCTGTCAAGTACTCTGAGAGTCTTGATGTTGAGGATTTATTGGAAGCAAACGTTGTTACCTAAATGAAGTCTAGTGAACAAAACCACCAAAAGAGGACATGAAGTGACTGCTATGTATGTATATATGATATATTTTTCCTCAGAATTATCTAAGTGCTTTGGTTGGTTGCAAATGTGGAATTTTGCTGTTTGTCTCTAAGTCACTCTTATAGAAATGATCTGTGTGTGTGATACCATAGGATGTGCTTCCACTGGGCTCCTGAGCAGTGGGAATATATACCTGAAACAGTATGTGACACTTCTGTGCTTTTTCTCCCTCTGTGGTTTCTGTTCTTCCTATAATGTACGCAAGTGCAAATATGAGCAGTGAGCGAGTAGAGAGAAAACCCTGTAAGTTTTGTGCTCTACTTTAGGTGTATGTGATTGCTTCTCTTGCTGTGCCATTCATTTCTGATTTAAATGTCTAATGACTCTCATCAAACAACATTTAAACTTTCTATGAGATCCTGTAAATGTTCCTTTAGATCATATTATGAGTAACAATGGATGAAACGAGCTTTAATGGGGAGGCTGCGGTTCAGTCCGGGGGTTCTGCAGCTGTTGGTGATGGCAGAACACGTCAATTGAACTGCAGCCATGCGTTCAGTGGCATTTTGCCCATTAAGCGATGTATAAAAACAGTATTCCTGGTACAGTTACATTTCATTTCTGCAGCGTTTTCACAGTCAGCACTGGTGTGTCCCGTGGCCTGGCCTTTTCTCCTCTTGGCGACTGAAAAAATAAAAGCCCAGTGCTTTAAGGTGGTGTTGCTTAAGCATGAATGAAATCACTCAAAAAATGTCTTCTTAGCATTGAAAAAATTGGTCACAAGTCAGTAATTAATTCATTTTAGAGTAAGTTCATCTTGGGGCTGACAAAGAGGTGTAGTAGCTAATTTTAAAAGATGAGTGTAACATCTTTCCCATGTCATACATGTCAAGATTAAACTTAAATTATGTATTATATATTAATGACCTTAATTTTATTCATAAACTACTGTAAGTACAACAGAAATCAATTTAGTTCTATTTCAGCCATCATTTCTGGGTGTGAACTTCTAGTTTCTATAAGGAATAAAGAGATAGGCATGAACTAGTACCTGACCTCATGAAGCATACACTGTAGTTGGAGACGTATAGACCAAAAGCAATCCTAGATGGAATGGGATATTTGAATGAGCTAAATAGAGGATTGCTTTGCACTTAGAGAACCTTCAGTAAATGAGTGTTGAAAGAAAGTGTGTTCAAGAGTTACCTTTGAATTTTAGATATTTATATGTCACTGTGGACTTCCTGGGAGCTGACTGAAAATGGTGATTGTCATTGTCATTTGACATTTTTTAGTCTACCAGTCTGGGGCCTAATTCAGCATTGAAAATAGTTTTTCCTGTTTTACCAGAAAAAGTAGAAGCCAGGAGTTTGTTTTTCTCTCTTTTCCTTGTGCTCTTTTAAATCTTATTTCCCTCACAGTTGAGCAGGAGGAGGAAAAAAAAAGTCCTATTTCCTTCATCTTATTTTCCACTAGGCTTTTGAGGAGGACGAGATATTCTGAAGCATATTTGAAATAAATTGAGGACCGTAACTTGGCAAGTATGAGGTGCAGGAATAATCCATGTGCAGGAGAGACGGTGAAAGATTACTCAGAGGTACAGAGCCATGGAGAGTCGGAAGGAACACTGGAAGTTTCTCGTGGAGATGGAAACCTGAGAACTTGACTGTGGTTAGGACAGGTTGGAGGAGTCCTGGGTGGTGCTGAAGAGGCTCGGTTCCGGAGTCAGGCCGTTGAGGTTGAAGCCTGGCTCTGCCATTCGCTAACATTGTGACCTTGGAAAAGCTTACCTACCTCTCTGAGTCTCAGTTTGCTCATCTGTAAAATGGCAAGAGTGTCCACTTCATGGATTTGCGAGGAGTAAATAAGCTAGTCCGTGTAAAGTGATGCATACAGAAAGCACCAGAAGTATTAGCTGTGATTGATTGCAGGAGCCACAGCATGCAGCAGGAGAATGATTTTTGAGGTGTTTGAAGAATAATATGTAAAGAGGGCTGGGTGATATGACTCACGCCTGTAATCCCAGCACTTTGGGAGGCTGAGGTGGGCAGATCACTTGAGGCCAGGAGTTGGAGACCAGTCTGGATAACATGGCGAAAATGCCATCTCTACTAAAAGTACAAAAATTAGCCAGGCTTGGTGCTGGGTGCCTGTAATCCCAGCTACTCGGGAGGCTGAGGCAGGAGAATTGCTTGAACCTGGGAGACGGAGGTTGCAGTGAGCCAAGATCGCGCCACTGCACTCCAGCCTGGGCTACAGAGTGAGACTTCGTGTCATAGAAAAAAAAAAAGAATAACATGAGGATGTGTTTGGTGTTGGCATTTTGGTCACATTGAAGCAGGGAGGGAATGGACATTTCTTTCAGAACCATGCAGCCCTAAACGTTAAACAGAGAGGTTTTTGGGGATAAGTGTTAAGATTTTGATGTGGATATTTTAGAAGGTTGGGCGTAACAGCTGATTCAACCCTTTTTTATCACCATCAATGAAAAGGGCTACATAAAGATTTAAGAAGAGGAGGACATTCTTTTCTCCACAGCTGGTCATGCGCCCAGTGTAGTTGGCAGGAAAACGGATTGTTTGGAATGTGTCCCTAAAATCCTGTAATTTAATTTTCATTATTTATATAACGCAGTCCGTATATGTGGCGCTGTACTACATGCACACAAGACCAAATTTCTGGCCAGTGTAATTTTACCAAAGAAGAGACTGTAACTGAAATATTTGTACCTACTAAATTATCTGCAGCTTGGTAACTCACCGTTAGGGAGTCCATGTGATCCCAATCAGCAACAGGGATTGGAGGAACGCATTGTTGGCAGTGAAATAAGGGGTCAGGAACTAGAATAAATAGTGCTGGGATGGTAAACGGGCCCATGTTATACTAAATGTAATATAAAGTCACTGACTTTGAGGAGTCCAGAAAAATAAGTTTGTAAATATTGACATTAAAGTAGCAACCAGTTTGCATGCTACTATGTAAAAGGAAACTATTAAAATAATTATTATACGTAGTTTTTTGCTTGCAGCACTTGTTTCATTCTGTTCACTTTTAGAAACACAAATTAGAAAGGAGTGAGTCTCTTGATGTGTGTCTAAGAGAAGTTAGAGTAAGATTTCTAGAAATCACGAGATATATAACTTGGATAGTTTATAGTTTTCTACAAGTGTTTCATGTTAAAAGTTCCTACATTAATGGTCCTTCAATGAATAGTATTTACCTCTGGAATCCAGGAGATATATCCACAGTTACCGTATTGGTCATGCTAGGCAAGGGCATGATTTATTGGACTTGATATTATCTGTATATAGTTCTTGCTTTTCAAAACAGTCATCTGGACCGGGAGTAAGCTAATAAGGCCATGCACTGCATAATGGCGTTTCGGTCAGTGGTGGACTGCATGTACCACTTTGGTCCCATAAGACTATAATGGAGCTGAAAAATTCCTATCTATATTTCTTATCATTATTTAGAGTGTACTCATTCTACTTCCAGGAAAAAAAAAAAGTTAACTGTAAACAGCCTCAGGCAGGTCCTTCAGGAGGGATTCCAGAAGAAGGCTTTGTTATCATAGGAGATGACAGCACCATGCTGTTGTTGCCCCTGACAGCGCCATGCTGTTGTTGTCCAGTGAGACAAGGTGTGGAAGACTGATATTGATGACCCAGACCCTATGTAGGCCTAGACTAATGTATGCATTTGCATCTTTGTTTGTGACAAGAAGTTTAAAAAATAGTAAAAAAAGCTTATAAAATAAGGATGTAAAGAAAAATGTTTTGTGCAGCTATATAGTATGTTTTGTTTTCAGCTAAGTGTTATTACAAAAGAGTCAAAAAGTTTTACAAGAGTTAAGAAGCTTATAAGGTAAAAAAGTTAGAGTAAGCTAAGGTCAATTTTTTTTTTTTTATTAAAGCAAGAAAAATCTTTTTTCTGTTTTTGAGACAGGGTCACTCTGTCACCCAGGCTGGAGTGCAGTGGTGCGATCTTGGCTTACTGCAGCCTCCGCCTCCTGGGCTCAGGTGATCTTCCTCCCTCAGCCTTCTGAGTAGCTGGAACCACAGGTGCGTGCCATCACGTGCAGCTAATTTTTGCATTTTTTGTGGTGACGGGGTTTTGCCGTGTTACTCAAGCTGGTCTTAGACTCCTGAGCTCAAGTGATCCACCTGCCTTGACCTCCTAAAGTGCTGAGATTACAGGTGTGAACCACCATGCCTGTCCAAAGAAAGAAAAATAAGAAAAAAAAAATTCAATGTATCCTTAATGTACAATGTTGATAAAGTCTACGGTAGTGTACAAGAATGTCCTAGGCCTTTGCATTCACTCACCATTCACTCATGACTCACCTAAAGCAACTTCTTGTCCTGCAAGCTCCATTCATGGCAAGTGCCCTATATAGGTGTACAATCTTTTATCTTTTATACTATATTTTAAATGTACCTTTTTGTATGTTTGGATATGCTCAGATACACAAATACCATTGTGATACCCTTGCCTGTGGCTATTTAGTACAATAACATGCTGTGCAGGTTTGTAGCCTTGGAGCAATAGGCTATGCCATATAGCCTAGGTGTATAGCAGGCTACACCATCTAGGTTTGTGTAGGTACACTCTATAATGTTCTCACAATGACGAAATCACCTAATGTATTTCTCAGAATGTATCCACATCAGTAAGTAACACATAACTAATTTATTGCAAGGGGCAGAATGTAAACCATTGGTTTAGTAGTTTTAGATTGAGTTAAAAAAAAAAGATATCCTTGAGGTTAGTGAGAGGAATCAAAATCAGGGGACAGTGTAGGCATTTGGGGTCAAAATTTATTCAGCATATGCTAGCATGCCACCAGGAACCAGAAGGAATAAATTATTCTGACTCCATTCTTGGCAAGATCTGTGTGGCTACAGAACGTAATTATTTTGCAAATCATTTAAGTTGCTGACCACAGCTAGGAGATTACCACCTAAGTGAAGATTACCACCTAGATGGAGTGTGATTCCTCCCTGGGATTCCCTTTCAGAATTGTCAGAAAACAAAGCAGTAAATCCACATGTTAATCATTAAAATAAACGAAGTGCAATATGCCCAGCAAATCATTTCACACATTTTCTATTTCAAGGAATTGGGATTCAAATCTTAACCTAAATTTTACATATTCACATTTTAAAGCATCACTCAGACTTGTTCAGATTACTGAGCGGAGTAAGGGTTTCATCTGAACACATAGAAGCTGGCTGCGTTCTTGAAATGGGGAGGATGGGGTTGGTGAGGTCACAAAACTTCTTTTCAGCTCCCTGGTTGCAAAGAATATGAGTGCTATGACATTAGATGGGAATTCAAGTTCTGGTCTAAATTGATAAAATAGAGTTGTTATTTTATGGCCTCATCTTTGTTTTTATATATCACAGAATCACTGCGAAAATGGCAGTTTGTTTTCTAAAGAGGCCTGAGACCAGAGCAGCAGGTCACAAAGCGAGCATTTTACAGCGTTGTCAGTCAGCCTATTTGGCTGAACTGAATTTCCCAGGGCAAAAGTTTTCTTACAACGTTTCAAACAATTCATCAAAAAGATGGCCTAGGAAGTATTAAATGTCTTACAATGTAAATATAGACAAGGCTTTATTAGGAAAGTGTGCACCTGTTTATTTATTGACTTATTTATTATAATAGCCTTTCAAGTAGTTTTCTTGATCCTTACACTCTTCACACAATGAGTGTAAATAGACACCAGTCATAGTTGTAGGTGGTGAGCTACAGAGCTCTGTATTGATTAGATCTTCAGGCTGTCAAAACAACTAGAAATTTTAATAAATGTTTTCAAACAAGTGACCAGTTCCATCTAACCCATCAGAATGTTTTATTGTAAATATAACATGGCTGTCAGTTTGACAGAAATTGTCTTCCCAGAATAATTTATAGTGTGATTTCAAAATGCATCCAGTCACAGGCTTTTAGGAATCCTGTCATAGAATATTATTTTATGCCATCATGTTTTAAAAAGACACAGTGATAACATTGAATAGGAATAGTGCAATGACACTGAAGTGCAGTTTTAGATGGGAGGGGAAGTCTTCCTTGCTTCAGCAAATCAGGTGTTTGAAGTTTAAAAACTGCTTAAGTGGATTTGTAGTAAAGCTCTGTCTGTTTTAAAGTACTGGTGACTCAACAGCTGTGGGGAATCTGTCTGGAATCGGCGCGGAACTTTGGAGAATGTTTTCTCCTCAGGAGCTGGAACTCAACTCTTCCTCAGCCCACACAATGCAGGATCTGTGGTTTTCTGTCCCTGTTTCTTTTTCTCCATTTTTCTCCCCTTCACTTACTCTGATTGATGGAAACACGTGCTGGGAGCTTTCCCTGACATTCTTTCCAAAGACTGAAAGTAAGAAATGTTATGGTGGTGCTATGTCTATTTTTGAAAGTAAGTCTGTTAACGTAAAGCCTGTGTTGATATATTGGGATGAATTATAATGGTGATATTATTACAGCCTTCAAAGCTGAAAATTTATTATTTTTCTCACCTACTTTTGGTTGCTGATACTTGATCATAGGAACATGCTGTGCATCTGGTTAATTTTGGGGAACCCATTTGTAGATTTTCAAAAGTTAAACTTTATCCTTCTTTATATCTTCTCCAGGCCCTCTTTTGTTATTGAAAAACAAATAGAAATACAATCCACTACAACTTCGGTGCTTCTGCTTTTCTGGTCACTCTCATTATTAATGCTTATAATGAAGATATTTTTGGAAACACTGACTTATCATTGGTTTTGCAAATACAGTAAAAATAATATTGTTTGTTGGAACTCTTCATTATGATTCTTTTACTTTTAAATATTTAATTCATAATTATTCTTGTTTCTACATCTGTATTTTAATTTTTATTTGTTTTTATTTAGTTTTAAAGACAGGGTCTCTCTCTGTTGCCCAGGCTGGAGTGCAGAGGCATCATCATAGCTCACTGCAGCCTGAAATTTCCAGGTTCAAGCCATCCTCCCACCTCAGCCTCCTGAGTCGCTGGGACTACAGGCCCGTGCCACCAAGACTGGCTGATTTAAAAAATTTTTTTTGTGGAGACGAGGTCTCACTTTGTTACGGAGGCTGGTCTCTTACTCCTGGGCTCAAATCATTCTCCTGCCTCGGCCTCCCAAAGTGCTGAGATTTACAGGCATGAGCCACTGGACCCTGCACTTACGTCTCTATTTTCAAATGTTAAATGTCTTTATGTATAGGAGGTCATGTTGGATTTTAAAAGTCAACAGAAATTGATAGGAAGCAGTGTGCAGCCCTGAATGAAACTCTTAAGTTATGGGGGAAAAAAATACCAGAACCTATGAGTGAAATTATTTTTTAAAATCTCGTCTTGCTGGTAGACAGGTTTTTTAGAGACAGGGACCGCATCTTCTTTAATCTTTGCTGTATCCCTTGTTCCCAGCATATTGTCTGGCACAGAGTATTTAATACATTAAGTGGGTGAATAAAAAAGTGAATGGCGCCGGGCGTGGTGTCTCACGCCTGTAATCCCAGCACTTTGGGAGGCCGAGGCAGGCAGATTACCTGAGGTCAGGAGTTCAAGACCAGCCTGGCCAACATGGCAAAACCCTGTCTCTACTGAAAAATACAAAAATTAGCCAGGTGTGGTGGTGGGCACCTGTAATCCCAGCTACTTGGGAGGCTGAGGTAGGAGAATTGCTTGAACCCGGGAGGCAGAGGTTGCAGTGAGCTGAGATCCCGCCACTGCACTCCAGCCTGAGTAACATGGTGAGACAGTGTCTCAAAAAAACAAAAACAAAACAAAACAAAAAAAACCCCAGACCAAACAATAACAACCAAAACAAGTGAATGGGATAACTTGGTGCTGAGTTTAAGAGCCAAGGTTCATTTCCTTGGTACCTGTTGCTTGACTAGAAGACAAATCTGTCGTAAATGATCAAAAAAATGTTTACATAGACGGATGTGGAGGAGAATTTTATGTATGCATACACACAGAATACTAAGTGGCATTTTTTATGTGACAGATTCATTTCCATGCATATTCCATATTGTAAGTCAGTCTTCACAACTGTTTTGTGAAGTAGCAGATCCCTGTTTTGCAGATGAGGCAACTGATGCATACATAGGTTAGGTTCACTTTTCCAAAGTCCTAGAGTTTTTATTTGGCTGAGCCAGGATTTGAATGTCAGCACTTTAGTCTCTTTCTAGAGTTTCTGTGTGCAATCACTACTGTCTATTACCTCTAGCAGTTTATCACATGCACAATTGTTCGTAACACCTGGCTGTGCATGATGTACATCTACAGGTAGACACTTCATGTACTTGCTGTGGTAGTACTCTAGAAACACTGGTAAGTTCACATGTTATCAAAGAAACTCCTGTATCCGCTCTCCGAGTGCTGATCTGGTCATTTTCTGCTTGATGACGCCAGTCTTTTGAGTTAACTCGTAGGTGTGCATGTTGGTTTCTTTAAAGTGTTAGATTATGAACCATAGGGCAGCAGGTGATTAATTTCTGCATCATAAGAATTCAGCTACTGTTTTTAGGAATTTGCTTACAAACCATCAAGTTTGCTTATTCTTACAGAGTTTTGTCTTTATTTGTGGTATTGTAATATATAATAGTTAGTATCTGACCCCAAGAGCCTTACAATGAGGCCACGAAGACAAACAGAATTTCGAGAAGTCAGAATGAAGAATGGTCCTCAAAAGAGAAAGGATAGAATCTTGGGGTTTTATTCTTGTGAGGGATGTTAGAAATGATCTTATCTCTAAGTAATGGGGAGAGAACTTAGCAAAATCCTTAAAGAGCAGGGGAGTCCACTTTAGTGTGAGTTATTTAACTTCTCTGTGATTTGTTTACCTTTCTTCAAAAATGGAATGATAATGATACTCAGCCCCCTAGTATGTTGTGAGGATTGAATGAGGGAATAAACATACATGGAGTACTTAAAACAGCTCTTGCACACAGGAAGTGCATAACAAATATTATCATTGAAATTATCATTTTACAATTGAGGAAATTGAATCCCAGAGAAATTAAATTACTTACTCAAGGCTAATCCAGCTAGCTAATGACTGAGCCAGGGCTGGAATCTTGACATACATGTCGTCAGCACTCTTGTAATATTCAACAGAATTACTGTAAAGCAATCCTCTATTTGACAAGTAATAATACATAATCTCTGCATTTACTTGGGATGCTGAATATATACTGAACTTCTTGCTGTTCTTTATTTTTTCTTCTGGGAACTATATATTGGGTGATTCTTTTAAAAAATGTGGTTATATGCCAACATTATGGGAAAGGAAAAAAAAACTTACCAGACTTTTCTTCCATACATAATCCAAATTTCAAATGTATTAATTTTGCCGAATGCCATGGCAACATACATATCTGTTTTTCAGTTCATGAAAGGTATTTTGGGAATTATTGGCTCATGCATGCTTGAGCGTTTTCGTCTTTCAGCTATAGAAATACACTATGTATCCTCTTCATTTTGTGTTTGTGCTTCTATTCAAGATGAGAATAAAAGCAGTTAGTTTCTGGGTTGTAATATTCTTCAGTGAACGGTGGCTTTCTAAAACAGTTACACCTTGACTGAAATGAAAACTCTGCTGTATCATAAAAGATATTCTAATTACTGCATCTAGTTAAAAGGAGAATAAATCACTGGGAGATTATTTTAAGTGCCTTAAATATAATAAAAAAGAATAATGGACGTTGAACAGCTTGACAGGTTTGATGAATGCAGACTATGGCTGATTTCTGCTGCTTTCTAATGGAAAAGGAGAGCATTTTACTTTCTAGGTGTATTGTCAAAGCAAATTTTTGTTAGGGAAGATAAGGAGAAGCCTTATCTTTGTTGAGCACTTGCCTTGTACCAGGCATTAGCCAAGGCAGTGTATTATCTCATTTAATTTCATTTAATCCTCCCCAACCTTGTAGATAATGTTATCCCCATTTTGCATCTAAGAAAAATGAGGCTCAGAGAATTTGAATAACTTGCCTCAGGGTATATAGCTGCAAAGTAGGATCCAGACTAGGTTCTTTCTCTTTATTTCATTACCCCAGTAGGGTTGTGATGATGATGTAAATATAAATGTAAATATAATTGTCTCCACTGTTACAAAGATACTAATTTCATCCCATTTAATTTAGAATGGTTGTGTCCAAACAATTTTAACTTCTTTGAGCCTCTGTAAAATGGGAACAGTCAGGTCACTGTGATCTAAAAGGAGAATATATGTGCAAACCTCTTTGCTTAGTGCTTGACAGTAAATGGGGAGTGCCTGGGAGATTTGTTTTCCATATCATCAACAGACAAATGGGTGTTCCCAACTGATTCTAAGTTAAGAGTTTTAGATGTTTAATTAATAGACTCATAAATTGTGCCTGTAAATTTAAAACGGTATCTGTTGAGTTTTTCTAAATGTATTTTACAGATTAGATGGTGATAGACTTTCTTAAAATGTTGTGTTTTCCATTGGATTTTGCCTTCATAAATGTATGAAAATATATTTAGTTAGTGTGGACATGATTGCAGTGCTAATACATGGCAGATTGTGTGTACATATATGTGTGTGTGTGTTGGCTATTGTTCTATCTGTAGGAGGGTAAAAATCTAAATGGTGGGCAAATAAAATCAGAAGAAAATGTTGGTTAATTTTTGGATTATGTTGTCTCTATAAGAGAATGTTATTACTGGTAAGTATTTTGCAAAGTTTTTCATCCATGTAGTGAATATGAAACATGTCTTCTTGGTTGACTCATTTGTATCTTTTACAGTACATTTTGGGTGCCAGTTTATAGATTCTTTTCCTAAAATCTGCAAAGTAATAGAAGAGTTAGAATTCAGTACCTAAGATACAGAGATTCTATTACTCCAACCCCCTTGCCATATGAAGATCTGTGTTTAAATGAGTCAAGAAAATTAACTTTTAAGATTCTATGTGGATGTATGAATTTATTCATATTCCAACATTCAGTTGATGGCATTTATGGGAACTATACTCATGGAAACTCAGAAACAAAGAAACTTTTATTTGCCACTATATTCACACACTTTAGTAGTTCTTTCCTAAATCTCTTTTGAAGTAAAGAATACTATAACATCATATAGTTTTGTGTTCACAGTTTTACACCTAATTTTACACATTCACATTTATAGATATGCACAATTACTGGACTTACTCTTTGCTTGTGTTCAAATATAAAAGCTTATAGAATCTTGTACCAGCTATCAACACATTCATCCAAATGTATTCCGGGTTTCTCCATTGCTGCTGTGGTAGTAAATATAAATCTACATTCTCAGTGGTATTAGTTGTTCTTAGTCAAGCATGAGAGGAACTGTATATGAGTGTCATTATCTAATAATTTTTCTAACTGTGTTAAATAACGTCGTATTCTCCCTTCCTTTGCCATGCTGAATCAGCTGAAGAGACAAATAAGTACAGAAGGGATGAGTGTGGCTTCATAATCAGGGATGAATGTGTTATGATCCATCTTGATCCAATAAGCAGATGAATATTTCACAACTGCATTATTTTGTAAGTGAGGATACTGTCAGTTTTGTAGCAAAGGTTCTGGTAGATAAGATTGTCTTTCTTGATCTTTTATAAGTAAATTTTTATTGTAAATTATTTAACTGCATTCTCTGAAAAATGTACTTTTGTATCAGAGAAATATGCTTAGGATATATATGTGTAAGAATTTAAAGGACAGGTTTAGTTATGGGCCAAAATCTAATGTTGTAGCATCAACATGATTTTTATTAAGAAAAGAGAATTTGATGTTGAGAGTTTTCAGTTCACATACAGAATAAGTAAACCTTATCCTATAAACTACACTTATTATTGGTATCCGTGTTTTTAAATGTTTTATGTGTACCTCATCAAAATGAGATCATGATCTCCTAATTTATAGTGATTGTGATTATTTAAAACTAGCTGAACTAGGATAACATAAATAGTGTAAAAAGGGAATCCTACAATTGTGATTACTACATTAAAAATGCAATTTGCAGTATAAAATGCCATGTGAAGGTTAAATGATGTTAAAGATAATAATGTGTATAATGAAATCAAGAATAGAGCATTTAACAGGAATGTATCACTTTATGGGCATAGAAGGCAAGAGAGATCTTTACACTGTCATTATTACGTACATGGTAGTATTTTCTAATTCAGTGGTCTTCAAATTGTATACTATGGAACTCACTATATGAAAGAGATAATTTTTTTACATGGGCACAAACACACAATTACCTTAGCAATGGCTGAAGTCTTATTCTTAAAATATATTCTTTGTTTTGTTGTATATTTTTCTCTAAAATAAAATAATTTGAACAAAATAAATATAGGACTATCCTTTTCAAAGTAATAGTCAGCGATTGAATTTTTGAAGTGGAAAGACTGAATGAAGGCCTGTGGATAAAGACGAAATCCTGAAATATCAAAAAACAATAGTTTATTCACAAAATAGATGTTTGTGAAATAAAAGTTATGCCCTTTGCTTTCTCAATTGTGTGATATTTATATGTCTTAGTGTTAATGCTTGTGGAGTAGGGACTTAATATTTGTTAACTGAATAAAACTGCCTAATTCTATGAAGAATACTAAGTTTATATGCCAGGAATTTCTCTTATTTTTTGCAAATATGTAATAATAATGTTTTTTATAACTCCTCAGATATTATGATTTACTCTTGATTAGGCAAACTGTGGGAGGAGTATCAGATTATACAACATGCCAAAAAACATTAATTATATTTCTCTGTAATGAAGACCTGCAAATAAGTAAAGATGTTTGTAAGCAGTCAAAGTAGATGTCATCAAGTTCATGTGTTAAATTTGTTTTGGGCAGATAGTGAACAGTCATTTACTCTATTAGACAAAATATCATAATTAGTGAAAACAATATTCTGTTTTTTTTGTTTTGAGATATTCCCTTTGTTTTGGGGGTTCTGCAGATTTCCTGTGATATGTCTGCATCTGATTTTGTTTATTTAGTCTGCTTCTTCAATGTGCTGACTTCATACCTTGCAAAAATTCTGAAATCTTCTCAACTAGTATTTGTGTATTGCCTCTTCCTTACTCCTCCTCTGTTTTTTTAATGAAACTCCTCTAAGAAGGTTTTGGACAATTCTCATTCTATATTATGTCTATTTATGTCTATTTAATATAGTCTACTTTTTTTTTTGCATCTCTGTTTCATTCACTAGAATATAAGCTCTCTGAGGACCATAGTCTGTTTTGTTCAATAACGTATATTGAGCATTTGAAAGAGTGACTCAGAATGGATGTCCGGTGCGCAAGTGGAAGCATTTTTTGAATAAATGAACGATTTCTGTGTAATTTATTCTGATCTGTTTTTCACTTTACCTAGCTTTCATTGGTCTCGTGTATTGTATAATTCAAGCTCTGTTTCAATGGCTGTATTTTTAATTTATTGGTGTTCTATTTGATTCCCATTCAAACTTATCTTTTCATTATGATGTACATTATTTTTGTCTGTATTAACACTTTAAATATGATCATTTAAAAAATCTCTTTCAAATTACTCTATTTGTCAAGATCTTGGGGGCACTAATCCTCCTTTGTGTGTCTACTGACTTGTCCACAGTGGATAAGTTTGTGTGTGTTTCTAATTTTTGATTGTGAGCTCATCTTCATCTGGGATGTTTGTCTCCTTTGGAAGTTTGTGCTCTGGGTTATGGGACAGTTCTTACAAAGTGGTTTTCTGTTAGTTTCTGCCAATTTCTCAGGAATTTCATTGGTTTGGCATTAGTTTTTACATTAATTTTATGGCTTGTGGTTCCCAAACTAAGCAAATAGTATAAATTTAGATTCTGCAACTGCATATGGAAAAGTTTTCAGGGTTGGATTACTCATAGGCAACTCTTTCTTTGCCCACCAAAGCCCTTGCCAGACATGTTTTCTGGCCATTTCCCTGAATCAGTGACATAAGAATCAGTAGCCTTTCCAAATCTCTGGCTTTGTGCAGGGGTCTTAGGACCTGTGCCTCTGTGGGTTTAAAAACTCCAGCCCCTATCCCTTAGGGCCCATAGATCTGCTAATGTTTCCAGTTCTGTGTTTTTTGTTCTGGCTGTAAATTCCCTCTCAGAATTCCATTTCTTTTGAGTTTGGGTATGTATTTAACTTTTTTCTCATCATGTTTTATCCAGGCTTTTTTTTTTTAAATGGAGTGTGTGTGCGCGCACGTGTGTGAGAGTGTGTTTGGAGGAGTGTATTATTTGAACCATCATATTGCTGAGACTAGAAATCCCCTCTCATTTCTAAGATCAATTATTATGTGGATATTTGCTTTCTTTTTCTGAGTGTAATATTAAATACGAAATGGACTCGTGAACCTGGAGAATGTCTGTCAGAAATACCGAACCTTCCTTCTTTCATTTTCGCCTGTAAAATCTTACAATTTTTTTAAAGATAGATATACAGCCATCTAGAGAATACACAGAAGAGTGATTTGGTGTTCATCTTTGTGTTTGCTGTTTGCTGAAGGATCACTCGCTAAGATACGTCTAACATTGCTATAATTGTTCTGTTTCCCTTTGAATTGAATATTTAGGGTAAGGCACTGATATGTCAGTAGGATGACCAACACTAAAAGTCCAGTATCCTGGGAAACCTCTGTCTTTGGTAGACCTGGATTGTCACCTTAGTCTTGGATTCCTTCCGGAGACTGAAGAAATCCTTTAAAAACTTTCCTGCTGTGGAGTCTTCTGGCTCAGGCCCCAACTACAGTGTTACATTCAGACTTCTTTGTTAGAACAAAGTTTTACATATATTCAAATAGTAAGGATAAATATTAATCTGTTTAGAAAGAGAGCCTTGAAAGGATCCTAGTCTTTTTGCATAGGAAAAATGTCCCCAATCAATGAGAAAGTCTAGGAGCATGATCAAGACTTATTTTATATAGTTTGTCTTTTAGGGGGTACTGGTGGATTATACTTTTAGAGTTACATTCAGTATTATTGTGGCTGGACTAAAAACCCCTCAAGAATACATTTCACATTGATTTTATTATAGACATCTGTCAAGCAAAGCAGAGGCAAATGATAGCATACTCATTTACCAGTAATGCAAATCAAATGAGCTAGTGGCAACAAAATCACTCCTGACACCTTTGCCCTTTTTCTCTTGATTTGAACTAATGACGTGTGTGTGTGTGTGTGTGTGTGTGTGTGTGTGTGTGTGTGCGCGCGCGCAGACTAGCAAAATCCAGACTAGCAAACAAAGGCCAATGACAGGATAACTTTCATACCTTCATGCCTGGGTCACTCACCATGTACGATAGGAGCAGTGCATTCTCTTGTGAATTAAAAATCTATTTATCCTTCCTGGGTGCATAAGTCCCATAGAAGGCTGGGAGGGGAAGTGGAACTCTTTATATAGGAGGGGCTTAGACCTCAATAGCCTGTCCCTTTGAATGACAAAATGCCCACCAGCCTTGCCACAAATAGCTTCTGAAATATGAGAACCTTTTTTAATTCTTAAGATCCTTGACCACTGCAACTAATGTAAAGACACACTCCGCAACAAACTTATACACACACACGTACACACACATTTTATTCTGTTTTATAGGAATGGCAGTCTTTAGCAGTGCATAATTTTTTTATTATTATTTTGTTTGAGACTGGGTCTCACTCTCACTCAGGCTGGAGTGCAGTGGCATGATCATGGCTCACTGCAGCCTTGACCCCCTCCTGGGCTCAAGTGATCCTCCCACTTCAGCGTTTTGAGTAGTTGGGATCACAGGCACGTGCCACCACGCCTTGGTAGTTTTTGTGTTTTTTGTAGAGATGGTGTTTCGCCATGTTGCCCAGGCTGTTCTTGAACTCCTGAGCTCAAGCAATCTGCCCACCTTGGTCTGGGATTACAGGCGTGAGCCACTGTGCCCGGCCAACATTCCATCATTTTAAAAGCTGGGCAAAAAGGGAAGGAACTAGTTGAGAAAGGAAGGTTCTATGGCCAGAACATCAGAATGCTTGTTTTTAGTTTTTGCAAACATTGGTGAAATAATAGTTGGCTTTTTTGTAAAGCCTTTCCAGTTGGAAACTGCAAGTACTTTTTTTTTTTTTTTTTTTCCGAGACGGAGTCTCGCTCTGTTGCCCAGGCTGGAGTGCAGTGGTGTGATCTTTGCTCACTGCCAGCTCTGCCTCCCAGGTTCATGCCATTCTCCTGCCTCAGCCTCTCCAGTAGCTGGGACTACAGGCGCCCGCCACCACACCCGGCTAATTTTCTGTATTTTTAGTAGAGATGGGGTTTCACCATGTTAGCCAGGATGTTCTCGATCTCCTGACCTCGTGATCTGCCCTCCTCGGCCTCCCAAAGTGCTGGGATTACAGGCGTGAGCCACCACACCCGGCCAGAAACTGGAAGTACTTTTAAAAGTATGATGGAAGATACATACTTTGTAATATACATACATACAAAATTTGTTCTTTGAGCAAATTTATTCAGTTTTACTGGCAATGAAACTCATAATGTTTACTCCTCAGAAATTTTAAAACATTTGTTTGTTGAATGTATTTATTGTTTCTATCGGCAGTCTTTGGAAATCTGTCTTGTGATAGTTCTAATAATATGGTTTGAATACAGCATTGTCATATGTCTTATATGTTGGGGCAACATTCTAATAACTATACATTTTTTATCTTCCGATACGTTTTTCTGAATAACTCTTTGTGTTGACTGCAAGTATGTTTTTGCAGAGTCACCAAGTTCTGAAAGTATGCTTTTAGGATGGCACTAGGTTACTGTGTTTGTATTAAGTATAATTGTGTTCTTTTGTAGATTTGTTCCTATAGAGCTATGGTTTCATGGTCTGAAGCTGAAAGAGGTTTAAAGAGGTCATCACAGTTCCTCCTCCCACCCTTACTGTTGTTAAATATGAATGTACGTTTGACTATTGGAGGAATTTTGTTTCTAGAACTTTCAAGAGTAATTGTTTTCTGTAATTTATAGTAGGAAAATATTGATTTATTAATAGTTAAAATGTTCTTTGGGATGCTTGAAGACCATGATGTGAAAAACTTAAAAAAATTAGCATTGATGTTGTTTCTATATATTTGCCAATGGGAGTACTATAACTTTGAAATGTAGGGGATTGTTTGAAACATGAATTGTGAAAAATAACGCAACTTTAGTTATTTTATATTGGGTCCAGGCTAGTCCGCTGAAGAGTATGAAGTACAGTTTTATGTAAAATATATCTCAGATTGAGAATGTGGAAACACTGTTCTTTAAAAAAATAAAATCTTCAGTAAGATCCTTTTATGAATTTACTGGTTTGTTCTCATTTGTCATCGGACTGTTTCCAGATGTAAAATATTACTTTCTTGAAATTGCTGTTGAGTCTACTATCAAGACCAGGTGCATGTTGTTTTACAGCTATTTTACTTCTGATTTTTAATGCTGAAACTCATAGAATGCCTTGAACTGATAATTTGTTTAACTCTCTACCTACTAATTGGACCAAGAAATAACTTTGTATCTTTATCTCTTTTCCATTTCATGTTTTATTTCTGTTTCAATTAGTGTGTGCCTTTGGCAAAAAGGAGATGATTTTGCTTTCTGTTTTAGGATTTGCCTCCAAGAAAAAATATATTTTATTGCCACATTTTCTCAATTGATCCAGTAGAGTTCACAGACAATGAAAAGAGTAAGAAAACTAATTTTTAAAGCTTGGTAGTGTTATAATTTTCTTCCTTATAATAATCAGAAAAAGAATTTGTATAACTTTTGTTTCTAATATAGCAGTTCTGAAAATCTAGGCTTACACATTTTCCTTCCCATTACTGCTGTTTATACTTAAGTAAAACAAAAATGGTCGCTGCAGGTTTTTTTCTCATTTTAGTGCAGAGTTTGAATTCTTCAAAGACTGCTAAGGTTTTCCCACCTTAACAATTTATGACAGACCCTTATATCTTCATAGGCTGAGTCCGCTGCTAAGAGTTTGCTAACTCATGACTTTAATACACCAGTAGAGATCACACTGGAGTTAAAACAAAGAGAGCACGAACCCTGAAATGATTTAAGACTGTTCTTAGCTGACTACTGGAACACAGTGTCTCACGTGGTGTTATTGGTAACCTTAATGCAGATTATAATTCTGTAGTTTAACCAGGATGTGTTGGCTATGGTAAAGTGCCTTTATAAGGAATTGTGAAAGGGCACAAGGAATGGAAACAGAACCTCAGTTTTCTCAGTGTAAATGATGATGACAAGAATTCCCTGTGCACATTTGTTGTTGTGAGAAAGGGTGAGATAGAATAGATTGGACACATAGTAGGTGCTCACTGTTAGTTTTTCTCATTCATTCATTACTGTGTCATTCTATTGGCATGCTCACAGTCATGTAGTGGAATATGAAGTTACATCGTGATATTTTTCATTCATTCACCACTGTGTCATTCTGTTGACATGTTCACAGGCATGTAGTGGAATATAAAGTTACATCATGATATTTTAAAAGCTACCGATGTGGTAGATTTCACAGTCTTGAAAAGGGGTTTTTTTTAAGCTGAATTTTCAGTTTCACTTGAGAAGAGTCCTGATTTGCTTGTACAAAGAGCAGTAGGGTTGCAGAGAAGGAAAGAAGGCAACTCTTTTAAGTCCCAGCCGCTACTCTGCTGTGTCTTATTCTCTAAAACAGTGAAGAAGTCTGGGTGGACATTCTAGTGGTCAGAAGCCTAAGCTTTGTCTTTTGATGAGTGCAGACAGGGGAGGGAGCAACTGACGAGGGAGTAGAGGGGCTTGGAGCCCCTTCCCAAGTCTACCATCCCTCACTTATGTGTCTCTTCCTCAGTAAAGCACCCCCAGTGCCCTTATTTGCTGTATTTTTCTTCATGGAACTTACTGTCTATGGGACCTATTTGTGCATTCATTTATGGTGTGTCTCTGCATTGCTTTCCCTTTCACTACCCATGTAAGTTCCATGAAGGCCCAGTCTTAAGCATTACAGGTTGAGCGTCCCTAATCTGAAATGCTCCAAATTCCAAAACCTTTGAACACTGACATGAGATAGTGACACCTTTGCTTTTTCTGTTGTTCCAAAGTACGCAAACTGTTTTATGCACAAAATTATCAAAAATATTTTGTAAAATTACCTTTAGCCCATGTGTGTAAGGTATACATGAAGCTGCATATGAAACATAAAATACATTTCATGTTGAAACTTGGTTCTCACCCCAAAGTTGCCTCATGTATATGCAAATATTCAAAAATCCCAAAAAATTAGACATCCAAAACACTTCTGATCCTAAGCCTTTGAGATAAGGGATACTTAACCTGTACTGGGTCCTCAGTGCCTGGCACAGGGTGGATGCTCAGTAAGTATTTTCTTAAAAGAAAGAACAAGGGAAAGGTAGATGAGACGATAAGAGGTGGAGGTACAGGGAAGAAGAACACAGAAACATGGTGATGAAAAGAACAGTCTGATACCTTATTTGGGCCCCAGAAAATGATTGGTACTGAAGGGATTTTATTAGTGGTCATTTAAGAAACTTGTGTTGTACTGTTTTTGTGTATTGGAAGGAGGCTAGACATTGTTACATGGAAATTCACAGTTACATTTTCACTAAATGTTTCATTGTGAAAAACGTCAAGAAAGGTTGGAGAAGGTCTAGGAAAACTTATCTTTGAAGATACTGTCTTATGAATTTCCAGCTCAGACTTGCAGCTTTTGGGAGCTGAGGCTATGAGGTGATCTTGAGAGCAGCTGAGGAGGCTCTAATGGGTTCCAGCTGTGTGCCCAGAGAACCCACCCTCTCAGGATAACATTAACCAGGTAGACCCTGCCCTGACTGACTTCCTCTGGGCTTTATGGGTCCCCGTGGTCTGTTGCATTGATCTTGCATTTTCAGGTTTTATAGCAATTCTAAACATGTGAGGGTACATATTTGCTCTTTGATGTGCCCTTTGATAGAAGCCAGAGTGCTTTACCTGAGCCTGCCTGTAATAATGGGGGAAGGTGGGTTGCATGCCCTGCAGCCATACGCTCCCTGGGAGGCTGGTTTTATTGCGGTTGTTGATTGGCAGACTTTAATCAGGGGTGTTTCTTGTTGTATTTTTGAACATGAAGTATATTAAGGATAGTTAAACATGTAGTCCTGCTGGTGTTTTGTTTTGTTTTGAACCACATTTTGTTCCATTGTGCCACTTGATAGAAAGGAGGGCAGAATGGAAACATATGGGGAGCAGAAATAGTAACACTTATGTCATATAACTACACTGTGTTGGTGATTTTTTGTTTTTTTCCATGTTTTATAATACCTTTATGTACATCCCTATTAAGAAGGCAGCTATTGTGTCTCCATTTCACAGAGAGGTAAGTTAAGGAATGTGGAATTTGGAAACATGCTTGCCGGTTAGTGTGGATGGAACCTAAATTAGAATTCAGAGCTCTTATTACTAGATAGGAGACCAATCCCAGGCAGTCATGGCATTTCTGTGAACTCTTTCGAAGAGTAAAGGGACAGGAATTGCCTTTTCAGAGTAGAACTCAGTGCATATCAGTGGAATTATAGAACTTTAGGGTTAGAAGGGCCTTTGATGGGACCATCCTTTAAGCTAGAACTGCCTCTTGAAGTTTGCAGTGTGCATGACCTGCAGCTCCATTGTTTATATTCCAAATCTATGAAACTAGTGAGAGAATAGGACACATCTTTGTATGTTTAGGTTTGACAGTACTTATCAGAAGTGGTCATATTACGGTTTTCTATCTTCCTTTGGTGGCTTTTCAGCTTTCCTTGGTACCAGCCT
Organism: Homo sapiens; assembly: GCF_000001405.40. Classification (NCBI taxonomy): domain Eukaryota; kingdom Metazoa; phylum Chordata; class Mammalia; order Primates; family Hominidae; genus Homo; species Homo sapiens. The sequence continues at coordinate 55,532,457 of NC_000018.10, read as the reverse complement.
TCCAAAAGAAATTAGCTCCCTTGTGCCCTCACTTTAATTTGGAAGAGATTGGTTTGGAAGAGCCACCAAGGGCCCACTAGACAGCTCCTTAGAAGTTGCTGTGACTTGGCAGATGGCACCTGAGGTTTAAGGATTGGGGATCTAGCCATGGCGTGTTGATGATGATGATGATGAGGATGGCAATGACTATTAACTCCTTAATCCATATTTAATCATATCACCAGAACTGATGGTTGTTCATTGAAGATTCACTTCATGAAGTACAAGCTAGGTGATTCCTTTTTGAAAATAACACTGTGGGCCTAAGATATATGGACCTTATGTGGCTTAAAATGACCCACTTCTCTGTGCTTACTCCTAATTACCTTCTTATTTCTTTGAATTTAGTAATGGGAGTAAATCCGACTTTAAAGCCATTTGTGGTGGCAAACCCTAACTATTCAATGAAATACAAATTTGGTACATTTGCATCCTATGCAAGTTTTATATTTTTGACAGCTATTTTTGTATTTAAGCAAGAAGCCGAAATAAAAATTTCTAAACAGATATGCCAGATTATATTCACCATGTTTGAGTATAGTATTGATTGGTCATGGCTGATGTTTATCAGACTAAGCAAAGTGTGTCTGTATTAGTTGTCTCAAGAGGGTCTTTATTCTTAAATGCTTATGAATTCCATAATAAGTCTTGGAAAGTGGAACATACCCAAGCACAATTTATAACTTTTCTAGGCTTTATTGGTATTCTGAGCCATCCAGTGAGGACTGGAGTCATTCACATGATAGAATAACACAGATACCATTTATTAATCTGCTGAATATTGATCACATTTAGCAAATTGCTGAATATTAGTAGTGAAATACTATTCCTCTACAAAATAGTAGTAGCCATAGTAGTAGCAAAATTATCCTCATGTGTCCATGCATGATTTATATGTATGTGTGTGTTTATATATATACAGTGTATACATCCATATCTCTATATTTCTATTTTGCTATCTTTGTTGGGATTTATAAGGTAACTTTTAATTATTTTCCTTCCCCCATTCTCTACTTAGCGATCCTTTCTTTATACCAATCATCATGGTAAACACTGGGAATATAAAGATTAATAAGTCACAGTACCTATCCTTAGAGCTGGAAGCAAATACTTTTTATCCAGCATAATGAGTGTTACGAGAGATGGTATAGAAAATGCTCTGGTAGGCCTGGTGTGGTGGCTCATGACTGTAATCCCAGCAGTTTGGGAGGCTGAGGCAGGTGGATCACTTGAGGTCAGGAGTTGGAGACCAGCCTCGCCAACATGGTGAAACCCCATCTCTACTAAAAATACAAAAAAATTAGCTGGGTGTGGTGGTGGGCACCTGTACTCCCAGCTACTCGAGAGGCTGAGGCAGGAGAATCGCTTGAACCCGGGAGGCGGAAGTTGCACTGAGCCGAGATTACACCACTGCACTCCCGCCTGGATGACAGAACAAGACTCCGTCTCAATTAAAAAAAAAAAATGCAAAAAGAAAATGCTCTGGTATCCCAGAAAATGCCTACTCTGTTTCAGGAATGCAATTCAGAAAGGTGTACCAGAGTGTCATTTGCAGTCTAGTGGTAGTTTCATAGAATGTCTGTTTCAAGAGGACCCTTCTCTATAGATCTGTAGTTTTTATTAGTTATAATTTCTTCACACTTCTGTCAGAAATGTTTGCTGTTAATTTTGAACACTGTTTTTCATGTGAATATATTTTTTAAGTGGATATCTTTTTCATTTTGTTTTTTTCCTCCTGGCTTTTAAATATATATTTAAAATATTTTTATCCATATCTAATTTTTGCAACTTTCAAAAAAACTTTCTAAGCAGTCACCTCCTGACCCTCTTTTTCCCCCTTAGCTGTTTCCCCCCCCCTTTTCAGGGCCACCTCCCCTCCTTCAGAGCCCCCGCATAATGCTATTCCTTTACCGTCCAGCCATCTGCCTGTTTTAGCCTCTTCTTCACTCTCTCTGTTTCTTCTATATAGATTTCCCCATATGTCTGCTTCTTCCTTTATCCACAAGTCCAGACACTCCTCCATAGCTTTCTTACCACCCCATCCTGGTGTCCCGTCTGTTCATAAATAACTCTTTCATCCGCCTTGAATCCCAACCCCCTACTCTTTCTAAAAAGAGTGTGCAAATAAACCTAAAGTGCACGGAGCCAAGATGCATAGCATAGTTTTGATTCAGAATAGACTTTCTCCTTCCAATCACCTGTTTTAGTCCCCATTTTTTGTTGCTTGGCTTCTTTGTACAGATCCACAATTGCCGTTCAATTTTTGTATGAAAGTGGATGCAAAGTTATTTAATGTCTTCATGACAAAGTTTTTGCCTCTTACTGGCAGGTTATTTTGCCCTAATCAGTTACACAGTCTTGTGCAGCCTAGTGGTTGCTATTTTGGAGTAGTCAGGTTTGAACCTTTTGTTCTTCAGAAATTAACGTATTATCTCAGAAACAGCAGTCTCTGCTTGCGTGCTTGGCAACACAAAACTGCGTTAGGTCCTTTTCTAAGTCTGAGTTCTAGGACATGTGCCATGAAAGGAGTGTTAACTGAATCACCTGCAGAAATGGCCACAAGGAGGGCTTTGTAATGTTCTAGATATTTAAAATGTTGGTGTCCTCCTCCTAGCATGGTGTGCTAGTGACAGGCTCCTTTCTCCCTGGTCAAGAGTAAACATTGGCAATTTACTTCCCTTTAGAAATGTGTTACTGTAGCCATCGCGGAGTTGCCAGTGTTTTTCCTTCCTAATGTCAGTGATAATTTTACTCACAGATTCCCTGCAGAGATTTTAGCTCAGCAGGAAGTAAATCTAGGTAAGATTGCCTTGAAAACTGATCTAAAACAATAAATGCTAACTGTATCATTCCTTTTTATTTAAAAAAAATTGGAGGCATAACTAACTTGATTATTTGTAACTGGTGAGATCTAATAATCGTGGTTAAGACCCCATTCGTTCATACATTCTCTCGTTCTCTCTCTCACTGCTTCTTTGCCTATAGAAAAATAAAAGTCAGAGATTGAAATGATTCACACTATATTTTTTAAGGATGAAATATCATAGTAGAAATGAAAGGTAGAACTGTTTACTCATGAGATGCTGAGAAAATCTAAACTGTAGCTTTCCTAGAGTTTAGGAAGCTAAATATTTTATTGGTATCAAAATCAGAAATATCTAAAGAATAAGATATTTAGTTTTAAATGTTTCATACTTTCTAAAAAGAGTTTTTGCTTTGTTTTGTTTTGTTTTTGTTTTTTGAGACGAGTCTGGCTGTTACCACCCGGGCTGAAGTGCAATGGCACGATCTTGGCTCACTGCAACCTCCACCTCCTGGGTTCTAGTAATTCTCCTGCTTCGACCTCCTGAGTAGCTGAGATTACAGGCACCTGCCACCATGCCCGGCTAATTTTTGTATATTTAGTGGAGATGGGGTTTCACCATATTGGCCAGGCTGGTCTTGAAGTACTGACCTCAGGTGACCCACGCACCTTGGCCTCCCGAAGTACTGGGATTATAGGCATGAGCCACTGTGTCCAGCCAAGGTCTTTTGTTGTTGTTGTTGTTGATAGTCAAGAATGAGATTTTACTGAAACAAGGACATCAGAATAAAAAGAAATGTAAAAAATGGGAAAGACACTGAAAATTACAACAACCCATATTACTCATTCAGATTCTTTTTGGAATTTCAAATAGTCAATAATGAAGAGACATAAATTCCTTGGAGAAACGTAGCTTAGGGTCAGCTTTCCTTTAATGACACTAGTGCTATAGTCACTTATATGTAGTATTTTTGGTGTTGTCCAATTTCTGTGGATTCTGAACATTAGCTGTACACAGATCCAAGTCTGTGGCTTTAGCATATTTTTGCTTTTACATCTTGTCAAAAATATACTGTTAGAATATCTTAGACTCGAGAAGATTTTAGAAATCACTAATAATGTAACAACTGTTATTGGTTATGAATGAACAAAGGTTCAGTTAAAGAGTATTTCCAGGTAAGGCTGTACATATCCACAGTATATTATAGAGACTTCTGGGTTATGCACTGGATATTAATGGTTTGGATTATGGTGATGTTTCTGAATGTGTGAAGGGTGAAGTTCTAGACTTCATTTTTATTAAATGAAATTGATTTTCTTACCCCCACCAAATTACTTACCAAACATTAGATACCTAAGATCTTAAACATAGCCATCCTCTAAATTATTTGTTCTTTAAGTGTCCAGAGAATATCGTGCAGCTTCCAGATCATGGAGAAACCAGTTCTGTGCTCTTGAAGTTGCAGTGGTAGGAGAAATAGCAGTCTTCTATGACAGATTTTTCAACTTTAACCCTCTCACTCTCTGCTAATTAGAATCATACGGTCATACACTTTTGGTTTTTTTTGTGTGTAACAAATTTTTTCTAAAGATTCAACAAAAGAGTTTCAAGGTTACCTTCAAGTAGGTACAAATATCTTAGCTCTGGCTTCTTTTTCTCCCAAATTGGCTGTGGACTGTAGGAGCTTAATTAGTTCAGGCTCAGTGCAATTGGTTTGCTCCTAGGGTGTGTCTATACTTAAAACATTTTTTTATAACAGAAAATACGTTTTTGACCACTTTTCATAACTTCCTCTTGTTGTTTACCAGTTTTAATTTTATCTTGGCAATTGAAAATCTTGGGGGAGGCCAATCTAAAAAAAATTCTTGGATTTTCAAGTTGGATATACATCGGTTTCCTAAAAAGAACTCTCTTTTTCAATAACTTTGATATCTCATTCATTCAGCCTGTATTTATTGAGAGCTTATCATGCACGTGGTGTTATGCTTTTTAATTGCTGGTACCTTGAATATTTAGAGAAAAAATACCTCGTGCATTTTGTCTCTGTGTGTTTGACATGTCACCTTGTTGAATCTGCACCAAGAAAATGATGAATTCCAATGATCTATGGTAGTTACAAGGCCTTAGAAGAACCAGGGATGTGAATTTTTGGTCTGCTTCCTCCGTATTTCCTATTCATTGAGAAACGTGCTTGTATGCATATAAACAATTCCTTACTATTTTTCTTTCTGGAGAGGAAACAGTAATGGGTGGATTTTATCACAGGACAAAGACTCTTCCAGATAGCTGTTACAGTCCCTCCCTCTGCTCACCTGATTTAGATGAACCTCTCTTTGACCCACCACGATGGTGGTAAGTCTGCCGTTGCAGTTTTGTAGACATGTATGTGAAGGCGATGTTTGTTATGGGGTCAGTGTTGCCTTAAGGATGCGGGCTAGAGTGAGGGGACCTTTGTGGTGGGCTTTGCAGACTTCTTGGCAGAGGGAAGCACAGATGCGTGAGGTTACTATTTTCACCTATCTCCTCCTTTCTTTATTGTTTACAGGAACACTTGTCTAAGTGGTGCACAATTTTGCCTTGCTTACGCTTCTAGAGTGAAAAATATCTGTCCAGACTCCCTGGGATAGGTTGGTTCTAACATCTTGGTGGATTGAGCCTGGACCAGGAGTTTTGACTTAGAATTCATGGAGAGAGGTGTCTGTAAATGTATATATACCCCTTTATGTTTGGGAGAAAGCATCTGTGGAGCTTATCTGGGTAGCAAGAGGATTTTGTGACCCAGCAAAGGTTAAGGCACACTGCCTGGAAAAATCAATTAGGATCCAGTTGAGGGTTAGATCTGGCCATAGACTTTGCCTGGTGTTGGTAAATAATCTGAAAGCCTTAAAGCATCTCAGAGTAATGAAAGGGGCCCAAGGGTTCACAGTGCCTTTTCTCAGGATTGCTGCAAGGATTCTGGATTAAAAATCCTTCTGCTGTCTGTGGAACAGAACATTTCCTGGGATCAATCCTTGAGCCTTCCATAGACAAAGAATTTCCCAAAACTAATCTTGCCCCATGTGGTGTCAGAGGTAAAATAAGTGCCAAGCATGAGAAGCCAGAGTAACCTTTACTGGAGTAACCTCTGCTAGATCTCTTGTTATCTATGTACTCTTAGAATATCTTAGACTCGAGAAGATGTTAGAAATCACCAATAATGTAAGAACTGTTATTGGTTATGAATGAACAAAGGTTCAATTAAAGAGTATTTCCAGATAAGGCTATACATATCCATAGTATATTATAGAGACCTCTGGGTTATGCACTGGATATTAATGGTTTGGATTATGGTGATGTTTCTGAATGTGTGAAGGGTGAAGTTCTAAACCCTTTTTAGATAGGCAAGTGTGATGTGAGCAGTAGAGTACATTTTTTGTTTTTGTTTCCTGAAGTGGGGCACATTTCTCTCCCCTTTGTGGTTCTGTAAATACATTGTTGAGTCCAGTGGAACTTCAAAGATGGCACATAGCTACTGATGACACACACAAATATTGTAAGTTGATAAGGATGTCTGAAATGTTATAAGTGGCTACCTGATGCCTGATGTCAATGCTGGTATCTGTAAAGCACACACACTAAGAATAGAGACTGGCAGCTCAAGGGTGTTGATGGTAATTTTATTGTATCTTCAAGAAAGTGTGTTTCCAGAGAATTATTATCAGTAATAATGACTACCACCTTGTTTTCTTTTGCCTCATTTCTCTTTCTTCTTCCATGAAACTGGGGTAAGCCTTATTGTAGAGAGAAGCCCACATGGATATCCAGCACCTAGGTTCCGCCGAGGGCAAGGCGGAAATGAACTGAGTTATTCCATTTCTGTGTAAATCGGCGTCATTTGCTACATGTGCAAGTTTTGGGCCAGAGGTGTGGAAATTGGGTTCACTGTTAATCTAACTAGTGATAGCCTTTTTAATCATGTATTTTAATAGGAAGGTAGCACAGTTGAGGGACCTCTTTTGCCTCTTGTGCCTAAGACAGCTGGGTTTGAAACTCAGTTTTTAATGAATTATTTAACTTTACTGTGTCTCATTTTCAAATCTATAAAATGGGGTTAATTGTATTTTGCAGGATTATACTGGAGAAGATGATAGTACATTTCAGATTTCTACCACAAATATGGCCCTCGAATTTACTTTTCTCTACTACTAAGCAACAAAATAAAATTGAGGAAATGGGAGTCTCTCTACCTGGTCTTTGATTTAGAGTGTGGTATTTCTTCATTATGGGTAGAAGAGTATTTTTCTTTATAGAGAGTCATTAACCTTCAGGAAAAAAAAATCAATCAAAGGTTACGTGGAATGAAGAAGCGATGTCATGTAATTGAGATTTTTTTTTTTTTGATTCAAAATGTAAACTCACTTGATTTAGAATTGATTGGAACATGGCATGTGAAAAAAACACAGGAGACATTTAAAACTGTACCTAAATCTGATATAGTAGTTAAGAAAGCTAGCTTTATAGGAAATTAAAGGGGGCTGATTAGAGTAAGATAGGAGAGAGAGGGGGAAAGGGGATATGGTGGGTAGCTAGAAGAAAGGCATACACATGCTTAGAAGTAGGAAGCCAGAGATGGAGGAAGACCTAGGATGGGCTTGGAAAACTTCTGAAGCCTTAATGAACTGATCTTGTCACACACAGCTGTTCATTTGAGTTGTGGGCCTCAGAGTATTATTCCTTTTTATCACTGTCTTTTGAAATGCTAATTAGATAATTGACCATTGTTCCCAGTTCTTTGGTTACTTTTTATTCTTAAACTTCTAGAGACTAGGCCTTGAATGGGATACTCAGAGCAGCACACCAGATGGGAAATTATTCTCTGGCCTTCAGTTGCCAAATGACCACCACAGTAGTGCTTGGGATGTATAAAATCCAGCTGAGAGGCAGAACTAGCCTAAGGGGTGGTTAGCATACTTCTTGGGATAGTCCTTCATCAATAGATTTTTATTTTGTAATGATGAAGGGGACTGCCTTTGTATTTTTATACAGATTTATCAGATTTACTTAATCAATAACTTAATCAATATTGATTACTTAATCAATAATCATGGTCTTCTTGACCATGAAAGGCTCATTTAAAGAAAAGAACACTTGAAGAATATCTGAAAATGATTAGCAAGATACCTTTGGTTTTTCATGAAACACCATTATAAGTCTAATGTTTGAAGAATGTTTTTATTCTACTTCTGACCTAGTTAACTCATAGTTTTTTTTTTAAATTGAATTAGATAATGTGTATGAAAGCATCTTGAAGAATATACACTCAGCACAAATGTAAGATTTGATTAATAAGGTGGTTATTAATGAATACCATATAGTAACAATATATCTGAGTCTTGCAGAAAAACATTCTTGACCAACAGGACGTGATCTAGTAGAAGAGCTGCCTGTTCTACATATTTTATAAAGAGAACTAATCATTTTTCTTCTGTATACTCAATCCGATATCAGGAAACCTCATTTAGGTCTATTCACACTGTAGAGGCAGCAAAATAACATGCCTGACCTTTTCTATGTAAATATTAAAAATTATTAAATCTGCATGTTGGAAAGATTGATTTCGGCAATACCTTCTAAATTTTCAGTGAATATTTAAGTGTAAGTTTGCAGATAGTTTCATGAAAATAATTGACTTTTAGTTTTGGTACTAGAACAATTGGAATATTGGTGGTATTTTTCATTTTAAATCTGTGTGAACTAAAATTTTCTTATTTGTCTGGCATGAACATCACAGAAAAATCCTTTCCCTTCAAGCTATTTTTTTAAAAAAATTGTAAAGGAGATACTATGTATTGCAGAACATTTAGCAAATAGTGAAAAAATAAAAAGGGAAAGTCAAAAATTCCCTCTTATTAGTTCAGTACTGTAACAGTCGATTGTATTGCCTGGGCTATTTTTTTAAAAAAATTGTAAAAGAGATACTATGTATTGCAGAACATTTAGCAAATAGTGAAAAAATAAAAAGGGAAAGTCAAAAATTCCCTCTTATTAGTTAAGTACTGTAACAGTTGATTGTATTGCCTGGTGGTAGTCTTTATATCTGTACACATATACATACAATTTAAAATATGTATGCAATTTTAGATTATTTAAATAAATTCATACTTATTGTTATATATTTTTCTTTTTCTTTTTTTGTATTTGCATTTTTAAAAAACTGATAAGACCTGCCAGGGTTATGTGTGCTGTAGTGTTTCCTGAATTTATTTAACTACTATGGTTTTTCTGTTTTCTAATTTATTAATTCATTAAACATTTGTTATTCCTTTGTTTTCTTGGGTCAGTTTTATAGAAGTCATTTTCCTTAAATTGACTGTTGAGTTAAATTATTTCACTCTTATGTTCCAGATCATGAATTTGTATTGTGTAAAAATTTGGCTGCATTCCATAAGTTTTGTTGATAATGTAATATTCTCTGTGTTACTAGTTTCTGAAGTTATTTTGGCAGTTTTTTCCTTTTAATACAATAGCTAACTTGAACTCTCATTTAAATTTCAAAGAGATTATCAAGTTTAGCTTTTAAAATTTTCATAACTGTTTTCTAGTTTTATTAAAGTGTGGCCAGTAAAGAAACAGTGTATTTTCTGTGTCTTAAAATTTCTTATACTCTTAGTGTCCCAACAAATGATATTTTAGGAATTTCTCAGTATTTCAGATGAGATTTATTTTTATATTTGTAATAGTTGGAAATGTGGCTTATTTTCTGTAGTGTACATTTTAATTTGCTTTTCAGTTTTTAAAGTTTTTTCTTAACTAGATCTCTTTTGAACCTAGAAAGATGTGTTAAACACTCCCACAAAATAATACATGTTTCTCATGCATAAGCGATTCATGATGACTGTGTGTTTATGGTAGATATTTTCATCTTTGATCTTCAGTACTCCCTCTTTTATTATTATCTCTTTTTTTCCATGTATTATTGTAAGAGAACTTTTCAAGTTTGTCGTCTACATCAGTGACAATTTTTCTACAATTTTATGCAAATTTTAATTTTGTTAATGCATTTTTAGTTTTCTTACAATATTTCCTATTACATCCATCTGCTTTTACATCTCTTCACAAATCTTTTGTGTTGACACCTATTTTATAGAAATATTCTATTTTATATAACTGTCAAATGTGATGTTTTCTAGACTCCACTTGTATTTTTTATAGGGTGAAAATGTTTTTCAAAGTATAATTTCCCTCTGAATTATGAGTACATATTTCCCTATATTTTATTGTGCAGATTTTTTTCTCACTACACAGTTTTTAACATGTTAAACTTTAGGACGCTGCAAATCTGCCTTTCTTAATATATTCTGTGATGTTGAGGCTAACTACATATATTTTGTAAAGAGGTATGCTGGTCTCCATGTCAGCCTCTACCAATAGGAGGCGCTGGAGGGAGAGTAGAAGGCTAGAGGAGGAAGAACTTGGCCTTTCCTGTTCTTGTTATCATCACTCTGGTAACATCAGTCTTTTCCAGTTTTTAGTTTTGTCTACATTCCTAAAATTAACCTCCTTGGAGATAACAGCCCCAGTCTGCTGGTGTCTCTTCCTCATCACGTCTCTCTGAGCTTACAGGCTCTGGAAACCCAACCGCTTCCCTGTTTCCCCAGCCGTGGGGATGGTAGCTGTTTCCATCCGACTGTTCATGGGTGCTTCTTCTCAAGTCTAAAGCCAGAGGACTGTAAATGTATGTTGTTTAAGCCACACATCCAACCATACTGGTTCAGGAAGGCAGCGGTCTTCCAGTAGTTAGTTAGCTTTCTAAAAACTCCCTTTAAAAATGAGACTTTAGAAAGAGGATGACAAATCCTGAGGACTCGTGTCTTAAGCAAATTTTCTGTCTAGATATTTATTATAAACCTAATTGCATCTGATAAGTGCTGTGTATGTCATACTCTATCAAAGGTAAAAGGGTTATTAAAGTAACCTGCACTTTTTAGAGCAATGGTGGATGGCCTTGCAGAAGGCACATGGCCTTTATCAGTCAACTCACTGTGGGGAAGCTGGAGAAATAAAGTTCAGGTGAGAGTAAGCCGACAGTTCTGGTGTGATTTTCTTGGGAGGATAACGTATAATGTAGGTAGCAAACACATGGGAGAAAGAAGGTTTTGCATTATGAGATTTGACTTAATGTGTACAGTTTGCTTTTGGTGTTGTAAAGCAGTAAAGAGGCTTATTGACATCTCTATTGAAGGTCATTGCAGTGCATGAAATGTAAATCAAAGTGTTATTCTTTATTAGAAGCTAGAAGATAACATTTACATAACATGCTTTTAAGGTAATGAGTTAAGTTCATTATTTTTTATTACTATAACTGTTTGAAGAAAGTTATTTTCATGCTAAAAATACTCCTACTTGAATCCGATTTGTCATAATTTTTGCATGATGTATAATCTATTGTTAGGAAACGATAATTCCATTTATTTTTGTTTCTGGGGGAAAATTGTTAGACAGCTGTTTCAGTCTTTCCAAATAAACTCGCTTCCAGAATTCCTAGTAAGTAGCAATGCTGGTTGATAGGAATGTCACCATTTTTCTGACCCCCCTCAGCCTTATCACAAAGACATAGTGCAGAAGCCATATAAGAAATTTGAGAAAAGGAAAAGATACCAAGGCCTAGGTATTTCACAAACTGGATAATTAGACTCTGAATTGCGACGAATAGGCTGAAAGAAAAAAATGTCACAAGCCTATAGTGGCTTAAGGAACACTGATTTCACAGTGAAATCTTTCTACATAAATTTTATGGTTAACTGGTAATAGGAATAAAACTGTGGAGCAATGTCAGACAATTCTGTTATGATTCCTGCCTAATGAATGGCAGGCTTTCCCTTGGTATTTTCTCCTTAACCTGCCCATTGCCCTTTCTGTATGATCACATTTTCTTTAACCAGTTCTTTGCTCATAAATAAAGCCGTGTGTTCCGGTTCAAAAGTTGCATCTTCATTTATAAATTCACAGAATATGTTTTTCAGGGAAAAATGTAACTCAATCAGCTTTGCATGGTTTACATAATGTGATAGTCTCATATTTACTATGTGGTTAACAAGAAATAACTGTTACCAACAAAAATCAGAGAATTTAAAAACAACGAACATTTTGCTTGGGAGCCTATGTATATCTCTATATAAATACATATAGACATCTATAAACATCATCGATCCTTCCCATGTGCACATGCCATATATATGTGGATGTGGGATGATACTTGTTTTTATATATACATATCTATATTTATATAGCTGAAGAAGTGAAACATATTGCTTTTTATTTAAGTGACTCAATGCGTTTATAGACAAGCTTTATTTTACAGTACTTTATCAATGCCGAGATGATAAGATACTGCTTTGATTTGGTCTTCTAAAGGTCAAAATTTGAAAGAATAAATTGATTCCTAGAGACATTCTTATGCTATCATTGGCCTTATATTGAACAGAGAATTTCTAGGAAAATTATTATTCCTCAATGGAAATAAAAATTCATTTTAGGTAGCTTAATCAATTTGAATTATTCATTTATGGCATTGCTTTCAATTGTTGATGAGTGTATTTGTGTACTGGGTGTGGGGAGGTCTTCAGGGGATGGGAAGGTGGAGGGATGAGAAGATTCTTATAGCACTAAACTGAATTTTCAATTCCCTGCTAAAGTGTGAAGAAAGAAGTGAAGTGCTTCATTTTCTTCTTTTTAGAATCATTTAGCAACCACAGTTCGTACTTTATATTTTTTATGGAGTACTTTCAACAACTTGCTTTTGCAGTTGGGAAATGACACTTACCTGGATTTTCTTGGGTTCTTTATTCATGACATCAATGAAGACTACTGCTAATGAACCATAGATGAAGTTACACATATGCTAAGCAGGGAAATGCAGGAAGAATGTGAAGGTCCTAGAGTATCTCAATTCAGCATGTAAGTGAGTTGTGTGCACAGTAGCACAGTTCTGTCTTATGGCTGGTCAATGCTCCATATTATGAATTTACATAGGCTTTATTTTAGGCTCTGAAATAATTATTTTTATTATATTTCTCAAATTTGCCAAAGTATCTCTGAGAGAGATTCAGATCCCATCTGTTTGACAGCTGAGGAAATGGGGACAGTTGGTACAATGGTTTCTCAACATTAGAACACATCTTTTTTTTTTTTTTTCTTTTTTTGAGACGGGGTCTCACTCTGTTGCCCATGCTGAAGTGCAGTGGTACCATCAGGGCACACTGCAGCCTTGACCTGCCTGGCTTAAGCAATCCTCCTACCTCAGCCTCCTGAGTAGCTGGGAATACAGGTGTGGGCCACCATGCATGGCTAATTTTTGTATTTTTTTGTAGAGACATGGTTTCACAATGTTGCCCAGGCTGGTCTCGAACTCCCAGGCTCAAGTGATCTGCATGCCTTGGGCCTCCCAAAGTTTTGGGATTAAGGCATGAGCCAGCACGCCTGGCCAGAACATGTCTTAACTTTTTAAGATTCATGATCCTGTTGGGAGTCTTATGTTGTTGCTAATGTTGCTTATGTAATTTACTTTCATAATGTCCTGTTTCCACCTATTTTTCCCTCTTTGTGCTGAAGACTATTGAAGAGCATTGACTAGTGACATTCAGATAATAGTCTGGTGAGTTTGGGTTGAATGTTCTTTTTTGTGTGGCATGCTTGGATATGTGTAAATATGTAAGAATATAGGGAACTAAATCTTACTTTTCAAGATGCTATCGTGACACCTCTGCTTGTTAAAATGTTGGATAATTGTGAGAAAACACACAAAAAAATACAAGGACCCCGTCACACTTCTTTATTCTCTTTCAGATTTTATACACTTAAACAGATTTACAGCAAAAAATCCTCCAATGACTTTTTAAAAACACTGTTATGTTACTGATAAACTGATTTTTGTCTGTGTCCCTTCGTATATATTCACACAATTTTCATATTTCTGGGTTATTCATCCTTGCTTCACATGTGTTATCTCACGGTTAAAAAAATTTTTGTTGGATGATCAAAAGCAATTAAAACATTCTTATTCAGTGCTTACATACTTTTGTGTTCTTTTTCTGTGTCATTTTTTCATATACAGAATATGTTTTCCAATAGTTTACATTCTGAATTTTTTAATGACCAGTGTTAAACTGTTAGACTTACCATCATTTACTTAAGTCTCTCCTACATATTTGGTGATTTTGGTTATTTCTGTATCTTTGCACACGTTTTTTCATTTTTGTTTCTATTTTCTAATATGCAGTTTTTATAGCTTCTTGATAGAGTCTTTGAAATTTTGTTTCTGTGAAATTGTGTAGTTTCATAGAACTAAATTTGCTCTACTTAACTGTACCTGATGAATTCATATTAGCTATAAATATTTAAACATTTTATATAACAGACAGCAAATCATCATATTGCTGGGAATGTAAGGAAGATAAACTCCATGCATTCTAGAAGTCATTAGAGATTTTGCATATAAAGACCACAGCTAGTTTCAAGATCTAAATCTTGAAGCAGGCATTCAAGGTGTTTCAATAAGTACTTAACGGTAGGCCATTAATTCATGTAATCATTTAGGATAAATGATGGGCAGAAAAGTTACTGTGCAAAAAGTATTATTTGGAGAATAATGGATATATGAAAACTTACATAAATGATTATTTATTGTAATTTTTGTTACTTTCAATTTCTTGGTCATGGCAAAAATTGAAATGCAAGGTCAAACAGAAGAGAGATGGAGAAAGCTCTAACCAGCAAGGGCCTGGACTCTCACACTTCCCTGATTGGAGCTGCTGTGTGTGTCTGAGGAGTCACCATTGCTTTACTGCTTATACCTAAACAGAAGTATATGTAGCTTTGCTTGCACTGAGGATGTTTATAAATCCTCTGGGTTTTACATTTGATTTACTTTCTTCCTCAGCCTTCCCATCTCATTTGAAGACACCTTTAGTTTTTTCATTTCTCAGACTTAACCTCTAGGGAATTATTCATATCTCCATTTTCTCTTATATTGTACATTTAAAGTCTTCCTAAATGTTGTTAGCTTATATTTATTATCTATCGCTGCATAGCAAACATTCCCCAAACTTAGTGATTTAAAACAATAACCATTTTATTGGCACACAAATCTGTATGTAGTTTACCTGCTTGGACTGAGCTCAGCCAGTTGGTTCTCTTGTTGATGTCAATGGTGGTCACTCATGAGGATACAGTCTGATGGCGGGTGGACAGGAGGGCCTGGTTGGTTTAGGGAGCCATCAACTGAATTGGCTCACTTCTGTTCCATGTGGTTTAGGCCTCCAGAGGATAGCTCAGGGTTCTTCACATCATGGTAGAAAATCACCCAGCCGCACAAAAGAGCAAGATCAAATGAGTAAGCACTTTTTAAGTCTCTGCTTACATCATGCTTGCAGATACTCCATTGGTCAAAGCGTGTCATGTGGCATAGTCCAGTATCAGGGTGCTAAGAAACTCCACAAAATCATGGGTGAAGGATGGTGTTATTCATTAGGAGCTCTTATTATAACCGTTTCCCACAAGGTTCTGACTTTTAAGAATTCAACCACTTTTCCTAACCTCTGTTGCTAGGACTTTGTAGCACTCTGGTAATAGTCTGCTAACTGGACTGCCTGCTTTAGCCCTTGACCTTAGTCTGTTTTTTAATGGAGCAGTGATCTTTAAAACATAATTCAGATGTTATTCCTCCTCTTCTCAGAACACTTCATTGACCTTACACCTTATTTAGTTAAAGCCAAAGACCTTAAAATGGTATGTGGCTTCCCTGGTACCTCTGTGATATCATTTGCTTTCTCTCCCACTCTACACCAGCCACACTCTTTCTTAGTGTTCTGCAAATGCACCATGCAAGCTCCCACCTCAGGGTCTTCACATTTGTTATCCTTTCTGTTAGGAACACTTGACTCAGGTTCTCCATAGTTGGGTCCTTCATCTCTCTCTTCACTCAAATGTCATATCAGAAAGCCTTCCCTGACCACACTCTTGAAGATTACAGTCATTTCCTCTTCTAATGCTCACCATCGTGTTTCCTACTTAGTTTTTCTCCATCCAGGCCTCCGGATCACTCTCCATCCTGCTCTGTGTCTCAAGAGGCTAACCTTCTACAGTTGCATAATCAGACTGCCTTTCTCTCGTTCTCTCAGTCTTCTGGTTGGGTTCACCTAATGGGAAGCTGTAGCTTTCCCTTCATTTTGCTTATAAACCTTTAAAAAAAAACCCAAAAAACCAGACAGTATATTATTTTAGATTTAGATAAGACCAAACTAAGATTTAGTGAGCATTTTCCATGAACCAATTTCTGTGCTTTCAGATATGTCATAGAAAAAGTTAAGTGAACTGTCATCCCTGTTTAAGAGTCAGGGATACTGAGGTTGAGGTTAAATGACTTGTTCAAGGTAACAGTTAGAAAATAAACAAACAAGACTTCCAAACTCACGTCCAGTCATCTTTTCCATCTACAGCCCTGTCTCCGTAAGTCATCACTGAATGATCGCTGTTACACACACCTTTGGAATTTGTCTTTTATCACATACACACCACCACCACCATTTTCTGGAAACTTCTTTTAAACCCAATCTGACTTTTTAATCAAGTCTATATTTGCTAGTCTCAATAGCTGTTACCTTCATCCTCTTACATCTAAGGGCATGTTCACCAGGAGTCTTTCTCCGGAATCACCAACCTCCTCTTCTCTCCTGACTCTTCAGCATTTTAATATGCTCATTTCTCCTATCTTAAAATTAAAGATGGATTTTTAAATTTAAAGATGAATTTAAATACGCCCACCCCCCTCCAAATTTTGAGACTAACTTTTCTCTTCATTTTGTTCTGTCCTTTTCAAGCCAAGTTTTCTCACACGACATTCTGTATATAATGTGCCATGATCTGGCTTCTTTCCACAACACTCTCTGAAGATTCCACCTCAAAACGTCATCAGTAGCATGTGTGATTGGCTTTGACCTTTCTACTGCTTTACCTCTTTGAAGCGTTGGACTTTGGAACACAGCCTTCTTCTATACCTCCTACTCTCTTTCAAAACTCAGCTCATGTCTACCTCTTCATGGGAGTTTTTCTTAACACAGAAGACTGATCTGATTGTCCCTCCAGCTTGTCCTCTTGTATGCTGGGGCATATGCCAGCAATCACAGCTGCTGAGATGCTTAGTCTTCCTGACGGAACTGTAGTTTTTGGAGTGGTCAGGATCATGTCTTCAGAACTTGCACCCCAGCCATGTGTCTGCACGTAGTTCAGTGACCAGAACATAGTCAACACTCAGTACATGCCTGATGAATGAACAAATGAGTGTGACCATACTTAACTTGGTGAGGCCATTTTTTTCCGTGAGTTTTATACTCTGGGTTGTTTTCCTACCTTGGATTCTCTGACTTTTTTCTCTCTCATCTACTTGCCTGACTTTCTTAGGTCTTTTAACTTTGTTTCTCCATCTTTACATTAAGTGTTGGGATACAGGGCTGAACAAGAACAGGTAACTGTCTTATGGCTTTACGTTTATGTGTTTTCCTCTGAAATTAGGCAAATTTCCTAATCTTGCTGAAGTTATTTTCATCCTTAAGAAAGTAATATTATAGGTCTTTATAGAGTGGGGCAGGATCAAATGAGCATGTTTATTAATTGCTTAGCATTATGCCTGGCACAAATTCAATTACCATTATATGGTAATAATTTTAATAGTAATAAACCATATATTACACATGTATTATTCATAATCAGATGATGTATGCATTATATAAAAATTGTACTATTCTATAAATATTGTAAAAAAAGAGTAAATAATATACATCAATTGCTTTGTGCATCCATATATTTTTACGTGTGCTCCTTTTATTAAATCATATGTTTTTCCTCAGTTTATTGGTTGCTTTTTACTTACCAAAAGCTTCTGTCCAAAAAAAATCAAATGCTGCGGCTGCCCTGAGCAGAGTTCACCTTGGAAGAGGCTTTAATTGTGATGAACCTGTAAGAACAAAGTTTAAGAATTGAGATAATCAGCAGCTGTGTATTTCTTTAAATTTTTATATTTAATGATTTATTTGAATTAACTGTTACCACGTTTACATCTTCTAGATTAGTTTTTAGGCCTTTACTTTTCCTTGGCTGTGGGTACTGACCAGCATGGTGGTAGGTATGATTGGGGTGTGTGTGTGTGTGTGTGTGTGTGTGTGTGTGTGTGTGTGCATGGATAGATGTGTGTGTATGCTCATGGATGTGCATGTGCATGCATGAATGCATAATATTTCAAACACATGCTCAGTGATTGAGTCACTGTCAGGAAGTAAACTTGGAGACCATGTTGCTCGATGCCACAATAGTCCTGTTATTGCATTGTCACCACAGGATGCCATTAAAATAGGTATGAAGAATGTCAGTGTTCATTAATTTGGTTCTCTTCAGAGAACATTAGCCATGGGGAAAAGATACAGTAGAAATCTGAGAAGAGATGGAAGATAGGAGAGAAACCTGGCTTTTGAAGAATGATCTTTGATCTTTCAGAAGAGGAATACATGTCAAGAGCTTATCTATGTGAAAGAATTTACATGCAAAGCAAATCAAGAACATAGATTTTGCTTATCTTTATAGATTATAGTTTCATCTTAGATGGCAAAGAAAAGCCAGGCTTCTCTATACAAAGGGATTTGCATGTTTATGATAACTCAATTAGCCTTAACAGAGACTACCAGTATATGCTGGCTGTCTGGCCTCAAACTTTAATGCATATGTATTTTCAAAGAGAACTAAAAGATTTTGGGATTGTAACACAGAGAAAGAAGAGATAGAGAATTATCAAACATTGGGGATCAGCTTTAAAATTATAAAACAAATTATATATGTTCTGAAAAATTACTTCAGGAATAAGCAGCTTTTTTTTAAATATGAGAAAGCAAAATCATATCCTGTATGCCATTAAAGGTTATTGCGTTTTCCAAATTTATAGTTGCAAGTGATGGAAATTTTCTTTAACAAACTGAAGGATGCATTTGTAGTCTAAATGGTAGCTTTGAGAGTAGTTAGATATTTATGGAAAAATTATAAGAAGCAATGTGCTTTTAAAATTTTTTTTTCAAAAATAGATATTGGTTAGGAAAACTACACTCTTTCACTATTTGGTAATGCATATTCTGACTCATTCACACAGTCATTGTGGCACCTAAAGTGTTGCAAAATTAGACATTTATATGGAGATGGGCTATTGATGTAAAAAAAAAAAAAAAAGCTGAGGGCTAGGAATGATAAGACATGAGTAGAGGGTTTTAAAAATGAGCTCTTTGTTTTCCACTCTTCATCATGCCTAGATCTCAGAGAGGTTTTGTCCAGTGAGAATAAAGAACCCATGGGAATTATGCAGAAATCACTGTCCAGTAAAAGGAATAGTTTTCCTTCAGTGACCAAGGGTGGGACCTGAAGTCAGCACTAGTCAGTGACGCTGTTTTATCGTCTTCATGCCAGGTGAAGATTTGCATAGGTGAAATGCCCACTTATTAGGAGAATTACACCCTGACAGAAATCCAAAAGATGGTGCCCCTTTATCTTCTATCAGGGGATTTCATCTAATACTAGAAGGAGCAGTAAGATACCATGAGTTTGTTACCAGTTATTCACTGGCCTGATCCTGAAGGTCATTGCCTTTCTTCAGTGTTATTTGCTCAGTATCCTGCCTGCTACCCTTAAGCACTTACTTTGCCTATTGAAATCTTACTAGCTATTCATTCAGAAGTACCAGTATTTCTTTCAAGGTTGATCTTATGATGCTACTGTATTTTTTCTTGCCTTTTAATTATTTTTTTAACTTTTTATTTTGAAAAATTTTTAAACACATGCAATGTATACACAGTAGTAGAATAATCTTCTGTGTCACCATCATACAGTTTCAATATTTACCAGCATTCTGCCTTCTTGGCTCATCTATATATACCACTCCCACTCGATTTTGATAAATTCTTAATAATAGACTATGAGATCCTTGAAATTTGAAACTATAATTAAATATCTGTCTATAGACACCATACACATATATATACAGCTATATATGCACATACACACATATATGCATAGACACACACACCTACCCCTTTATTTTATTTTTTATTAAAATGTAACGTATCCTCATTGTGGAGATAGCCAATGTTAATATTTTGATTACTGTGTAGATTCTATCTTCCATTGGTTTTTAAAAACATAACATGAAATTTGTTTATTGCTTTTAAACTTCATATTTTACCATGAATATTTTCCAATGTCCTTGAATGTTTTGAAAGTGTGATTTTTAAAGGCAGCGTAATATTCCATCACATGGATCTTCCATAATTTATTTTAAGAGTTTGCAACTGTTGACCACATCTTAAACTCCTTGCACATAAACACTTGTCTGCATTTGCAAGGATGTTATTAGGATAGTTTCCTAGGGAATTATTAGGTGAAAGGCTCTTTATGTATCTTGCCAAGTTGCTATCTAGGAAGGCTGTGCCAATTTGTATTATTTTTATCTTATTAACGTGGTAGTCGACATAGTATCTGGTTGTGTTCTTTTAGAAATTGGCATTTTCTGGATTAATGACACTGAACGTTTTTCATGTTCATGATTCTTATTACATGTGTAAAATAAGGTGTTATCTGGAATTGTAGTGAATGGTACATGCCATTTAGTTTAGCTCCAAATCTAGTGCTTTGCAGCAATGATTAATTATTTTTAGTATTTCACAAATCAGTTTTTGCTGTCTTTGGACCAGAATGTCTGCCTAAGTGCAAGTTACATTAGTTGAGAGTTGGTCTTATTTTACTTTTTGAGTATTATTTTAAAAAATTGTCACTGTGTATAATTTTCTCCCTTTATGTCATGTAACTTTATTGAGAAATGCAATTCAATCAGGAATAATTTAGTTTAGGTAAAACTTCTTTGTCCAAGAAATATACTGTCAGGTCCAAATACATTTTAAGTTTTGAAAAAAATATTTATTTAGATAAAAATTTGTAATCACTCAGGGTATTTGACTGGATTTGAAGCATAATTTACTTCCAGAATGAATTTAGAACTCTGTTGTTAAAGTACTTGGTACAATTTGTATATCCAGTAAAATAAAAGTTGCCATTTTTGCAAGTCAGTGTTTTAATGCTGATTTGGTACTTTTGCTATGTGAAATTCCCCATACTCCAGTATAGGAACTGAATGAAAACATATACCTTATTAAAATAGTAGAGGTAAGTATTTTCAGCTTCCTAAACAGCAGAGAATGCTTTTTTTTTTTTTTTTTTTAAACTTTTGGAATTACTCTATTACCTACATCTAAGTTGCAAATCCAAAAATAAAACTAGGATTTTATTAACATATTCTGCCCTTCATTGCTTCCGGTTATACTTTGCTGAACTGTGTTCGAGTATGTTGAAAAATAATTCCGTGTATTGTGTGTTGAAAATGATATTAAAAGTATATGTGTTATGTGGAAGAAACAATCAAAACAGACCTACTCAGACATCAACAGGATATTATTACCCCAAAGAAATGACGACAGTTTGCCAGCTTGATGCGTAAAGGAAGGAAATTTACAAACATCTCCAAGAGAGGCATGTTGAACGGTTGAAGGAAATGAGGCACGTCCTGCTTTTATTGTGCTTATTGCAGTGGGATTCCCAGAAGACTGAACAAGGCTGTCCTGAGACCTCTGTTTGGCAGAGATCTTGTTGATTCATATTTTATTTTTGTTTCAGAAAAGGTCTGCTATTGTTCAAATTTCTAATGTAGCTCATAAACACACAGCCAGTATCATTTCCCCTTCTACTGACTGATATATACAAATAAATTAAAATCTACGGTCATCATTAACTCATGTTCTGTTTCCATGGAGCACAGGAGAGTAACAAGGAAGGCCCCTTAAAAGAAAGGCCTTTTAAAGTGGAGGTCTCAGTTCACAAACTTTAAAAGTTTACGAAGTAGTATTTTAGAATTTTAATCACCAGATATATTGGGGGAATTTATTACTTCCTATTCATATGGAAGAGGACAGCAGAGGTAAATATTTATGTAACTTGTATTTTAAAAGCTTACTCTTGATTAAAATGTTTGATCTATCGACTTCTGTATCCTTAGAAGTTTGAATTGCTGGACATATTTGACTGGGGTTTTTACAAAGGCTTCTAGGTTGAAATGCATGGTTCAGGATTTTGGTTTCAAATTTCTGTCAGGTTGGACACATATAAATGAGAAAGTAATGTGGAATATTATAAACATTTCTGCTTTTTTAAGCTCTAACTTTTTTTTGCTATCTCTACCAAAATGCCTGAAAATGTCATGACTCTTTAGACGGAGAAATAGAGGAATGGAAACCATTCTGGATCCTCTGCTGTGACTCAGTCAGTCTAAGGGGCAGACTGAGCGCTATATCTGGAGTTTTACTTTATGAATGTGCACCTTTAACCTTGAGTCAGAAAATGTGGTTACTGTCAGTCTTACTCAGTAAGTGGTGCTGCATAGAACATCAGGGGGAGACTTGGCCTTGGTTTAGTAGAAACTTGAAGGAGACAAACATGAAAAGCAGTGTCAGAAAATGGAAGACCAGTGTTAAAAATCTTTGGTTTTGCTTTCATTTCTCTTGGTTATTTCTTAGGATTATTGCTTTAGATCATTTTCCCAGGCATTTTCATGGATGAAGAATTCCAAAGAAAGTTATTATTTCAACTCTTGAAAGCTACGCTTCAGGGTGAAGGTAGGGCTTGATTATCAAAGGAATTTCCCTGGCTGCAGTCCTAACAGTTTAACTTCCTGTGATTTCCCCCCGCCCCTTTCCCTTTATTTTTGGCTCAGAACTTCAGTAATGTCTGGATTGATGGAATTCCTCTGGGAGGCAGATTTGAGGGTCTAAAGGTGCTTCTCAATAAAGATTTTGAGGAATGATATTAACTTATTAGAGGCAACCCTCTATTGTTTTAGTATAAAGGGGATGAGATTTGGGGGAATCATTTTGGATGTCACATTAAGCCACTAGCCATTTTACTCTTGATGACCTTAGTTGCCTTTAAACTGTATTTTTAGTGGGGATCATTCTTTCAACAGTCCATTCTTTTTTAAACGCAATTTGGTTTATAATTCTGGGGGCTGCCTCTACATGCTGTACTGTCAAGAGAGACATCAAATATTTTCTGAGTAGTTTTCAACACAGTGAATTAAAGCTGAAAAAACAAGTAGCGATACTACCAGCATCTTAACTGAGTATGTGGTGGTGGTGTTTGAGTGTTTGTGTGTGTGTGTGTGTGTGTCTGTCTGTGTGAGTGTTTTATGTTGCTGTACCTACTTGCTTTTAGGTAGCTACAGTTTTACCAGAGAAGAGAATAACTTAGATTATATCAAAGTTTTTTTTTATATAATGGTTTAAAAACCTGCCCTGTGTCTAGTACTCCTTTACGAAGTCCGCAAGACTTGGGGATAACAGTGGACAATAATGTTCCTTAAGGACTTACAGAAATAAGACACACACAGATATATTTAAATTCCAATTAATCTGATTTTTAGTGTGGATTATTGAAGGGCTAGGAACTTAGACTCAGAAATGGAGTATTTTTCCTGTTTAAAATGTAAAGAGATTTAATAACATACAGGAGTCTTGCTATGATTTTTGAGAGGAGATTTACTCTAATGTTTCAGATAATCTGTTTAACAGTTAATAAAAATACGATTTACATTTTGTTTGGATTTTTTAAAGTCAGCACATAATTTCTAAAAGTAAGCAAATTTCTTGCAGGGATGGTGAAATGAAACCTTGTAGCATTTAGCGTGTATTGCGGTTTTGTTATTTGCAGTTTGTTATTAAGTGTTCCTAGGAATAAAAGGAGGTGCACAGCAACAATGTTTACTGTGCCGATTTCTGGTATTTTATAATTAAAGAGCAAGTGTGAGCTGGGAAGGGTGGGCTGGAAAGCATGGATTCTGGCTCTAAATCTCAGCTCGACCACTTACTACCTGTAACCTGGGGCAACACAGTTATTTAATTTCTCTGTAAAATGAGGATAATACAAGTCCCTGCTTCATTGGGCTATGGGAATTAAATGAGTGAATGCATCTAACATTGAGAACAGTGTTCAGCCCATAGTAACTGCTCAGTGAGTATTTTTAAGCTATTAGCATGATCAAATTTAGAGAGGAGAAATATAATGGAGCAGTTTCTCAGTTCTTGTTAGAAATAATCATTACATTTGAAAATCCAACAAAATATTAACATTCAAAACCCATTTTCAGAAGTGGTGGTGGTAGAATTGCTATAACGGAGGAAAATTTAGGAATGGCAGCCTGGTTAAAAGAAAGGGCGGGTAGACCTGGAGTAGGTTATAGATCAATTTAAAGCAGCAAAGTTTTCTAAAGGTGCTTCTAGTTTTACTTTAAATGAGTTTGCAGTTGCACATATCAAATAATAAGGTGTTATTTGCCAGAGGCATTTTGTTGGTGGGGGGTGGGAGAAAGTTTTGGGGTATATTGTGTGTGTTGGGGGTACATTTCCCCGGCTGCCTTTTTCCACTGCTGCTGGTCCTCTGGTCAGGAAGCCTCCCTGTCCCGCACTGGTTCTGTTATTTGTTCTTGGATAGCATCAACTTGAGGATGAGACTTTATAGGCAACACATTAGCCTCAGTGTCTCCTCCTGGTTGTAGTCATTTCCCGGTTACATGGGTCAGTTTCTCCACCTTACTTGAGTGAATGCCTAGAAAGGCTATTTCAGCCTAGAGAATTTTTAGGGGAATGGAGAAGCTGAGGGTAACTCCTCAGCACCAACACTTGAACCCAATCAATACTTGATAGATTACTCCCAGCACACACAATACACCCAGAAATCTTCTCCCCAATCCACACCCAATTAAGTTTCAGCCAAGGTTAGAATTCAGTGGTTCCCTCTGTGTGTGTCCCCTTAGCTGTTGCTGTTCAGGTGCAAAGGTGTTCATTTCTTTGTCTACCCATGTGTAGTTGCCTGATATCCAACTAAACTGCATCAAAATATGGAACCCCTAGGTAGGCAAAAAAGATAATTAGAATACAGTAGTCCCCCCGCCCCCCTTATCTGTAGTTTCATTTTCTCTAGTTTTAGTTACTGTCCATCAGCTGTGGTCCAAAAATATTAAATGGAAAATTCCAGAAATAACTCCTAAGTTCTAAATTGCTCGCCATTTGATGAAATCTGCACTGTCCTTTGCCATCTCATCCGGGACATGAATCCTTACTTTGTCCAGCAGATTCACACTCCAGACACTCCCTGCCTATAAGTCACCTCTAGGTTTTCAGATTGACTGTTACTATGGCAGTGCTCAGGTTCTAGTCACCCTTTTTTGACTTAACTATGGCCCCAAAGCACAAAAGTAGTGAATCTGGCAATTCAGATATGCCAAAAGAAAGCCATGAAGTGCATCCTATAAGTTACAAGGGCAAAGTTCCCCACTTAAGAAAAGGCCAGGCCTGGTGGCTCATGCCTGTAATCCCAGCACTTTGGGAGGCCAAGGCGGGCGGATCACCTGAGGTCAAGAGATCGAGACCAGCCTGGCCAACATGGTGAAACCCCATCTCTACTAAAAATACAAAAATTAGCCAGACGTGGTGGTGGACGCCTGTAATCCCAGCTACTTGGGAGGCTGAGGCAGGAGAATTGCTTGAGTCTGAGAGGCGGAGGTTGCAGTGAGCCAAGATTGTGCCACTGCACTCCAGCCTCAGTGACAGAGCAAGCCTCCATCTCAAAAAAAAAAAAAGAAAAAAAAAAGAAAGATCATATGCTGAGGTTGCAGTATATTATAATTGTTCTATGTTACTCTTAGTTATTGTTGTCAGTCTCTCACTGTGCCTGATTTATGAACTAACTTTATCATAGGTATATATGCATAGGAAAAATCATAGCGTATATAGAATTTTGTGCTATCTGAGGTTTCAGGCATCTGCTGGAGATCTTAAAACCTATCCCTCTCTTAGAGTGAGTACTGTGATTATGTTTAAATAAATGAATGCATGCTTGCTTGTGGAAATATTTTTGTGTGTGGGGTATGTATATGTGTGTGTGTGTGTGTTGCATGTGGACATTTTAATGTGTGTGTATTATCCTAGCTGATGGTTTTCCTTTGGACATTTGGGTTCATTTTGTAGAAAGAAAATGCAGTTTTAGAATCAGGAAGCTGATTGGATGATTCCATCTGAATATATGTGTGTGTATAAATAAAATATATTATCAAAAGCCTGACTTGACTTGGGAACTGGGAAGTAGCAGCCTCAGGTCCTCCTAGGTTTATTGGAGTTACACTTATTAGTAAGTAGCCTAATCCTCTCTGCAAAGAGAGGAAGTACAGTTTTATGATAGAATCACGTGGGATGAGGATCATTGAACCAGAGAGAAACTGCTGCTGTTTGATTTCCACTGCAGGTCATCAGTATTTCTTGATCTAGAACAATGATAAAAAGTGTTCTGGTCTTTAAGCAAAACTCAGATTTAGGCTTTATCCTTAGAATCTGATCTTTAAAACTGGAAGCACAAGCTTTCCAGCTTTGAATTCACTCCATTTCAGAGATGAAGAAACCATTTCTCAAAGAGGTGTCTCTGTTGAGGTTTCACAGTGAACAAGTCAGGTCAGCTGAATCCAGGTCTAGTGTTATTTCCTGCAAATACATTTTATTTTTCATTTTTGCAGTAATCTTTAGATTAAACCCACTCCTATACTGTTGGATTAGTTAGGCACATGGACTGGGTGTATGTTTCCCAGATTTGAAGGTTGGTTCTCCATGTCATAGTTATTTGTTCTGGTTGCTTTTTTTTTTTTTTTTTTTTGAGACGGAGTCTCGCTCTGTGGCCCAGGCTGGAGTGCAGTGGCGGGATCTCGGCTCACTGCAAGCTCCGCCTCCCGGGTTCACGCCATTCTCCTGCCTCAGCCCCCCAAGTAGCTGGGACTACAGGCGCCCGCCACTACGCCCGGCTAATTTTTTGTATTTTTAGTAGAGACGGGGTTTCACCGTTTTAGCCGGGATGGTCTCGATCTCCTGACCTCGTGATCCGCCCGCCTCGGCCTTCCAAAGTGCTGGGATTACAGGCGTGAGCCACCGCGCCCGGCCCGGTTGCTATTTTTTCTCAGTTTTCTTATCTGTACAGTGGCGGTAGTTATTTCATAGAATCATACTGAGGACTAAATAAGTTATTTCTTGTAAATTACTTACATGAGTACCCAGCATAAGTGTTAGCTATAATAATTATTATGTTATTAATGATTATGTCATTATTATGTATTGTTGATAGTAATATAATAATATATTGCTTTTTAGACACTTTAGTTAGCTATCCAGCATATGACAATAAAAAGGTGGCTCTATTGAAGAGAAGGATTCCATAATTTTCTTGTGAAATTAGCGCCATAAATCATTGAACATCTTGCTTCAGTTTTGTGTGAATTATTTGGATTGACTAAGTACTCTTGGTACTGGGCTGAGTTACCATCTGCTGTGTTTTGCTTCCATAGGTCAGGCTTATTCTCCTAGGGAATGGTGAGGTGGAAAAAAATGCCAATAACCTAACCCCAAAATGTATCCTAACTGTCTTGTTCACATTTATAGGACAGTTTTATTGCTGTAGGTAAGACGGATAACTGGGCACTATTCCAGCATCTTGGCAGTTTTCCTTTTTTCAAGGTACTAATATTAGGATTAGCATGTTGTTTTAAAGCCATTGCCTTTCTGCACCTTATAATTGCTTGTTCTTGGGGGAGGCTTGGAACATTTGAATTACGGTTTTTCTGCCAAATATGGGAGAGGTTGTCTGTTTTGTTTTAATACTTCGATTGGTTTTTAAAGTTGGTACTACAGTCCATTTTGCCAACAGACAACACAAATTAGAGGCAGTGTGGGCACACTGTGTATGGGGCAGATGCAGAGAGGGGCAGCGAATATGCATGAGCGAGAATGTTATAGCTCTGTCAGTTTTTGTATGTGTGCCTCAGTTTATTTTTGGTATTGATACCAATGTTCGGCAATACAGTGATTTGCCTCCTCTATTTTGTTTCTAAATCAAAGCCTTGGCAGATTAAAATGACTAGGAAAAGATTAAATTGTTAATGGTATAATCATATTTTTCTCTAAAGCATTGAAGAATTACAGTGTCTATACTTATTAGCATGTGATAACTTTAGTGATTGAAATGTTTAGCTAGTTTTACTCAAATATTAGTAGGATTTCTAATTTTCATAGGAGAGCCTAGTGCCACAAAAGTTACTGGTAACTAGCACTCTTCAGTTTTCATCTTCATGTAACTGTTGTGAGCATTCAAGGAAGGAGCTGGGAAATGGTTTAGTCTTCATAGATGCTCAACAGATGTGAGTTCTCTTTTCTCCCATGTATACGTTTCTTATCTTTTTGTAGAGTTCATGGGAGCAGCATTTATGGATTCAGACTTATATTGTTGACAATGTCCTTGCTACCTGATAGATGATCAGTAAGTGTTGCAGAACGAATACATATGAGAGCAGCAGAGATAGGAGTACATTAGGGCAATTAGAATAGATTCCTTTTTTTGTTTGTTTTTTGAGACAGAGTCTGTTGCCCAGGCTGGAGTGAGGTGGATCGGTCTCACTGCAACTTCTGCCTCCTGGGTTCAAGCGATTCTTGTGCCTCAGCCTCCTCAGTAGCGGGACTACAGGCATGTGCCACCACACCTGGCTAATTTTTATATTTTTAGTAGAGATGGAGTTTCATCACGTTGGCCAGGCTGGTCTCGAATTCCTGGCCTCAAGTGATCCGTCCACCTCGGCCTCCCAAAGTGCTGGGATTACAGGTATGAGCCACAGTGCCCGGCCATTAGAATAGATTTCAAAGAAAAGTTGACTGTGCCAATCTCTGCTCCCTCCTGTATGTTGTTAAGTCTACAGGGCCATATTGCCTAAAGAAACGGAGTTCCCCAAGAATGTGTTAGGAATAACAAAAATTCTGTACTTTGACCTGAAAATTGCGGTTCTTGAGCTGGTTATTTTTCTAGGTATTGTTGGAAGTTATGAGTCAGAGTTAGGTACTTATTCGTGGATAACACAAGGACTTCTGTCAGAGATCTGGATGCTGTCAGTAGAATCTCTGTTTACCCTCTTGGGCTCAGTTTATTCATCTATTCTATGAGGAGGAGTATGCCTGTTTGGCCTTCCTCTTAGGTTGCTTTTGAGAATGAATGAAATAATATGTGAAAATTCTGTTCATAAGTGTAGAAGATGGCTAGTGATGATGATGATGATGATGATGAAATTGATGATGCCCAAAATATGGAGAATCTAGACTGAATTTATGGCTTTCTAACTTCGAATTTTCGGCTTTCTAACTTCGAATTTTCAGGAATGCATGATGATAGAATGTTTTTATTTCTGATATCCACTGCATTGTTTCTATAGACCTTCAAAGTTTGACACAAATAACTAAATTATTTTGTTTTGTTGGTGAGGATCACTTTTATTTTAGCGGTGTATCCTGTTAAAATAACCTTGCATGAGGATTCTCAAAGTTATACTAATGTTGCACTAGTAACTAAGGCAGTTCCAAAAAGAGACATTTAGAATGAATAAGGATAAATCAAAAGTAATTCATATCCATTGGTAAGGAGGTGGCACATACCAAGTGTCAACTGTAGATATTTTAGAAATTGAAGTGTTACCATGGAATCAAAGTATTCCACTGTAAGGTTGAATATCTCAGGATACCTACTTTAAGTCGTCGATTAAGATGAAGTTAATATTCATTTTACATATCCTGCTTGAAACCTCTTATGCTGTGAAATTTTCCTGTCTATTAAGAATAGTTTTAGAAAAATGAATTAGCTAATTCCTTAACTTGTATGTAACTTGAATATAAGTTCCTTTCCTTAACTTGTGTGAAAATCAGTTCTCCTTTGTGAAGAGCATGAGAGATACCTCAATAAAATAGTAATTTTATATTGACATCGGTTGCAGTTTCAAAGTCAGAGTTTTACACTTATGTGCCCCTATATTGTCTAGCTTTGTAATCCCCACTTTAAAAGGCATCCCAAAATAGCAACAGAAGAATAAATTGTGACTTGGGTGTATTAGATTTGTATGATCTTGTTTATTGAGCTGCTTTGTTATGTAGTTACCAAGGATGATGTAAGCTTCTCATCCAAGTTTTCCTTTACTATGCTGCATTGTCCTTTAAATGTCATGAGAATACAAATATTTTCAAGGTAGCAGTGAGGAACAATCTAGATGAGATGACCAAAAGGACCTCTCATATGAAACTGCAGTGAGCAAAGGTTTATTGGTCTTTGGATCTCTAAATAGAGTGACTTTAGATATCTAAATTTAGTGAAAACCAGAATTCAGTGACTTTAGATTTCAGACCATAAGGGGTTGTAACACCTACTCCTTTTCTCTGTAATGAAGAAAAATGACCACAACAATGTGGTGGATATCAGAAATAGAAACTTTTCATCGTCATGCATTCCTGGAAATTCCAGGTTAGAAAGGCATAAAAGAGAGAGAAAACCTGTCATAGTTAGTATATCTACCTTGGTTAGTGTTTTTCACTTAGGGGATTGCAAATTCATATGAGAATTGCTGAGAGAAACAATTAATTTAGAACAAATATTCTCCTTCCATTGTTACAGCCTGTAAAATGTTACTTCTGAGTTGCTACTTATCTATCACCATTTCTCTTTCTCCACTTCATTGTTAGTGTTTGTATGATTAGGGTGGGCGGGGGTCTTCTGGATGGGGTTGCTCACACTCCACAAAGCCTTTTCCCTCTTCTGTTGAAAGAAGACACAGCTGAAATCAGTCTCTTTGCCTTTTCATGATATGGGGATGCGGTGGAATCAAAGCAGGCAGGATGAAAGCCCAAAAGCTTCCTGTTTCCAGCTGTTTTCTTCAGCGAAGGTTTTTTTTTTTTCTCCCAAAGATGATGCTTCCTTTCAAGGGGTTTTTAATCTGCTAACTGTTTCCTCAGTTTATTTCACTACAGTAAAATGTGTTCCCTTTAGGTCATATCTGTCTCTTTTAAAACCCAACCTGTCCTTTTCAGCCGTGTTAGTTGCTACTCAAAAGAACAAACGTGATTTATAAAAGTCCTTTTAATGAGGTACAAAGACCAATAAACCTTTGCCACTAGAGTTTCATCTTTTCAGTTGCTTTATTTTCATTTATGAAAAATTTGAGATGTCAAAAAGCCATTGAGAACACTATTGATTTGACCATTTAATATTTGTAAACAAAGCCGTTAAAAATAAAATATATTGTTATGGCCTTAAGGTTGGTTGTGGTTTTTTTTTCCCTTCCGAATGCAGTATAATCATATGTAATTTGTTTAATGTAAATTCTTTAAAATTAAGGCACTGGAAACTGCATAAATGCTAAAATGAATACTAAGAGTGGCTTGATTTATTAAGTGATAATGTGCATGAAAATATGGCTTTTTTGCACTGATGTTTATTGCTTCACTTTTTGCATTGATGTTGTTTTGGAATTTACATTTCTAAATTCTGCATCCTCTAGGGATAAATGAAATATAAAAATGAATTCTTTTAATCACTCATTAAACATTAACTAGACCTTTCACCCATTTCCTAGATCTTCCAGGGTTCTCAGTAATAATCATCATCATTATACATTGATTTATAAAGGAATATCAGAGTGAGTCAGAATTTTTCTGTTTCTTTATCACTTGTCTTTCCCCAAATATCCATACTGACCTAAACGTAGGAGAATTTATCAGCAAGAAGGTTCACATTGCTGCCCTGTTATTTGAGCTCATTCTTTGTGATATAATGAAGCCAGTGGCATATGGGGGAGAACCACCTCATTTCATTTTCACTTTAATGCTAACTCTAACATATGCTTTTGAATTGAAGTGGGGTCCCAAATGCCAATATATGTTAAAAGAATTAAACACTTTGAAAAAAGAGAAAGTTTTCCCTTATTTACTCCTGTTGCCCACTCTCTTGAGGGTGAGAGGCTGATAGCGCTTAAAAACATGAGCATGCCTATTTTATCTGTACTGTTTAATAGAGAGCTATGAAAAAAATGGCAATTAACATATTCAGACAGAAAATCATCCTGGCTGAATGACTCATTAAATAGTCGTATAAACAGGATGTGCCGAAATGAACTGGTTCAGAATTTAGTTCCATTGGTCTTTTCAGCACACACTGCTCATTATCAGCACTTTAAGAAGCAGACTTGTGGGTGCTTAGAGGACACTTAAATTTCTTTTCTCTTTATTTTTTTCTTAAATACTTCTCCCCTCCTCCACTCCTTTCCCCTGCTATTCCTAATTCTTTGCAGGCTAAGATTACTCGTCTAAACATGAAACATTCTGTTGGCAATCGAGTTAGGGGTAAGAGCTTCTGACTTTCATCCAGGTCGGTGGTCCTAACCCCAGATGACAATCAAAATGTATTTGAAGATTTTTTTTTTTGGAGACAAAGTCTCCCTCTGTCGCCCAGGCTGGAGTGCAATGGCACAATCTTGGCTCACTGTAGCCTCAGCCTCCCAGGTTCAAGCAATTCTCCTGCCTCAGCCTCCGAGTAGCTGGGATTACAGGCGTATACCACCATGCCTGGCTAATTTTTGTATTTTTAGTAGAGATGGGGTTTCACCATGTTGGCCAGGCTGGTCTCAAACTCCTGACCTTGTGTGATCCGCCTGCCTCAGCCTCCCAAAGTGCTGGGATTACAGGCGTGAGCCACTGTGCCTGGCCATGTTTTTAAAATATGCAGACATTGCTGAACCTCATTTTTTTGGGCTTCCCATTCAGTAGGTCTAGAGGCAAGGCCTGGTAGTCCGTATTTTAATAAAAGCTCCCAGTAGGATTCAGATAGCCAGCCGGGCTTGGAAACTATTCACTGATTTGTGTCCCCTCACAGTAAAAATGCTCTTTCCCCAGGTACAGGATATATGGCCATCTGGCCTGGATATCAGTGGTTTGCAGACCTGGCTGCAAATTAGAATCACTTGGGGAGCTTGGAGAATAAATACTGATGTTTGACCCCACCCCCAATTAAATTGTTGGTGGGGGGAGTAGTTAAAACCTCCCCAGTTGATTCTAATGTACAGTCAAGTTAGAGTACTTCTGTCCTACATAAACAGATGGAGCTAGGTTTAGCTGAAAAAGTCTAGTTTTCTTTTAGAATATGCTTTACCCTGTGCTAAAACTCCTCTGTTACTGTGCCTCCCTAGCCACACACACAGAGCTTAAACGTATTGCCTCTACTAAGGCTTTCACATTTATTGGTACCCTGTTCTCAGGTGGGAGTAGAATGCTAGGCTCTCACGTTGTATCAGATTCCTGTTTCTTCCTACCTGAGTATCACATCTGTGATGTGCAGATGTGTTGGTATAGCATGAGCACCCCACAAAGGCTAAGTAATAAGGATGAAGAACAAAATTGCAGTTTAGCAAAGGAAGGAGCATCCATCTTTTGAGTCCCTGTATACTCCAAGAAAAATTCTGAGTAAACAAGTTTCTTCTTTAGCAAGTTGTGATATTAAATGGGTGCCTTTCATTACATTGGCTAACATTTGCATTTCTTGGACCTGTTCTGGAAAAGGGTCTGAGATGAACCCATCGTTGAAGATCTAAAAAACAAAAACTTTCACCATGTCAAGGGAAAGAGGAAAGATTTCCATAAGTGTAATCTTGTATTCTGGATGGTACATGAAAACTCTACTTCCTAACTGCCCACAGGGATTTAAGGGGTATTTTAAGGGGTACTTACAAATAAAAGGAAGAAGATACATTACATCACATTCTCATTACCAAGGAGAAACTCATCCTCTCTAGGAAAGGTTTCTCTCCTGTCTTACGTGTGACTTTCCACCTGCTAAGTCCCCTTGAAGTTACTGAGCAAAGACACTCTTACAACACTAAGCCATTGGTGCTAGAAGTGGAAGTAGACGGAGCCCCTGAGGTTCAGGTGCCAGGTCCTTGTATCTCTGATGGCGTGGGAAACAAAAGTCAGCAGCCATTTCTCTTCACTAGAGACTCAGAGGAGGTAAAAAGGGGGGATTCACGAAGTCATCTTGATTTTTCCGTATCTTATGGCGAAGTCTTGTGGTAGACCCCAGAACCCTGATGGTTGGTCTCACGCTCGTAAGTTTACATAAGGCTTTCTCAAGAAACTGACATCCAGAGCGCTTGCCTTAGAGAAGACAGCTGACCATGGTCATGACACTGGCAGGTGTTAGGACTGGCTGGTCTACTCTGGTATGGCAGAAACCCTGGGCCCCTGAATAAGGGAGGTGATTATGCTTTAAAGTCTAGGCTTACCATGTGTAGGGCTGTGGGACTCACTGTCAGGGTTGTGTAAGGCGAGGGCCATCGCTTGCAGAAGTCTGAGTGTGTGAGCACCCCCTTAAATATTGCCCCCAGGTGCTGTACTTGCTTAACCCCGGACCCAGCCCTGGCAGGGAGCAACAGCAGGAGGGAAAACCATTGGTAATTTAGGTCTTCACATCTTATGCTTCATTTAATGTGGTTGATAAAGAGCCTCCTTGTAAAAATATCTTGGTGTAGACTCCCAGGGAAGGAAACACTTGTGTGACTGACAAGCTGGCAGTGCCCATGGCCACGTGTGTCACCCTGGTGGAGGATAATCGTCCTATTATTTTTTGTCAGTAGGTATAACAAGTGGGTAGTGCTTTGTGTATTCCACTGTGATGAATTAATTTTGTGTTCATTGTAGTAGCACTGATCATAATGAATTAATTTGGTATTCATGTGGATGTCAGAGGTTTTTTTTTCCCCTTCCAATTTCATGTAGCTTTAGTTAATGGATACTTTAAAGTACAGTACATCTGATCTGATTTCTGTTCTCTCATTCACTTCTCATAATTTTCCCCCCGCTGGATATTGTGAGGTCTTCTGTTTTTAAAACATTTAACTTGATCTTTAAATAATTAATGTTTTAATAGCTTTACATGAACTCAAACATTCCTCCTGCTTTTAATTTATAAAATAAGGAAAATAAGGTAAATAGTTATAACAAATATAACTGCTAGGTTGAATGATATACTTAATAACTTGTATATTTTAGTTTGGTTTAAAAAGATCTGAACTAATCATTTGTAATTTGTAGCCTTATTGAAGACAAATATTGTATCCCCTTATGCAAATATGAAATAATGAAAACTGCATGCCGTATATAATAGTTTGCTCTTCTTTTAATTTCTTCTCTCTTTCCCTCATAGACAAGATTGATAAATGTATGTGCATATATTATTTATCTGTTCATATAAGGACATGTAATTGACTATTAGATATGGTAATTGCATAAATATATCTTATTCAAGCTCATTTCCTTTTCTGTTTATAAAATAAATGTTTTTGTTAAATTGGAATATGTACTGAAATAGAAGTGCCTAATTTAGGATTCAGAAACTAGGTACACAAACAAAAATCAAACAAAATTCTGGGAACCTTTGACAAACTTGTTCTTTAACCTATATGTGTTTAAAAAATTTGTTCATCATGTTTGCTGATTATTGAAGA
The DNA here is from genome assembly GCF_000001405.40 of Homo sapiens. Classification (NCBI taxonomy): domain Eukaryota; kingdom Metazoa; phylum Chordata; class Mammalia; order Primates; family Hominidae; genus Homo; species Homo sapiens. The sequence goes on along the minus strand of NC_000018.10, from coordinate 55,497,111 downwards.
TATTTATAATAGAATAAGGGTTTCCTTCATCACTAACACACCTGCTCGGCTGATTTGCTCCCAGTGGAAATATGGTTGAACCTTTAGAAAGAACGATGTTTTTTTGCCTTACGAGTATCAGGATGCCATTTTTGGTCTTTCTTTAAATTTAAACTTGGAAATGGTATCCTCCATATATTCTCTTGTGGCTTTAAACTTTTTTTTTTTTTTTTTTTGTAATTTTACAGCTCTTGTTCAGTTTGATTCTCAGCAGCAGCTGTATTCCATTGTAGACTGCTGTGTTTCAGCAATTGATGGATCCTGTATATATTCTACTATTTAGAGTATATAAAGAAGTTGGGACTCTTGCAAGTGGCAAGGACTATATAACTGGGTTACTATGGCTTTCATTATTTTTGTTATTATTGTGACAGATTGTACAGTAATATGCTAACAAAGATTTATGGCATCATGCAGCAGTAGGAAATGTTGGGATGGAGGAGAAAACTCATGTTAAAACAAATGTCTATAATAATAAGAGGAAAACAAAACTTCAAAAAAGCTGAGAATTGTTTCTAGTATAAATATTTTTATTAACATTTGTTATGGTTGAAGATCTTGAGAGGAACTGTTCATGCATTTCTGCAGTTTAGATTATGCTGTATGCCTATTTGTGCATCATCGTTCTTAGGAGATTGTTCTTTCTTCTGGTTTTTTTTTTTTTTAGTTTTTTTGTTTTACTGGAACACATAGGTATTGAATATGCAATGAACAGAAAATTTATGGAGGGCAGAGTTATGAGTATCTGAGGAAAGTTTAATTACTTTTATAATTTAGATAAGCTTCATAATTTATTGTAACACGCTGTACTTTGGCACAATTTGTAACAATTATAAAGCACTTGAATTTAGGTTCTTTACTTGGCAGCTATCAACAGAGTTAGCTGTATGAAAACTTTAAGCATTTACTTTCCTTCCTCCGCCTTGCATTACAGGCTTACGCTGTAGTAGTTTTGTTGCTCCCACTTTCATTTGCCACATCTCTGGGTTTTATGTATCACAGTATAGTAGGCTTGTGGCTATACACTAGGAAGCAGACGAAGAGAGAACCTGAAGATACCTCCTGATGCCCAAACCTAGGAAAGGGAAAAATGCAGAAGAACTCAGACGACTCTTGGAAATGATTCTTGCCTCAATTAAAAAGACCTCACCACTCACCTCCATGTAAAGGACAGGTCGTGAATTATTCAAATGATTCAGAAATCAACATTTAAAAAAATGAACATAAATTCCTTTTCATAATTAAAGAGCGGTGGAAAATGGCTCTTTTCTTAGGTCTAGATTATATTGCTGTTAAAGGAATTGCTGCCTAGTATACAATTTTTTGACATTGTTTTCTACAACATCAATCTTATTTGTTGTCCTTTTTTGTCACGCCTGTTAAATGTGTATTTTTCTGTGTTGATATTGAAACTAATGTACAAAGTGTGACATCTCCAAAAACTGATTTGGTTGTTCCTAAAAACATTGGTCCTTAAAAGTATATTTATTTGCAGCCCAGGAATTTTTAGCTTCACATTTTTCTTTTAATAACTAAACTGTAGAACAGAATTAGCTCTCATAAAACCTTGTACTTGCTGAACAACTCTCATAATTAAATGAATATAATGATTTTATGTGACACTTTGAACTTCTAAAGTTCTTTCACATCTATGTATGTTTAGGACAAGATTTAAAAGTTAAATTATTCTACAGTTGGAGTAGAAATAAGTGGCCAAGTATCCAACTTTTGTATCTCAAATACCTTCTTTTTTTTTTTTTTTCCCAAATACCTTCTTATATTCTCCACCGACTTTTTGGGCTGGCTAAGTGTGACAGAAATGGGAACTTTAGTTCTGGCTTTTGATTCTCTCATGTTAATGTAGGTTTTTGATAAGTCACTTGGTGCAAAACACTGAAACAACTTATCTATTGGCTTAAATGAGTCAACAGTCTGAATCAAACAGGTTGTGAATTGGTTAAAATAATAAACCAGTAACCCTGTGGTTGAGCTCTTGATGATTAAAGAACCAGACCTAAGAATGCATTTATAGTCTTTTAAAAGAGAGTAAAGACTCCCACTTCTTTGAGCTGTGTTTCTTTGTGTAGATTTCTTTTTTTTTTTTTTTAAAGAAAGGCTTCATTATCTGTTTCAGATCTTTATAGATGTTGCAATAAGGTACTCCTTTCTATTAGTATAGGATTGAAAGGATCAAAGTTAATAACTTGAACTGAGATGCTTTAAAATAACAAAATAGTTTATTATCTCTTTCCTTTTCAAGATTTATGTTCTTACAAGGGTACAATGTTCATGATTGAATGTGGTCCTACTGGTAAGGCTTCCATGTAATAGAAGAGTAATTCCCTTGTCTAGCATTCTCTGGGTTGTTTTAATGTTGCAGGTGAATGTGTTCTGCTGTGCAAATAAATGTAGTTCTCTTATTCACATTCCTGATGACTTGCATCCTTAAACCCTTTTGGTCAGGGTATTATTGTCCTTTATCCTGAAAAATGTCTGTGATTGTAGTGCCCTAATACTATAAATCAATGGGGACTGAATTCAGCGCCTGCTAAGTAGAGTGAGGCAACCCTTTAAATGCAAATGCATCAGGGCTAGTTTTAATGTAATTTTAATAAGGCTGAAACCATTTTGAAGTAGACTTAAATCATAATACTAATCTTAAAAGACTCTCTATTTAGCTGAGAAGTCCCTTTATTCTCACTGGCCATTTTTCCTCTGTGTGCATCCAAACCACCTTTCATGTGATTCCACAGTTTTTCATTTCTTTTTTTTTTTTTCTCAAATAGAATATATGTACAGTTTGTGGTTACTTTATTAGTTGGAGAAGAGCTTGTATTGACTAAAATTGCTTCACTTCTTTTTCTTCCTGGTTGTACATGCCTGACTAATCTGTGTGTGTGTGTGTGTGTGTGTGTCCATAATATTTCAATCACATTGCTGTGTTTTGGTCAGAGAAGTAAAAATCTAGCTGTCAATGCCAACTGGAGTAGTTATTTAAGAATATAATATTTAAGTAGGGGAGTATATGCAAAGTAATATAAAAATGAGGAAAACATTTACAAAATCAAATGTGACCTCAAGTCCAATATTTTTCAATCTTCTAAGTCTGTTGGTTTCACCACCTCACATTATTTCAATGTATGTGAAATATATCTTGCTGTTTATATTTGGGTTGATGGGACAGGTGCAGGATCTTTGACCTGGGGAAATAAATTGGATTAAGGACTAGCTTAACTAGTCTACAGAAACTGTAGACTACAAAAACTGAAGGCAAGAACCTACTGTCACATCTTTTGCAGAGAGACAAAGGCATTTTGGTATTTGGATATTTTACTTGGGATATGTATTTTGTGTATTTGTGTAATTTTGTATTAATTTACACAAACTTAAGTAAACAATATATTAATAAGATTCATCAAGTAATTTATAAATTAACTTTCCCACATTTTTCTGTGTTCAAGAATTATCAAGGAGATGTGTAAATATTGAAGCCTATACTATATTCCATTATTTGCTTTTAATGTATTTCATATAATTCAGAAAACAGTAATTTATCATTTACATTACTTCCCTTTTCCTATTGAGCCTTCTGAAAGAATAATGTAGACCAGCATTTTAAAAAAAAGCTTGTTTCAAGACATGTTAATAGAAATTTTATTTTCAGTCCATTCTGCATTAAATATTGTAAAACACCCCTAGAGAGTGATATTATTTGTAATGATTCCCAAATTGCTTTGACCAGAGAACTCCTTTTTTCATGAAATACCTCCCATGTGGAACATTCTGCAGAAGAGTTTTGTGAAATGCTAACTCAGCCCAAAAGGTTTTTTAAATTAAGGCCTTTCAAGTTGGTAATGGTATTTAGTTTCTTGTTTTTTAAAATAGACTTTGTTTAGGACAGTTTTCTAGGGTCACTGTGCCACTCATGCTGACTGTCCTGTCGTCTTGAAAAATACTACTGGTAACATGTGAACAGATATGGAGGTCCTCTACCCGAGTATTTTAATACCAAATAATAGCTATATCTTCTCAGATATTGGTAGCTATGTCAATGGAGATGTGAAATTGGCTCTATCGATGGCTTTTGTCCATTCTCCAAGAGAGGCCTGTCTTTGTGGGTGGAGGTGTTGGTGGATATGTGTATGTGTCTCCTTCTCTTACCCTCTTAACAGTTTGGTCACAGTGGTGACCAGTGAGTATAGAGCAGAGCCTTGACAATGCACCTGACTTTGGGCTTTAGCCAGATAGTATGAATGAGTGAAGCAGATGTTAAGGAGAGGTGAGTTTAGGGCAACTGGGGCATTCGTGCCCCCTCATTCATTCAGTTAACATTTCCAAGAATCCTGTGCAGGGCAAATAAGATCTATCTCAGGACCAGCAATATCTCATCCTTGGTATGAAGATAAGAAGTCAGGAGACTTGAGCTGTAGGTTTGGTTGTCTCCTTGCCTGGCAGGCTTGCCTAATTTACAGCAAGTAGAAAATAATCTGTGTCTTGTTCAAATCTAAATAACAATGCTTTAAAGGTAGTGTAGAATATTTGTTAAAAAGAACATATTAATTATGTTTTTAGAAGCTTCTGTAAGGAAGAAAGAAGTTTGACCCCCCAACTTTTCTCTTTTCTAGAACTGCAAATTACTGCTATTTTAAATAGACTTTGTTGTTTAACTGTACATCCAGGAAAATCTAGGAAATTAAAGAAGCATGCATATAAATGATTGTGTAGCAGAACATGAACATTAAATTCATACAGTGAAGAAATTAAAGTTAGAAATACTCTCAAACATAAGAAGGTTCTAGAATCAATCCTTTAAGCACAGTCTGAGACATGGTATATCTTTGCACTTACTTGGACCTTGGTTTCTATTCCTGTGATGATTATTGGATTTGATGCCATCTGATGTCCTGTTCCTCAGATTCTATGAAGCTGAGTCTGAGATTAACTTAGGTCTGAGATTGACATAAAGGGGAACCGGTCCCTAGATTTCCTCAGGGCTGAGAAGTTATTGATTTCTCAAGTATAATAGGACTGCACAGACGCACAATTTGCACCAATCGGAACAAAATGTTTAACAAGTTCTGAGTATAGAAAACACTTTGCAATTTGAATTTCTATGATTCCAAAATTCAAAAAAGCTCCTTTTTGATTAAATGCACTGCCCTCAACCACACATGCTCATTTTCTCTGTCTACTGCTTTGTCATTCTGTTTATTTAACTTTACTTGGCATACCAGAGTTTTAACGCTGAGATTTTAAAGTACATATGCAAAATTGGAATGTGTCAGAGAACCTAGGAACAGATTCATCAAAGGAGTCATGAGGCACATTGCACATGCTTTAACATCAAGGTGTAAACGGAGCCCATTAAACTATTAGTTAAGTGGTGATCAGGAGCAAGAGCCTGATTAGATTACAAAATCTTCTGTGTGTGAGCGCGGTATGTGAAAACATAACACTTGATCCTCACCATAGTGCCAGGAAGATTCAATTAGAGAACTGGTATGTGCCCAGATTTGGGGACATAAAGGGCAACTGGATTTTGAAGGAAAGATGGTAAGGAAACACCTGCAAAAATCTGCTTCTCTGTGCAACAGACTGGGTAATTGCATATGCAGATGGATAGTTAGGGATATAATTGCTTGATTTGTGAACATAAATGCCCTTTCGATTGTGTCAGTGTTGAATTTTGCAGTGACAGGTGCCTGCGGATTGCTGTGTGTGTATCCTTTGCACCCCTGTTTAAATATTTGGCCTGGAGTATGTCTTCCATTCATTGTGAATGGAACCACCGCCGTCCCGCCCCCATGATGGTCTGGGGGTATTGTTATAGCTCTTAATGTCTCTCCAACTTTTTCTCATAAATAATAACCTTAATTTGAAACCTTAACTAAAAGAAGGACTGCATAGAGGCATGTGGTGAAGGGCTTACGAATTATGCACAGAATTCATTTTTTAAAGCTGCTGGATGTAACTCATTAGTTTTCATTGTTTTCTCAAAATAAGGAAAACTATTAACCAACACTGCAGACTAATAGCCTGGATTTTTTTTCCCCCATAATCAACTGAAGTTTAATGGAAAATCATCTTTTGAAAGACTTCCTTTTTTCTCCTTGCTTTTTCTTAACCTTTCCATTAATACTGTTCCAATATCTTCTCTAATCTCTCTCAACTAAATAGCATTCTCAGTCATTCCTTTTCTATGTCAACATTTCTATACCGCACTGAAGATGTTTGTAAAAATACTGGTGCAGTCCAAATGGGATTTATTTTTAAATTGAAGAATTTGTTAAGCACTTACTTATGTGGAATGGTCAGGTCATCTCCGTATTCCTTTCTCTGGCCTTATGGAGAAAGTGGAGGAAATGGTGTCTGCCTTTAATGAGGTTGCTAACGTGCCTGAACTACACAATAAGTTATTAAGTCATATTTTATGTGATTATTCAGTTTCTTTTTTTTTTTGCTCCATTCTAAATCAAACTATCTAAATTATTTTTGTCAAATAAAGGTTAATTTCAGCAGTTGTTGATAATAAACACTTGCATGTACTATTCATATCAACGTGTATGATACTCTGCTAAGTATAGTACATCAGTAATCTCATTTAATCTGTCAAACAGTATATATTATTCCCATTTCACAGATGAGCAAACTGAGCTATAAGATTAAGTATATTACTCCTGCCATATAGTTAATAAATAGAAAGGGATTGGAGTTCAGAAATATGTGCCTCTCTAGCCCACGTTTGTTGCTGTTTTGGCATCTAATTTGCAAATATAAATAAATATATCTAAATAAATAAAAAATATCTTGAATCTGCCTTTTTAAAGGAGCCTGCCAAAGAGAGGCAAAATAACCGCAGAAATCCCATTTTGACTGGCTTTGATATGAAGACTTCACACAACTCTTATTTTAATTTCTTGGTATTTCCTTATGCTTTGCTGCTCTTCTGAGGCACATTTTCTCAGTAAGATATTCTTTATGCTTTTTAACTAAAAATGTGGGGATTAAATTTTACCCACAAAAAGGTTTGAAACCGTTCTTTCTAATTCTTCATGTGTCATTAAAAAAGTATCCGCATGTATTTTGGTGCGTGTGGAGAAGGAGCTGGCACTGTGTGCTCAAATAATGCTCAGAACCACCTGCTTTGAATGTGGTCTGATTGAATCAAATGACGACTGCTTTTCATCACCGAGCCGGGATTGGGATGTGGGGGAAGTGTTTTGTTTTGATATTTCACATGTGCTTAGGTGTTCGTGGTTTCAGGTTGTTTAAGAACAGACTCTCATTGAGTGTTGGTGAGTCCTGTGGGGGAGATTTGAAAGCAACGTTGAGGATTTCTAGGTCTGTTTCAAAATTACATCCTCTTGTGTGGTGCATTTATTTGTGTTCAGGATGCAGATTGCCTTGTGGAAAATGGCAAATCATTTTCCCTCATAAAAGGTTTCTTTTGTTTTTTTGTTTGTTTGGTCTTCAGCTATTTTTTTTGGTAGTTTCCCCTCCTGAGTTCAGATTATCAGTACTTTCATCATTTATACCACTCGGTTCTCTGGAGTTCTTGGTGCACTGTGGGTCCACTTTTCTTGTTTGGGGTGATGACTAACATCTGCCCTGATACTCGCCTGGTACTTGAGGCTCTGAACTTTATTATCTTCTCTTCAACTGCAGCTCGTGGCACTTGTAGGCAACGTGCCTCCCAAAGAGCCTGAAAGAGATTACAGCTCACTTCCTGCCATCAGACAGTATGTGGGGAGGTCAAGGGGTGGGCAGAGGAGAGGCTTGGTGAAATTCAGACTTTTGGGCCCCATCTAGAAGAATCTGCTTCAGTATCTCTTGGAGCTACCCAGGAATATGTATTTTCAACAGTGCTCCAGATCTGAGGGACAGTTGGAATTAGGAAAACTGTGGCTCTAACTGATGCCCCAGTACTTCTCAAAGTGGGTGCCCCCACATCCTGATATGCTGGATGTGTTTTGTAACTGCAGATTCCTGGGCTCCACTGGGAGTGGTGGCCCTGGACCAGCCTCTGTCATGTGTCCCCAACCACACTCTTGGGATTCGTATTTGTATGAACTTTAGAGAATGAACTGCCACAGAGATTCTAGGTGACAGGAAATTGTGGGGTAAATTGGAGGATTACAGATCATGCTTCTAATATCAGCACAGGTACACACAATCGTCAAAATAGGGGACAGGTGTGTTTGGAAAGCTTGTTTTGTAAAGAAAGTCTTTTCTCCCTTTGACTTCTCTTCTTTACGTGGAAGCTACACTTCTGAATTACAAAGAGACAGAGAAAAAAGAGAACAATAACAACAAAAGGTTCCTGAGGCATACCTAAGCTGCAGGAGCCAAGGGAGTGTCCCTTGTTTTACTTGGTGATGGCTGTTTGAACAGCCGTTTGCTTTCTCCTTCCTGTCCTCTGATGTGAGGATGCAGGATTGGAATCATTAGAAACCCTAGGTTAGTAGCATCAGGCTCCCTGCCCTGTGTAGTCTCTGGGAGGACAGAGCTGCAGCTTAAGTTGTGCTTTTGTCTTGGCAAGCACCTTTCAATTTTTATCCTAGCTCAGTTGCTTTGTTTGGCATTTTACTGGCCAATACTCCTTTTTTTTTCCCTCTCTTCTCCATCTCCTAATTCTCAACCTCTTCTGGGGCCAAAAACTTGGAGGAAAGACTTTAAAAAAACCAATTTCACTCCTGTTTATGTAATCGTTTCTATATTACAGAAGGCTATGGTATGTTTTAAAATGTATACATCTCTTTGCTTTTCTCCCTTGTGACTGAATTTTTGAAAAATGCTTGAAATACGGACACCAAAACGGAATGTATGTGTGTCACATTTAAACGGAAAACCCTGTTTGTTTTGTATATTAGACTATAGCCAATGAAAACCCAGGGAGTAAGGATTTTCATGACCACAACTGAATATAGAACCTCATAGGTTTCTGTTATAAGTATAAATATTGAGAATAGTTTTGTTTGTTTATGCCAGTGCAGTTTTATAGCAAATCCTTTCAAATGGGGTGCAAAGCCATCCATGGATATTTGTAAAGGCTTTGCAAAATCATACATAAAATAAATTGTCCATTTGATTTGAACAAGTTTTGCAATTATTTGTGGCTTTAACAGGGGCTTTTGAAGGGCACTGTATATATCTACCAGCTGGTTCTACTTTTTTTTTTTTAAGAAAATGGAGAGCTTTGTATACAATCCCTTGGGTAAACCAGTAATAAACTATATATCAGGTAGTCAAGTCATGCCATTTCAAATCTGTTTTACATTTTAAAGGGGTAATAATTTGTGAATTTCATCTCATAGAAATTTTTATGCTTCAAATCAAGTTGTTATCCCATCCTTGTCTATTTTTTTTTTATCGATCCCCTCACTCAGTGTTTTAGAGAAATAAAGCATACAATGGAATCTCTTGCTGGGAAAAAATACTTTCTTACTTATTATATTGTATCTTGTAATAATATATTTCTATCACCATTTAAAAAACATTCTTTTAGTTATTGATGATTATTTTGTCAAATTATATGAATTTGGTTCTGTTTTCTTTTTGTGACAAAGATTCTGAATTTTCATGTTTAATAAATGCACTTCTTCACATGACAAATGTTCATTGAGCCCTTAGCCAGGCATTGGTGTCAACCCTGGTTCATAGGTGCCCAGAGTTCCTGTCCTTCTGAAGCTTGCATCCTGGTGGGGATCAATAAACAAAGATACCAACCAACAAATATAAATATATGTATGTATGTAATTGATTGATTGATATCTGTGTGTGAGTGTTTCCTCAATGGCATTATGCATTTATTTATTCATTCTTCATGCATTTGTTGTGTGGGAAAGAATGTTTTCCAGGTTGAGGAAAGACACGAGACTCGACAGCCAGGGATATATTAGGTAACGGTGAGGAGTCTGGTGTGATTGAGGCACAGAAGGAAGTGCCAGTGTAAAGTAACATGAGAAGAAAGTACACACAGATCCTGAGCACCTTAAATGCTAGCCTAAGGAATTTTAAGTTTATACCCAAAGCAATAGGGAGCCACTGAAGATTTTTGTATGGAGAAGTGACAGTTGTCAGTGGCTCATAGTAGATTGGAGTGGGCACCTTTGCTGAAGTTAGGGAACCTGTTTTCAGGTCCTTATTATGAGACGTGCTAGTTAAAAGAGGAAAGGAGGGGAGGGGGTTGGCAAAGGCTGCAGTTAGTTACATTGAGTGAGGTCAAGTAAAATGTTTTGAAGCATTTCTATGGAGAAGTCCCAGATCTTCTTACCTTTCATGACTTTGTTAGACTCACTCTTCAGTGAAATAAGACTGGTCTTGATTTTTCCATGCGTCTTGAGTTAAAGCGTTACCCTTTGCTACCTGGGCTCTACGATTTCACCTGTTCTCTGGCCACACCTTGGAATTCACTTCTTTGTGCTCTCCAATATTTGATTTCCTTCTTGTCTTCTTTTCTTTGTTGTTGTTTTTTGTTTTTGATACAAGAGTCTCACTCTGTCACCCACGCTGGAGTGCAGTGGTGTGATGTTGGCTCATTGCAACCTTCGCCTCCCGGGTTCAAGCGATTTTCCTGCCTCAGCCTCCTGAGTGGCTGGGATTACAGGTGTGCGCCACCACGCCCGGCTAATTTTTGTATTTTTAGTAGAGATGGAATTTCACCATGTTGGCCAGGCAGGTCTCCAACTTCTGGCCCCAAGCCATCTGCCCACCTCAGCCTCCCAAAGTGCTGGGATTACAGGCAGCATGGCCACCATGCCCGGCTTTCCTTCTTGCCTTTTCTTAAGAGTCCTGCTTCAAGGAAACTTCCGTCTCCTTTTCAAAAACTATTTCAGTAACAATCCCTTGGTGTTTATTTACCATTTGTAGCTTAAACTTAAAACTTTTTCCCTGTATTAGTTATTTTTCAAATATACTTTTTGTCTCTTCAACTAAATTTTGAGCTCAGGATTCATAATTTATTTGAAGAGGTACAAACAGAAAGGTTCTGTCCCATATTTCTAAGTAGTAGGATTTATTTTTCCTTCTATTGAAATGAAAATATAAATGGCCTTTGAGGCTCCAGGAGAGCCCACAAAATTTTATTTAGTCCAAAATACCGTAAAACTTCAGTATTATTAATACTTAAAGATGGTTTGCCTCAAGCAAGAAATATGAAGCTCTGGGGAACACATTCTGTGTGTGTGACACATCCAGACAGTGTGGTTTGCCAAATGGTAGCTGATCCAGAGTGAGGTTCTTAACCTTCATCAAGTCAGGGACTGCTTTGAAAATCCAATGCAAGCTGTAGACTGTCTTCCCAGAAAAATGCGTATAGCTAAATACATGAGGAAAATTCTGCAGTCCTTAGTCTGTGTATGTAGCATGTGTGTAGGTATGATATTGGTAAATCCAAAAGAAAAAATGCTTTTTAGTTACCTTTTGTAGCCATTAACGTTACCTGTGCTAAGTGCTCATTAGGCATTTGCTGGCTGATTCTATTCATGTGAGGGCCACAGGGACCAGGAGAGGTGAGAGCAAAGATGCATGCACAGATCAGAGAAGGGTTAAATGGGGAATTATGCAGCATGTAACTTATACATTTCCTGAAAATGATGCTTCTGTGGACTTAGACAAAAATGAGTGGCCAGGAGAGGATTGCCGTTGGATAGATGAAGTCTAGATTTATCCAGAGTTGGTATTTCTTGTTAAAGAACCTCAGTGAGCAGTAAGTTCATAAACCTACTGGGGTGCTGGTGGAGGGGGAGATCTACTGTTTATTTTAGGATGTTTTCAGCTGCAACAAAAGAAAACCCTGACTCAAATGGACTTAAACATAGGGAAATGTCTTACATTACGTTACCTATTCCAAAATCTCTGGTGGTTTCCTTCCTCCGTGTACTGCCTTCATCCTAGGAATGATAAGGAAATTCCTGCTTTGGTTCTGGGCATCACATCCAAACAGAAAAATCATCAAAGAGGATAAGTGGTCGTCTACTGATGTGTCTCTTTCCTTGGAGTAGGGAGATATTTCCAAGAACCCAGTAGAGGCTGCACCTTTGTGTCTTAGTGCTCATTTTGAAACCAGTATCTGGCCTGGGGAAGGCAAGGGGTGTGATTGGCTGTAGGACTTGGGGGTTTCCCTCTGGAACTGGAAATGAGGTCACCTGTTCCTGATCCACTAGGAGGAGTGGTGGCTATGTGAACAAATAGCAATTATACCAAAAACTGCTGCACGTTCTACTAAGAAGGAAGAAGAGAAAAATAGATATTGGACCAACAGAACTAACAGTGTCATTGTATCTTCTGATAAACTCACATTCTGAATAAAAAAGGAAGTCATGTTTGTATTTTTAAAATTTATCTAAATCTGTTGTTATTTTCTCTACCACAACACATGGGGTACAGTCATATGCTTAAGTCCATGTGAGTGAGCTTTTATAATAGATGTTCTGTCCACACAAGGACTGGTTTCCAAGGCCCGCACTCAGTTTACTTATGGGCCCCACTGCCATGCACAATTAAGAAAAAGACGAGATTTTAGCAACTTGGACTGAACTATAGACTTTGCCTAAACTCATTATTTACAGCAGCACTTTTCTTCATAGGTGAATTGTTAATAGGTTTGATTACTTATTCTTGCCTTGGAGAATTTTCAGGTATGGCTTACAAAGTGATATGAATTGTCATCTCTCAAATGCATCTTTAATTTAAACATATTCTCTATGTTTCTGGGTAGAGGAAGAGGAAAAAAGTCTATGAAAATGAATTTAAAATGCTTCTCAGAGTCAGTATTAATTTAAACCGTTGCGGTTTTCTGTGGGGCATATTTAACCCAAAAGAAAAGCCCTTATAATTAGGAAATTGGGATTCTGAATAATTAATTTGAAAGAGGAAATATAACTTTTTCTACAGAGAACATCTTTCATCCAAATTTGGAGTTCCAGTTTCTGCAGATGTCACTTCTCTCTCATAACATAAGAAAATAGGTAAGAGGCAGTTTGGAAAGAGGTTGAAAGGAGAAATTATAGGTTCTCCTCCCAGCTTTTCCAATAACTTGCCTTGAGGACTTGGACCAAGCCCTGACTTTCTCTGATGTATAAAGTTGTAAAGGAAGATGAAATACTGTGCACGAAAGTGCTTTGAAAAATTGAAAGCAGTAAACTGCTCTAGGATATTTATTGTTAGTGTGGTGGTTCTGGTTATTATAAATGAAGCAGAACTTTAAATATTAATGGTACTCTTGTTCATCAATGGGGAAGTTATAGGGGAAAGGTTTTCCAAAAAATGCTGAGCTATAACTGCCATCCAAGTAAGTGACGCAGAATGCCTAACCCAATTTGTATCTTGCTATCACCTGATCACAGAAAGCTGTTTCACTGTAGAGGTAACAGTTGTTTTCTCCTCTGTCCTGAGGCCAATGATTATATAATATGTATCAAATCACTAGGGTGCATATCAAAGTGAGCATAAAGAGGCAAATATTTCCCTTTACAATGACCATATAAGAGATTATTTCTGTCAGGGGATAAGGCATACATGAAGTCTGACTGTTTCACTGCATTTTTACTATAGAAATCACTGAGCTTGAGACTTGTACATTAACTCCATCTGGTCATGTGACTGGCAAGTGAAGTGTTTCAATGTGTTAAGAGGACTGATCTGCATATTTCTTGCTGAATCTTAATCTGTACTTGCATATTTGTGAAACGAATGAGTATTTAAATTATGGAGAAAAGATGTATTGTGCCAAACTAACCTTTATAGCATACCTGTGGTTGTAGTTTCTCTAGCTAACAGTGGACAAGATGAAAACTCATTATACATTTTCATCATGTTAGGTATTCTTCTCAAAGTCACAGGAGCACTGCAGAATGGTTCGTAACTTTATGAATTCAGCTGGCATTTTGGATATATGGACGGCCCCTTTGAGGGGCTAAAGACACAGCCATCCATTTCACCAAGAGTCGCCGAGGGTGCCTTATTGCCCCTACCCCGTGCTGGGTACTGAGGGTGGGATAGAAGGCAAACCAGACACATCCCTTGTGTTTATGCAGCTTTTTCTTCAGTGGGCAAGACATTACTTGAGAATCCTAAAAATATAAAATTACGTCTATGACAAGTCCAATGAAGGAGAAGGACAAGACACTTGATTGAGGAGGACATTTATTGCTAGTCAGGGGGGACAAGGAAAGCTGACCCAAGGAAATGATGATTCAGCTGAGTTGATAGAGGAGTGAAATAGTCATAGTAGGAAAGTGGAGTGGTGGGAGTTGGGAGGAAAGTACTGTATTTGAAGAACCACGTGTTCAAGTTCTGCAGCAGAAGGGCCAATGAAGTACTTGAGTGTTGTCAAAGGCAATCAAGGTAACTGGAAGAGAGAACACGAGGGCGTGAGGGTATGTTATCAGGATGACCTTGATGTTCACAATTAAGAAAGTTGCTCTAATCCTGACATCAATAGGAAGACTGAAGTATCTGAAGGAGGGAGTTTGCATGTCTGTTCACAAAGACCTCTTAAGCAATACACTGTACACTATTAATATGCCAGTGGTTCTTGGGGCGCTGTCTCCAACCTGTGGTTGTCTCACTACTGTATACTCTACTCCTTCCCCAGTGTGTGCTATCTGTGTGATTTGTGTGGGATCACTACATCCCTGGTGGACTACTGTGACTGGACTAAAACAATCAAGGTAATCCTATCCCTCTCATCACGGTGATTAATTCGGGTCATCCAGGCCTAAGCAAATCCATGCATGGTATTTTTTGGCTTTAGGGATTGTTCCATGATGGTCCCAATCAGGACAAAGTTCAGCAGGAATTTTGCTCTTTTATAGACTGAACTTGCTGCCATTGAAAGTCAATGAGGAAGCAAGTAGATCTGGAATCCTATGACCATGAGAGAAGCCTGCTTTAGGGTGAAGTTGACATGGAAGTGTCAGAGGTGAGGGGTACAAAGAACCATTTTGTCCTTGCTAATATAGTAGATCCACTGTATCTCAGATTGCACCTGATACCTGTTGAAGTTTTCAGGCTTTTCTCACCCCTAGGCCCTTCTCCAATCCTGATGCTAGCTGTTGACAACAGTCATTATTAAATAAATATCAGAAACCTCATCTGAATTCAAGGAATCTCCCAGCTCTTTCTAAACCCATACTTGCTCATTGTAACTGTAGCTCAGGCCAAGATGGAATAGACTACCTTGGTGAGGACAGGTGTATGAAGAATCACTGATTTAAAGATTGTTCATAACGTATCGCAGTCATTAGGCATAAGTCTATTTCTTGAGACATTGTAAGGGATTATTCTTGGAAGGACATAGGTCCAAAATGTTGAATTGGACGTCTAGGAGTCAGGGTGGTAAAAATGAAGTATATATTGATTAAGTGGAGAGTTACATGAGTAGAGAAGCAAAATGAAGCCGAGTAGAAAATTAAAGGTTTTGGGAGGAGTACTGCCTGAATTTAGATGTTTTTAAAGTACAGCTTTCTGTCTTCATGGGAATATCTTTTCGATATACTGAGAAAAAGAAATCCAGGTGTTCTTCACTTTTGTAAGCATCCTGGTTTTTCGTGCAGGGAGCACAGACAACAGGATTTCTTGCCAATCAGTTACCATTGTGAGGCCTGATTTTTCATCTGTAAAATGAGGATAATACAGTCTACCTGAGTAATGGCTGTGAAAGTTAAATGAAGCAATTTGAGTACAAATACCTCACAATGAATGATTGTTTTCATTGATGTGGTGGTAAATGTTTAATAACCTCTTTTTCAAAGAATAAAAGCCGTTATTGGTCATTTTTGCCAATTTCCATGGTGTAAATACTTCCAACATTGTGCCAGTTCCGAGTTACCAGTGTGTTACAAAATTGAAATGGAGTTAGAGAAATACACATATAATGCCGGAGAGCTCACCAGGATGCCACTGCTTTCTTTCCTTCTTTCCAAATTACATACATCCCAGATTTTTTTTTTTTTTTTTTTTTTTTTTGAGATGGAGTCTTGCTCTGTTGCCCAGGTTGGAGTGCAGTGGCACAGTCTTGGCTCACTGCAGCCTCCGCCTTCCATGTTCAAGTGATTCTCCTGCCTCAGCCTCCCAAGTAGCTAGGATTACAGGTGCCTGCCACCACGCCCAGCAATTTTTTGTATTTTTAGTAGAGACAGAGTTTTACCATATTGCCTAGGCTGGTCTCAAACTCCTGGCCTCAAGTGATACACCCTCCTCAGCCTCCCGAAGTGTTGGGATTACAGGCGTGAGCCACTGCACCCGGCCCATAAGCCACCACGCCTGGCCTATGCCAGATTTTGTACAAAGTAAAATCAATCCTTGTCCCCCACCACTGTGATACTAGGGTTTGTTTGATTTTAGTGACATCTGTATTAGGGTTGACACAGAATTAATAACTGAATCAATAAAGAGACCGGGAACAGGGCCACGCCTTACACAAGGTGACATGAAAAATGTTGAGGTGTAGCAGTTTATTCCCTTAGGTTAATCATGAACCTTTCTGTTAGGCCCCTTTGAAATTTAGTATCACTCTGTCCTAAATCACCAGTACCTTGCAAGTGTTGATTCTAGCCCATATAACTCACCTTTCTCAAAAATTCTGCTATGTTTGTTTTAGTAACCAAATACTGTATTTTATTTTCGTAAGATTTTCTTCCCAATCTAGATTATATATTTCAGAGAGAAAGCGTCCTATTTTATGTACATTTTGTATCCTTTTGGTGTCAAATATCATGCTATGACCATAACAGTAAGTGTAATACACATAAT
Organism: Homo sapiens; assembly: GCF_000001405.40. Taxonomy (NCBI): domain Eukaryota; kingdom Metazoa; phylum Chordata; class Mammalia; order Primates; family Hominidae; genus Homo; species Homo sapiens. Next base: position 55,480,317 of record NC_000018.10, on the reverse strand, counting down.
ATCCTCCCCCCGCCCCCCCGCTTTTTTTTTTTTTTTTTTTTGGAGTTCCTACTGTGTTCCAGGTTCCATGGTAACATTTTCCTTGTTATCTGTAATCATCACAACAGTACTGGAGGGTAAATACGGTCATTCCCATTTTACAGATGAGGATACATTCAATGTGAGATGTTAAAGATGTTCTTCAGAATTTCCCAGGTAGCAGGCAGCTCATGGTATTCAAAAGGTAATGGTTAAGAGAAAGAATGGATAATGAATATCTTGTGTCTATTTTCTTGAGACAGACGAGACTGAGCAGCCTGAGAACATTTGGTGCTCAGAGGGAGGAAATGCTAAGAGGGGAAAACAAGTCTGAAAGGGAAAGAAGGATAGTTCAAAGACCAGTTTCCCCTGCTTCAGAATTCTGACTGGTGCCAGCTCTAACTGCGTATGTTTGCTTTACTTGGAAGATAGAATCATAGTGCCAGAATTCACGGAAGTCTGTTTTGGAAGATGCATTAGTCAGGGTATGCTAATTGCTGGAACAAACAATCCCCAAACTTCAGTAGCTTAACACTGCAGAGGGTTATTACCCTCCGGTGTCACAGAGCAACGTGGGTGGGCTCTGGTCCTAGCCTGGCTTCTTCCATGGCTCAGGTCTGCTATCCCCTAGGACCTTGGAGTTCACTAGATATTGGCATCAGGCTGATCAAAGAGGAAAAGGAGAGTGGTGCATAGACGATTACATGGGAAATTTTAAGGGCCAGGTCTGGACAAGGCAAGTATTACTTCTGCTCACATTTTATTGGCCAAATCCTAGTCATATGATCCCATGACTGCAAAGGAAGATGGGGAATTTCAGATTCCTAGGTGGTCACGGGCAGAAAGAGATGGGGATTGGTGAAAACATAGCCTGGCTTTAGCCACAGAGGGTTACACCAGAGGCCTGCAAGTTTGGTGACCACTAGTTTTCAGAGGTATTGGGTATTTGATAAAATCCAGTGTCTTCCAGAGGTTGAGCATGAGCCACATATAAATAACTTTCCCAGTGACGGGCCATCAGCAGTCCAATGAAGACATTGGGTCTTCATGTCTTCATTGGACTGCTGATGGCCTGTCATTGGGGAAGTTATTTACCTTCTCTGAGGAGAAAATAATAACTTGCATTTCAGAGTGGTTTGGGACACTAAAGGAAATCAGAAGATGGAACTGATTTGTTAACTAGAAATGGACATAAGTATTGGTTACAGGTTTAAAATGAAACTTGCAATGTTTGAGGAAGAAAGGGAAAATGTTAATGCAAAAACAAAAAAGGTAAAGAAATGGTGGGAAGTAGATTATTGGCACTTTTTCTTTGGAAACCCATTGCCATATTTCATGTAATTAAACTTCATTCCTTTTAATGAAACAATTCTTCTAAATAATACAGAGATTTCCCACCAATATAATATTTAACATTTATAATTTTCACCTTAAAGTTTGAACATTTTTAATTTTAAAACTGTTTGTTGCAGTTTAAATCTCCTTATGCCACAGAACTGTGGACTTTCTCTGGTTGCAAAATTCTTTACAGTGTCTTGAATTGAAAAGGGCTTAAGTAAAAAAAGCTGGGGGAAGTGGGGGCCTTTTACAAACAAATTACAACTCATTTGGTACAATAAGGATAATTCATTTTGTCTTGTTTTGCATGGCTGTATATTGTTTTGAATTCATTCTGCATTTCGGAAGCTTGCAGTATTTCTTTTCTGTAGGTTTCTTACTTGTAACTGCAGATTTCGCGGTTTCTTTTGTGTACCACTTGCCTCCCAGAATTTGGCCCAACAGTTTTGAGTAGCTGAACAATTTATCGGGGACAGATCAGCTGAAATGTGGCTCAACTTGAGTAAAGCAGAAGGAATGACATAAGGTTAGGTGACTGATGTGTGAGTTTTTGAATTTGATTTGGTTTTACATGGAAAGGTTGAAGCAATGATCCATGTATTCTAATAAAAATCATCAGTACAAATCAAATAAAATCTGGCTTAGTGGCTATTTTCCCACTGTATCACTCATGGCTAGCCTGTGCTGTTACAGACCACATTTGGCAGGCACGGCTTTTTCCTACAACAAATCTTAAAGTAACATTGCAATCTTTGCTGTGTTAAAAAGGCATCTTTTCTAATCAAACTGTCTGCTAATCTCATCAGATAAATCATTATTCTCTACTGACAGCTCCGGCTTTCCCGGAACCCCTTCCCTGCTTCTTGTTTTCTCTCAAGATGTCTGGTTATCGTCATTCTTCAGGTCTTTGCCTCTATCTCCTTTCACACTAATGACATATCTTCCATTCCTGAGGAAGAGTTACAGCTTTTTACCATTCCACTTACTGAATTGGTAAGACCAGTACCTCAGAGCAGCTCATCTCTTTCTGACCGGTATTCCACTAGTTATCAGATGGGCAAAAGGCAGGATGCATCCAAGTTGCAGACCTACTAGAACCAAAAATGCCTATTCCCAGGAATTTGATGTGATTAAACCTAAGAAATCATCAGTTGATGCGTTCTCATCTCTTTCAGCTGGACTAGTAAAGTAAGGCAGATGTATTTTCACTACTTCAGTAGTGAACATGTTTTATAGAACCTGAAAGTGAAAGTAAGGGAAGCAGCATGGTTTAGAGGAAACCTTGGTCCATTTTTCCGTCATAGACCTGTCCTGCTAGCAAAGTCCTGGGCGTTTCTTAAACTGATGGCAACTGCGTGTGCCCTGGTGGTGAAATGGTGTTGCAGTATGCCTGGGCACTGCCCTGTGAAAAAGGACACACAGAGGGGAGACTCACAGTTTTGTTTTCATTGCTGACATGGTTTAAAAATGTACGTTGCTAGCTGTGAAAACTCAGTCATTATAACACCGTACACCTTTCTTCTTTCAGCAAGTATTCCTTGTGAACATTAGCAAGTATTCTATTCTCTGTTAGAATTAAACAGGTAATCGTAATAGCATGAAAGGGTGAAAGTATGTCTTATGCAAAATAGCCTCTTTTATATAGGGCATCTACCAATTTTCTTGTGATTTTTGTTTTTTCCTCTTTTGAAAAATGATTTTAGTCTGCTCGTGTTTAGGTAGGTAACTTCTCTTGATCCCAATTTTATACTTTAAATGATCCCAGATATTGCATTTTAAATGAGATGAGTATATAAAAAATAGGAAGCAGAAAGCATAATTAAAAATTGTGGTTACATTATCGTGAGACCAAATGACCAGTCAGACTCCTCTGACCAATTTCATAGAAAATAAGGAGGTATCATTTGAACAAGTTGTAACATATGGGAACTGTTTTAAACACCATCATTGATATCAAGAAACTATTAGGAAATGCAAGTTTGTGTATCGTGTGTGTGTGTATGCTGATTTTACACACACAGGCACATGCACACACATGCACACACACATTTATAAGCCCAAGTAAGAGAAACCTTTGCCAATGTCTGCCAGGCATTTGGCTGAAGTGGAATTGTGAGGAACATTTTCTCAGCCTTTATAAATCACAGTTGAAATATGTCAGCACTGTTCAGTTTATAAAATGACAAGGGCTGTAGGCTGGGCATGGTGGCTCACGCCTATAATCCCAGCATTTTGGGAGGCTGAGGTGGGAGGATTGCCTGAGCCCAGGAGTCGGAGATCAACCTGAGCAACATAGTGAGACCCTGTCTCTACAAAAAATTCACTGGGTGTGGTGGTGTGTGCCTGTGGTCCCAGCTACTCAGGAGGGTGAGGTGGGAGGATTGCTTGAGTCTGGGAGGTTGAGGTTGCAGCGAGCCCTGATCGCACCACTGCACTACATATACCCTAGATGAAGAGCAGGACCCCATCTCAAAAAAAAACAAAAACAAAAAACAAAAAACAAAAAAACAACGAGGGCTTCATCTAAAGGTTAAAGGGACTGTTTCTACCTTATATTGATTATAACAAGTTAACTCACTCAATATTGTATGGTATGCTTATGCTGTATTGAATGGCAAAGTTCCTCTCACAGTCTTTTTTGGGGTCACCCTTCACTCTTCACTTTGTGAGGTGGCTAGTTCATTTGTATACCTGCTCTCTAAATGTGGGAATATATTCTTTTAAAAGTGGCAACTCAACTTATCTCCCCCTTCTAAAATATTTTAGATGTTTCCAATTTTTTTTTTTGTACGTCAGCCCATGGAAACCACACTAAATTTTTCTGTGTCATGAGTATGCTTGTCTCTGCATTTGAATTTAATTGGGAAGTGCCTCTGAAATGGCAGGTCTCCTTTTTACACAGTGGTTTACAGAATGTGGTGGGAGGAGGCACCAAATAGCCTGTTAGGATAGCATGGCTCCAAAACTGATTCTTTAACTTGCCTTTATACATTGCATTAATTCACAAGTGGATCAGTCCATCTTGTCTTCATCTTGGCCAAATTCCTTCAAAATTAATAGTAAAATATGCCTAAATATATTCTTGTTCCTGCCCTCCCCACTCCCACCTAGGTCACAGGGCTACAACTAATCATTGTCTCCATTGAAATGTCACTAGATGATCAACGATTGAAGAATATTTCTTACCAATTCAAATAGAACAGAAACTTCAGTCAAGTTTAGCATTTATTGCCCTACATTTCTGCGGCTGTCAAAACCAGTTGATCAGAGACGTGAAGATATGTAAGGAAATAGGAAGCTGTGATGGGTTATCGCTTGTCTAAGAGTGGTACAAGTGAGACTTGAGGGCATTATCACTTTTTACCTTATACATTTTTGTATTTTAATTTTTTTCAATAAGCACATACTTAAAAATTAGTTTGAATGTTCTTAACGAATCTTTCCATAGGTTACTGATTAGTTCAACAGGGACAAATTATAATCATACATTGCAGAATTTGCATGCCACTTTGACCAGGTGATCAAAATTGGCATAGCACATGAGGGGCAGACCAACATGCCATCAAGGGGCTCTGGAAGTGATGTCCTGGGAAGGACACCAGACCACTATTGTAGTATTATATCCACTGGAATATAATCATGAGGAAGCATCTGATCCTCCCAAATTGAGAAACATTTCCATAAAATAACTGGCCTGTATTCTTCCAAAATTCTAATATCACAGAAGGAAAAGGCTGAGGAATTATGTCTGATTCAAATGGATAAAAGAGATAGACAATTCAGTGCAGTGCATGATCCTGGACTTTGTCTTCTACCGGAGAGGGAGGAAGTTCCCTATTGGAATATGGATTATGGATTGGATCTAAGTACCCACAGTATATTTTCTGATTTTGATAATAGTACTGTTTTTGTTCTTAGGAAGTGCACACAGAAGTACTAAGGTGCAAAAGGATATAATTGATGCAACTTACACATGGTTCAGAAGCAACATATTATATAATTATAACTGCACTGTAATTGAAAACTTTTAAAATTAGCCTGGTGTGGCAGTCCCAGCTACTTGGGAGGCTGAATTGGGAGGATCTCCTAAGCCTAGGAGGTTGCGGCTGTGGTGAGCTGTGTTTGTGCCACTGGACTCCAGCCTGTGTGACAGAACGAGACCCTGTCTCAAAAACAAACAAACAAAACAAACAAAAACCCCAAAACTTAAAAAAAATAAAAATGTAAAATATGGGAAGAATGAAAAAATTATACATTTTCCTTGACTTCAACCCTTGATCTTTTCTTGATCAGTTCCCAGGTGGGGTTAGGATATCTGTGTTTTTTATGAGGTTCCTTGGAGTATTTGGGTGGTCAGCCACCATTTGGAGATCACCATGTAGTGCCTAGATTATAAATTATCCTTTTAGAAAGAGTTGCTGGAATCATTTCAAGATTGGTCAGGTACCAATAAATAAGTAATAGAAACACCCTCAAAATTGGAATTGAAAGAGTGGAAATTTATTTTATTTAGTTTGGGGATATGAACATGGTATAATATTGTCGCATTTTTTCTGGAGTTTAGATGAATAAGAGCAGCCTACAGTTGACCGGATGACTTAATATTTTTTTCGTACCACAAAAATTAAATGCTTTACTAAAACTTTCATTCTCTTACAATTCTGATGAACAAGGTTGTACTGTATGGTTAAGTATCACACTGTAAATTTAGGCAATACATGTCCTATTGAGCCCATGGAGTAAAATAGATTTTCCCGTGATCCAAGCTATTACAATTTCAGATGTGTAAAGTATTTCAAATTCATTTTAATAGACTGCTTCCCTTCAAATACATGTGGAGGTAGATTTATACAACTGTAAACAGTTTATGCATTTTTACAGATTTTCATTATATGTGTTTGATACTAATTTACCTCTTTTTAATTGTAGGAGAGATAAAGAATTAGTAGTTTAAAACAGTAGGAACTGCGTGTTCTGCTGTGATCAAGGAATTAGATAATCTGGCTTGTTTGCTTAAGGGGTCTGTATCTTGAGACTTTTATAGGGCAGTATTAAAGCTCTGAGCCTCCTTATTATGCCAGTACCCAGAAGATTGCTTTAATGAGAAGTAAAGGGCCTTTTTCCAATTACAAGGGAATAACTGCATTAAGTTCCTGTGTTATGTCAACCTGCTTTGATTTGATTACTATGAAAGAAATGGATTTATCTGTCAGTGTTACTTAATTAAGCCTTCTCATTGATGTTTTGCAGAGTAATATAGTGTGGTTTGCACATTTGAGCCTAAGTACAGAGAAAATTGGCCTAAAACTAAGACATGACCCCTGAAGATAACATGCAAGATTGATCATTTGTCATTGCCAGGTCATAGGCTGCAGTGTTAAACATAGGTGGAAGGATTGCCATGTTGAAAGGGTAAAATGAAAATCAGTTTATGGGAGTGAGTATTTTAAGCAAAAGGGGTTGTGGTGGAAAACTGGATTTTAGGGAGGAGTTTTGAATATGTAAAACTATTGACTTCACCAATATTAGTCAAGCATCTGGAATAGGAAATGACAATAAAACAAACAGGAGAAGTAGATTTTGTTAAAGTATAAAAGGAAATAGAAGAAAAAGGAGAAAGCAAGAGGAAAGAATGCCGTTTGGGAGAAGTAGACCATTGTGGTTAGGCAGAGCAATTACAGCCTACAGATATTTCAATTAAGCCAGCCTCCCCTTCTCAGAACCTCACAAATGGCACCCTCGGGAGAAAAGAGGTATCAGGAAAGAAAAGAAGAAAAGAGGAAACAGTTCCATGTTTCATGTTGGCTAACCTCTCCCAAGAATAAATTCAATAAATTATTTACCAAATAGGCATTTTAAATACCAGTTTGTATATCTGAAGTCATTACAATATTATGGATTTTGCACTATAAATATTACATGTATGGTTTGAAAAATACACACGTAATTACATGTAGACATTATCAGAGGTATATATTCAGTTTTATTAGGAAATGAAGCATATTCTTAAATGTATTCCTTAGTTGTTTAACACTTTGTTTTCTAAAGTATCTACCTTTTATTTCTTGCACTCTGTGATATATCTTTAGAAGGTGATATGTCTTTAGGAGGTGCCAAACACCTACTTAAAAACTTCCTTGCAATATTTTCACATTTATTTAAGTACTTTGAAACTTATCTGTGTAATGTTGAAGTTAGATGGTACTTTGATTTTTTTTTCAAAGTCTTCAGATATGGTAACTTACTTCCAATTGTTATTCTCACGCAATTCACAATGTTTACTCTCCAAGAAAACTGTCTTAGTTAAGACTGATTTTTAAGTGCTTTTAGATTGGTCACATTTCGAAAAGTCAAAGAAGGTATATATAGTTCACGTTATACTCTTGCTTGAGTTATTCATGGCTCTTATTTGTAGGATATTGCTTTAAAAGGTAGGATCCCCAAACGACTAACTTCTCTTCAAGAGGAAGACCCCAGCTAGCCAGTCCCATACACTTGAAAGGTTGCTAAATGGCACTCATCTCTCAGCATTTCACATTATATATTCAAGCTAGGGTATAATTCAAGTTAGATGATCGTTGACACCTCCAAATATATAAATTAATATAAAGGCTTCAATGTACGTTTGGTTCAGTTGCATAATGTAACTGTTTACCACCTTGAGCTTCAAAAAGATTTCTGAGTTTCAATATAAGGAACACCACTGACATATTTGTAACATAACAGTTACCCACTTCATTTTGTTACTTTCTCATTATCTGAATTTTATGTTATAGGAAGATGCTTTCCCTGTTTATGACAGCACACAATGGAATTAACTCCATATCTTAAGCAGCAGAAATGTAGTGTTCATTTTTGAAAAACAGGTTATTTTGAACTTAAGGAAAATAATACTGTTTTAAAGGACTTATTAATGGAAGTTTAAGTTGGATGTTAATTAAGGCTAAAATATTGCAGTAATTGTCTGCGAACACTTTTTTCCTACTATACTTTCTCACCAGCATATCTACCCTTTAACTTTTCTTATCATATGAAAAATACTCTAAGATGATCTCATGCTTGACCTTTGAGTTTCAGATTTATTTGGTTAGGAAATCCATTAGCTCTGAGAAAGCCAGGGTTGACAGCAGTCATCTGAAAATGGAAAGCCCAGGTCTGTATTCTTTATATTTGACTTATCTTTTTTTTTTTTTTTTGAGACAGAGTCTTGCTCAGTCACCGAGGCTGGAGTGCAGTGGCACAATCTTGGATCACTGCAGCCTCCATCTTCTGGGTTCATGTGATTCTAGTGCCTCAGCCTCTTGAGTAGCTGGGACTACAAGTGTGCACCACCATGCCCAGCTAATTTTTGTGTTTTTAGTAGAGATGGGTTTTACCATGTTGCCCAGGCTGATCTCGAACTCTTGGCCTCACTTTTTCTAGTCTGATAGTTTTGATTGCTGTCCACATAAGCAAAGTAGAGCTTTGAGTAATCAAATCATAATCCACCTGCCTCGGCTTCCCAAAGTGCTGGGATTATAGGCGTGAGCCATCGCACCTGGCCTGACACATCTTAACATTTGTGTGGGAAGCATTGACACAACCCTCATCCTTTGCTTAGTCAGATTTGGGAAGTGCTGGAAGCTTCTTGTCGAGTTTCTTGTTAGTGCCCAGATCACTCATTCTGAAGCACCATTTCTTATGTCTAATAGAAAACAGAAACAATCATGCTTGTGTGGACATCATCTGTCAATATTTGAATCTCCTCAACTCTTCCTATGTCTGTAATAGTACTCAAATTTGACTTCAAATTACTCTACTTAGAGCTCTTATTATACTGGGTGCTAATGAAAATGTGCACATCCTTAACACGCTCTTTGCTGATGAAATATTTTGAACTCTAAATTCATCTGGCACTGACGGAGAGCATATGCCATCTCAGTTTGTGTGAGGGCTCAGCCAAGGGTTCTTCCTGGACTAGGAAATTAGTAGGAGCCACAGATGTACGCAGTCTGTGAGTCTCCATAATGGTGTAGAGGATATTTAATAGTGTCTGTTGTTGCAGGAAGAAGGTTTTGAGGCAGTGTAGACTTCATTGTGTTTCAGAATGATTATCTTTCCTGGAAGAACTTGACATCCTATCTCTGAACGCATTCTGAATGTGTTGAAATTTTTATTAAGAAATCAATATATTTCCACAAGAGCAGGAATCTGTAGACTTAGAGCAATGCAAAATACCATTTCAGGCATTTTTCTAATTTCATAAAACTCTAGGGTCCTGGGTGATTGGCATGTTGTAGGCTCAGAGTATAGAAAGGACAACTACACAGCTCTACGTCAAATCAATCTAGGTAACTTTCATACTTGTTTATTTCAAATCAAGCTGAAAGTTACATGGTATTTAGTCTGTGTTCTTAGCTTGGGACTCTGATCAGCATACATAACTTCTGACAACATGTCATTTGTGTATTACACATAGAAGTACACTGAGATATAAAGAGAATACTCTAATGGTAAACTAAGCCACTGAATAAATCTAATGCTTACTGAATTCTTACTCTGATAGTGTTATACAGGGTCACGGAGAAGGTAGGATTGTTTAACCTAAACGTTTTGGGTGTTTCTAAGATCCAGGAGAGTATTTAAAAATCACTGACCTGTTTAGCAGAACAAGGAGTCATAAAAATGTAAGGCTCAGATTTTCTTAGATATTGGAGGGTATTATTAAATTAGGCACTCATGATAAATACTGGTGACTATGGTAGATATTTACTACGGATCAAGTACTTTCCTAAGTGTTTAACAAATGTTAGTTAATTCATTTACTTTAACAATAACTCCTTAATCTTGCAAATACTATCATCCCCTTATCTTCTGTTAGAATACTGACTTTGGGGTATGTCTTGGGTTTTCACTTCTGTTCTCCTTGACTCAAGAGGCCATTACATTTTCAAGGCTGACAGATGTCCCCAGGGCAAAAAATGTGTTTTCTTCTTCCCTGGGTTCCAGCCTTCACTTTGATTTTGGCTCCCTGATTCCTTGTTATCTTGTCTGCTCAGTATTTTAAAATTTTTCAAAAAACTGTTATCCATCATTTTTAGTTTTCTGTGGGAGAGTTGTCCAAATATACTAGCCTGCCCTATTTCCAAGAATGGAAATCAAACTTGCTTATTTCGTAGTTCACAAAAATGAGTACGGAGAGGCCAGTGACTTGCTCAGACCAGAGAACTGGTCACTGCAGAGTCCCTGCTGAAATCCAGCTCTTTATCCCAACTCCCAGTGCTGTGTTTTCTAAAGTTTGTCTAGTCTGTCTGATAGTTTTGATCTTGCTGACCACAAGAGCAAAGTGGAGCTTTGAGTAATCGGATTACAAGTGTAATGAATGTGGATGGGAAATCGCAGAAGGTAAGAATTATGTCTGAACATCTTTCCCCTAAATAGAGTGTTTGGTCATAGTTCTGCCCAAACTGTTGTGTTTTGGCACTGATCTGTCAAATACTTTATTTATTATTTTTTTTTTTGAGACAGTCTCGCTCTGTCACCCAGGCTGGAGTACAGTGGCTCGATCTTGGCTCGCGGCAACCTCCACCTCCTGGGTTCAAGCAGTTCTCCTGCCTCAGCCTCCTGAGTAGCTGGGATTACAGGCGTCCACCACCAGGCCCAGCTAATTTTTGTATGTTCAGTAGAGATGGGGTCTCACCATTTTGGCCAGGCTGGCTTCAAACTCCTGACCTCAGCTGATCTGCCCGCCTCGGCATCTCAAAGTGCTGGGATTACAGGCATGAGCCATTGCACCCGACCAATGTGTCAGACACTGTAGAGGGGACTCATGCAGAATGAATCAAATAAGATGAAAATTTGTGGATTTTCAGATTGCCTCCTAAAGCAGCCAGCAATCCCATGGAAGAGTTACTAAATCTATCTTGGTTTAGGGTAAAATAAGAAATTAGAAAAATCTTGAACTGAGCCCATTTCAGTCTTTTGGAACAGGAATTTCTATCATCTACTTGCTTTCTTCCTTTCTTTTTGCCCGGGGTAATATCTTTCTCTTTATTCTCCCATCTTGGAAAAAGGGTGGCAATAGAACAAGGGGGGGGGGGGCGAGAACTAAATAGATTCAGCAGCTTCATCCCAGGCAGTTTTTCATTTGTCACTATGTTGCCTTAATGGATTTCACACATCTATTTCCTGTATATTGTTTAGTCTCACCTCTAGATGTAAACACTTCTCATACCACAATATTATCTTACTTTTCACTTTCTGCTGTTTTAACTCATTTCAATAAAGAACTAATGAGCCCACCATTGTACAGTACCACACAAGATGTTATTTGTGTCAAGTATGTTTCTTTCCTATAATAAACGTACATCACAGTTGGGTATGATATAAGTATATAGCTCTATAGCTGTATATATATTCACATGGTTATTTGGATAATAAATTCTGTGTACTTGCTGAACTATCGTATTGAGCCAGCCATACAAGTTTTATCATTGTGCCTACTGTTGATACTATGGGCTGCTATGGGATATTCTGTCCTCTGTGTTGGGAGCTCACAGATATTTTCTGTCTGGCTTAATACCAGGATTAGGTATGCTTCTCCTGGACACTTTGTGTGTTTTTATCTGATGGTTATTGTCAATCTTGTTTCCCTCTCTGCTTTGTCTACTTAATAGCTTCTAAAGTTTTGACCCACTTCTAGCAAATAGCCAGTCCTTCACTGTGTGCATTTTGATAAACTCATCATACCTCTGGCCTTACTGTTCTGCTACTTTTATTTTGCAGTCACTTGGGTCCTTCAAATATTGATTTCGTATATTTTGTGTTGTATGTGTTTCTGTAATCTTTTGTGGACACAAGAGTTGGGTATAAACTCCCAAATAAATATATTCACTCTGCGTGGGGAGAAGTGACAGGAGGGAACGTTCAGCTGGTTAGACAGAGATGTGACATTCTTACTGGGGAGTCTTTACAGCAGTGGGCAGAGCTTCAGCCTCCTTTTGTGTCCAAGCTCTGCCATTTCCTGATCCCTTGGGCAAGTTTTCTAACCCATCTGAGCCTCAGTTCAGATATATAAAACCAGAATACTAGTAAGGCATTTGAGAGTTTAGCGCAGTGTCTGACATACATTCAAGCTCACCACATGTGAGCTGTTACTCTTTCTTTGAGAGGTGAGGAACAGTTTAGGCAGAAGGAATAGCAGTTACAAAAACATGGTGGTATAAAAGACCGTGCAGTGTCCTGGTACCCTAGCAGGAGTAAGGAATGGCCAGGTGTAGGCCCTGTGCAAGGTTTACATGAAAATGAGTCTGGACAAGAACTTCTTGGATGCTCATGTGATGGAGGTGTATAGTGAATGCTGCTGAAACCAGCAACCCAGACAGCAATTTTAAGATATGGAGTGAGAGAGGCTGCTGTTGGTGGTGTGGGGCATGCATTTGTCTTGTGTTACAGTGGAGTAGTCCTGTGGTTCTCAAACTCCTGTGTGCATAAAAGTTACCTGGGGACCTGTTAAAAACAGTTTTCTCAGCCCCACCCCCAGAGTTTCAGACTGAGTAGATATGAGACGGACCCTAATAAGCCAATTTAAAAATGGGCATACAGGTGATTCAGGTGGCGGATACACTTTGAAATGCACTTGGTGGTGCACTGGAATAGTTATTGAGGAAATGCTAACTAAGGGGCAGGCCTGACAAAGTTCAAGGAGAGGGAAGATGGAAGAAAATGACTTCAAAGTAACATGTTTACATTCATTATGAATTACCATTGCGCATGCTATGGAAACACTAGTTTATAGTGTCTTCTATGGATATGGATAAATGAGCACCGGTCCTATAGATTTTTTTCAAAGGTAAAATATAATTAGAATTCATATGATTATTCTATTTATTAGGTTTGGGAGAGCTAGTGATTTGTCCTCATCCTTGAGATCCAGCAGGAGACCAAGGGAAGGGGAAGCCTGTTCAACAGAGAGCAATCAAAGAAAGAAAGGTGCAGCAGCGTGAGGTCAGGAAGTGGGAAAGATGGAAATGGGAAAGGGTGGAAAAAGAGCAGTCAGATCCGATTGGTCAGGAATCTATTTGTGAAGGAACCCAGCCAGTATTTAACCTGCTTTGAAAAAGCTAGACTTCCAGCATTTTTAATTAGTGGATTGCTCGCTTTTGAAATTGCCCAGTTGGGAATACTCAAGTGTTGATGTGTTTTATCTGCCTGCTAATTAGCAGGCTGCTTGGTTGACCATTACTTTTCCTTTTTTCTGTGGACAGAAGATGTATATGAAGGTCTCTTGGTACATTCCAGCTCAAGTCTAGCTTAAAGTGCATAAGAAAAACTGTGTATTTAATAAGAGTTCTTACTAAATTATAAATCAAATTTTAATACATCTTTTCTCCAACTTGATTCCTTTTGCTCTAGCACAGGGCTTCTCAATCTCAACACAATTTTTATTTGGGGTCAGAACACCAAAAATATATATATATATTTTTAGGGACAGGGTCTCACTCAGTTGCCTAGGTTGGAGTGCAGTGGCACAATCGTAGTTCACTGTAACCTTGAACTCCTGGGCTCAAGGGATCTTCCTGCCTCGGCCCCTCCAATTAGCTAGGACTACAGGCAAGTTCCACCACACTTGGCTAATTTTAAAAATTTTTGTAGCGACAGAATCTTGCCGTGTTTCCCAGGCTGGTCTCAAACTCCTGGCCTCAAGCAATCCTTCTGCTTCAGCCTCCCAACGTGCTGGTATCACAGGTGTGAGCTGCTGTGCCCTGCACAGGGTATTTCTTACTGTGGAGAGCTGTTTTGTGCAATTATGAGATATTTAATAGCAACTCTTGGCCTCTGTGTGATCAATGCCACTAGCAACACCCAAATTGTGACAACCAAAACTGTCTCCTGGGTGGCTTTGCCAAATGTCCTTTGGGATGCAAAAGCCCCACTGACCTGGCAGTAGCGTCCTCTTTCCTCCAAGTCTCTGCCTACTTTTCATGTTTAAAATCCTCTTTTAAAATTGAAAAGATAAAATGAGTCCAAACAATTTGAAATCTTATGGTACTTATAGGGATTCAAATCTGTTCCTCCATTACTTTTTGGCCAAATTCAAGAGGAGAAATCTCTCAAATGAATCCAAGCTGGCTGTTATAGGTGAAAAGAAAGTCAAGATGCGCCAGACTTTTAAAAGCTTGCAGTGGTTGAGAGATTTTGTTATTTATACACTTTTTATTTTGGCTGAAAATATTTGGTTTTTGTTTAAGAATTAAGAGAACCGTGTAGGCTACAAAATTTATTTATGTGCGAATCCCAGAGGGTTGTAAGTAGCTTCTTTGTGTGCTTCAGTTCAACATATACAGGATAGGCCAGCATGTTGGATTGTTAAACAGCAGATCTGGGGAAGGTTTTACACCTTTTCTCTAGGCTTGGTGCAGTCCCGAGAGCTTTCTTGACATGCCTTGAAGCTCACAGTGCACTGATTTAAACTGTCCATAGGGGACATCTGTTTGCAGTTTGTGTTATCTGCTGAAGCACCAACTAAAAGGAAGTGAAATAATATTTGTCATTAAAAAAAAAAAGAGAAGTTAATTTAATGGTAATAACTTAGTTGTTGTTGCTTTTCTATCTCTTAAGATATTCTGAAACACCATGTACTCTACTGTATCCCAAAATAAATAAATTAATTATACTATGATTACTTCTGCTGATAATAAAATAGCAGTAATAATAAAAGGAATGACAGTAGAGCATTAAGAGAATAAACAGTATCACTGAAATGTGAGGAAACACAATAAATGGGATTGTGTCTCCTGAACCTTAGTTTCACACTTCCTCCTCCACTTCTGTCAGAGGGTGTTTGTGATGGCCGTCTGTTATCAGCCGTGATCAAAATAATATAACAGTGAAACTTTTTATACTTATGAAGGCCCTTTCATCAAAAATCTCACAGCCATTTCTAAATATAGAGCAACTGATCTTTAAAACACTTTTATGTTTTAAGCAATTAATATGGTAACTTAGCTGTTAGACTTTCCATCCTGCGTATTTGCCATTTGGAGCGTGGATGGAACATTTCGTAATCTACTCAGCATTAAAACTTTGCTGGTATTGAGTTTAGAATTCCAACTTTTCGATGGTTCATGTAGGTCTTTTCACTGTCATCTATCAAAACAAAACATTGCTTTATAATGGAATAACCACATTCATTTCCACATATCAAAACCCAGATTAAGGATTATAGACCAAATGGTATGTCTAGTTTAAAAAAAAAAGGAAAGACAGAGACAGTATTGTCTTAACCTAAAAAAAAGTTTTGTTTCAGTCCTAATATCCCTGTAATGTGCTGGTGGAAATAGACTACTGAATACTTTCTCAGTCTCATTTTCTGTTGCATGTCTGGTGTCTTCTGTGATAAGCCTGGGCTATGGAACAAAAAGGATCCAAGAGCATTATGGCGAGGATGCTAAAGGTGTTAGTGTGGATATTTACCTTAATTTAACTTTTTTTGCATTAAAGTTATGTTAGTGCATTTTTAAACTTATTTTATCCAAAAGATTGTAATAAAACTTTAAGTACAGTTTCACATCTATAAAGACTGAGGCTATCAAACACTGTGAAGGATGGAAGTAATTTTTATGTTTATACCTCTGGTTCCTGAGGGTCCAGTTCATTTCTACTGTGAATTTAAATGAGTTAATTTAAGTAGATGGGTCAGAAGCCACTATCATCATGGTAGCCCGGTGCCTGGTTCTTAATTAAAGGCAACAGGAGATTAATTTGAAACATTAATTTGAAAGTGCATATACAAAAAGAAAAAATTACTGCAAGAAAGCCTAAAGAACTTTTCTCTTGTCCCTAGATGTAGAAGACAGAAGTAGCTCAGGGTCCTGGGGGAATGGAGGACATCCAAGCCCGTCCAGGGTAAGTATATCTAATCTTTTCTCCCACAACCAGACATCCCACATATGTAAATTGACAAACAGAAGGTGTGTTTCTCTCTCTCTCTCTCTCTCTCTCTCACACACACACACACACACACACACACACAGAGGCATGGGCATGCACACGCACACAAACACACACGCATATATGTGCATACTAAGTTTAATGAGGATCAGCTTGACTTTGGAATTTTTTTCCCCCATTCTCTTATTGGATGCTGTTATTCAATTTGACACCTGTTCCACTTCTGCTAACCAGAAGAAAATTCCTTCGTTACATGTTTGGTCTTTCTTTTGTCAGTTATTGATCCATATTACATAATGCTGTTTGTTGTAGATGGAAAAACTTAAAAAAATTCCTAATATCCCTATAAGGTATTGGTGTGAATAGACTACTGAATAATCCCAAAGATACACTATGAAGTTCTATCCTACCAGTATAATCTACGTACTGAATCTGAGTTGATTTCGCTATGTAGACATGTTATCATTCCACCAGTAGGGACTTTGATCACTAGATGGATCATTCATTTATTTGCCCTCAACTTTTTGCTATTCTTCTCCACAGTTTTCCTACATGCATTGGTTGTTTCTTGGGGAAGACCCAAGGAATATAATGTAATAGGAATGTAATAGGAAGACCATGGAATAAGAGTTGGGTGGGTGGTTAAGCAATACGTGTTTCTTGTATGTATATGATCTTGGGCATGTCATTTCACCTCTTGGGTCCTCATTTTCTTATTTTGCAAAATGAGGAAGTAGATCCAGAGGATCATCTGTGTTTCTTCCAGTTTAAATATTCATGATTTTGTATGAAATTTCTTTAACTGAATCATTGCTAGGCCCTCTAAAATCCATGTCAGTTTTTATGATGTACATACAATGCCCCAGATTAAAAGTACACTTCGTGTACATGGTAAAACCAGCATGTCTTCCTTTCCCAACCAGCTATATATATATAGATGAAGCATTCTGCAGGGAGGGTAACATTTTACTGTAAGTGTTCACACAAATTTGGGTTGGGGGAAGGTTCCATTTTGGCATAAGAGGCAGGGAAGGTAATCAAGCTGTCAAAATGAGGGCATTTCAGCAAGTCAGAGCTAGACATTTCCACCTGTCCTTGGCATTGTGATCCTTAGTCTAGTGTTCAGGGTACAGCAGGATCTCTAAGCTTACCAGTAACTTTGTGAGCCCTTACACCAGCTGTCGAGCTTGACATTCTAATGCTTTATATGGATGGGTTGAGGAAATCTTTCCTCCTCCTCATGTTACAGTCTGCACTTGCAGAAATAAATCCATTCCCCTTGACAGCAAGTGGAGATCATAGAACTCCCCTCAATTGTTTAGTTCATCCAGATTTTCACAATTTCTTATGATTTATCCATTCAGTACACATGGTACTTTTAATTGTGTTTCAGAAAACAAGGTCTGTTTAGAATCATCTTAATTTAGGATTAAAACTAACTAGCTTTTGGTTTTTGTTAGCTGTCCTGCCATTTTTCTCAAGGAATATATTGGTGAATAATTTCAAACCAATTTTGTGTAATTTATATTTTCTAAATCCAGAAGTTTGCATGAGACAAATCATTTGTGGCAGATTTATACCCAGGCGTACTTTCAAGGTCTCTCTTTTTTCATCTTAACATGGGGATAGTGTCTACCTTACAGCACTGTGCTGAGGATTAAATTAGATAATATATATTAAGCTTTTAGTACACTATCTAGGATGAGGACACTTAATAAGTGATAATTAGCATTATGCAATGCCTGGTATAGAGTGAGTGAGTGTACTATGATGGGTATTTAAAATGTAGCCTCTTTTTATAGATGGACATGTTGGCAGAATTAGATTACAGTATCAGGCAAGTTAATTGTTATACACGAGGAAAGGTGATTGAGAACGGGGTAGTTTTCCTTAAGGTTGAGGGGATGTGTCTTTTCCTTGTTCATGCAGCAGCCCTCTCTTTTGTGTGGGCAGATTTTGCCCTTTGGCTCACATGCAACCGATACCTCTGAGTAAATTTGACTTAGACTTTCATGGGCAGTTCCACCAGCTGAGCAGAATGACTTTTTCCCCCCTTTTTGGTCACTTTATGCACTTTAGTAGACTGAAAGTTGAACCATGTAGTATAGATGATTTTAACTCTTTCCTATTGCGTTATCAAATTTCCCCATTAAAATTAAGTAACTGGACAGCTTAAGAACATTGTTTTAATTTTAAATTCCCCTTAAAACAATAAGCTGATTGTAATAATGAAATATTTCTGTCAAAATTTGTCTGCCTTACAACTGGTTGTTTTTTGTGACATGCTTTGTCCAACTCCAGAAATGCTAATTTATGCTAATGTTTTGATGTTCATATCCTAGTTAAACCCTAATATTCTTAACTTTCTTATGTGTTAATTACTTATGTGACAATCTAGTTCTCTTACAACCACAATACCACAATAGTAACTATAATAAAACATTGAAACTTCAGTATCCTAACACCAAATGTTATTGTTTGAATGGCTCTATCTTGGTCTTTGAAAAGCAATTCATTGCATGCTATGCCTAATTTTCCCTTGTGGCACAATTTTGCTTTAATGTGGCCTTATTAAAATAATAATTTTTAACATAAGCAATATACTTTGTATGTGTCTGGTGTCTTACATACACTATTTTATTTAATCATGTCAACAACTCCATGCAGTTGATACCATTATTATTATTCCTAAGATTTCTCAGCTATTATGAGGAAAATTTGGACTTCGTAGACTCTAGAGCTTTCTTTTAGCCACTATACCTGTGAAAGTGCAGATTCCTTCTAGTGAAGTTCCAGGGAGGGAATAGTGGACTCCAATTTCTTTGGAGGGGAGAAGTTTTGGTAGTGGAGCTATGTTTGTTTATGTGCTGTTTATTAATATAAAATAATAACTTACACTGTCATTTTATTTACAGAACTATGGAGATGGGACTCCCTATGACCACATGACCAGCAGGGACCTTGGGTCACATGACAATCTCTCTCCACCTTTTGTCAATTCCAGAATACAAAGTAAGACCCATTTTAAATTAACTTACACTTTTTGAATGCTCAAGTTTTACTATAGAAGGTAAAACCATGTCCTAGACAGAGGTTCTGCTTTTAGAAACTTGGATATTTAGTCAGTTCACTTGTAATAATCTTAAATTGCAGAGAGGATTGGCAGTCTGTGTTTGGTAATAGTGCATTAAGGATTAAGTTTTACAAGCATATGGAATGAAATGCTTTTAGTGATACTGAATCTATGTGGAAATTTTGTTTTCCTTAGACCTAAAGCACGGACCACAGTTTCAATGTTGTATCAGTAGTTTCCTAAGTTAAGGTAGATGAAGTCAAAGTGGTGAATATTTAGAATAAAAATATCACTGGGCTTGTTGGTTGGCAGTGATATATAGTCAGTGTTAACTGTGATTTCTGCTAAAGGGGTTATGAAAATAAATGGTGTTAATGGGCTTAGTGTGCTTAAATCAGAGTAGTGCATTCAAGTTGAATTGTAAAATCTGATTGTATATTTATCAAGGCATGAACTTTAGTGCTAATGGCCTAGGCAGACCCCATCCTGCTTTATTAAAGCAAGTTACCTGTTAGTTTGAGGCTGTCTGTGAATCTCCGGCATGCCATTCATCCTGGCATCCTCAGCATGTTTTTCTGCTTTTGGCTACCCTGTAGGGATGTTTGTTTAACAGCAGTAACTTGAGCAATGAAAAGATGATTCCTAATGGCTTAAAAGGTCCCAATAGCTGGCTACTTTAGTTTTGATTGAAAAAAAAAAAGATCTTTGTTCTAGTAAACATGAGTTCTTAACAATATTAGTAAATCTCTCAACCTGGCCAAATTCTCTTGAGAATCTGTCAATAAGTGAAGTTAAATTTCTTGGTACAATCTGTTGGACAACACTCCAAGGAAACACACACAGCGATGATTATATTTTTCTGAGACCATAACTGCAAATGCTTCTAAAGAATGTCATGATTTTAAGCTTTGGAAGCTATACCAGTTACTTCAGGTCCTTGAATCTCAGGCATTCTTTGAAAAATCACCATCAAATCCATCTAAATGGATTTCAGATATTTAACACAAAATAGTCAAAGCAGATAAATACTAGCAACTTATTTTTAATGGGTAACATCATATGTTCGTGCCTTTGAGTATCTTACCAACTTTGAGAACCACAAAGTTGGTTTTGGTCATAGAATGTTCTTATTTTTGTGCTATTTTTGCCTTCAAAGTAGTAAATTTCATATTTACGTTTTAACATTGTAACTCAAGCAGGAATCCCAGTTCTTTATCAGTTGTTGATAGAAAGGTGCATTGTTTCTTGTTCTCAGGATATGTAGATACAGGTGACCAGATATATTTATCAACTTAGATTTTAAAAGGCAGCTTTTGACTCTTCAGTGTCAATAGTTATGATTTTATTTCTAACACCCTTGCTTCTCTATTCATCTCCACACAACCACTTAGAATAAAAGATTCACTTGAAAATGTAGTCTTGAGAAGTAGCACCTAAATAATATACTAACTTCCTTGGATCCTAAAATGATCCTCCAATGAGCTACAGTAAGAAAAATAGAATAAATAAATACTCATAGGGAGACGCTTATGTTATCTATGTGAAAAAAGTTTTAACTCTAAAGAACAACTTGATAAATTAATATTACAGAATACACCAAGCAGTACAAACAGATTAAATGATTGTTCTGTTCATGTTTCCTCATGGGCAACTGCTTTACAAATCAAATTAGTTTTTCAACCCAAATAGTATTTAAAATATAAGTGGCCTGACAGTCTAGAGCGGAGAGAGCTGATTCTTTTCACTTAGTTGTTGTTTAGGCTGCAAATCCATGTCAGCTTTGCTCTTTTATCCTGTCTGCCCTCCTTCCCATTAAACTCTTAAATATGGAGACCAAGACAGTCTCCTGCATTGTGATAGGAAATGCTACTATGTCCACGAGGCCCCCACCCACTGTTCCCAGTGAAAGGACTTCTCTGTTAGATAAGCTGTCTGGTTTGAAACATGGCTCTTTATTGTTTACAAACTGCTACATTTTCCACCTCGAGCAGATTTTTGCACAGAAAAGAATTGTGCTTGGGCTAAATGGTTTATCTGACATTAACGGCGCAGTGTCAGACTGGGGTCAGGGAAGTCACCCTCAGAGCGAGAGGGTATTGCGCGGTATGCAAAAAAAATGGAAAAGGGAGAAAAAGACATTGAAACAAGTATGAAATACCTTACATTTTTAGTTTAGAGAAGAATAATTTTTTTAAGAGAATTGACTCTTATGCTGCATTAAAAACTTCCCATCGCTATAATTTCTCACACACCCGATGCCTTCTTGATTGGCTTGCGTATCTGAAGGCTAGATTCGGGGAACAAAGATTCTCATTGATTTTGCCCAAGCTGCTGTTTATTTAAAATGAAACCACTTTTCAGATGAGCCATATTTGGTGTTATGTTACAGCTTTACAAAGAAAAGATAGATCATTTTCAAGAAATTAACGACAATTAATTTACAAATGATAATAAAAACAAAGTAAGATCTATTGGTGTAGGGGACAGTTTGAACTCATAGCATATATGCTGTGTTCTAAACCGCACTTTGTGTCCAGACCCAGAGCCCATGTTGTGACCTTTGTGGATATTTTCCTTCTACCAAAAGAAGGTAGTAGACTTTAGCATAAGTGTTTGACAACACTCCAGTCTCCACTTTCAGAATGTTTAACTGGTTTTTGTTAAAACTACAAAGTATTTGTTTCTGTCTCAAAGGCTTAATTCTGCTGTGATGTCGCATCAGGGTAAAAGCTATAGCATCAGAAATAAATCAGCCACTTTATTGGAGCAGATTCTCTATTGTCAAATCAATCAAGCCTGTGACTGAATTAGGCGTCTGCTACAGAAATAAGTGACACTAATTTTATAGGAAAGAGTTATTAACTGCAGATGACCTGATTTTTTTTTTTCCTTTTTTTGGTGAACTGTTCATTTAGTAAGGTTTTATTTTATTGCAAAGAAAGAAAAAAGTACTGGACTACTCTTTCCTTTTGAGAGTGGATTATCATTAATTATGTATTTTGTTCTTTATGGCAGTATACAATTTTAGGGAAATGATAACAGGCATTGCTAGTATATTTGTTTATAACCTCTATGGTAATGAAACCCATTATTACAACTCTGAACTTCTTGATTTCACATGAATGGTTTTGCATTTTACAGATTTTTAAACATAATACTTCTATTTGGCACTGAAATTCCAAAACTTAGTTCATTTGTGTCTCTATTTCACATTTATGCAAAGTGGGATATAAATTATAAGAGTAATAAAGTGTTTTAGCCTAGGCAACATGGTGAAACCTCATCTCTACCAAAAATACAAAAACTTAGCCAGGCGTGGTGGCACACTTCTGTGGTCCCAACTACTTGGGAGGCCAAGGAGGGAGGATCTCTTGAGCTCAGGGGGCGGAGGTTGCAGTGGGCTGACATCATGCCATTGCACCCCAACCTGGGCAATAAGTGAGATCCCATCTCAAAAAAAAGTAATAAAATGTTTGTTTTAATTTATTCTTTTAGAAATAATCTTGTGTGTGTGGAAAAATGCACTATTTGATAGTTTGTGAATCCCTAAAGTAAATAAAACACCCATGTGTGGTTATACATGCATGCACACACATGTACACCCATACACACAATGTATGTATCATGCTAGAAGACTTAATGACGTTTCTTGGTTTATAAGATTGTTCTGTATTCCTGTCTGTGGTTATAGTTGTCATACAGGGTTTTAGTGGTTGATACTTGTAAGTGTTTTAAAGAAGAACCTAACTAACAGAAACAAAAAGCAAGCTCCTAAATTTTTTTTAAATAGGTGTGAATAGCCTTTGTGTTTGTTTTGATGTTGGCAGGGTTGAGAGATGTCAGTACTGACTGCCTACATTGACCAATTCATATACTTTTACCTGACATTTACTAAGAACTCACTCGTTGCTTTCATTGTGTAGATACATGCCAGGTTGCATTTTGCCTTAGTTGAAATTCCATGCATTGTTTTATATCTGGAGAAAATAAATCATTTCTTCCTTGTGACTGCCTATCATTATTAATGATTATAATGTACACTGGACCTATTGGAGACTTCTTCATTGCAGTTTTTAAACAATTTGATGAAACCTTCCTAGGTGGTCCATTGGATACCTTTCAGAGTATGCTAATGGTAGAAAGGGTCGATGAGTCTAATTCCTCTGTTTTTTTAAGAGGGTTATTTATATGCTATGGAATAGTTTGAGAATCCTGGCAAGAAGTGTATGGAAAGAATATGGACATTAAAAAAAACTTTTTTTTCCTTTGTCAAGCACTAAACTTTTGCAGGTAATTGTCCAGATATTTTTACAATGGTAGACAATATATTTTCTAGCTAAAACTGTTTGCTCCAAGGAAGGAGCTAAGCATTCCATTTTCCTTTTATTATTCCAGAGCATCGATTGAAAGCTAGATTGAGGATAAGTGAGCAAGTTGCCCCATAAAATTACATACATGCATTTGTGACTGAAGGGTGTGAAAAGCGATACTTTTGTACATTTGGCTACAGCTTAGTTCAGCATCGGGGCTATGCTTTCACATGGCCCATTTTGAATGGTTCAGTTTCCTTACTGTGGTATTTGGTTCTAGTCCTACTCATGGTACTCTCCCAGAGCATTAAATAATTTACCGCCATAGGGTAGCTGGGTTCTAACCTAGCTCAGCAGAACATTTTTCTGCTGGATTAGATTGAGGTTTCAGGCAGAACTGAAGAAAGCTGCTGGCTTACAGGATGACCTTTGAATCTCATCTGGGTTAGCGGTTGATATTTTGATTTGGTTACTGTGGTCATATTGTGACAGCTGCTAGCTCATTATAATTCGGTTCCACCGCTCCGTTTGCCTAGCAGGAATATTTAGGTTTGTATTACTTCAGAGTGTTTATGGCTACCCTGAGTTTAGCCCAGCATAAAGGTGAAGTGTTGTGAGTGTTTTCAAATCCCAGTGGCAGAAGCAGGTGCCACAGTCTTCTTGTAAAACAGCAAATGTGAGTACATGCTAATACAGGGAGTTTTACTCTTCATTGTAAAACAGAGAATAACCAATGAATCAGCTTTTACTAGGAAAAGTGTTTTTGGAAGCCTTAATGTACAAAGGAAAAGCATGACTACAAAGAAACATAATTTTTCAAAGCACGAATGAGATGTTACCTGACTTCATGGTTAGATATTTTGTTCTTTGCAGAAGTGTGAGTATTAGAAAATAGTAAAACCTGTACAATAATGGCAATCATTTGATGTTTGAAAGTTCCAAAGGTCAAATAATCTTTAGTAACTTCATAAGAACGGAACTGTGAATATAGATGTCAGCTCTAGAAATTTTAGTTCACTTTTTAAATGCAGCGAAATTAGGTAGTGATACAAGCAGGCCCCTTTGCTAGTTCATTAGTTAGGGACATCTTGGTGTGCTTCTTTTTTTTTTTTTTTTTTCCAATAACACCTTTCAGCTTGATGTTATCTCGACATCAACTCTTAAGTGTTGGACTTATAATGTGGCACAAGTAATTTCTGAGAAAGGAAATTATTAATTGTGGTCTTATTTGATTTTACTTTGGGAATTTTCATTTCTTTAATGTTAAATTTAAAATGCCCTCCTGAAATATTAACAAGTATGACTCGTTTGAGCCTCATCGCTGGTGTTTTTAGCAATCTTGATTGTTGAGCTAAGGCTGGTAGTCAGGAGTCAGGAGAACTCAGTTTTTCTTTCTTCTACTTCTTCCTTTCTTCTTCTACTTCTCCTTCTTCTTTTTCTTTTCTTTTTTTTTTTTTTTTTTTTTTTTGAGACAGAGTCTCTCTCTGTTGCCCAGACTGGAGTTCAGTAGGATGATCTCTGAAGCCTCAACTTCCTGGGCTCAGGTGAGCCTCCCACCTTAGCCTGCTGAGCAGCTGGGACGACAGGTGTACACCACCACATCTGGCTAATTTTTATATTTTTAGTAGAGATGGGGTTTTACCATGTTAGCCAGGCTGGTCTTGAACTCCTGACCTGAAGTGATCTGCCTGCTTCAGTCTCCCAAAGCCCTGGGATTACAGGCGTGAGCCACCACGCCCAGCCAAGAATTGAGTTTTCTATTCTGTTTTGCTACAGCTGCCTGTGGGTCCTCTGGTCAGGTCGTTTTCACATCTTTAGGTTGAGGGAGGAACAGCTCTTTAGGTGATCTCTGAGATAATTTTATTATCTAATGGTCCATTGATCTTTCTGATATGTCATTTTATCCTTATACTATATTTTCTCTTTGGAGATGTTTTATTGTTCTTTCTAATCCATTCATCTCTATTTTATGAATACCTTCAAGTGACTTTGCCAGTGATGTGTTTTCCAAATGTAATTCTTTAAAGCCTAACTAAAATAGATATTCCTTTTATATCTCAGCTGATTCCAGATCTATAGCTAAGGAATTGGATTGGTTGGGGATAAATAAAATAATAACTCATTAAGTTGAGTCACCAGGAGAAAAGTTCTGTGCATAGATCAGTATTTAGCATAGAGGTTGTAGGACCTCAATAAATGACTGTCGAGTGAATCAGGGAATTAGATAGATAGGGTTTAAACGTTGAATGAAAAGCCCATACATTAAAGTTAGGCCTATACCTTACTGTACCAAGAAGAAGACCCTAAACCAGAGCCAGTCATATAGAAATTCACATTTTGTTCTATAGGACTATATCCTTGACTGGGCAAAATATTCTGCCAAGATAGGAAACGGGCCATATTACAGTGTGGCCTGTTTCAGTTTTCAGTACACCACAGATTATTTTATATATAAGCGGAAATAAGTAAAATCAATAATATTTTGGGTCGGGCATAGTGCCTCATGCCTGTAATCCTAGCACTTTGGGAGGCCAAGGTGGAAGGATTGCTCGAGCCCAAGTGTTTGAGACCAGCCTGGGCAACATAGCGAGATCCTGTTTCTACAGATAATAAAAAAATTAGCTGGGTGTGGTTTTATGCACTAGTGGTCCCAGACATTCAGGAGGCTGAGGTGGAAGGACTACTGGAGGCTGGGAGGTTGAGGTCACTACAGTGAGCTGTGATTGTGCCACTGCACTTGCACTCCAGCCTGGGTGACAGAGAGAGACCCCATTGCTAATAATAATAATACTTATTACTATATTTATATTTTTGTAATTATATAATAATAATAATTACTATTATTATTATAAATAATTTGAAAGGCCATTGAAAAAAGTTGCGTTTCTGGTATTGAGCTAAGATAACTGATTTCCTTTTGTCCAGTCAGAGGACATTTCCATTCTTCTCTCATTGGTCTTGTTTCCTTTCCGGCCTACTCTGTGATATAGCACAGCTAATGCTGTGGTCCTCAAACACTTTTAGAGTCCAACTAGGTTTACTAATCCAAGTCGTATAACATTTAGAAGAATTTCTAAACAGAAAAATGTTACTTGAAAACTATGGCCAACAGAGATGTATAGACCTTCTAAATACCAGGGGAAGATTTCTCACATAGAAAGTTATTGACCCAAAGAGAAGATAAATCATTTAAGCTTCACATAAAAGTAAAAAGCAATTTGTATCAGGTAGGAATGCTTTTGCTTCGAAGTAATGGAAAATGTGACTAATGATGGCTTAAGAATAATTTTTCTCATTCTAGAAATCTGGTGGTAGGTCCCTGCTGGAAGTGGTTTGCAGCTCAGTGATGTCAGGGCTGGTGGCTCTGTGATTCTTTTGTCCTTCCCCTCATTGTCTAAAGATGGGGGTCACAGCTTCTTGTGTCAAGTTCAGGTTTGATGCAGAAAGAAGGGGAAGGGTGAGTTGAGTGGTGTCTCCCCACCACACTGCTTCCCCATAACCCAGGCCATCTCCAGCTGCAGAGGTTGGGGCAGGGCTGGGAATGCAGCCTGGGAAATAGACAGGAGAGAAGCAAGTTTGGGACTCATACTGGGCTTACTAACTTGCAGTGTTCAATTCACACTTTAATTTTTTAAAGAGAAAAATATATAATTTTCTATTTAATAATTTTGAAAATTAAGAACAAGGCCTTAACTTTCATGTAATAAAAATATATAAAAAGATGTCTCAGCTCTAATTTCTGGTCAGCAAATTAGAGAGGAAGATGGAGTAGGAAAAAAGATACTGTAAAGAGGAAGATGGAGAAAGTACAGGCATGAGCGTCTTGCATGGGAAGGAGCGTGAGGTCTGCTGTTTGCATCTCACCTTCAAGGCCTGTGTCTTCATTGTCCTAAGCCCTTGAGCAAGGCAGCAACCAGCCAAAGCCAGCTCTCCTTACCTTTGCTTTCCCCAGGACCTTCTCTTTTAGGTCTCTGGCTTGACTTTCTGCCAGCCTGTCCAGGGCACCCTTGTCACGCAACAGGCCTGTAGCTCCAGCCACCAACCACTCTTTTCTCCAGTCCCCTGGGTGGTCTTTGGCAGAGCCAAAGGCCAGGCTTTACTCCCAGTGTCTCCTGCTGCACCCATCCAGAGCAGGCCTGGCACCCTGGAGCACGTCCCTGGGACATGCTGCTACAAGTGACAGACAAAGATCTTTCTCCTGGACCATTGCCCAAACAGTTTCCAGGGAACTTACCTCCAGCAACCTGCCATGTCACCATGAAACAGTCAGACAAGAATGCCTACTGCCTAGGGGAGAAAACCCTCTATTTTCTTTTAATATGTACACAATTGCAGTTGTTGATTTTTAATGTGGAGGATTAGGTGCAGCCAAAAGACATTTAGTTTTAGACAACATGCCAAGACTGGATGAAATGGTGAGAGCTGGATCCAACTTTTGTCCAGAAGTTTCCCAACCCTATTGAACAGTCTCATGTCATGAATCAGACCCATTGGAACAGAGGCAGGGGGAAGGACCATCTATCATTAAAGGTAACCAGGATGTGAAATAAACAGTGCTGCTTTTATTTAGTAGAAAAAGTTTTTCTCTAGGTTTTTACATTTTTATTTATTTTCATGTTTTTATTTACTTACTTTCTTTTTAGACACAGAATCTCACTCTGTCACCCAGGCTGGAGTACAGTGACATGATTATAGCTCACTGCATCTTCAAACACCTAGGCTCAAGTGATCCTCCCGCTTTAGCCTCCCAAAGTTCTGGGATTACAGGTGTGAGCCACTGTGCCCAGCCAATTCTCTAAGTCTTTCCTTGGGAAGATGGTTTCTCTGAATTTTGCATAAGCCCTATACTTAAAATGTGTCTGTGACAGTATTAACCAGTACCCTACTTCTGGACTGGATCTTGGGTGGCGGGGTTGCGATTAAACACTTTGTGTTTCTCAAACCTCTCATTACTCCATGGCTTCAGGAGAATAACATCAGTATAGTTAGGGAATCCTGAACCTCACATCCTTGAAACTTCTGTGTCCACCTTAAGTGCTGTATTCATCCTCAATAAAAATAAGACTGCTTTCTTTGTTCACATTATATATTCTTAGAACCAAAGAAGCAAAGGAGCTGTTTTGAGCAGTGCACATCTTACAGGGTGTCATGGGACAGTGGATTCTAGGTCTTCAGGGGTCACTTCAGCATAATTCTTGGCTTTTCACTTCCTAGTGATGGGTGATGGGACATTGGGCAAATTTCCTCAGAGCCCCCGTTTTCTGGTTTCCCAGGTGAGGACAGGGATGCCAGCCTGGCCCACCCCTCCCAGGCTCACTGAGAAAGATGTGGTGATGTGATACACTTTGTAATCACTGTGCTCTGCTGTGTAACTGTTAGGGCATTGCAAGGCTAACCACTGGTCATCTGTCATTTTCGTCTGGGTAATGAATGGAAAAATCTATAGACTTTGGGGTTTTGGGTGGTAGCAATTTTAAAATACCTATACCTTCTAAAGAGATTGGAACAGAAGGCAGGAGCAGGTGGAGGTAGTATAGAATGTTCACTTCTGTAAACATCAAGACCAAAATGAAAAGGCTTCTTTTTTAGCCAGTCCACAAAACAGTAATCCTATAAAATAAGTACCTCTTTGGGGACAGCTGTGTTGGATTCAGATGCTCCCTTTTGTGAAATATTTGCCTACAGCCATGTTTCTCTCCATTTTAAATGTTCTCAAGTTTCATCTTTAAACACAAGGCCAAGAACACCCTGGTGTGGTGTTTGAGTGGTGAGACTAGGGAGAACCCACTGACAAATGCAGATTTCTTTGCCTGTGTTGTAGGTCATCTGAATAATGGAGTCACTACAAGGTACCATGGTTTTCATCAAGGAGATAGTTTTACAAATACCTTCCATATTCTTGGGAATGTTTTGGAGACAGTCCTATTCCACTTCATTTCTTTCTTCTCCACAGATGCTTGGTATAGAATGTTGCCTCTGTATATGGGATTATTCTCTCATTCCCTTTACTCCACAGACGCTTGGTATAGAATGTTGCCTCTGTATTGGATTATTCTCTCATTCCCCTTACTCTTAAGAGTTTTTGAATCCGAAGGAAACATGTTTTGTTTTGAGTAAAAGGAGGTGTTCAGTGGATCTCATTTTCTTTTCTTTTGCGGAATATGAGGCCTAGGAACTAACAATTGCAAAATATATGGAGCATAGGTTGAGATTAAATTAAATTTATTTCTAAGTGGTTAATAGACACAGCTCGAACATTTTTCATCTTCTTGATGATTGCTTATTAATCACTCCTTAATTCCTTGACACATTTATTAATAGGAAAAATTGCAAGGAAGCATCATTTGAAAGTAGTATAAAATACAGCTGGTTATATTGTTTATGTTTAAGATAAAACATTTAAAGCTTTCACGTAGGTTGAAAATGCCACAAGAGAACTAACATGGGGGAAGTGGTGGATGGTGGACCTAGCAGAGCACTGTGGTCAGCTGGGCATTGCTGTGAGCACCAGCTCACCACTCTCCAGTTCTGTGACCTTGGGCAAGTTTCTTTAGCACTGTGATGAAATTTCTCATCTAAGTAGTTGCCCTGTGTTTAAAAGAAATAACGTAAAGCCACCTGGCCCTAAAATTCAGTTAATGCAAATTATTATTACACCTACTATTATGTTATCTAGTCTGTTTTTCTGTTCATTGGGTCCGATCAGCTTGGCAAAAGTGATATGCTAACTTGAGCATCATGTAGTGAATTCTGGCAGAACGTGGAAGTGATTAATTAAATGCCACCCCCTCGTGGGCCATATTAAAGCTGAATGAAAATAGAAAGTGTGTAATATCTGATAACATTTGGTGGAGAAGGGGGAGACAGAAAAATTGAAGGATAAGAGAAAAGGAGACACATATAAAGCTAATTTTAGAGCGATAGATCACAAAGTAAGATTTTCTAGCTTTGTATTATCAGCATTGGCTTGGCTTTCTGAGTCTCGAAATTACTAGGTTACTGACTGGCCGTGCCTTTTCCTCACCTTGGCTATTCAGACCAAGCTGTACTCTTAACAGCTCAGTAGCCAAATCTGAATGCTTCAAATATAAGCATAAACTCTTTATGTGTAACTGATTGCACTTAATTGGGCAATACCAAATCATGGAAGAAAATTTATTAGTGACCCTGTCTCCTTCAGAACTTTCAGAGTAATTGGAAATGAGCCTAATATCCGTGTTTTTGAAAGCTTTAACAATTGGTCTACTGACAGGATTAAATTCATACTTTATATGGTGTGTATGTTTTTTCATGCTTAAGTTTTTTTCCTTATTTATTGATGGTCTTACAAATATTATTTGGAAATTGAGATGCAGTGAGCACAGATCTTAAATATCTTGGCAGACCGCCTCAGTAGCTGTGGATGATCCCTGTTAGCTAGAGAAAAACCAGGAAAAAAAAACCCAACCTGGTACACAATAGTTTACGAAATGATCTTTGTGTGATTTTGAACAAGCTGTTTTTCATTTTAATCTCAGTTTCCTTGCTTCTGTTACTGACCTAACTCATGGAGATGTGGCCAGGAGAGGGTGGGAGAGCTCTCTGAATTTTTTTGTTTCTCCTGAAATAAAACAGTTCTAAATAGACATACTTTTGTGTGATTACATTTTCCATTTTTCGCAAAGTCGTAGGTATAGTTTGAACACCAATTGAGAATAAAAGAAGCTGCCTTCTCCCAGTCTTTTCAAGACATTTTAATAGTTAATGAGATTTTGCCCCTTACCCTCATGAGTTTCATTTGGTTCTGAAATAAAAATTTACGGCTGTTCTCTCAGCTGAGCTGATACTAGTTTAAGAGTGGAATTGAGTTCACACCTGCTCTGGCATAAAAAGCCTCTATGTGACTTCTTTGAAATATTCACAGAGCAGAATAAGAGAGAGTACTCACTATCTCTACAACTGTAGTAACTACACGGTAATGTTGCTTGCAAGCACTTTAGAGAAGCTGCTCTATAAACTGACTCTAATCTGCTGATATTGTCCACAGATAGATGCCTCCCCTAAGTCACCTGTGTTCCTCAAGGTGGAATGTGGTTGTGGAAATGCAGTTGGTTTGTGTAGGCAGTGGGTCTACATTAACACTGTAAAGTGTACATATGGGAAAATCTTTGCATTTGCTAGGCCATTTAGCCGTTCAAGACATGGTCCGTTAGTCAGGCAACGTACAATGGATTTTCTGAGTGTTCTAGTTAAAGAGCAGGATGTGTAAAGTAGTATACATTTAGGCGGATAATTAATAATTGGTGTAGGCTTGTAAGGCTGTAATAGAATATATAAATTTCAGCACCTGTTAAAGTTTTATCAGAGCAGATCACCTTTCCTTACTGTGAGGGAATATTCCCGCCTGTAGAAAAATAAAGTGCTCCCACTACACGTGAAAAACCTTTATGATGAAAGGAGGACTGGTTTTTATAACAAATATTATTTTCCATGGTCACTGTGATTAGGTGACATTTTAGCAGTCACATTTAGAGAGCGTTCCTAGACAATAGTATTTTGTATGGGTTTGACTGTAGGTGGCAAAACACTGCATAGAAACAATATTTTAGTGCATTCTAATAT
Source organism: Homo sapiens (assembly GCF_000001405.40). NCBI lineage: Eukaryota > Metazoa > Chordata > Mammalia > Primates > Hominidae > Homo > Homo sapiens. The sequence goes on along the minus strand of NC_000018.10, from coordinate 55,448,046 downwards.
TCAGATACAGTTTACTTGTCAAAGAAGCCACCTCCCCCCCCATATCATCCCCCCACAAAACAATAGGGTTGTTCATTTTATAAGTTCATCACAAGTAAATATTCAGAGCGAAAGCCTTTTCTAGTGGCTACGTTGGAAGGGGTAGAGAAGATGAAACATAGATCCCAAGTTCAGTTTTTGGCTTTGGTTGTATCATAAGCAGTTTTTACACTTCATATCTTAGCTGTCTTCATTTTCAGACATAGAGGAAGTGCTCCCTTACAGCAGTGAGGGAAAGGGCAAATGATATATTTGTGAAAGCAAAGCAGACTATCTTACTGCTTTAAAAGTTTCATTGGCTGCTTGATAAATAAAATTAACATGTTATCGATATGTCTGCAATCATATGGTCCTCAGTATATGTATTTTTTAAAGCCATTTATATAAATTCCATTTATTCTAGAAGCTGCCCAAAATGATAAACTTCAATACTCAAATGAGTCTTTGGTTCGTACAGTCATTCACCCAGCAAGTACTTTTGGGAAGCTGGTGATCTGCAAGCCCTATGTTAGGTACTAGATAGTGGCATGCTACTTTTCTTGCTTTCAACTTGGCCCACATCCTAATAAAAGAATCAGGTAGATATCAGATAATTACAATTCAGAGAGTTGGGGAAATAATCCATGTGTTCCCAGGGTGTTGTTGCATACATATCAGGGATACTCCACCATCAGCTTCCTCATAATAATGTCTAATTTTTTTTTTTTTTTTGAGACGGTCTCACCCCGTCCTTCAGGCTGGAGTGCAGGGGTGCTTACTGCAGCTTCAAACTTCTGGGCTTAAGATCTTCCCTCCTTGGCCTCCTGGTGGCAGGGACTGTGGGCACGTGCCACCACACCTGGCTAATTTTTTCTATTTTTATTTTTTGTAGAGACAAGGTCTCGCTCTGTTGCACAGGCTACTCTGGAACCTCTAGCCTCAAGCAGTCATCCTGCCTTAGCCTCCCAAAGATTACAAGTGTGAGCCACTGTGTCCAGCTTGGCTAAGATTTTTTTTTCTTTTTTTCCTTTTTTTTTTTTTTTTGAGACAGAGTCTCGCTCTGTCCCCAGGCTAGCATGCAGTGGCGCGATCTCCGCTCACTGCTAGCTCCACCTCCTGGGTTCACGCCATTCTCCTGCCTTAGCCTCCTGAGTATCTGGGACTACAGGCATCTACCACCACGCCCAGCTAATTTTTTGTGTGTTTTTAGTAGAGACAGGGTTTCACCGTGTTAGCCAGGATGGTCTCCATCTCCTGACCTAGTGATCCGCCTGCCTCGGCCTCCCAAAGTACTGGGATTACAGGCGTGAGTCACCGCGCCTGGCCTGGCTAAGATTTTTGGGTACTCACTGTGTACCAGGCACTTGCTAAGTACTTTACACATATTATCCTGCTTGCTCCTTATAATAAACTTCTTTGTTAGACATTGTCATTACCATTTTACAAAGGAGGCAATTGAGAATCAGAGAGATTAGGTTATTTGCCCAGTGTTGTGTAGCTGGTAAGTGGCAGAATCCAGATTTGAAGCAAGATCTGCTGAACTCTAAAGCCTTGTCCTTACCCACCACTGCATTGCCTCCTTTGTAGAGAATTTAGAAAGAATTCCCAGAGGTGGAATAGCAGCTAAACATGGGTTCAGCTGCAACTAATAGAATACCTGATAACAATGGTAGGTTAGTAAAACAAAGGGGTTTTTCCCCTTCATTTTAGGAGGTGTCTGGAGGCAGGAGGTTGCCTGTGTGAGTTCAGCAAATCAATGTTTCTTTCTTCCCATTCTGCCCTCCTTAGCATGCTGATTTTCATTCTTCAGCTTTTTCCTCTCCTCTTGCATTTCTTTCTTGCAAGCTGGCTCTTGAGCCTCACACAGCACATTAGAGTCCCCTAAAGGAGGCAGGGGAGGCAGAGGTTAGGGTAACATTTATCCTTACATATATCCTATTCCATCCAGGAAGGGGGAAAAACATTACCAGAATCTGGTGGCCTTGAGCAGGATTCTGCTAACAACTTATTGGCTAAACCTCTAGCAGACATCTACTCATAGCTGCAAGGGAAGCTTGGAATGTGAACTCTTAGAGCCATGGTTGGGTCTCTGACTCAAGAGACAGGCAAGGGAGGAGGGAGTTAGGAATGGCTATTGTATGGATCAACATGAATTTTCTTAATAATATACGTGGTAATGCCTGAGCTTCATCTTAAAGGTGAGTTGGTTAGAACTATCCTGATGGAAAGAAAATTACCAGTTGGTAGAGATGCTTGAGCAGAGCCTTGGGAGCTGGAAGACGTAATAGGAATACTGGAACTGAAGTCATTCTGTGAGATGACTATGAGATGTAGTACCACAGAGGAAGGGATGACAGGTTGATATGGCTTGGCTGTGTCCCACCCAAATCTCATCTTGAATTGTAGCTCTCATAATCCCCACATATTGTGGGAAGGACCTGGTGGGAGGCAATTGAATCATGGGGGGTGGGTTTTTCCCATGCTGTTCTTGTGATAGTGAATACATCTCACGAGATCTGATGGTTTTATAAAGGCCAGTTCGCCTGCACATGCTATCTTGCCTCCCACCATGTAGGACGTGCTTTTGCTTCTTCTTCGCCTTCCACCATGATTGTGAGGCTTCCCCAGCCATGTGAAACTATGAGTTCATTAAACCCCCTTTTCTTTATAAATTATAATTATTTATAAATTATAATTAAAATCTATAAATTGTACCATCTCCGGTATTTCTTCATAGCAGTATAAAAATGCTCTAATACACAGGTGAAGCTGGAATACAATCCTGGCCCCAGAGAAATGAAGGGTCTCTTGTGTTTAGGAGTGGAAGATGTCAGATTTTCAATGAAGCGTGTGGTAAACTACTCAAGGATTGATTTTAAATAGTGAGATACCATGATATGATTTATGATTTAGGACACTCAAGCAACTGTGAATAGGAGGCAACTTGAGGGCAAGGAGATTACTCAGGAGGTGATTAAGGCAATTCCAAGAGGAAATGATGAGATTGAGCTGAACTGGGAACAATGAAGATGAAGAGGAGGATGGATTTGAGTGATATTAAAATGATGGAAATGGTTGGACTTGGTAACTGATGGGCAAGGCAGGGGTCGTCCTTGGCTTCTTGGTGTCTGGCTTGGGCCACTTGGTGGTTGGCAGTGCCATTTGTTAAGATGTAGAATATATGAGGAGAAGTAGGTCATGGGGGATTAAGGTGGTCAGTTCAGTTTTGGAAATAATGAATTTTTGACATGTCTGTGGGTGGACAGATTTGTGATTCTGGGTTTGGGATTGCAGATTTGGCACACAATATTAATATTTCATAGTTGAAGTCATGGGAGTAGATAAGTTCCCCAGAGAGAGACATGAACCACCACCAACAAGGCAATTTGTTGCATTGTGACAGCTCTAACTTTTAGAAAGTTCTCAATTCTGTAGCTGTCAGCCTGAAATACTCATTTTTCCCTCTGAAGCTAACTAGTATTGTGTATTGTCTCTCTTTCCACATGTTTTGAAGGATGCTAATCTTGGCTTCCTTCAAAAGCGCAACTGGAAAACTTTCAACACATTGTAGAACATGGTTTAATCACACCTTGTATTCCCGGTCACCATCCTCTGCTGTGTTCTAGTTCATCTCTTTTTCCCTCCAAGTGGTGAATCCAAGTCTTACCCTAGTATTCCAGATCTGGTTTGATCAATAGTGGATCTGCTCTCATTTTTAGTGTTAATGCAGTCTAAGATTCCATGTATACATTCATATTTTAACATTGACTGAAAATGGAGCTTGTGGTCCACTAAAATCATTAAGTGTTTTTAACATTAATTGCTTTACATCCAGGGCTTCCACATCTTTGTGTAGAATGGGACTTAATACGTATCCTCGTCTGATTTCTTCATGTTGGTTTTGGTCTGCAAATGTGCAATAATTCTGTCCTTTCACTCTGTTGATATAGGAAGTGAGATGGTGTGATGCTTAGGAATGCAAACTCTTGGATTTATATCCTGGCTCTGCCCACCCTTTACTACCTGGGTGACATCTAAGTTGCTTTCTCTGAGTCACAGTTTCCTCATCTCTGTGTTGAAGATATTATAAAATCCATCTGTTGGGATTGTTGGGTGAAGTAAATGAGGTAATGCATGTATAATGCATAGAGGAATCCCCAGAACATCATCAACACTCAGTAATTTTTCCCTGTTACTATTGTAGGGCATATAAGGAGTTAATGGCGCTATTTTTGTGATTGTGGATCCTTTCTCTCAGTATTCTTTCTGGAATACTTTCAGTATCTCTTTCTGGAGAGAAAGTTTAAGGCAAGTGGTTCATCTGTGACGAATGGAAGAAGGAAATGTGGTTCTTGATTTTGAGTTGTGTGATGAACCCAAATTTACCAGGCAATAGATAGGATATGATGATTACTAAATTTGCCATTGACTGATAGTTAACTGGCTACCTTGTTGGGTCTCTTGAGAAAAGAACTAAAACAAGAACAACAACAACAAAAGCTTAAAATTACCTGAAAATATGTCTCTTTACCTACACCTAATTTTAAGGCAGAAAATTCCAAAGTGAGCCAGCTACTCAATACAGGTGCTGAAGGTTATGTGAAAATTCGGGTTAACACTAATGATAGATTGAGAGGTAACTGTTTGCTTTACAAACCGCTTGCCAAGGAATGCCCATATTAGACTATGAAAATTAGACTCATGGCAAATTTTCAGGAACATGATTCTTGTGATAAACAAGCTATCTGGAGGGTGATGTGTGAGCTCACAGGGGAGTTTTAAGAACAGGTTTCCATTGTTGGACAGTAACCTGACAGCTAGGCATACTCAGAGGAAGGGCATAGATTAGTATCCAACAACCTGTTTTAAAACCAAGCAATGGGACCCCATACAAGGTCCAGGTTGACCCGAACCAAGGTTAGATGAACCTGACTTGTTTTTATAGTAAACGTCACAATGGTGACAAGCCAGCAGGGTCATCAGCACACTTTGCAGCTACAGACTTCCCACTGGACAAACCATTTTCAGCTTCCTCTGTTTGGTCACACCCACAAGAAGTACGAATGGTATATTTAAAAAGCTAGTCCATCTTGGTTCATTTATACCAGTGTGTAGGATTTCTGTAGACTCTGGGCTGGTTACAACCTAGAGCTGCAGAAGGGTGCAGAGCTTCATGTGTTCATTCTGTACTGTGATAAAGTTCTTTGCACGTTTGTGGAAATGCAAAAGTTCTTCTATGCACCTGGCTTCTGTTCCGGTCATTTCCTTGTATATGGGTTTTGATCCGGTGTGACGGAAGAGGGAAGCTATGCATTCTGAGATCTCAGATTTCATTGTATCCAATTATTTATAAGACCTGAGAGGTGCTTTATTAGTTAGGAAGCACTGCAGATTTTCTCTGTAGCTTTTAAAAATCATCCTGACTTCCTATGTGTTATTTTTTGCATTGGCACCCATTGCCAATGCTATGTCTCAGAAGAGCCGAGACTTGTGGCCAATAATCCTTAGAAACTGATGGGGCTGTAGAATTTATTTCTCTGTCACCCTTTTTGAAAATAAAATAAAGTTATATTTTTCATTTACATGGATGGACAAATTGGGGTCTTTAAAATAAAACCTACTTCCCCTTTTCATTCTTTTTCTGATCATTTGTAGCAAAAGCTTAGTGGTTTTCTGTAGAACTGCTTTGTTTTAAAAATCAAATTGAAGACCAACTTGATTCTGCCTGCAGAGCAAAGCTATCTGCCTTTTTAGAAAATCTGGATGGTTAAATTGGAAGCACATTCTGCACATGGTTTAGCAGTTAGTAGCCTGGAAAATGACCCAATAGCCAAGATAGTTTTTTTGTTTGTTTGTTTTTTGTTTTTTTAATCTTCATTGTAAGTGCTTGTTTAAAGTGTAAGCTTGTAATGGACTATTTTGCACATTGTTCATTGTTAATTCTTTTCAGGCTATTATAGTTCTGTAAATACATTGCCTGCTAAGTTGTGTCAGTGGAGAAACATTAGTGCTATAAGAAAATCCAGTGAAATGTGCTTAAAAGCATTACCAATTAGCGCATGGGACTGGATCACCGCGATTTCTTAGTGATCCTAGAGAAGTCAGTTTCAGTTGACTTCCCATTTATTTAAAATGGGTATGACAACGTTCTTTTTGGAGAATAGGGCAGCACACAAATGCACACTATGCTGTGGCCTGCTGAAGAGTTTCCACTGATTTGTGACTATATTACTCAATATTGCTTTGTAGCACCCTTAGTCTAATCCACATTGAAGGAGCAAAATCCTTCTGTATCTTACTTATTATACGATTATGTAATACATATGTTACTTTATATATAATATGTAGTAGTACTTATTTTACTATTTTTATTCATTATAATGAAAATAACAAATTTACTGGGTGGTATCTACCATCTAGCTCAAGCTGTTCTATTTTGTATTGTTTAAATTTGAGAAAAGCTAATATTGGTTAATAATTAAAGGTTACAAAAATTGTAGTGGGAAAGGAGTTAAATTCTGTCTCTCAGATAGTAAAGACTGCCAGAACATGGACATAATCATGGGAAATAATAGGGTGGATAGAATGTGATTTATCTGCGTATGTTAAAGAAAGAAAAATAGTGATCGTGAATGTACTGAATATAGCTTAAACTATTTATCATTATGTACAAATGGAAACTTACATAAAACCCCTGTTGATTAAGTTTTATCTGAAACAAAGGATATGATTGGAAGTGGAGAATGGGAGAGTATTTTAAGAGCATGTGATAATCCAGCTAGAAGCTTCAGCAAGTCTGTGGTCAAACAAGAGAAGAGAAAGAAAGAGCAAGGAAGCTTGATTTGGTTATGCAAATTTGGAGCACACATATGAGTTGGGACCTAATGGATTGTTGCACTGGATTTGGTCATCAAATGATGCTTTTCATAGCAAATATTATCTGAGCCATTAATTCAAACACTGAGAAATGCAGGCCATGTGTAGGCAGAACCACAGCCTTTTTATCCCTCAAAACAAAATGTAAAAGTTGGCCTTGATGGTTAGACCTTATAAAGAAGAATAAGGGGGGAAGGGGGAAAGGAGCAAGTAGTGAAGGAAAAAGCACCCAGAATGGAAACAGGCATGCGTATTCAGACATAAATCCAATAAACAGACACCCCAAAGTTATGCTGTGTAAGAATAGACACACAGTAAGAAATTTCCAGCTATCAGGCTAACAGGATGGAAAACTGGAGAGCACAGAGCAATTACTTACGAAGAAAGAGGCACAGTTGACATCAAGTGTTATAGAGGAGACTGGCATGATTACAGGAAGATGTTGAGAATATCAGAAAACATCCCCAAATTAAGAGTGCCAAAAAGAAGAAAGATTACCGATGAGATCATGATAAATAATAATGAGCTGTTTCTCAAAGTACCTGAAGAAGGGGCCTGAAAAGTGGTTTGTCAAGCCTGGAAGACAGAGAAAGGGTAATGTATTGACGGACGATGGAGACACTGCTAAAAAATAAATGAAATTTTCACCCCAGTGTTCACAAAGGAGGAGGTGGTTGGGGACAGATGTCAGACACAGACACAAATTTCCCAGGGGAGAATGAAGAAATACAAAAGAAATCAGGATCCTGCTAAAACAGGTGATCAAGGGGTGAGAAGAAGAAAATGAATAAAACCCCAAAAACCCCAAAGCTTAGCGGTAGTCACCTAAAAATCTTCAAGAAGTGAGAACAAAGAAGCTAACAAGAAGAGGAAAAACATACCCGCATCACTTAGAAAGGCTGGAAATATTTTCATGTGTGTGTGTTTTTATCTAGTTAATTTGTTAGACTAGCCCTTTTGAAACTTGTCCTTAAAGGAAGTAAGATAGAATACTTAAAGAAAAATGATTGTGGCTGGGCGTGGTGGCTCACCACCCAGAGTGGAAACAGGCATGCGTATTCAGACATAAATCCAATAAACAGACACCCCAAAGTTATGCTGTGTAAGAATAGACACACAGTAAGAAATTTCCAGCTATCAGGCTAACAGGCCTGTAATCTCAGCTCTTTGGGAGGCCGAGGAGGGCAGATCATTTGAAGCCAGGAGTTCGAGACCAACCTGGCCAACATGGTGAAACCCCGTGTCTACTAAAAATACAAAAAATTAGCCAGGCGTGGTGGCACGTGCCTGTAGTCCCAGCTAGTCGGGAGGCTGAGGCAGGAGAACTGATTGAACCCAGGAGGCGGCGGTTGCAGTGAGCTGAGATCATGCCGTTATACTCTTGCCTCGGTGACAGAGTGAGACTCCGTCTCAAAAAAGAAAAAAGAAAAATGATCGTTTAAGTGGCCTTGAATAACCAAGACATCTTTCCTGCTAAGTTCTTTTCGAGTTACCCATTATGCCCAGCGTTGAATGTTTACTGTGCTTATTAAGGATGATTTTTGTGTCCTAGGTGATCACTGAGTCCTTGATTGGGCCAGTATTTACTGGATGGATGCTTCTTAGTGCCAGGGAGTGCGCTAGATCCTGGACTACTGGGATGGAAAAGCTAGATACTTTCTGAGGGTTTTTGAAGTCACTTCTTCCTCACTCATATAAGCAACCCCACCTCTTTCCAGGCATTGATTTCAGTGTGTTCATCATCCCTGGTCTTGCTTTTAACCAGCTACTTGATGGGCAAAGGTCTGGAGAGGGGCAGCCTCCTTTGTTGCTGGCTCAGTGTGCTGTGCTGTCCTCAGCGTGGTGCCTGCTTTTTGCCCTTATCCTCAGATGTGGATCCCTCTCTTCCCAAGCTCTCCTCCATCCCCTGTGCTGCAAACAAAACTCCTTGTTTGTTGCTCCCCACCAGTGGCCACGAAGGAATTTGCAAACCCCTCAACCTCCTACTGTTTTGGAATTCATGAAGTTTTTGCCCTGAGCAAGAGGCTATACTTTCAAAAGTACTTTTTCCTTTCTTCATTTTCCCACCCCCTGCCTTTCAACCACTGCCCCGCCCTGGTGCACACACCTCCATCCCAGGCTGATAACTCCCATCTCTATTTGAACCACCCACTCCCTTCTCTTGGCCTCTGTCAATTTTAGGGCTCAGCAAAACTGGGCTTACTAAAAACACCTTTCAATTTCTGTTCTCAGCATTAATCTGTCTTTGCTTAGTGTTCAAAGAATACTTTAAGATACTCATTAATGCAAACACTGTTATGAGGAGGGAGCTTCACTTCGGTCCCTTCTTCTCACCTTCAGATACTACTGTAACAGCTGTGTGGGACTGGAGTATGGAATGTTTCAGAGAAGCTGCTTCTGAGTGTGTAGGAGAGGGCTGAAGAAACTTTCATCCAGTACACAGTTTTGTCCTGTAGTCCTTGTTCCCATGGCCAAAAGTCTTCTGGTAAAATTAATCTCCAGTGCTACCTTTCCTACCAGGACTGCAGGTGGTGTCTTTTAGTTGAAACAGACTCCCGTGGTCCCTTGATTCTCATATGTAATGTTCCATGTTCAGGTGTCTCTGAAAGCTGTTAGACTTCATCCAATGGAGAAGGGTCCATTGAGCTACATCACTTTCTTTTTTCACATTTGCGTTTCTTTATGTAGAGTGAGTTGCAGTTTGGTTGGCTTTTTTTCTGGGAATAGATCACTCTTCTGGGGACTGTCAGACTTGGTCCCTGCCCTGGGTGAGTTTGCCATCTTATTGAGGGGGTACTAACATGTGCGAGACAACTATAATCATAGCAATACCAACCCCACCTCAATGGCTGAGTGACTAATGAGAGGAGAGAGTGAGGGGCTGAGCAGAGGCCTCTAGGAAGCAGCTGTGGTCAATCTTAGCCTACATTTACTTTTTTTTTTTTTTTTTTTGAGACGAAGTCTCACTCCGTCACTCAGGCTGGAGTGCAGTGGTATGATCTCTGCTCACTGCAACCTCCACCTCCCAGGTTCAAGCAATTCTCCTGTCTCAGCCTCCTGAGTAGCTGGGATTACAGGCATGCACCACCACACCCAGTTAATTTTTGTATTTTTAGTAGAGATGGGGTTTCACCATGTTGGCCAGGCTGGTCTCAAACTCCTGACCTCAAGTGATCCGCCCACCTTGGCCTCCGAAAGTGCTGGGATTAGAGGCGTGAGCCGCTGTGCCTGGCCTAAACCTATATTTACTTTGAATTTCACTATAGTCTACCATTTCCTGATGCCTTATATATCTGACATATATCTGATGAGTGACATTCTTGAGATGTCTGCCCAGGACTCCTGAACCCCATGAGAAATAAGATTGCACTTTGCAGTTCTTCAACCTTGCTGTGCATCTGAGTAACATGTGGCCCATTCATACACTGCAGATGCCTGGGCTCCGTCTGTGAGATTCTGTGTTTAGAGGCCTGGGCTGGGATCTAGGCTTCTGTTATTTAAACAGGAATTTCTGACCTACACATTGCTTCAAAAAATTGTCAATTTTGTTTTCAAAATTGTTATTTTTTCTTGAACTCAATACTTATTTTTAAATCCTTTTTCACTCAGGAAAAGTGAATCATCACCTACTTAGCACCTAATTATTTACCACTAAGATATTTGTGTGCAAAAAATTAATAATTTTTAGATCAAAGAAAATGGATAACTTCTAATATGTTAAAATCGTGCATATTTCCATTGAGAGAGAGAATGGGCTGAAATTATCCCTCTTTTATATTTTAATTGTTCATCAAATTGATAGATTTAATCTACTGGCCCTAAAGATTTGCTTCTATAATAATGTTGTGAATGAAACCTTCATTGCTGTAGATTCACAATTCAACATCATACGTATGTGGTAGGTGTGATTTTTCTTGTATTAAAGGAAAAAGGGTTAGCAGATTTTTACCAATTTAGAAAAAAGGCAAGCCAAATTAGAGGGAAGTCAGCATTATAAATATTTCGAAAAGAACCCCCATTCATTATTTTTTGTAATGTGTAGCTAAGACCAAGCAACAGTGAAGTGGGAATCTTTGCCTTATGCAAAATGGTTAGGGAAATAGCTAAGGATGCTAAGAAATTAGCTTCAATATTGGTTGTAGGCATGAATGTTTTTCTCAGGGACTTGGGTGATTTTGTTACACTTTCTAATATTATCTCTGCTATCTTCTAGGACTTATTTTGTGCAGTCAAAGACTTTTTAAGGCTGTCTGTTCTGTAAAAGAAATACAAACTCCAAGTTGTTTGATTTTATGAGTTTTGTTGTTGTTGTTGTTGCTGTTCAGTCTGTAAAATAGTGACGTGGATAATAAAGATATTTAGTTGTATGTCCAGTGACCTTTGGAATAATAAAACTGTTTTTGTCTGTGTGGGTTTTTCACATACAGGTAATGTTTTGTTCACATTCTGGATACAGACCTGACCTCAGGCTGCTCAGCACTGCAATTTCATAGGCTCCTATGAGGTCCCCGGCTAACATTTTGACTGTGGTGGTAGACCTTCACCTCTTAGATTTCATATATCTTTCATTTTGCTTCTTTTGTGCTTCTGTTGAATTCTGTATATTTAAGAAAATTAAGATGCAGAGAGAAAATTGGTTAATGTCTCCTCTGTGTCTTGTAATATGTGGCCCAAACAGAAAGAAAATGTATGGAATTTAGAAATTTTATTTACTTGTTTTCTTACATCATAGAATACCATTTTACCATTGAAATTATTAAAACCTGCTTTTATTGAGAATTTTGGGGAAGTTGAAAATGTAACCTTTACGGGGAATTAAAGCTGTTTTATTTTAATGAATAAAGTAGTTAAATTATTAATCATATAAAATTATTTCTCTGGATGTTAATAACCATTTCTTTACCCAGGAACTTTTTTCTAATCACAGAATCTTGATTGGTGGTTTATTTGAAGGCATATCTCACTATTAATGGTTCAAGAATACCCATAACTTTTGGAAAGACTCAAAACATATTGCATAATTGGATTTTAAGTTATGTTGTTTGTAAGCTTATTTGACTTGTATCATGTAGTGATTACTATCAGTTTTTCTGGATGTAGGTAGGTGCTTCTTATGATTCTTTCATAGATAGTATTGAGTCATTCATTAAGTCTATTCCTCAGATGCTTATTGAGCATCAGACTTGTGTCACATACTTGCACAGCTTGGTGTTGGAGATACACCCTTTATCACCACATACTTGGAGTTGCTTTTTGTCTGCTGTAAGACACAGGATGTAGTGAACAGGCCAAGAGAAATATAGGGTCCTGTGGGAGCTCCTTACAGGGAGGGACATAGCACAGAGAAACTCAGGGTAGTTGACATTTAAGTTCAGATCTGAGTGATCAGGAAAACAGCCAGCCAGAGGGAGCTGGCATGGGAATGGATGGAGGCGTGTTTGAGTCATGGCAGCCAGATCTAAAGAAGGCTACAAGTAGAGAGAGGACTGTGCATTTCTCCTTCCCATCACTGGAAGAGGAAGGGTATGAGGAGTAGGCTCTACATGAACATGAGAGCCAGCTCATGAAGGGCTGTACAAGCCATGTTTCAGTGTTTATCATTCATTCTGCAAATACATACTCAGCACTATGTGTCAGGTACTTGGCTTCAGGAAACAAGGCAGAAAATAATGCCTGCCCTTGTGGAGATTTTATTCAAATGGGGAAGAGACAAACAGTAAACATGGCACTAGTGGTTTTGAAAATGGGTCAGAAGTATGTGTAGTCCAAATGGTTACAGACTCAGCATTTGCCAATATCATGGAGCCAAATCTAAGACTATTTAATAAAAATAAGTTTGCAATCATTTCCAGTCCTCAGCTGATAACTACAGATAGACTTATTCTTAACTCAACATATTTACAGGTAAAGTTGAAGGTTACCTATCATTTATATTTATTGCTCACTCACATTGCATCAGGCATTGGGCTAAGCAAGCAAGCAAACCACATTTGAGAGAAGGTGCTACAGTTTAGTGCAATCAGTATTTCAAGTTCACCAGAGTAGAACTTAAGAGTAGAAGGTTTATTTGTTAAATAAGAATACTTGACCTTAATGGCTACCAAAAAAGAGTTGGAAGAATGAATAAGATCTAGTATTTGATGGCACAACAGGGTGATTATAATCAATAATAATTTAATAGTACATTTAAAAATAACTGGAAGAGTATAATTGTATTGTTTGTAACATAAAGGATAAATGCTTGAGTTGATGGGTACTCCATTTACCCATATATGATTATTACACATTATAAGCCTATATGAAAATATCTCATATACCTCATATATACCCACTATGTACCTACAAAAATTAAAATACACACACACACACACACACACACACACACACACGAATACTTGAGAGGTGATCAGAATGTCCTGTATTCCTGGCCGGGCACGGTGGCTCACGCCTGTAATCCCAGCACTTTGGGAGGCCAAGGCGGGCAGATCATGAGGTCAGGAGACTGAGACCATCCTGGCTAACAGGGTGAAACCCCGTCTCTACTAAAAATACAAAAAAAAAAAAAATTAGCCGGGCGTGGTGGCGGGTGCCTGTAGTCCCAGCTACTTGGGAGGCTGAGGCAGGAGAATGGCGTGAACCTGGGAGGCGGAGCTTGCAGTGAGCCGAGATCGCGCCACTGCACTCTAGCCTCGGCAACACAGCGAGACTCCATCTCAAAAAAAAAAAAAAAAAAGAATGTCCTGTATTGCTGTTTGAAAACACATTACCAGAACCAGAATTCTTCCTTGAAGTTTTGAACAATATCACAATAACAGAAACATCTCAAGATTTTATCATGCAGCCAGCAAACAAAAAAATTCTACATAGTGATTGAAGTAGACATTTGCTTGTCACTCAAGATGAATTATTGTAAATAAGGAGTTTTTATTACAATGAACACTTTTTTTGGCAGAATTAATAAAGAGCAGAGGATACTAGAAGTCAGTGCATAGAAGCAAAAGGAGAAATGTAGTTGAGCATAGTGAATAGAGAAGATTTGCTTTCGTTTATTTGCCCTATACATTAAGACCATTGAATGAGACTATTTTGTGTATGACAAGCATTTGAAAAAATTGTTTTACTCTGGCAATCTTAGGCTGATTTGTTTTATTTCCTTTAGAATAAAAGTTGCAAGTGGGTAGGAATTATGCCTTAAAGTGTTAGCCTACAAAGGACTGGAAAACTACTCAAGGGTAACAGCTGAAGAGGAAATGGCTCTGTCAGTGTCGTGCGCATGGATGATTGGGCACATAAGGGACACAAGCAGGGAGAAAGGTGCAGAGAGAAGAGCTCATAAAACCAAGGAGGCTTGCTTGGAACTAAAATAGAATAGCAAAAGTGAAAAGCCTGGGGAGCCACTAATGTGATATAGTTTCCCTCGTAACATAATGCAAATATGTAAAGTTGAAAACGTGTGCCGCCTCTTGCATAGACATTGCTGTCATCAGCAGCACACACAGTTGGGTATATTTGGCGAGGCATTTAATCTCCTGGCTCTCTGGTCTCTCAGTCCATATCACCAGAGGCATGTATTTTCAAAACAGTCCAGATCAATGTCTGGTCTTTGTATCTGTGGTACAAATATAAAGCTTACTTGTCCACATAACAGCAAAGTAAATCCGTGGTCCATTAACGCTAAATTGTAAATAGTGATAGTCACTTTTGTCCAACAGTGTCTGTAATGTTTATTGCTAAAGCCCATACATGTTTATTGATATTATCCTAATCTGGGAACAGTAGCTGCTAGTTATCTATGTGCCAAACACTGTGCTGCTGTTTGCAAATTTTATCTAATAGCAACTGTTTGTGAGGAGCATTTGTTATCTGCATTTTACCCATAAGGAAGGTAGGAGGGACAGAAAGGTTAAAATAATCCAGATGGAGGACCCACTCTTGGTCACTGGTATGTTTTGGGCTTAGCACACAGTTCTGCCAGACTCTGCAACATGTGTTCTTAACCATCAGACTTTATTTCTCTGGTGGGCAACACAGGTAGATGTGACAGGTTAGAAGTATTAGATATAAATATAAGTTATCGAGATGATATGACTACCGAATTCACTACTGCACTTTTTTTACTTTTTTAAAAACATGTATTTCAGCACACTGCTAAACCACAGCAAGAATCTTTTTAAAAAGACCTTACAAGAAGCATGATTACAGGTCACAAAATCAAGGGAAAATATTGTCATCATTATTTTTTAATAAGTGATAAGTGAGGCTGATGAGTGTAGACCTGTTGCTTTATTAATAGAAATATGTGCATCTGGTGAGGACTTGTATTTGCCAAGCACACTGCTGGCCTGGAATTAGACTCCTCTGTGGAATTCAGGTCAGTGTTTACACCCATAGTAGTTTACAATCTTTCATAAATTTGAGCAAAATATTAGGAAAGCACTTAGAAGCAATTTAGAGAATCAGAATTAAAGTAGAATCGGTGTAGCATGTATGTTCAGTGGAGAGGGGCGAGTAGAGGAGTGAGTTTCTCTGACAGATGATGAATCTAGTTTGTTTACTTTTTGGGAGACCCTGTTTCCACACTCACTGACATGTGAGTTTGCATCCTGGCTCAAGCACTTAAACTCCCCAGTCTCCCTTTCTGTGTGTGTGGGATGGAGATAACAAGGCCAACCTTACAAGGTTGTATAGGGTAAAGTGCCCAGTGTAAGATTTGAAGCACAGTAAGTCTTCAGTGGGGCTAGGTTTTCTCCTTCCTCCCTGCTACTTACTTCATGAAGAGGATGAATAAGTACAAATCTCTGTTCAGCGCTGCAAAGGAAGATTATCATATTTATTTATTTATTTATTTTTGAGACAGAGTCTCACTCTGTCGCCCAGGCTGGAATGCAGTGGCATGATCTTGGCCCACTGCAGCCTCCGCCTCCTGGGTTCAAGTGATTCTGCTGCCTCAGCCACCCAAGTGGCTGGGACTACAGGCGTGTGCCACCAGGCCCAGCTAATTTTTGTATATTTTAGTAGAGACAGGGTTTCGCCATGTTTACCAGGCTGGTCTCGAACTCCTGACTTCAAGTGATCCATCCACCTTGGCCTCCCAAAGTGCTGGGATTACAGGCATGAGCCACCTTGCCCAGCCCAGATTATCATTTTTAAATGCTGAAAACCTAAATTTCCCATTGCACTGTGCTATTACTTTCACAGTGTTGACTTTCAGAGATATCCGTGCACCGCCTTTTGGTAGCTCCCTATGTCCTCTTGCTTCTCTAGTTGCCATTTCTTTGGAAGACCCCCCCGACATTAGTTATCTCATTTTCCATGAGTGATTTTGAAACCCAGTTTGTGCCACAGTAAAATTTATTGAAATAGAAGAAACACTGGATCTTGAGAGATACCACCAGCACCTGCAGTCTTAACGCTTCATCTCCTCTCCTGACCTGGGTCCAACTCATCTTTTTTTCTCATCACCGCCTGCTGCCATCTTGTTTACTCCAAGTCTTCACCGTTCAGTCAGAAATACAAAGCCCTGCATGGGTCAGGTAGTCCTCAGAGAAGGAGAGAAGTAAGAAAGAAAGTGGAGGCCGGCCACGGTGGTTCACAACTGTAATCCCAGCACTTTTGGAGGCTGAGGTGGGCGGATCACCTGAGGTCAGGAGTCCAAGACCAGCTTGGCCAACGTGGTGAAACCCCGTCTCTACTAAAAATACAAAAATTAGCTGGGCTTGGTGGCAGGTGCCTGTAATCCCAGCTACTCGGGAGGCTGAGGCGAGAGAATTGCTTGAACCCGGAAGGCGGAGGTTGCAGTGAGCCGAGATCGCCCCATTGCACTCTAGCCTGGACAACAAGAGCAAAACTCCGTCTGAAAAAACAAAAAACAAGAAAGAAGGTGGAATCAAAGGGATGTAGGGGTTCCACAAATTTAGATGAGATGTCAGGTTTCTCAGATGTGTTCCTTGATTTGAGGTAGGTGATCTTAGAAGAGCTGCAACTAAACTCCAACTGGCTCCTTTTTCCCCCATGTCTTAGAAGAAAATGTGCTTCGTTTTTATTCTCTTGACAACCCTCTGCATTTGCATCTTTCAGCTTCTTCTAACTTGTGTCTCCTGGGACCTTTCTTTTCATAACTCTATTTTCTTTCATCATCTGTCTTTCCCCTGACTCCTTTTCCCTTTGCTTCAAAATGTGCAAATGGATCCTCTCTTCTCTGGCAGTGATTATCAAAGTGTGGTTTCTCGGCGAAATGTGATCACTTACTTCAAATCTCCTGGGATGATGTGAAAGTTGGGACCCACTTCAGGCCTATGTGTCAATACCTCAGTATGATATATTCCAGCAACTTTCCCAAAAAACTACTTAGTTTCCAAGGCAGTTTGGCATCTCCTAGAGTGGCACAGCAAATTCCATGATTTTTTTCTAGCCCTGTTCGTTTTGTCTTTTAAAACCTGTCTCCCTCAACATCCACAATGTTAAAAACGTCTAACTTGCCTTCTGTTTCGCTCACTACTCTTTTTTTTTTTCCTGCTTTCTGCTTCTGTCTTCATAAGTGCAGGCATGGGAAGAGCTGGGAATTTGGAGTCCCAGTAGGGTTTGATTCCTTAATGTCATTGCTCAGTAGCTGCGTGATCTTGGGTCACCCATGTATCTTCAGTAGGGCATCTGCTTTGGAGGTTTGTGTGGCTTGCAAGTGTCATTTTTAAATTGGGAGCCCAAATGCAATTGTTTGTGCTCTAAAAATCTGCCTCTTCCAGTTTGCTGTTGGAAAACTTGGAAATTATTGGCTTTGCCAGGGTTGTGGCCTCTGGATGAGAGCTAAAAGGTGAACAGCCTTTTATCCATTCTGCTTCCCCCCACTTACTCAGGGTCCTTTCCTGTTACAAATCATAGTTTGTATGGCATGGCAAGTACTGGAAGGGAGAAATTCTCTCCAGTGAGCCAGAAAATGCAACGGGATCTGTTTGTGATTGATAGAGATAAGAGTGCCTGATCTACTTTTCCCTCTGCCAGAAAAGTATTTTTCCCTGACAGCTGGAGACATCAAAGGTCTGAAGCTGTGAATACAGAGAGATGAATGTTCTAATATTAATATTATATTTAAAAATATACCACGTAACATTTAACATCAACATGTCTAGTTTCCTCTGTCTGGTAACCCCCAGTCGTCCATATGCAAAAAGAGGAATTCCAATCACAGAGGTCCTCACTCCAAGGAGACAGGCAACCATTACGTGTCTGTGAATAGCTGAGTAAGCCAAACTGTGATAGTTTCTGATAGATCATGTCAAGACCTAAATAGTGGAATCTTCAGGATTTGGAGGTGGGGAGCAAGTCACCTGGATTGATGAGGACTCACTGATGAACTGACCAAATTGTTTTTTTTTTTTTTTTTTTTTTTTTGAGATGGAGTCTTGCTCTGTCCCCCAAGCTGGAGTGAGTGCAGTGGTGCCATCTTGGCTCATCGCAAGCTCCGCCTCCCGGGTTCACGCCATTCTCCTGCCTCAGCCTCCCGAGTAGCTGGGACCACAGGCGCCCACCACCATGCCCGGCTAATTTTTTGTATTTTTAGTAGAGATGGGGTTTCACCGTGTTAGCCAGATGGTCTTGATCTCCTGACCTTGTGATCCGCTGGTCTTGGCCTCCCAAAGTGCTGGGATTACAGGCGTGAGCCATCGTGCTCGGCCCCAAATGGGCTTTTTAGGAGTTCTCATGGAAGAGATGGAAGTTTCTTCTTGAGTGAGAGCAATCCCAGAGTCTGATATTTCACCTAGTACATGGGAAGGGAACATGTTTTGTCCTAAGCCAGGTGTGAAGTATAGTCATTCATGTTGGGCAAAAACGTGGCAGGACTTGGAACTTCTGTGGGGACCCACAAAGGAGAATAGAGGAGAAGACTCCATGAAATTTCTGGTCCTGGTGTTGTGTGGATGGCCCAGGGCCCTGGCCAGAGAGATTCAACTACTAGGTGAGGTTTTTTTCACTTTAGACAACCCTGCTAAGGCTTCATTTCACTTATATGCCGTCTGTGGGCCTTTGATGGTTCTTTTTTCCTATATTTGCTATGGATATATTTATGCATTTAAAAAATTTGCATCATTGTAACTTTTCATTGACAAAATATATTTAATATGCTCGGTTTTTACAGTTTTGCTTAATTAGTTTTTTTCCCACTTATATTTATTTTCTGTAACTTTTCTCTTTTTTGTTGTCTGTTTTGCTCTATTAAGATGTTATATATCTTCTCCTCCTTCTCCAGAGTAGACCTCTCATCAGTTCACCAAAATCTCTCTCCAGTAAGAGTCAGGAAGCTTACCGTGTGACAACCCCTTCAAGGCAATAAGGCTCCAACTAAGGGATTAAGATTGTTTTTTGACACCAAACATTGTTTATCCTCTTAATTTTGAGCTATGTAGCCTGAAATCCATGCTCTGTGATGAAATGGAGGTGGTTTATCTGAGCTTTAATACTCTTAAAAATGAAGATAATGATAGAGCATAGTAATGAAAATTAAATAAGATGCATGCATCTAGCAGAGAAGCTAAGAAATAGGAGATTCTTAACAAATGTAACCTCATTTCTTCTTTAGTTTCTGTAAAACCCCAGGAATGTTAGAAAATATCTAGGTCGAAAGGAGAAGATCATGAGTTTGGTGTTAATTTTGAGGTACCTTTAACCAGTCAAGTGAAGACATGAAGTAGACAGTTGAATTTAAGGGTGTGCAGATCAGAGATGTCTGAGTGGAGAGTCTGCAGTTGAAGAGCTGTTTGTAGAGATGCCAGTTGATGGTATGAGATTGCTTATGGAGTCTTGAGTAACAGGTGGGCCTTGAGCCTAGCAGTAGAAGGATTTTCAAGATTTAAAGACATTCAATTGAGAACAAAAGAGCATGCCAGGGACTGGGAGAGAAGGGAAATGTGATGTTATAGAAGCTATGCTAAGCATAGTTTTTTAAGAAGGAGGGGATGGGTGTGTCTTTTTTGGTCATCAAGGAAGATGAGTACTCAACAGTGTCTCTTGGCTTTAACCACTTTAGTGGTCACTGTTGACATTTTCAGAGAGTTTTCTTGGTGGAATCATGGAATAGGAACTGACTTTCCATCCCTCAGAGTTGAGTTGTCTTTCATCTGACTTGGCAAAGTATTTCTTTTATGTACTTCTAATGTGATTTTTCTCTATTGTTTATAGTTGTTTGCACTTTTCATTCACGTAATAAATTATCAGTTTCCTGAAGACAGAGGTCATGCAAAATCCCATGTAAATTACACCTAGTTAAGTATTTAGTCTTAGAATCATTGGTTCTCATGATGAACAAAACACATTTCTTGGTCTGTTCATTTATTCATTCATTCGCTGAACAGTTTTTCATTTACCAATTCCATACAAATAGCAGGTACTATTTTAGGTTATGTGAATATAGTGGTGAACATAAGATACTCCCTTTTCTGTAAACTTTCATTGTAGGTGGAGACAGATGAGAAGGAATGAATACAAATGTTGAGGGCGTTCAGTGTCTTCACTTATTTGTTCCTCACAACAATAGCATGATGTAGATGTTATTCCTAGTCCTATTTCATTGATGAGAAGATGGAGGCATCAAGATATTTAGTAACTTGCCAGGGTTCTCAGTTCATTGGAAACAGGGATGATGTTTGGAGCTAGGATTCAAACCCAGGCGGTTTGACTCTCAGATCCACTTTGCTAATCATCTCACTACACTGCAAAGTGTTTGGCACGGGGAAAATCATTATTCTTATTATTAATGTAGTTAATAGTAACTATTTCTCAAGGGAGCTGAGGAATCATTTACTCTAATTCAGATGAGAAAATGGACACTCATACAGCTAGCTATTGGCAGAACTGAAATTTAGAAGCCATATTTCCAGGCTCCCCTTCCAATGTTTTCCCCTCATCCAGTACCTCTTCTTTAAGGAATGGAGTATGGAAAAGGGAAAAGAAGCTGGAAGAATGAAGGAATGGGCAAGGAGAAGGAAGGGTGTGTAGAAGAGATATAGGAAATAATTAAACCTGTTGGATTTGGGGTTTTTGATGCTATTGAACTGTCTGGTTTTTAAAGTTTTTTTCCCCCTTATATTCTCAAGAGGTAGATATCCTTGAAATGATATCTTCATGCAAAATAGTGTTTTATTTCATCTATGACCAAAAAATAATTCAGGAGCTAGGAAACCTTAGCTCCTTAAAAGTAAAAGACTGTATTTTGGGAAAGAACATTGTTACTGGAATTTATACTGTGATGACACTGGTTGGTAGACACACTAGAAGCTTTGAGGAGTGTGTGTGTGTGTCTTTGTGTGTCTGTGTTTGTGTCTTTGTGTGTCTGTGTTTGTATATGTTTGTATATTAGTATGATATATATAGAAGTACATATTTATTTTATAAAATACTGGTAGTGTTTAATTTGTGCATACTCTTTAGGGGAGAGGGTATTGAAATATTTTTCTGGGTTGGAAAAGTTTTTGTACTTACATGCAAGGCTGCTCTAAAATCAAGCACCATATTGAAACATCACAAATATACACTAAGCAAGGGACAGATGCACAAGGAATTTAAGCAGAGTTTTTCTAAATGGCAAATAATTAGAGGGGAACAGATGCCTATGGGCAGCAAAGGATGAAATGAGGTACCAGGAATTTTAAAAGGGAGATGGAAATACAAATGTAGAATGCAGTTGCTCTCAAGGATGTTTAAGCCTAGAGGGTGTGCTTGCCCAAAGTTCACTCTTTTTGTGGGTATTGACTTAAATTTGGTTCTCTCTTCACCTGTCTTCCCCAAAGAAGTAGATGATGCTAATCATTCTGAAGTGGAACAGATTTTCTGTGGAACCTCAGTTTTGGATGATCTGTGGCTGCATCTCTTTCTTCTGCCTCCCTAGGGTCTTGTCCTTTTATAGGACTGCCAGGATATGACATTTCACAACCATGTCAGTTCTCACTTATTTATTATTTATACCCCATATCCTTCCAAAAGGGTTTTTAGGTAGCCTACCAATAAAAGACACGTATGAAAATATATGTGTGTGTGTGTGTGTATATATATATATATATATAAAATTTTTTGTCTTGGTTTGTGTTTTAGGATGGACATGTCCCTTCTTTAGAAACAAGTCTGCTGTAAAATGGGTTGTATCCATCTCAGAGCTATTCTGCGTAGTCTTGATGTGGAAAAGGAAACAAATCTCCAAGAATAAAGTAGAGCACTAGGCATTTCCCATCTTCCTGTAGAGTGGTAGTTTAAACAGCAGGGGCACTGAGCAGAGCGATTGAGCCACCCAGCAAAGCTGAGCTGTAGCACCTGATCATTATCCCTCAGGTTTAAGATTTACCTGTTGTGCTCATTGTAACAAAAGAAATGAAATCTCTGTAATTATATTGGAAGGGGGAGGAGATCGTGTTTTAGTTCCTTTGATCTTGAGCTAGAATAGGCTCTGCTTTTGGAAATTTAATTTGAAAGAGCCCAACGTACACATCTGCTTTTTGTACTGCAATTTCTATTGAGCTTGAAAATAGAAATTTATTAATGCAAATGTGTAGAGTCTGTTCCTTGAGGAAAAGATATACTCATTCAAAACACAAGGTGATCCCTTCCTACATAGCTATGGAAGATGTTAATATGTTTTCTGTTTTTTTTTTTCCTTGACTTCAGATATGAGGTTCCTTGCTAACAAGGACTAAGCATAAAAATTATAGGATCCATTGGGGAATGGAAAGATTCATTCAATACTTAAAAGTTTCCAAAGGACAAATTCATTGGTGAAGAGCTGGGGGAAGCATACTGAATCCTCAAAAGAAAAAAAAAAAGCCAAAAACAAGTGCATCATCAAACCATTCTGAAAATATGTTTGAATTGATGATAGGGCCCATGCTAAGAGACAAAGCTTTCATTTCAACGAATCCAATCTGCCTAGTGTTGTGTAAAATTGCCTTTGCCTGTAAATGGAATGGCATGCAGATTTTAGGTAGGACACTTTCTCACCCAACTTAGCCTGTACTCTATTTCATTTTTTCCACCATTACATGAAGCTTCACATAAATGACAACTTGACTTAATCCTTAAAGTGGCTGGATTGTGTGGTCTATTTTGATTAAACTTTTTCTTGTTCTTAGTGTAAATTTTCAGTAATGCCTAAAATGTCATGAGCATTTTGGGACATAAATCCTTTAAGCTATTTTGCAGTCATATAGTTGTTCTTTGGAGGGTTTGAGTGCTTTCCTAAACTCCTTCTCATCTCTAAATAGGCAAAATAAATTATAAATTGTCGAGAACATTCAATCACTCTTCGGATGAGCAGGCATCTCCTAAAGCTGGGGAAAGTATCCATTTTCAATATTTTGAGTAAATATAGTTGATTCTTTATAATATTTGTACTGTATCAAAAGATCTCAAAAACTGTTATAAATTACCTAGACTTAAGGAAGAAGACATGATTAAATAATTCATTGGATCAATAAAACCAATCTGCTTTTTTCTGATGTGGTGTGATGAAGTTTTTTTTCAAATGGGGTAGGTGGGCCTCAGTGCTGTGTATTATCCTTTTGATTCTATTGGTTACTGTCTTTCTCTGCTCCCCCCTTAGTTGTTGTTTGATATTTTTGTGCTTTTTGTTTGTTTTGTTTTAAAGAAAGGAAAGCTGCAAGCCATAGAAAGTTAGGCTGTGAGTTAGGAATTCTGAGTTTAAAGCAGGGAGCCTGTCCCTAACTTTGTGTTTAAGTTGGTGTTTCAGTTATGTTGCCAGTGTAAGCTTGTGACCCTTACAAATGTACAATTTCATTTGGGTTCAGTGATTCCTGGATGAGTTTGTGATATAGGATGCCAAAGGCTGTGGAATTTCTTTAAGACACAAAATCTTGAGACAGAGCTGATTCCTTGGAAGCTTGTGGGTAACTAGAGTCTCATGTTAACTAATCTGGAGGGGGCTAAGAAAAGTCTTCCTACCCACTTCCAATTAATTAATTTCTAACATTTCCATCTAATCATGACTTTGTCGAGTGACACACATCTTTTTTCCTCACAGGCAAGAAACTCACACACAAAATTTCTATTTCTAATGGCAGACAGTTGGGGTGCCGCAGCCAAGCAGTCACCCTTAAAAATTAATGAGCGTAATGATGGTTAGAAAAGCGATTCTGATGGTGGTTGGAGAGGGAGGGGCCATGGGGATGGCAGAAGGAGGAAGACCGGACTCCTCATAAGTGACAATGATGTGAGCCCCTGTCCTCATCTCCCCTCCCATCCCCCCTTCCGCCCAGTCACCACCCCTTCCATCCTCCTCTCTTTACAGGAGCCAAAGCAGATAGAAAGACAGGGCGATTATGAAGACGTCAGTTGGAGTGTAGGCAGGCGAGAGGGGCGCAGCGCCCCAGATGAGGTCCGGGGGGAGCTGAGGAGGGTCACTCATGGACGACCGTGTGTGTGTGTCTGACAGACTGTGAAATGGTGCGTTGTTGCACGGCTGCGCTGCACCTGGGCCCTTCATCTGTGATTGATTGGTTTGGTCATGTGTAATGGTCCCATCTGCTCTGTGTTGTTTTTCTTTTTTTACTTATAAACACCGTTCCCAGAGGCTGAGAGAGGATGAGCTATGTTTTGTCATCTTCACTTACACTTTAGCTCAAAAAAGTGGTCAAGTAGGTAAGCTCTAAAGTCTGTCCAAGTAATGTAGTAGGAAAGTACGGTTTTTCCCCTTTGCTTGATTGTGTGTGTGTGTGTGTGTGTGTGTGTGCGCGCGCGCGTGTGCCTCTCCTGCGCACGCGTGTGTGCGTGGAGTTTTAATGCTGCCTGTTAATATCTGAATAGTTCGTGAACCACGGAAGACCAAAATATCGCAGAAATGATTTGCACAACTCTGTGTATTGTGACTCTTACTGCAGTGAGGATTTTTTTTTGTAACGGAGCCAATACTTAATTAAAACCGCTGACATCATGGTGTTATAATTAAGCGTGGCATTAATTAAGCTGGAATAACGATTTTTTTTTATTAAGAACTGCTTCTATTGTATAAGACCATTATCGCCTAAAAACAAAATAATTTTAAGGCAAAAATAAATTTGCTTTAACCTAGCCCTTTTCAACTTCCCCCAAAGTCCGGCCTCAGGACTGTCATCATCAGGGCTCCGAGTCTGTGTGTGCGTGTGTGTGTGAGCATGTGCGTGTGTGTGTGTGTGTTTGGTGGTGTTGGGTTGGGGGAGAGTGGAAGTGAAATTTGTTTTTTTTCACCCAAAAATGCTGATCGGCTCCTGGCATTCTGATGGCTAATTATGCATCGGAGAGCTTCGACAGCTGCATTCATCATCATAAAATGTAATAATTAATGACATTCCAACAAAGAAAAATATGCAAATGAGGACTCATTAGCATTTTCATATTCAGCTTTGATAATGCTTTTGCTGACAAGGTTGTAATTAATGAAAATTCATGTCGCAGTCAGGAGATTGGATCGGTTTCATTCCGCTCACAATTCCCAAATGCTTGCATTATGGAAAATCGGCGGCTCTGCCAACTTTTCAGGGAAGAAAAAAACACACACACACACTAAAAGCACCAGATGCAAATTAATGGTAGGGAGTCTTTAACTCTTTAAACCACCCCCCTAAATTTCCATCATAGGAAACATGTGATGAGTGTTAGCCTAAGAACTAGATTCTCTTTTTTTTAATAATAGGAAAGTACTTTTATTTGTGACCCAAGTATGAGAATTTCTGGCAAACTTTTTTTTTAATATTAAAAAAAACCCCCCAAACCCTCCACCTTTTCCCTTCTTTCCTTTTCCCTTTCAAGACTATTTAAATGTACATAGTAAAACATGTTAGGACAGCCAAGCCCCAGCATGTTGTGTTCTGTCCTCTGGCTGGCAGATTCACGCCACAACAGTTTATTCATCCACATGCTTTTTGGCGACTCTTCATCACGTATTTGGGCTTAGATCTTCTGGTGCCTCCCTCGGCGTGCTACCCATAAGGTCGAAAGAAAAGCAAGTATTCGATTTCTCTATTCAGGGTGGGTTTTTTTTTTTTTTTTTTTTTTTGGATGATAGTGGTTTTTTTTTTTTTGTGCTTTTTCTTTTTAATCTATTCCCTTTGTGGTTTAGTGTAAGAGTTTGAGAATGTGCCCATAATTCTCTCACTCAACACTTCTGGTTTAGTGTTGTTCTTCAAATGTAATTTTAGGAGACACTCTGCAATCAAAATGGAAACCCAGAAACCCCAGAGCAGAGATATCGACAAATATTTAACACAGAGAGCTGTTAATTTATGAAAGCCTCTGTGTGTTGCTTTCAAAATGTGGAACTTTAGGTTGGCAAATGTACACTTGATGCCAACCTGGTACCATGTTTGACAGACAAGCCTGAAGTTAAACTGAAAGTTCTATCTGGCCCTCAAGGTTAGAAAGAAAAACTTAAACAGAGTCTGACTTCATTTTCTATTTGATCTTTAGGTTAAAAAATGATGATTATTAAAACTGGTCTTTTTGCTGAGGCAGATGTTTTAATAAAAGGTTTGTATAATGATTAAGAAAAAGGGAAAATAGAAGTGTACTTCTTTATAAATTATAACGTTTATAAGCATTTTCACTCTCAGATGAATAAAATGACTTCTGGGAGTTCCTAAGATGCAGTTTCCTGTTTATTTAAAGTTAAATTGTAATTCCCAAAGTTGCTAGCCCAGCATAAATAAAGATTATAATACGCCTTGTTAAGGGAAGAGAGAAACTTTGATATGCGGGGCCTTATTTTTTAGAGTATTTCAGTAAAACAGAAAGAATCATCAGTTATTTCACGAAAATTTTAAAATAAATCTTTTTTCCCTTGTATGTGATTAAGAATGACTGGGTTTCATTCCTTGTTAAACTCTTGGGGTTCCAAGAAACAGAATTTTATTTCAATCTCTTGCTTCTTCCAACTTTTATTTTGTCACAGTTTGTACATGAACCTGTGTGTGTGTACACAGGCATGTGTGTAAATGTGTGTGTGTCCATGTCTAAAGATTATGGTGGCTCTGTCCTCTCTCCTGTAAAATCTATTGTGGTAAAATAGCAGGCAAAAGAAGGTTTTACTTTTTTTTTTTCCTTTTAGTTTATTTCTTTTTTTGTGTGGGCAAACTGCCCATCCAGATGGTAGAATTTCACCTGTAAGCAATCTGAAACGATAGGTTAATTCTGACATTTTATAGAGCTTTTTTTATTTTCTTTTCACACAGTACAACTAAGTGCAGAATAACTGCTCAAGATAATGTTTCTTTTTTTTTTTTTTTTCTTTTAAAGCGCTTTCTGCTGTGATTGGTTCTTTTTTCCCCCAAATCTGAATTTGGGGCTCATTTAAAAATCTGTGGCTTTAGGCACTTTGCTGTTATTGTCAAAACCACATCTAATGAAATCTTTGACCAGCTTCTAATATGTGTAAATGAGGAAGTGATGGCAGAAGTGAAAAAGCAGGTTAGTCGCCGAGAAGCAGATCCTTGTAATTTTATAACGCTGAACGTTCCACTGGCTTTGATAAATTTACTGTTAGTTTTCTCCTCCCACCAAATTCACAGATGTATACCAACTCATAACTTCCCAAGTAATGCCTAGCATGGTATTAGCCCCCGGAATCCTGGGACTTGCTTTTGTTGTCAGTGTGGTTAGCCTCTGGTGGCTTATGTGACTGAGTAAACTGGAGAAAAACTTCAGGGTGATTCGTTGTCCCGTGATCAAGGAATCCCATTATTTCCAAAAGCGGGTTAGAAGATGTTTTTGGAGTAGAGTGTGGAAGGGAAAGGGAGTATTGGAGATTGTTTTTACACATAATCATGGTAATCATGCTGTGTTGACAAGTTAGTTTTGAATGTGCCACCTTCTTGTTTTTATTTCTAGAAAACCTTCATTTTCATGAATTATTTCTTGAGCTGATGATAAAGATGACTTTAGAGACATCTTCTCCCCTGGTGTATTCCTTTAGGGAAACGTTTTTGAAAGTGTTTCCCTTTATTATACCTGTAAGGCTTGGGACCTTTGTCATGGCATTGTTTGTTGTTTTTTCCGTTTCCTGTTTTGCACGTGTTAATTCCTGTGGGCATTTTCTTTTTAAAGTGATGGGATTTCCACTGTCCAGCAGCAAGCCACATTTACTGGAGTTATTGAACTCTGTAATAGGAAACCTGTGGGTGATCAGTTTTACCCTCCCTAGAAGATACTGCTTCAGTCAATGAGAATTACAGCCCCATGACTGAGAATTTTAAAGAAGGGGTTCCACTAAGACACCCAGATGTTTTGTTTCAGGTGTTGCAACAAAATCAACATTTGTTTGTGGGCAGCGAAGCCAGTGTTCCTGCCAGTATTCCCGTTCAGTCGCTTCTCATATTTCCCTTGCAAACTTTCCCATTGGTTGGGGTCTGTGGAGAGATTTCAGTGGCTGGCTGGTGGAAATGTTTGGGAGAACATTTGCGTATCAAAGCAACCTAAATATTTGCAAAAATGTTTGCTTGAGAAAAAAGAATCCACTTAGGATTAGGAAGTAACTGCTTAAACATTTTAAAAGCATTTGTGATTTCCCTAAGTATATTACTCATGAGCCACTGCCTAACCTGAATTTCAGGGGTCACTCTGGAATCTGTATATTTAAAAACCCTATAAGATAATAAAGGTTTTGCTTTATGATTAAGATCTGAATCCATACATTAAAATGAAAAAACACTTGACAAGACAAAATATATTTTAAGAATTGTTTATCATTTAGTGAACCTGCAAAACAAAAGGTGTAAAGAAAGGGCCTCATGAAATGGTTGGATGTTGAATACCTCTAACGTCATTCTTTCCCTCTACTGTAGATTTTTTGTTGGTAAAACCCAATTGTATTGCTATGATATGACATTCCTTCTGTTGGAGTCCATAAGCTTTCTTCCAGTGGTAATGATTTGAATGTCAGATCTTTTTCTTGAGTTTAATGTAGGCATTTTCTGTCCACATTATTAAAGTTTCAGCTACATTTTACTGATGGTTTGGAAACAGTATGTGTAAAACTCAGTGTAGGCCAATTTTTCCAATTTGTTAACAAGGTAGGAGTTGAGCATTGACAATTACTGTACTTAAAAGCCCCTCGGATCAGGTGTTATTTTACCATCTGGACATTTTAATTAGTAATAAAAGTGTGGATCTGGATACACAGAAATAGGATCTACAGTACACAATGGCCCAATGCACTCTGTTGGTGCTGAGGTGTATGTGGCTACATTTTATAAATATGTATGTATGTGTGTGTGTGGGCAAGTGTAATTATGTGCCAGGTGTGTCCTTTTTCAAACTGGGCACTAACACAACACCAAAGAATTTGGCTACTTTTCTTAGATAAAAAGTAAAAATGTATAATCTATAAACTTGCACATAAGTAAAACTGTATCTTTTTAATGCTCCTACTTCCTCAAGTATGGCATGACAAAATATAATGCTGACATTTAGGTAGGCCTGGGCAAAAGATGTGACTCTTCTCTTTCATAGCTGTGTGCTCTAAGGCAAATAAATTAACCACCAAGTATCCCTTTTTTCTCATATTCAGAATGAAAGTATAAATGATAATTGTTATGGTATCTACCTAACAGGATTATGAGGAAGCTCATTTGAGCATGTATGTTGAAAAGCACTTAATGAAATATAAGGAGTCATAACAGTTCTTAACAATTGATTGTTAATACAGGATGCAGATGACCAATTCATACCCCACATACCATCTTTTATAATTCAGTAAATCATCTCATATTTAAAAATAAGGGAGATGCAAATATAATGTTACATTAGATTATTAACAAATGATAAGTTTAAGACCACCAGAAAAAAATGTGTTCATAAGTTTCAACATAAAGCAAAATGACTCATTCTTATAAAGTATATACAGGCTCATTGACGCAATGTTATCCTTAATTAAGGCAAAAGCGATGCATTTGAGGGAAATAGTGACCCTCTGGAGAAATAGAGAATGAAAATAGTTTAGGGAAATGAATCTTAACATCTTCTCTTTTGGAAAAATTCATGCATGTTTCTCTTAATCATTATGAATTTCATGTTTGCAAACCAGTGTGAATACTTAAACGATAATCATTATTGTTTAGAATCTACCTATTACTACACACACAGATACACACACACACACACACACACACACACACACACACACACATTTGCTCAAGAAAATCATCCTCAGGAAGTAAAGGAGTTGATAAAATTACCATTGGAGCAGATGAGTTTGGATACTTCTACTGAAAGCTGTTTCAGTTTTTATTATAGGTACAGTTCTCCCCCGAGAATTCTTTGGGAGAAATAAAAACATTTGTTTTTAATTTAAATGAGTGGTAACATGCTGTAGCATAATATTAACTATTTCAGTGATTTTATCAATTTTATCTTCCTCTGCCTTAATGTAATAAATGCATATCTTGATTAAGTACAAATCTTTACATTACGTTGTCCCTAATGACAAATATTATTTTAGGCAACTTAGTTTTAATCATCAGAGTGTCTTAGGGAGCTTATAAAACTTGTCTCTGGGACATGGTATTAGCAGGATGTACAGAGTTCCTTTTTGGTGCCATGCTAGGAGGAGAGACTGACAGAGTCAGTCCAGTCCATTCATTCATTTGATAGATAATAAGTAAACCACAGAAGAAACGAGAATATGTCAGTTCTGACTGTACAGGTTTTAAGATTTTTTAGACTTAATATTGAAAACTAGTTTTACTTAATGTTCTATCAGTTTCATTTAAATGCCCTAATCCAATGATCACTTTCATTTAAATATCCTAATCTAGTGAGCAGATAGGGCTTACATAGCATTTGTCTTGAAGACGTTTTAAAAATGCAGCTGCAGGTCCTCATCTTTGAAACTCCATTTGGTAAAAATGGCCATGTCTACCTTTACCTGTAGATTTAAGTGTCCACAGTCGCGGGATGAGAAAAGAAATTGTGACACTTCTTGAAAAATGGTCTCATCAAAGGGATTCAGTTGAAAA
Organism: Homo sapiens; assembly: GCF_000001405.40. Lineage (NCBI taxonomy): Eukaryota > Metazoa > Chordata > Mammalia > Primates > Hominidae > Homo > Homo sapiens. Next base: position 55,417,174 of record NC_000018.10, on the reverse strand, counting down.
TGTGAGGGACTGCATTTAAACTTTGATAAAAAAAATAAGTAATTCTAAGTAAAGTCTGTAGCCAAACTCCTTAATTGTGATGCATTTGCTGAGTTCCCCTCTTCCGTCGTCGGGCCTGCTCTGATGCCATATGGCCTACCATGGAACATTTAACTTGTCAGATATAATGGATTGTCCTGGAAGCAGATTTTTGCTTTGAGCACTCGGCTCCTTTCTTGCATTTCACTCTCAGCTCCAGGCTGCAGGATGAAGGATTGTGGTAGAAGTGCAAAGAAGAGACACACAGTTGATTCCCCTTAAGAGAGTGACCTATATGCCACAAAATTTTACCCACGTAAAGAGGCATTATCCCCGTCACTGGCCTTAGCAGGCTGCATGTCAAAGTCATTTAAATTTCCCTGGACTTAACAGATTGTGTAAACATTTCAGAACTGAGAGCTTAGGAATAATGAAACATCGTCATTTTAACTTAGGCAAAAATGGTGCAGCCATATTGGCCAAAGGAGGCATATTATTTATTGTGACCTACATGTAACGTAGACCACCTGGTTTTTAGATTCTATAAATTAAGTTCTCTCAAGTTTATGAAGGATGCTAAAAAATATATATATTATGATGGAAATGTTACTTGGCTTTATTGTTTTTGTTTCGTGAATAGAGAGGTGAGGTTGAAATGATCATTTAGGAATCGCTTCTTAGCCTTTTGGCTAAGATCAAGTGAAATGATCATTTAGGTGGAGGGACAGTGGCAGCTAATTATCCTACCAGGCTTTCTAGCTTGAAACTTAGGGGCAGACCTTCCATTCATTCTAACCTATTTGAAATTAGAGATTGGATGTGTTATGGACTATTTAATTTTTATCTGTAAAAGTAAATAATGTAGTCTTTGTTCATTTTAATTTGGTGCTTTTATGAGTTAATTTTTTTTTCAATTTGTGCTATTGTTTCAACAAGCTTGGAAAACAGTAGGAACAATTTGTGACTTTTGCATCTGTAGGAAAACTTCTTTAAAAGAATAAACAGTGCCCTACCTATATGTGTGTGTACATACATAGCTGTGAGGTACTCTTCTGGTATAACCTACTGTAAACCCCAAAGCAAATATTGTGATATAGAGACACAGAATAGACAATTTACAAGTAATCAATCAAGCACAAACCAGTGGGAAAATAAGGAACTTATGTATCTCAATTTATTCTTTAAATGCTACATATTTGATTGCTTTAGGGTTGCAAAAGTTAATTAATAGATTTGTATAAGACACACAGAAATATACATACACTAAAAGAGACTTTGCTAAGTGTAATTCAATATACTCACAAAAATATGTGTTAATTATGTTAGAAATTTAATATTTAATTTAATTCCATAAATCCTTGCATTACAAATAAGTCCTCATACAGGTCAGATAGGGCAATAAAAACTACTGTGGCCTTGAAAACTGACAGAAGCTCACTTCTGTACAAATCTTTTTAATGAACAACTTTCCATCGAGCAGCTAAGAAATATCTGTTAAAGTCAGTATTTAATACTAAAGTGTACTTATGTATGTTTCTTACTGATCCTAAATTGAGCACGTTAGTTTTATCAATGCCACTCATCGGCTGACTGTACCCCTCCTCCCCCATACAGATTTGGTGAGACTTAGTACTAAATAAGTTTGGGGAGTGCCTGGCCATAGCCGGCTCTTGTTGGGGCATGTGCGCCCTCTGCTGGCTGCTCACATAGGAACTGACTGGTGTGTGAGGTTCTTTCTTTCTTTTACTTTTCAAGGTTGGGTTTTTTTTGTTTTTTGTTTTGTTTCAATTTATTTTTATACAACTGATCAGATATTTACCATGATTATAAAGTTGTAGCTTAATACTGAGTATGGCCGTTAATTTGTTTTTATTTGGAAATAAAGGTGAGGTTTTGTTTTGGGTGTGTTTTTGGTAAATAGATAGTCCTGATAGTTCAAATAACATGCAATGTGTGTAATACTCTTGAGTTTTTTAAGTGGTTGATTGTATATCACGATTAACCATATTTTCATTGCTTTCATATTCCCCTTGCCTTGATTGTATTTGAGAAGTATTCTTGTTGGACTAAGTTGGGAATAGAACTTAAAAGGGGATAGATAAGTCATTGAAATTTTGAAATATGATTATTTGTCTGTAATGGATGTGGTAGGTAATCCCTAGTAGAAAAATTCCTGTTATGGTTGGTTGATAGTTTTCACTTGCTTTGCCAAGGAAAATGAGTATATTTACATCATAATACTTTATAAAAGCATTTTTGGTTTCCTTGCAAACCAAATTAAGCTGTGCTCACTGGCAGACATTGAGAATGGTAGTTTGAGTAAAATATTTTTTGTTTTGTTTTGCTTTTGCAGTTGCTGTTTATAGAGTATGAGATGTTAAAGGAACAAATCACTGATGGTCTCTTTACTCCCAGGACACAGGACTAAACTATACAAGGGCAGTTACAGAGGAAGAGTGTCAGCCTCTCTACCATTGCCTGGGTGGAGAGCATCCTTGGGTCCTGGTAGTGAAGGCCAGGGCTCTGTGTAATGAGTGTGTCTTTTAAAAATAGCAACAATTTTTGTTGACAAGGCTCCATCAAAGTCTTTATAATAATTTAGTTTGTATAAGTGATTTCTGTGTATCTCTGAAATTAAATGACTTGATGGAGTCAGTTTGGTATTTGTTGTACAGAGAAGGCAGTTTAGATTTTTATAGTTCTTTTGTCTTACATTGCAAATTTTTCTAATTTGTAAGCAAAAGCCATAAAAACTTCCAAACCAACCGTGGAGTGATCAAAGAACTTAGAGCTGTGGAAGGGCAGAAATGTCATCTACGTTTTTTTTTTCTTTTCTTTTCTTTCAGTTTTTCCCCTTTGCAATTTTAGGTTCCAGTTACCTTAAAATTTGTTTTGGATAAATGATATAAATTTTTACTTAATAGTCTTTACTTACTTTGATTTAACATTGTCAAATAACTAAGAATTGCATTCTAACAAATATTAAGTCCTTATTACCTCTGTTAGAATGTCATCTTGCATGAAATCTCACATACATGTCTCTCCTGTTACCACCTTGTCTTCAATGAGGTTGTATTGGGTGCTCTTTCTTGGTGCTTCTCTGGGTTCCCATTATATCCCTTACTGGTGGATAGCATTGTGTTACTCCTGGTATTTAGTCATCTAAACTCTTACCTCCTTGAGAATAATGTGCATTGTTGACTCTCTTGCATCCAGCACATGTTACACAGAAAGCACCCAACAAATATTAAATTCCCTATATTGTGTTTTTTAGGCCTCATTCACCACTATTCAGATGATAATTTTTGCAAGTTTCAGGATTAAAAATTGTGGTCTGTAAACATAGTATATGTAATGCATTTTATTTTCTTGCATACTTTTTATAGGATGAGGTCATTCTTCTGGCTACTCCTTGTCTGCTTTCTTTTTTCTCTTTTTCCTCCCTCTCATCCTTCCCTCTGCCTCTCCTCTTCCTTCCTGTGCTCCCCACCTTCCTCTCTTGATTGAGTCATGCTCCTAGATTCAGTCATTGAGAGGCTTCTCTTAAACACTGCAGCATGGGACCATTCATCTACCAACCTTCCCCTTCCTTGAACAATAACTAGTGCTGCAGGCTGGTTGGACTCTGGGGAGTGTGGCCCTGCGTATCTGGCAGTTTGGTTATTATTATGGGCCCATTCTCTTGAAGTTGATCTTGAAGAGCAGGCTTGGCTGGAAAACATCATTCTTCTATAAATATAATGGTTAGCAATCTTCCTACTCTTTGTCTTCCTTGGAATGTGTTTTCAATTCTGGGCTGTTCCTCCCACTCCCCTCCAGTTTCTCTCAGTAGTGCATGTTTAGGGGATATAGGTCAATTGTATTCAGTGCTAAGGCTAGAGAAATGATCATTTAATATATTACAGATACGTATACAAATGGCAGTTGGATTATCTTCTGTCTGGGGTTAAAAATGTCACTTATATATGTGTGTTTATGTATGTATTATACATATCTATATACCGTATATAACATTGTCATGTCCCCCCCCATTCTTTTGATGTAGTTTTGAGTATCATATCCAATGTGTATAGTTTAAGAGATGAACATTGTTATATTCTTGTTCACTGTAAACTTAGCTTGAAAGTTAAGGCCATCACCTGTGTACCATGGTGCTAAAATACATAATTTTTCTATATAGACAACTAAGTGCCTATGTAGACTACTCTATAACAAACAAACCTTTTCCTCTCTTTTCCATCTCACTGTGGCTTATTTAGAGTTGTATCATTTTTATCTTTTACATTGACTGTTGCTAAGACTCTGGTGGAACATTCAGTTAAGTGAGCAGCATATAATTTATGATTAAAAGTGATTTGTGTGGTGAAATGCGGCTGCTGATTTCCTTCATATTTTCCAATAAATTCCAAAATATTTAGCCAGGCACCAAAGTCTTGCCCAGATGATGTTGTCTCTATTACATTCAGCCAGAAATGTCACCCATCTCCTCCAATGAAAGGGAAAGGACCGGATTTTCTCCCTCACTGTGGACTTGTCATGCCTCCACAGAACGTGGACAGAGAAGGGGTAGAAGGACCCTTTTAAATGAACGAACCAGGTCAGGTTCACTAGAGTTGGATCCTGGATTCTAAAGGTGACATCCACTCTTGAGATAGAAGAGAGATGCTTTCAGAGCAGCGGGCCAGTGGGTCTGATCAATGAGGAGCAACCTTAACAAAACTCCGGGATTCTCATATTTTGGGATACTGTTGTTTATTAGGGGAATCGATTTGGCAATGTAAAATCGATTTCTTAAAAAAAAAAAAAACAGCCTTCATTATTGGAGATGAGCACATTTAAAGGCCTAGCACGCTGCCAGAGAAAGGTTTCTCTAACCCATGAAATGTAACTGTCTGAAATGACCTTGGGGATCAACAAGTCCTTGTCTTTTAAAAAACTCTGCGTAAATAGGTGAGTGCTAGTAGTAATCTACTTTTTGTTATCTACCATGTTACCAGGTCTATTGGAGTTTTAGCTAATGTAACCTATAGAGCTGTGCCTATCACTTAAATTGGTTGCTTGTCTCCCTAGCTGGTCAGAATAACCAGTGGAATTTTATTTGCAAGAAAAAAAAATCTGTTGGGCATGGTGGCTCATGCCTGTAATCCTAGCACTTTGGGAGGCTGAGGCAGGTAGATCACTTGAGGTCGGGAGTTCAAGACCAGCCTGACCAACATGGTGAAACCCCATCTCTACTAAAAATACAAAAATTAGTCGGATGTGGTGGCACATGCGTGTAATCCCAGCTACTCGGGAGGCTGAGGCAGGAGAATTGCTTGAATCCAAGAGATGGAGGTTGCAGTGAGCTGAGACTGCATGCCACTGTACTCCAGCCTGGGCAACAGAGTGAGACTCTGTCTTAAAAAGAAAAAAATAAAAATAAAAAGAGAGAATGCCAGACTCTACCGAATTCACGTACCATGGAGAAGAGAACCCAGGAATCTGTTTTTAGGAAAAGTCTTGCTGATAATTCTCCTGATCAGCAAGGTTTCTTAGCCATGAATTGAATTTGAGGAAATTGCTTTTCTCCACACTCACCATCTCATCACAAGTCTTCCTTCTGCCTAAGAACATAGTGAAAATATTTTATTTCTGCGTGCTTTTGACACCTTTAGCATGTATTGCAAGATGAGCTTTTTTTCATTTTTATATGAAAAACTATTATGTTCTTTTGAATAAAAAATAAGCTTTCAAATGCATATGCTGTTTTTTCTAAGACCACACAAGTCCTTAATTGCCTTGGTTATATCCAATTATCATAGACTCAAACTGCAGTAAAAATATAAGATAGGGTAGGCATCACTGTGAAGATGTTATTCACATAAAGCCAATGGTAAGTTACTCATTAGAAGTAAGTTGAGTGATTTCAGGGTTGCCCTTAGTCCTTCAGGTCTCTAGGGGACCCTTGTACAAATTGCTGATTCAGAAAATCATTACTTTGGTGGTTCAAGTGGTACTTTAGTGGCCTTAAAGAGTTATTTGACACACCTCCCCAAACAGCTAAGTTATCCCCATGATTATGTTGATTAATTGCACACTCTGTGGAATTAGTGTTATTTTCAATGAAAGATTTTCCTGCGTTCGGAAAATCAAGCATAAAACTCATGTGCTTTAATTTGATAATGTGTGTACTTCTCCTAAGCAGGATGCCAAGTGAGGGGCTGATTTTGGTTGTTGTTGTCTGGGCCATGTGAAATCATCTAGGACAATATTTTTATTCTGCACTGAAAAGGTAGTTTTTGATGGACTGTAGGATGTTCACTCAAAATGCTTATCGATTCGGACATTTTCATCCATCATGGAACTTGAGAACTCTTTGACTTTATGAATTGAGTTTAAATTATTTGGGGAGAGGATTACGGTAGTGAGAAGGCAATGGTTGTTGCTACAGTAGGCACTAATAATGATACATCTAGAAAACTCCAAACGGAGGTGGCATATTGTGGGAAAGCCTTGGTACTGGAACTGGAGGTCTGTGTGCTAACTTCACCACTTCATATCTGTGCAGCCTTTTTAACTATATGAGCTGGTTACCCTTAATTTTAGTGACTTCGTCTATAAAAACATGGACTAAAATGCCCATTTAATGAGCTTTTAGGGTGTGTTGCCTTAAATAATGTAAGTTAAATTTGCATGCGAGATAGTGCATTACAAATATAAGTGCTCTATGGAGAATTGAATATAGAATCTGAAATTCTTCACTTAGGCAGAGCCCTGAAGTGAAGACTTTTGGTGGCACCTTAAGATACTATCTGGGGTTTCAGTACCCACACTGTGTTAAAGGCAGCACAATGCCTAGATGAGATGAGGGGAATCAGTGATGAAATGCAGCCAAAACTCCCCAATTTCCAGTGGGATCAGAGCTATAGGCCATTACTGAGTATTCTATTTTTAGGACTAAAAGAACATCAGCGGAAGAGAGAGTTAATGCCAGTCTTTTCCAGAAAAAAATGGTTTACTGCCCATTTTTCATTATCCCTTGATACATACAAGCTATGTGCCTAGTTAGTTACCTTTTCCCCCATTTGTCTTTATAGGATTTCCTAGGTTGTTGGATGACTAGTTTATTTGCTGGAATGGAGTTGTAATTCTTTTAGCACAAATTTATTTTACATTTAGATTTTTAAATGACTGTGGATGAAGGCAGAGTTGTCCCTGTATCGTAAGATTCTGTAGGAGAGAACCAGTACTCTTCTCTGAAATGTTGGAAATTGAAAGAATAATGTCAGCTTCTGCTTTTTTGTAAACCCAGAGTCTCACCTCCAAACTGGGATCAGGAGTAAAGTTGACTAGCTAGTCAGAACAATGAAGCTATACCTGCATGGCCACAGATTACCGTAAGACATATAAGCCAATAGAAACCAGCAAATTAAATAGTCAAAATGTTTTCATATCAATTTAAATAAAATAAAAATTTAATTTTTGAACCTACATCATTTATCTGATAGAAAACTACAAATATATAGTAACCTGATATATTCTTAGTGTTAAGTTGTAAATAATAGTAGTTCTGAAAGGTCATCAGCTCTTGTATTAATAGACACAAAAAAGATGGGGACGGGCATGTATGCTCAAGTCAGTTTAGGAAACATTGTATAAAACTAAATTGAAAGCCAAGTACAGTGTCTCATGTCTGTGATCCCAGCTCCTCTGGAGAGCAGTGCAGAAGAATCCTTGAGCATAGGAGTTAGAGAGCACCTTGGGTAACATAGTGAGACCCCATCTCATTAAAAAAAAAGAAAACCCTGAATTAAATGTCTTAACTGCAGTACTTCTCAAGAGTCTTTAACATGCTAGATACAATGTAAATCTGTTGGGGGGCAGGGCAATAGCTTGTAACAGTTCGTAGATTCTTTTAATTAGTCTCCCTTTTGGTTTTTGGAGCCCGTTGTGGGATCACTATTCTATAGATGACACTGAGTGATGCTGGGTTGTCCTGTATTATAATTATATTTTTACTTTTACTCTTCTGTACATCTTAATACAAAGACATAGTCTTCACATAGAGGTGTAGAAATGCAGTTTTCTGCCATGTTTTTGTTAATTAGTTGCTTTGTGTTAATGTGCGGAGATGGTGGCAGTTTATTGTAAGATGTCACAGAATCCATGTGTATCATTTGTGCAGCTATAAAGTACCTAGAGACCTTTTAGGAATAAAACACCATGTAAATGTAAATTATCATTGCCTATAAGACACTTTCATTAATTTCATATCAAATTCATGAGTGTTTTGAGCTCTGGGATTTGAGAGTCTTCAGTGTCGGGCCTCTAGTTTATTTATACTTTTTTTTTTTTCCCCCAGAGTTTAAACACCAGCAGCATAGCATAGTGCTAAGAGCACAGTCTGGGCAAACAAACTGCCAGGGTTTGAATCCTGGCTCTGTCACTTGTACCTGTGTGGCTGTGGGCAATTTTCTAGATCTCAGTTTCCTCATCTGCAAAATGGTGTTTCTATTACCTGCCTTATGGGGTTGTGCAGATTGAATGAATCATTTTATGTAGAGCTTTGAGCAGTGGTTAATACATGATAAGGACACAGCTATTCTTATTTGGACAGGGAAGGAAAAGGCAGGCATGGAAACGATGAAGGACTGTAAATAATAACCTCATGTATGTGTTCAGAACTACTAAAAAGTTCAGTTGTTGTTTAATGAACTAGTCCTTTCTACATATATATAGATTCACAGGGTAATCAGAGATGGATGGGACTGGGGATGGGGACAGAAATTTATTCTGAGTCAAACATGTTTATGATGAGTTCCCTAGTCTGATGCCAGGGAACAAAAGGCTCATTCTTCAGTTCCCAGAATGAGGATTAACAGTGAAACAGCCTTGCTTGGTGTTGTCCTGCAGCATCAGATAATTTTTCATCAAGGCGTTTCACGGGATGATATATTCTCCCATATAGATGAATCTATTTCAGCGGTGGGTGAAACACCTACCATTTATATATAATTTTTAAAGTGGCATTTTACAAATGAAAGGCTACACAACCAAACATGACCCTGTTATTATCCTACTGGTCAACCACAAGAGGGATCATCTCTGTTAGAGCTTATCTCTAGAAATCATTTTATTGATAAGTTGCTCGTCTGTCTCTAGCTCTTTCTAGGTGGTTTAGAACTGTCATGTGTATCCAGGGGCAGTAATCTACCAAAGGTGATCCTTCTTAGAAGTATCCCTATGAGTGGAATGGATTTATGAGATCATTTTTTTCCCTTCATGTAATATTTTCATTGTCACCCAGTTCCCTTACAATAGGATACCATGGATGTATCGGAAGAAAAATTGGAAGTCAAATGGCTGATAATACAAGAATATAAAAATATTCAATTTGAAATTCTATAGACATTTGTTAACCATATCACCCTCAAATAAAAAGCAAATTTTCCTGCTCCTTCTTGGGACAGCAAGATAAAAGATTGTTGAATAGATCAGCAAAACATTGACTTTTTTTTTTTTTTTTTTATATGGAAGTTGCTTGCCTTTCCTGCTCATATTAGTTTTTCTGGGCCAGGGGAAGCAAGTGAATCCTTTATTGATTGCCATTTGGTGCCATTTTTAATAATCAAATTTAAATATAGGCTTTAGCAGCGGACGGGTTCGATTTGGACAGAACACATGTTGACTTCCTGGACTGTTTGCTCACTGGAGATGCCGACTTGTTCTGTAGACGGGGCTGCATGTTGATCTCCTTTGTCTCCAGAAGGATTGATTGACGGATGTTGTGTCTGCTCATTTACAGCGTTTTCCTTGTTTAATTTAAAAAATTGTGACATAGTATTACATGTTCCCTTGTATACATCATTTTTGCAGAAGAAAGTTGTTTAGCCAATATGTCGACTTAGTTTATGAAATCCTCTCTATAGCTTTCATTCAGCCCTTCGTGTACTCCATTAGGTCATATTCATTTCATGCACGGCAAATCGTCACCAGCAGCAAAATTTAACATTTGGTCCTTTTAGGTATAAAAATGAATCAAATGCCTGACAAGATTTGTTTCTGGTATATATTTCAGAATCTCCCCCCGCCCCCCGCACCAACCCCATCTTTATGGGCATACAACAAATGTTACTAACGGGTACTTTTAGTTTTAAAAATATGGACAACAGTACTCCATGCAGTAAAAGACTTGAGCGATTAATGCTACCCTTATGCCTCTTTTGAGTAGTTTTAGCCATGGGGCTTGGCACTGCCACCATTGTCTTTGTGCCAAAAAATATCCGCAGCGGCTGTCGCATTCTAGTACCGGAGGGTTGTCTCGAAAATTCCGCAGTGAACGCGCCGGGTTTGTTCATCACTGCTATCTCTTTTAAATATTGGAAAAATAGAATCTTTAGCTCTTTCAAAGCCCCGTTGTGGTTGTGGGGATGGGGGGAGGCGGGTGGTGAAGAATGGAGAAAGGAGGAAAGAGGCTGTCCGCGCCAGCCAGTTGGTATAAGTGACAAAAATCCATGCCTGACATAGAGTAAACACAGATATTTAAGAGCTTTTGTGTTCATGAGCACAGATAGTTACTTAAGGATCCTACTCAAACATGTTATCAGCGCTCTTGAAAATTTTATTATCTGAAACAAATGTTCCAAGTGAATTTTAAGCAGAAAATCAACATCAAGACCATAGCTAATTTTTAATGGATAATTTACACAAAAGATAGTTTCTTTTCTAGAAACTGAGGTGTCCTTTTAAAATGGCTGCTTTTAGTCTTTAAAAAAAATGATAGGAATCGCGATTTTATGTTTGAGAAGGTGCGTGGGCTTTATCCACAGTGCCTGATTATTTTGCTCCCAAACAGGGGTTCTGGCTCTGAGGGCAGATTTATAGTTGAATTGGGGAACAAAAAGATGTAATAAAGTTAAAAGCTTACACTATCAGAATGAAATGTGTTTGTTCATGATCTCTGGACCGATCTATTTGATGGTAAAAGTGGATGCTACAGATGAAATCTTTACAAGGAGCATAATCCTTAAAAAAAAAAAAAAAAAAAAAAAGTCCACCTCCCAGCCTCCTGCTGGCTGTGCTGCCTCTTTGGTACCTCGCAGACTTCGACAGAGCCCTGGACGGGTGCCCATTGATGTCATGGAAACACTCAAATTACTGAGAATGATTCATGTCTATGCTGGTCTCTTATCCTCCCCCACACAAACAGGAGTAGATTTTTAACCCTGACAACTTGTAATTTGCAGTGGGTTTATTTTTGTATCTGGATAAATATTTTTTAACAAGCAAAATTAAGATTAAGCAGTCTGTATCTGATATGATAGTAAAGAATGCTGGGTTCCATGTAGCCAAGAGTACTTTGGGGACTCTGCAGCGTGAATTCATATTCTTCTCCTCCTCCTCTCCCTCCTGCCTCTTTCTTTTCCTACCTCTTGCTCTTTGCATTCCACTCTTCCTCTCTTTGTTTTTCTCCTACTTATTCTCTCTCTCCTTTTAAAATCCTGCCCTTTTATCTTTAAAATAATGGAAGGAGTAGCCCAACTTATATCTATAAGTGAGGCAAATCCTGGCAGAAAGATTCCTCCCTCCTGTTCTGTGTGTTGGAGTCAAGTTGGGAAATAATGCTGAGTGGTGAAATTCTACAGGGGATAGCTTCAGGAATTCCTTCTAGAGAAAAAAATAGATGCTTTTTCTTCCTTAAACTGTATTTTACAATTTGGATTTTTAGAAATTACCAAAACAGGACACTAGATGTTCAGTTTCTTAGGAAGTCAGAGCAGATTCTACTTTATCCATCTTTCTGTCTTTCTGCCTGCCTCCTTACCTGCCCAGCTTCCTGCCTGCCTATCTACCTGTTAAACAAGTGAATATTACATCAAAGTAAGTGATGTAATGGTGATATTGAAGCATTCTTAGATGCAAGAGCTTAAGGAAGGACACGCGTCCTTTGATAGCTCATGAAGGTCGAGCCTTTTCTGTTAGTAATATTTATAGAGAGAAGTTAAAGGGTATAAGTAGCTTAAATTTGATGTACACAGATGAGTAAATATGTCTTTGTGACCATTCACACTGCTGATACAAGTATAAATTTATCTTTTCTTCAGTGCAAAATCCTCATACAATGGAAGTTATTCTGTTAGATCTTCTAAGACTGACAGTCTGTGCGATGGTGTCTTGTTTCACTGAAATTGAAACTGATATGGGGCATTGATTTTATACTTTGCGCTGAGCGCTAGACCAGAAATGGGGCGGAGGTGTTTTCCCAACTTTAAGATTCATTAAAATCAGTAGAAAAGTTAATACTGGGAAACGGGGTTAATTTTAAGACTTAGGTTTGGCTTTCTTTGAAAACCACCATCCATTTTATATATGTAATGACTTGGATACAGGATACCCTTTTGACCACATAGAAAAATTTATGGATATAAATGTATCAAAGATACATTCTTTGTGTGGGGTCAGGAAGGCATACTCTAATAACATTGCCATTGCCATTGACCTAAAAGATAAAAAGACTACTGTTACTTTTAGCATTCGTGTTGAGTTGAGAGGGGAAAACTTGGGGGTTGTAAACTTCAGAAGGAAATCTATTCAGCCTCTCAAAATACAAGTTTAGAGTTTTCCTGTTGGAAAAAGGAATACTGTAGTCCTATGTATCAAGTACAATTACTGTAAAGCTCCAGTCTTGACGAAAGAAGTATCCTTTAGACTTGCGTGGGGTGGGGTCTTAGGCACCTGCCTGCCTCTTTTAGCCCCTTTTAATGTTCTGGTATGGACAGATTTCTACAATGATTCTCCACATGTCACTATCTGGACTCTACTGCTTAGATCTCTTGTAATGTGATTTCATTATCCTCCCTAATGATTATTGGGGTTAAACTTTAAAAAGAAACAAATGAACACCCTTGATTTTATTCTTAGATGTGGCCGAATAGCATCGAAGGGTCTATAGATCTCTGTAGAGCAGTCTACAGATAAAAATTGGGTTGTTAGAATTGGAACAAGACATTCACATTCCATGATCCCTTGTCCTGCTGGGTCTATTGGTGGAATCTGAACTTGGGTTCAGAGTAGGCAATTTTTCAAAAGCCCTGTTTCCCAAATGTAAATTCCATCATCATCTTGATCATGATGGGGTTCACTCCTGGGAAAGGGAGTTTTTAAAAAAGAGAGAGAGAGAGAGACTCAGAATTTTGAATAGTTTCTTTGCTAAATTCACCATCTGGAGAGCCTGTGATTGATTAGTTTTGGCCTCACTATTAAGTGTCAATATAATCAATGGGAATTACTAGGCTAGGGTCATTACATAGATAATTTGCCTGCTGTGTAAATAAAAATGAAATTGTTTAAATTTTGTGCAAGAGAAAGTGAAAATAAGGAGTTACGATTTGTTTGTTAGAGAAAGTGGAGGCCATTGGAATGACAGTTTTTGGAAGTGTGGAGCAGTTTGGCTAAGAATAGGAATGAAGGATATTTTTTTCCAGTTTATCATAGCCAGAGTGAGGAAGTGTTATTCCCTCTCTTGCTTGCATACATTGCCAGTAGTGCCTACTTTACGTATGTAAACATCGGGGAAGAGCAGTAGATGTCTGTTACCTGGAGGAGATTTTTTTTTAAGGAAAAACACAATTTACACTTTTTTGTCGTTTCTCTTGGCAGGTAAAACAGAAAGGGGCTCATACTCATCTTATGGGAGAGAATCAAACTTACAGGGTTGCCACCAGGTAAGTGAGAATCTCTGTTGCGGAAGGGTTGAGAGGATTAACCTGGTAAATCAGTTTGTTTTCTAAATTAGATGATGCATTTTAAACTGTGACACCAAAGATGCACCGGCAAGTCAGATGATGGCTCTCTCTTTAAGTAATGAAATAACACAGAGCTTAGAACTAATAAACACCTCATCTTTAGATCGCTGCTGTATCAGAACTACATTCATGGGCTTGTTTTTATTTTTTAATCCATCAGCCGGTACCAGTGGCACTGTTTGCAAACCAGCAATGTCGGTGAAAGTGGTTCTATTAAAAGAGTTTATTTGCAATTAAGAACTTAAGAATTTCTTACGCAGGAAATACTTCGCGGAGTCATGTGTCAGACCCTGGGTTTCGGGTGGCTATTGCCCTAAATTATAGTTTTCATAGGGGCTGTATGATGTTGTGTGAAAACAGGGTTGTATTGAGGGATAAAAATGTCTGTGAAAATATGATTTGTTGTCCCTTTTTGTTTCTGAATTGTTTTTGGCTGGAAGTCAAGGCCAGCAGGCTAACAGCAAAGCCGTCTCAAGGGAAGCATGCGTGAGCTAGAAAAATAAGAGTACTTTAATTAAATAATAAAATGCCAGTGTAATACAAAGGTATAGCATGTGTGTGTTTGTGTCTCTGGGCACTTTGCATTTGTATACTTTAAACTCTCCAGAGAGAGCCTATTTCTAAAAATACTGTCAATAGCTAAAAGTATAAGCTTTGTTTCAAGACAACTGAGTTTTTATAGATGCTTTCTTTTTCAGTTCAGTATCAGTATTAATCATGTATTTAAAATCTTTTTTAAAAATTTATACTTCCTTTTTATAAGTGCATTGGTTTCTTACTTTGGAAAACTCTTGATGGAATTTAATAATCCTCTTTAATATTCAGAGCTCTCTACTGTTTTTATTATTCACGCAAACAAAATGTACTTTTTTTTTTTCAAATGCTGGAAAGGGGATGCTTACTCTCTTGAACTCTCTCACCCTCTGATGTTCTTGATGGGGGAAAAAAATCTATTTTAATTTTATTTTAAACAGCCCATTTAATATACCCCTGAAAAATGTAAGCAAAGTTTTGTTTTTGTAATTAAATCGAGCCTATGAGGAAAGTTTCCTTTACGTACCAGACATAGGAAGGTACGACTTCTGGTGGGTTGGTGTGTTTGTTTTTTCCCTGTATATATTTGCATTTTTAAAGTTTACTCCCTTGGCCCAGCCACCAATTCAGTCATATTCGGCATCTGAAAGATTTGTTGCATTGAGGTGAACAGTGCTTGGTTAAGAGCTCCTGCCGGAGTGCAGTTCATGGCAGTTTGTTTGGAAAGAATTCTGCAGGAAAGAAATTTACAGCCATTCCAGCGCAACGGAAACATCTTTGGAATGTGAGTGCAAATGTTCGGGCTAGATAGCCTGGGCGACAAGCCTCTGAGTGCTGTGTCTCTGGTGTAAAGCTCTCAGTTCCTGCAGAAGACCGTGTTCCTGTGGGTCTGGTTTCTGAGGGTCAAGGCGGAGGTCATTAGAGTTTTGGGGAGAAGAAAGTTGACAACATCCTTCCTTTCTGCAGATGGTCATGGCAGAGGTCTCTGTTTTCGCTGGGCCCCTTTTTCTGGTCATTGAGAGAATAGGCTTCCTCACCCCTGTATCCTTTCTTACTAATAGGAATTGGCGTGATTCCTCACAGACACAAAGATTTCCTCTGCTGAGTAAGCGTGAGGCCCCTTAACTTGTGAAAGCATCATCCAGACCGTGTGAGTCTGTCTGTGTATGTGCAGAACACAGACCCTCCTTTCTCCGTTTGTGGGGAATACTTCCCTCGGGTGAAACTGAAGTTAATTTTTTTTTTTTTCCAAACACAAGGTGAGAAGTGGAAAGGGGCAGAGGGTGGAAGAGAGGTGGATGGATTGGCATGTGATGGCTGAATTTCTGGGCCTTGGGAGGTTCGTTTTGAGGCATTAATGTCCAGGAAAATTCTTTTGTATATAGCACTATGACTGCATATGCTTTTCTTAAAAAGCCTTCGTAATGTAGCCGTGGAGTGTGGAGATTCCTTCATTCTTAATTTGTGCTTCATGGTTGTGAGTCTTGCAAGAGTCTACTATCTCTGTGCTTAGCGTGGTCGCAGCAATCTCCATAAACAGTGTGATTACTTAGGGATAAATAAAAGTGAAATTTTGGAAATTTGCTGACAGAGGGAAAATAGGGACTGAAGATGAAAAATGTACAGAGTATGAATTTCTGCTTTCTGTGAAATTTGAGAATAGAACAGACCATAGTGTGTCTTCCAGTGAATCAGTTTCTCTTGTGCCGTATTGTTATTTGAATCCCTGTCTACAACATCAGCTATGCAAACCAAAGAGAAAGGCAAAATCTCAGTATCTTGGGCTTCAAGTCTAAATAGCAGATCACAGCTGAAATGATTCCCCACTGTGTGACAAGGTGAGTGACTCGTGGAGGGGAGGCTTTTGTTTTCTTCTGTTTACTACATGATTGAGATACGGAATAGGAAACCTTCAGATGGTGTGCCCTAAGGAGCTCCAAAAGCTGCTTTATCGTATTATAACAGTGTATCCTATGGACTTAAAGGGGTGAGCAGTGCTATATGGAAACATGCTTCTTCCAGTCTCAATAGCCTTTTGTTTGGTGTAGAGACAGAGTGGTGGTAAGCAACAGGTAGCAAAGCGCTGTCCTGGAGGAATACATTATTATTGTGAGACGTGTGTTGTTTCAGAAATATATCAAGTTAAAAATAGATATATATTTTAGATTTCTCCTAAGGATTTAACACTAATACTGATGGACATATGACGCTTTTTTAAATGGATATATTTTAGCAGAAGAATGAAAGCCGGCAGGTTCTTTATTAGCAATTAAGTTGTTTTCATTAAAAATAGTAATGAGATATTATTTCATTAATGCATTTCCACCTGAAGTTATCAGAAATAAACATGGTGACTTTTTGAGACTTTTAAAATTGTGTTGAAAATGAATCAATAGATAAGCAAAAGTAGCCAAACGAACTTTTTTGAGTTCTTACTAAATATGACAAAACTAATTTAAATCAAATTGGGGTACAGAAATCACACCCAGCTTAACATGTTCTTGCCAAATGGTAACCTCATACTCCTTTTAACTGGCAGAGAAAATGAAATTTATAATGGAAAGTCTGACAGAAACGAAAATGAGTGGGAATAAAGTTTTTTGCAAGCTAGTCCAACCTTAATACTATAATAGCCAATAACTAAAACTTAATGGGCATCATTGCAAATGCCAGAAGGGAAAAAATGTCATTTGTTTTGGTTTCTTTTTGCTGCTTTGAATAGAATGTTGGGTGATTTGCAAACTTTTAAATTTTGCTAAAATCTATTTTTTTAATGAGATGATGATATCAAAACAAATACTTGTTATTACTTCTCCCCTTAAATGGAAGTTTAGAGTTGATTATCAGGAATTGTTTGTATTTTCTTTCTGGGATATAGCCCAGGTCTAAAGCCATGGTTTCATTTTTAGTATTGTGTGTGTGTGTGTGTGTGTGTGTGTGTGTGTGTGTGTGTGTGTGAGAGAGAGAGAGAGAGAGAGAGAGAGATGGGGAGAGAGAGAGAGAGAGAGAAAGAAAGCTGCCTATCTGAGACCAATCAAATTAGAATCTTGTGAGCTGGGCCTGTGCTTTTCTGACAACTCCCCAGGTTATTCTAATGTGCAGCTAGGTTTTATCATTTCCTAGAATGTTCTGTAGAAATATACCCTGTATTAATGACTTGTGTTCAACATATGACCTTGAAAATGCTTTTAGGCTTTTTGCATTAATTTGATTATTCAAGGCATGGAAATATATTGCATATGAACTTCATTTAAAAGGCAGTGAAAATTAGTGATATAGTGAAAA
This sequence comes from Homo sapiens, assembly GCF_000001405.40. Lineage (NCBI taxonomy): Eukaryota > Metazoa > Chordata > Mammalia > Primates > Hominidae > Homo > Homo sapiens. The sequence goes on along the minus strand of NC_000018.10, from coordinate 55,399,553 downwards.
TCTTCAAATCTTTATATAGAATTCCACAACTGAATGTCCCAGCCCATATCTTGTTTTCTCTAGTGAAGTCCAAGGCTTTAACCTCATCCAAATTCTTTTTCTTCTTCAGCAAGTGATCAAATAGGACTTTGCTGATACAGTTATTTAATGTTTACATCTTAAAATGACTAATGGAATTTAAGAATTAGACCTAATCTAGGAGGTTGTTGTTAATTTCCAGAAACTTGGAGACCAGGGAGGAAACATATTTTCTTAGTTTGCCCATAGGCTTGCTCATTTTTGGTTCATCGAAATTAAGCATGTAGTTGATTCCAAAATGAATTTCACATTTCAGAATTGATTTCTTTGTCTTGTTATTTTTACTTTTGATTCAATAGGTATTACAAATGACTTAATTCTAAACTTTTGGCCTCTTTTAGTTTTTCTTATCTAAAGTCAAAATAGAAAGGATGTAAGTGAAAACCGTACAAAATTATTTTGTTTATTACGAAATTGGCAATTGAGGCCAATTAGGCCTTGCGCAAGCAGAAATACACATCGCTTTTTAATTTACTAAGATGCCTAAGTGTTTATCCTGAGTGTTCAGCACATCCATCGAGGTCTTATGCATCCTTCCTGGGAAGCTCTCCCTTGCAGGGCCTTAGCACCTGTCTTCATCGTGCTTTTTAAAATTTGCCATCATTTTTATGTGTTTGTTGCATGCTGATTTCCACAGGATTCTGTAAACTCCTGGAGGGCAGGGACCATGTCTGCTTTATCCTGAATGTGTACCATGTGCCTAGCAGGGCAAAAATTGCAATGACCTAGTGTTTCTTTCCTCAGCATCACTTTTGGAAGCCATTTTGAGGGAGTAAGGTCTGAATAGCAATGTACATGAACCATATTGTGAGCATCTTTTTCATGCCTACGAAAACCAGAAAACTGCACTCTCCCAAAAAAGTCCTTTGGAAGCTCTTCCTTCTAACATGCTGTGCAGGCTCTGGAAGGACACCAAAGTCATACCGTGGAGAGACACCCACTCTGACTTTTTGGGGGGTTGAATCGTCTCATTCACCTGGTGACTTCACTGTTCTAGGCCTGTATATCTGGAAAGGCCTGAATGAGGGAATTATAGATGATCTGTGGTTCTGGCAGAGGTGTTGTTGGAACCAAAGGTCAGCATCCTGGTCCGAACATTGAAATGTAGCAGTGTGAATGGTAGGACAGGATATTTTAAATTGTGACAGTTTCAGACATCACAGGGCCTGAGTTTGCAGTATATATGTCATCGCAGCTGTGTCCCTGAGCGGTATTTTTCGGGCAGCGGCTTATTCATTTTGGGGGATTGTTATGGGTATATACCCTTCTTTCAAAAGTCAGCCGGTACTTATCAAAGGGGAGAATGGGTCCATTCTTTCATTGCATTGGTTAAGAAATACTTATTGACCCTGTAGTGGTGTGTTAGATACTCAGGAGAAAAACCAAGGGATCTTGTATACCTTCCCTTCTATCCCCACCAGCAGCTTCCTGGATGTTAACGGGGAAAATCGAGCTCTATTTATTTATTTTTATTTTTAACCTTACATAGCATAAATTTTTGAGCATCCAGAACAGTTGAAAAAATAATAAAATGAATGCCACATACCTGCTATTTAGGTTAAACAGTTGTTTGTATTTGTTATACAGTATTTTCTTGTGTGTATGTATAATATGTATAAGAATACATATTTTTCAGTGAACCAACCATTTTAAGTTGCAGATTTAATAAGAATGCACCCATAGATTTTTCAGTACATGTCTCTTAAAAATAAGACATTTGCCTAACTAACATACTGTTATTATCCCTAAAGAGATTAACAGTAGTTTCTTAATCTCAGTCCATATTCAGATTTCTTCAGTTGTCCTCATGCAAATGTCTTCAGTAGCTTTCTTAAAAAAGGCAACTAAAATGCCATTTACGCGTGTCATTTGATTTCTATGTCTCTTTATAATTTCTTTTAAACTAGAGCTGTTCCTCTATTTGTATTCTTTTTTAAATTGTGTAATTTATTTTTTAGGGATGGGGTATCGCTATGTTGCCAAGGCTGGACTCAAACTTCTGGGCTTGGGATTTTCCCAAGTAATTTTTTTGTTGGTTTGTTTGAATGATAGTGACTTTAAAGAGACCAGGCCAACTGTCCTATAAAACATTCCCCTTTCTAGAATTATTAGATTTCGTTTCCTTGTGGTGCTGTTTAATTTTGTTCATCACTTGTTTTGCCTACAAATTTAAAATTAGTTCTAAAGGTTTATGCAGGTTCAGGTTAAACATTTTCGGCTGGAGTACTTCATTGGGGGTGCTGTGTATATCAAATTACATTCCAACAGAATATTGAGCTATGCTGCTGTTGGTAATGCTAACTTTAATCACTTGGCAAAAGTGGTGACCACTGGATTGTTCCATTGTAAAGGAATCTTTCCCCATCTGCAATTAACAAATAGTCTTTGTATTGATACTTTAGCAATGGACAGATACCCCTTTTTCCCAACAACCTTTGACCTAATAGTTTTAGCACACATTGATGACCCTTGCCTGAATCAGTTATTTCAACTGAAGACTTCAAACTGGTGATTCTTTTAAAATTCCATCATTCCTTCCACATTTATAGCTAGTATTCTTCTATAAAAGGGCAGTTTCTTTCATCATTCATTTTAACACTATCAGTTTCATGTTTCATATTTTATATAAGTGTCATAACAATTACTGTTTCTAATGTTTCCTTACCTGGAGGATGTTGGAAGCATTAAAGTATTCTTGAAATCTCTTAAGGTATATTGATAAGAAAAGTAGTTATGGCTCAGGCTGATGGTCAGAGAGGCTTTAATTGTAAGAGGAGGGAGGTAATTGTAGGCATGTTTCCTTGTAAACTAAACTTCAGTATTCTTTTGGTGAAATTTGGAACCTTGCAACAACCTCTGTGCCCCTAGCTGTGTTTCTCTGATTCTCATATTGCCACTCTATAATTGCTAGTAAACATCTCACAAGGTTGATCATCAGTAGTTGACTGGCCGACTCGAGGGGGTTGCTGTGGTGCTCTGTGAAGCTGCGCTATCAGGGATCAGCTAATAATCCCTGCCTCAGTCCTTGCACAATCCAGACATGGTTGATAGTGAATGTCAAAATGAGTGAATTTCTAAAAGATAGTTTGGGCTTAATCTAAAGGAAGCCTGAGTAACTAGTATTAGGTGCCAATATAAATCTCTGAGTTGGTTAATATTATTGTCCCTTAATAATTAAGAAAGGGATGCTCAGAGAAGTAAAGCAAGTAGACCTCAAATCATTTGCTTCAAGTAAGTTTCAGAGCCAGACTCTGAACTCTAAGATGTTTTGTTTCAAAGCCAGTGCTTTCCAACTTGGGTTCCCTGCTACTTAAGCCCATGAAGGAGTTTTTAGGCTCAGAAGTCCATATTAGTTCTCATCTAGAAAACCCTGTCTGGTCGATTCCAGGCCCACTGGGGGATCTGGGCCTGACACAGTATCTACAACAGAGTAGCTGCACTCAGCTCCGTTCAGGGTTAGCTAGAACTCTGAACAGTCAGTAGGGAAAGGCATAGCGGAGGGCAGATCGCATCGTTCCTGACTGCCCAGCCTTAAGGGGGGGAAAAAAAGATTATATGAATAATCTATTCAGTAACATCCTCAGAATTAGCATGTGCAATTTCCTTAAAACCAATGAGGATTTCCTGTGAAAAGGCTGGGGTGGAATATGCCAATTCACATTTTAGCAACAGCGTGAACACTTTCTTAAAAATGTATAGATTATGTTTTGGCTTTGCTTTTTGTGCAATGTAGGCAGAATATGGTTTGCTATTATATAAATTTGGATTCATTATAGATCACATTATTGTTCCAAAAACACAAGAGCTACATACAGCGAGATTCTGAAACAATACCTTTAGCAGGTTCTTAAATATGCCCCAATAATTTTTCGATTATGGCATTTAGCCCTCAAGTAAAATATATGAAACAACAGAATATGTGCTAGGAGCATAGGCAAGTTTTATACAACAACAGTTCAGGCAGTTAGTGCATAAAAAGCCATTGAAATTGCTTTGAGATGATTTATGAGACACCGAAGAAATGGACTCCTAGTATCCAAATTGAAATTTCACCAGAATCATGGGATTAACTTCTCTTTTCTTATGAAAACCATTAAGCGTTTTTAAAATAGCTTCTAGCAATTAGGACTACAGTTCTTCATCTTTATGTTTCTGATAGGTGTAAAGACAAAGGGGAAAAATCAATTAATGACTAAAGAAATAATTGATTTAATGCTGAGGTGTATCTGATATAATTTAATGTTGAAACGTATCTACATATCATGTAGAGATCAGTGTAGCTCTATAGCCTCCTTCTGTAAGAAAGGCAGTATACTCAAAATTCAACATCAGGATAGTGTTTCAATGTGAAATGACAGAAATATTTATTGAACGTCATGCTTGATATTATTTTATTGTTGAGAGCTTTTTACTGAAACTCTTTAAAACTGAACCCCCAAATTAAAATATTGGCAACACTGAAAGATAGCAACAGAAGCCTGTAATCTGAAGTAATGGACTTATTAAGGACTTCAGAAAAAAAGACTTTAGAAAAGAAGCATATATCGTTGAGTCTGCTGCCGTGCCTGATAGTGATAACCTGCTTAGAATTGAAGCACCCCATTCTTTGAAAAATTGTGTGCGCTCTGTGGATATTGACGTGGGTTTGTTTACATGTGCTTTCACTCACAGATCAACTGAGCTTCCTAAAGCATGGACCTTTCATGTTCAGCGTGTTGTTTTCTAATCTCATAGAAGTAGTTTCATAGGGAGGAGAAAACAGAAACCGACAAGAATATTTCTTTGCATTTGCCTTAGCATTTCCAACATGCAAATGTTGCTTTTTTCATAGTATGGCACTTATTTTTGTCAGACATTTCTTGTACTTAACAAAGGGCAAAGTTACATTTTGGCGGGAGAGCGACTTTCGCCCGGCACTTCACCAGATCTCGTTGAATAGAATATATTATCACTGTTAGCATTCTTAGGGTTCTTAATGAAAGCTACATACCCTTTATCTCCATTTTCCTCTCCTTTTAGAAGACATCTTCCAATGAACAATTTCTATGACTTGAATACCAGATATATGTTATTTTCAAGCTACCTCAAAGCCATGTTTATATGCATTTGCGACAATAACAATTCCGTGCTTCGGAATAATTATGTAGGAGTATCATTGAGGTTATTAGGCAGGACCCACCCTCTAGAGTTCTGTACATGGGGGGGTCTCTGTGTGTTGGGGTTTTACTGTGCAAGCACACAGAATATCCTGAGCTCATTTGTACCATGATAATGAACAGCAGGGCACTGAATCTTTTTAGTTTTATTGGCATTGTATACAGTAAGTTATTAAATTTCATCTCTGTAATATACCTGCAGTAAAATAACAAAATATTGGTGCACTTAAAGAACATGTGTGTGTGGAACAATGCCCTCCCCATCATTTCAGCCCCCTGCAAACAGCTGCTTACAGATTTCAAGATCCATTGTATGTATTCCCTCGAGCCCACCTCTAATAATCGAGACACATCTGCCATTGCAGTATTATAGGCATATGTAGTTTTATTGAAAACTATACCTGTAAAAAAATTAAATAACTCCTGCCTCAATTAAATTGGCAAGCTACCTTTTGCAAAGATCATATTGCAGACCTCTTGAGACCCAAGTGAGTTCATTTTATTCTTACATTACAAATCACTAAATATGTTATTTTTATTTAGCTGAGTAGCTAGCTTTCCTCGTACTTTGATGGTAAGTTACTTTCATCCATTCTCACTTTTGTTTTCCTTCTCCCCTCATCTTTACATATTAAAAAAATTATGCAAATTGCATGAAGCAAACATTTTGAGAATCTGAACAGAATAAAATCAAAGGGAAAGGACCCTAACATGCAGCTTTAACTCTGAAGTGATTATTAAATAAATACATGCAAAGGTTACAAAATTGGGGTCAAATTTATAACTCACGTTGTGGCTTGTGATTTTTACAAACTTCTTTGAGATCCATTTGATCATCATAATGGTAGAATAGGAAGTAATATGAAGAGGAAATGAGTTAGTAGGCCATACAAAGCATATGCAGATGAATTCCTATTGGATTAAATAACTTAACACTTACTCTTAAGAAAATAATAGATACGAGATCTCACTCTATCACCCAGGCTGGAGTGCAGTGGTGCAGTCATAGCTCACTGCAACCTTGAACTCCTGGGCTCAAGCAATCCTCCCTCCTCAGCCTCCTGAGTAGCTAGGACTGCAGGCATATACCACCATGGCTGGTTAACTTTTTTATGTTTTGTAGAGCCAGGGTCTCACGTTGTTGTCCAGGCTGTCTCAAATTCCTGACTTCAAGCCATCCTTCTACCTAGACTTTCCAAAATGCTGTGATTATAGGCATGAGCCACTGCACCCAGCCAACAGTCTTAATACTTGTTGAAGATTGAGTCAGTAATAGATGTCTGCAAAATAGTTTTTTATCCAAAGAAGGAATAAGAGTAAAATATTTACCGATATAAAAATGTGAGCCTAAACTTATTTTAAGTTATGTAAGGTATCTGTATAGGTCTTCATGTGAGTTAATCATGCCAATATATAGTGATTTAACCAAGAAGAATTTTTTTGCTTTATATTTTCATAGAAAAAATCCAAAAAGACAAGTTGCCCACTATATGGGAAACATATATGTGTATATATCGTATATATCTGAATTATGTATGTCTATATATATGAAACACACACACACACTGTTATAAGACAGTAAGCAGGTTCCTTATCTATAGTTTCTTAGTTAAAAAAACAAAACAAAACAACATTTTGTGCTATTCAGATGAACTGTGTATAACTGGACCGAGGGAGTGGTTAGAGGTGAATACTGTCCCAAAGTGAACATAGAGTCAGAGGAAAGACTCTGTTGAAAGTCAGAAAGTAGATGATTTCATAGGATCAAGTCACGGATAAATATGAGGTGATGACTGTTATAGAGAAGGTAGAAAATCGAAAATCAAGCAGTGATATTCTTTTTTTTTTTTTTTTTTTGTGGGGTTGTTGGGGATTGGGTCTCTATGTTGTCCAGGTGGGACTCAAACCCCTGGGCTGAATCAGTCTTCCCACCTCAGCCCTCTGAGTAGTTGGGACTGTAGGTACACACCACCATGCCTGGCTTGTAGTAGCAGTATTGACAACCAGTCAGGATAGAAAATAGTTACATGTTTAAATAAAGAATTTCCTTCTTTGGGCCGGGCATGATGGCTCATGCCTGTAATCCCAGCACTTTGGGAGGCCGAGGTGGGTGGATCACTTGAGGACAGGAGTTCGAGACCAGCCTGACGAACATGGCGAAATGCCATCTCTACTGAAAATACAAAAAGTTAGCTAGGTGTGGTGGTGCATGCCTGTAATCCCAGCTACTCAGGAGGCTGAGGCACAAGAATTGCTTGAACCTGGGAGGCGGAGGTTGCAGTGAGCCCAGATCACGCCACTGCACTGCAGCCTGGGTGACAGAGCGAGACTCTGTCTCAAAAAAAAAAAAAAAAAAAAAAAAAAGATTTTTTTTTTTTCTTTTAGATGAAGTCTCACTCTGTCGCCCAGGCTGCAGTGCAGTGGCACAATCTCTGCTCACTGCAACCTCTGCCTCCTGGGTTCAAGCGATGCTCCTGTTTCACCCTCCCGAGTAGTTGGGATTACAGGCGTGTGCCACCTGGGCTGGCTAAGTTTTTTTTTAATATTTTTGTAGAGACAGGGTTTCACCATGTTGGCCAGACTGGTCTCAAACTCCTGACCTCAAGTGATCCGCCCACCTCGGCCTCCCAAAGTGCTGGGATTACAGGCATGAACCACCGCGCCTGGCAGAATGTTCTTCTTTTTTGATAGGAATGTTGATTCAAGTCAGTGAGTGGTCGTTTGGTTCCACTTGGGCTTACCTGGGCCCAGGAGACTCTGCTCACTCTGTGTTCTCCCAGGGTATTTTGTGCCCCACTGCTGGTTCACAGAGATGCCAGGTTTCACGGAATGGAGGGCTGAGTCCTAGAGAGGGTCATCACTTACAAGTAAGATATCAAACCCTAAGGGAATCAGAATTTAAAGTCTTAGAAGGGTTTCAGTTTTGTCATATAGAAAAATATTGAAAATTAAAAAATATATATATTATGAATTGTAAACAAACTTTTTGATCAAAACTCATGAAAGTTGGGGAATACACCTTAACTTGCACCCTGCCACTGCTTTGAAGTCCCATCCCTGGGATGTGGTTCACTCCTGTGGAAATATATATTATCTATTACATTTGAACTGTGAATTGTGTTTGTCACACTGAGCTAAGCAGCTCAGAACTGTCATGTGTAGAGTGACTGGTACAATACAACATCAGTGGTGGTAAAAGATTTGTATGGACAATGACATGTGGCAAAGAAGAATGTCAACAGCTGCCACTGCTATGACATCGTCCCTCAAGGAGTCTTTCTGCATCTCTGCCATGTAACTGTCTCAGCCAAAGAGAAGGCACTAACATGAACTTCTTCCCCAGAATGCTACTCCCAACTAGCGACCACGTAAGACTCGCTTGAGTCTTTTTTGAGGGTGCAAGTCCTGGGTGCCATTTGTCACCGGAAAGAACATTTAAGTTTGGAGTTTTATGTATAGAGGGAGGGATTATTCTTTGATTTATTTCGAAAGAACATGTTCTTAATGTCCTTTTGCAGATAATACACACACCCTATCAGTTTTTGGACTCCAGACTGTCTCCATCCATATGTCATTATGAAGCAGGTTTTTATCTTATTATGATTTAGGTAATTGTACTAGCCTCTAAAATTTTATAATGTACCTTTCAGAAGCTCATAGATGCCAAGATCAGAGGCTCCTTTGGAGTTCCATCTAATATATCTTCCTTAGCCAACTGGTACAGATAATTTTATCTTTCCTCTAGATAGTTACACATATAGCTCTAGAAATAAAATGTAGTTATCCTAAATCAGCTGTATAGAGCCTTAACCAGCAATCAGACCATTTAGAACATTCAACAATAATACATTCTACCAAACTCTGACTTTCTGTGTTCAGTAGATATTTATTAGGAAACTCACCCTGTGTCCCACTGAAGATCCTCACATGCTCTCTAGGTAGATGACTTCAGCTAATAGTATAGTAACCATGAGGCCTTAGTATTTATGACTTTTCTTTTCTTTCTTTCTTTTTTTTTTTTTTTTTTTTTTTTAAGAGTCAGGGTCCTGCTGTGTTGCCCAGGCTGGTCTTGAACTCCCGGCCAGAGTGATCCTCCCACCTTGGCCTCCCAAAGTGCTGGGATTATAGGTGTGAGCCACCACATCTGGAAGTATTTATCACTTTCCAAATTCGTATTCTTACATGTGTTTGGATTTATTTTTCAAGAAGCCAGAGTAAAATTTGGCAATTACCAAATTGTGAGTTGAGAAAAATAGATAATTCACCTTTGGTATTGTGCTTTTGAATTTGAATTCCATTGATTGGATTTCAGTCCGTCGGGATTAGTTCTTCCATCTGTGTCCCTTGGTGTGATGACTGACTCCCAGCCACCATCTGAGACTGCTCGGTCTCCCTCATCTCCAAAAGTCCTCAGTTTCCAGATCTCATCAATTCTGCTTGCAAGATACCAATAAATCTGCTGCTGCCTCCTAGACCCCCAGTCACCACCGTGGCTGCCCGTGCTGCTCTGATCCCTCTACCCACCTTCTCCCTCACATGCCTCCTGTCCACTGCTGCTGGAGTGACAGTCTCCACAAAACATTGTTCCTTGGCTTTGGGGCCTGTCCTTAGCATGGTGGTATCCTGGCCCCTGTTTCTGCCTGCAGCCTCAGCCTTCGTACTCACCATTCACATCTCATGTTCCAGCCCTACTGAGCTGCTTGCAGTTCCCTCAAGAGTTCTTTCACGGTTCTCTCTGTCTTTATAAGAACCTGAAATACCTTTGCCTTGCCTCCCCTTCTTCTTGCCTTACATCTGTTCTACCAGCTAACTCACCTGCTTTGTTCAAGATTCAGGGACCCTGGATGTTATAACCAGGGCAGAGCGAGCTGCCTCTCTTCTGTGCTCAGGAAGCCTTTGGAGCACTTCTTTTTCCTCACAGTCATCACACTGTCTACAGCCAGAGAAGGGCAAAGGCTAGGGGCAAGGGCTAGGCTTGCCGTCTCTATCTGCAGTGTCTAACAGGGGCACCCAGGAAGTGCTTGTTCCAGAGTCACAGGATGGATGAGTGAATGAATGAATGAACTAGCAATAGTAAGAAATTGTATGTGAGCATGTAACTTACTATATTTAAATACTTCCATGCAAATTTCTTGACTTAAATTAACCATGCCAATGACCCCTGAGGCTGGATTTATTTATTTATTTATTTTTTGAGATGGAGTCTCGCTCTGTCACCCAGGCTGAAGTGCAGTGGTGTGATCTCGGCTCACTGCAATCCCTGCCTCCCGGGTTCATGCCATTCTTCTGCCTCAGTCTCCCGAGTAGCTGGGACCACAGGCGCCCACCACCATGCCCGGCTAATTTTTTTTTGTATTTTTAGTAGAGATGGGGTTTCACCGTGTTAGCCAGGATGGTCTCAATCTCCTGACCTCGTGATCCACCCGCCTCGGCCTCCCAAAGTGCTGAGATTACAGCTGTGAGCCACTGTGCCCAGCCGAGGCTGGGATTATTTTTAATCCAGTTTTATTGATAAAGAAACTGAGATTTAGAGAGATTTGTTTTCACTCTGAAGGCAGAGATGGGACTGGGGAACAAACTCCTTTGGATCCAGATTTGGCATTTTCTTTGTCACTTCTTTAGCACTGGATAAAGTTGGTGTAGCTTTGTGTCATAGCAAGTAGCCCACAGAGTCTTTTCATAGATGGTTCCAGCTCTCTATTCATTATTAACTTAGGGATCATTCATGGAGGCACTTACCTAGTTACCAGGCTGAGACCTCTGTCTGCCAATGAGAAAAAATGTGCATTTCTAAAGAGGATATGAAGAACCTAGCAATCTGTATATCAGGAGCATTGTCTTTACATAGACAAAAAAGAATATTTTGAATGTTTCCTGTAAGTAAGTACCAGTTGCAATAGCGTGGTGCGTACCGCCCATGCTATCTATTGCCCATCAGTGGTACCTCTACTCTCTGGTTGTGGTGAAAAGGACCATGGTCCTCCTGGAAATTTCTGGCCCTGAAGCTCAGGGGAGAAGTGCAACACCAGCCACATCTCATCCCCCAAGTTTCATTCTCCTTCACTCTCCCTGGTACAACTTGGCAGAGGATGGGGAGAACTGGGAAGAAGTGGATGCATTGAGTAGATCAAGCTTTTCCTCTTCATGTTTACTTTATATGATTTTAATTTTGTAACCTTGTTGTAGGACATAAAAAATGAATGACAGTGGACTTAGCTTTTATTTATAACATTGAAATCCTTAAAGATAGAATGTTAGAGTCAGAAAGGACCTAGACATCATCTGGCATCCAGTGCCGCTTTGTAGCAAGTGGAAAACTAAAGCTCAGAGATGTTGAGGTTGGTCGTCATCACACAGCAAGCAGACCTTGCTCAGACACAGCCACACAATACAAGTAAAATTCCTAGCCTGTAACACGGAAGTTTTCCTTTGATGTCTTTGTACCCGCTTTCTTCCAAAGAGCAAAAGGTCACCTAGACCATGAAGTAATAGCCAGCAGCAGCCGGAAACACATCCTGAGGAAATTTCTAGACGATTGTCCCTTTGTTAAGCTACCATTGAATCATACTGTCACAGAGCCAGAGGGTGTCGTTTGCTTGTAAATACTGAGTTTTTGAAATGTCACTGTAACACTGGAAAAATGTTGTCTCTGAAGGTTGCCAAAGTGACAGAATCCCGACATTGTAAATACCAGCCAACACAAGTGCTTATAAATGACAGGAATAAAATATACTTGACTAAATCCATAATAATCACTGATAACACTGTTTACCCTCAGTGACCAGGAGCTGTGAACTTGGATAAAAAGCACATGTGTGCAGATATCATTAATATGTCTGAGCCTCTAGCCATTCCAGAATATTTTGATGGAAAAGCTCCCTAAATATGTAAAAGCTTTGCAATAACTAAGAAGCTAGTGTGTAAGGTAGGGTGTCAGTCGTCCCTGATGAAACTAGAGAGAGCCTTGACTATCTTCAGCCCCCAGAGGACTGATAAGGCCTCCCTTGTTCTGGTTAGACCCAAACTCTGAGCCAGGCTACTAGGGCAGGCAATGCTGTATTTTCAGTAGATGTGATTCTCAGAAGGCCCATTTGCCAGAAGCATGAGCCCACACCTATATCATGTTCCATGGAGAAAATGTGGAATGAACTTAGAGATTAAAAACTTTGGAGCCATAAGTGGGAGGATCCCATGAACTACCCTTTGACTTTCAAAGGGTGGATGGGTGGTCAGACCTTTCCACAGTCCTAATACTCTATAGCCCAGGCTTTTTCTTAATAATAACTTCCTCCTCTCTAGAAATGATTCTCTCCCTCTTTTTTCTGTTCTAGTGTAAAAATGGTGCCTGTGTGTATCCGAGTCTTTAAGAGGAAATGGACACATTGGCAAACCAGTGCCTCCTTTGGCTCTGTGATGTGGCTGCTGTTACTACTCAACTGGAGCACCCCTTATATTCCAGTCTCCCCAGAAATGCTCAGGAACAGTGGAGACTCAATGACAGAGGGTTGAGCCCTCCTGGTTTTTCAACTGGTGAAAGAGAAATTCAGATGGTTAAGGAGATAGCAGAGTAGCCAGCACTCCGGGAGCTGCTCTTATCTCTGCTATGAGGCTGTGCATGGGGAAGAGTAGGGCTGCTTGGAATGACCTCCTTACTTTTCATATATTGAAACATATTTCTTTTTCCTTGATATGCTCCTGTATTGTTTGAATTTTATTTTATTTTATTTTTTGTGGTAAGCATTGTTTTCTTAATTAACAATGAAAGGTTGTAGTCAATAAACTAGTACTTGATGAGATTTGAGAAAAACTACAAAACTGTAGATTGCAAGTTGGCATTTGACCAAGAAATTATGATTGTGCTCCTTGGATTTTTATGCTTAGGAAAGAGTGCACAAGAGGGAAAAAGCTTTCGGTCAGAAGATACCCATTCTAGTACTAGCTGGAATGGTGGTAAAGAATACGAAATGGTCTGAATGTCCATGGCTGTGTGATATTGGCGTATTTTGCTGTCCATGGGTCTAAGTGGATGGTATTATAGCTTTGAAAGAGTCATGGCAAAGGAGGGAACAGGTGTGTCCCAAACCCTAATGAACTCAGCAGATTGGCCTGGCATTCTGGCAATGTAGTCATTCAGCGGAGCCGTGGGGACTCCCTGGGTGGGGACCCAGCATGCTTCTGGAGGTACCTGGGAGGCGCTGGGAGTAGGGCCTGCTGTACTGGTTTGACTAATGTGGTGTAGGTGTTGATGTTGGAGAGTTGGTGGCCAGTCTCAGGCTCTGTTCTGGCACTACTCCAGCTTGTTGGTCATGAATGCAGATTGAGATTGAATGGCTCCTTACATTTCCCTTGAAGAAAGGCAGCTTTGTCTTCCAGGAATGAGCTGATGGCAGTGGCCGTGTGGACATTCTGCAGCTTTGGCACCCAGTAGCGATGGCCTGATTGCCTTGAAACTGGGAGCCTCTAGGGCCCTGAGAACTTGAGCAGGGCTGGACAAGCCTTGGAGCAGAACTTTGCTGTGAATTCTTTCATTGACTCGCAAAAGATGAAGGACTCTAATCCCTGATATCTACCTTTCCACTTGACCTTTTTAGTCTTCAGTGGTCTTTTAGAAGTAATTTTACCTGGCCGCGGTGGCTCATGCCTATAATCCTAGAACTTTGGGAGGCCTAGGCGGGCAGATCACCTGAGGCCAGGAGTTCGAGACCGGCCTGGCCAGCATAGTGAAACCCCATCTCTACTAAAAATACAAAATTAGCAGGGTGTGGTGGCTCACGCCTATAATCCTAGTTACTCGGGATGCTGAGGCAGGAGAATCACTTGAACCTGGGAGGCAGAGGCTGAAGTGAGCCAAGATCGTGCATTGCACTCCAGCCTGGGTGACAAGAGAGAAACCATCTAACAAAAAAAGTTATTTTATGAAAAACATTTGGAGGTTTTCTTTTGGGTATGGCAGGCAGATTGGCCTCTTATTTGGCATAGGTGAAGAAGAAGAGTTGAATAAAAGTAGTTGGGGCATAGAATGGCCATGCAAGTTCCCAACTAAATCAGGGTCAAGTTTAAATGTATTTGTATTTTGTTCAAATTCATCTTTATCTAAAACAGGCTGATGCTGTTTTGTCTCTGTGCTGCAGGTGGATAGCCACAAATTTGACTCTATAGTTACCAGTTATCCCCCTGCCACCCCTTGTTTTTCTTCCTGATTTCTCTACTTCCAATCAGCTGCTCTTTTAGAAACCAATAGAGAAGTGAGACGGGGTGGGGGCAGAGGAAGAGAGAAAGGGGGTAAGGGGGAGGGAGAAAGAGGAAAGAGAGGTTGTTTTTTGTCATTAGTGAGTAAAAATCTGTCGGGCTCGGGTAGTTTCTTAGTGAATTCAGCATTTAGTGATTAGATTAGAGGGGTATATTTGAGCTGAAGATTTTGGGAACTCACCTTTCTGCTCTACAGAATCCCTAGGTTTCTCCTTTAGCTCTACTTTCTGATTCATTCCATCCCCATCCACTGACCCCACCGCCAATATTGAGGTACTTGTGAAAGCTCAGAATCTCCAGTGTCCTCAAGGAGCTAGCCCCAAAGTGCCCCCTGGTGGCTAGAGGAGAAAAAGACAAGATGGAGGATGGGAAAAAGGTCAGGTGGATGGATAACTTTGGCTCTTCTTTTGGCTCTTCTTTTCTGATAGTATTTTTGTTAACAGCATCTAATGGGTTGTCTTCTTTCAGTATCAATGTGAACCAGCTCTGAATAGGTTAGTGTATCAATGTATTTCCCTTTTTGGGTGATTTTGCTGCAGGGATTTCTTTCCCTATGCCAGTTTTTGTTGGTCTGATTTTTGTTTCTAGGCATATTGCATTGACCTGAGCCTTCTCACAGTACTGATGACACTGGGGGTAGGGAGAACAGGAGCAGTTGAAGACGACACATGCTGTCACCTCATGTGCTGGTGTGAGTGGCGCAGGGAAGGGCTGTGATTTTTTATAGGCACACTGATTAGCCAAGCACTTGTCACCTCCACTGCCGCTCATTGGCCTACTGAGTGTGAGCGTGCCATCTAATTGACAGCTGTCTGTTGTCAGAGGGCCATCTTTTCTCCTTTTCAGTTTGAGTGAACACAACAGAGACATCTGCAGAGCTCTCTGCAGCTCTGACAAGGTTGCCCTGCCTGCCAACCCTCAGACTTCTAGGCAGCATAATTGAAGAGATCAGAAAAGAATATTAACCCGTTGACCATCTTGGGCTGAGGTGTAATGACCAAAAAGTCACTTTTTAAGGTGACTGTGAGTCTTTCTTAGTAGAGGAAGACATGAGATTCTCTGTCAGAAGAGTCAGGCCAGTAGGAAGTGCTATTTCTTGGTAGTGATTGTTCGTGGGGTTTCAGTTCATCTGAGCACTTGGAAGAGGATGAGAAGTTCATTTTCAAGGTAGACCCAGTGTTTCATGGTGGGGTTACACTGAAGCCTGAATGCTGGGTCACATCATTCATGTCTGATTTGGCTTGTGTAATGACAGTAGTGCTTTGGATGTGTGTAGTTTGGATGAGGGTTACTCTTTTTCTTTTACCGCCAGGCCTGACACTGCCCTTTTAGCGTAAGATTCCAGAATCTCTTATGCAGTAGCATGGAATGTATGGCCAACCCCGTAGTAACGTGGACTGCCTCTTTGGGACATTTCCTGTAAGCCAGAGATATCAAGGTGGACTTTGTGATGGGTAGATTGTTTATTATACAGATATCAGCTTGGGAATTTGAATGTTTAATTATTTGCCTTGTCGTAGTGTCTTCAAATGAAGCTCTATTTGAGCATCTACTGGGATTGGTACAATATGCAGACAAGCTGGCTTTGTGTGGGTCGAGTCACCTGTGCTTGCAGGATGGGGGTGCTTGCTATATTTGGAAGTGATTTAGTGGTATCCTAGGTTTATCAGGAGGAAAATACATCTTTGCATTTATTTGAACATTTGATTTAGAAAGGGACAGTGTGTGGGTATTGGATAAATTGCTTTTACTCTTTCTTTGCTTTGCATTGTTCTCCCCTCTGATGATTTGCAACTTAGCAAGCCTTCATCATTGAACCTGGGTGAAAAAGAAGATCTGAGAAGCCTTGAGTAATTTGTTTCAGACTGTTTATACTCTAGTGTTTTACAGATGTGGGCTTATTTGAGGAATAGTATTGGCGAAAGGTAGCGTCATTAAACTGGTTGGAGAAATTTCAGGCAAGTAGATAGAGAAATTTCAGGCAACTCCTTTTCCAAGTTGTTGCTCACAGATTATAATAGATGAATTCAGCAGAATGTTCTGACCTCCTAGACTAGGTCAGATAACTGAGTTCTTGTCCTAACTCAAATCCTAAGTAGCTGTTTCTTAAAGCTCTGTTCTGCCTCTGCAGAATGAAGGCTTGGCCTATATAGTGTATGAGATTCCTTCTAGCTTCAGGGTTTTGTAACTATCAGAATAGGTAATGAGGAAGGAGACTATGCCCTGGTAGCCTTTAGCCATATCACAAATATTTAACATACTCCCAAAATAGCACATACAAGACAGAAATTCTTTGTACTTGAAGGGAATAATAAATACAGAAAGCATTTGAGAAGTACACATTTAATTTCTGTTAACTCTTTTTTTCTTATTTATGTTTATTATTAGATGATAAATGACTTCCTTTTTTTTAGTATTAAAACAAGGTGATCAGGATAGTGAGAGGATTGGGTCAGGTGAAACACATGACTCACCTGCGTGCTTATGATTCCCCTTGGAAGATGGTTTTGGGTAACATTCTGGGAAAACTATGGATAAAGTCATAGGCTTCCATATTTAATTAATTCTAAGACTTTTTTTTCACATTTCAACATCTCAGAAATTTATGGTATGCCAATTCAATTGGCAACTTTTTTCCTCTCTTGGTAGGAAATAGATAATGATGTTTTTGACATTCAGTGGCATCTTATAGGTGATGAAATACAATTCTGAGGGGAGGAAGCAAGATTTTTTTTTTTTTAACTGAGAAAGGCTACGTGACTAAGTGACTTCTTTGTTTCAATGCTGACTAAAGCTGTGATGTCCTTTTTAATCACTTTGAAAGATTCAAATTGCTTTAGGAAGACAATTCATGCATGGAGCTCACCCTCCCAGAACTCCACACTTAATGCCCACTGAGGAAGGAGAGAAATGCATGCAAATATATATCCCAATATAGAAGGAATATTCTAGTTCAGTAACTTCCACTCCTGAGCTTTTATCAAATTTTTCTCTATAGAATTATTTTTGTTTTATTGTATCCAAAATGTCAGATATCTTTTTCAAGGAAGGTCAAGGGACTTTGCCATTTTCTAAGCCAGAAGTATTCTCACCTAGTCCAGTACTAGTCAAAGTTTTTAGTAAATCACTTAGAATTTCCTTTTTTAAAAAAAAAAAAAAACCCTTCTAGAGTTTGTTGATACCTTAAAGATCATCAAATCCAGCTCCTTATTTCACAAATGAGTAAAAAGAAGACATAAGTTGCTTGTTCAGAGTTCAGCTAGGAACTAGATAGAACCTGGGTAGCCTGACGCTCCCATTCTTGCTGCTAAATTCCATGCAATGTAATGAAAGCGGGATTGAGTATAAAACCGATACTCTACACATCTTTTGTTGATATTTCTGAGGGAGAAACTTGAATTTCTGTAAGTGCACATAGCTGGTTTCCCTTTGCTTTGTATTTCTGAATGCTACACTTGTCTTCTGCCTACTACACTTAAATTCATAGGTGATTTCACAAGGCACAGAAGCCCAACTTGTCACATGTGGTTTAATATATGCCACACTTTATGCTGCAGTAGCACCATTTGGTCATATTTAGTGAACTCTGTGGTTGTTGAGAATGCCAAAGCAGCAGGCTCAGCTATTGCAGCATAGGCCTGTACTTAGTTAGCAAGCTTAGCTTAAAAGCTGTCAGTGCAGCTAATGTTACAGTGGCTTACTGAGACCTTGGCCTGGTTGTGATAGTTCTCCAAACCTGGGTGTTTTCACCTTTGAAATATGAATCTGGATTTAGCTTTTTCTTAGAAAACAGCAACAACAACAAAATGGTGAAATCTTTAAGCTCGTTAATGTGAATGCAGTAAGAATGTAAATTTAATACATATTCACTTATTATTAAATGCTGTTGTAAATAACATTTTTAGATTTAATAATGATTTCCCAAGACATTTCGTGCTATTCTTTACTTTGAAACTGATGGGGTGAGAAGAGAGTTGAATCTTAATTATTATTTTTTAGTTAATTAACATGTGATTTAAAAAAATCGAGATATATTTTGTGTTAGACCCTAATTAGAAAAGATGTCAAGAATAACATAATGCTAACTTAATTTTAAAATTGATAAATGAGGGCAAGATGATTGGAAAGTATCCTCTAGATCACACAGGAAACGGGTTAATATTCAAATGAATAGCTCTGAAACGCTACTTTCCTACCAGCTCCTGAAGCAATTTAGTTTTTAAGACCTAAAACTGACTCACAATCTGTGGTATGAAGGATAGATGTTAATAGTTTAAATATTTAGGCATTGCGTGGGCTGTTTGTTAAACCATTGGTAGCTTGAGATTGACCACAGTGGGAGTGTTTTCACCATGCGAATGAGCATCCCTGCTCACAGTGGGGCATGAGCATAGCACTGCAGGATACGGAACTGACATTTATTACATACCTGACATTTCCGTTACTCTTTTATTTATCGTTTTGGGCTGCTTGTTTGTGTCCTATCCCCACTCCCCAAATTCATATGTTGAAACCTTAATCCCCAGTGGGATGGTGTTAGGAGGTGAAGCCTTTGGGAGATGATTGGGTGATGAGGGTGGACCTCCGATGAAGGAATTAATGTCCTTATAAGAAGAGGAAGACACACTGGGGCCTGTCAGCGGTGGGGGACGAGGGGAGGGTTAGCATTAGGAGAAATACCGGATGTAGATGACGGGTTGATGGGTGCAGCAAAACACCATGGCACGTGTATACCCATGTAACAAACCTGCACATTCTGCACATGTATCCCAGAACTTTAAAGTATAATTTAAAAAAAAAAAGAAAAGTAAAGGAAGAGAGCTAGCCAGCCTTCTCTCTTCTCCATGTGAGGATACCACGAGAAGATGGTCATCTGTAAATCAGAAAGAGGACCCTCGTGGTGGCTCACACCTGTAATCCAAGCACTTTGGGAGGTTGAGGTAGGAGGATCAGTTGAGCCCAGGAGTTTCGAGACCAGCCTGAGCAACACGATGAAACCCTGTCTCTACTGAAAAAAAGAAAACAAAATTAGCCAGATGTGGTGACACATACCTCTGTAGTCCTAGTGACCCAGGAGGTTAAGGTGAGAGGATCAGCTGAGCCCGGAAAGTCGAGGCTGCAGTGAGCCATGATCATGCCACTGCACTCCAGCCTGGGCAATAGACTGAGACCCTCTCTCTCCCCAACCCCTCCAGAAAGAGGATCTTGTCTGGAATCCAGCCATTCTGGTCCTGATCTTAGAATTCTAGCCTCCGGAACTGTTAGAAGTAAATGCTTGTTGTTTAGGCTACCCAGTCTTTCGTATTTTGTTATAGCAGCTAAATTGACTTAGACATCATTAATTATGTATTTTAAGTCCTGTGTTTTAGCATTCTGGAATGAGAGCATTGAAAATGATCATCAAGCCGAGTAAATTAACTGAATTAACTATTCCACCAAAAAAAACCCCAAAAACTGAAATGTTCGTTGTTCCTGGGGAATGGCTATGCACTTGGAGGCTGGTCCCCTTCCTCCCTCCTCTTCTTCCTGGTGAATCCCCTGACTTTTCTCAATCAGGCTTTCTGATGTGGAGGCTTCCTCTGCTTCCCAGGGACACACTCCCTTCCCAGGGCTCCTGGAGCTGCTGCATCTCTGCTACCCTGAGATGTAATTCTTGCCTGAGATTTCAGCTCCTCCCCTACACTTCAGAGGCTTCAGTGGACTATTTCTTATTCATCTGTGCAGGCACATTGTCCAATGTACAACCTGCTCAATGGGCTTGTTGAGTTAATAAACTACTCTGTGTTCTGTATTATGTGGATTTAGATGTTTTGCTTCTTTTTCAGCCTTCCTTTCGCACCCTCCACCTACCCGACCCCTGCTAAGATGCTACCTTTTAAAGAAAAGAAATAAGTTCTTCACACTTTTCTACATTTATAATTCAATATAAATAACTGCTACTGGTATACTTAATCACAATTAGATTAAATATGTTCTTTGAAACAGGGAGGTCATCTAATGAATAGAAGTGAAATATGTCAGAAAATGTCACATAACTGAGAGTGTGACATCTTTAGTAAATAGAATGTTGAGATGATTTTAGTGCTAGGCTAGTTTTGTAAGAGACATCTTATTTGACACCTTTGTTCAAACAACTTTTGTGGTTCTCAAACTAGCCTCTATTGAAAAGACCAAGTTCCCTACGTCTTCTCTTTGAACACTTTCTTCTTTGCATTAACCTGTTCTTGCTAGTGCGTCCAAGTGTGGAAAGCAAAGATTAGTTTTAAATCTTCCGGGTCAAAACTGTTTTGGCTTTTTTCTAGAGCTGATAATAAGTAGTATAGTTTTCTGTGTACCATGTGTAAGAGAAGAGAAAAGGTCTGACTTTATGTTAGATAATCCATAATTCGGTTGCTCTGTCCCACTATATGGAGACCAAAGTCACACTAAATGGATGCCTTGGGTAGGGGAGAAGGATGTAGCCTTTCAATCAGACTTCTTAGCTGCACTAGTCACATGGCTAGCCTGGGGCAGGTATTTAAACTTGCTATACCTAAGTCTCCTCATCTATTAATTGACATTAATATCAGCACCTTCTTCATAGGGTTTGTAAGGATTGAATAATTTAATGTATGTAAGACACTTAGAAGAGTGTCTTAAATAATGTGAGCACCTTCTTCATTAACATTAGCACATATTTCATATGATTTTGTGAGGATTAAATAATTTAATGTATGTAAGACACTTATAAGAGTGTGTTAAATTACAGACTGTGCTCAGTAAATGTTGTCTAATATTATTTTTAAACTGATGGTTATTAGCCAAGCTATACCATATCTTCAACTTTGGGTGCACAAGAGTGGGCAGTATCTTTGAAGAGGTCGTTGTTTCTCAATCTGTGGGTCAAGTATTCTTAGGGAAACTTTTCATTTTGGTCCAACTCATAACTTTAGTGACATTAGTCTTTGCAATTTCCTGCTGAGAAGAGAAGGTAGCCTTTCTATTTTTTTTAAGTTTTCAAAGCCTAATTTTATATTAAAAGAAAACAAGGTATTAAAACCACGTATTTCTTTTAACTTATTAAAAGGAAATAACACAGTAACATTAATAAAAAGTTACAAAATGGCACAGTAACATTAATAAAATGTTACATTGTCTTTTTATTCTATAGCGTGAATGGAAGAAATAAAGTAACTTTTCTAGAGCTACAAAGTAGTTAATGGTGGCAAAGATTCACTCTCTGGCAATGTGTCTTGTTTCACAAAGTAATACAAGTTCAACACAGTATAGAATTGCCTTTGATTTCAAATGGTAACAGCATTTATTGGATTATTTTTGTAGATGTTCAATGCCACAAGTAAAATGAAGTTTTCTCTTTAAAAGGATGATAGATGTGGCAGACCCATCACTGGGTCCCTGGACAGTGGTAACATGATGGGGTTTAAAGTCCTTTTTGAAATAGCCAGGTTAATCTGCATAAAGGCTATGGTGCTTCATTAAGCTTTTTGAAAACTTTCTGGGGTAGGCCAAGTGGCTATTTGTATCAGTTAAACGTAAGTACAACTACTTAAAATAACATTTCTTCCCACTTGTGCTTGAGTCTGGGTCTATATTTTTCCTGATAATAACAGGATAAAATGAATCATTTGATTCCATATTCCAAGAAAAACGTGTCCATTAGGTAGAGGAAGCTCTTAGAAATTATCTCCAAGAGTGGCTTGTTTTGTACCTGTCATATTTATTATAAGGTAAAGGGAGATGTAGACTGGTGGGGGTGATGGTAGTAAATTGAAATGAGTTGCCAGCTGTGTTGCCCAGGCTGGTCTTGAACTCCTGGGCTCAAGCCATCCCACCAGAGAAGGTTCTTAAACCTTTTGCTTTCCATTGGGCATCTTTATCTACATTTTACCTCATCAAGCTCATCAAGTGAATCAGACGCTTTGACTCAGTCATAACATGTTGATGGAGAGTCACTTAGTTGGAAAATATAGACAAGAAGATGGGCTCTGGGAAGAACTGGTAGGTAGGCAATGGCTCTGAAAGTGTGGGGCCCTGGTTTACAGTGTAATGACACCCACCATTTAGTGCCTCAGCCATTATTCAAGTGTGCTGTGCCTTTCCTACTGGCCACGTTAATGAGAGGGTGGAGATAGCAAGTTCCTGCTGAAATTTTCACAGGAAAGCTAAGCCCTTAAATGATGTTTTGAAGGAATGGTTTCTCTACCATCTGTAAAAAAGGCTTGATTAATTATTTTGGTGGCAGAAACTATATGCTGTGCTTCAGGTTAAACAGCAGGAACATATTGAGGTTCTTGGGAAGAGTTTTCCTACAGCCATCAAATAGGTGTCCACACAGGTTAACCGGACTGTGCAATAAGAATGTGGGACATTGGCATGCCAGTGTGAAGTCTGGAAAAGTCGGATGTGATATATGCAAGTGGAAGAGAACTGAAACTATGAAGAGTCATTTGGAAAGCCCCAGTTGTGAGTTTGTGATAGTTGAGAAATGGCACCTCCTCTTTGCATACTTAGGTTTGAGCAGGAAACAAAGAAGTGACTTGAAGTCATGTTATGAAAAGAAGAATTGGGTTGGAGGTCAGACTCTGGATTCTAGACCTGATTCTGAGTTAACTAACATTTTAGCCTAGTTTCAGGCACTCCCCAGTGGCCCAATGAGCCACCCCTTCTTGCAGGCCTCAAAATGCACTGTGATAAAACTGCATAGTATTTTCTTTTCCTTATTTTCATGTTCTAAGAAATATTATTGTCCGGGCACGGTGGCTTACACCTGTAATCCCAGCACTTTAGGAGGCCGAGGCAGGCAGATCTCTTCAGCCCAAGAGTTCAAGACCAGCCTGGGCAACATGGTGAGACCCTGTCTCTAATAAAAATAGAAAAAGACAAAACCCTGGTGTGGTGATGCATGCCTGTGGTCTGAGCTACTCAGGAGGCTGAAGTGGGAGGATCCCTTGAGCCCTGGGGGTGGAGGTTGCAGTGAGCTGAGATCCCGCCGCTGCATTCAAGACTGAGTGACAGAGTGAAACCCTGTCTAAAAAAAAAAAAAAAAAAAAAAGGAGAAGAAAATATAATAAAAATAATACATGGATACTTTCTTAAAATATCAGACACTTGAGAATGTTGAGTAAAATATAAAAGGACTTAATCTGGAGATCATTGCCTTAGTTATAACATAGAACCTTTCTACTTAGGAGAATTTCCCTCTCTCCTACTCCCTATTTGTAAAAATTTTCTTTTGTGGCTTCAGTCAAGTTTCATACTTTTAAATGTTTTTGTTAATTTTATTCTTTGTGTTTTTTTCCTAAACTGTATTTTTGTTCCATTATGATTTTTTCATTGGTTAGCTGAGGTATAGGAAAGTTGTCTTTTTTATTGTCTGTTAATCTTATAACCCGTAACTCCAGAACTTTCTTACTAGCCTCTGGTAGTTTTTTTTAGTTGTTTAAGATTTTTTAGGAAGAAAATCATTGGCAAATATTGGGAGTGTTGTCTCTTAAAGTGTCTTTCTGTTATATTTTCCTTGTGCTAGTACATTGGCAAAGACTTACAGGAGAGTGTTAAGAGAATAGTGGAATACAGGTCAGCTTCGCATTTTGTTGACTTGAGCAAAGAATCTTCTAGTGTTTCATTATTAAATAAGTTTTCTGTAGGCATCTAGTAGATTAAGAAAACTTTCTTATGATCCACCACTTCTTAAAATGAATGTGTGTGTTCAAACTAAAGAGATATATGTATATAGTAGAAATATATGTGTATGCTTGTGTGCATGTGTGTGTATAAACTTTAAATCATCCTCTCAAAATTCCTGAAGTAAAAGTCTATTTTGTTGTTTTATGTGGAATTTTATTTTATTTAAATTTTTATATTTATATATTTTATTTAAAATTTTCATGAAATGGCCAAGCAGGGTTTAATATAAAATGGAAACAGGGTTTATCTCAGAAATTTGGTGGCTAAATTCCTTGTATCCCGTCTTATCTAGGGATGTTGTTTGTTTCAAGGTTCTACCTTGAGAGGAGCCTGTCATTTTCTTTTTTGTGTGCTGCTTTGCCTAGTTGACATCTTGGCTTTATGTGCTCCTGTTGAATGCATTGGGAAATTTTCTTTCTTCTTTCTATGTCCTGAAATAGCTTATATAAGAGGGGAATTTTTGATATTTGGGGGAAATTGCATGGGACTTTTTTTTTTTTTTTTTTTTTTTTAGACAGGGCCTCACTCTATCCTCAAAACTGGAATGGAGTGCAGTGGTGTGATCATGGCTCACTGCAGTCTCTACCACCTGAGTAGCTGAGACTATAGGCACATGCCACCAATCCCACTAATTTTTGTATTTTTTTGTGGAGGCGGAGTTTCGCCATGTTGCTCATGCTGGTCTTGAACTCCTGGACTTAGCCATCTGCCTGCCTTAGCCTCCCAAACTGCTGGGATTACAAATGTGAGCCACCGCGCCTGGCAAGACTAGTACTTCAGAACTGGATTTTTTACTAATTTTTCCATTTCTGTTTCTTTGTGTTTCAATTGTGATAGTTTTTGTTATCCTAGAAAACATCCATTTTCCAGACTTTAAAATTTGCTACATAAAATTATACATACTTTCTCTTGTTTTAAAAAACTCCTTATCTATTTAGCAAATATATTTTGTAATTATGTTGATTTCTGTTTTCTCTCTTCTTGTTTTTCCTTACACTTGCCAGAGGTTTGTGTGTTTTCTTTGGTTTTTTTTTTCAAGTACCTTCTTTTGGTTTCATTGATAATCTACATTTTGTTTTATCTAAATTTAGTAAATTTTAAATTTTATTAATTCATCATATTTAAATATGTTGCACTTTTTCTAGCTTTTTATATTGTATGTTTTGTTCATTTAATTTTTATTTTTACATCTTGCAATTTAAGGCCATTATTTTTCATTGGTTACAGCTTTGGCTGCATCCCTTAGATTTTCTTATATACAGCTATCACTATCATTTATTTGTGTATTGTTTTAAATGTTATTTTGCATTCTTGTGTAGTTCAAGAGTTACTTAAAACACTGTTTTCACAGTCCCACTTTAATAAAATGTTTTTCATGTTGGCAGTGCTACTGTTTTGTTTTTACTATTTAATTTTATTGCATTCTGAGTGGGGAAATGGCATGGATATTTCCTACTTTGGGGGTAATCTAGTAGGATTTTTAAAAATGCTTAGTTTTTTTTAAGCATTTCATATGCATTTGAAAATAATGAATACTATTTCCCTATTTTATTATTATTATTATTATTTTTGAGATGGAGTCTCACTCTGTCACTCAGGTTGGAGTGTAGTGGCACGATCTCAGCTCAGTGCAACCTCCGGCTCCCGGTTTCAAGCAATCTTCCCACCTCAGCCTCCCAAGTAGCTGGGATCACAAGCATGTGCCACCAACCTGGCTACATTTTGTTTTTTTTAGTAGAGATGGAGTTTCATCATTTTGGCCAGCCTGGTCTTGAATTCCTGACCTCAACTGATCTTCCCACCTCAGCCTCCCAAACTGCTGGGATTACAGGCGTGAGCCACTGCACCCGGCCTATTTTCCCTATTTTAATATATTAAACCTTTTATTACTTATTGTCCTTCTAATTGATTTAAATTTCTGAGAGATATTTGTTCTAGTCTTCTACTTTGATTATGGATTTACCAACCGCTCAGGGTATTTATATTTTAAAAAATATATCTCAAAGCTGTATCATAAATGATTAGAAGTTCAGGAATATTTTATATTTTTGGTGGACTATAGGTTTCATCAGTATGAAATATCCAACTTTTTTCTTTTTTTACATTTTTGCCTTAGATTGGCTTTCAATGTATAGTAATGTTCTCTACATGCTTTATTTTTGTAGATTTTATATTACATATTTTTTATATATTTTTATTTTTCATAGTCTCTGTGTTTTATTTTTGATGGTTTGTTATACACAGCATTTAGCTTTACATTTTTCTAGCCTAATGTGACAGCCACTGTAACTTAGTTGAGGAATATAATATCCAAATAAACATAGTTTAATTTTCTTTTTTTCCTTGGCTTGATCACATTTCCTTTGTTTTATATTTTTTGCTGCTTAAAAAAAGGTCTTTTTTTTTCTAATGGTGCAGGAATTATACATCTTATTTCTTGTGAAAGTTATTCTTGCCTTTCTAACTCACATATTTCAAATTATATATCTCTATTAAAGTCTAAATCTGTTTGGTGTCTGTATCTTTCCTAAAAAAGATGACGGAGAGTGTTAGCACATTTTTAATTACTGAGTTTCTCCCTTTGTTCCTCCCCTTTACCTCTCATGTTGAGGTTGATATGTTTCCTTTTTGACGTTTTAAATTGCATCAACAGTCACATAGAGTCTACTAGCGTTTCCTTGCCCCATCTTGCTAATTTTTGTGGACCATGTTGTTCTGGGTTTTTTTGGGTTGATTTGTCATTATACAGTTATATATCCTTATGTAATTTTTTTCAGAAGTGTGGGGGTATAAATTTTCAGAGTCTTTGCATTTTCTAAATTGCCTGTAGTTAGCTCACCTTTTTGAAGGCAAGTTTGGCTACATATAAAATTTGAGTTTTAAAGTCTTGTATCCCCTTTTTCTGTCACATTTTTGTTCTGGCTTGCCTTGCAGCTCTAAATGTAGCACCCCAATTAATCACCCGATTATTGCATCACACTCCACTCCAGCTCCATGTATGTATTGACCCTGGGATTGGAGCATCCTAGATTTAGCTGTTTCTTTGCAGTCTTCTTGATTGGCTGCTGCTTTTTGGCTTGTGATTTATTTATTTTTCCTCTGTAGAGCAAATCCATCTACTTTTATCTTTAAGAATAATTCAAAATTGTTATTCCACCGAAGCTACTCTTCCTTATTTTCTGGCACTATTTGGCATGTATATCTCTTCTAAATTCACACACACACATACACACACACCCAGTATCATTTATGACATATGAGGTTAGAGGAAAAGTAGAAGCTTATGTTTAATCTACCATCCCAAGCCAACCCCTTTATATGGAACTTTACACATTCTAAATGCTTTCAAATACAGTACCTTATAAGGAAGGAGATGCTATTATTCTCCTTTTATAAATTAGAAAACTGAGAGGTTATAAGTCATTTTATTTATTTATTCTTTCATTTATTTCTCCATTAATCCATTGGCTAAATTTGCATCATCTGCTATGTATAAGCAGCCCTCAGTGCCAGAGACACAAAACCCCAGCTTCCAGGACCTCACAGCTGAGAGTGGAAGCAAGTGGGTAACAATAGAGACTTGTGACAATAATTTCAGCATAGGGTGGATTTCAGTTCCATGCATGTTTGAGACACGTGCTAGGTGCAGAGGAACCTGGGGAGAGGCGTCTCTATGTCAGACTTCCCAGTGGAAGTGTTGAGGAGTGTTTCCCAGCGGAAGTGTTGTCATTGATTAAAATCCATGCTGTAAATGTAGGCATGAGTTGACTGCTGTGCTCTTGGTATCTAGTAAAGTTCCTGGTCCCTGGTTGGCACTTAAAAAAAAATAAGTGAATGAACAAACAAAGCTTCCTTGGCTCTCACCGAAGCACTCCTTTTGTACTAACATATGTGATAGTCTCCACAGGCATGATTTCTTTATTTCTCCAAGCATCTCTTTGAGTAGGTACAGTGAATGTCTCCTGTCCACAAATGAAGGGGCCAAGGCTGTGGGGAGTTAAGTGTCTTGTCTAAGGAGGCTTGGATCCCAGGTTCCTCTGACTCCCGACAGGCAAGACTCCTACTGGCCCTATGGCCCCCTCATCCAGATTATTTTAGCCTCTTTTTTCAAACTCTTTCCTGCCCTCTGATCATGTTTCTACCAAGACCAAGTATCACAAACTAATGAAGAGGTATAACTGGCTGCCTCCTGGAGGAGGTATTAAGAAGCATACAGTGGCCAAAGTGGAGGAGGAATAAAAATACCTCCAGAGACCTCAATAATACCAAAATAGCTAGTCACACCATATATGTCTAAGCTTTGATACAGCCTTTCTACATGACATGTTCATTTGGAATTATATTAGACATTCAGGTTTGAATCAGGGCAGGTCACTTGAAATGTCTCAATTCAATGCAAAAGTTATAAGAAAAATAACATTTCCCCCCACACAAGTATATAGCATAGTATAAAACATTCTCAAAAACTTTGTAAAGGAAACACATTTTACAGTTTAACTCATACCTACTTCACTTCCTTCTCCCTCTCCTGTTCTCTGTTCATTATTTCCCTACTTACTAACTGGCTCTTAGTTAATATTTTCGTGGCCTCACCCCCACACCTTTTTAGTTGGTCTCTTTTTTGTGCAAATTGATTTTATTCCTATCTAAGGAGATGCTTTCATCCTTTTTTTCATGCTTTGAGGCCTCATTAGATCACTGCACTCTAATTTTGGGGGGGAGAGTTGTCATTTGCACTATATGTACAGTCTGAGCATCCTAAAGTTCTTGTTCTGAGAAAAACATCGCCATGGTGAGCGGCCCATTTTGAATTAGGAGGACTGGCTAAGGTGCTCACTTAAGCTCTTTGTAGTTTTGTTCAGTCAATTGAGTGTTTCTATGTTACATCTATCTGTCTATATGTCTGTCTATCTATCTATCTATCTATCTATCTATCTATCTATCTATCTATCTATCATCTGTCTATCTATCTACATACCTACCTACCTACCTATGTACTGAGCCCAGGCTGGAGCAGTGGTGCAATCAGAGCTTACCGTCCCCTTGACCTCCCAGACTCAAGTGATCCTCTCACCTCAGCCTCCTAAGTAGCTGGGACCACAGGTGTGCACCACCATACCTGGCTAATTTTTTTTCTATTTTATTTTCTGTAGAGACTGAGTCTTGCTGTGCTGCTTAGGCTGCTTTCAAACTCCTGGGCTCAAGCGATCCTCCTGCCTCAGCCCCGCAAAGTGCCGGGATTACAGGCATGAGCCATTGCGCCCGGCCTTCTCTTTTTAACGTAATATTGAGATTGGGGTCAGACTGTGCTGGTTGTGGGTAAAGCTATTGCAGCCTTCCAGCTATGAAGGCCTGCCCTCCACGATGGGATGGCCAGGCTGGTACCTGAGACTAGTGTTGGAGGCAGTGGCAGCTTCCCTTTGATCTATTGCAGAATGCATTTTCAAACACACACACACACACACACACAAATAAAACTCTGATGTTCACTTTTTAATTGAAAGCTAAAAATGCCCAGCTCCTTTCTGCAGATTGACAAGCTGATATTTCAGCAGTAGCTAAAGAACCCGGTTTAGTAAGCTACTGAATTTTGACGTTTATAAACATTTAATGAATACATTTTTATTTATGTCAGCTTAAAAAATACAGCTGCTGATATCTGCGCCCCCCAACAACTTTTTTTGTCTTAATGCCAAAATTAGAATATTTAAATATTTTAAAATTTCCTGATGAGCACCTGTGCAGGTGTGAGGGCAGCATGAATTCACAGGGAGAGTGTATGAAGTTGGTTATCTTGATGTGCTTGTGGGGAATGTGTATTTCCTTGCAAGGACTGTCATGTGCTACCTGATCCTCTTTCATGGACCTCAGCCACTTTCGCCTCTAACTTGAAAAGGAAACTGGCATTGTGGCACAGGGGCCAAAGGGACACATTTGTAGCCTTGTCCTCAAATCAAGTGGGACTTCTGGTTCTTTCTCTGACCATCTGCTTGACCTTCAGTCTGGTGTCTCCAAGGAGTGTGTCTCTATGGCAGTTTAAAAAATTCTGTTACACTGAGAAAGAGACAAAATGTAAATCTTAAAGGAATCAGTAGATTTTTAACCCCACTGCTGGTGTTGAGAAGACAGTTTGAGTCTTAATCTCTTTCCTTAAGTTTCAAAACATGTAGGATTTATGTTATTGACATGTCAAACTTTTTGTACTTATTCATTAGGGAAGGTTTCAATACACACAAAAATAGAGTATTATAAGATGCGCTACTATGTATTCATTATCCAGTTTCAACAGACGTCACCATTTTCCCAGTCTTTTGTTATATAGTATCCCCTTCACTTTATGTTCCTGAAATATTTTAAGGCAAAGCCTTGACAGCATATTATTTCACCTATAAATATTTCAGAAGCATCTCTAACAAATAAGCCCCCTCCTTTGTTTTACATAGCCATGGTGCCATATCACAGCTAGCAAGACTATTAGGAATTCTTAATAGCATTAAGAACTGACGTTCCTCAGTTGTCTCACAAATGCCTTTTTACAGCTGGCATGTTTGAATCAGAATCCAAACCAGGTTCACACGTTGCATTTGATTATCATGACTTTGAAGTCTTCTTAAAATCTACAACATGGCCAGTCTCCCTCTTTTTAAATATTTAAACTGGGTCCATTTTCCTGTAGAAAGCCCACATTATGGATTTGGCTTATTGCTTCTTTGTGGTGTCATACACCATGTTCATCTGTTCTCCATACTTCCTGTAAGCTGATACTTGCATTTAGGGCAAGCTTGTCTAACCCATGGCCCACAGGACACATGCGGCCCAACACAAATTTGAAAACTTTCTTAAAACACTGTGTTTTTTGTTTTTTTGTTTTTTTTAAGAAGACCAAGTTTGTTTGCAGTGTATGAATGTCTAGGTGAGGCTGGGTTAATGGGGAGAATGAGACTAACATAACATCTATAACTCTCATGACTTTTTGTTATTGTTGTTGTTTGTTTTGTTTTTGGAGACAGAGCCTCCCTCTGTCACCCAGGCTGGAGTGCAGTGGCGCAATCTCAGCTCACTGCAACCTCCGCCTCCTGGGTTCAAGTGATTCTCCTGTCTCAGCCTCCCAAGTAGCTGGGATTACAGGCACGTGCCACCATGCTAATTTTTGTATTTTTAGTAGAGTCGGGGTTTCTCCATGTTGGCCAGGCTGGTCTCGAATTCCTGACCTCAGGTGACCCACCCGCCTTGGCCTCCCACAGTGCTGGGATTACAGGCATGAGCCACCGCGCCCGGCTGAAAACACTATGAGGTTTTTTCATGGGTAATCTTGGATATGTTATTTGCTTCATTCAAGAAGTAGTATGTGGCCATTCATTTCTCAAGATGCTTAGATTGTTCAGTGAGTTCATGTGCTGCCCACCAGATCTCCCTAATACAGAGTTTTACATTGTCTTTCACCTGTTTGTTTTAGGATCTATTGATGATTATTTCATTGGAGGTTGCAAAATAGCCATAAGTAAATTGGTTTAATGAAGCTTCTTCTCCCTACTAAATCTTATCTAGAGTTTAACTATCTATTAATCATTCATTTTTGCACATTTTTACAGCTTTTGTGGGGTATTTTACATTCTTTCTTCTGTTTGAATATAGAGGGTGCCTTGCAAACTTCACTCATTTCACTAGAAGAGGCAACTGTTTAAATCCTACTCTTCTAATATATTTCCTGGTTCATGTTTTCCTGCACATTCATAAATGAGGAGGACGTTGATTTGTCAGTTATCTTCAGTGCTTAGAATAGTTGCTGAAATGTGACAAGAATGTTTATGGAAGAAATTACCTTATAGGTTGTACATGTCCTCTAAAGACATCATAGGCACTCCTACATTGCATTGGTGAAGGGGCCACCAAACAGCAGAATCCTGCAACTTGGTTGAACTATGAAAATGTTCTTGATACATTATAATTTCCTCAACCCCTTTAGCCAGTATTGGCCATTCAGGCAAAGGAATAGAATTTCCAAGACTTGTACTGTATGTTTGCAGAAGGAGGGAGGATGGCAGATAGGTTTGTGTGTGTTGGGATGGAGAAAGTATGCAAATAAGCTAATTAATATCAATTGTTTTTATATCTATATTACACATACACACACTCGCATACACATAAGCACACATAATTAATCACACCCATGAGCACATGTACACAGCTGGTCTACACCAGATTGCCCTGACAATTTTAGAGCTGTGTGCTGAAAAATTTTAGAGGAATTTGGCTTTGAATGTGCAACACGTATTACAGAGCAAAGATCACCTTGGGTCCTAAGGGAGATGACTTTCATCTCTACCATGTGAGTAAAACCTGGGTGATTGAACCATAAATTATTTTGGGTATATAGAACTTTCTTCAAATAACACTTAAAATTAAATGTCCAGGTAAGTGATTTTCAAATCAGAACAACCAAAATTGTTAATAGTTATGATCATGCTTATATACGTATGGAAATGTATATGTATATGGAAATATGGAAATTTGTGTATAAGCATGCTCTGCAGTAAATCAAAAAATGACCATGGAGCAAACATATGAAAATGCTCACCAGCAATGAAAAAAATGACCCTATGGCAAACAATAAAGTAAAATGCTACACTGTCTTCCTGTAGAGGACCTACTAGGTTTGGACAAACTGGCTGTGCTCAAATACATGTGCCAAAATTGAGCAGGCTGGGTGCAAATATTCTAAGGGAATTGAAAGACACTTTTTCGTGAAATAGGTTTAGGTGTTGACATTATCTCTAAAAGTAATTAAAAGATGATTGATGTAGTAAATTTTCTTTTAAGCCATGCCTTTAAGCACATTGTAGGAAAAGGACTGTTAAACACCACATTTTCTTATTTAGAACCCTTGGGGCCATAGGTATTTCACAATTTAAGAATCATTTGCATTTTATGAAGTTAATATGGTGTATATAACATGTCCTGTGTAACTCTCCAGTGAAGTCTGAAACAGCCGCAATGTATATATAGATTATTATTTCTATAGCAAAACATATGAATAGATACACCTAGTAAGACAAAAACAAAAATTATAGATACGTAGATATTCTCACATTAGTTCAGGTTTTGTCACAAAGTACAGCTTTCAAACCTTCTGGAATTTTTCAATTGAGGGAAAGATTGTGAACCTTCAAATGAACAAATAAATAAATATCTACCTTTTCTGAAGAAAAACAAAAGCCAAATAACAAATAAATCAAGAATCACTTTTCATGGTTTTTAAACCCCTCAAATAAATGTCTTCCTTCTTTCAGTTCATAGAAGATTTAGAATTATAAAATAAAGAAGGCCTATCCACATGGTCTATATATGTCTTATATATCTATATCTATATCTATATCTATATCTATATCTATATCTATATCTATATCTATATCTATAAACAATTTTAGAATTAGCTCGTCCCACACAAAAATAGTTTTTTTGTTGTTGTTGTTTTTTGTTTTGCTTTTTTTGGGATGGAGTTTTGCTCTTGTTGTCCAGGCTGGAGTGCAATGGCACTATCTCAGCTCAGTGCAACCTCTGCCTTCCGAGTTCAAGCGATTCTCCTGCCTCACCCTCCTCAGTAGCTGGAATAACAGGCGTGCATCATTAATTTTTTTATATTTTTAGTAGAGATGGGGTTTCACTATGTTGGCCAGGCTGGTCTTGAACTCCTGACCTCAGGTGGTCCACTCACCTTGGCCTCCCAAAGTGCTGGGATCATAGGCATGAGCCACTGTGCCCAGCCAAAACTTTAGATTTTTATCCTGTTTGTGCCTCAAAGCCTATTCAGTTGAAAGGCTGATGGGCTCGCTCTGAGGTCCATTGTTGGCTGGGGGAGAGCATTAGGGAGCTGACTTTTGGCAGATGAGGAAAACAGCATGATCACTGCTTTTGCCACTCTGCTTTGTGGAATTGACCCACTCTGAAGTTGTTCTCACTCGACAGCAATGCAGGCATTTATCCAGTGCTTCTACAAGAAATAATTTGGGCAAAAGCAGTAAGGAAGTAAGCCTTAACAGAAAAGTGGGACCCAGCAATAGGAGAATCTACACATCTGCTAAGCCCAGCCATCATATATATATGTGTGTGTGTGTGTATATATATATATATATACACACACATATATATACACACACACACACACATATATATACACACACACACACACACATATATATATATATATATATATATATATATATATATTTTGGAGATGGAGTCTCACACTGTTGCCTAGGCTGAAGTGCAGTGGCATGATCTCGGCTCACTGCAACCTCCACCTCCCGAGTTCAAGCAATTCTCCTCCCTCAGCCTCTTGAGTAGGTGGCACTACAGGTGCATGCCACCACACCGTTAATTTTTTGTATTTTTAGTAGAGACAGAGTTTCACCGTATTAGGATGGTCTCGATCTCCTGACCTTGTGATCTGCCTGCCTCAGTTCCCAAAGTGCTGGGATTAGAGGCATGAGCCACCATGCCCAGCCCTTATATATTTTTAATGTGCATTAGTAAATTATAAATAATGACAGTCTCCATGTGGAAAATGAAAATCAACTTAGCTTATACATTTTTAAAAATCAGTCAAGTGGTCTTGTCTCATATACATAGACCTTGAAAGATTTGTTTTCAGTACATTCTGTAGAAGGCTCTTGAATATCTGATAGACTCCCCTGGCAGCTTTCACCTGGTGTGTGCATGCACAGATATAATCACCTTAGTCTTTATCCTGCAGTAAACAAAGTTCAAGAGAGATTTCTGAAATGAAGATAATCTTCATTCTGCCTTTTGCCGCTACCTAAAGTTCCCTTGGAGGACTCTGTGAAGTTACTCAGGTTATATTTTTTATAACAAATATAAACCACAGAATTTGCCAGAATGAGAAATATTCTGATGAACATCATGATTTGACTGAGGATGGAGGAATTGTAGGGAATGGTTAAACTTGAAGATACTTTTTAGAAAAACAGGTCATGTGCTACAGAAGCTACTTTTAAAAACATGCTTTTTCATTAAATGTAAATTTACCACATTATTTTATATATCTTCATTAATTTAATAAAACTCCTGCTAGGCTTTTGTAAATTTTCACAGATATAATGTTACCATAGGCATCTATGCACATGTATTTTTGTACACTTGTCCAATATTATCCATAGAGTTAAAATTTTTAACTTGAAACTTCTAAGTCAGAAGGCATATGCTTTTAATATTCTGCAGTACATTTTAACTTGCCTTCCAGAAAGTTTATACCAGATTACATTCCCATTAGCTATATATGAAAGTGAACTTCCTCACTGGCAGTTGAAAATTTGTCTTATTTTAATTTGCCAGATAGCTTGTCATATATTTATTGCCAAATTTCAAATTCATTCCTTTTATAAAGGAATGGTTCATGTTCTTCCCCAGTCTATTTAGTTTTATTCTTATTACAATGTAAGAGCTTTTCATTTATTAGGAGTATCTTCTCATTAAATATTTGTTAAGAAAGATTTTTGTTCAACTTTGTATGGTTTGGATAATGTTTTCATTTATTTTTATTTATTTATTTATTTATTTAGAGACAGAGTGTCGCTCTGTTTCCCAGGCTGGAGTGCAGTGGCAAGATCTTGGTTCACTGCAAACTTCGCCTCCCAGGTTCAGGCGATTCTTCTGCCTCAGCCTCTCTAATAGCTGGGATTACAGGTGTGCACTACCACGCCTGGTTAATTTTTGTATTTTTAGTAGAGACATGGGGTTTCGCCGTGTTGGCCAGGATGGTCTTCAACTCCTAACCTCAAATGATCCACCTGCCTCGGCCTCCCAAAGTGCTGAGATTACAGGCATGAGCTACTACGCCCAGCTGGGTAATGTTTTGAAAAACGAGTATGTAGTCTGGGTCCCAATATGTTCTAATTTTTCTAGCTCTAATGTCATAGCTAACAAAGGCCATCTCTACTTAATTGCTTGTACTTTATTCTCAGGCTTTTATGTTTTAACCTTTGCATTTAAACATATTTTAGTATGAAGTGTGAAGCAAAAACGTAAATTTTTCCCCTTAAATGCTAAACAAACTTTAGTTACCATTTATTGAATAATTTATCATTTTCTCATTGATTTTTTTTTCAATGACAGCCTCGCCATAAATCTTTCTGTAATATTTCCTGATCTGGCAGCAGCCGCACATTGCTTTAATTTACTTTGTTTAAAATGTATATATTCTCAACTTACATCTTTGTAAAAATTTTCTTAACTATTATCATGCATTAATATTCCAGATAAGCTTTAGAATTTGTGTCTTCTCTACCCTATCCATTTTTCTCTCTTTGGAATTTGTTTGAATTTGCATTAAAGTCTCCTTTAATTTTGAGTCATCCAATCACATTTATGCAAATACTTTCCTGGGAAATATTTGTGTGAAAAGATTTTCTTTTAAAAATTGATATACAAGATTATTTCGGTCTTTTAGAAGTGTTTATACTGCTGAATCCTTTCATGATTTTTGTTAAACTGGCTTGTGAACTAGTTCAGCAAGTCAGTGTCGTATGCTGAATATCTAAATATATTTATAATGAGAAATATAAGAAAACATAATAAGAATATTTCTGTCTTACATCCGTGGAGAGAAAATAGAATATTTATAAATGCAAATGCTCTACAATTACTCTAAGGAAACTTAAAGATCACAGTCCTATTCTAACTCTGTAAAGTTATTTGCTTGTTTGTTATTTTAACAGCATCTTTCTCATAAGCATTTAAGGCTGGTTATAATGTTTTGTGTGTGAATATTGAGTAAACCAAATGATTGGAGGCCCGTTATTTTTACAAAGATTTTATGGAATAAGCAAGTTCGGAATGGATTTCGAAAAAGAGACAGTCCCTGTTTCAGTGTGGAAGGGACATTGGAGTCCAAAGGTCAGGGTCAGATACATGTTTTCTTCTTTTTTTTTTTCCTTCCTTCCTTCCTTCCTTCCTTCCTTCCTTCCTTCCTTCTTTCCTTCCTTCCTTCCTTCCTTCCTTCCTTCCTTCCTTCCTTCCTTCCTTCCTCTTTTTTTTTTGTTTTTGTTTTTGGAGACAAAGTCTCATTCTGTTGCCCAGGCTGGAGTGCAGTGGTGCGATCATAACTCACCGCAGCCTCCAACTCCTGAACTCTTGGGCTCAAGTGATTCTCCCACCTTGGCCTCTGAAAATGCTGGGATTACAGGCATGAGCCATTACACCTGGCCATTTTCTTTTGACTAGAGCTGAAGTTCTGAAACTAGCAGTCATTGGAGATAAGACAGGAGAAGACAGTTGGGAGGCTCCAAGCATGTGATTTCAGGAAAAGCATGAGTTGATTATTGAGAATTTCAGATGTGAGATTTCCAGGAACAGTGTGAGTCCAGAAGATGTAAGAAAGATCAGTGGAATTCACACAGTTTGGTTATTCATGCATCTTCGAATATTTTTCAGATAATCTCGGGTGGATACTTCAGTTATTTCTGCCTCAGCCCACCTTATTTGTAAAGCAGTATTAGTAGAATCCCCTCCTTGAGGGGTTCTTCATATTAAATAAGTTGCATAGCCAACAGCCTGAGGCATACCAAACACTGTATAGATATTTGCTGTTATTTGTATGATTGCTGCCTTTTACTGAGTGGCATCCTGGGCTGGTGCTTGGGACTCAACAGTGAGGACATTCCCTCCCACATCTGCCTGTAATGCCAAGGCCTTGTGATAGGGAGTGGCCTGAAGCCCGGGGTAGAGGAGTGGACCTCCCCAGCATAGCTGGGGAAGGAGTCTCAAGGAGATGACATTTGACCAGTCCTCATGGTTGTTTGCAAGTGGCTTCTCTGCTGTGGAATGGGAAGAAAGGGTCTTCCAGGAAGAGGGGTTAGCCTTTGTAAAAGTGCAGAGAAACGTTTGTATGAGCAAGAGAGTAATTAGGGAACCGTGAGCAATTCCATGTGACTCTGACTATAGGTAGGCTGCAGGGAAGGGAAGAGACAGATGAGGACTGTCTTCCTAGTGCCTAGAACAGTGGCTGGCCCATAGTAGGTATTCGGTGCATCTTAGTGGAGAAATGTGTGAAAGAGGAAAGAGAGGGCTGGGAGGTAGACTACTACTAGATTGGCTATGGGTGGAGCTGGGGGCTCAGCATTTTCAAGCTCTGAAGTTTGGTCTCCTTGAAGGAACAGGAGCAGCTCTGGATTTTAGAAGGCCAATTCTGTCCACAGTGCACCAGTGTTCTAGGTGAGGTTGGATGATGGGGAGAGGGAAGTCTGAAGATAGCATCCATAAATCTCATGACATTTCTATCCCAGCAGTGCAATCAAATGTTGAGAATATGTCCTGTAGCTTTCTTTTAGAAAAGGGGTTAGCAGGCCAGGTGTGGTGGCTCAGGCCTGTAATCCCAGCACTTTGGGAGGCCAGCGCGGGTGGATCACGAGGTCAAGAGATTGAAATCATCATGGCCAACATGGTGAAACCCTATCTCAACTAAAAATACAAAAATTAGCTGGGCATGGTGGCATGCACCTGTAGCCCAGCTACTCGGGAGGCTGAGGCAGGAGAGTCGCTTGAACCTGGGAGTTGGAGGTTGCAGTGAGCCAAGATTGCGCCACTGCACTCCAGCCTGGTGGCAGAGTGAGACTTCTCTCAAAAAAAAAAAAAAAAGGGTGGGGGGCGGGCAAATTATGGCTTAAGGCCAAATCCAACCAACAGCTTCTTTTTATAAATAAAATTTTACTGGAACACTGTCTGACCTGTTTATTTACATATTATGTATGGTTGATTTAGCGTAACAATGGCAGAGTTGGGTGTTTTCAACAGAGACCACATGGCCAGCAATGACTAAAATATTTTCTATCTGGTCCTTCAAGAAAAATGTTTGGTGACCTCAGTGTTAGAAGATTGTTTTTAGGTATTTAATGGTGCCATTCTGGAAAAGTTGGCATTGTTGGAAGAGTTCAAATTGATGCATGTGTAGCCTAAGAAAAATGGGGCCATATCACTTCCTATGAAGAAACACACCAAAATTTTAATTCAATTCTTAAGTTGTTGTCTTGATTATCTAAGTTCTGTCTCTAGTCTCCTATGGCTATTTTTGTGGCTTTGACCCTAGCTGACCCAGCCTATTGTCAGTAGTTAAGAAGGTAGATTCCAAGTGCTCAATGTCATGTTAAGACTTCCTTGCTACCTACTAAGGGAAGTCATTTTTTTAGCCAGCTGTTTTAAGTTCTCCTAACCTATTTCATATGCTATGTTCCCACAATAACC
Source organism: Homo sapiens (assembly GCF_000001405.40). Classification (NCBI taxonomy): domain Eukaryota; kingdom Metazoa; phylum Chordata; class Mammalia; order Primates; family Hominidae; genus Homo; species Homo sapiens. The sequence goes on along the minus strand of NC_000018.10, from coordinate 55,360,128 downwards.
ATTCCCTTCTCTTGCCATTTCTTTGTCCTCTCTCCTGCAATGTTTCTTCTACTGAAAGAATACGGCACTACTGAATCTGTTTCTCCTGGGCAGGGCTTGCATTATCCCACCTGTTCCAAATTCTTTTTAGAACCGGGCCCTTTGGGTGAATGATGAACCATTTAATAGCCCCATGTACTATAGAAATTTAACCATTTTCAACCAAACCTGTCATAGATAAGAACAAAGGTAAGCCATCATGTGTCTAGAAAAACATACAACTGATTTCCTCACAGACATTACAAGTTCTTACTCTTCAAATGTACTTTAAAGGACTGAGAGTGTAATTAGGAATCAGCAGAAGTTTTGTGGAAAAGAGGCATTGAGCCTTTTGCATATTAAGGATCAAATTTTATGTTTTGTATGAAGCATTCATGAGGTGATGTTCTTAAAAACCACTCCAGAGGCACAGGAGGAACGCTGAGGACAAGACTGAATATAGAGATGGAGGAATTACGTGTCTACTGGGTAGAGATGGAGAAGGCATATTTATACTAGGGATGGTTGAAATCATGCAAGCATCTTCCATAGCTAATAAATTATTTTATCCAGTTGGCCTTTACTGAGGGCATACTGTGTACCGGGGCCCACCCTGTTGGATGCCAGGAATACAAAGATGATCAGAGTTCACTTTCTGCGCTTGAGGATCCCACAGATTAGAAAGGAGGAAAAAGAGTTACTTTCCATACAAGGCTATAAATGTTACAACAGTTGAATTTTTCAGATGAAGTGGAAGGAAACGTCTAGAAGGAAGAGGACTGAAATGAAAGAAGACTGGGGGAAAAGAAATAATAATAAACAAAAAGAAAAATAATTTGAAACTTTTTAGAGAAGATGATTGACCCCATTGTGGAGATCAAGATTAAAGATGAATGGCAGGCAGCTGTGGAGAGCAGAGGTGGAGATATTGGGAGGATCAGACTAAAGAACTGAAATTTCAGTTGTCCAAGCGGGCATGCTGTTCTACAGCCTCACATGTCTTGGGCCTATTAGAAATATATATAATCTATCTATGCATGACTTATATACCATACATCACATCATTTCTTCCAAACTTACATTATAATATAACACATTCTGTATTAGTATATAGTAAGATTTTAAAATGTACAACATATTTAAATATACTCCTTACAATTAAGCCTCAGTAAGTGCTAGGAACTTTGCTAAGCACTTTGTATTATCTAACTGAATTCTTACCATGGGTAGGCACTCTTATACAACATTTCCCAGGCAAGGAGTTTTGCCCACCAAGGTTAGACAGATTGTCCAGGATTATCCAGGGGGTAAGTGGCACTCACACCAGGGCTTGTCTGACCCTACTTAATTAGATGGGCTCCTATGAAGTAAATTTTAGGATAAGCTCTTGACTTAAAAATGAGCCTTCTAATGGTTGTGGGAGAGGGAGAAAAAACAAGTTTACAGAAGATAGCGGGTGAGTGTGGAGCAGAGAACTAGCATAGGCTTTGAAGTCAAGCCTAACTGAATTCCCAGCTTGGCTCCACTGCTTGCCAGCCACATGGCATTGGTCAGGTCACATAACCACTCTGAATGTCCCCATCTGTACATTGGGGTTTGTAGCATCTGCCTTGTTAGCATGTAAAGGATCTGCACCTGTGCCTGGCACTTAGCAGACACTGTGACTTGTAGCTGCTGCTGCTCCTGCTATACCTACCGTCCTTGCCACTCTTCTTATATTCACATCCACCCATCCTCCTCCTCATACTACTATTACTACCTATGCTAATACTATGGTGGTTATGATGAGCAGCAGTAGTAGTTGGAATGCCTCAAAGATAAGATTTATGCTAAAAAACAGAAGCACAGTAGTTATTTAAGACCTCGATTTGATCAATAGCATTAGTTCTGCATTTACTTCAATATTTAGTGAGCATGTGCCATGGCAGGTCTCTGCGCCAGGCACTGTAGAAAGTTAAAACATGAAGAAGTCATTTCCTCTTTTAGCTGCCATATCCTCTAGTTTGACCTTTACGCCATATACTCTTGGTCAGATATTCAAGAAAGAATCTTGGGAGGGAAAGAGTTAGTGCTCATCGAGTGCAGACTGGCTTGAAGCTGTGCATAGCTTTGGAAGGAATGTCAGGACTTAAATAATTTCAGGATGAGTTGAAGATTACATTGAGCATTTACTACTTCTCCAGATAATCTCAATTTCCGCCCATCATGTGATGGAGGTGTCACCTTATTTACAGGTTCAGATTGTTAGCGGGACACTTTGTTATAGTGATATCTTACAGAGTTGGCCATTAGGCTATAATTGAGCCTTTATGTGGGGTGCTGGGTAGGCCACATGACCCTGGTTCCTGTTTCCAGGGAGGCCAACCTACATAAAAATGGCTGTCATATATCGTTGCTCAGAGGGGCAGATATTTACAACAACCTTGAAATGGAACTTCCACCCAATATGATGAAGACTGACTTGTGACAGTTTGATATGCCTTTATTTTGCTAAAATAGCAACCTGGCCAAATATATTTTTCAGCACATTTATTATAGCTACTTGTTTATATTTATAGCAAAAGTGTTGCTAATTCCCTAGTATGTTAACAGGTCATATTCAAATTGTTCTATTTTTACTTTGGCACAAAATTGCTGAAGGAAACATTTTTAAGGCAAGTAGTGATTATAGCATATCAACTCACTACATAGTGAATTATATATTAAATGAACTTCCTGAACTGAGAAGGAGCTTAAACTGACAAAGAAGATAGTTTTCTTAAATTCTGTATTGTTTACATAAGATTTCTTCAAATCCATTTTTTATTATAGGTTACTGATTGTCTCAATGTTTTCTTTTTGCTAAATTTCTACCTTCCCGCCAACAAATATAATCCCCCTTTTAATATATAATAGATGACCTGGGATTCCAGAATGGATTTTCAGAAACCATCAAAAAACCTCCTCGCTTTAGTGTATACAATAAATAATATATTCTTTTTTAAAAATATGAGAGTCAAATAGGTATATGCGTAAACCTGGCCAACCCTTGGGCAGTTGTAATTTCCATACCAAAATGCATGAGTCTTTACTTGACTGTTACTCTGTTATACATTAAGTACTAGTTACCATGGCAACCTTTGCATCACATTATGACATTTAAATATAAGGTGGTGTGTTTCCTTATAAGGAAAGACAATGTATTTGAATTTTTGAGTGTTTGGTGAAATACAATCACTACTAAAATAAATAATTTTGTTTAAGGCAATTGATTTCTTTGGGAATTACGTACATTTCCAACCAAACCTATGGAGTGCATTCATTTATTTTTATTTTTTTGTGATGTCATGGAGAAGTAAAAGATTTTTTTTAAAACAACGCTTGATAAGTATAACATAATAATTCATTAAATGCCTATAATTACCCTCGTAAGTGGCAAAACACAAAATTGAACCATATTTGAGGTTATTTATCAGTGACCAATACTGTAGCAAGAGTTCGAATGTAACATCACAAGATTTATGAAATTCTATCGCATATAACACATTTCTTATTTTTGTATATCTAGTTGGTTAACTGTAACTAGTTTTGATCTTACCTATAGTTGAATTAACAGTAGCAGTTTGCTCATGCGTGCAAAAGCAAAATTAAAGGAGCCACTGAACTCATCCTTGTGGCATTTCCAGGAACATGGCCACTTAAATTTAATTATGAAGATTGTTGGGCAATTTCTTTATTAAATATGGAAAAAACCTAGTCATTTCTTGTTGCCAGTGTAGCTCTAGGCCATAAGGCTATCATCTTTGTTATGTAGACTCCCATATATAACTCATTTTTAACTTTTTATAGTAACTTTTCCAAATTATTATCACAGCTTGTACTTTTTAATCTGAAAATAGAGAATCTAATGATCACTCATAACTTTTGGTGCATCTTTTCAATAATAATCAGTGGATTGTAATATGGGACTGTTTTGTGTGGGACATAAGAAAGAGGTAAGCTCTGTGCTGGACCCTGGCTCTGCGGAACATTTTACATATGTTGTTTCATCTATTCCTGATAACCCTATGATAGAGCTCTTATTAGTCCCTTTTTACACGGGAAGAAAGTATGGTTTAGAGCAGTTGCATAACTCACCCCCAAATACATTGTCTGTATTTCTTTGAGCTAAGGTTCAACCAGATTGGTCTGACCTTAAAGCCCTCCCTCTTTCCTTAATAGATTTGACTTCTACTTCTGACTTGTTACAGACACAATGTGCATGATATGTTTAATGTAGAAATAAAAAACACTGACAAAAAACCTTTAAAAATGTTTGCTAAATAATAATTTCAGTAATTTGTATTTCTCTGCAGCACAGCAGTTTTTTAAGTCCCTGATTTGCAAGATATCTTGGTCTTTGTAAGTTACCCAAGTCCTCTTTTGTTGAAACCAAGCATAGGACAGAAATAAAAATAAATTATAAAGGTGTACTCTTGGACCTTCAGGAATCAGGAAAGAAGACTGTCCAAAGACTGACCTTCAATTTTGAGCTTTGAAGTTCAAAAGTGGACAGGTGGAAATACTGTGTTCTTCATTGCCCTTTGGTGCGAGATATATTCTAGGTTGCAGAGTAAGTGCCAACAGCAGCAAAATTATCGCCCCCCTCCTGCTACTGTAGTAAGTCAGCAATGGCCCTTCTGTGGTCAGAATGGCACATTCAGCAGCAACTATTCGACAGGGATTTACAGAAACTTCCCCATGGCTGTTAGGAATCTTATTCAGCAGTGTCTTTGAAAACCCGATTCTGTGCAGAATTAGCTATGTAGAAATGACCTAGGTTGTGATAAAAGGTATTTTAAACAAATCTAACTTGTAATTTCACTCAATGTGTATTTTGCATTTAATGCCACAAAGTCTGGTAGATACCTACACATATATTTTGCATTCATAAGTTTTATAGTGGTTCAGAATTTTTTTCCATATTAACATTTTAAAAAATCCTGGCTTTATAGAGTCAGTTCACCATACAAAGCCACTATACATCACTTAGGTTTGTGATGAAAGAATGGAATTGCAGCTGTGTGAGTACTAGAATACCCAAACATGAATTAGACTCACAAGCATTTGGCAATAGTTCAGAAAAAGAGCTTAATCTGGTTTCATCTGAGACTGCTTTTCTCTGTTCTGCAACATCCCCCCAAGATGTTGTGTCTGATACCGGATCACAACGTAATGGGAGTGACGCAGAATCGAGAAAGCCCTGAGAAACCAGGGGCACATTTGCTTTTCTCCAGAGATTTTCTTTCTCCTACTTCTTTTTTCCCCTCTTCCAGTTTCCAACTCTGAAATTCAAGGTCATTCACCTATTAGATGCATTAATTATAAGCCAAAAAAGCAGTATTCATCGTACTCTGATCTCAGTCATATCTATAATTAAGTGTAAATATAATCTTCCTTTTTAGAAATGTACCACCCACCCATTACATTTAAAGTGCTGACTGAAATGAAATAATAGTTCAGAGCAAGATGATTTTAGTTTAACTAGAAAAAAGTTGATAATTTAAGCTTCAAGCAGTGAGTTCTATTTTTGATTACCATTCAGTTATAAATCTAATTTGAGATATATGCTGCTTTTCTGTTACTCAAGTTTAATTCATGGTTTGCTTTCTTGGTTGTATAAGCAAAGTTCAGTGGTTGATCAAGGCTGTTAAGAAGCTCCCCTGAAAAGGAATGGGGGCAGGGTTGAGAATGTGTTCGAAAGACATTCTGAGACCTATATCTGATGTAAAACAAACAAATCCGATGTAAAACAAACAACAAAATTTTAATTGAAAAAGACACTCACAGAGTGCTGTATTTGGGGATTTGAATGGCCAAGTTAGGAATGGCCATTTGCAGGGGAATTGGCTGCAGAGGGTGAACCCCAAAACATTCCAACCTGGTTGATAAAGTCAGTGTGTTTTATTCTTTGGTTACAGTATTTTAGGTCTTTTGGGAAAAAAAATTAGGAGCGAGTAAGGGGAAGGGCTTGTCTCATCACACTGTGGACAGTTAAGCAAAATGCTAAACTATGGGTTTAAGATTTACAGGTTAGCTCTGCCAGATGCCACATCTGCCTCCAGTGTTTCCTGGCAGATTCGGGCAGCCTACTACTGGGACCCAGCATAACCGCAGAACATGAGCTTGCACAATGTGAAAAACCTAAAACCATTATAATCCTATTTAAGGCCAGGATGAATTTGCCCATTTTGAAAGTAGATGTAGTTTTCAAGCTTAACTTTTATTAAGCAGAAACTTGTCTTCAGAGCTATATCTATATATGCAGGTAAATTCATAATATAAACAAATACCTTATCCATTTTGTGCAAAATTTAATTTACTTTAAATCAAACGCCATTCACTTTTTAAAATTCATAAACTCAGGTTTTTCAGCCAGTGGAAAATTTATCTTTCTCATTGCTACAGAGAGTTAAGTATCTGACGTAAAGGCCAGACAATAGTAAATGGTCATTGTTCGCTTTATAAGTATACTCTACAATAAGAACACATATATTTTTATCTTCATTTTCCCTAAGGAGGTGTTTAGGGCCCCCTTAAATGTGAGGAAATGTTTATTTTTGTTGCTTTAGAAGAATGATTCTATTGTCCAAGTGAGAAAGAAATAGGAACAAACAGGTCTAAGGAGAAAGAAACAGGAATGTGCTTTGTGAAAAAAATAAAGATTAACAGGAACCACTAAAGGTTTGTAAGTGCTATCTGGTCCTAGTGCTATGTTACTGCACATAGTCCTTGCGCCTGCATATGTAAGAGTTGGATGCGTGATTTATTATGACTGGCCCATGAAATTATTTTCTTTTAAGTTAACAACAATAAGGTCAACCACAGCCTGTAGCTGTTTTGTAGTTATTTTATATTTTTCACAGCTCTATTGTGAATGCTGCTAAAAGACAGTATAGCAAGTGTGTGTTTTTAGGTTGACCCCTTGAATGCATTTAATTTCTTGAGAGTGAAAACCTTTGCCACCAGGACCAAGAGGAATTAACCAATGGTTAAACTCATTTAAAAACACAAGCAAGCATTTCAACATATTTGCTTAGCCGTTTTCTGAATATTTAATATACTTCTAGAGAAAGAAAAATGAAGAAATAGGGGTGATTTGTGTCTAGAATACAAAGTTATTTTCAAACTCCTCTTTCCAATGAAATGAAGACTCATTCGTAGATTTACCAAACTGTAAGGAGGTTGTGATTTCAAATCATTCACAGCTTTATTGATGGAAATTTCAAAGAAAACTTGGACACAGACTTCACTGTAACTTTCTTTGTTAATAAGAAATGCGAAGAGTGAAATTTAGGTTGAGATTCAAAAACTTTTGAATGCCACTCCTAAATGATAAATTATTTGTTACTAGATTTCTGATTTATGCAAAACTTTATTATAATAAGCCTTATGTTTTAGTTTGTCATTGTGTAGTGTTTTAATATGTCTCATAAGTTCAAAAGAGGCAATAGTTGAGCATGCAGATGTCAGATTTTTATCTGATAAATCTGGTTTTATCAGGTATTTATGTGGTAAACATTAAGATACTAGCAATGAGTTTATTACTCAAAATGTGCTTTCAATCTGAAATCTCATCCTTGAAGTTGTATTTTGAAGTAATGTTTATTACATATCTCTTGAAAAAGTCTTAAACTGGAATCAGTAAAGGCGAGCTTGTCAGTAGCTGATTAGTCCTTTATATATGACTCATCCAACACTCAGAAAAACCCCTTGGAATAGAGAGGTTCTCTTTATGATATTTAGCTATATGGCGGTGGAAAGGGGAGGTTTGAATTTTTGATTTTCCAGCTTATGGGTCATATTTGACCAACTGCTTTCACTAGAAGACATGCCACTTTGTTGAGCTATTTAGGAATCAAAAAGACTGTCTTAATTTAAAACAAGGACCCTTTGTTTTAGTTGGTGACTGCCTTGTGAAATTTTTCAGTTCTCAGCGGGTTAACCAGGGAACAGGGGCAGAGTCATAATTGGCCTATTTAGAGTATTTTGCATGTGAATAGTGTGTTAGTGAAGCATCCCTAAGTCTGTTGTGAGTGACATGGTGATTAGAATTTAGATTAGGGAAAACACATTCTGTACTTTATCAAGGACAGTAATTAGTTCAGTCAGTAAAAGTTGATTACAAGTAACGATAAAGTTAGATTTTTAGTACTTAATTTTAAAATTTCTTTATTAAATAGTAAATTTGTTCTTAATATAAATGGTACTATCTACTCTTGTTTTATTGCATATCAGAATAATTAAAAGAACAATGTGTTCAATGCAGAGTATAATCAAGCGATTTATATATTATGGGTAAGTTTCTATGTAGTTTTTAGAAAATGTAATATTATATAATCTTTCTGATGTCATCATTTTTAGAAGTTTAATAATTGTCACACTGTGATAGGTTATTGTGGAAGTTTTCTAGTGTTCAGGTAAATGTTTAATCTGTGGGATGTGTCTTAGCTTCCGATAGACCTCAAGAGGGCATTCTGAAGTCCTTTGTGGCTGTTAGCTTGGAATATCTGCTATTTCTGTAATTTTGAGAGTTAGTGTGAGGATTTGAATTTCCTCTTGGTTCAGTTGGCATTTTCTCTTCTGTGGGTGCTATGTCAGTTCGTGGAGAATCATGATATGCGGTACAGAGAGGCAGGGTTCTCAGTCGAGTTCATAGGCTACACTTACCCCCAGTGTATGCAGCCAGGGGAAGTTGTGTGCGTTCACAAAATGAGGTTCTTCTTGTTAAGGAAGGGGATGAATAGTTCCCAGATATGAGCCTCAGTCTAGAGAAAGGAAACATTAGTCTTATATAAATGCCATTTGTTTTGTGAAATGAAAACGTGAGTCATCTTAAAAGACTTAAAAAAATATTGTTTAAAGGGAATCATCTACTTTCCTCCTAAAAGTAAAGAATTAAAAATTCACAAACTTTGTGATAGCTTCTTAGACTGCCTTTCTTTTGGGTTTTTGTTTTGTTTTAATTGTCTCAGCTTAGCAGATGCTGTTTGCTTTATTGCATTGGTTTAAGTACTAACAATCAGTTGGGAGGTGGTGAAAGTAAAAAATTAACCTTATATGTTTGTTTTCCCTTTTTAACCTTTTAGCAGAGTCTCCTTGGAGGTGACATGGATATGGGCAACCCAGGAACCCTTTCGCCCACCAAACCTGGTTCCCAGTACTATCAGTATTCTAGCAATAATCCCCGAAGGAGGCCTCTTCACAGTAGTGCCATGGGTAAGGTATTCCTTTGTTTGAATGCCTGAGGGATGATTATGCCTTTTTCTTTTTTTCTTTCTTTCTTTAAAATATCGCCCCCCCATCCTACCTCCCACCCCAAGAAAACCATAAAATTTGGCTCAGTTGTCAGCCTGGAGACTTCCCCCCTAGTACACTGAGTAGGTACGTTAACAGCTTATGGTAGCAGAACTTTTTTGGTGTCTGCTTATGTCTAGTTTTCTCTTAGCTGCACCCATAAGGAAGCTATTAAAAGATCAAAGTAGCAAAAAGTTAAATATCTTCATTTTTATGAACAAAGCAGAATTTGATTTCTGCTAGAATCGAATGTGATCGTGGTAACTACAGTTTGCTAAGGTAATGATTTAAGGAAATGTGGTATCATCTAGAAGTCTTTGTGGTTTAACCTATCTTAGTTAGGAAAATGGGCATTTGGGAGCTGAAAGCATCTTCATTTTCTTTCAGAGGTACAGACAAAGAAAGTTCGAAAAGTTCCTCCAGGTTTGCCATCTTCAGTAAGTACTGCTTGTTTCTGCTTTGTATATTGCTTATTTTGTTCTGTTTTGTATTGATGGGAAGGAGATAGAAGTAAATGAGTTTCCATGCGCCCAGAGCAGCACGTTTATCTAGAAGGTGGATGAGGTAGAAATGACCTGCACATCCAGCCACCTGACCCACATTGGAGTGATTAATTGCACATCCTGGAAGACTGGGTGGTTATGTTGATATTCAGCAGGTTAAGCTCTAAAGAGAGCCTTGAAAAGGTGCCTGAAGTTTGAGGAGTTTTACCTGTACAGGGCTTGCAAGAGAATGAGTATTAGTTTCATGTGTTGGTTAAATTCTTTGTCAGTATTATGATGATTTATGGATTTGCATGCGAAAGGAGATTTGTGGAGAGGATTTAGGAAAAATTTACATGGGTTTCAGCCCAGAGTGCAGGAAGAATGTCTCTATTTTCTGGAGAGGTTGCTGAATAAAGGCTGCAAAGGTAGCTGCATCAGTAGCCATTTGTGTCTTTACTACCAGGTGACAACTAGAAGTAGTCAGCTGTAACCAAGAGCATTCTGGGTCTTTTTAACAGCTGGAGCTCTATGCAGAAGTTGCTGATATCCCCCACCCACCCCCAGGTCCCTAGTACAGCAAAAGTTGGTTGTGATCACAACTCAATACATGATATCATATTTTGAATTCTTACGTTCCTAGATAATTGTATTTAATTTTATTTAGGACTAGTCCATTTCTAGTAATTTTCTCCTCATATAAAATGAAAACATAGTTTCCTCTCTTCTTTCTTTGTTTCTTTATCCTTCCTCCTTTTTTTCATTCTTCCTTGCTGTGATATAAAGTTTTGATTTAATTCTGTAGAGTACTAGTATTCTTTGAAAAGAATGCTGAGACTTATTGTTTTTATACTTTAATATAAAATCATATTTAGATTTCTTAAAGTATATTACCAATCAATGCTTGCATATTAGTTTCATTTCATTTTTAATGTATTAGAAGAATAATAGGTCTTGCAAATGTGCTAAGATTAGATTAACCCAAACACCTGTGTATTTGACTTGATTTCAGTTCAGCTCATCCAAACAATTATTAAATGAATATATCAGAATAAGTCTTATCAGGAAAAAGAGTAAATTTTGTATGCTGATTATCATAGAGTTGGTGATGTTGAAGAAGCATCACAAAATTATTCATAAATATAGAAAAATATTGTGTAAATAAGATTGCCAATGGTGTATAGTCACTTTCAACTAGCAATAAGTCACTTAAAATTGTACTCAGTTGTTTATTGTTTGAATTTCTGTGTTGTATTGAAATTGACTAATATGCCCAAAGGATTTTATAAGCATATTTTAAGCTTGAAGTTAGGGGTGGATTTAATGTTGATGAAACTTTAGCTTTTAATAGGTTTTATGACAACTTCAAATGATACAGTCCTAACAGCTGTTTACATTTTAAACATGCCTGAACTTAATATGGACAATATTAAATGCATTTGGTGGACCTTTGAATGTTCTGAAACAATGGAATAACTGTCCTATAAAAGCCATAAAAAACTTAAAGCTATCATACCCTCCTTATGCTTCATATTCAAATTAACTTGTTTTATCCAATGCTAAGATTAGGCAGAAATCTAGACAATTTCTAAGGAGTGCATTGGTGTGGCATTGGATGGTATGTATCTGCTTAATCACTGTCAACAACAATTTTCATAATTCGTTGTAAATGTTTAAGTATTTCCCTATAGCTAACTGGCCCCTTTAGAAAATTTTACTGGTACAGTGTTTTCTTTGCTGTTAAGACAATTTAGGTGTTGCTGCTATGTCGTGATACATTCAGAAATATAAAAATAATTTTCCTTTCTTTCCCAATAAACAAAACTTGGGAATTAGGAATTTAGTTTTATTCTATTTAATTTTCTGTTTTTAGTGGTCAGTTTAGGATTTACTCTTCTTAGAAGATTTATCTTGACTAAATGTTTTCATGGTCCTTATGAAACATTTTGATGAATAGCCTTTTTTCTGAAATATAAGGAGGAAGAAAATACAATTCAAAATGAAATTTTTATTGCAATTTTTTGAGCAAGAAGAACAAGTTTAGGTAATTTTATAATTTAATCATCCATTTACTCATTACCTAAAAAAATCCCAGCTCTATTTTCATAGCAATTTAACTTAGTTTATGTAAGCTTTGTTGTAAATATCAATTGCTTATTACTTACAACAAGATCCACATGGCTTACCACCACACAAAATATTTATTTTAACTTGATTCCAAAAAAGGTCTGCAGTAGACATGGTCACACTTTTCTAGTAGCAGATCTGTATTTCTATATTTTTAGACCTCTGCCATGCTTTTTTTAAAGCTCAAATAAAATTATGACTATTTGATAAGAGATACTTCTTAAATTGTTTCAGTATGTATGAGTATTTGTATAACAGATACTAAAAGATTGGAGATAATAAAAGGTTTCCTTTGGAGTGATTATGACTACATAAGACACTTATATGTTTTCTTTGATACATATTTACCATGACAAATAGTAATAAATCTGTCACAATCTGTTGTGGCAACTCACTTTACCCCCCATTTTGAAGTGGGCCCTCTCTTTCCCTTATAATAAAAGGAAGAAAACTTAAACGGTGACACTGCATCATCAGGTATTATTTGTGACACGCCTGTGGTACAGAGACTGGACTTCTGCCGCCATTAGGCTGGGTCTTCCTCCCAGGCAATCAGGAGAGAGAGGGGATTGCCTAGCCCTGTTTTGAAAACACTGCAGCATCTGTGGGAGAGAGAAAACGTAGGCCTGGCCAGACATCATGCCATGGATCTGGCAGGATCCACGAATGTGTGTTTGTACTGTGTGCTGCACCTAGAGACCTCACGTCACTGTGGAAGTATGACACGATGGTGGGATAACAGAAGACCCACCAGGCAGGGTCTACAGGACAAGCACAGCGTGTCGGGGGGAAGCCTGTCCCTCTAGTGCACATAGACCAGTACTTGCTAAGGTGATTTTTTTTTTAAAGGAAAGCCTGTGTGAAAGACAGCTATCTAATTGCCCACGAGAGCTCTGCTTATTACTGCAGTACATTTTTATCTTCTCGGTTCGTATTTTAGTATGTTGCTCTTTTTAGTCACGTCCCAATTTCTCGTAGCCCTCGTTTTTTGCGAAGACCTTAGTAATAAAGTGTTGTCTTTTGTTGATGTCAGAATTTATTTTGCATGTCTAAGCTCTTGAATCTACATGAGAACATCTTGTTTTGCTAGATTTCTACATTTTGGTTTTCCATTTCAAACCATATTTCATCTTAAACTCAATATTTTGCAACTTTACTGCTCATTTCAACAAATTTGTTTTATATAACCTAATAATCATACACATTGAATCATGAATTCATACACAGAAAAATGTACTATAGTAAATTAAAGTTGGAAAAAAATGATTTATGATTCTTAACAGAAATTAACATGAAAGTACTAAAATCTAGAAAGTAGCAAAAAATTTTATATTGTGCTGTTTTAAGATACTTTCATCAAACACAGAAACAAAGCAAAGGCATTATCTTTTGGAAACTTTATTCTGCCCATCAACATGTAAACATGTAAAACTTTTATCTTAGAATTTGAAATATTTCAAAATTATATACGTTTTATCAGAAACTGTTAACAACTACAAACTTTCTACTTCAGACTTTGGTGGAATTTGTCTCCACTTGTAATCCGATTTGCATCTTTAATGATGGTCTCACCATGACCCCAGTTGGAATCTCTTGAACATCAGATTTTTCTGGAAATAGGATATTTTATCCTTAGAAATAGTTTATGACCTCTCATCTCCAGTGATCTTTCCTAAAGCTGTACTTCTCAGTAAAGTCTTTTTTCTACGTTAAAGTACAGAGGGGTTTTGTGTGTCTGTTTTGTTTTAAAACTCAGGAGGACCTGGCAAACTTTAAGTGGTCAGAGATAATTTGGGACACATGGATCCCAAGATAAACAATTTCTACTACTATAAAGATTCTAAAATAAGGTTTGGACGCTTCAAGAATATTTGTGACATTAGTTAATCAGTAGGTAGGTTTGAAAAATAAAAACAATGTGTATTAGATATTAGGTTCACCAATTTTCATAAGGAAAGAATTCTTAAATAAAATGAAATATTTAAGTATGGATTAGAGTTTCCTTTACAGAAGCAATTATTAGGGGTATCAAGAAAAATGAGTAATGCTAATGGCCTTAAATGTCCTATGTATTTTGTGTTATATAAAAACTTTCCTATTTGAAGATTTCAAACATGATGTTGAATCCATATCTTGAGCTATTTAGGGAAAACCCCTTTTATCCCAGGTGCTTGAAGAAATCACAAACAATTTAAAAGAGATATTGGTAAACTGTTTTTTCCTTATTAGTGGGCTGGAAATTATGTATGATTTAAAAAATCAGTACTGAACTCAGAAATATATAATTTCCTACATCACTTTTGAAATTGATCATAGGGAAATCAGAACGATGCTTTTTCATGTCAACAAATTTTAACAAGTAATAATACAATTTTCTTTAAGATGAAAGTTTTATTGAAATATGATATCGATCACAAGTGAACGAAATATCAGCCATCTGGGCTCTATCCTTTTTAGGAAAGTCTGGAAGTAGCCGATTGTGTGGTAAGACGTAAAAGGAGGAAACTCTTCAAGGTTCATCCCTGCAGGGATAGATACTTTGTGAAGAAGTATAATTGTTAAGTGTTTAAAATATTAAGATAGCTCTCAGTATTCACTTTTAAACTTAGTGTGCCCATTTTCTAATTAAAGATATTGGAATATGAGGTTTGGATATTAAAATTGTGCTTATTAATGTTTAGGCAAGAAGGAGGTTAAGAGTGGCACAATTAAGTCATCTCAAATAGGACAAAACTATTCACACAATTTACACGGCATATATAACATGACAATGGGGAACAGTGAAAGCTGAGAAAATATTCATGACAGAGAAAGTATTTTTGTGTGTGTGCAGTTAATGCTGAATTTGCTAAACCAGACTTCTAGTTCAGCATGTGCGTTTTTTTTTTTTTGTGAAAACCAATCTTATCTTCTCTATTACACATTGAGACTATAGAGTTTATGATTTTTATGAATTGCTGATATATGAAAAAATATAGGAGAATCTTTATATTTGTTTTGATTGGAGGCTTTTGTTCCATTAAAAATTTTTCAGAAAGCACACAAGAGGCTTGCACATACTCAACATACATACTATTAGGCATTCTAATATCCCAGAAGTTTGCTCAAGGATTTCTGAATTTTTGTTTGGAATTTTGGAATAATGAGCTCCTTCATCCACTATCCTCCTCTTCTCTGCCTTGAAGCCCAATCCTGCACCCTTTAAGAAAGAAGGCTTCTGGTGTGCATATTTTAGATAGAAAGAGAGAAGAAATATAAAGGAAAAGACAAGCATGAAGGTTAACTGTGGATGAAAGGTTTGTGTATTTTTGAGCTATTCCTGCTTTATCTTTACAAACAAAAAGGTTGTATGCCCCAAACACTCAAACAAAACACCACCAGTTCATTCCTTCCCCCAGAAAGAAGCCTTCCTGGCCAGCAGCACCCCATTTTTCTACTCAGTGATCTCTTCTAAGGAGTGGTGCCTGATGTATCTTCCTACTCTCCAATGTGTTTTTATTTTTAATCAAGTATTCAAAATAGTATTTTGCATGCTAAGATTTATCAGGACTTTCGTTAAGATGTTAGCAGCTGCTAACATAAACAATAATAGCATTTAGTGTAAAACTGGACTTGTTGAGAAAAGAGAAATACATTTCTGGGAACTGCTATTTTGAACTTTATCATTTTCACTGAAGAGTATATTTTGGTGTGAAGTTTTGGACTCGAGAGTGGTTTAAATTACTGAGAAGTGTAGGAAACCACTGCAGGGCTGCTTTACCCAGAGAGAATTATAACAGGGCTTGCATGTATTTTGAAAATAAAACCTTTTTCTATGGCATCCAGCTTAACTGTGAATTTATATTTACGAAATAATGTAGATAAATGCCTTGATAATTTGATTGAATACCATTTTTTAACTTTTAAAATTTAATTGATTGAAATAGTTTTATTTGCTAACATAGCAAAATGTTCTCCTTTTTTCCAGATCACTGACAATTTCTGCATTTTCTATGTTTTCTTGGTTTTGAATAATTCTAAAGGTTTTCATTGAAAGTAATGAATCAGGAATTGGAGGGCTAAATAAGATTCTCTTAGAAGATGTGGCAGTAATCCTAAAAGAATAAGGAGTCTCTTCAAGAATTGTCAAAGTTGTATTTTCTTAAGGCAGAATCCATACTTGTCAGGCTGTTGACAGACACTTGCTTTGTCTTGGCTTTTGTTTGATTTTTTACATAACTGCACTGGATTATTAAACTGAACATAAAATTGCACCTCAAAGCAATAGCACAGGATTTTCAGCCTTGATCAATTTCTACTATCCCCGGATGTGTGTGTGCACGCGTGTGTGTGTGCACCCATGTGTATGAGTGTGCTTCTTTTAAAGGAATAGGAGCTTTTATACAATGTGGTGCAAAACTTATAGTTTTAAATACTTAATTATTTTATCTGGAAACAGCAGCATGTGAGTGATTCTTTTTTAAGTTGCAGCTGCTGCATAGGTGTAGAGCTATTTGAGGAGTTTGATGCTTTACTTGAGCATATACTCCCTCTTCAGAGAAGTTAAGGTAGTGCAGAAGTTTCTGCATTTTGTAAAATTTCAGGGTTGAAAATAAAGATGCTTTATGATTTGGTGAGATGGATAGATTTCACTTCTGAAAGAATGTGCAAGTTGTATTTTGAAAGGAACATTTTAAGAATTCTACTTAAGTGGTTTAGTGACACCCACTCTTGTCTCTTGTCTGACTTTGTCATCTGAGGAATTAATCATAAATAAGCCACTAGGGATGAAACTTGATATATAAGTGCTTACTTCCAGAGTAATAAGAAGAGGAACTGTGTGTGTGTTAAATTTCACTAAATTTATTTTGATTATTCCGTAGAGCAGGAAATAGGAACATTTCGTAGTGAAGCTCTCTTCATAGCAAACTGTAAAGAAAATTTCTCAGTGTGTTGCCATATGTTGGCAGTGATTAAAGGGCATTTCCTTTGTGAAACATGGAGCCATATTAGAAAGACTTATATTTTCTCATAAAAATGACCTTTGCAAGTACATTTAATCATGAAAACTGGTGTCATTCGTCACATACACATACAAAAAGTGTCACTGTTACCATTAGGGATTTTAGGAAAATGCTACTTTGGAACAATTATTTTGATGGCATCTGAGAAAGAATACCTAAGTGTCTACAGGAGCCTCCTCCCTCCATGGCCCATATCATTCTAAATATGCCTCCTGAATTACGCTTATAATAATATTGTAATGTCTTTCATTCTACCGATTGGCACAGTATATCATTATATCATTAGCTGCTATGAGAAAGCAGTTTCAAGTAGGTGGCAGATTCTTAGCATTAATGTTTTCAAGTAACCCTGTTTGGAGAATTGGGTTGTTTCACAGGTGCTCAGGTACATTAACACAGTACAATAATATTTTCTGGCTTGCTTTTTATGAAACGAACTTGAAGTACAAAATAATTTAATAACAAGTGGAGTATAAAAACTGGAGCTCTAGCTTAAGAAAGTTTAATAACTCAAGACGTTAAAGGATAAGAAAAAAATTGTCTAAGGAGGCAGCAGTGTTTAGCTCATTTTGCGTTACTACTAAAGCTGAAATTTATTAGGAGAATGTTTATGGCCTGATTATTTAGACTTGTTGAGTTAGTTTAAATTTTTTAAACGATTTGGTCAAGTAGAAAAGCACAGTTCTGTATCTATTGTACTATTTGAAAGTATTGTTACATAAAATAAATTCGAAATTCTGCCATTTAATACTCAGGCATATGATTCAGGAGTGAAATTGCATTGCCAGAACCTTGGGGTCCCTCATGTATCTTAATATGAATTTTATTTTTAGAGGTGTATAAGACATTGGCACATATAATCTGTGGCTTAATTGATAACAGCAAAGAAAATGGAATTAAAAATATTTATTATTAACAGATACAGTTGGGATTACAAAATTCAAACTGCAGTCAGTAATTATTTTACAAATAAATGCTATTTCATTTTCCCTTTAGTAAATATATCAGTAACTTCACCCAATATTGATGTAAGTGAAACCCGACAGTAACAAGCTGGGAGTGCCCAGGTAGAAGGGGAAAAAAGCATGTTCATTTATTCATTCATTCCTTTCTCCGTTTATACTTATTCAAAGAGTATTTTTCATTGCAGCTAAAAACTAGACACACCATGTAACATGGAACATGTCTTTTTCTTCTATGTATTCTTATTTAAATCGTGGAGCTTTTCAACTGAGATTCTTCACGTTTAATGAAATTTGCAGTCTTGTGTCACTTGCGTCACAATTTGTAGGAATAACCTTAGCATTTTAAAGAGTATACCGTGTAGCCTTTTGAGAAAGTCATGCATTTGAAAAATAAAATAACCCACAAAGTGTAACACATGGACTTTTGTCCCTTAAGCTGATTGCCCTTACTCACTTGTCACCACCTTTACGAGAGTGAGGGATATGTTTTAGATACATTTTTTTTTGTCCTATAGAAACCAGACTCACTGCTTTACTTATGCGTATTACTCTGAAATATATTTCCAGTGAATGAATATAGTAGTAAAAGTGGTGTAGCAAGGTAGAAAAAACACTGCACTAGACATAAAAAGACCTTTCAAGTATAACGTCTGACAGCCTCTACTTACACACCCAGTGGCCTTGGTTAGGTCACAAACCTGCTTCTCTGTCTACAAAGCAGGTATAAAATAGTGCCTGCATAATAAGGTGGTGTCAATATACTGATAACAAACCTTTATCAAAGTACTTATTCCATGCCAGAGTACTTATTCCATGTTCTAAGTGGTACACTATTACATCATTTGCATCTATTGAATCATTTATTCCTATAAAAATCCTGTGAGATGGGTACTACTGTTTATTCAAGAGACTTAAAAATGAGACACAGAGAGGTGAAGAAACATGTCTGCGGTCACACATAGTAAGTGGCAGAGCTGGGAGTGAGACCTGGGCAGCCTGTCTCTAAAGTTTCTGTGTTCTTAACCATAGTGCTGTCTATGCTGCCTAGCGTTTCAGACACTCTGTAGACCAAAAAGCTCTCTACAGCAAGGTTGTCATTAAGTTAGCAAGTATTTGACTATCTACAATAAATTAATATTCAGAAATTTCATTTCACTGTAGAGTGATCATCAGTATCTCTGTATAGTCATGTCCTATAACTTTTGCCCAAGCAAATCAGTATGCCAGGCAGTCCAGGGGAGCATCTGTGTAAACAAAGACAGTATAATATAGTGGTTAGAGTATGAAATCTGATCAACTGGGTTTTTAGGGGGCTATGTCACTTCCTAGCTACACAGTTATTTGTAAAATAAGTACTCATTGGGGTTTGAATGCATTTATGTAATATCCTTGAATGTTACATACTATTGTTACACATAATAAAAAGCACTGTCATGCTATTATCAGTAACAAGGTAACTACCTTTCATTTGGCATTTGAGAAACAAATCTAACATGGCAGCCTACTTAGGAGTAGTTAGCAGTAGAATAGAAACTAAGACCAGGGTCTCAGCTATGTTCAAAAGAATTTTACCTAACAGAGGTCACTTGCTTTTTCTGAAATTATGTAATATTGCTTTTTTTTTTTTTTTTTTTTGAGATGGGGTCTTGCTCTGTCACCTAGGTTGGAGTACAGTGGTGCAATCATAGTTCACTGCAGTCTCAAACTCCCAGGCTCAAGCGGTCCTCCCACCTCAGGCTCCTGAGTAGCTGGGTACACAGGTTCACAACCACCACACCTGGCTAATTTTTTTCTTTTTTTTTGGTAGAGACAGGGTCTCCCTGTGTTTCCCAGGCTCTGCAAACCCATCTCTATCAAACCAAGACACGTAGTCAGCCCTTTTAATCATTAGACCTAGTGGTCTGCAAAGTTTGTGTTGGAAATACTTTATCTTCTCTCTTTTGAACTGGTACATCGGCTGTGATGCCCGGAGCTGCTTATACTGTGGTTCCCTTGGCCAATAATTTGTTTATGCCTAAATCAGCCTTGCCTCTAAGTGATAAGGAGATACGTGCTTTTTCTTTTGTTTTGTGTCAGTGGTATTCTCTAATAGGCCGGGAACGGGTCTGCCCAAGTGATGCACAGCCCCTTGGTGGGGCTGGCTATAGATCCCCCCGCAAAACTGAAGGTTAGGCCTAAGATATTAGCTTTGCCTGGCAAGATGAAGATGTGTGGACTAGGTAGACCTGTGTGGCAGTCTGTTTCTTTTATAAAGTAAACAGAGTTCAGTTTGTTTAGGACTGCTTAGGTAGATTTCTTACACTGAGCAGGAATATTTGTACAGATGTTTTAAGGTAAAGTCAAAGAATGGCTAGATTGTAGCCTTTGACGCATTATAATGTATCTTTTCTCAGTGCCCCTGTTGAATTCACAAAAGAAAAGGTATTTTTGATCATCGGCTATGAGAAACTTAAAACACTTTTTTTTATATATAAAGGCTGATTTAGTTAACTCTTCTTGCATTTAAAGAAAAAAACATCTGCTGAAAGTAGGGAGGGGGGAGGTGTGAGCGGAAGCGTGGTCTCCACATTCCACAATGAATGTCTTTTCCCAGCCAATTTTAATTTGCAGAAAAACCAGGCACTGAGTTAGATTCCTCGGGAAAAGTCCCTGTTGGCTGATGAGCCCTGAACTTCTTCCGTGTACACCCTGAACAGGGACTGATGCTTCAGTTCACAGAGATAATTTTTCTCTGGAAAGCCGATAGATCCGATTTAGCCACCCCTCATTTGTAGTCATTGCCACCTTGTGGATTACAAAGGATATTGGTTTTCATCAAACTTCCATTTCGATTTGGCTTTTTATGGCAAGTACACGTTGGCAGTGGATTGCCGTGTTCCTCACCAAAAGGATCCTGGTTTGTTCAGCAACACCTCACTTCTCCACTCACAGTTCATTTATGATTCTGATGAGAGTGTTTTTTCAGGAAACACACATTTCACTTTTTGACCTAGGAGCATCTGTTAGAATTTTTTTTTAATACTACTTTGGCATTCTGAAAGTGTTAATGTCTTTCATATCTGTTTAATGCTATTTAGGGATATTTATGATCACCTCTTGGTTACTCAGGGTAAAGTGTGTCGCAATTTTTTTTAAACAGACAGGAAAGCATTCACATGAGGAAACAGATTGCTTTAAACATGTGCTTCCTGTGACAGTAAAAAGAACAAATTAGATTTAACACTGTGTAATGAATGCATAAATGTGTACATTTAAGCTTTTAAAAGCTTTATGTTCAGTTCTGGTCACAACAAAAATTGAGTCACCTGTAAAAATTAAAGATGCCCAGGGTACTCTCAGACTTTTGAAATGCCCAGCAATTGCAGTCCTCACCTGACGATGCCTCGTTGGAATTATAAAAAGCATGATCTATTAGTGCTGGAGAGAACTAGAACATTACAAGGCACATTCAGAGGTTAAACCAGGTTACAGTCAGATTCCGTACATTTAGCAAATAAATCAGAATTTGTTGTGGGGGGGAGAATACTTCACTCTCATCTTCCTCCCTAAGAATCAATGAAAAAATCAATTTTCGGGAACCCCATATATTCCTCTGTCTTTCATGAAAGAAAAAGAAGGAAACCTGATGTTTACTTACTAGCATTTACTACAATTTAATTATATAAGAAAATGACTCTTTTTCTTATGTAATTCAGTTTGTGTTTTGTATGCTGGCAGGGAGTGAATAGAATCTGAGTTAATATTTCCAGTTAGACTAGAGTGTGGAATTGGAGGGCCTGAATCCTCTCCCCGGAAGAAGAGGCACTCATGGCCATTTCTGTCTGAGCCTGCGGATAGTGCCTCTCCGTCCCCTGTGCTTTCAAAGCTAAGGATTTGTGGCACGCTTGCCATCTCTCTGGCCAAGGAGGGCCAGGAGAGAGTCCCTCGGGGGAGGGCACATAGTTTGAGGACATCTGACTCTCTTCTATCACATACTGAGGTACTAATATCAAAACAGACTGCTTGTCGTCGCACGGTGGGGCAGTGCTTTTTTTGGCTGCCGTGGTCGAAATGAAATGGGCAAGCTGTAGTCCGCTTGGCATCAGAATGGGCTAAGGGAAGCAGGGAAATCAGAGTCAGACTGTGAATGCAAGTCACAGCCAATGGTTAACTTCCTTTTTGTGTGTCACTTGGCAGCAGCGAGACTGATGGTGATTTTTTTTTTTAACATGGGTGAGAGTTCAGTGCCCTAGGAAGAGCCGTAGATGCTGTTATTGTGCTTCCTCATACAGTTGACTTGTGTTGATTTCTTGAGGCCAGTACAGCTGTTCCAAGAGCCAGCTCCAGGAGCTTTGTGTGTATGTACATGGCCATCGGACGTCGGATGAAAAAGGTAAACAGATGAGAGGTGATCCATACAAAATCTCACTGCTGATCACTAGGCAGTCTTAGGGGAATCAGGTTCTGGCATAAGGCAATAATACCAAAGAATAATATATAGTGCACTTGAAGGGATACTCCCTTGTATACAGACACCCAAAGATATTTTTAAATTATCACCACTCCGCACCCCTCATCTCACATACAGGATTCAAATCAATTTTGGACTGTCTGGAAAATGTAGGACTAAAATAGCCAGATTGAATTCAGATAAAATTACCTTCTGCTTTTTTGGGAGGTTGTTGCTTTTTGGTTAGCCACATTATTTTCTTTGAAGATTCATTTGGAAGAGAGTTTGGTAGAATTTCTAGCCTCTCTCAAGATTTTCCTCCCATTTCTCTGTTTGCAAAGAGCTGTTCCCCAAAGGCAAAAAGAGCGAGTTGCCATCTTGAGCGAATTGTATGTTTAGTGAACACCAAATGGTCTCAGAGTTACCCTAAATTTTCATTATATCTGGTTGCTTTCAAATACTATTTATTCCCCTCAAAACTCCTAACCATTTATATAAGATATCAGTAAGATGACCAACTTCTGACAACCCAAAAGCAGGGAAGGAAGCTTAGAAATAGAATACCATTTGTCTGGTAATTAGAGTGTATCTCTTAAGAGTTCGAGAGAATTCTGATTAACCTTTCTGTTCCCACATTCTCACGTAAAATTAGCACACCTTTTAAATTATTATCTAGTATTTAAACACATATTTTTGAGTCTTCTTAATGCAACAGGTTCTGGGGACACTAAAAGTGTGTTATAGTTTTCTAAAAAACTTCATTTTTCTTACATTTTAAATGTTCTGTTTGTGCAAAATTTCGAGAATCACCATAAGGGCTTCTTTGCATTTTTAATTTAGTAACTAACATATGAATAAATTTGCATATTAATTAGTTGCAGATTAAATCATGCATACATAATTGCCTCCTTACTGTGTTTAATGTTTGTCAAAATCTCCAGCCTGGTTTGATGGATGTCGTATGAAAGATTACAATTTGATGTACCCTTGGAAGTATTTACACCAATAATGCAAGATTCTTAATAGCAGAATTTTCTAGTTATATACAGTTACTAATAAACATGTAAGATAGGTACATGTCCCTTTGACTAAAATTTTTTTCTTTGCACCAAATCATTTACTATTCATAATCATTAATGCATCTCCTAATTATACAGCATATGTCTGTTAACCCTTTCATTGCTGGCCTTCAAATGGTAGCTTCTTTCTTTTTCTTGCCCCCTAAAGAAAGCAAAATTGTTTGATAATACTCTGAAATTACTCGATTGCCTTTTATTTATTTCTCTCCTAGTATATGGACAAACCTCATTTGCCATTTATTTTAACATACAATAGATAATTATATGATCATTTTGTATTTTCTAGTTAAAGATCATAAAATGACCCACGTGCACATGGTTAGTAGCTGATGGGCTTTTGCCTTTCTTTTACCAATGCTGAAAAAAATTGAAATATTTCAGATACTTCATATAGTAGTAAAAAAAAATGTATACACAGACATACTCTCTATTTAGGAGGGTAATTGTAGAATAAGTAAAAGTATTAAAATTATATTTAAATTCATTTTGAATATTGAAATGCATTTAATGTATCATGATCAAACATAGGATGGAAATGTGATTTTTTTTATTAGAATTGAGATCTCTGAAGTAGAAACTGACAAGAGAATAGATGCTCTTGATTTGACATAATTTTAAAATGCCAATAAATGTTTTCTCAAATTTCTTCAGGTATTTAATTTTTTAAGTTTTATCTTACTCATATAAAAAGTAGACCAACTGGCTTTTTTTTTTCCTTTTTACTATTTTGATGTCTAAGCTGCTTATCACACTGTATTACCCTGCATTAATGAGTATTCCTACTGTGCAAAATTCTATCAAAAATGATGGTGTGAATGTCATTTTTAATTGGAAGTTTATACAGTCAAATTTATAGTACACAACAAAAAATATGTATGTAGTTCTGCTCCAAGCCTTTTTTTAGGCTTTTGATCTTTTTAGTTTAAGTATACATTTTTATTAATCTAAGTGTCATTTGAAAATCTACACAAATATGACTACATTTTTTATTAATACCATTGTATTATGGAAGAGAGGGAAACTAAGGCATAGAGTAATTATAATGTCTGTAAACTGTAAGAAGAACAAATACAAGAATGACCAAGAATAGATTTTCAGGGGTCTTTTTTAGACATGAAAACTTGCTGACCGGTTCTGTATGTTTCACATAAGTCAGACTGTATGATTTCTGTCTTCTTTATTTTTGAATGCCTGCATTTATATGCCTAGTAAAAAGGCAAAGGTTAAAATGAGTTGAAAGCATAAACAGCTGATTTCCCTTCTTTGATTCTTTCATAGGAGAAATAATGTCTCCTGGTCACCTACCTCAGGAGCATTTATTTGCTTATCACAGGACACAATGAACTATTTATTGATTTAACACAACATTCTTTTACAACACGCAATATTACATTAAATTATTTAGCAATGTGAAAAATGAAATGAAAGCTGCAAAACTTATAAAAGGAAGCAAACAGTCAGACCTGAAACATATTTATCCACAGCCATTGTGCCTAGGTAATTCAGGGCATATGGTATGTAAATGATATTTGGAGATCCTTGCCAAATCTACACACGACGGGATAAATTAAGGACAGGTTTCCCTGGGTGTGAGTCCCATGATTGTGGCCGGCACACTTCCTGCTTGAATGTGTGTGTTCTGTTCTTGTCTTTCAGCAAGAGCGTCACAGAGCATTCAGTGGCCAAATCTGGTCCTCAGCTGACTTCTAAGACATTATTTGCAATTCCCAAGAATTGATTTTATGATTAAATTTAAAACATAGTACCAATTTGCCAAACTTTCCCTTTGCTCTCACATTTGAAAAGTAAGATCTGAATAATTTGTCAGGATATGTTTAGATATTAAGCCATTTAAATGGGTATCTTTGACATTAGAAATTGAGTGCCTCTGAGCTTCTTAGTCACTGAAGAAAGGTGTTCCTGAGCAGTGACTTTTCTCTAAGCTAGGATTAAGATGTTTCCTAGAACAGACTATGAATTATTTTGAACGATTGATAATTTTGGTTCCAGGTTGGCCCAGTAATAATTTATTAATTCAACTTGACAACCCAAATTACTGGTATCACTTATTTTATTTTTGAATTATTATTTTGAAGCATATACTCTCATTTCTAGAAAGGTGAAGGCACTGACTCCTATTTAGAATAAATTTTAAGTAGGTAAGAGGTTATGCTGTTTTCTTTTTTTTTGAAAGGAATGTCTTTTCTAAGCTGGGGGTCTTAGCTCAGAGTTTTTAATGCTTTAAATTAAGGTTCATTTTTATCTTGGAATTATGCAATTGGAGATTTTGATTAGAAACTATGGCAGAATTTTTTCTCCTATAATTTATTGGACTATACCTAAAGAGTGCATTTACTGTGCACACTTAATTATAAATACAAGACTTATATGTTATTTATAAAAGTTATTTCGGGGTATTTTAAGACATGTAGAGTATGGCTTAGGATGTTTTATTGTTTTTACTATTAAGAATAATGCTTTTACTAAATAAAACTGTGTTTCTTTTATAAAAGATAATGCTCTTAATATTATGGTTTTATTTGAATTAGCAGTTTAGTCTGTGTCCCCACATTCCATTTCATTTATGGAATGCAAATAACACTAGTTACTGCATAGAAAATGAAATTAGGCTGAGTCCTTGTTCATTGCTGTGTAAATTGGGTAAAAATCAGAGAAAAAAAAATACCCTTGAGATCAATGTAAATCAATACTACTTGAGACAGATCCAGCTAAAAATTCATGAAAGGGGTCACAGTTCTGGAGGAGTTTATATAATTATCATGTAGCCTATAGTTTGTGAACTCAGGGCAAAGTTCTGAGCTGGTTGTTCTGGGACCATTCCTTGGTTCATTGAAACTACTTTGCACAGCTGTGCTTCAAACTCAACAACAGAGAGCAAAAACAATATTCACTATAAAATAAACCTCGTCCTGCCTTTCAACTTCACTGTGAACTTGCAGTCTTGAAAACAACAAAAGGGATAATCGCAATTGAGATTACAGAATCCAGATTAGATGTAATACACAGTAGGGTGGTATGGCCCAATTTTACTTACATGGGGCAAGTGGAAGTGCTGTGAATGCCAACATGTTAAGCATCATAGCCACTTATTAAGATGTTAGCTTTAAATGTCAGTCTTTGGACCCCATTTGAAATGAAGCACCTGCATTTTATTCAAAGAAATTAAGATATATTGGGGAATGCGGAGGTGAGTTGAGGGTTTTTTTTGTTTGTTTTTCTGTTTTGTTTTGTTTTTTTTTTCTGGTGGGAGAAAGTGCCATAGACAATAGAGATAAAATATCTCAAGTATTAAAAGTCTATTTTTATACACTGTATGATTCAAAATGACTGAGCAGTTTTGAAATTTTGTAGAAAGAAAGGAATATAAGGAGAATAAGAAATGATATTTGCATCTTTACAGACAACTCTGTATAGCACATTTAAGATTCTGGCAATTTCCTTACAAGTATCTGAAAATTAGGAATTATGAAGGAAACCCAGACAGATACTTAACTATAGCATTGCTACCAGGTGTCTCTTTGATATCAATGAGTTAGGAAACCTTAAGAAAAAAAGGTTAAAACATCCAGAATGATAACTTATTTTAGAATATGCTTTCAGACAAAATATTTCTTTGTTAAGAATGTTGAAAGGTTTTATTTAATTGTTCACATATATTTAGTAAATTTTTTGGTAGACTTGACCGATTAGGCTTGTTTCATAAAAGATGTGGGCTTCTGTGTATTTAGATCTTAAGTTTATTTCAAATTGGCCTTTATAAAACTTTAGTGCCTTTCTCTTAGAATTCTAGTCAACAAAATTATATTCATCAAGTGTATACATCACAGAAGTAACTGGTGATACAGAGTATAATTCCTACCATATTGTCAAATGGAGTCTATATCTCCTCAAAGGGAAAGAAACACTGACGTGAGTCAGAAGTTTTCACTCACTTGGCACTGAATCAGCTTAAAGTTCGAGGTTGAAAAATTCACAAATATTTATAGCACACCTACTAAGTGCCACGCCTCCTGGAAGGTGGACAGCAATGGCCAATGTTTCTGCCATTGGAAAGATTTGCACCGAAGTGTGTATGGCCACATGTAGTTGTACAAATCAGAGTTCATTTTGTAATGCTTTATAAGGGTCTGGTACCACTGATTCTCCTTGCAGACTAATAAACACAGAGCTTATATGACTCTTAAAAATACAGTGATAGCAAGTGCATCCTAAATTATGTAATCATGTGGTCCATGATAACAGTGTAATATATGATATACAGATGGAATCAGCCACCTGGCTTACTGTAATTGTTGTTGAGGTCCTTTGTTATGAACATATATTTCTGTTAACAATGCAACAAAATAATTTTTTAAGCTGTTTTTTTTTTTCTGTACTGCCTCAAATCTAGATAAACGGAATGTGTTGGAAAGGACAACAAATAAGAAGTTAAATATGTGGAAATGACATGGAAAGCACCTGTTTCTTCCCTTTGTTTTCTTCTACGTCATCAGGAAATAATATTTAACCATAGAATATGGTGTCCCTCTAAGAAAATGTTTATAATTGAATGTTCAAAGTAGAATATAGATTAAATAAGTAAAGATGACTTGCCAAAAAAAATTAAAGAACATTTGAAACAAACAGAAGTCTGCATCACACATAATAAGTGGCATAACAGTATCACCTCTCAAAAGTGACAATAGATGTGTCCATCTTTATGCCTTTAGCATGTTGTTGGCATTATTAGTTATTGTATTGAGAGAGTAGCCACGCTATACAAGAGAAAGGAAGGTAAATTAGATCCCTCACGCCCCCTTCTTCTGTGAATTGTATATGTTTTTGAATACACTCTCTGCCAGGACAGCAAATAAAATTTGGTTCATCCCTGATCCTCAGCAGATTATAATCTAGGTAAAGGACAGACCAGGTTCATGAAATCAAAAATAATAATTAGAACATTTGGAAACTAGGGGAACAGGTCCTCATATTGTGTGCATGTTTTATCAGTCTAAAGTAGATATAGCTCTATTGAAAATTGTTGGCTAGTAATATGCTCATTTTCCCATTTCATGAAGACTTATTCTCAAATGGAAGTTACAGCTGGCTATCGTGTTTTTCCGACAAACTCTCTTCTCTGTGGACATGATGATTTCTGTTGTTGTGGAAAGGAAGGAAATAAATCTCTTTTTGTTCCTCATTCACTCAATGAGCAAAGTGTGATTGAGCTCCTATTGTGTGCAGATTATATTGTTGGAGCACAGGACAAAGAAAGCTAAATTATCATCTTTGTTTAGAAATTTAAGATATTTGGGAGCAGCAAGGTAGATGCCTATGCCTAGTTTATTTAACAAGGCACTGAACTTTGCTGGAGAATCCTATATTCTAGAATATAGTCCTTATCTGGAAGTGACTACAGAACCTGATTCTGGATCACAGAGAGCTGCAGATCTGGTGTGATTAAGACAGTGGCCACAGATACTCCACTGAGCTTCTGTCTTGCAGCTTCTGTCTGTCTCTTCCCTGAAAATCACAGGGACCACAGATACTCCACTGAGCTTCTGTCTAGCAGCTTCTGTCTGTCTCTTCCCTGAAAATCTCAGGGACCGTGTGGAGTTTTGCTTGGTCAACTGGAGAAACAACTTTTGATTGTTTTTATGTTTTTCAGAGATTTATTTGCCAGAGATATTACATTATAATAAAAACATAAACACAGAAGTTAGGGATTGGAACAAAGGTTATATGGTCACAATTTAACTCATAGTTATTTGAAAATTATTGGTTTATAAGGAAACAGATTTAGACAAAGCTAGAACTTATGCAGGTAAGTTACAAAGCTAGAACTTACTCAGGCAGTTGCTCACGTCTGTAATTCTAGCACTTTGGGAGGCCGGGGCGGGCGGATCACGAGGTCAGGAGTTCAAGACCATCCTGGCCAACATGGTGAAACCCTGTCTCTACTAAAAATACAAAAATTAGCCAGGCGTGGTAGTGGTGCATGCTGGTAATCCCAGCCACTCAGGAGGCTGAGGCAAGAGAATTGCTTGAACCTGGGAGGCAGAGGTGGCAGTGAGCCAAGATCACACCACTGCACTCCAGCCTGGTGACAGAGCGAGACTCCGTCTCAAAAAAAAAGAAAATGTAGTGGACACAATACATTTAGATTTTTAATAAAGTAGACATATGTTTATTGCAGAACATATGAGCAGTTGATTAGTTAAAGATATCCAACATGCCAGGCGTGGTGGCTAACACTTGTAATCCCAGCACTTTGGGAGGCCGAGGCAGGCGGATCACGAGGTCAAGAGATCGAGACCATCCTGGCCAACGTAGCGAAACCCCATCTCTACTAAAAATACAAAAACTATCTGGGCATGGTGGCACACACCTGTACTCCTAGCTACTCAGGAGCTGAGGCAGGATAATTGCTTGAACCCGGGAGGTAGAGGTTGCAGTGAGCCGAGATCGTGCCACTGCACTCCAGCCTGGCAACAGAGTGAGACTACATCTCAAAAAAAAAAAAAAAAAAAAAAATCCAACATTGCTGGCAAGTTTGAAGGTCACAGCCCATGTACAAAATTGGTATATCTTGAGGAACTCTTGTCTTTATCATATGTTCTGTACCATTTCCTTGCACACAACACAGTTACTATATGATGGTACTAAGTAGATACAGGTCCAGACCCCATAAAGAATGTGGCATTCAGTTCTTGAACAGATGTTAGAGAACACAACCCACTCGGCAGTAAGGGATATCTTCAACTAGAGGGAAGGGTGAGAGTTGACCTGTTTGTCCTTTTGACTCATATTTAGAAATGCTAAAGTTGTTTTATGTTCAAAATGCATTTGATAATCATGCCTGAAGAGGTCAAAGTGCTGACATTGTTGAAAACAAATACCCCTGTCAAACAAATAGAGACAATTTTCATGTCTTTGGTTGGTAAGCACCATAATTTGGCCTTTGGCATTGCTGTCAGTAAAGCTAGTTGATGACTTTTACATCAATTTTTGGCCCAACCATAAATGAAGGAAATAAGACCAATACTGCCACAGTACTTTTTCTCACTCATCACCCATACCTGATTCAGCTGGGTTAATGTTAAAAGCCAAAATTTATCAATATCAATTTTTTTCCCAAATCATTCTTATTTTAGTACTGTTTATGCTCAATAAAAGTTTATGAATTTCTTTCACTGTTATTTAATGAAAACCCAGAATTTTTTAAAATTGCACATTATCTCTTTAAAAAAAGTCTTTTAGATTACTCGTGGGATTTACTCTAAGTTGTTGTCTTTTAATAGAAGATGATGCAAAACTT
Organism: Homo sapiens; assembly: GCF_000001405.40. Lineage (NCBI taxonomy): Eukaryota > Metazoa > Chordata > Mammalia > Primates > Hominidae > Homo > Homo sapiens. Next base: position 55,329,392 of record NC_000018.10, on the reverse strand, counting down.
GTCTCACCTGTTCCTTCCTGGTCGTGTCTGTGTTTATGTGTGGGGTGGGTATATAAGTGCTTTTGATTAACAGAATGAAGAGAGTGCTTATTTTGAAAACTCAGTCGTTAAAATTCAAGTTTATTTTGAGTTAAAGAACACCATATTTAGATTAGGAATGGACCAATGACCTGCTTAAGCTTTAGGCTATCGATTGGCCTTGAGGGAACTTAGATCTGCTAAACACGAACTTGAAAAGGCACTTCAGTGATGGATGTACGTTGGATGCTCTCACTGTATGGTCATTCACTTGCATTTTAAAATTTATGTTTTGTTTTTCCTTTATACCTACTCTTTTCATTCCGTTTGTCAGAGGTGGCCATTTAAAGTATTTGACAATTGTTTGTTCTCTGCCTAGCAAGTTGTCCTATTGCTCCATGATGTGAAAGAACAAAGGTAATCAACAGTTAGAAACCTCAGGAAATTGCTAGAATCTTCACCCCCAAAGAGGGTTAATAAACCCTAGATAATTAGTTCATTTAGAATGAAAACCATTTTCATTGTAATAATCACATTTCCCCTCTGATTATCGAGCAATGCATTGGGAAGCCTGATATTTATTCACAAATTTTTTAAAATTGAGAACATCCTGTGCTGAGATTCCAGTCAGCTTCATCCATCCATTTTTTGTTAAAAGTTTCTCAACTATCATCCTTCATCCAGACAAATAAACATAACCAGGATTTCCCCTCTAACTTTTTGGGAATTCATTTACACGTGTACCATTTTGAGGGAAAAAAACAATTGTCCTCGAATTTCATTTGACTCAGGTGATTGTGGTAAGCTCGCTAACCAGCTTCATCTAGGAAGTGCAGCAATCTGAGTCAACTTCCTCCATCTCTGTTTTTACATTGTCCAGTGTGATGCTTCCTCATTGTACCAAAATAGAAATGGTTTGTTTTTGTATCAAACTTGGAGACTGGCTATGGATTACACTGGGTTAGGATAAGGGTTTGTTATTTTTTTTTTTTTAAGAACATTCCACTTATCCCAAGGGAAAAAGATTGACGGCCTGGGGAAAAATAAGAGGCATAATGAAGTCTTTTCTCCTTAAATAAAAATCACATCTAGTCTTCAGATGTGTCAATTGCACTATGTTTGCCTAATTTCATTTAATATTTGAGAGATTTAGTAGTAAATTTATGACTTTTGCAGTTACTTTGCAAAAAATTGAGGAAGGAAGAAGTGAATTTCACTTTGAGTCAAATGTGTAGGTTCCAGTGTAATTAAACCTAAAAATCTATATATTCTGGTCTTGCTACTTGGTATTACACTTTGCCATATCACATAATGCTATTAGCTACATTTTACCTTGTTTGCAGGGTGATGCCATTTTGTATCTCTGGTTTGTTGAATTTCCTAGAAGATGTTATGTTCATGTAGATAATGGCATACTCATTGAATTCTTTACCTCAGACATGAAAATATGTGGAAAAGTGGGGAAATGAATCTGATCAGATTTCACTGTATACTGAAATTTGAGAATCTGGTTTTTGCATCTATTTTGCATGCTGCTGTCTCTCCAAACCATATATGTCTGTGTGAGTTTTTATAATGCCACATAAAGCAAAATGAGAAGTCTCTTCTTTCTTCTAAAGGGAAATAGTGCCACAGAAAGGTAGAAGTCAAATATTTACTTATGGATCAAAAATCTAGTTAAAAAACAACCCATTGCTTACCTTAGTAATCAATGTGAATTACTTTATAATCAATATGAATACAAGCTATCTGACCAGTCACTCAGAAAATAAATATTTGATCATGTGATAAACCATTTGAATGTCTACATATGAACCCAGGCCATATAAAAATAACCAATTCAAGATAACATAGGAAGTCACTAAAAAAGACACAAATAAAATTAGATTTCACAGTTTACGCTGATATTTTGATACTTTTCTGTGATAAAAGCATCTTCCAAACTAAATGTGTCCATATTTGAACCATGTAAATAGTTAAAAGTATTTTACCTGAGAATATCTAAATGATGCCAAGAAAATAAGTTCATGCCACTAAAAAGATTGAGATGATTTGTGCTTTATCTGACTTCTTGGTGTAATATGGATTTACTTCAGATAAGTATATTTTCTACTTATCCGATAAGTGTGTTTATCTGAGATAAATATTTTCTCCAGATACGTGTGTATATTGAAAAAAAATTTAAAATAATTAGGATCCCAATTGAAAAAGTAAAAATCTTAATTGCTTAATAAGAAAACAGTTATTTCATAGTCTTAAGATTTCAATACAAAGAAATATGGGAATATACACGTAAGAGGTTTGTTGGTGTTCATTATTAAATTGCAAGGCTGTCTCAAGTTATTGTCATCAGAATAAATTCTGTGTGTGTGTGTCTGTCTGTCTGCGTCCTCCTGTTAGTAATTAGATCTTTTATGAAGTTGTACTCATACCTATTAGGGATTTTTGTCATTGCAGTTTTAAGTTGAATATGACACATGGATCCTTTGTTGGGTCTAAGCTATCACCATTTATTACAATTTTTTATAACATTCCATATATATGCATCTACTAACTAAACATCAGCCTTAATTTAGCTTATGAATTAAATTTTTTGTTAGGAGTGACTCCTGCTGGAGAGCAAAAAATACCAATTAGTTTAGCTTCTAAATAAACTATACTCCTTTTTTCAATGGACAAGGGTAACCTCCTATTCCTTGGCTTGGCAACATTTACTATTCCTCTAAGTTTAAAGATGAGAACATAGATTTGAGTACTAACACATCAGCAGAAATTATATTTTTAAGTACATACATAATTCTCAGGCCAGTCGTGTTTGGTGCTCCAAAAAGATTTGTGATTGAATATCTTTGCTCCATTGGGAAGAGTTTAGCATGGTGCTGTATTTTTATAATTCTTTTTTCCATTTTAGCAGACTTCACCTAAGTCTATTTTAGGTGGAGATTTTTTTTTTTTTTTTTTTTTTTTTTTTTTGCTGCTGCTCTTTAAGGCACTCTTGCATAGAGGAAACAGCAGAGGAGACACAAGGAAATGCACTCTCCTTTATAACATGCTGCTGATTCTCTGAACTAGGTGTCCTCTCATTTAAGCCTCAAAAGAAGCTGTGTATTAACTAGATGAAGGAACTAACACTCAAACCTGTGATACAGCTTGGCCAGAGTCACACTGCTGGGGAGCAGCAAGGTTACTCATCAAGATGTGTCTGACCCTCAAGTTTAAGTGCTCTGATTTAATAACTTTGCTCACACCCTGATTCCAGTGTCTTAGTAGCTTTTGATCTATAAAATGTCATCTAAGGATCTTTGAGCCTTAATTCTTTGTCTTTAAAGTGGGAATGATAATACCTGCCACAGAGTACTAGTTATGGAGATTAAATAAGTGAAGGCAATTATTATATGTTCTTTAAATTGTGTGTCACTGTACTGTGCATGTATTAAGTGTCGTTTTATTAGCAAATATCTTTTTGATGGGTAGATGTTTACCTGAGGTGGTTATTTAATTTATAGGCTGGCTTGTTCACACTATGTTATGTAATCATTGTATATTAATGAATATCACTATTTTCCTTAGGATATGATGTTTAGCTAATTCAGCCATGCTAGGCAAAAGAGGTCAGCATTGTAGAAATAAGCAATGTCTTATACTGAAAAAAAGAAAGACAACAACAACAAAACAACAACAACAAAAAACAACTTTCCGTGTTCAGTGACTTAAACAGAAACATGGAGTTGTTCAAATTCTACCAAGTTATATTCGGGAGGAGAAAAATGGGAATTCCTTCCATATGACCATTCTTCATTCATTCATTTATTCAGCTTCTATTTGTTGAGTTGCCTGCCTTACACTGCAATATGCAGGGCAGTTTGTGTGTGTGTAGATGTTCATTAGGTTTATTTGCACTTTGCAGTAACCATGTAATATTATCATTATTCAGAAATAAAGGTAGAATCTACTCTAATGAGCTCTGTGGTCGAGTGGATAGTTCAGCTCTTTACCCTGTAATAGTTTGTTATCTAATTGTTTAATGTATGTGCGATTGCCTTCACAATTAAAGCATTATTCTTTAGTCATATTTTCTCTCTTTTCTCAATTTTCTCAGGAAGAAAATTGACATGTCTGTGAACCCTGTGCATGTCCCCAAATGGAGCTTAACCCAAAGTTGGGAATCACTAAATAATTGTTCATGAAATGGTTGAATATAGCTCTTCATTCAAGTGATGTAGATTCTGAATATTTACTTATTCTTTAATGCAGTTATTCATTCATTCGGCAAGTTTTTATTGAACATCTACCTTGTAGGTAATACTATGCCAATGCATTGGGGGTTTTAGGTCAAATATTTCCCAGTTTCTTATAACAAATGTATGTGTGTGTTGTCAGTTCTGCTTCACCTCAAATATATCTGTCAAAGACTTTTTGGAAAATTACAAAAGAACTGTAAACTTTAGATTCTAGAAGAAAATAAGAATCGTGTGGGTTTCATTTAAGTGGTCAACACTTCTAGACAGTTTGCTGGTAAGAATTTTTTTCCCCAAAAGTGGCAGAAAAAGACAACTGGGTTCATTGCCTACCCCCAGTGTCCTCAATAGTGCTTTGTCTAAGCACCAGAGAGGGATGGTGGCTTTCTGTATAGTGTGGCTAACCATCATTCCCCATCATTTCAGCGATAACAAGGCTGGGCATGGGGGGTGGGGGTGGTACCAAGTAGGTAACCAAGTTACCTACTGCTGGCAAGGTAACTTGTCCAGTTATACACTACTGTGAAAACTGTGTCTGTGAAACAAGCAGTAGACTAGTTCAGGGTCCTGTAAAAATTGGCTGCTTAAGATTAAGACTTCTTTAAAATTATTCTGAAACACATGGATTTATGCATATAGCTTCAGTTGTTCTTATACTTCTGTTCTAACTCCCCACGCATCACACTAAAAATTTATCATGGATGATATTTCTGTCACAAAGAAAACTTCAAAGGCTGAGATCGCAGAAATGTCTCAGTTGACAAGCCACTGACTTGAGTTCTGTGATTGAAATGTACTCCAAGGTCAGCAAACCAAAACCAAACATCACTGGATGATAATACGTTCAGTGTCTCACTGGCTATAATTCGTAGATCACCTTTCAAAGCATTATATCTTTATTAATCATTGTAAATTTGTGCTTTTGAAATCTTAGACTCGTTTCCATTAGGCAATGAAGCCCAGAAGCTTAATGTTCTAGTCTCATTTTAATTTTTTCAGTCTTATGTGCTGAATTGTCAGGGTTTAAAAATCGATTTCACCTCATCAGATTAAAAATATTTATTTATGCACATGTTAACAATATATTAAAAGAAATGAGAGCTTCAATTTTAAAAATAGGAATTGTAGCTCATTAAGCCATGACAATTTGGTTTATATTTACATAATTAATAGGAAGGCATTTATATGTTTGCAAAATAGGTAAGAAAAGGTATTTAACGTAGATGAAGCAGAATGATTGTTTATCAAAAGAGTTTAGAGATCTTTCTAGCAGTCTACCCATGGAAAGTTAGGATCTAGAAAAGCCTTCTCAATAAGGGAAGAAACAACAAAGAAACAACAACCAGGAAACTCCCCAACTTATCTCTTTAAATTCCAGCCTCTTTTCTAAGTGGTGGTTTTTACATACTGTCCTCTGGTAGGTGGGTACCCTGGCCTTGTGTATTAAGCAGTGAGGGTGGTTTAAAGGTTACAAATGTGATCCTGTCAGATTGACAACTAACTGTTCTAATGAGGAAAAAATCCTCAAAGCATGAAATTTGAATGAAATGTGTGATTATAATTCAAGTACTGTTTACACAAACCTCTGGGGACCTTCCGAATAAATGCAGAGCAAGTGAGTTAGACAAACCTCTGGGCCTTCGATACGTGTGTGTGGATGTGCGGTGTGTGTGTGTTTATTTTAGAGAGTGGGGAAACTTTCCACCATTAGCCCGGGCTTTGCTCCTCGGAACCAACACCACTATTCCTCCTTGTTTATTAATACTGTATGTGTTTTGTTAGCATATTGAGTTGTAAGGAAATAGGTGCTTTGAATTATTAAAGTTGATTCTTGAGAATAGATGTATGCTCGGGTGGCATTTGCTTCGGCATATGCAAATGATTTAGTTTCATTTGGGATCAATTCCCAGAGGCCCTCCTTTCCTGTGATGCTCTGAATTTGGCAAGCTCAAGTCAGCCCATCTCCTCTCCCCACATCCCTCCCTTTCTTTCTTTCCTTTTTTTGTACCTCCCCCCGCCTTTTTGTTGATTGGTATAATATTTTTAAAAGACAATAAATAAATATATCAACTTGCTTGTGAGAAACCTTGCCATCTATAAGGATTCTATTGTTCAGTTGTGATCAATAAAGGTGAACAAAGGTTTTCACGTTCTTAAAGTTTAGCAAAATCGAAGTTTAGTAAAAATGTGCATGAGATGTTTGCTAAAATATTTATACAGATACTGGGCTGCGGGGATGCTGCAAAACTCTGAAAATGTGGTCTCAGGGGTGCCTTTGGGGAAACTGACAGCTGTAAGATATTCGTCGGTTCGAAGGTACCAATAAACTTGCTTTAGAGCCCAGCAAATAGCGTGAAGTTGCAGTAGATTGTCTAAAGCTACAGTGAAAGCACCCAACTCCAGAGTGGAGAACGTGCGCCCTTGGGGCGCCCAGCGCCAGCGAGGGGAGCAGCGCCCCAGCCCCTCCGTAGGCTCTGGGCCCATGCGGCTGTCTGCGGCGGGGCGAGGTGAAGTTCATGGGCGGCCGCGCTTCCCACCAGCTCCGGGGAGGCCGGGGCCCGCGGAGCCCGGGGCGGGCCGCACTGCTACTCTGTTTCATTCCGCAACCCCGTTTTGTAGGTTGTTGACCAAGCAGTCAGAAAACACTGCCCCCTCTCTCCTTTTGAGCGAGGTCAGAGACGTGGTGTTTTTTTTTTTTTTTTTTTTTTTTTCTTCCCTCCCCTTTCCCTCCCCTTTCTCCGAGTCGAGTTCTCAGGCAGCTGCGTACAATGCTGGGAGCTAGCCAGCAGCAGAGACAGATGGCAGAGTTATTAGATGTGCATCATACGATTCCCTTCCTGCCACTCGCTTTTTAATCAAATTAAAACAAAAAAGAAAGAGAGGGAGAGAGAGAGAGGGGGAGTCAATTAACTGCATTTGTATTCTGCTCAATAATGGACCCTGTTCCACTTTTACCCTAAGGCAGTTGAGTGGAAATTTTAGAGAAGAAAAGGGTGCCTAGAACAAAACAAAACAAAAAAAAAAAAAAAAAGGAAAAAAAAAAAGAAAAGAAAAAGAAAAAAGTGAAGACTGCAGAAATTTGTAAGAATCGGCATTATTCGAGGAACTAATAAAAACCCCTCGGAAAAGTTGAATCGATCTCGCGTATGCATTAGGATTTCGAGCTCCATCAGGGCCGGGCTGCCTTCCAGCTCCGCTGCGCAAAGTTGAGCGTCTGACAGCAGCGCCGCGGCCTCCCCCGCCCGCCAGGAATGGTCTCTTCCTGCTTTGCATATTCACCACGCTTGGCCCGGCCATATGGGAAAATGCAACTGAAGGAATTGTTGTGAAAAAAGGGACAGCGAGTTTGAAATAAAAGTTGTTAGAGTGGTACTGAGGAGAAAAAAGAATCCGAGACCATGTACTGCGCATACACAATCCCGGGCATGGGCGGCAACTCTTTGATGTACTACTATAATGGGAAAGCGGTAAGCGAATGCGGGCTGCGAGGGGGATTTTTGACAAGTTTTATTGTCGCAGGGATGAGCATCCTAGGTGGTGATCATTGTTTGCAAAGTTGTGCAGGACTGCCGCACCTTCCTGGGTGCCATGAAATATTTATCATTTGCCAATCCTAAGATCTTCTTCTTGCCTACTTCTTCTCCTTCGTCTTTTTTTCCCCCCACTCCTCCCCCAGAGTAGAAAAATAGATGCTTTCAGAGCTTTAGAGAGTGGATCCTAGAGCGAAAGTTTGCAGTCAGGTAAAGTTGAGAGGTGGTATGATTTTTTTTTTTTAAAGAGTTTTGGAAAATTCTTATTCCTTCCAAATGACTGTTAGAAAGGAAAAGCAGATATGAGAAGCAGAATTGAGAAAGCCCAAGTTAGGCTGAGAGGAAATTTGGGGTAAGTTTCTCCCTGGATTGAGGTTTTGTGATATCTAAAGTCTTACTAAGTTGGAAGCTTGAGTGCAGTGGATAGAGTGGAGAGAACCTGAAAGGTTAAAATAGAGCAAACACATAAAACTGAGAGATCAAATTAAGGAGTAGATTATATAAGCTTAGATATATATTTAAAGCCAAAATGGGGAAGGAAAAACAAACGGGTTCATTCATGCATATAACAGTATTGTCATAAGTTATTTGTGCTGTGTGGCTTCTTCCCTCAATTTCCCCCCCTTCCAACAGAAACGCTTTATTTAAGAAAAAAATGTGTCTGGTATTTTGTGCATAACCCCAGCAGAAGGTTTATACTTGCCATCTGGAGGTTTATTTTTTTTTTCCTTCGTCTGGGCCCACTGAAGGAAAAGGATTTCAATATTTTCAAATCGGTATGTGGGGCTCTCGGGAAGAGTTGTTGGGTGATAGAGGAGCAAAAATTTATTGTTTTAAAATAGAAAAGAAGAATGAGAGAAAAGTGAAAAGCAGCCATTTATAAACTGTTCTCTTTGTGTACTTTGAACTTCCATTTGGATTGATCTTAATCAGGGATAGTTGGGCCAAAGGGGACAGATCAGAGCTTTCAGGAAGGCCCAGTTCAGCTGTAGCAATTGGCGCAAACGAATTAAACATGTGTATGTGCTGCTATATGCCTGTGAGTGTATATACATACAGATGCATGCATAACGGTTATTTCTAGATGAGCATATTCTGTAATACATACATATACACAACTGTTTGAAGGTGCAGTTTCAGAAGATTAATAATTTCATTTAAGAAGCCAGTTTTATGAATGGGCAACTTGAAATAATATCGTTTACTTTTATTTTGAAAAGTACGAGTAAATCATCAAAAGTTCATAGCGCTATCCTATTTTTATCTTTTTTAAAAAAGAGCACGGTGTAATTAAAATAGTTAAGTGTGGTAAGGGAAATATAATTTTAAAACAAATGGTTTTCGTTGTGATTTGATCAAAGTGTTTAAATCTGTAAACATAAATATTGGGATTATGTAACATCTTTTTTTTTTTTTAACAAGTACATGATTTGCAATTGGTAGTTACTCATATATAGATAAGACTTTTGCCTATTATCTTTTAGATGTTCTCATACATAACTTATTCAGCACCTTTCATTTTAAAGCACTTTTAATGAAAATTTTGTGAATGATGCCATCGTAGTCAGTAAGCAAAAGTGTCTCTGAAGCAGATTCAGGGATTAGATAGCCCTTATCCGTAATGAAAGACTTACATTATAAAAGAATATAAGTTTCCATGGTTTTTATCTTTCAGGATTACCAATGATGTGACTTTTACATGTTAATTGTTAATTTTGCATCTTAAATATCTGAACTGACAAAATTTTAATTTAAGTTTTGTACCTTTTAACTCCCTTTTGGCCAAAAGGAATTTTCAAAAATATGTATTCCATTCCCACAGCTTGCCAGTTGCCTCCACCGTAAGAAAATGCTGAATATGACATCATATCACTAATATGCCCTCTCAGTTGCCAAATATTTTGGTTGTTAGATTTTTTTTTTTTTTGAGAGGATGGTACTCATAAAATCAAGATCGCTCTGTCACAGGAAATGTATTTATAGGAACTGTTTTAAGGCGTTTATTAAAAACAAATCTGGTGATGTGTATCTCTATTGATTCAAACACTAGAAAGAGGCAAATTGTACACACATTATAGTTAGAAAAAAAATAGCCATTTGGAACACCAGCAGAAAGCTTTTGAAACTGCGGATGGCTACCAGTTGTCCATCTTAGCTTTATGAAACAGACAGCAAAGTCCAGTTGTGTGTGTCCCAAGGAAGGGGCCAATTCTATACCATTTTTTAAAATGCCCTCATGCATACACTGAGGAAGCAGATTTTTGTTTATTCTACAGTGTGTATTCTGCTGGCTCTAATTCTGCATTGAGTGGCTTTTGATTTGGTGCCAGACATGTTGTGGAGATTGTATATACCATGCGTTAATTGTTCAAAATGCCTATCGAAGAGACTTTACATTTCTTGAGTTTTACTTATCGTTTGGAGGTTGAATATCTATGCTTTTTTGTGTGTATGTGCATGTCTAACCAATGTGTGTTTGAACCTGAATTGTTGAAGTTAAGTGTGGTCAGCTATTTGTTGCACAAGTTTTCCTCTGAAGAGAACACAGCACTGAATTCCTTCTTTTTTCCCAGTGACAAGTCAATTACTTGTTTAAATTCAGTTTGAACTCCCTGAACTGAGAGAGGCCAGAGGAAGCAGGTTTTCCCTGTGAATAAACAAAAGAAGAAAAATGGAAAATCATTCCAAAACACAGTGATTTTAGCTTGTGGGAAGAATATAATTAAGCATTACAAGAATTATGGTTTCTTCTTTTATGAACTGGCAACTATAGGGTTTGTAAAATCAGTTGTCCTCTAACTTTCTAGCAGAAATATAATCAATGATATTTTAGGACAAACGAAAAAAACGTGAATTTTTTTACTACCTTAAGTTATGAAGTGTTTCCATGTCCATATCCCACAAAAAAATTTTTCCTTGTTTCTGTGAACAACTGTACCTGTCCAGAAGTGTGGACTCTGAAAAAAATACTTAACAAAAAATCGTAACACAAGAGCTATCAAAGAATAAATTTTGGATATAAACCAGAATGTATTTTTAAAAATCAGTTTCTCCTCAGGTGAGAGTTTCATGAACTTGATAAAATAATTTTTGTGATTTTTTTTTCCTCTATGCATTAGAGGTTTAAATACTAACGGATCCAAATCTAAGCTTAAAAAAAATTAAAGCACCACTTCTGAACTACGAAACAGATTTTTTTTTGCAGAGAAAATCAGTAGCTTATTTTGTGTTGGAAATACAAGCTTGTATCAAAGTGTGCCAATGTGTCTGTCCTTATTAAGGCTATAAGAAGTATTAGGCATTACCTGCTCTCCAATAAGTGTAGTTCTAGCTCTAAATTTTGATCTTTATGGCTTCTTGCATGTTCATTGAAGAAGAATTTTAATAAGTGATTATTTGGTCAAATTTCACATATCTAATATTATAGCATATCCACGAAGATAAAATTATGGCAAATAAAACTGAAAACAAAAGTGGCGAAATGTCCTCGTAATGGTAATTGAAGATCACATCATCAGCTCTCGCCAGCATGTGCATGTGTTAAACCGTAGAGAGAAACCTGTAATTATTGTAATTGCTCTTTTTGCTTTATACTAACAAGCTTCAAACCATGTTTCAAAGTAGTTGTTTTGAAATAGTTATTTGTCAAATCATCAAATCTCGGAAAGTAAATGGTAATGAGCTTTTTATGTTTATATTCTGACTGTTGGTCATATTATGCAGCTTTTCAAGTCCATAAAGTTCAGAGATGAAACTGGATGTTAATTATTTCTGATATCAAGGCCAAAGAATAAAATAATGTTACGAGTCCTGCTTAAGGTGAAAAATTAGGAATATTTGAATATCAGAATCTCTCAATTGGGAAACTCTCTATTCTTAGAAGAAAGTTTTCCTGTAAATAAGTGACAATATCAGTCAGCAACCTAAATTTTTTAAAGCTGAAAATTGGGGTATGAAGAGTGTAGCTTTTTCTCATTTATCACAGGAAGTGCTAAGATAAAAAGATCAATATTTAAATGACGCCACTAATAACATTTTTCAGTACATTTTACATATGGCTCTTTTTTTTCCCCCCAAACCTCACAGTTGGTTGGAACAGCCACACATAGGACATAGGTAGCCACTGGGTTTTAAAGTTTCCAGTAGAGTGTCAACTATGCAAATTACATTTGGCATTTTAAAAATATATTTCTTATACTTACTATTTTCAGAACCATGATTATAAATGAAAGCAGCCAGTATAAATGCTTTTATTTTTTTTAATTGCTGTTTACTTGCTATTACACAGCAAAAATTTGCTTAGGCCACAAAGTAATCAAATTTTTAAATTCCCCACTGGTTCAATAAAATAAAACATATCAAAGAGAAAGCATGTAGGAAAAACTGCTTTTTTGTGAGCTTATTTTTTAAATATAGTTGGCACTTTAATTTACCCATTTAAAAATAACAATGAAATTTTTTTTTATGCTTCATTACTTTAAAACAAAATTATGTTGATTTTGTTCTTTATGTTTAAGCTGATAAAAATTCACCAGACACTTAATCTTGACATTGTGGCTACATCTTGCCTTCCTGCCTCTGATTAAATTTTCAAAATCCCTGCATGAGATTCACAGATACCAGTTTGAACGTTTCTGTGAGGCTAATTTCTCAGGGAAAAAATATGGATCAGTTACATCTTTGGTTAATTTTATCTAGTTCCTAATTTCTGCTAGGTCTAAGCATTTTAAATATAGTGTTGGTAAAGCATCCTTCTGTCGCTGGGTGATGGCATTATTGCAGGCAGAATTAGGAGAAAGGACATTGGCATAGGAGAAAGAGGGTTGGGGAGAAAAGTGGTCAGGAAAAAAGATCTAATAGTTGATGCAGTCTTTTAAATACCTTTCCAACTGATCTACAGGAAATTGTGCTGAAGAATCATTTGTTTCCTGTTCCACTATAAATGTGGTTTGCATTACATCCCCTGTTCGGCTTTTTTTGTTGTTGTTTTGTTTCTACTAAATTGTAGTACCACGATGGAGGCTTGAGAATAAGTGATGTCTTCCTTTATAACTTATCTTTTAATGGCTTGATCATAGTTGGATTTTAGACACTGTCATATTTCATTATATGAATTTTGTATGTGTGTGTTTCCAAGCCTACTTGAAACTTCTATTACTGCTCTGCCACTAAGAAAAACAATGCTGCAGTCTAAGTTCTTTAGAATCACTATTGTAGGTCAAATACATGGTCTACATGCTGCCATCAGGGATCTATTAAATGAATCTCTTGTTTACTCATTCAGAAAATTTAGAGATTTTAGATGTGGTTCTGGCAATTGTAAAAGTTGTTAGAATTCAGATTTACTTTTGCCTTAAGAAGAAAATACAGTGGAGACATATATTTGCTCTGCACAGCTGACCTAAATGCATGCCTTGTACCTGTGAGAATTTCAGTATGCGGACACATAAAAGATTACTGGGCCTTTTTTCCCCCTCCAATATTATCAGAGTTACAAAATAAATAATCTTTCACAGTCAACATAGTTTAAAAGTAATTTTAGTTTTAAGCTTTTTCAAGTTTTTATATGTTTAATTGCACTTTATTAGCCCTTAATACTTCAAACATAACTCTAAGATGACACAGGCTAAAGTTGTATATGATAAACATTATTGATTACTTAAAAAAAAGGGATATCTGTATATTCATAAAACATTTATAATCTATTTAGGAAATCATCATAGTCCTAAAAAAAAAGCAGTTGTTTGTATACCAGGAAAAAGAGATCAGTAGTGACAAAAGTGGAAAAGATACTTGTATAAAATTGTCTCCTTTAGTGTGAAGTGATCTACTGAAAGTTATACTTGGAATTTTCAGAAAATGTCCATAGTTGTAGGCTTTATAACATTTCAAATTCTGTAATAAACTATTTGGCACATTATCATATCATTTTAGGTATATAGATACCATGGCATTTTATTAAGCAAAACAATTTTTTTCTTCTGAAGAATACTTAAGGTGAAATTTACTGGTTTTGAGCTTGAAAGTGGTTTGAGAATTATACATGAACTCCACTTAAACTTTGGAGACTTTCCTTTTTGCAGTGCTAAAGATCCATGACTTGGTTCCAAACTACAACCTTTTATTTGCAGATGTATTTATGGCACAGTACCACATTCTGATTAGAATTTAAGAGTTCACATTTCTGATATTTCTGTCTCTAAATGCTGTGTTGCTTCTGTTTACCTAGTTTTCTTCCTATTCTTCCTAATTTCTTAAAGAAATCTGCACATATTCATTGAGGTATTTAATCCAAAAAGATTTAAAAGAGACACTACGCCTCTAACATTCTGTTTAGGAGAGTATACTACTTTAAACTCCGTTCTCCCCACCTAAAAAAGGGGGGCTAAAGAGTGGGTTTGAACACCTGAGAAGTCAGAGGTGGGAACAGTGTAGATGATGGTCTAATTTCAGGCTCAACCAAAAAAAATGCAGGCTTTGGCTGGCATCCTCCAGGGACCTAGCTCTGTGCTTTCCTAGAGACCAAATTACACTCATCTTGAGAGAGGGCATGTTGAGGTAATTGGTGGGAGAGAGTGGGGAGAGTTGAATTCCAGCTGCTTCCATTGTAGCTGTCCTGAAAATGAATAGGGGATGTTAACAATGGAGGCTAACATTTGACTTGGCTTTTTCACCTCCACAAACCTAAGGGTGAGAATTATAGAGTACTGAATGACTGCACCAATAATGATCCTGTTTAAGTGGGAATTGCTATGTTGGGAAAAACTCACACCATTTTAAAAATAGTTGATGCATTTACCAACCACAGTCCTATTACTGTAGCCCAATAAAGTTTATCCACAGTATGGAAACACTCCTTTTTTTTATTGTCAGCCATCTAGTGTGTGTATTGGATCTTCACCTCTTTGGTTACCATTTTAAAATGCTCCTACTGAAAGACATTTGGAAGGCACCAGAATCCCATCTCCAAGAAGGGAAGCAAGATACAAGTGCCCTGTACTCCCTTTCTCCTAGAATGTGTGGTCTTTTTTTTTTTTTAAGGAGAATAAATACTGTATGACTCAATAGCTTTTCTAACGAATAAAACAAATTAAATTGATGTTACATGCGTATTTAAACCCTATCCAGTTAAGTACTGATGTGATTAAAATAATCAAATGTATTACTTAAAAAATTAAAAAGGATAAATTCTGCACCCCATTATTTTATTGACTTTTAAATATAAATTGCAGAAATGTTTACATTCCTAATGGCATTATTAAGCTAAACTGACAAATCAGAGGAAAAAGTTGATTGGCCAGCACATTATTATTTCTGCACCTGTTATTACAGAAGTGGAGGCTCAGCATTAAAGGAGCTGGATGGATGCTGTTTTCTTAGGCTTCCTTTGTGTGATGTGGGGGTTGGGATAAATGTGTAACAAGTGTAGTTTCACTTTGTAGTGCCTTTTTGTGTGTTGATGTGATTAAAAGACTACAGTGTTTTTCATGTCGCTTTGAAATTAATATGCAAATAATATGGGATATTAGGGCTTCCCTCTACCTGCTGCACTAAGCTTCCCTAAGCCAAATGGGGTGGGGATTGGTGTCAACTTTTTTCATACAAGTTGTTTAGTTGCAAATATCGCCAACGTTTTATCTCTACTCTGTGAATTTGTAAGGGGGGGAGGGAAATGTCAAACTCATTGAAGTAGGATTGAAGATCTGGGATGAAAATACTTTAAATTTTTATTTTCTACTTATATATCAGCCAGGATGTTAGGAGACCTTGAAAACATTTTGAAAAAGTTGTGTAACATTACCAAGGCTTTGGTATAAGATTATACTTTTCTTCTGGTTGAGTTCTTCCTTGTATTAATCATGCAATATCATTTCTCAGACACTTGAGCCCGGCTCTCCCCTGGAGCATAGGTGGCAATAATTGTTTGTTATTATAATTCTAGAATTTCTTGGGTGTTCATTGTCCGTAATTCATTTCACACAGAGAAATCTAAACTTTCTTCAGCCAGTAGAATAAATAATGCCTTCCCTGTCCTTTCCTTTTCTTTTTTAAATTTTGAGTTCTTTAGGAATGTCATTATAGTCTTTGAAACGTAATGACATTAAATTTGGATTGAAGGGGAAGGGAGAGGAACTTTTATTTCATGCCATCCAGTGGCTAGTTTGAGTTTGCAAAGAAATAGATACAATGCCATTATTTTCTGCAAGATACTAGTTAACACTATTCTCATATCAGTTTAGACTTTGTCCTGTGTAATAATTTAAATTCCTAGATTTTAATAACACTTAATATGTAGCATGGATCCCACTTAATCTCCCCCCGGCTTCACAACAAAATGTTTACATAAATGAACTCTCAATTTTGATATCAACTATTTAACTCACTCTTTCCTGAGTTAATACTTCCATAATTAAACATGTTCCACAGTTGCCATAGGAGTGTATCTTAAAAATGATGTTCTTCTCTGTTCTTTTGAGCCATCTGTTTGCTAGGTCAGTAAAGAAATGGGAGCCTGATTTTATTTTAAAGCCAATAAGTTATTACTCTACTATTGTATTAGACATTCAGCTTCAGAGGGAGTAAAAGATAAAATTCCATCACATTTCCACTTTCTTACATTTGCAGCAGAAACTTGTATGCTCAAATTGGTTATTTTCAACTCATGACAGCTGTGATATTTAAAATGATCACAGCTGTTGTGACTTAAAATTGATTTTTCTATTAACACCTGAGAAAAAGACCTGTGCCGTATTAAAAACTTAAATAAGGTAACTGTAAAATTAGATGTGTTGATGTGAATCTGGTAATCCTACTTCCCAGAGGTTGCAAAGTGCAGCACACCTCTTGCATGCTTCCAGGGAATGAGCTAAAACTGCTAGAAATAGATGCATGATTGTTAAAAGCGTTTACATTTTAAAGGATTCCTGTAATAGCAGATCCTCTTGGCCCAACTTTACAGTGTCACTTTTGCTGATAAAATCATTTAGGATTCAGTTTCCTTAATTAACCCCAAGAAAGATGACTTACATGAATCATTATGATATCCTAACCTCTAGACTAGAGAAGCTGCTTTACCTTTCAGATATGACATTGAAAAATGCAAAACCATACGGAATTGTTTCTTATGAAGGAAGTTTTGGTTTTATGGTGCTTTTCCTCCATTATCTTTAGATGACGAAAAAGGAAAAACAGATGAGAAAGGACAAATAGATCATGGCTAAGTAGCTTTAGGCTAGCACTTGTTTTTGGAATCTTTAATACATTTTTAATCTTCATGTTGAAGATCCATTTAACCTGTTTTAAAGTTAGATGGTGATTCCTGGGTTCAGTTGGTCTGTTTAAATGTTTACCTTTTCAGGATAATCCGTATTAGAATCTTGCATCTCTCAATAGATTACCTATTTAACAAAGTAACCAATTTAAGAAAACCTAAACACATTTATACATTAAGATATTTTCCTGTTTCGAGTTAGATGATGTAGTATATAAAATATATGGCTGGCCTGATGTGGAATTATGTATAGACAACAGTGTCTTCACAGATGCATTGCCAATAGGGAGCTATGTAGATTAAACTCTTTGGCCAGTCCTAGGCTTTTTACCTGTGTAACTCAATCAGAATTGAAAGCATGACAGGTTTTATGATGATGAATGTATGGCTGGATTGGAGAAAGTATGGTTGGGTGGGTAGATAGATGGATAGATTTCATAACTAGACAGTAATAGATAATGCCAATTATTTATTACTCAAACTTGTTTATTCCTCAGAAATTTTTCTGCAGAGTATTATTTTGATTATTGCATGTAGTTCAGAACATTTAGTTGAAAATGATAAAATATTTGCTGTCACATAATCAAGACTGCTATAGAGTTGGTTCTAAAAGTTCCAGAGTGAACATACATTACCTGTGTCAAAGTTAGAGGCTAAGACTATGGAGGGCCATAAGATCACAAAGTCAGACTATCACATACTAAGTGATCATGGGTGTCAATGGCTATTTCCTTGTTTAGTTGAAAGAAGATACTCCTCGAGATGGACATTGTTTATATGAAGATTTAAGAAAATCAAAGTGGATATTTGTTGCTGACAGACTAAGATTACAAACATATATCTTTAGAACAGGGTGTTCCCCAGGGGACATACGGCAATATCTGGAAACGCTTTTGATTGTCACAACTGTGGGGGTCAGGCAGGAGCTTGCTACTGGCATCTAGGGCTGGAGGCCAGGGATGCTACTAAACATCTTAACAGCGTGCAAGACAGACCCTCAGAAGTGCTGAGGTTGGGAAGTCCTGCTTGCAAAGTGATATATCTGGACCTTAAGAATTAAATAATGTCATAATAAGTTCCATAATTAAATCTTGGCATTGTGAGGCATTTATAGAGGATAACATTTTTTTGTTTTTTTTCTTTCCCTTTCTATTTCCCTTTTCCTTTTCTTTTCTTTCCTTTTTTCTTTTGTTTCCAAAACATTGTTTTTTGTTTGTTTGTTTTGGCATAGCACACTATAGCATTGCCCAGGTATTTCTACGTTTTACCATGAAAACGTGAGATTTTATAGTGTATTAAATATTGTACATTATTTGTGAACCAACTGGAATGGCTTCAAAGCAGCTGTTAGAATATGTTGAGTCAGTAACACAACATGTCTGCATACCCTAAACATATATTTGTCTTACCTTTTAAAATGTTTAGAACCCTCTATCAGTGTAACTATTGGTTTGTCTTGAATCATCCTAAATGAGGAAGTGTATTACCATTTTTTCCCTACAGGACATAAAGTGGAAAGAAGAAATTAGCATAAAGAAACTAATTAATAATTATGTTTTAAGTTTTTTGGCATTACGGACATTGTTTACATCATCATTAACATCATAACATCATATCGTCTGTTATCAAGAAAAGATTAAAATTTAAAGCCAACATTGAAGATGTTCTTTCCAGCTTTCCCAATAATGCAACTCCTTTACCTCCTCACAACTGGGGACCTCTCTCCCTGCCACTGCTGCGCTTCTCCTCAATGTGGATAATTCTTGGCCATGATACGGAAGTGATTTTGAAACCTCAGTTGCCTTCTGTAGCACCCTGTGGAGGAAGGTGGCAGGATCTGGTGGCTGAGTCTTACATCTGCCAACTTCTAGACCTCACTCCTTAGGTGCCACATTTTGGAGCTAGTTGCCAAGCCTCACAGTAACTTGAGCCACTCTTCAATTTCCTCCCCATGATATACAAAGTTCTCCAAGGTTTAATGAGAGTAGATATGGAGGCTGGGCACGGGAATGGCAGCTCTGATTTGCAGTATATCTTTGGTGTACAGATATGCTTTCATTTATTGCTTAGCCCATTAGCTAATGGAATTTCAATTCCTTCCCACAGGCATTCTCAGACCCTGCACTTCACTCTTCCTGTTTCCCTGTCCAGCTTGGTACAACACATTCTAGTAAAATCACACTGATGTGTTTAGGTTTACTTTGTACATCACATCTGTAACCATCTATAAGTTTGCCCTAAACTGGCATTTATTTTGAACTGTCTTCCACCTTTTATTGTACAGCGTTGTCTGTACTCAAAGTGAGCAACTGAAAAGAAAATTTTAACATTCTTTTTGTGTGCCAGACAAGTAATAAAGATTACTATTTTTATGGTAATTTTTTTATTTGAATATTTCTGTTTCTGGAAGATGGTAATTTTTTTAAATCATGAATTTCCTGTAAGTGAAACTATTTGAGGGAGTATTGACCTTTTTTTGATCAATCATTGATTATCTGTGTTGCACTCTCAGTATTTCTCTTATAGTCCATATGTCCCTCTGAATAATTGTAGAACAATAACTTGCTTACACAGTGTTTTTAGAATATGCTTCAGGAAGCTTGCCTGTGTGGTATTTAACTCAGACATTTATGGAGTATAAAACCAATCTTACTGTGACTTTTAATTATTAGGAAAGTGGCTTACAGTTAAAATAAAGCTTACAGAAAATATTGTAGCAATAATTAATATCCAGTAAAATACAGTTGTAAGCTTCGGTTCTTTCAGACATTTTCTCAACCCAGTTCTAATTTGATCGTTACTGCACCTCAGTAAGATAGGTGATGCAGGAGTCATCATCCCATTTCACAGGCAAAGCCTGGCCTGTTCAGTGAGGTAGCCACTGGCCCCATGTGGCTATTAACATTCAAATGAAGGCCAGGCACAGTGGCTTATGCCTGTAATCCCAGCACTTTGGGAAGCTGAAGCGGGAGGATTGCCTAAGCCCAGGAGTTCAAGATCAACATGATCAACATTGGGACACCCTGTCTCTAGAAAAAGTTAAAAAAAAAAAAAAAATTAGCCAGGCATGGTAGCGCTCATCTATAGTCCCAGCTACTTAGGAGATTGAGGCAGGAGGATCATTGAGCCCAGGAAGCTGAGGCTGCAGCAAGCTGTGATCATGCCACTGTGCTCCAGCCTGGGCAGCAGAGCAAGACCCTGTCTCTAAAATTAAAAATAATGATAATAATAATAATAATAAATAAATGATGTCAGTCAATGAGAATTAAATAAAACTTTAAAAAGATCACTTCCTTGGTTGCACTAGCCAAGTTTCAATTACTGAGTTTTCATATATGATCAGTGGCTACTGTATTAGCACAGATACAGAATATTTGTATCATTGTAGAAAGTTCCATGGGGAGGTGCTGGCCTGGGAAATGGAAGCATTGAGGGATTAAAACTTGCTGAAGATCATGTGGGTCATGACAGAATAGAGTCATTGCTGCTATATATTCCAATAGGATATTTTTACATTTTTCTTAGCTTTATTGTCAAATATCTGATGTAAGAATTGACATTTTAATGCTACCTTGTAGCACTTTACTGAATGCTTATCTCAACTGAATTTAAATTTAGAGCTTGAGTTACACAAACTTTTCAAAGGATACAGCCCTTTGCCTGTCTGCACACAATGGGGACCTTGAATTTCCAGCCAGTGATACCCTCCAGAAGGGACCATGTCTTAATGCATCTTTGTAGACCTTTTGGCATATTGTAGACAACCAAGAAATGTTTATGCAGCCTAATGAATGTGTCACATCCACCATACGGGCATATGTCCATACATACAGTTAGACAAGACCTTTGGGTAGAATGCTCCCGAGAGAGCTGGTGTCTGCCAAATTTTACAGAGCTCATGCCTCTGCTCTTGCTGTTTTAGTAAAAAGTAGTATTTTATCAAAAGTTAAATTGGGTTCAATATTCACCATTTGGGTAATGGGTACATTAGAAGCCCAGTCCCCAGCAGCATGCAATATTCCATGTAACAACAAGCACGTATACCCCTTGGATCTAAAATTTTTTAAAAATATGTATTTACTCACATAATCCAAATATTTTTCATAGTAAATGAAAACGTCTGTCCATCTTGTCCTTAGCAGTCATTTAGTCCCTAACCTGACTTTGTGTTGTTATAAAGTTGTGTCACTTAAGTAGTACTTAAGTAAGTACATACCTACATCCATACTATCTTTCCATTTCCTGCATCACTGAGTTGGACAAATGTGCCCAGTTAGCGTTGGTAGTGCTGAAGACCATGTTCATTCATACATGCACTCAAAATCATATTAATTACTTTTCAGTGATAACCATAGGTGGCAACAGATGAATGGGCTAGCCCTAGGCTATTATTAAGCACTGGGAATGAGATTGTTGGTGCCTTGTACCTGTGCTACTTTAACAGGTGAGACAATTCCAGAGCTTTCCCCATCATCCTCTCGTTGCTACAGTCTAGACATTGGGAGCACTGGAAGCCTATGGTGACACAGACTGGCAGATGCCTTGGGCTTCTAATGGTGTATATGTAAGCCATCATTTTGTTTGTAATAATTATGGTGTTGAGAAGCATTTGTGTGCTGTGCACTCTTTCAGCTTGTGCCACGTTTAGTTCCTGTTATGCAAATACCACTTTAAACTTAGAAATTCCAATTTGCATTAATATTTTGGTTTCATAGAGCTAACTATTGCATTTCACAAACAAGTGCATTTTAATGAGTACCGGCAGAATGATTTAAAAATGTTATTTATTAAATACTATTGTAGAAAATGCAGTCTTTGGTTGCCAGAAACTATTAAGACGAAATATAATGTGTGTTGAGGCCACAGAGTACACCTCTTCAAGAGTATTTGACCCTTATGGCTTTCAGTGATACAACAGCCAATGCTCTTCATGCAGGCTTGGAGGGCAGAGGTAATTAATATAAAATAGAAGCCAGCGTACCATTGACGTTTGGGTTTACTTTTAAAATGTAAACATATTTTTACTATTTGACATTTGTCATAAGACCATAGGTCATTTACCTCTGAGTTAAGGTGAAGGACTTTACCAGTCATAAACACCCAAGTTTTAAAGCAGTGTTTTCTTATATCTTACATCTTGATGTTAAATCCTGAAATGGAGTTTGTTGCTGCTTTATAATTTTTTTCCCTCTTCCTAAAAGCCTTTTTTTAAATCAGAATTGTGGATAAAAAAATTTTGATGTACAATGTGTGGGAAAATAAAAATTTTGCAACTGGATTTTCAGAAATGAACTATTTTAACACATGGACTTTGAATGCTGCTGTCATGGTTGTCATAGCTTGTGGTTCCTAATTATAATGAGCTTTTTTGGTGGTGTTATTGCAGTTGTTTTATTCCCCCTGCCCCCACCCAGTCTTCAACTCACTTTTCCCAGAAGGAGAGTTCCAAGCCTTTGAAAATTCTCATGATTTTGCAAATCCACTCTATTTTTGTCTAGAATACAGGAAAGTTAAAACTGTGGCTGGTATGATGCCATGTTTTGAATCCAATTTTAAAGCAACCCTTTGCAACCCAGGGAGTAAAGCTGACATCTTTGTATCTGTAATGAAGATAATTATACCTGCAAGGTGACATCACTAGCAAAGTAACAAATACCCTTGAAAACGGAGTTCCTGGTCTTCTCTGAATTCTGTAGACCACATTTGGCATTTAACACCAGACACCTCTTTCATGCCTGTCGTTTGAGAAGTTGCTTTCAGATGAATTTACTAAAGCTGACTGACACAGGGTTAAATTAATTCTTTTCTTTATTACTCAAAGTGATACAGACCTTTCTTGGACTAATGTAGCTTAATTAGTGGTCAATTAAAACTGAACATTGCTGAATTGAAGTTCTTTGATCAAACTCCCTGGCATGGGCTTGCTTTCTTTAACTAGCCACCATCTTGAATTCATTTGGAATCAGTAGTATAAACAAGTTAAAAACTGGTTCTTTTATAAGAAAGTCAGCAGGCTTGTATAGCTGTGGTTTCTTTTTTTACTTCTGTAGGCGGCAATTCAAAGGCATGCTAAATGAAAACAGTACTACACCCTGAAAAAATTACATTTTTAAAAGTAACACTAAGCAGTCAGAAAACAGTCAACACCCTTACCTGTTTATTCTAGATACATTTATCTTCTATGTAGAACAAATAATTAATAATTCACTTCCCAATTTCAGTGGTTGATTTTGTTGTTACATGGAAGGTGAAAACTCCCCACCCTCCCTTGCAAAGTCTATAGTTATAACAAAAAGTGAAGCAAACAAAATCCAACCTGGTTGTTGGGAGTAGAGTCGGAAGGGGCACGGTAAATGAAGGTGTGCCCAGTTGCTCCTAAATTCATTCTTTGTCACTCTTGGGAAAATAGTTCACCTCTGTATCTTTGGAGTGGGAGTGACACACTACTTCATTTACTTATTGATTTCATCATTTATTTTGAAGGGCATTATCCTATCAGTATGGAAACTGATAATAGCATATATTTCATATGAATCACTTGATTAAAAATACACATTGCTTTTGTTAGAATTTGGGTGAAGTTACAAAAAAAGAGAATTAGGGGAGCTGAAAACTGGGGCAGAGGAAATCGTAAGCATTGGTAATAAGATCACCCACCTCCATTTATCCAGTTACATGTCTTAATATTTAAAGTGTATATACCATTCTTGTCTAAACATAAATTGATACCATTCCGTAATCCTAGTTTTTGAAAGCTTAACAACCAAAAACATACATCCTAGCTGGCATTCAGTTAGTGCTGTGCATTCTGGAGTATTAATTGAAACTGGTACTTTTGTACTGGAAATAAAAGTAATAGATTAGGTTTAAATAGATAATTTGCTTAGTTCATAGTGATTTCTTCTGGTTTTTGGAAATTTTCACAGAGAAAGAGTTAAAGGAAATTTGGAAGTGACCATGTACAGTGTTCCCCCTGTAAGTGACAGAATTTTTGTGGTTTTCATTACTTAGATCGAAAAATTGTAGTTATAATCAATAATTAAAATTAAAAATTTTACCAGTTGACAGAAAGAGAAATTGTTTATAGTCAATGTGCCTTTCAGCCTTCTCTCTTGCCTTCTCCCTAAAAGGCTGATTAGGATGTAATAATTGGGGATGATAGCGGGAGGAAGACGACAATTCCATTTAATTAAAGATAATTTATTTTACTTCAAATTGGTGATGTCCCACATGAATAAGAGTAGCTTTAGCAGATAGATTTATTAATGGGTACTGACATCTCAGTTGACAGAAAAAGCAAACATTTTCTTTCCTCATTGTTTTTATTGTGTCCCGTCACCTGAAACTGCTGTCACCATGCTTCCTTTGCTGCTTGACAGAGCTGTAGACTTTTCCACCAAATATGCAATTATTGGTTTATCATTGAAACAAAGTTGATCCTCTTCTGAGTTAAAAACTAGGCCAGGAGCTTGAAAGGCGGTTCAGGCTTTCAGAGCTAATGCTACAAATGCTCTCTTCTTAAATCACATTTTCTCAACTGATCCTTCCCATATCTAGTTCATGAGTAGATTGAACCTTTTGAATAAGGACCAAAGATTTCCTTTGGTCTTGGGTGAGGTGCTTGCATGAATATTCCTTTAATACCTTGAATGTCTTGGATAATGAAATGTGCCCCAAAAAACTACCATTTGCATTACTTAGGTTCATTCCTGACAAGGAATTCTGCCCTCGTGTGATATGTTCGTTGTTGTCTCATGCAATCGTAAATGGATCTTGGAAGTTGGGACAGTTTTTTTTAATTAGGAAGTAGATTCAAGAAATGCATGATATTGTTTTTCATATAATCTCCTCAGTCTATAGTGGTTGTAAAGGTGTGCTGTTTAGCATACCTTTAGCAAAACTGTATTTATAATTCTATGTATCTTAAGGCACTTTTTAAATGCTTCTGACAAACTGCATTCTGTTTTTCCAATGTCTATTTGATCTCTGTTACATTAGGCTTATTTGTCTTACTCTCACATCGAATTCCTATATTTTTGTTTATGTTTTCTGGTGTTCAGTCATTTCTGTATGCTTGCCTAGTATGTTTCTTTCATACCGTCTTCTTCACTGAATGAAATGCAGACCACCTTGGCCACTTCCTTCCTTCTGGGCTTCTTTTCCTATTCACAACTTCCGCCATTCACACTGACCCTCTAGCTTTACTTATATCTATTGCTCCTGCTGCTTTGTTGCTCTAATTTTCATATATATTTCCTTTATGCTAATATCCTTTCCTTAACTCTTTGGATTTCACTGGTTTGTCTTTCCAGCTTTATTTAGAAAATTAGGCCATATAACTAATGTTTACACCGTAGAAAGGAAAATGAGATTCTTTCTTTCTTTTTTGGAAGTGAAGAGGTGAGAAGGTTGTGGTAGAGGTTTTCTTTTATTTTAAACCAGATGGATTTATTTTGTCCTGCTTTGCTATTTCACTATTTCAAATTGATTTTAAATCAGTGATGGTGTTTTCAAGGATTAATTTTTATTAAATCTTGATTTTCATGTCGTGTTAACCTTTTCCTTCCCCTCAGCCAAAGGGTCTTCTTCCTTTTTTCTGTCCATTTCACTTGTTTGTTTTAATAACCTGATCTCTCCAGCCATTATTTTATCCTCAAATCCTGCCACTTTTATCCATCTTTTTTTATTGCACTGTTGTCCTTACTTCACCTTATATCTTTTCTTCTTCTGTAATTATTACAGAATCCATGATACCTTCTCCAAAATTCTAACAAAGAATTCTGGAAAAGGAGAAATTGGGAAAGAGAAAAATTGCAAGTAATGTTCTTTGCTGAGCCCTAGGAAGTCTGCTTGGATTTTTATATTCGACTGATATTCCTCCCTAGAGTTGCAGTCATGATTCTATGTAGTAGGGACACGAAGGCAAAAGTTTAAATAGACTAACACTGACCCTTAATTGGAGGTGATAATCCTACATATAAACTTTCAGGAGGGAAAGCGATCCTGCATTTTACATCAGGTAAACTCAGTTGCACCCATTGCCAGTAGCTGGGTCAGGTGTGTAGGGGTGTGTGTGTGTGTGTGTGTGTGTGTGTGTGTGTGTGTGTGTACGTACTGGGAGCCAGGTTGGAAGTAGGAAGAGAAGGAGGTTCTTCTTTCCTCTCCCACTTGCAAGCTATTTTCTTTCTTTTCTGTCTGTTTTCATTATTTCTATGGCAAGTTTACTTGCCACGTCTTAAACACCTTCAACCTTTTTGTCTCTTCCTTTACTTTTTTGCTTTACTGCTATCAAAGAGTTAAGGAAGTCCATTAAATTGGAGGCCATTCCTCACCATAAGAGAAATCTGGATGGGATGCTTTTGACAACTGGGCTCTCTTTAGTAGCTTCTCTCTACTTGGGAAAATGTCAGATATTTTGAGAAATAAATGCATTGCCCCAAACTGAAAACACCACTTTTATTCTGTAAAAGAGGCATTCAGGGAAGGAGACCTCCTCTATTCCCAGGAGGTCACAGGAACTGGGAGTGGCAAGAAGGAAGCTGCTAAACGGGCTCCAGATGCAGCTTTATCCAGGGGACGCCTCATGCCTGGTCATTTGGGTGGCTGGGCTTGTCCCACCTCCCCTTCTTCATGCCCTCCTCCCGGTCTCATCCTAGGCCCTCCCACCCCTAGGCCAGCCACAGGCCTCACAGCGGACATCTGCGGGTCTGAGTTTCATATATCCAGCATGAAGTTCCCTCTCTCCCTCCCATTATGAATTCTGGGCTGTGGTCCTGCTTGCTCCTTGTGTGTCAGATTGAAGTTCTGATGCTGTCAGCCATGTCTGACCAATCAGCAAACAACACCACAGGATGAAATTTAAACAATGCAGATGCTCAGATACAGGGCTATGTTGCCTGGACCACGAAGGGAAAGCAGAGGTAAGGTCAGAGTCTCCCCAAAGTGGTCTATCCTGAGCCTGCCTGACTTGACACCTCTTGGGCTGCACTGTGCTGCTTTGACTTGTATGTTACCCATTTGCTTTGCACTACTTCTGTCTTCCCTGGCATTCACCAGAACTTTCATTTTAATTCGCTCTGCCCGGGTTACTTTACCACCTTCATCTGCTCACGTCCTTTTCTTTTGGATTGGTGCTGACTGTCATTACGAATGTTCCTGGATTGCCTCGTGGCCGAGGGTCCTTGGCAAGTGCCACCTTGTTCAGGTCTTTTGTGGCCAGACTTTTAGGAATAGAGGACTGCTGAGGATCAGGGCAAACGGACGGAGTTAATAGGCCTTATTAATTTTCCCTCTGCAGGACAGTGGAATTTATCATTCGGTTACAACCACGGTTTTGTTTCTTACCATTGTGATGTATTGAATTGTAAATTGAGCTTAAATCATCTTTTTTTCTCAGAAACGGTTTACTTAGAAAAGATATAAATAGATACAACCTAAACGAGGATGAATCAGCTCATCTTCCAAGAGTTTTGGAGGGGGAGAAAGGGAATTGATAACTCTCCCCCACCCGAATCCCCCCCCACTTTTTTTTTTTTTTTTTTTTTTTTACAGTTTTTGGTGTTAGCTCACTAGATTACTGTTTGCAAAAGAAGAATCTCATCATCATCCTCTTCTGTTTTAAGTGTTTACTTGGCCCTTTTATAATTTAAAGTGTTTACACGGTTCTGTGCTCCCTAGGCCCATCTGGAAAATATTTAAACTTCATAAGATCTATAAGACTAGAATATCACATATAATGGGATAGGGGGAAGGAAGAAAAATTAGAGCCGTTGCGTGTGTTTAGAATAAGTTAGTTGTTTGTTCAGAAGCGGCTGCTGGAGGAATTGGAACAAATAGCTGTGTGCGGTGAACGATTGGGTCCAGAGCTGTACATTTCACCACAGAATGAGCCTTGGTTTGTGAAACTGACATTCTGTTGTGACTTCTAAATCCAAACAAATCTCTGCAAATTTCTGCCCGATCGAGTTAATAAGAAAATATATACATGCAGAGGCGAGAGCCGTATGCTACTTGTACTTCTGTCAGTGTTGGTGGAAATAAGAGACGGATTTTACCTACTGTATTACATTCAACCAGCAATTGGCAGAACCCCCAGCTCAGCGGGTTTTCTTGACTTTTTTTTCTGCTGTGAGAACAATGGGATGCAAAAGGGCTTCAGAAAAGGAGAGCAGCAGATACGGGATTGGGGTCACTTTTCTTCTAATTGCCTTGTAATTGGGGAGTGGTTTCCACTTTCCCACTATCTCACTGGTGGGAGGGGAGGAAGACAGATGTGGCTTAGCGGTAACGAGCTTTCTCCAGGCCGGATGTGCTGAGGGACCAGGGGGGTCATTCCCTGCTCTGGGCCTGTGATCTGCTTCACACCTGTGCTCATTTTCCCCCATGATCGATGACCTTGTATTAACCCAGAGTGACCTTTTGCCTTCGCCTGTTCTCTGGGACGAGCTCTTGGCTAGTGGACCCTCCTTTCTCTCTGATTTACAGGTGGTTACTGGAGCCACATACACTTGTTTTTCATGGTGCACTGTGCACTTAGCAGCCCGGCAAGACCTGCAATTTCATCCCTCTCAAGGGGCCAAGCAGGGGATTGGAAGGTGGGAGGGAGGAGGGTGCCGCGAGAGTGGTTGCTGTTTGCATGTGCTTTTCTATTTTGTGGCTCATATGGTATCAATTACCATTTGATGGCAACGCCAGGCCTGAGGCCCTTCGCATGTTTGTCCTGTGAGAAAGATCTGGAAGAACCGACATATGGTTTTGATTGCAGCAATTGCAGGTTGATAGAATGAACGCAGGGGTGAGGTGGGTGGGTTTTCCTTCCGGCCCTTTCCACTCTGGGTTGCTAATGTGCTTCGCTTGTGGAACTGGTCTTTTCATCATCCAGCCCCTCCCCCACTTACCCCTCCCCCACCCCCAACTCCCTGCCACTTTGCATTCCCTGCCCCTGCCTTCCAAATGACCGCCAGGAACATGTGGCCCACATTAAGGACCTTCAATTAAAACAAACAAAAAATTGTCCACTCTTCTGTTCAGTCCCAGAGCAGGTCAGTCCATCAAGATGGTTGGAAGTGTACCACAGTTAAGAAACAAATGGTTGGCATAGGGGGCAGATTCCCTCCAGAAGCTTGGGACATGTTTTAAAATGGCTGTTAGTTCAGATTGTTAAACATCGAAATGATGCTGAAAAATAGCAGCAATAGAGATTAATGTGGGGTGTGTGTGTGTGTGTGTGTGTGTGTATATCTGTATGTGTGTGTATTTCATTTAAGACACCTCTTGGAATCTGTGCATCTGCTGCATAGGGACAGGAAGATGATGATAATGGATAGGAGTTCTTTGGGGTTCCATCTTTCTGTACATCCCAGGCCATAAGATGATGGAAAAGCAAGTGAGGCATGTGTGTCTCTATGAGCATTTCCCTTCAGAAGGAAGATGTTGGAGACTCATCTCCCATGCACAGTGACTTCTCTCTTACTAAATTTGTGATGGTAGGGGGTACTCCTCATTACTGTGGCTCAGCAGGGATTGCATCTGTGAATATGCCAAGGGAGGGTCTACTATTGGGGAATGGTGAGAGGCAAAGAGGAGAAAAGAACATTATAGGCACTTTGAATGTTACCCAGCAACATTTTTTTTGTTGTTTCAAAGTAACATCTTTCTATAATGCTTTCAAATTTACCTGTCTGGTAATCTGTTCTAAGATGGGCAGCCCATGAGGTTTTGACTTTTTTCACTTTGGCTATTGCATTTCAAAATATTACTCACAATTAGGAATTTATACCATTTGAAACAATAATGTGGTATCTCATGAGTAAATGCTGCCATTAACATCTTCCTTCTTTTAAACTGAAAACAAGCAAACCAGACCCAAAAAAAAAAAAAAAAAAGCAGAAACATGCTCCCCCAAGAAAGCTTGTTTTTTTCTTTGAGATGGAGTCTCGCTCTGTTGCCCAGGTTGGAGTGCAATGGTGCGATCTCGACTCACTGCAACCTCCACCTCCCAGGTTCAAGCGATTCTCCTGTCTCAGCCTCCCAAGTAGCTAGGATTACAGGTGTCCACCACCACACCTGGCTAATTTTTTGTATTTTTAGTAGAGATGAGGTTTCACCATGTTGGCCAGGCTGGTTTCAAACTCCTGACCTCAAGTGATCCGCCCACCTCGGCCTCCCAAAGTGCTGGGATTATAGGCGTGAGCCACCACACCTGGCCAAGAAAGTTTTTTAAATGTGAGATGAATTTTTAGTTTTGAAGGCCAGCTATTGAAACCTAATCACACTGCTTGACATACTTCTTCATATTTATCTTTATATTAGAGCTGATCTTTATCAAAAGGTAGTAGAAACTAAAAAACTTAAGTTATTGACCTAAATTGTAGGGAAATGTCTGTCTGATCGACTCTAGAGAGAAAATTGGCCGTATCTTTATAATGGTTACTGAATGTATATCTTCATGAGGCTACAGTTTTTTTTTCTTTGCTCCAACTTTCTCCTTATGATGTAGAGATTGGTGTATTAAATAATCACTTTTTCAACAGTCTTGATGACAATTTTATTTTGCTATTTCATAATCTTCATACAATGGGATAAGTGTTTTCAGAGATACGTTTGAATTCAGAGCAACTGGCAATTAAGTGATTTGCTCTAGTCACATGTTTTAGTAGTAGCTATTTGGTTATTTGCCTGATATTTAATGCACACATATGTACCCTTAAATCATCATTCAGTGTGATAGCTTAAGACAACATTTCTGTTTGCTGCTCATGCCACTATTAGCTACGTTTGAAGAGTGATATACTGAGAAGTTTAATTTGCTGGGGTTTTTTTCTAAAAACATTGCTTTCCTGAAATATATAGTATTGGGGGCTCATAGCAAAAAAACCGTAGTATATGGGTTGTGAGCCTGTCTTCGAACATGGTGGGTCACTTAACAGCAGCTGTGCTGGAGAGATATTTGATTTGAGAAGACTGTTTTGAATCTTCTCAGCCCTAACACCATTCTGGTTTTGAAATGGGAAAATGGAAAAGAGTTTTAGGGAATAGAGATATCTCAGCCTTGAAAGGAAGCATAGGTAGAAATCTTTCAGTTCTCACTCAGATGAACCAGCATTCCTAATCTGGCTACCCTCACAGAGGACAAAGAGTCTGCTGGGAAATGTGGGTTTATATTTGTAGAGACACACTTCAGAGGCATGAGATAGTGTTAGATACCGACTGGATGCTTCGTGCCCAACATCAATTTGGTTTGCAGATTGAAATTTAGGAAAGCTTGCAGAGGAGCCAATCTTTTTTATATACAGCACCTTTAAAAAAAAGACTGTCCACTACTATTAAAATCTGATTCAGTCTTCTAAAATATTACTACATTCAAGACAACTTTTAAAATGATCAAATTTAGATAGACATCAATGATGTTAAAAGATAAAAGCCCTCCTACATGTAATATATAGTGTCTTAAACCTTATTTTTTAAAAAAGGGATACCACTTTTGCCAAAAGTTTCAATGTAGGGATACTCAAACTGTCCTTGGAAGTCCTAAAAATTGCTAGTTTTTTTTTTGTTTGCTTCTTTTTTTGTTGTTTTTGTTTTTTGTTTGTAGTTATTCACAAATGGAGAAATATTTATAAAATTATATTATAATTTGTAATGCACGCAAACAACCATCAGACCACACTTGAATCAGAGAGTTACAGTTATAAATTGAGGAAAGAGGATGCCAGCACAATGCCTAATGGAGTGAAAAATTGTGCTTATTTTCACAGGACTCTCTTGGAGAGGAGCTAACTACTTTCCTCTCTCTTAATACCCAGACCCTCTCCCTCAGCCCTGACAGCACGTTACAGAATGCATTCACTTAGTGTGTGAAGAGCTAGCTCACCACCTCCCTTTAAGATCTATTCTTGTTATTCATACATTGCAAATTTGTACTTTTGTATCCACAAGGAAGACATTACTAACTTCAAGAAAGGCAGTGTCAATGAGGAGCAGGAAAATACAGTATGATACAAGCCTGCCAATGAAAGAATTATACTCAGACTCTATGCGCTCTGTTAAACAAAATTTGAACCTTTGAGGAAAAAATATTGGGGATTCTGATGAGTGTTTTTACTCTTTCTTTCCTTTTTTTTTTTTTTTCTATTTGGAAATCATGGCTTCCTGATCCTAAGGGATAAAAAAAAAAAAAAAAAAAAAAACCTCAAAGAAAAGACTCAACAGGCTTTCTGGACATCAAATAGTTCCTACAAAACAACATTCTGATGACTTGCATGTAAAGAAATCAGAAACATATGAATTAAGCTTCTCTCGAAATACATATGGGTTGAAAAATAGAGAGAAGTGCTGAGAAAATGTGTTTTGGGTTTTGCTGAGCCCATGACGTTTGAAAAATAGTATGAGACATTGAACAAACACAAAGCATGGCTTGGCTCACCCATTCCTAATATTAGCCTTCTAGTTCAACGGCAAATCAGTTTACCATGTGCCTAAATGTGAGCCACCTTGGTGCACTCCCCCACACTTAATTATATGCAGTTTAAATTTTTTCAATTAGGAGCTCAAAAATAACATTGCATTTCAAGGAAATGCAAATCTTAGCATTTTCTTACCTGGTTTGTTCACCTCAGACCATTTTAGAAAACACCACAGATTATTTCACCTTAGGAGCAGTCACACTGATGTGGCCCTCTTTGATGTGGCTGGCATATAACAGAAGAAACGTATCATTTTTAAGAAACTGGCTCCAAAGACAATATTGCTATTAAATTGAAGCCAAAAACCACTGCAGGTAAAACATGATGAAGATGAAGGACGCCCTCTCTTAGCCATATAGTAGAAGCCCGATCATAGACTCTCACCCTTACACCATGACTTGAGTTCCTGCTCATTTTTATCCCTGAGCTCTGCAGACTTCTAAGCAGTGGAAGTTTTCATTCTCTTTCCCACATTGCACTCAAGAGAGCTAACATGAGAGATTCTAAATCCTG
Source organism: Homo sapiens (assembly GCF_000001405.40). Taxonomy (NCBI): domain Eukaryota; kingdom Metazoa; phylum Chordata; class Mammalia; order Primates; family Hominidae; genus Homo; species Homo sapiens. The sequence goes on along the minus strand of NC_000018.10, from coordinate 55,296,358 downwards.
GGATTCCTCTGCATCTGGCTTTAAGTACAGGAGCAGAACACAGGGAATTTAAGGAACAAAAATAGCCAGAGCTTCAGGCTTCTTCCACTGATGGTAAGTCATTGACATGCACTTGGATGAAATCCTGTATCTGTTCTTTGGACTAGCACTATCGCCTGAGATTATCAGTTTCAGAGAGTTACAGAGAGGCAGTAGATTTCATCTTTCCTATTTCAGGAGGAGTTATTTTGGTTGTTTAAAAAAAAAAAAAACACTTTAATGTACTTTTCCTAACTCCTTCACTCAGATGGTGGCAAGAAGTTTGACAGAATAAAGTAATTCAGCTAATATTTATCAAATGCCTACTATGAGTGAGCTGTTAGAATATAACCCTGAACAAGACAAGCATGAGATAGGCAAACAGACTATTAAAACCTAGACTGATAATGCATTGATTGGGGTGTACAGGCTCCTTAAGGTAGATATACAAAGGACAACTAGTCCACATTTGGCCTTAGAGGAAGTGAAGTGCAAGGATGAATGGGAATTAAGCTGGCAAAATGCAAGGGTTATAACTGGAAGCAGGGGTGAGCATGGCATATCCGGTGACCCAGAAGTAGTTCAGAATGCCAGAAGCTTATGGTACAAAAGGATAACATAAAAGATGAGACTGAAAAGGTAAACAGTGGCCTGATCAAAAAGCGACTTGTGAGCCCTATTAAGGAGTTGAGATTTTATCATGAATGTGACGAGGAGCCTTTCAAATGGGTATGCCTGAGAAGTAATTGAATTTAAAAGTCAAGACGGATAGGAGGACCTGGAAAACTTAGAGTCAGAGAAGCCAAGGGAGGCAGATCTGACCAGAAGGAGGAAATTGTCAACAGTGTCAGATGTTGCTGAAAGATAGAAGTGACATTTGGCTGCAGCATCCAGGAGGTCTTGAGCAGTTTCATTGAAGTAGTGAGTGTGGAAGGAAGGTAAAGAAGTGGAGAACAGGCATTGCAAGATAATTTTCCATCATCGTCATCATCATCGTCCTCATCACCGGAAAATGAGCATCAATTATCTTATCTACCAGACATAGAGAGTGACCAGGTAAGGAATGACACACCTGCAGCCTGGGAGATTTCAGAAAACAGATCATAAATATAAAACAGAAGACAGCAACACATGGTACAACACATGCAAAGGGCAAAATGAGCAGTGTAGGCCAACGGGATGAAGAACAGAAAGAATTAGGGGGCAGGTGAAATGGGAGAGTTTTTCAAGCAGTCAGTGCGCTTGAGGTTTGCATTCTGGATTGTGCCTCCTTATAAGTCAGTCCAACCTGTTTTTGATTCTCCATCCAGTGGAAATAGGAAACACCATCAAAGATGATGCATAGTCTTAACTTGCCTGTGACTTCTGATTATGTTTCCGAATTTTGGGAGGAAGATTAAAGTCATAAACTGACTCTTGGTTTGTTATAATTTCTTGCAACTGTTATTTTAAAAATCCGGACACAGGCCAAGGCAGGAGGATTCTCTGAGGCCAGGAGTTTGAGACCAGCCTGGGCAACATAGTGAGACCCTGTCCCTACAATAATAAAAGTAAAATAAAAAGAAAATCTGGATGCAGAAACTGAGGTGTAGATAAATATAGCAAGTCAGAGATATTCGTAAATTCTACATCGATGAGTTTCTTGAGAAATTCTGCACACCCAGTGCTGGACAACTGTGGAATTGCAGCGTGATACCTTTCACATCTGGGTCATCTCCATATGATATCTTCTTCCTGGTACAAGGCCAGAAGTTCACCCCACGCACAACACCTATGGAAGCCACTTACGATTCAAAGGACAGTTTTTCTGAAAAAGGGTGCATGATGTATACTTCCCTTCAACACTAAAATTCTGCTGCTTAAACTTTGTAAGTGAAGGAAAGGACTGGTTCTCTTCTACTTTGGCTGTCTTCCTTGTTTCCTATTTATTGGGTGCTTGCTTTGGGCAACCCATTGTATTGGATGTGCTCTAAACCACAATCTTTGCTCCTAAGGAGTCCGTAGTATTTATCGGGGGATACGACCTGGATAATTCATATAAGATATGAATTTCTTTCTTTTTCTTTTTTTTCTTTTTTTTTGAGACAGATTCTCACTCTGTCGCCCAGGCTGGAGTGCAGTGGCGCGATCACGGCTCACTGCAACCTCCGTCTCCTGGGTTCAAGCAATTCTCATGCCTCAGCCCCCCAAGTAGCTGGGATTACAGGCACCCACCACCATACTCAGCTAATTTTTGTATTTTTAGTAGAGATGGAGTTTCACCGTGTTGGCCAGGCTGGTCTTGAATTCCTGACCTCAAGTGATCCGCCCACCTCGGCCTCCCAAAGTCCTGGGATTACAGGCGTGAACCACAATGCCTGGCCAAGATATGAATTCTAAAAAAAAAAAAAAAAAAAAAAAAAAAAAAAAGTCCTTGGAAAGTTTAGAAGATGAAATACATTTAATGAAAATTGAGCTCATTCTTCCCCAATATTTGTTCCATATTCCTCTCCATATTATACTATTAGTACACAATCCTGTTTGGACTTACTGGAAAAAAGAGCTGAATAGCTTATCCACATGTCAAGAAACTTTCTGTTTAAGAACACTGAGGTTCATCAACATCAAAAAATATTTTCAGCATCATTCAGGCACTGGACATGCTCTACAAATTAAATACCTTAGGGCCCCTACTATTTCAGTGTTTTCTCAGTGTCTTGTTGCAGTGGCAAATGCTATGAACTACATTTTTCAAATGAATATTGAAGATTGAGAAAGAGGTTAAGAACCTCTATCTATTAACGATAGAACCAAATCTAGAAAGATGTCTCCTGCTCTGTAGAGCACATTAGGGATCATTATTTATAGCCATTTGGCTCTCTTAAGACATTTTGGCAATGAGGGAAAAATCATAGGTTGATTTTCTTGGTGGAATGAAGAACATTGAGTTTGCTAACAAAGAGAGCATGAGTGACTTTGGTAAGAGAGCAGTTTTTATTTCAGTGGAAAGGCAGCCTCCTCTCCTAATAATAGCTACATTATTTACCTAAATGTTCCATGTAGCAACTGATAACAAGGCTTACTGCTTAAGAAATTTGGCCATCATCTTGTCCTCTCTACTAGAATTCCATCTGCCTACAGATGGGCCCTTGCTAATATTTTTTTTCTGAAGGACAACATGTAACTTAAGGGCCCACTACTGTGTGTTATTTTGTTTTTTTAATTGAGGTGAAAGTCACATAATGTAAAATTAACCATTTTGAAGTAAACCATTCAGTAATATTTAGTACATTCACAATGTTGAGCAGTCACCACATCTGTCTAGTTCTAAAACATTTTCCCCAGCCCAGAAGGAAACTCTGTATCCATTAAGCAGTTCCTTCCTATCCCCCTACTTCTAGGCTTTATAAACCTTTAATTTTAATGTTATATACACACACAGGCATACACATACATATATGCTATACACACATATGTATGTATATATGTATAATGTGTGTAAATAATGTGTAAATATAGACGTATAAAGATGTATAATGTGGGTAAATAAATGGATGTGTGTATGTGTATATACATATATGTACATGTATACATATATACGTATATATGTATACATATATGTATCTACGCACATGTATATACGTGTATACACACACACACACACATTCATGTCTATTTATAGATTAGGAAGTTCCAAACAGAGGACCTAATATTTCCTAATTATGTAAACAAAGAACTATCTACTTTAATGAATGTTTCTCCACCAGGAAAAAGAAAAATAGGAAACATTCCTTGCTTCTTTTAACCTGTCTGTATATTTCTCTTAAATTCTCACTAGATGCTAATTTATCAAGGAAGACAAAAAAGACAGAAATAATCCTGAGCCTTTTGTTGTGTAAAACTGCTGCTCTTCTTGTAAAGACATTTTCTCATTAATTTCATCAACACTGAGAATTTTAAACTGCTTCTCAATTTTAAGCAATTGTATGGGTTTTACATTTCTATTTTTGAAAATCCAAAATTATTGAACAAAGTAATTTAGTTAGCAAAGTTTACATTTCTTGGAAAGAAATATGAAAGGGTCATTCTTACTATAATTTTTATTGTTAAAGAAATTGCTGTTGTTCACATGTATTTATGCCCTCCTCATTCCGGAAGAATATTTGAGGTAGCCAGTAGCACATTTTTTTGAATTAAGAAAAAATTAGATCAAATGAAAAAATACCTAAAATTTAAATATTTAGAGAAAGCCAACTCAATTATATTTTAAATATGCCTGAAGTCGTGAACTAACTAATGTTGATCATTTAGTCTTCTGGTCCTATCTCAGGAATATTATTGCCCTTCTTAATTCATCTTTCACCTCCTTTAAGAAGTATTTCTGAATAACCCTATAGGATAACTTCCTTTACATTTCTTTAGCTCATATGGTTTATACAAAAGGCTACTCACTTTATCACATTTTCTAGTTGCTTATTGTACTTCATAAATCTCCCAACTAGTTCCTAGTGAAAATTCTGCCCTTCTAATTTTTTGTATGTAATTTACCAAAGCACCTAGCTTTGTGCTAGCTAAAAGCTCTGCTCTGAGTTAAATTAGTGAAATATTGCTGGTTGATTTCACCTAAAAGTTTGCCCCGGGCAGGAGGGAAGAGGGTGGGCATTTGAATGGGTAACAGACAGAGAAGCAGCTGATTGGACATAGATGTTGACAACTTGCATACTTATTTTTTTCATTTCAATCTGTGCCACAGAGTCATACATTTGGTAATTATTTCATGCTTTTGTTTTCAGTTGAAAGTAGTTAGGGCCATATGTTTTGACAGAAAAAAGATAATTCGTACTTTTTTTCAGCTTTATGAAAGGGAAGATGGGGTAACAATTTTACAGTGTACCATGGCAGTGATTCCTGTTCAAAACTTTACCAGATTGGAAACTCACTGTTCATAACAATTCTCTTGGTAAGCAGAAGATGAAGGCATCTGTTTAAAGCACCCAGAGTTAAGTTTGATGCTTCAAAGCACAGCAGAGTTCATTTATAACTCTACTTAGCACTATTAGATATCTTTAACAAATATGAAAAGTTGTCCACCAGATTCCTTAGACTGTAGGTGATTTGGAAGGATATTCTGGTCAAGTGCTAACTTCTGACTGAGGATTTCAAATGAAAAGACCTAGGTTATAACCCCATTCCTGCCCTTACTCTGTCTTGTGACTCATGGAAAAGGAAGGCACTTAACCCGCTCCAAGCTTATGTTCCTGAATGTATAAGATGGGTAGCATGGTTGACCACTTAGACAGATAATCCATCTCAAAATGATGATTAAAGAAGATAATGGATGAGAAAAGTCCTTTTGATTTAAAATACTATGAAGATGTGAACTTTTAATAATGACTAATGATAGAATTTTGTCAAATTTGCTTTACGTAATTAAGTTCAAGATCAAAGAATATATCTAGAGAAGTACCTATGTATTTTGTGAAATGTTTCTTTGAGTATTATTATTATCATTTTATGTCTGTTAGAATCTTGGCCTCACTGTCTTTTCATTCTTGCTTGAATGTCGACTCTTCAAAGTGTGACTTTCTGCTTGTGTCTGATGCAACTTTCTTCCTGATCGCTCTTGCTTCCTGAGAAGGAATAGGTACTTAGGAATGATGGCTTTTTGGCTGTCTGTGCTTATTAGGTACAAACACAGCACTAAAGACATTTGGGACTGGAGAAATAAGAAGAGCGCCTTTAGGGTTGTATGCAAAAGGTCAAACTATAATGTAGTTAGCATTTTTCTTTGTACTGCTTTCCCTTCTTGTAACAACCTCTCAATACCCTCATACCTTCTCTGCTTTCCAGAAATGCTTTCTAAAAATTGATTATTGGGAAAAGATCTGAGACCTCATTGCCCTGAAGTGTAATTACTGCTGACAAACTGTGACAGCATTTCCCAAAGACAGGGAGTGATTGGAGATGTGATGAAAAGTGGGTTTGTGACTGTGGAAACTCTTTCAGGGATGTAGGCTTTTACCCCTCTTGGTAATGTACCTTGACAAAAGTCTGCAGCAATGAAATTAACTTGTTCACTCCAATCGCATCTAAAGTTATTTGAGCTTAAGTCCTTTCTTAAGGATGTCAGCTTTAGGCTTCAGGCATCAACCTGTGGACTAGAATTCAAAGGGAAAAGGGTAGGGAATGGTGCTCTTAAAATCTTTAGGACCATTATAGGTAATTCCATATCCTAAAGAAAGCTCAGCCCTAAACACATTAGAGAAGTGGAATGCACTAAAATATATTTTGGCAGAACCAATGAATGTTTATCTTTCTCTGTGTTATGATGTTATTCTTAGTTTGACGTGTATCCCATGTGTGGTGTGTTTATTCATTCATGCATGCATGCACTTAGTAAAGTTTTGAGCCTATTCTGTGCCCGGCATTACATGCACACACACATATGTCCAAGCACACCTGCACATTTTTTTTTTTTTGGTAATGCCTTTTTTACCTTATTGTTTCTGCAACTGGCTATCCTTAGCAGGCCTTCTTAATGTACAATAGGGTATAGAAGAAATAACAATCAACATTGGAGTAAACCTAAAATTAATTTCTGTCTTTATTGTAGAGTCATAGAATTTGTTTTCCTCTGGAAGATGTGCTGCCCTCATTTAATTGATAAAACAGTGCTTTCAGAGGTCACAAAGCTATTTTTTGGCAGATATAACCAAACCTATTTTGATGTTCCAGCACCTCCTAATGAAGCAGTAGTCGTCATCTAAAACAAAAAGCAGTCGGTTGCTAAAGGAGGAGAAAGTGTTGAGATGTGAGATGATCTGTTAGACATAATTGACAATCATGAATTTGATATGATAGGTGTAAACAGAGATAGAAATAATTTAGTTACATCTGTTTAAGATTTAAGATAACCAGAAGCAATAATGTTTAATTGAAATAATATATCAGGTTCTCCTTAACATTACCTTGAATTTCTTCACATGCACATCAATGCATTTGGTAAATAAAAGTTTGGAAACAACTTAGTTAAGTGTTTAGAACATATTAGAGTTGTGATGTGCTTAGCATCCGCAGTCTTTTATCTGTGCCAACCCTGAGCCTGGTAATGAAGCCAACTCCCACATGAATAAGTAACATAAGGAGTGTAACCAGGAAGAAGTCAGGGTTTCACCTGGACCAAATTTTAGGCAATTAAGTGTTTCAAGAGATCTTTAGCCAGGTGTAACTTAATCAGTTTAAGGCACTCTCAGCTAGGGCCAAGGTACTCATAATGTTGGCAGTGGGCATTCGTCTGATACACCACGTTGAAAGTAATAGGAAACATAGAGTGTCTGCTCAGTTATTGCCAAGAGCAAGAGAAATGCAGGTGTAAAAATATAAAGAAGTATTTGGAGCCAGAGGCTAGTACACATAGACAAGACTGTATTTACACTTGGCTTTAATAGTTCAGATAATAACATGGTGGTTTTTAATCAGTTTAGTGTGCTGATATTTAGTCGTGGGTCTGGTTTCACCACTAAACCCTAGTGTAACTCTCAGCCGGTTACTTAGCCTCTCTCTGTCTCTAGTAATATTAAACAAGTGTATTAATACCTGCTGCATCTTAGCTCAACTTCATGTCTGGAAGACAGATGAATGGTCCTGCTTCTTGCAGTAACACACAAGAACCTCCTTTGTGCTGCCCTGACTGAGATGATCTTGTGTTCTTCTCTACGGGCAAAACAGCCCTAGGCTGCTAAATGGCCAGGCAGTATAGGGGACTTAGGACTCTACAAAGCTGGGTTTTGGTAGGAGTCCATGAGCACCGCGGAGAGAATTCTTAGTTATCAGGAGATACGGTTGTAGTACTTAAAAACTCAAACTCCAAAACAAGACTACGTGGTTTTGAATCTCAGTTTTGCCAGTTTATTAGCTGTGTGACTTTAAGCAAGTTGCTTAACCTCTCTGTGCCTCAGATCCCTTAGCCATAAAATTGGGATGATCATGCAACAATAGGATTAGTATGTAAGCAAAATGAGTATATGTACAGTTTGGCTGCAATAGAGCTGATAGGTGTAAACAGATATAAATAATGACTTCTTTTCTGAAAATGACTTCTTTTCTGTTTTTCTCGTTGGTGATCCCTGCTTATGTCACTGGGATGGCTGCGGGAATTCAGTAGGATAATATTGGAAAATAGCTTAAATCTCAAATGTTCTATAGCTATGATAACATCACTATGACGTCATAGCAGAGTGAGTCCACTCACATCTCTCCTGGCAGTTTTGCTGCCTCAGAGTTGGAATAATAACTCACTGAAAATACTTCCAAAATAGTGAGCCACTCTGCAGATTTAATTTGTAATATTATTCTTTCTAATTATTAGTGGCTCTGTCTTAAGTTCCTTTGTTTTAATTGAAGCAGGGTTTTTTTTCCCCCTTGTAAATTTCTATACATGTCAAAGGCTACCAACTCATTTTTATTTAGAGTTTGAAATTTGATTTGAAAAATATACTGCAGCCAGCTATATGAAAAACATAAGAGGATATTGTTGACTTTTGATGAAGGGAAGAAAGAACAAGGTAGAGCTGCCTAGCCATGAAGAACGCCAGGGTTTTTGTAACCCCTGGTGTGCTTTGCACGCAGAAGGCACACACTTAAATTGGCATGGCTCACTTTTTTTACTGTGCCTTTGCTGAGCTTGCTGCAGGCTGAGTGCACTGGTAGAGGAGTGCAGGGCTGTGTTCTGGCCATCCCTGCCTGCTCAGGCCTCTCCTGCTCCTTTGTGGATCGCCCAGGTCTCTGCTGCTTCCTGGTGCCGTCTCCTGGATCCTCTTGACATTTTTCCGTTCTGTAATTTGATTGACAGTTACAGACAAGGAAGGGGACTGAAATTCTTACCGTTTTGTGACTTCCTAAAACGGGAAAGGAAATTTGGTGAATGAGAAGGGGAAAACGCCTCTTGGCTGAAATTATTTACAGGATTTAGCCCCAGGTTTAATGTACTCATGAATGAATAATGACTCAGCTGATATTTAGAAGCCGGGAAAATTATGCGATTTTTGTGATGGGGTGTATAGATATGGATGTATACTTGAAGTGGTTTGTGTTCTAAATATATTAACATGCTCAGGGAATTTCTTTTTGGGGAAATACATATATTCTTTTTCATAGATTTTTGTGGTGCATTCTGGTAGACGGAAGATGGGTCATTGCTCAGTTAGTAAAAATGAAATATGAATATCATACACATAAGTGGTACATTTTACACTTTTTGATAGTTGTGAAATACTCTTTTTTTTTCAGACTACCAATAAAGAGAATTTGAGGAGTAAAACTCTTCTTACCATGAATTGTTTTGGGGCACTTAGAACTATTTAGTTAATTCTTTTAAATACTCCAACTGATTTAGATAGAATAAAAGTGTCACAATTTTAACAGCTTACACCAGTGAAATGTTTCCACTTATAAGAAATACCCTCTTATTTGTCAGCATACTGAAGACATATATGTGTTATTTCTAAGCACATTTCCTATTTATGTGATAATGGAGATCGCCCTTTAACCATCACTTGGACGTGAAGGAGGATTCTTCTTCCTCCATTAGTAAATATTCCTTGACTTGATAATACTGAAAATATGTGAGGTGAATGAGCTTTAATCCTGTGGTTTGGTTTGGTTTTTGGTTGTTTGCAGTCTTGGACTGTTCACCTGCACTGTCTTGTGCCTTTGAGTATGATTAACTGCCTTGACGCCTTACAGTGCATTACACAACTCTACTTCTTCCATTTCTTGACTAATCTCTCATGCTGTTTGACTGCCCATTGGAATCTTTAAGTTAGCTACTTAGGAAAGACTTTAGGAAGGAGAATGCTAAGAGAACTGGCAGAGAAGTCAGGAGCCTGGGCTCTGTCCAGGCCCTGGCGTAAGTCCTTTCACCTCTTCCTTTGACTCCTTTACAAAATGAAGTTGAACTCATTCGAGCTTTAAAAAGATGACGCCAAGAGGCAAGACAGAGGGCAGTAGATGTGAAAGTAACATGAAAGAGAAAGGAACATCTGAAAAAAAAAAAAAGGTAGAAAAAGATTTTGACAAATAGTACTAAAAACAAAGAATATAGAATAGAGAGACCCAATTATACTGATAATTACAATTATCAGTATTGTAAAAACTACAGCAAAAAAGCTAAAAACATATTCAGCTTTTATTGTCCATAAAAAGTGATCACACCATGTCTAACTGTAATTCGTTTGTCAAAAACACTAGAGGCCAAGGACTAAATTGCGGATTAAGAGTTTCTTCCTTTTATTTCCTGCATATCCAGAAACCTGGGGTCATAGATACTCTTCCATGGTGTGTTGTTTGGCACAACTTGCAAGTATTTTGGCAGATGGTTAGAAAAAAAGACTTTAAGAAATATGCAATAGTACTCAGGACTCTAAATATAATAAATAAAGCTAAGATACCAGTATCCTGCCATTCATTACAATCAACATTTATTGAACAGCAGTTATATGCCAGGTAGCAGGGATACCTAGAACTTGCCCCTCCCACTAGCACTCCAGAAGAGTTCCTGCTTTCCCAGCCTAAAGCAACAGCAAGTCTTACATGAGCTAGGCTTACTGTGATAGCTGTCCTGACGGCGAGTGGCAAACATGGCCCAGTGCCTTCCTCATGGATGAACATGACTCTACACTGGGACTCCCCGGTAGACCTTTTTGTGATGATGAGAAAGTCCTGTGTTGGTGATGTTCAGTATGGTAACTAGTGACTGTATGTGCTGTTGAGAACTTGAAATATGGCTACTGTGACTGAGGGACAGAACATTTAATTTTATTTAACTTTGGTTGAGTTTAATTCAAATAACTACATATTACTAATGGCTACTGATTGGACAGCAGCTTTCTAGACCCATTGTTAAAAATAATTATAAGCAATGAGTACCTCTTATGAGATAGAATTAATAATCCCATTTATTGAGGGCCCATGACAGATTAAGAATTATGTTTGACATATATTATCCCTAATCCTCACAAGAATGGTTCATTTGACAAATAAGATAACTGAAGTTCTGAGAGATAAATTGCTTTGTTATGTCCTCGCAAGGAATTGTGAGAGCTGGAATTTGAACCTAATTGGTCAGACTCCAGAGCTGGGTGATTTCTAGTAATCTGCCAAATCTGTGTATGTACTGTCCGGATGCTGTGTCTTCTGAGTACATCTTCTCCTTGCTTTATGGATTAGTTAGCAATGTCTTTATCTTGGTCACATAGGACAGTTACAGGGTCCATCTTATCTCTTCTGAATATGGACGTATCACTGCACTGGAACCATTCATTTTTCTTACTGAGGCCTATGTCCTTCAAAAAATATTAAGAGTTGAGGGTCCAACCCAGCTTCTTGAGTAGTAAGCTAATCACCTACAAGTATATTTCCCCAGTAGATGCTGAGAGAAGCATCAAAGTACATGGGTAGTTCTGTGGACATCAGTGGCACTCAGTAAACTCTTGGCATTTGAGTGTTTAACTGTCACAGTTGAGGATATCTGTGAACTCTCCCAAGGCCTGAGTCACTGAATGAGCCCAGCCAGTACTTGGGCGTCTGTGGCTCCATTCTGCTTTGCTGTTTTCTGCTTTCCATGGAACATACAGTAACTCTCTTGAAGGGTCTGAAAGCCTCAATTACAACGTTTCAGTGATTCTGAACTGATTTTTCTTTGGAAAGTATATATGCAGATGGTACTTGCAGAATCACCAGGGGGTAGTAACGTGGAGGAGTGGTAAAGGTCTACTGGACAATCAGGTGGCTACCACCCAACCACACATGGTGATGTGATATGAAGCCACTTTTCTTTATTCCTTCAGATTTAAGGTTTCCCCTTCAGGAAGCAGGTTACTTAACAAGTACTTGATTTCACCATAACATGCATTATGACATTATCTTTTTTTCTTTTTTCTTTTTTTTTTTTGAGACGGAATCTTGCCCTGTCGCCCAGGCTGGAGTGCAATGGCACGATCTCGGCTCACTGCAACCTCCTTCTCCCAGGTTCAAGCAATTCTCCTGCCTCAGCCTCCTGAGTAGCTGGGATTACAGGTGCATGCCGCCACACCTGGCTAATTTTTTGTATCTTTGGTGGAGATGGGGTTTCACCATGTTGGCCAGGCTGGTCTCGAACTCCTGACTTCGTTATCCACCCACCTCAACCTCCCAAAGTGCTGGGATTACACGCATGAGCCACCGTTCCTGGCCGATATTTTATTTTCTTAAAAGGTCATTATCAGATGCCACAAGAGTATTTCTATAAACTATGACCCAAGTATAGCCTAATGTTAATAGCTTAAAATAGGTTTTATTTACCTTTTTTGCCCTTTAAAAGCAAGGAATTATTTTTTAATGGAAAGAACATAGACTTTGATGATCAGTTCACATCCTTGCTTTACCCCTTGAAAAATGTGCAACCTGGAAAGACAGCTTAACATTCCTGAGTCACATTTGTCCAAATAATACAAACAATGGCAACAAGACTTCAGCACTAATGTCTGATGTTTTTTGTATGATTAATCTGTGCCAGGTTCCATTCTAGTTTCTTTACACACATTATACCATCTAATTCTCACAACAACTTTGCATAGCAGGCATTGTCATTTCCACTTTACAAGCAGGAATCTGAGGACCAGAGTTAAAAGTAACTGGTCCAAGATTGCCTAGTTAATAAATGGTGGAATTTGCAGTCAGACCCAAGCTGGTTTGGGCCAATACACTTGACCTTCTTATGATACGTCAGCCTTGTGAAATAGGGCAGATACTATTAATAATATCCACCTTGTGTGATCATTATGAAGGTTAGATATAATGTATGTGGAACTCTTGCCACCAAAGTGGTTCCACAAGAGGCCCTAAACAAATGAGTAATCATTATTATTTTAAAATGTCCGTAAGTGAAACCGATATGCCAAGACCAGTAAAAATGAGAGCTTCTTAAGGAAAAGAGTAGGAGGCATACCTTTGTTTCATTTTGTTTGTTGGTTTCTGTGCTTGCTTTTTGTTCTTTTCTGTTAGGCACAGGTTTTATTTAGAATAAATTAAATTTTTTTTTCTTTGATGAGTGCAGAAATAATAGTTGGAAACATTGAATGGAACAGCTAATGTACCATAGTAATACTTCTTGGATTACCAAAAAAAAAAAAAATTAAATCTGTAAAATGAAAACATTTTTGTTTACTTTGGTCAGTTCAAGGTTCAGTGTTATCTAGAGATTTTTGTTAAACTCAGGATTTCTATATGTATGATTGTCTGCTAAATTCAGAATTAGAAGAGAAGAGATAATGGCGCTAACTTTGCATGTTAAATATACTGTGTTACTAGTTTTCCATGAAGTTTTTACTCAACAAATAGGTTACTAAAAGAGCTGTGACCTATGAGTTTCACCAAGTCTTTCCATTTCCAATTCGGCAACAAAAGTTTCACACTTCTCAATTACTCTTGTGGGAGGAATCAGAATGCCAACAGTCACCTTGATCTAAGCGTATTATTGGAGAAAAATTCAAGGATAGATATTTGTTTCTCATTAGATTTTCCTCATATTTTATCATTGGGGTCACTCTAGTACATGGTACTAGAATTTGGGATTTTTATTTCATTTTAGATTGGACTGATTTTCTGGTGTTAGTCATTAAAAATAATTCCAACTCTTTGAAGAGATCTGGGATGTTTGTTATTATTCTATTGATTAAATAAAGCTATTTTATTTAACAATTGTGTTGTTAAACTTTCTATATACTTAGAATAATAATACTAAAAACTGAATGGGTATGAGCTTTTCTTATTGAATTTAATGTCAGTATTAAATACCTTATTGAAACCCATACTTTGAAAGCTTGATTGAGAAATTGGCAAAAGAGTTGACTGAAGTAAAAGTAATGAAGCAGTTCACTGGTCATCCAGGTTATGAAAAATTAAACCATTAGAGATAAACTGAACTGTGAAAATTATGATCATGGTGTTTTCATAAATACCATCTATGTCTCCGCCACCATTCTAAAAAAAAGTACCCTATCAAATGGTGAAAAATAAGAGTGATGTTTCTGTGACCATTTCATTATTCAGTTTTCTTATATTTGAAATGTGGGAGGTTGAACTAAAATTTGTTGGTTCCCTTCTTTAAAAAAGTATAGTTATATGTGATATTTATTTATTTATATAAACAAAAATATAGAGATCTTACCTTGAAAATAACTTTTGAGGTAAGAATGATAAAGTATCTAAATGGAAGATGAATAACATTGTATCTGATTTGTAAATTATGATATAAAGAAAATGTATAAAATATGTAGAAATTGTCTGTATAAAAAACTATAAACAGTGGTCCGTTGCCTATTAACAAAGAGTTTCATGTTATCTAAAAAGTCTTCAATTGGCTAAAACAGCAGAAAAATAGAAATTACATACTATAATATATCCTAAAAACATTTCAATTCCATAGATACTCTTCTCCATGCAGCCAATATTTATGAATTTGGAGTAAGTGACCTACTCTTAGATATTTGAGCTTGATTATAATTCATAGTCAAAGTAGCCTCCTTGTAAATAACCAAAATTAACCAAAGATTTTTCCTTATCTTCCAAAAGCAATGCCAAGTAATTCTATCCAAATTGGAAAAAAAAAAAGAAAAAGGATAAACCTTATTAGGTGTCATCAAATGGTGTTGACATAATGATATATATGTTTAAGGATAATGTAATAGAATATGTAATTAAAATTAAAGTATATATGAAAAGAATTGATTTTAATTGTTTTAAAACATAAGATGATTTAATAATATGGGTCGGAGATTCTTTTTAGTTTTATAATAAATATATTGATTTCTGAAATTTGGGTATATTCCATAGTACACTTAGCTTATGTTAATACTGAGGCCAGATTGCTGTCAGGCTAATAGCGTGTAGATATATTATAGTCACACTACAATCATTCCGTCAGTTTTCAGTTTCCCTTTTTCCTGTGATGTTTCTTTCATCTTGTTAGATTATTCTCAAGACCTTCTCTAAATACCTTCAGTAGTAATTCACAAACTCTTTGTTAGTTAATAGTTCTCAAGAAAATTCTGAGATGTGGTTGACAGAACTTAGATCATTGGTTTGTTTTTGGATTCCTAGCCAAAGTTTTATTCTTTGTTTCTTAAAAATACTCAAAAAAGTTTTTTTTCCTTATTGTAAGCCCTCTGGAAATAGAAGCAAATCACTGTTTATACATTTAAAATGTGATGAAAATTACAAAATAAAGTCCAGTGAAATATAGGGCTTGTATCCATTAGTGCCTTAAGAAAAATCCCTGTTTTCTGAAGTGCGAGTGGGCTTTTCTGGTTTGTTTTTGTTTTGTTAAAGCTCCAGGACCTCCCAATTTTCAAGGGCACTTTGGGGCATGTGTAGCATTTATTTGATGTATGGATGTAGATGCATATTTTCCCACATCTGTCTCTGTGGACCTATCCTTTGTGAAATCCTAAACCTTGTATTAATGCTTAGTTTATGATTCATGGTGTTCTGAGAGCAATTATATAATTTTTCTGGGGTGTTTATTCGATGTGCACTGTAAAAAAAAATGAGAGTTATTTTTTGGTAACCCTGCACTTGCCTTTTTATTGGTGAATTTCTTTTCCTTTTACTGTGACCTGTGAATATCACTGTAGGCTCACTGCCAATTTTGTGAGCCGCTGCCTGCTTCAAAATGGAGGCAGGAAGGTATCCATTTTCATCAAGAGGATGACAGTGTTTCAGTCTTTCTGACCATCTGGAGAGAGGAACTTTGAGAGCAAAAGAAAATGGGGATTAAAAAAAATTATATTTAGCAGAAAAGGCAAGGGGGAAAACCAATTAAAGTTAAACTATACCTTATGAATTTGTGCTTTTCTACTATGCTGTCCTGTTTAAAAAAAACATAAACAAGAAAATACACAGGCTATTTGTATAAAGAATTGGTTTCCCAAGTCTCATGAGTATTAGTAAATGAATGTAAGTAAATTAGGTTTTTGGCACACTTTTTAAGTTTATTGTACACACAAATATAATAAGCATGAAAAAGGAGGGCTCCCTCCTCCCGCTTCCTATGCACACACTGATTGTTGGTGGTCTTATGTAGATCCAGGCTTTTAATGGCCTTTTTCATGCATCTCTGCAAAAAGCTGACACTATGGGAATTTAATATTCTAAGATATATTTATCACTTTCTGTGGTTTGGATAGTTCATTTGTGTTCTCTCTGTCTCCCCCCTCCCTACCTCCTCTCTGTAAAAGTGAAAATTTTAATTGAAAGGTAGAGTTTTTACTCTACCATTTGAAAGAGGTTTGATGCATGTCTTTCTGTTTTTACCATTTTCACATGCTTATGGGCCATCTGTGTTTAGAAGAAAAAGAAAGAAGTGCTTAGACTCACAGGATTACCCTATGGGCATTATACAGTGTATTTACAACTAGACATGGTTTACATCAACTGGAATATAACACACCTGGTTATTTTCTGTTCGCACAAATACACCGAGCTTTTGTTTCGTTTTGTTGTGTTTGTTTTAGTGTGTTCGGAAAGGGCACTGTTTCTAGGGTTTGTTCAGATTTAAACTGGAAAGGGTAGAAATGTAGCACTTTCTGCCTACTTCTTATATAAGAATGGAGCTTGGGCTGCTGTGGTCAATGCAAAAAGCAAAACTCAGTTGGTTCTTTCTCCTCAGGTCTATGCTCCATCAGCAAGCACTGCCGACTACAATAGGGACTCGCCAGGCTATCCTTCCTCCAAACCAGCAACCAGCACTTTCCCTAGCTCCTTCTTCATGCAAGGTAAGATGCTGCTGCTTCTGAGGGAAAGGCCACTGGATAGCATTTTCCTGGGTCACTTAATGTCACAGATGGGGCAGAAGAAATGGAATAGTAGGCAAGTGTAGAATTTTTGAAGTCATGCTCTTCTTAGGAATTGAATTCCTTAAAAATTGATGTATTAATTAAAACTGTACTAAGTCTTTCTTTACAATTAAACCCCTTTAAGCAGTAATGGGTTAAGATTAGATTGATCTGCTTCACTTAGAGCCGATGCTTATGATGGTCTTCCACTCATGACCAACCATTTCAGCATCTTCACCATCCCCAAGACGATGTAGCTGTTTGTTTAGAAGTGGTTCAGCTCCATGTATGTTTTGAACATCCTGGATTTAGCCAACTGGGAACAAGTTGGCCTAATGTATAACCTTATGTAAAATTTTCACCCACTTACTAATTTGTAGGTAAGAACAAGGGTCCAAGATGAAGTAACCTACCACAGACTGGAATATTACATGGTGAAAGCTCTGTCCCAACATAGTAACTGGTTTAGGATAAAAGGCCCAACTTTTGGGGGAGAAGACAAATATAGGAAATTATGGAATTGTCCAGTATGTTTAAATACATGGATGTGTGCCCCCACCCTGAGCTTGTAGTCTTGCTACTGATAGCGTATACCTTTCTGCTGCTCAAAAAAGACCAAGATGTGGCCGAGTGCGGTGGCTCACGCCTGTAATCCCAACACTTGGGAGGCCAAGGCAGGCAAATCACAAGGTCAGGATATCAAGACCATCCTGGCCAATATGGTGAAACCCTGTCTGTACTAAAAATACAAAAAATTAGCCAGGCGTGGTGGTGGGCACCTGTAGTCCCAGCTACTCGGGAGGCTGAGGCAGAAGAATGGCATGAACCTGGGAGGCAGAGCTTACAGTGAGCTGAGATTGCACCACTGCACTCCAGCCTGGGCAACAGAGCGAGACTCCATCTCAAAATAAATAAATAAATAAATAAACAAACAAATAAATAAATGAATTTTTTAAAAAGACCAAGATGTTTGAAATGATAGCAGCTACTTCAAGAATGAACCACTTGGAGGATGCCCCTAAGGGCTCCATCCTGATATGTGTGTGGCACTTATTTTCTAATGTAATTATCTTGTTACCAAGTTAATGCCCTGAATTTAGATGTGGAATTTACCAAGAACCCCTGTGTGCAAAATGTTAACTCTTTTTGCCCAGGTGTGAAAACCTTATTTGTATAAGCCTTGTCTACGGGCCATGGGGTTTCCTTCTTTATGCATCTCTAGGAAGGGCCATGTCACAGGAAGGGGAGCACATTTGGGGCAAAGAGTACCAGGGAAGCAGCCTGATATAGTGGACACACTCAAAATCATTCTCATTAAAAGATACTAATCTTCCTTCCCTTCAGTGTGTTAGCTCTTTTAGTTTGTTAGTTCACGTGTGAAATTCCATGGAAATCTATAAAATTGGATGGAATGGCTCTGTTAGGAATAGAGAGAATTTGTTCCACGCATAATAGAGCCCGTGTGTCAGAAGTCCTTTAACTTTGTGACCCGTCCTAGGTGTAACTCAAAGGGACACAGCAGGCTATGTCACCTGGGTGCGTTTTGTGCCGTGACAAAAAGCTAATCACCTTCAGTTATAAACAGTAGCTACCTCAGCATCAGTCCCCTGTTTTGTGAGCAGTGGGAGATATTGTCCTACAGGAGCTTACAGAGATTGGCAACTCAAGGATCCATCACTCAAAACAGATTTCGATTGAAAACATTGACGGAAGGATATATTTTTTCTATCTGCCCAGGAAAGTGGCTTTCTGGAAGGGTGCACATTGCAGGAGAGGCCAGGTAGATTATATCAGTAGGCTCCTTTCCCTAGCAGACCACACAAAATATGGGGAACAAATTTGTTTATCTGCATATGCATACCCGAAAAGCAAAAAAAAAAAAAAAAAATTGAGTTGACATTTTTGATGAGCACAATTAATTTGCACACATCTAATTCTATTCTTTCTTTCAAAAGAACATTATGCCAAGATCATGGGATGTGATAAATATTAATTTACTGTGAAAAGCATAATTTATGTAAAATATGTATTTTTATAAGTCTGCATCAAGCAGAGTACTCTGTGTTAACAGTCCTAAACGCATTGCCACCCAGGGTATCACATTGTCAGGAGACTCTTGTTTAGTGATATATGTTTTCAATTTATTTGTCATATGTGCCATCTATTTAAAATGTTAGTGATCTTGAACTTCATATTTGAATTTAAGGTGACATTTAAACCTCTGTAATCTAAGGACTAAAGCTCAAGTACATGAATGATAACTTTAAAAAAAATCATGTGTTTTCACATGATGGCCACAGAAACAGTTGCATCATGGTCCTGTCCCACATCAGCTTCCTTTCAGTAGAGGGGTACTTGGTGCCCTGAGAATTCAAGACTTGAAGGAATATGCAATTAAGGTGAAAGATGTTCAGAAACTGTCTGGGGCATATTGTAAACTCACTACTGTGGCCTCTTATTTGTAACTTCAATTTCCATCTTCTAGTTAAAACTCTGAAGTTGTCAAAATCACAGACATGATTTTGCTTGCATGGTTCTTAAAGAGAGGAATCTGCAAACTATTCCTCCCAATATGAAATGAGTCCAGTTACAAAATTCTAACTTCCGGATTTAAGAACTCAATGAAAAAGAGCTTCACGAAATACAGTGTCAGATTTAACTTTTCTATTGCCTAACTTTTTAATAGGCCTTTACTATATAAAATGTTATGGTGAAAATAATCTTATTTTCAAGGAAGCAATATCTGCTATACATTTAACAGCCAGCTGATGGCCTAGTGTATACCTAGTACTCAATACTTTTTGTTAAACTATTGAAACAAAGAAAAAATGAATGAATTTAGCAGTAATGTAGATCATCTTTTCCCTTAGGCTTGGGAAACCAAACCTAAACATTAGCAATCATTAATAATAACCTGTAGGCCAATAGGCCCAGAGAATGAAAAAATCCGTAGGGATGTTTTTAATAAGAATGTTAACAAAAGGTTAACCTTATGTTGAAAGATACTTTATATAATTTTAAACCTCTATAATTCATAAATCGTTTTATAAAATCCAGAGACTCTCAAAAATATCTGTAATATAATAGCTACCTAGGGCATGTTTGTACCCTTTGGATTGCTACTGAAGGTTTAAGATAGCTATATACCTATACACCAAAAAATAAAAATAAAATATCCTAAGAACTATATATTTGAGATTCATCTTCTCTGCATGCCGTAATATAATTATAATTCCAACTTTAATTCTATTTATTGTATATGTTAAAAATGAAATTAAACATTTTCAATCTGAGATTTTTTAAAATTAATACTTCTTTACATGCTTTTAAAACTTGTCAACTTTGTAATTTCTCAAGTACTTTTCACCCCAAAGTTTAGGAACAATTTAACTTTTTAGTTGGTTTTCATAGAAAAAACAGTTAGAAGACTTCTAAGAAATGTTTCCTTTAGCAGTAATTACCTTGCGACTTGACATAATTCATGGTAGAAATATACTCTGTTGTTCTTTTACAGTTCAATTTTTACCAAGAACACTTTAACTTTTTTAAGTGTTTATATTTGTTTGACAATATAGAGCCACTTGGGAAGAAATGATGACTGTCTTCTGATGTAATCAGCTAACCAACACAAAGATGAATAACACAACAGGCAGTCATTTTCAAGTATATGAAAAAACCCTATTCTATAAGGCAAGGCTGAATGCCTCAGAAAGTCATGGTTGTCTTTGTCCTTTACAGATGGCCATCACAGCAGTGACCCTTGGAGCTCCTCCAGTGGGATGAATCAGCCTGGCTATGCAGGAATGTTGGGCAACTCTTCTCATATTCCACAGTCCAGCAGCTACTGTAGCCTGCATCCACATGAACGTTTGGTAAGGCAGACATACACGGTAACGGGAATGTCACAGCTAGTTGATTAAACCTCGTCCTCTGTCTTTCCATGCATATACACAAGGACTCTGCAAATAAGTGCAAAAATGGCACACACCCATTATTCTTAAGTTGTATTGTTTCTGTGATCAAAGACATAACAGGTTCAAATCACCTTTGTAAATTCTTCCAGATTCTCTCTGGCATTGTTCTTTTGTTTATTGTGTTTTGCTCTGTGCCTTCTTTATCACAATGTCAGCTTCCTTGGGTACATAAATAGATACCTATTTAAGTTGTAGAATCTTAACATGGTGGTTCCTGGTTTTTTTTTTTTTTTTTTTTTTTCTATCTGTAGTTTCAAAAGATGTACTGCAGAGGGCAGAGTGACAGTCGGTAGATTATATGCATCACCCAGGAGCATTTCATTTCCCATTGACTGGCCTATGTCAGCTTTGGCCTGTTGTGATGTATCCAAAAGAAGGAGTTTGTATTTTCTGTAGACTTCCATCAGTAAGAGAAACCATGAGGTTTCTACATAGATCAGATTCCCATTTTTCAGTATTTTAACTTTAATTCCCATCCCAGCCTGCCACTCATACTGTGTTTTGCGTCACTCCAGGTGAAAACTGGTGGGCTCTAGAATGTTAGGTCTTTCATTACTAAACATTTCCACTCTGTCCATCACCTACATTCATCTATCATAGTATGTCTCTTTATCCTGGAGGAAACAACTCAGCTGACTTTCTTCTAGCCTTAAATATCACCACAGCCCAGAATCCACTGTTGAACTTAAGTCTGTCATTAAAGAGAGGAAAGAGCCTAGATCTTGAGTGAGATTTGGGATGCAGATAAGATGAAACTTGAATCCCTTGTGCAAGAACATAGCTTAAACAATATGTGGACCTCACATCCTACAAATGCGAAAGCATATGGGAAATCCAGTGATCCCAGGTGATACTTACATCACTACTATTCATCTTGCATTTGCCCCTTTTTCTTCTTCTCATATCTACACTTAGGTTTCTTTCTCTGTTCTGATAAAGGAAATCATTCTGGATTCATGTGGTCTTTGCTCTCTTTTGCTCAACCAGTACAGATAAGAAACAGGATCTGATCTCCTACTCCAATAATCAAAAAAATTCCAGAAGTTAAGATTTCTGATATCCTTGAAAATCCGTATTTAGTTGGTCCTAGTGGTAGAGATGCTAAGTAGTCAATTAGCCTATACATTCCTGAGAGGCAGACAGTGGAAATGGTATTGGCCTTTTTGTATCACCTCCCAAGATTGAATGTGTAAATCACAAACTATCTCACATTTCAGCACATTTCCAGTAAATAGCAGATGACTTATTTTCAAATTTTCTCTTTTCCCACCTCCTATTTGGAGATATTAGAGTGAAAGCTTAGAGAAATATCAACTATATCAACTATTATTATGCTAGAATCCGTTTTGGCTAAAATTTTCATTTCTGCACCATCATTTTCCACTTCTGTGGGAACTCATGGTCAAAACTGTATGTGTCCTATGAGCAAGGAAAGTTTTGATTACAAATAAAAGTTTTAGGCACTATACCGCATGTTGGAATTTCAGTTCTTTTAAGAGTTGCCCATTTGACATTAATTTTTCTTCCCTTCTGTGTTTCTTTCTTTCTTCTCCTATCATGCTCAAGAGTTTTGAGTTAGGCGATTTGATTTTATCCTAGTCCAGTTCACTGCATGGGAAGTAGCTTTAAAATGTGCTTCCATGCACAAAAAGTATAATTTCAAAATGGAAACCAACTATATTCCTTTTAGAAAAAATTTTACAGAACCAAAACAATATTATGAACTAGAGAGAAAATATCATTTTGAAGTAGTAACCCAGTAGGCTATATCAGAAGCCATATTTGCAATGCCATTTACCTATCACGAAACACAGGATTTTCATTTTTCATCTGAACAGTTAACAGATTTCAGAGAGTAGAGTTTTTGTTTTAAAGGAGACATGAATAAGCTATCTTGCAATGTATACTAATGAATTTTCCCACTGTTAGTGAAACTATTGAATTATTATATCTAGTTGTCATTGTACTTTCAGTATTTAACCATGTGAAAATCTTTTACTGAAGTGACTTAGAAGAATCTGACACTGACAATACTTTGAATATATAGTAGCAGTTGGTGTCCTTTCAGTTGAAAATAATGGTAGTTCCTTATAATTTTATTCTTAGCATCTGGCTAGCCCCATACTGAACAAAGGGATAGTTTAAGAAAAAGCTAAGCGCTGTTCCTGGATTATTTGGGGTATAATTTGGCCAAGTTGATATTATCTGTAAAGATAAAATATTTTAAAAACATCATTGCCTTCATCACTTTATGCCATGTTATAACAGAATGTGTAATTATAAAGCTTAAGATCCACATATTTCAGTAGCGACTGTCAAGTTACTGATGTTTAGTCTTTAAATCCCCTTTACAGTTTTAGCCTGTCCAACAGAATCCCACAGCTAATCATTACTGTGTTACACATACCCACACAAAATCACTCAGATGAATGGAGTTTGCGGTTAAAGTTTGGAATGGGTTGTTGTAGATGATTTTATGTTTGGAATGACTTGGCAGAGTTCTTTTTAAGAACAGGATAGAGTCCTCACTGTCTGGCATGATTTAGGCATGGTCTTTGCACTACAGGGCGAAACAGTCCTAGGAGTCTGGAATTTTCCTTTAAAGGAAGTTCTGTTTTCTTTTATTTTTTTGTAACATAAACCCTTACTTCAGTAATTCTCAACTGATGGCAGTTTTTCCCTTCAGGGAACGTTTGGTGATGTCTGGGGACATTTTCATTGTTACAACTAGGGGCTAGATGCTACTGGAATCCAGTGCGTAGAGGCTAGGGGTGCTGGTAAACATGACGTCATGTATGGGAGAGCCTCCACAGCAAAGAATTGTCTGGCACAAAAGATCAGTAGTGCTAAGGTTGTGAAATCCTGCCCAAACCCAAAGCATGATTTTATTCTTATTTATGTGCACCAGTTATTATATTTTTCTAATGTTTGAATTATCAACCAGTATATCAGTAATGGAAACATTTCCAACAATTACTCTGTTAATAGACACGAAATACAGGACTCTTGGGCATCATAAGTTAAAATGAACGAATAGTGGGCATGTAAAGCCTCGCACTTTGTCACACTCCTCATGTCCTTTGTAGCAAGCAGGAAAGACAGTAATAGCTGGAGTAAGAGACTAAGAGGACCTCTTATAGTTTATCCCTAAATCCTCTAAAAGAGACATTATTCTCTGTGGTGTATTTATTACATCTCTGAATGACAGTAGTTTTCAAGATAGTTTTTAATGTAAAATAATCTAGTTATAAATCTCGTTAGTTTATTTCAACAACTAATTTTCTATGAGTCTCTAAAAATAACTGATTTACATGGATTCCATTGGTTCACTCCTTTATAATCTATGGGGATTAATTTTTCTTTTTATTCTGTGAACTCAGCGTTAACCCTTTGTCAAATCCCAAATTACTGCCCATTTTACATAAAGTTAAAAGGGCCCAAAGATTCTCACCGATGTGATTATCTGTTTTGTTTCATCTTCTGATTATTATAGTTAGTTAAATATTTATAATTCTTCTCCTCTTTTTTTGATTTTTGCACATTTCAGGCAGATTTGTAGTTCGTCTGTTCTTCAGAAATTCCACATGGAATAGGACTGTGTAGAAGTGAGGTTAAAGTTAGTCATCTCTTTTTTTGTTCTTTTTTCCACATTCTGTTTCTTTTCCTCCATTTTGTTATAGTGCTTACCTCTATAGCAGAAATACCTCTATCCCTGCTAAGCTTTCAGAATAGCTGTACTATGGAATGGGCCCACTATATTTTTCATTGGAGAAAATTCCATGGACTACCTTGGGTGTTCATTAGGTGGCAAGTAGAAATGAGTTTAACAGGTGGCCTAAGGAATTTTGGGGTCAAGGAAAGAAAGAGGTCCATGGAATTTAAAAATTTGAAAGGCATTCTCAGGAACTTGGAAAGATTTAAAGGCATCATCTCAACTTTTTTACGGAAGTCTTTTAAGTTGGGCTATTTTGGTCATACAGAGGTAATATTTTCAAAAACATTCATGCGTCTTTGAAAATCCTACCTCTAATACGTAGATTCATTTCCTTAGACTAGTTGGCTCTCAAATAAGTTATACTTCAATCCACTGTTTATTAAATTCTGACTGATAACCAATTGTTCATTGAGCGTATAGTATAATTATGTGTTCAGTAGTTAGCCACAAGTTGTGGGATGCAGAACTATAAGCTCTATTCCTTTAAAGAGTTTACAATACAGGTGAAAATACATTAGAAAAAGCAAGAAATGAAAGGCCAAATATAATTAAGTGTTAAAGACAATAGTGCAGAATGTAAGTGCATTAGGGACCTAGAGAGAAGAGATGGTGGAAGAGTTGGAGGTAGTCAGGGACTCTTCAAGAAAGAGGTAGAATTCAAGACGGATCTCACAGAGTAAACAGGGCAACACTCAAGAGACTATGGTTTCATTCCTCGTGAGCAAATGCTTGGGTTTTAAATACCCGTGACTATCAGCATCATATTCAATCTCTTATTTTGAAATAAACAATTTTTAACAGCATTTCCAATAATGATATAATAAAGACTCATAATCCATTAATATATTGCATATGAAGAAAAAGTGTATTTTAGCTTTAATATATTGCCTTTACATAACACATTCAGATGCCTATGAGAATAACTTTTGAAGCTGCTTTTTATCTTGAAAATAGCTCAGCACTTTTTTGTAAATTACTATGTCCATTTTAGTGAGCTGTTCATTCCCAAGCAGATGGGTGGATTGCAACTAATTTGCCACCTTACAGGCACTGTGGCATACCCAAGAAACACAGCTTATTTGGAAAACTAATATAATAATTAAACTCAAAGCAGAGTCTTAAACCAAGTGATTCTGTAAAGATGTTGTTCTTTCATTGCCAGCTATGTGAGGATTGCTTGTAGGTGGGGCATGGAAAGAAAGTACTCAAACCAAAATAAGTCATGTGGTCCTAATTTAATTCAGTATAGTCAATAGTTACATATTGATGAGTAAGAGAGATATTTAACCATTAGTGCTTTTTAAATTTTTTATTTACTAAATTTTATTGTTGCTGGGGTTCAAAAAAATTTAATTTGGGAGGAAGAAGATTTGAGACTGGTTAGTCTTTGCCATTTAGTTTCAAGAAGATCAGGATGAAATGTAATATAAGCCCTGTGGATCATAATGTTGTTTTATTCATTATATAGTGGAATCTTTTTCACTTGATCAATAGGCCACACAAAAAAATTAATAGTAGAGTGGTCTTTTATGTTGCCGAAACCCTGGAGATGATTTTAAGCAGTAATCTGTAGATTTCGAGATTGTGATCATTTCTCAATGTCCCTCATTGCCATTATATCCCTCCACAGTTGATGCAAACCCAAGCTATGTTTCTGTATAACTTATTATTTGAAAAATGAAAGCTGTCAGATCTAAACAAGATATATTCTTGGCTATTTTGAAATTCTAAAAGCTGTCTCCATTGTAAAATAGAGAGTTGTGAGAAAAGTATTTGAAAATAACTCACTAAATACCTTATGATTAAATATGGCCACCTTTTTCTGCTTCTTGCTATAGAGCTATCCATCACACTCCTCAGCAGACATCAATTCCAGTCTTCCTCCGATGTCCACTTTCCATCGTAGTGGTACAAACCATTACAGCACCTCTTCCTGTACGCCTCCTGCCAACGGGACAGACAGTATAATGGGTGAGTCACAGAAATGCCAATTCTGATACCAACAATTGGTGTCAGAGTTTAATCATCAAGGACCTCTTTTTCCCTTTCATAACTGAATAGCAATTAGGCACTAAATATTAGTCACATGACAGAATGAACACACAAATGTACCAAACAGAAGTAAAATCACTGGCTTGAGCATAACCATATTTTTCGTCACAAGACACTGAAATTTAGCTACGTTCTACGTTGCAAGTCATTAGATTGAACAAGGGTTCAAACAGACCAAAACTATCTTGTTCCTCACATTCAAAAAGAGTGAACAAAGTCATAAGATGAGCCATCAGTGACTAGTGAGCTACAAAGCAGAATAGCTCTTAATGGTAGTTATTGACCACTTCCCAAAATTCCAGTCATTGTGCTAGGCTCTTATCCATGATGTGCCACTGTCTTCCGAGGACTGGTTAATGTGAAATTCTCAGGTGACTGCTAATAACTACATGAGGTTAATCTCCTGGAGAATGTGACACTGTGGAGTCCCTCAGAGGGGAAGAAGTATTTGTTCACTTATGAGAGAGGAGATGCGTGGGCATCAGTTGGCCAGAAATTATTTGCTGCTTTTTTAAATTAATTAATTAATTAATTTTTACCAAGGACATTTACTAATGAGTTAAGGTCCAAGAAGAATGCTGTTCCCATGAACTGAGCCATCATCCTCTCATTTCTTGTGATGTTCACTGTAGTCTTTTCCATAGGTGGTTCCCCAGTCAGTATTCCCACTTTGAGGAATGAACTGGGCTGGATGTCCAGCTGCCCCTGGAGGGAAGAGGTGGAGTTGGTGGGGAGATAGCTACCTGCTTCTGAACCAGCTTTGACACCTTGTTGTTCAGATGAGCAGCACAGCTTAGTGCCCCAGGGTCTTATTAAAACCTCAGACTTCTCAGGTAGTCACTTTCTGCGGTTATAGCTCAAACTAACTCCTTGCTTGGCCTGAATGTCACTGTCAGAGCGTCGGTGGGGAGAATACTCAGTGTATGTCTTTGAGAGAAGATGGCGCAACAGAATAATGCTGCTGTTGAGTCCTCTTAGCTCTTTGCACTTGTTTTCTTTAGAGAGTGTGTAGAATTTGGGGAAGTGGCGTGAATCACTTATGTAGGAAAGTTTTTGATGTTGGAGGAGAGATGTGTTTTGAAATGTTGGAAATATAATTTCTGCCTCAATAATGCCCTCCCTGCGTATTCAATAATATATCTCACACTTGAGATGAGCTATCTCGCAGCCTCTCCACTCCGCTATCCTGTCTAAGAAGCAAATTGAGGAGAGAGTTTCCATTTTTTTTAACTTTTCCTAACCAAGCTTCTACAAATATGTTGCATCAGTTTGACCTTGGAGAGCTACAGACAGAGGTCACATGGGGAAGTTTGTTAGCTATCAATGCAGTTTTGGCAGATTTGAAAAACAAGAAGAAAGAAAGCAGTGCAGAACTGAAAGAGTGAGAAAAGCATATTTCACTTCAGTGTGGTTTGACAAATGGAAAGCCCCTTTCTGCAGTCATGAGGTCTGGTTATAAAGAAGGATGACCGGTCATTCATCCTTTTACAAGACAGATTTCCTGTCTACTTGTGGTTTGAGTAATTTTCTTTTTTAGGAAGGTATGAAGGTGGAGCAGAACCTTGAGTTGAGGAAAACATACTTAGGCTCTGTTTGAAAAAAAACTTTTTCTGATTGATTTGCAAAACAGTCCTCTTGAGAGAGAGGCACTATGACTTGGAAGGGACATATCAGGAAATAGGGTGGTTATCTCCATGAGCTGTAGACAGCTTAGCCACAGCTCTCAGTGGGAATGAGTTTTGCTTGGTTTTAGCTGGTCATCTTCATTAGTTTGTGGATGAACAGGAGAATCTACTTGTTGGTCTAGCCAGAGTGGAGCAATAGGTGACTTCTATATGCTGAGAATAGACTTAACTTGTTAAAAACCATAGGGCCTTATTTAAGGGTCTTGACAATAATAAAGGAGCTATAATTTAAAAACAAAAGTATGAGATTTTTAGAACCCAGAAAAGGGCTTTTTAGAAATTTATTTCATACATTATTTTACAATAATGGATGCACTTGTCAAAATCCACTAGCGGAATGAGAAAAAGATGCATAATCTTTAAGGAAATAGGTAGACATGGTAATTCAGCATTTTGGAGGAGCAAACCTTTATTATTATGCATAGATACAGATATTACTTTAAGGTTACTTTAAGGGAGAACATTCTAGAATGTTTTTCTTTAAAATAATATGTTCACCAATTGCGTACGTGAAAATGCAGAGGAAAATTTAAGCATAATAAGCCTTAGTATTGCGTGATGTCTGAGTGGCCCATGTTTTTTCACACTTAAGTTCTCTTAGGCTTTGGTTTGATTTTTTGAGTGTGGTAGAAGTCAGTGATGGCAGCGTGTCTGTATAACAAGAAGAGAAGCTTTCTCTTCTGATGTTAGTGATACTACCCTAACAAACAGTATGGATTAATAGGATACATCTGCAGACTTTTGAAAATATTTGGCATATACTCACTCATTCTGAAACGCAGGAAGTAAAGAAATATTACGTTGCCTGTATCTCAAAGAACAAACAGAGCTAATTAAATAATTGGCAAATAGGGAACACATAGCCTGACACATGTTTGAGATTACACACGATTCTGTAGAAAATGACTGTAAGCAATACTAATGCCTTAAGAATGGGGTTCGAGCACTAACACATGGACATCACATTTTTCACGTTTTCCTGGTAAAAAGTTGCAAGACAGTGCAGTCTTTTCATACATGGTGTTGATGTCTTAGGAAGCTGCTTTTTCAGTTCAGAAGAGGGCTGCTGCCCTTCGTCTCAGTGTCATGTTATAATATGTCTTTCTGGTGGTCAGCAGTTGTCCTGAACTGACACTAGAACAACGCAGTGCATGTGGGGTGAGATACAAGCTCTAGAACTCTCGGAAGGGAACCTCTCTGTAACCACATTCCCTTTCTTCTTCTGTTCTCTGCATCTCAAAGGTGGAAGATGCCCACTGAGGTTTGCTGTTTGTTTGGCTTGGGGGAGTGACCAGGTGTTTCTTGTTTTGTTTTCTTTTGCCCTATAATACCCAATATCATTTTTTGAGAAATCCATAAGAAGGATAAAGCTTACTTGGATTACATTAATGAGAGATTTTTTTTTTTTCATGACACATTCATCCATGGATTTTCAAGAGAATTGTAGAACAAGGTATTTTACTCATTGCATACAGTCCACTACTTTTCTCAAGCCTTGCTGGCAAACTCTGGAGATCATATTAGACCTTTCTGAATTGAAAAGGTCATCTAATTAGCCCTCCAATTAGAGGAATATAATGTATGGGACACAGCATGGATTCACAGTAGTTCAGCTGGTGGCGCACCCAGTTAAGGAAAGAAGCTGTCAGGGGTCTTTGGGAGTTACCAGCATCAGCACCTTCTACTCAGTTCTTCAAACTTTTTCAATGTTATGCCACTGGGTATTCTCAGAAGCAGTGCAGTTCAGTGCCTCTGCATCTGAGCATACATACGGAGGAGGAAGTGTAGTAAGTTATTAGATACCAGCTATAGAGAATAGGAATGTCTGCAGGATATTAACCATACACATTTGGTTAGCCACATACTTCCTTCCTATTTGCAATAATATCCAGTAGCCCTTCCTGATGGAAAGAAGTAAGAGGACCTCCTACCATAGCACAGACCACTGAGACTGCTCAAGGGTGAGAATGCGTCGTCTCCCCATTGGGACATACCATCTGTATACATTCACAGGGTGTGACCCTTTGTGGTTTGAGGCTACACACACTCCCTTGCCCTCAGAGAGAACTGGTCATATAACTAACATAATGGTTATAATAACTATTATTGTTTTATTAGTCTTTAACTGGCCTGCATTCTAATACGTGGTCTTTTCCACGTTTTTAAACCTCAAACCAAACAGGGTTGAAGGAACAGACTACCAAGATTGATTTAATACACCATATGCTAAAGATTACCCTGGAATATCTATCTGGTTCATGAATTAATCTGGCTTAGAACTTTAACTTCGAATGACATGTTAGTATGTGGCTTGTCTAGTAGAAACATTATGTCCTTTTCTCTTTGAGGACTTGGTTTCACAGTAATTTTATTATTAGAGTAGTCACATAATGTTCACTTTATATTTTACAAGAATATTGAGCCTTGAAGTAGTCAGGCGATGAACAAGCACAGAGCATAAGAGTAATAAGAATTGTATCCAGCAATGTGAAGGCATCTTAGTTACCAAGACCACCAGCAGAGAACAATAAACTAGTTTGATTTAAATCTCCTCCATTTCCTGTGCACGATCAGGAAGCCCAACTTCCCCCTGAATTCCTAGGAATCCCTCCTGTTAAAAAATAGTGCATTGTAGTCTATATACTTGCGTTTGTATTTTAAAATGGTTGTAGTAGGAGTGCTGGAAATGTTCCTTCTTTTTGTCATCTTTATAGATAAGCACATGGCATTGTTATGCTGTTTCTAATGGTTTAATAACACGAGGGTCACTCGGACACAGTTTAGAAAAACCTACTTTGAAAGCAGTCATCTTCTCTCAGGCAAACACAGTGTGAATTGTGCTGCTTATTCTTTTGATGCCTTCATGATGTTCCCAGCCTTAGATGATGGGTGTGCATTAAAGGGGCAACACATTTTCCAAATTCTGATTTTTAGTAGTTGATCCCAAGGCACCACTCATCCCAGTGTTTTGTTGAGGGTGTGTTCTAATGGGAATGAACATTTCCCCAAAGCTGAGGCTGAGACAGAGGGTGGTCTAGCATGTAACCCAAGATACAAAACCTTTCTTTCTGCTTCATCTTCTAGCCAGCAACACCACCTGTGTTCAAGCCATCTGAACAATACTTGGGTG
Organism: Homo sapiens; assembly: GCF_000001405.40. NCBI lineage: Eukaryota > Metazoa > Chordata > Mammalia > Primates > Hominidae > Homo > Homo sapiens. The sequence goes on along the minus strand of NC_000018.10, from coordinate 55,264,934 downwards.
GCAGGCAGTGTCGAAGCCTCCTACAAAAATTACAGTTCCTCTTAATAACTGCTCATCTTCCATTCATATTTGTATGTTACAGCTCTACTTAGGGACTGATTATATTTCTCTTGGGCAAGATAAATTGATTAGAGCCAAAATTAGAAATCGATAAAGTCTTTACCAAGCAAATGCATTAGTTTTCATCTTTCTGTTACATGGACATTTTGATCATCTCTAATATGAATTGACAAAAATCTTGGGCCTCAAAGAGTAATCAAGTCCTGTTACATCAAACCCACATTTTCAGCTTTAATGTATCTTGCTAAACATGGCCCACTTCTCAATGCAAAAAAAAAAAAAAAATTCTGCCACTTGAGAATTAAAATATATTTCTTTTCCAGTTATACCCTTTGTTATATCTGTCACACAAATAAAAAGAGAAATCTGTAAGAGAAAGACTCATGTAGCTTAACATGTTCAGGCAATCTAGAAAATGTAGCTTCTCCAGTGTTTCCTGGACCAGAACAAAAGGCATTCCAAGTGAAAGGGCAAACTGGCCCCAGTAAACTGCTTTGAAATTTAAGCCCTTGGGTTTGGCACTCCAGCTGTTGCAAGGTAAAATCGCTTCATGTTAAAAAATAGTCTGTTCTTATCAGTGGTTTCCATGGGTAGCCTTTGTAGTTTTCTGAAATATTTTCATGACGCGATGAGGTAAGAAGTTGATTCTATTTTTAATTCTATTTCCTGAGTCATAATATCTCCCTGCATAAAACAGGCACTGATAGAATGTTTAGTTAGAAAGGTGTAGTTCTAAAGAAATCAGATTGGTCATAATATCTTGCCTCTTCTAACGTGTGATTTTTGGGGCGTATATATTTAGTTTTTAAATGCTCCTAAAATATTTGTATTGGTTTTCAATACTTTGTTTAGTTTCATAAAAATATATATATTATTTGTAATCTTCATTTTAAAGTTGTTTAAAGGAAGAATTAATCTTTTGAAAGCCACTACTGTAGCAGATATTATCTGTAGTGAAGCAATATCTTGTTCTTTTTTGGCTTAGGTTCTTTGTTAGATAATGTGATTTTTCCAATGTAGCTCTGAACTTTTTGTGAAAATCTATATTCAAATCAAGCAGATATCACAGATTATTTTGACTGATAGATCTAATTTTTAGGTATATAATAATGAAAAGAAATATCGCTTCTAGGAAAAAAAAAAAGATAAGTACCCCCAAATACCATGGTAATACATACTGAAAAAAGGTTAGTATCATCTATATTTCACATCATTATTATTTTCTCTTTAGAATGGTTTTTAGGTTTGTTTGTTGTTCTTGTTGTTTGAGGCAGAGTTTTGATCCTGTTGCCCAGGCTAGAGTGCAATGGCGCAATCTCAATCTCGGCTCACTGCAACCTCCGCCTCCCAGGTTCAAGCGATTCTCCTGCCTTAGCCAGGCATAGTGGTGCATGCCTGCAATCCATGTTTTTAGTTTTTAAAGGACTCCTTAATGCAGAAATTCTTCTCATTTTCACACTAGATATAATTTGTTGTATTTTATCTTATATTAAATATTTTTAATACTCTTGATATCTGAGCTGCTCCCAGTGGTCCAATTGTATGATGTCAGACCCTCATTTCAAAGAACTTGCTTATACAATACCTATCATGAGTACTAATGACTCATGTATTTTAATATCATAACTTTGTGATATGGAAGTTTATTTTGTCACGAGATAATTGTGTTCTTCTTATCATGTGCCAGATTTCTTTCAGTATTTTAGCAATTAACAAATAAATATGGGTGTGGGTTTTGTAAACCAAATAAAGTATATATCAAAACATTATCGGCTGGGCACCGTGACTCAGTCCTGTAATCCCAGCACTTTGGGAGGCCAAGGTGGGTGGTTCATGAAGTCAGGAGTTCGAGACCAGCCTGACCAACATGGTGAAACCCTGTCTCTACTAAAAATACGAAAATTACTTGGCGTGGTGGCGTGTGCCTGTAATCCTAGCTACTCAGGAGGCTGAGGCAGGAGAATTGCTTGAACCCGGAAGGCAGAGGTTGCAGTGAGCCGAGATTGTGCCACTGCACTCCAGCCTGGGCAACAGAACAAGACTCCATCTCAAAACAAAAAAGAAAACTCATCTGACAAACTCAACATATAAATATATGAAAATAACAAGCATAAATTAGCTATGCTAAGCAGAGGTCAGGAGAATTAAATTATGACCTGGAAAAGCCATAGAATTGGACCACTGAAGATCCGACCCCACTACTGCATTTTACAAGTGTGGAAGGTGATGACAACACATTTGTAAGAAAGAAGGCTCTCTTAGTTCAAGAATGGGGCTGGAAAGTCTTTGAAATTATATACCTGTTTAATGAAGTTTTGCTTGGATTCATTGGGTGATTTAACCTTTCCTTTTCTTATTTCACAAAATAGTGAAAAACAATCTTCCCTCAGAACTTTAATAGGTTTTATTTAGATACTATGTCTATTTGCTAATGTTGAGGCTTTAGTAAATACAACATACCCCAAGTGCTAGGCATTCTGTTAATACTGAAGACCACAAGAATCCTGGAAATCCCATTTTATCACTTAGTTCTAAAGGCAAGATACCTTCCAATGATACATGTTAAAGAAAGCTGGCTTTGAATTGTATACTGTAATATATGTCTTTTATTATTCACAATACTCTTTGTTCTTCTCTTTTGTAGATAAAAATACCAGTGTTTAAGGCAGTAGAGATAAGCTTCATGAATATGTAGACTTACTTTATCTCTGGAATTCGAGGCCATATTGACTTTTAGTAGCATACCAGTTCACTTTTTTTAGTGTGAACACAGACTTTTAAATATGTGGAGAATATATGTTATTTAAAACATTAAAAATATTTTCTCTCCTTGTTAGCCAGACCTGTTGTGGAAATTTTTGTTTGTTTGTTTGGTGTACTGTAGGACTGTGAGACGAATACCCCGTTTTGCTATGTATCAAATTTCTATTTATTTGAAAACAGATGGAAGTTATTTGTGAAGATAATTCCATTTACTATAAAATAATATAAAGAAAAGCCAGACTCTGAGGACTCCAGAGACCTGAAAGTAGTCTATACTTGTCAGCAATGACCGTCACATAGCTTGCTACATTCACCAGCTCATCAACAGCAAGGGGAAAGTCATAGCAAGGAAACCACTTTATCTTTAAACCAAGGTGTCAGGTTTATATTTTATCTGTAAAAAAGTAACATGAATATATTTGACATCTACCTCAGCAAACAAATTAATGCTAATTAAAGATTAATGTGTTGTAATTAGCATTAAAAATGCAATTAAATTGTGAGTAAATGGACCAGGAATAGAAAATTGTTAGACGTCTCACTGCCTGGTTTTCATATTCTGCCTTTTGTTTTTGCAGCAAATAGAGGAAGCGGGGCAGCCGGCAGCTCCCAGACTGGAGATGCTCTGGGGAAAGCACTTGCTTCGGTGAGGAAATATTGACTTTGGACTCCATATGTACCATTGTAAAGGGTGAACTTTAATCAGAAGTGGACATTTGGAATTTTAGAAAATGAATGGCAAATAGCTTTGATTTTTGGAAAATGCTAGCTTTCTTGCATAACAGTCACTGGAAAATTTGAGAAGGCTCTGAAGCTTCCAGTATATAGTCTCTTTCTCTCATCCTCAAAATGGTACTAAGCTGCACTCAATTATGGATGTGGGAATATTCTCCTGGTCTTTGGGTTTATAGGTTTTTTATACTGATGTCTTATTTTTCTCTAAAGTAATATGGGTGCACATTGACCAGCTAAGACTGTCTTAGCAAGGAATAGTTCTAAAACACTTTGAAAGAGGCATTTGAAAAAAAAAAAAAAAAAAAAAGACAATAACTGAGGTCCATGAAGAACTGTCACATAATTGGCACCTGGGGGACTCAGCTTCTCTGCTTTGCCCACCTACTGCCAGAAAGCTAAAATTGAACATTTCTTGCATGTTCCCTGATGACAAAATGGCATACCTTCATTGTCTCAGAGAGTATATCTGGTATTTTAGTCAAAAGCTAAACATGGTCATTTAGAAATGTAAGTGGAGGGCCAGGTAGTGTGGCTCACACTGGTAATCTCAGCACTTTGGGAGGCCGAGGTGGGAGGATCACTTGAGGTCAGGAGTTCAAGACTAGCCTGGCCAACACGGTGAAGCCCTGTCACTACTAAAAACATGAAAATTAACTAGGCATGGGTGGCACATGCCTGTAATCCCAGCTACTCCGGAGACTGAGGCAGGAGAATCGCTTGAACCTGGGAGGTAGAGGTTGCAGTGAGCTGAGATCATGCCACTGCACTCCAACTTGGGTGACAGAGCAAGACTCCATCAAATAAATAAATAAATGTAAGTGGAGATTTCTTTCTCTAAGATTTTGTCTCTTCAGTTGGCTTTTACCATTGAGAGCATTAAAAAAGTTCACACTGTATTAGCATTGTGCCCTAAGTAAAAGTTTTTGTTTCATCTGGGCCTTCTGATGCTATGCAATCAAACGCCTAGATCTGGCAAAAGAGTGGCAAAATATCTTAGGAATGATCCTGTTCAACCTCTCATTGTGTAGATGAGGAAAGGAAAGTTCAAAGTATCTGCTTGGCTTGCCCATAGCCACACAGCCAGTAGGAACGAAGAGTTGGTTTGAAGTCTGCTGACCCCAGCCTGGCTCTTTTCCCACCATCCCATACCACATCAGTAATTCTTGTTTTGAAAAATTAAAATAATTGTTAAGTTCTTCATTTGACAATTTTGGTACTGTAGTTGATTATTACATGTATGCTGTAACTTGTAAGTTCTAAATGAATTGCGTTGACAACTTCGTAGTTTAGAAAAGTGTGAATTATTTTAATGAATGAGGGTGTTTTTTTTTTCTCCTTATTGTTTTAAGATCTATTCTCCAGATCACACTAACAACAGCTTTTCATCAAACCCTTCAACTCCTGTTGGCTCTCCTCCATCTCTCTCAGGTAGTGTATTTCAAATCCCATTTCATCATATAACAGTTTATAAGAATGATTCCCCCCTTGTACTTCCTGATTTTGTAGGTGGAAACTCACTTCCCCCCAAATCCCAAAGCTTTAACATTCCTATAACAGACAAATACAAAGGGTGGGAGAGACAAATTACCAGATAACAGTATAGTCGTTTACATCCAAACCTTTTCTTAAAAATTAGATTATCTTTTTAAAATATACAGGCATATGGAAAATGTATTTCTTACACTTTTCTTAGCTCTGCAGAAGACACCCAACGGCAGAATAATGTATTCCAATAAAACGTCTCAGATGAAAAAAACTCAGTTAATATAGTCATGAATATGAATATAGACTAGATAGTCATCAAATATAGACTATTTAAATGGATCATTTCCTGCAGGAATTTCAGGCTTTCCAAATTCCCTCTTTAAAGTACATGCCATTGGGATGTTTAGAGAAAACTATAATTTTGTAAATAAATTGTGAAATAATTGTGTGGGGTAGAAGGGATGTTTGACTTCAAAGTATAATACATTCGTATGACCTGTGGCTTCAAATTGAATAACTATAATTTGTAGAATTATGTCAGTAAATAATTTCACTTTTCAGGGGTCCGTTTAAGAGACTCATTGTCTTTCCAATATAAATGCTTCCAGAAAGCCTTCCTTGGTTCATGTCTCTGCTCTTTGGTAAGGAGACAGGTGGCTTATTAAAAAAACAAAACAACAGCAACAAAACCTAAATCACATCTGTACCTGATGGAAACCTTACCTTACTGTAATTTATAGTGGAGTTACTTGCGTTTGTTATTTCCTGCATGCAGCTCTCATGGCCCAGTGTAAACTCAGCTCCTTGGTCGAGGACAGGAGGTTTCACATTGCCACAAAACTTTCAGAAATGATGGCCATGGCTTAGCTGGGATTTAATGTCAACCTCTTCCAAGCCTCCGTGGTATGAGAAGATCACAGAATAGAGAGGGCAGTGGGATTCTGAAGTCTCTATGTCCAGAGAGACCGCGTTGAAACTGGGAAGCGATTGAGGTGATTTTAAGAGGATAATCAAACGTTCCCCCTGGTGGAAATAGAAACTAGAGTTCAGTATTGTTGTACTCCTCGGGTTCTGTACCAGATTCTTACACTCTGAAAAATGATTTCAATTGTCAGTAACCCCCTTTCGAGACAACAAGAGATACAACAAGGGATAGAGGAATCTGAGCAGGTGGAACTCCAGTTTCCACATTTCAAACAAAGTAGCTTTCATTTTATTCATTTTCTAATTTAGAAAAAGAAATGTTCTATGGTATCATAATGTTTGAGAACGACTAATGTAGTCTGATACCCTGATTTTACAGATGAGAATACTGAGTCCCAAAAAGGGAGTTGAGTTGTTGAGTTTATTACCAGTGGTAATAGCAGAGCTTGGACAAAAATCTGGTGCTCACAGTTCTGCCATCCATTTCTAGATTAATGGTGGGAAAGAAAAATTAGGATGCACAGTCATTCTAGAAAACATCACAAATTCCCTCGACCTGAGTAGCATGATCTCAGTGAAAGGCACAGAAACAAGGCTAGAGATGCCACTTTTTGGGTCTTGGTAATGCATCATGGAAGACCACATGTTAGGAAGAAAGAACTTTTATGAAGATGCAAATATGGGGACAGATTGCTATTTTCACACCGACGGCTCTGTCCAAATTCTGTCAAGAAAAGTAATTGAACAAAATATTCTATTTTTATTTAGCATAAAAATATACATGCACACCCAGAAAAGACAGGAAGAGTGGATTTTAAAAGTGCTAACAGTGTCGGGGCATGAGATTTCAGTGAGATCATAGCTATTATTTTTTCCTTTTTTGAATTATGTATTTTCCAAGTTTTCTACACTGAATGTGTATTATTTTACATTTAAAGTGTTTTTTATTTTGTAGGTTAGACATGTAATATGTATTCTAACAGCAATCTTTTTTTACCTTCAAGTTTAATGAATCATAAAAAAATTATTTTCTTCAGAAGAAACTTTTAGTCATTGCTGTATATTGACTTTAAATTTCTGGCTTAGTGGATCACTGATAACTAATCTTATTCCCTTAAAAAGTTTTTCAAGATTTATCTTTTTCTAAAGATTGTTTTAAAAACAAGTGGCAAAGCTGTTTTCCACTGGTGCGAGAATTTTGGTTTAACATAAACTAGCCTTGCATGAAGGTCTAACAAAATCCCATTTTTGTACCCTTAAAAGTACCTTGATTCCATGGTGATAGTTTTTCTTCCACAGGAACCCTTCTTACCAAAATTCAGAATCAATTAAATGTTCTCTTTTAGGAGACAGCCAGCCTGGGGGAATTGTGAGTCTATGTAAAGTCTACATATTTTACATTTAAAATGTTTTCCTTGTCCCAAAATTCTTATATGGGAAGTTTACATGTATTTACGTTGTTGTTTAAATGAAAATCATCATTGCCATTGCCATTTCCAAAAGGACTGTTTAAAATATTGGCAAGCGTCTTTTTACATGTGTCTAGATCTGATTGTAATTCCCACTTTAATATCAGCAGGCACAGCTGTTTGGTCTAGAAATGGAGGACAGGCCTCATCGTCTCCTAATTATGAAGGACCCTTACACTCTTTGGTATGTCTCATTTGCTAATCTCTGTCCCACCCATTTTCAGGTCATGTTCTTTCTTGTTCAGTCTCCTTTACTCTCCAAGATTTTGATTTTCCCTGTTAGTAACTTTAAGTCAGCATTAAGCACACAGGTTTGCGGGAGCCAGAGTCATTAGCCTATGCTTGCTCCTATTTGGAGATGGGAACCCAGATACTACTGTAATGGCAGCCCCAGGGCTCTAAATATCTAGTAGCAGATAAAATCCTGGAAGGGCAATGGCCTTCTCCCCATCTCTAGGAAAGATCCCTGTCAATGATTAAATCACTTTCCTGCTATCAGAGTGCTGGAACTCCAGCCAGGTCCTATACCTGGAACATTTGATTCCCTCTACCTCTGCTTTACTTTCCAGAATAACAGGTTTACAGGAGCTTTCCTTCTCGTAGAAACCCAGTGGTATCCTTCGTGGTAGAGAAATGCCTACTCTTCCAGGAGTGAATTGCTGAAAATTTCCATGGATGTAGTTAATTATTATAAATACTCACATGATGATTCAGTGTCTGACACTTCAGTCTTTCTCTCCTCATGATGGTGGGGGCCAGAAATATGCAGGAAACAATGCTGGTTGTGCAGCATTTAGGCTGTACATGAATTTAGCGGGAAGGAATAGCAGTAAGGGAGAGGAGCCTTTTAGTTCCTCGGGGTTGAGGTTTTCTTTTCTCCCTCCTATCTTGAGATGACACATGGAAGAAGACATAGATTTATCTATCTGCTTTAGTGTTGTCTTATATTCTTCCCTTTCAGCTTAATCTTAAGGAAAATCTGAAAAGAAAAGCAAAGGTGGATTTCCCTCCTTTGCTGTGTTCTTCCTTGCTATAGTGTATGAATCATTCAGCTATGCATTTTAACCAGTAAAGGAAACCAGACAGTGAAACATATATGCACTACCCAGCCCAATTAATCTGCGGACCACATCCACATAATTAGTTGTTTTAGTGTTTACCTTCATCAGTTATTCTCTGGGGCCTATTCATCAAAACCAGGCTTCGTCCAACTATAGAACTGTAAAGACGGGGTGTATAGTTATGGGCCACAGCTTCCATTCTGTTTGAATTCTGAACACTGAAGAAGAGATTTACAAGCAGAAACTGCTGTCTCTACCAGGAAGCTGTGAGCCAGAAACTGTGATAGGCACATGTATGATTTCTTTTCCTGCATACATTTACACTCAGAAGTAAGTATGTATTATCATTCCCATATTTATAAATTAGAAAGCATGCACTCCAAGAGGTTTAGTAACTTTTCCAAGGCCAAATACGTAGCAAAGCTAGCAGTCTAGGGGAGGTAGTTTAACTCCCAAACCCACCAAATCAGAATGTTCTGTACCATAGACTACTATATTAGACACACATTCTTCCTGTCAGTATAAAATAGAAATGTTTTTTCTCATGCAATAGAGCTGGTACACTTGTTTGCACAGCCGATTCAAAATCAAAGTCAATTGTAGCATGATCTAGTGCAAAGAGTCACTAGATTTAAAATAAAAAGACCTAGATTCCAACTCTGACTTTACCATTTCCTAGCAGTGTGACACTACGTAACTAATTCACTTTGTGTCTTTGAGCCTCATTTTCATGTCTGTACGGAAGGAATCATAATGTCTTCCCTGCCTGCCCATACACACGTGAAACAAGGATCAATGAGATGGTATATTTTAAAGTGTACACTGGAGAGTGGTATTTGATATCATTATTGATCAGTTTTTAAAATGAATACATACCTTTAAAATGAATACATACATTTTCTTCACTAAAAACTATACGCATTGTCTAGTTGTGAAAAACTAGAATCCTAATGGCAAGGATGAACAAAGGTTGGTTGGTTTTTAATGGTTTAAAGTTGCGAATTCTATGCTATAGTTGGGGCTTTGAACTCAGTTAGATGCCCCCAGTGAACAGTTGATTCAAGTGTTTGTGATTCTTCAGTCTTAAAATCTTATACTACTTTAGTTGACAGAATTTATATAATTTTTTTCTGTAACCATTTTGAGGCCCTTACACGCATACCACCACACACCCACTGGTTTTGATGACAGGAAGCCAGAAACACCGGTAAAAACTCAACAAGAAATTATCATCCATTTGCTTTTCCCTGTCTCTGATTTGGTACTTAGCACTGGGTCATATACCACAGGGAAGACCAAAGAAATATACCTTCAGGAAAAGAATTTAATTAAGAAACTATAAATAGGTCATCTTTCCAGTGGTAATTGTTTAAAACTCTTTAACTTAATACCTGCCAGAAAGTTCCTTAAATTCAGTGAATGTTTTTCTCTTCTAAAATAAATTTAAATTGCCTTTCAAAAGGCAGTACCGTATATAGCACATGTATGTTATAATGTCCTGGAATAATTATTGAATTTAGTTTGTTCATGAAAAATAACACTATAATTTTAACATTAACACGTTCTACCAGTTTTCTGGAAACAACACTATTTGTATTATTGTTTTAAGGAAATACATTTTATTGGAAACATGTATTTAGAAACACAGTGTGTTTTTTGTCGACTAAAATTTTACTTGTATAATTTAGGCACCCCTTTTGAACTAAATCAAATTTTACATCATTTGTTAACCAACAGCAAAGCCGAATTGAAGATCGTTTAGAAAGACTGGATGATGCTATTCATGTTCTCCGGAACCATGCAGTGGGCCCATCCACAGCTATGCCTGGTGGTCATGGGGACATGCATGGAATCATTGGACCTTCTCATAATGGAGCCATGGGTGGTCTGGGCTCAGGGTATGGAACCGGCCTTCTTTCAGCCAACAGACATTCACTCATGGTAAGTGATGAAATTTATAGACTCTATAGTTATCATATAGAGTTAGAATTTCAGATATAGATACTATTGTTGCTGTTTTTTAAAAAATCAGCTTTATTGAGATATAATTCACTTAACATACGATGAGCCCATTTCAGGTGTACAATTCAAGTGTTTTAGTGTATTTACAAGGTTGTGCAACCATCACCATAGTCTAGGTTTTGAATATTTTTGCCCCCTGCAAAAAGAAAAGAATCCCCGTTGCCCATTAAGCAGTCATTCCCCATCCCTCCACTTCCAGCCCTTGGCAACCACTTGTCTACTTCCTATGTCTATAGATTTACCTATTCTGGATATTTTGAATATATGGAATCATACAACATGTGGTGGTCTTTTTTGACTGGCATCTTTTACTTAGCATGACTGTTGCAGTTTTTCTACAGTTTGCCACGTATTAGAGCTTTATTCATTTTTATTGTCAAATAGTATTTCACTGTATGGACATACCACATTACACAGTTGGGTTGTTCCAACTCCTTGGCTATGATGAATAATGCTTCTATAAATATTCATGTTTAAGTTTTTGTGCAGACACATGTTTCCCTTGAGGATGAATTGCTGGGTCATTGTTGGTGTTTGAAATTATTCATTTTGGTGACCCTGGCCAAAGTGTACAATTTGAGTTCATATTATAATATGACATTGCTAGTAATTCAAATATTAGTGTTTTTTTTTTAATTAAAGAAGCCAAAATAGTGTCTGTCAATTCTGAGTCTGGGAGATAGAAATATATGGTATGTTTATTTGTATAAATACATTGCATGTGACTGTGTAATTTAATAGAGTAGCTTTACTACTACCTATTTAGAATAAGTCTTTATTTGAATTATATTTAAGCAGATTTGTCCATATTACAATTGTGATTTTTTTCCTCATTACTTTTGAAAGGATTTTGGAGATAATTCTTTTTGAGGATGATTATGAAGATTCAGAGACTCTTCTTAATAGAATATTAAGTGATGACAATTAATGAGGTGACCAGAGTGGTGGAGAATGTAACTTGACCAGTGATTCTCTGTAGTTCTGATCCTCACAAGCTCTACCTCGTCTCTAAGCACCTTAGTGTCCTATTTTGCCCCTTACAGGCTCGCTAAAAGTTGCTTGGATGAAGGTATATTTTCCATTATCACTGTAGCATTTCTCGTTTAAGCATGGTCCCAAAAGGAAATGCAAAATACATACAAATTATTATGAGGTTCTTTTAAGTTCTTGCTCAGTAGTATTCTCCTGTCCATCTTTCAGTTTCTCTTAATAAAAGTCTAAGATTAAGAGTACCATTCTGAACGGTGTAGTATTGAAATCTGCAACCAATTTGAAACCAAAAATACTGGTTTATAAATAGAAGCAACGAACTCACATCTAAAATGTGGAAAGATATTTTTGAATGCCAAAGAGAAATCTTTTTTTCTTTCCCTTGACCTCTGCCCTAAAAATTCATCATTGAATAAAAATTGTTTATATGTTCATGGCAGTTGCTTAGAGTTTACAAAAGAAAAGTCTAGATTTTAATTTAGCTTGGCCTCAGGTAATGTGTTAAATACACTTGGGATGCATATAATATGAGATTTTCGTTTGTACAGCTCTTTTTTTTCTAACTACAATGTTTAAACATACTGCTTTTAATTAAGAAATCTGGCTTTATTAAAAGCCAGATCTGTGACTTATAACCATTTCTGTATATCTGCTCTCAATCAACAGAAAAATAGTTTAATTTCTGTAGCTGTGTTCATTTTGCATATGTTAAACGGATGTAACATGCACCCAGGGCATTGCTTCAGAGACTATTTTTTCCATAAATATGTAAAGTTTTTCTTAAATACCATATGTAGGTTAAGTGGTTCTTTTAAATATTAAACTATACATAAATACTTTTGGGGACTATTTGACCTTTGAATTGACTCCTTTTTGAGTCAGATTCAGAGGTGGGATGGGAGGAAAAGACTAGAATTATTTTTGGAGATGGGAAGTTGGACTGACCTCAGTAGAACCGAAAGTGAGACGACTGAATAGAACGGTAGAAAAAAGGAAATAATTAGCCAATATTACATAGAAACCCCTTTAATTTGATCTTGATATACACACACACACACACACACACAAAAGCAATAAAGCCGCCAGTTTTGCTGATAAGGATAAGTTCCTGTTTTCTCCTCTGAAGACATTTAATATTCAATCAAGGACAGCCACAGAGCCAAGCAGATCATAGCGTAACTCCAAAGATATGGCATGTCATCACCCTGCTGCCCTTTGAACCAAATGGGGTTTTGCAGTCTCTCTCCTTTCTTCCTGAAAACCATTCAACGTGTCCCCAGAATCTGAGCTCCTCAGCCTGAAACACTAATGTGTGTGAAAAGGATTGGTTTGGCCTATCTTTCCCGTGCAAACTGGTATGAATTTTAAAACAAAAACATAAGAACAAAGGAAATAGTTTTTGAATTTAATCAGTCTGAAGTTAGCCTTTGACCATTTGATACATTCCACAATAAAAAGGAAGTTTAAGGGGAAGGCAAAAAAAAAAAAAAAAAAACCTCATCCCCCTTCCCCACAACAACAAAAAAATTCAAGGAGGATACTGGTAATGTTTTCCACATTTGAATTTTAATACATGAAACAGGCTATAAAACTTTGGCCAGCTGCAGTAAATAAAGTAGCCGTGGGAGGTATGCACCGGAAACTTCAGCAGAGAGCACTGGTGAGAGTCTCATTCCCAACTACACACCTTCGTTTGTTGTTCTGGGCGGAAGCGAGTTGCAGTAACTTGATACTCATCCCAGTCCCGGTTTTGTATTGAGCACATCGCCTTTCTAACTCTCCTCAGTAATTCCTTCTGATTAAAGAGTAGACAGCTCTGAATCCTCTCGACCTCCGTACGCTTCTCATTTCCTTTCTCCCTGCCTTCCAAAAATCAAAACAAAATGGCTTGATAACTTGGAAGGTGATATAAGCATTTCTTTCTGCAGCAGCTTGAAGTTGTGGTGGGGAAAACTGTGGTTCTGCCTCGGCTGTTATGTTATCTCATTTAATTGCTAACATATTGTCCTTAGCTTTTGATTCATAAAATGTTTTCCTTGGAGTTCTGAAGTAGGTCTTCAGTGATTTACTAAGTATTAGTATAATGAAAGGGATTTTTTTTTTTCACAGCGGCATGGCTCATAACACAAGAGCGAATGTTTGTATACTTGCAAGCTCTCTGGATGATATTATTGAGCTATGCTTATTTCCTGCTCAAAAACCTTCCCTGCCTTTCCATTTTCTACAAGATAAAGACCAATTCCTTAGCTCAGCATTTGAAGCCTATTACCATTTACCGAAAGCCTTATGTTGAGCTCTTCCAATCTGCAACAAGTCTTCCAGCAAGACAAGGCTGGGCATATTACCAGAATTCACCCTGTATGTTCTCCTTCGGAACTTTTGTATCTCTTTGTCTTGTCCAGCCCTATCTGCTTATCTCTGTACACCTAATACCCACCCATTCTCAAAGCACTGACTCAAATCATTCTTCTTCCAGGAAGCCTTCCCTTGCTACCCCACTCATGCTAGCCATTTTTTTCTCTATTCTTACAGCCCTATGAATCATACCATTTCTAGATATTTATCTTAACCAGCTCCGCATAGCTGTGCATCTTTTATAGATATGACTCTGCCTTACCAACTGTTGTAAATTCCTCGAGTCTCACATATTATATTTTGTCTCTCTCCCCCCGACCCCTGTAAATAGATCATCCATAGAAACGGGAGAAAAGAAACGAGGAAACTTAACATTCTGTGAGTGTGAGTTGGCAGCCCCTCTGCTAGGCGCTCTGCATGTGTTGTCTTAGGCAGTCTTCACAACAGCCCAGTGAGGATGATAATAGTGGTCATTTCAGGTGTCGGTAAAGTGAGCCTTAGAAGTTTGAGCAGTTAGTCTCAAGTCCTGCAGCGGGATTTAAACTCAAGCACATCAACTCCAAATTCAATGCTCTTTTTTACTACCAGGCATACTCTCCAGAGATTATCTATGAGAACACCTTTTCAGAACTTATTTTAAATGCTAGGAGCTTGTGATTTTCAAAACTTGATAAGTGTTGGTTGGCAAAAGAAGTTTCCAGGTATTCCATGGCTGGGTTCCCAGAGCAGCTCTCTTCCCAAATGTATAGACAGAGAACTTTCCCTCCAAAGTGGTGGCATGCTTGGATTAAAACCCACATTATCTATGCACTTATTCTTAAACCAACATGTTTGCGCTGAGTGCCTAAGAGGTGTGAACTCTCCCTACCAGGGTCCTTGAGGTAGCAAATTTTAAGTTATCAAGTTATTTTTCTTACTATAACCACCCACTTTTCTTCCAAAATTAAAGCAGAAATCTCTGAATGTGGGAGAATAAGGAAATAGCCAGGTCTTCACTACCCTAGTTAGAAACTCTTACCAAGTATGATTCCCTCTCTGCCTCAGAGACCTCCATGATTAATCCTGATATTAAATGATTAGATTTCTTATAAATTATGGAAAGGGCAATTTTCCAGATAGAATTCTCTCTGTTACTCATTCAGTATTCACATCCACAGATGAGGCCTGAAAAGAAGCGTTTCAAATGACCTAACCGCTTTTTTAACTGACTAAGAACAAAACCCACATCAAACTTGTCTTTATGTGACTCTATGTGTTCCCGTTTATTTGTTGGTAGAGTCAGCAACTACGTGATCATTGAGCTAAAAATCCCCTCTACTATTCATATATCGCATTAGTGTAGCTCTCAGATCCTTCTTGTTTAAAGTCTATTTATTCATTTCAATAACATTTATCCGTGGTTACCAAGTGTAGGTTCTGTGCTCTCAAGGAATTCACAGGCTAGTAGGAAAAGATGTGTACTTAAGCAGATTGCTCCCTGCCAGTCTGCTATGCCCTCTAAAAGACCAGGGGCCTGACCCTTATCCAGTAGTGAAAGATCACATGGTTGTTTAGTAGAGGAGTGGTCATCTCCAGTTGACTTAGGGATGGGGGAGTCATGTGCAACTCACCCCACACACCTGTCCTCCACAGCATCCCTTCAGAGTCCTGCAGGTGGGGGATGTGGAACCCATTTCAGAAATCACCAATAAAAGTGGATCTTTGCCCAGTTTTCCTCTTTTCAGTAACAATTTTTGTTTTACTTTGGATTAAATGCAGTCTATCAAAAGAGCATTCCTTAGGAAAAGTGGTATCTTTTTATTTAACTGACATTATATACATGAGAACTTTTACCTCTTAGGGCTTCATAGGACAAACAACTTCAGTTAGTTTTCCTTGTATAGTTAAGAGCTCAGACCACTGAATTTTAGATTCTAAAAGTACCCTGGAAATCAGCCCATTGCCCTTCTTTGAAGACTAAGGCCTAGGAAGGGGAAGTGACCAAACCATGGGTACTCACTAGTAGAATTAGAAACCAGACAAAAGAGGCTGGACACGGTGGCTCACCCCTGTAATCCCAGCAATTTAGGAGGCCGAGGCGGGTGGATCACTCGAGGTCAGGAGTTCGAGGCCAGCCTGGCCAACATGGTGAAACCCTGTCTCTACCAAAAATACAAAAATTAGCCGGGCATGGTGGTGCACACCTGTAATCCCAGCTACTCAGGAGGCTGAGGCAGGAGAATTGCTTGAACTCTGGAGGCACAGGTTGCAGTGAGCCAAGATTGTGCCACTGCACTCCAGCCTGGGTGACAGAGAGACCCTGCCACACACACAAAAAAGGAAACCAGACAAAACAGCAAGCAGACCAGCACTCCTTGTGCTATATCCTACACTGCTCAGCCGACTTCCTCTTTACCCTAATACCATAACCATTTCAAAACTGTGAGTGGTAGAAATTAGAAACCATTCTGTTACTCTGACTTAACTAATGAAATCCAAGAAAACTCTGTAGTTGGCCCTAGGCTGCCTGCAATGAGTTGCTATTTAGCTCTACCAGTAATATTTGGCAAAAAGAGAGGGTAGTGGGCATTGATGTGATGTGGCAGTTATTGGTACATAGTCATGGGAGCAGCAGGAGTCAGAAGATTCTGTTTCTATGTGGGCCTCTTCAACAAAGATATGATCAACAGAGGCATCAGCATCTTCAGTTGATAAAGTTGATAAAATAGAAAACTATTTTCTAAATAGCCTGTTACAGAATTTCAGCGAAGCTATTGGTGGTCAGCATCATCTTTTAATAGCTACTATCTTGTTTTTCTTTAAATTAGGATATTTGCCTTCTCTAGTGTTCTGTCATCTCTCCTAATCTCCACAACTATCAGGTATTTCGGAGAGCAGATTAGTAACCTCAACTGAAAGTTTTGATCTTTATCAATTTATCAGTTGCTCCTCTTGGGCTTTCACAGGTTTTGATTCCATAAAGTTCTGTGTCTATTTGAGTGCATACTTCATTTCTAAGCAGTTATTCCCATGGACTCTCAGGGAATTTAAGAGATTATCTCTACTGAAATCTCCCTACAGATTTCCTGCCAAGCAGTCAACAAGTCTTGATCAGCCTCCTTCCTTCAAGGGTGACTAGCTCCAAATGCCCACAAAGTCCATTTTCATCAAATATTTGAAAGTTCTTCCTAGGTCCAGCCCAAATTTGCTTTTTTCTACAGTCCTTATGTTTCTGCCCAATAGAATTGCCCACAAATCAAGTCCAACAAGCACTTGAGAAACTCAGTTATTTGAAGACAGTCTGCTGAGTGTTTTTTCCCTCTAGACGAAACATCACTATCTTCAAATATTTAACCTGAAAAAAAGTTTGGACTCCCTGTCATGAACTCCATTGCTTCCCAGTGCATTCTCCCTAGTTTAGCAAGGATGCCTTTTTCTCCACAAGAACCTTTTAGTGTGTGGAACCGCAAACTGAACACAGTGCTTAAGAAAGGATCAAGTGGACTAGGGTGGATCTATCTCCTCCCCCATTCAGTACCTTGTATCTTCATTAAGGCCACCTAACAATATCCTGTTTTGCTATGTTTGATGCTTTCATTGTCCTGCTGACATATATTCAATTTGTAATCAACTGAAATCCATAAGCCACCTATCTCCCCAGTCTCATTGTGTACTTTTTGTTGTGTCTGTACAAAACTTCATGAAACCCCATTGAATGTTATGTTGTAGCCTCAGTCTGATTCCTGTTTAATGGTTTCCCTGAAGCCCTCATTCAGTCACATACTCTGCCATCTCTGTTGCTGGCAAATGTGATGGGTGTGACTAATGCCCACATCAAAGCCACCAATACAATATTTTCAGGGGAGGGGATTGACCAGAAGGCCATGAGGCTCAGTGTTACAGACATTCTTTCTACACGAGTGCTGTCTTCTATCCTTTGAGTTTAATCTCAGCTGGTTCTGTCTCCCTCCTTATACACCGTATGGCCCACCTTTGCTCATTTTGTCCGTAGCGTTGTCACAGAAGCCGGGCATGCAGCACTCACTGTGAAGCAGGAAATGAGGCTTGTCCAGAATGCCTTGCTCTGGTGGAACCAAACTGAGTTTGAGAGGCCATTCCTGTGTTTCAGAGCACTTTCAAAACTATTTTCTAAATACCCTGTTACAGAATTTCACCCAAGCTATTGGTGGTCAACATCATCTTTCAATAGCTACTATCTTGTTTTTCTTTAAATTAGGATATTTGCCTTCTCTAGTGTTCTGTCATCTCTCCTAATCTCCACAACTATCAAGTATTTCGGAGAGCAGATTAGCAACCTCAACCGAAAGTTTTGAACTTTATCAATATCATACTTTATTTTTTTAAAACTGAAAAAAAAAAGGACAGAAAGGTAAAAGAACTTGAAGAAATTCTTTTAGCCATGGATGAGTGATAACAGCTGAGAATCCTTGAGCTTACCATTTGATATTTCTATATTAATTTAAAGAAAAGTCAAAAGATTTTGAAAACAGCAATAGAAGTAAGATCCTTTAAGCTCTATTCAGCAGCCCCTAAGAAAAGTGATGAGGACACTGTGCATGCCCATATGTGAACATGGTTGGCCACCTTAGGTATTTCCCCTTCTCTCCACATGAATACATATTTTACTCAAATTCAGACTCTATGATGTTGAAACAGTCTGGCATTGGATGTTTACCTCAAAACCCTGCTCTCTCTGCACCTAGGACAAACAAATCCTAGTTCTCTGGTGTTTAGCATCTTGGAGCCATGAATTTTAAATAAATCAAAGACAAAAACCTTGTCTTTCCCAGTTTTAAAATATAAAAGATACACACACACACACACACACACACACACACGTGTATTTAAAATAGACCCTATAACCTCATCATATTCTTACATCCTTACATGGTTTTCTTCTTAAATTGTGGAGGAAAAGGCAGGCAGACACATTTAATAGCACAGTGATCATCATTTTTTAAATGAACTGTTACAGGGACATAATCTTAAACTATCCATAATTTGGAATAGGCACAACTGTGCATTTAAAAAAATGCAATATTACCCTTATTTTCTCAGGAAAGCAGATTTTCTGGAGGGAAAAGTATATATTGTATATATTAGAAAATATACATATGTTCATTCACTCTTTCTGCATCTGCTGTGCTTCAGATGCTTTTGGGGATGCATAAACGTGTAAAAGAAAGTATCTGATCTTACAGGCCTTTTATCCTGGTAGAGTGATAATACAAATATGGGTCTAACTATAATGCAAGGTAGAATTATGAAATGACCTAAGGAGCAATTCAGACCGCTAGGAAAAGCTTCCCGGAGAAGATGCCATTGAGCTCATATTCGAGTCCACATAGAATTTCAACAATTAGAGACAGGATAGAAAAGGCGTTTCAGAGCCATATAATAAACATGATTTAAAACCAAAAACAGAAAATAAAGGCTCATGCACCTAAATGGAAGTAAGAAAACTGCCTGATGATACCAGTCCTTGCAGCTTGCCAGCCAGGGCTGCATTGGGTGAAAAGCCCCTCCACAGCACGGCAGCTCCAGCAGTTGGCTCGAATATTTCACATGAGAGTCCACAGGAAGAGCGAGCTTTCATGTATATTTTTTACATCCAAATTAAGTTAACTCATGGAATTTTCCACCCTTAGGAATTAAAGTAGCAACTCATGAAGTAATTCAGTTATGTCATTCATACCAAAACAGAAAATACTGGAGCAACTTGGCACTGTTTAAAAGCCAAGATTAGGCCTTGGCCATTTTATATTTTTTCACATTCCATGGCCGTTGTGTTATTTTAACTTTTATTATGGCTGTAAATTTTTCAAATCAAAAGTATCTTAATTGCTTAGAAAACAGAAGTTGAAAATGGGTTCATAGTAAGAAGAGGGTTTAGGCAAAGCAGCTTTAGGAGTGAGAACTGAAAAAAAGCTGTAGCATTACATTTTCTGTAATGCGAGGGTTCTACCTATTTGGTTGACATTCACAGTTGTGCATAATTATAGCTTCCTCTATATCCATAAATCATCTTAGAACTATAAAGTTGAGTTTAACCAAAAGATCTGTCCAATATTAGTGAAATGACATCTTTAGGGAAGCATTGTCCTGATACAATAGCCACATTCATTTTAAAGCAGTTAATTGGACACATTGTCAAAAACCACGGTATTGAGTTTCCACATTTTAATTTCACATTTGCCTTCTCCCTGGCTTCTGCACACGGACGGGTCTCTTTTGGAGCTGAAAGTGTGTGAAAGTTATTGGAGAATGGTAGTCTCTGGGTAATGTTTCTGTAAGCTGCCCAAAATTTTCCCCCTGTAGTCTAGATGGGAAACAGCTGGTATTTGTTTAAAAAGCTGTTTTGCAAAATGTCTAAACCTTGAGATATAGAACTGAGGTCACCATTAAAGCAGGTGCTTAAGAGCAAGTGAGAAAGACTTCAGAGGCCGACTGGCTCTGGAATCTTCTGCAGGGCACTTCCTATTAGAAGAAAAAGTGTTGAAGTTTGCTCCTTTATTTAGGACACGGCTATAAGTATTAATAAGTAAGTGCACTAGCAATACTACTAGAAATTGAGTATTTTTGAACATAGCCAGCCCTCAAGTGAATAATTAGCTCAGTATGAAAGGAACTAAAATGGTCATTTTTCTCACAGGGCTTCAAGATACAAGAGCCCAAGGCGCTCTAGTCTCCTTTGGGTGTTTGAATTTCCTCTTTAAACACACCAACAGTAAAAGAACTACTATTTCAAATAAGCAGTACCATAACTGACTATATCTTCCAAGGTTTTGGATGCAATCTAAGGGAAAGGGGGAAAAGAGACCCGACTTGGCAAGACCCGTACCGAAGCAGTCTGGAAAAAAAGCAAAGCAAAAAACATGTGGAACCACTAAAGGCCAGTGCACGTCAGGTATCCACCAGTCTGAAGATGAAAGGAAGTAAGCCTCCTCCCCTGGGAGCTGGAGGTTATTAGCAGCTGTTTATCCAGTCGGGAATAGAGATTAACATTGTACTTTTTTTTTAAGAACTAGAAGAAAATTTGTTTGGGAAGTTGGCTTTTCATATCAAGTCACTGTGCTTTGCCAAAAAAAACTTCCTTTCTCAGAACTCATGTACTAGCATTGAGCAATGTTATGATTCTCTGAGAAACTCTGAATTACCAAAAAGTCTTTCTCCATTAAATAGAACAGAAAAGGACAGAGAAATGGGTGAACGTTTGCCATTGACACATTGCAGTTGTACTCTTTACCATGTGAAATTTGCCGTTTGGTCTATTACCTGTTCTCCAACCTGACTCTAAATGGGACACTCTGCCCTCTACCCCTCACACGTACCCTCACAACTTAATCATTGCCACTCTAAGGTGCACACAATGGGTTCTGCAGATACCTACTGCTTGCAAAAAGACCTTTCATGAGATATTGGGGAAACTGCCTAGTACTCTGGGTGCTTTATTCTCAAAAAACAAACAAACAAACAAACAAAAAACGAGTTGGATATAGGTATTTTTCCCCTGATTTAATGCTACTCTTAATGTCATTTTCTTTTATTAAATCCTTTCTTCTGCTTTTGATCTTATTTATAGCAGAGCCACTGGTCATATGGAAACTATTACTGTATAGCTGCGAGATGAAAGACTTCATGGCAATTAAATAAGAGTGAATCATTTGGGCCAATAATACACACATACAGTGAGGTACCATTTGTGTCCAAAATGCCCTGTGTTGTTCACTTTGTAGCAAAGCCATTGAGCTTTACAAAGGGCTTTACAAAAATCTGCTTTTTGTCAGAAATATGTAGTCTGACAATATGAAAACACATGTTAACACACAGTCCTTAGCTGCTTGCTTCTTCACACATACACAGTATCTAAATCATGCCACTTATTGATATAAAATGAAATTTTCACTTAAATTTGGGATATTATTTAGTTGTGTTAAGCGTCAGCTCTTTAAAAATATATTTGGATAATCTATATCAAAATTCGACCCATCACTCAAAACCTGCCTAAAATGTCATGTTCTTCTTAAAGTAGTCCCTGGTTTCCTAAACGGGTATGACTTCATCATTTTTTAAAACCCTACATGACCTTGTACTCCTTTATGACATTCATCGTATTTTGCCTTGTATAGTAATATTATCCCATCATTAAAATATCAGTGCCTGGGCTAGGCGCGGTGGTTCAGGCCTGTAATCCCAGCACTTTGGGAAGCCAAGGCGGGAGGATCACAAGTTCAGGAGTTCGAGACCAGCCTAGCCAACATGGTGAAACCCCGTCTCTACTAAAAATACAAAAATTAGCTGGGCGTAAAGGTGCACGCCTGTAATCCCAGCTACTGGGGAGGCTGAGGCAGGAGAATCGCTTGAACCCGGGAGGCGGAGGTTGCAGTGAGCCAAGATCATGCCACTGCACTCCTTTCTGGGCAACAAAGCAACACTCCATCTTAAAAAAAAAAAAAAAAATCAGTGCCTGCAAAGTCATAGACGTGTTTATTTTTCCTTGCAAATGCCCATGTAGTGCCTTGCATATAGTACACTTTCATAAGGCGCTTGTCAAATTAAGTGAAATGTTTATTTGATAGAAACATGCTAAATGTATATTTGGCAATATCAAACAATTAAATTTCAGACATAGTCTCACAGATCCATAGCATTTGTGTCATCATTTGCTAAGCATCTAACTGCACATTGTACTATTACACTCCCGTGCAGTGACCTGTGCAGTTCCTGTCCTTGGGATGGGATGCCCACAAATGGAGACAAGTATAGGCTTTACGAATGGCAGCAAAACAAACTTATTGAAGTTTATGCCCTGCACCATTCAACAATGACCTTGAATGTGTTTTAAGGGTGGTGTCTGTAATGCATAGTGAGCTCGTGAGGTGACAAGAAAGTGGAGATTTCTGGAGATCCACTCAGCCCTGAAGGGTCAGAGAGTGAGGGGATCTGTGAGGCTAATAAAAGAGAAGCAGTTGGTGAGTTAGGAGGAAAAAACTAGCCCAGCAGACAGAGCAGGGAGGGCTTTGCTCAAGCCTTAGTGATGTGGGCGTTAACCCAGCAGATGAGAGGCCATGCGTAGGTAATTGAACATTGATAGTGAGGAATTTAAAAATAGGAGGGAACTGCATTGGTCCTGGGAGTCTAGGTGAAGGATGCATCAGCACAAGGTGGACCTCTTAGACTGGATCCATACAGCAAGCAAGAGCCAGGCTGAAGCCTTAATATTGCATCAACTGATGGAGAGAGAATATTGCATTTAAAAGATGAGTATTTGGAAAGTGATGGGGAAGAAATGGTTCATTCGTTTAGGTGAGCTTCTTTATACTTCTACTCTCTTTTCAAATATATTACAGTAAGCATGTGTTACTTGAATAACAAGAAAAGCATTTAAGAAATAAAGGCCAATGGGTAATGGTAAATCCCTAGGGATCCTTAGGGATGGGCCACCTGGACTGGCTAAAAACTGTGTGGAGGTCAGCAGCATGACTGTGCACTCTCACAGGTATGCTTGCACTTCAGGCATTCAGAATTCCAAGTGTAAATCAAGTGTCCAGTTGTCTTTTCCTTTAAACAAAAGCTGTTTACACATAATTGCTAGACTTCACCATATTCTCTGTGCTAGATATGTTTGGTTCACTAGGATGGATTAACTTTAGTTCCATACCATCTACTTACTAGCCTGCTATGTGGAGCAAGGAAGAGATAGAGGAATGGGCTCTGTTAATCTGCCAGTGTCCCCGCTAGGTGAGCTCTCTCCAGTTATGGTTTCCACTGTATAGGAAAATGATGTCGAGAATTGAGGGTGTGGGACACAGAAGAGAGAAATGAAACAGTTTTAATAGATGGAACGTATGAGTTAGTACAAGAAAGATGAACTGAGGTCGGCTCACATCCGTTTGCATTTCTTGAACTATATCATAGAATCATTCATTTAACCATTTTGGTGAACATCCAGGGGAGTTTCAGCCCAGCTGATCATATGATAGACAAGCACTGCCAAGGTCAGGATCATTTAGATCATGTTTAAATCCTCTTGAAAATTACTTTATTATCTGGAGAATCAATATTAAATAAATCTCCAAGAATTGCACAATAAGGAATTACCTTACATTTCATACAGAACATAAGAGAAGCTGTGATGTTTCTGGAAAACAATGTAGGTGTTCTCAAGACAGTTATGAAATCTTCTCCCGACATACATGTTAAGAATCAAGTAAAAATCCAAACAAAAGAATTGAATCCAGATCTGATGTTAATGAAAAGTCTCTTAAAGGTTTAATCACATGTACTAAAGAAAAATCATCTGATAATTTTTTAAACTGAGAAATATGGAAATTATGTTTGTGGTTGGAGTGTCCCAGATGTTAGCTCTTTCTCCCACAACAGGTGGTTATTAGAGGTAGGTCTTGTTTTCTGCAGAGCCTCTGTGCCTCTAGTGTTGTTCCTCACAGTATCTATCTACTGCTGCCATTCCATGAACTTCCTAATTCCCATCTGTGAGCCATTAAAAAAGTTTGCATGACCGCTTCCCACCTCTTTAAAAGATGCACTTTTGTACTAAATGGTGTTTTGCACATTTGAGAAAATAAGTTTGCTTTCCTCTAATATGACAGAGGTCTGGCAAGATAATTGAAACTGAAATCTAGTACTCTACAACTGTCATGTATAATTGATATTTCATGGGGAGATTACAGTTCAGACACCAAAACTGTTTTCTGTATCAATGGGTTTCTAATTACAGTGAAAACCCATCAGCTTTTCTTTTGTGTTAATGGAAAAACAACAGAGAAAAGTAACAGTAAGTTGCAGTTACCAGGACTTCTGTCTTTGTCCCATTTTGTTGTTGTTCTTCTTTCTAAAAACCAAAAAAATCTATGTCCAAAATTGGAAACCAGATGCCATTAATAGCAAACTTTAATTTTGATGTACCAAAATGTTTATAATAGTATATCCAGTTTTGTGTCATTATCACTTGGTCTAGAAACTGATGACAAGTTTCCTAAAGTTCCCATTGTATACTCTTTTAGAAGGATTATGGTAGAATAGAAGTGACTGAGGTCTGAAAGCCTGTTTTGAAGCAGTTATCTCTGGAGATAACATTAACTAGGATTGAATAACTGCCAAATGAAATTTAATACATTTTCCCATCCATGAAATAGGCCTCTTAAATACAACAGAATAATTACTTTCACAATACTCCCTGGAAACAAAGAGAGCAAAAATATTGAATGTCTTTTTTGTTTGTGGTGTTTGTTGTTAGCTAGAGGATAAGGACAAGGATATTTACCACAATGCTGAATGCATCTCCATATAAAAACAGCCTTGCCAACAGCCACCTAATTTGAATCTGCATGTCTTTTAAATCTGTTTATGTTGGAGGGATCGTGGCAAATATTAAATTTTATAATTTAGTTAGACATCTTGGCCTTGGCCTGAGTTAATGAACTATGATTTTCCCCCTGCAATAAAGAAAAAGGAAATGATTTTCCTCTATCTATATATGTACGTATATATATGTATGTTATATGCTTGTACCTAGGTGTGTGTATACATGTATGGACACACACACACACTGTTTTAAAACAAAAGCTCTGGGAAATAAACGCATCTTGCCCCCTAACTCTCCTCCCCTCTCCTATATAATTGTTCAGTGTTGTAAGTTTTCTGAGTTCAAAATCTGTTTTAGATCTCCAACTAAGCATCGAAAGTTGGATCTTAAGTCACTTCACCATTCTTGGCCTTAGCTTTCTTTGTAAAATGAAGAGTTTGACCTAACTGATATATAACCAAGGTCCTCCAAGCCCTCGACGTCTAAGTTCTGTGATTTAAAAGTGTTTCTATCAGTTTGTCAAGCCCTTTCTTGGAAACTAAGGTTATTTAAAATTATATGGTGCTTACGTGATTCAAAATAATTATTGCATATCTAATGACATTTAATTATTTCCATTGACAAATTCACACAGGAGAATTCAAATAGCTGTGTTGGAATTTGAATATAATTTGACCTAAGATACAATGTAACTCAGACATTTACACCTACATGTACCAGTCAATATGTGGACGGGACAGGCCAAGCCGCCTGTGTTTGGACTACATGATCTTATCCCCCCTTCCTCGTTTGTAGCTCTCTGGACCGGGAAAATGCCTGTCATTAAGGTGGCCCATTCATAGTATGACCTATGTCTGCTTCAAAATGAGCTGGGCCATCCAGTGATCTTGGCATTCTGAGCTTAGAAATACAAAGACAAAGAGGAAATTAGCAGGAGGTACAGAACCAGAAAGAATGCACCAAGAGGTATCATGAAGAAAGAGTCCAATCTGTCATCATGAGAGGGCAGAAGCCAGAGAGAAGCAGAGGTCCCCCCAGAGAGAGGAGAGAGGCTGAATAGCCCAGCAGAGGCGAGGAGTGGCATTCGGTTCCCAAGAGCTCTCTGAGTCCAAAACCTAAGCTACAGAAAACTATTTATGATAAATCTTTTATTTGAACAAACTCAAATAGGTTTCTCTTCCTTACTATTAAAACTACCCCACTAAATTGATCAGCATACAAAAATCCCCCCAAGAATCATTATGAGTTCCACAAAAACCAGGACCACATCTGAGTTATTTCTCATTCTATCCCCAGTGTCTCCCAAAGTGACAGGCATGAGCTAGATTAGAAAATGTTTGTTAAATTAGTAAATGCATTCTCTGATCAATCAATGAATAATCATTGAATAATTTTTAAATTTCACTTCTATCTTCTATTTTTAGCATAGATATCACTAAAACTGCATTATACGTGACTATGGGAAGATTCACATTTACAATGAGTATTAATAAAATTTTCATAAGCTGGCTTTTAACTTTAGACTATTGTTATCTCTATGAAAAGGTTATCAAAATAGAGCTTTAACGAAGTATGGATTTTCTAAAAATAGGGACGAAATGTCATGCTTAGAATTGACTTGTGGGAATCTCCTTTCTCCTAGTCACATTATGACGTATTTAAGTTCAGAATGCCAAGATCATTGGATGCCCCAGCTCATTTTGAAGCAGACATGGGTCATTCTATGAATGGGCCGCCTTAATGCCAGTGGGCAAATCCCTGACCCTTGTATATACAGAGAACAGTGTGAGTTTCTCCATCTATTTCTGTGTTATTCTAGCGATGGATTTGTGCCGACAGTCCACTGTGTTTCTTCCCTTGTCTCTTATGTGACCAGAAATAATGTTTCTGAAAGAGAAGAAAACAGGGTTAGAATATGCCATCTGTGGCCAAGGAAACAAGCAAAGCCAAGCCAATTATTCAAATTGGAATACTCTTCCACAGCCACAGGCAATGGAGTTGATCCTATCCTGGAGAATCAAGCTCATTATTACATGGCTCTGGACCTATCAGAGGGCATTCACATGACCTGGAATAGACACAAGGGGAGTCTTAAAACATCACGACAAATTAGCCGGCGTGGTGGTGGGCGCCTGTAATTCCAGTTACTTGGGAGGCTGAAACAGGAGAATTGCTTGAACCTGGGAGGCAGAGGTTGCAGTGAACGGAGATTGCACCCCTGCACTCCAGCCTGGGTGACAGAGCAAGACTCTGTCTCCAAAAAAAAAAAAAAAAAAAGTCAGAACAACTTTGTCTCTAACATTCTTTATGGAAAATGATTGATATTATTTAAGATGATCTATAGAAAATAGATGGAGTTAGGTAACATATGGGCCTAAAATCCAAACAAAAATGTAGTTGGAACAACTATATCCTCAGATATATTTATAATATTTAAGAGTTTACAGTCATTGTATAGGGGAAAGATTTAAAATTAAATGGATTTTAACAAAATAGAGACAAAGATCACCGTAACTGAAGATAGCTTGAGTTTTGAGGGGGTTCTTGAACTACACAGGCTATTATTTCTATATAACATGCAAGTATTTTCAGTCAAAACACATGATTCTGTCTGCAGTTATTATGTACCTATTACATACCAGTTGTCATGTACGATTGCATGGGTTCTCTTTTTCTCTTTTGAGAACTTACCTCAATGTGATCTAGAGGGAAAAAATTTCAGGAGCAGTAACTGAATATATTTTAAGTAAAAAGCAAAACATTACTCTTAAGTTATGTCACAGATGCTTGCAAAGAAATCTTGAGAGTGTTAATGATTCTGAAATAGGAGTACACTTCTCCTCTATGCTCAAATCTGTGGTTACCTTCAGTGATTTTGACTTAGAGTCATCCTTTGTAGAAATTCAAGAAATTAGATCCATTGGGAATACAAATAAATATGAATCAGCACGAAGAATTATTTAGGTTTATATTGATTGACAGACATAAAGAGCCACCATTTGATCAAGGCCTGTAAAAATTCATGCTTACAAGTTGACATCTTAGATTGAAAGGATAATCATTGATTGAATCCGTTTTCTAATGCATGAATATAAAAATAGCAAATCAAAACCTCAATGGAAAATAGCTATCATGCTTCTGAATAAAAATTAAAATATATAAGAGAGTGAGTTACAAATGGTTGCTGGAGCAGGTGGGCGTGGTCTGCCTATAAGAGAGCAGACTTCAGTCACAGAGGAAAGGAGTGGTGTGGCAGGCAACAGGGTTGAATATGTTTAAAAAAAAAAAAAGGTTTGTACTTAACGCCACAGAGCTCTAGAAGCTGAAACTAGAATCAGTGAGTGAAATCTACAAAGAGGCCAATTTGTGGTAAAAATGGAATGGGCTTCTTTGGGAGATATCAGTCTCAGTACATTTGAAGCACCCCACAGAGGCCAAATAACCACCATTCAGAAAGTTCTGTGTTGCGACACAGGCACCGGGGAGCAGTGCTGGACTTCCTACATCTCTCTGCTGAAACATTCATTTATACTTCCTGAGGCTCATAAGCCTCAAGTGTTGTCTTATTCTTGCTGTATTTTGAATCCAAACAATTAATATGATTTATGTGATCATCTCCACCCAAAATTTAAAAAAAAGTTGGAGTGCATACACACACACACACACACACACACATGCACACATGAATATAAAAATGGCATACTTCAGGATCAATTACTTAAATATATTTTCAGTAAAAAGCAAAATATTATAGGTGATACTTAATACATGGCTGCCTTTAAATAGCATGTGCTTATTAGGTCCTGTGAATTTGTTGTTGGTTCAGATACTTATTGTTGATGCATTCTTTGGAAATACCCTTTTAAAATATATTGGTAACACAAGAGTGATGATTCTCCTTTCTGGTTTCATATTTTTGACTGGAAAAAAAAATAAACCTGATTCATAGCAGTATAAATGTATGGTTAATTTTTTGTGTTTTAGACCCACCGTCCTGTGTAAATGCTCACTTAACCATAGGCTAAGAAAATACTTGGAAATAGAAAAGAAAATGTGAACTACTGATTGTCCTCTTAGTTGACAAATGCTTCATGTTTTCGCTTGAAGGCATGTGCTATGAAGTAGGCAGTTGCTGTCTCAGTGCCACAAGTTCAATGTCTCTGGACCCCAGAGTCGATAGTAGTAGTTAATAAAAAGCTCAGCAGTATTTTTTTAATGAAGTAATCATGCTGTACTCTATAATTTTATTCTTGGAAGCATAAAGAGTATTTACAATATGGTGTCTTTCTAGGGTCAGAATAGTGAGGAAAAAAATGGAAAAATGTCCAAACATCCTTCCTTGCATGGCAATGATGGCATTACTGGTGTGTTTAATAAAACCTTTATTGGTACATTTTCCGGTGTGGTGGCATTGGCAGAAACCATCCCCCTTTGGATTTGGAACTCAGCAGCTGATGAAATACAGTAAACATTAATTTGGAATGGGCTGCCAGTTTTGGAAAGCCAGGTGACATTTTATTATATTTGTACCAAGCAGAGGCTGTGTCCCATACTGCTGTAGCTTCCGCTGTCAGAGGCTTAGCTGGCATTATGGAAAAAAAAAAATGGCAGGCCTGAGAATCTTATCCCCTGAAATGAAAGTCGAATGCCAAATTGAAATTCCTGTAGGATTTCCGATAGCAATGGGGGAATTGAGAAGCTCACAATTAAGCATATGGGCATTAAGATAATTGTCAGATCTGTTGGCGGACATGATAGAAGACAGATGGGTACGAATCAGTGCGCTCCACTGCAGCACCCTGGGAGGCAATTTGACGTTTTACCTGCCTGAGCTACTCTGCCATATTTGTCACTGAATGTACAGCACGGCATCTTACTGAGTGTTAAGTGTTTTCGCCGGGAACTATAGGTGCATGTGCGGTCCTTCAGCGCCCTCTAGTGAAACGCGTTTGGGAGTATGGTTTTTGAAAAGCCAGCCTTCATCAGGTCCTCTTGGCCTCTGGAAATAGCTGTCGCACCTCCGGTTCCTGCTCACCTCTCTGGTTCCTCTCGCCCTTTCAGGTGGGGACCCATCGTGAAGATGGCGTGGCCCTGAGAGGCAGCCATTCTCTTCTGCCAAACCAGGTTCCGGTTCCACAGCTTCCTGTCCAGTCTGCGACTTCCCCTGACCTGAACCCACCCCAGGACCCTTACAGAGGTAGGTTGGCCTCACCAGGGCACTTCTGACCTCACTTTCACAATAGGACCAGTGTTGATACCCAGCCTCTTGGTGTTCATCCCTCAAGAAGCACTGGCAGAAACCCAGGAATCAAATTGGGCACAAAAATGGTAAGGAAATGGCAAAGTATTTAGAACTTCGCCCGCTAATTGTGTTTCTCCAGGGACTGTTTTCCTCAAACATCCTCTGAAATCCTGGTCCTATATCAGCAGGGAATGAGGCCACAGACTGATGAGAGGAAATTTTATTTTAGCTATTTCCACATTTTTCTCATTCAGGTCCTCTAATGTGGTTAGTTGTGGCCTGAAAATGATATTTCCAAATGAATAGGAAGGAAGGAAATTGTTTTTGTTGTTTAAGATGGAAGGAAATATAGGTGCATTTAAAAAATGGAGCTTGGTTGCATGATTTTCGCTCTTGAGTCATCTAGCCCTCTAATGATTGCCTCATACCGGTGATTACGAGCGGCTTTTCATGACCCCAGGAAGTTGGGCTATTGCTGGCCAGCTGACTAGGAGTCGCTTAGATAACATCTTCTCAGTCCCTTCACATTTAATATAAAAATGATAACATTGCCACAGGAATACATGTGGGCATTTTTTCAGCTGTTCAACATTGTACAGATCTGAGTGTCAATTATATGTATGGGTATGTCTGCCCATTTTTTATGAATAATAATCATTTTATGGACTTTTTTTTTTTTTTTTTTTGACAGAGCCTCACTCTGTCGCCCAGGCTGGAGTACAGTGGTGCGATCTCAGCTCACTGCAACCTCCACCTCCCAGGTTCAAGCGATTCTCCTGCCTCAGCCTCCCAGGGGGTAGCTAGGATTACAGACATGCATCACCATGCCTGGCTATTTTTCGTATTTTTAGTAGAGACAGGGTTTCACCACATTAGCCAGGCTGGTCTTGAATTCCTGACCTCAAGTGATGCACCCGCCTCAGCCTCCCGAAGTGCTGGGATTACAGGTGTGAACCACCACAACTGGCCAGGACCTTTCTTATCAGGAGGCTTTGGATTTTGCCCTCTTTGTCCTAAACCTGTGCTTCTCAAACTGCACATAAGCACAACCTGAGCATCTTGTTAAAATGCAGATTCCACTTCTGTAGGTCTGGGATTGTCCATTTCTAATGGGCTCACAGATGATGAGGCCGCATGGACCAAAGTTTGAGTGGCAAGGTTCTAGAATACACAGATTACAAATAAAGAGGAATACTTGACAGATATGCTTCTACCTTTAAAAAAATTACTACATTAGGGTCGTGTTTTAAAATGCAGTGTGACTTGGAAAGTTGAGCAATGATAAAGCTAGAAATTTCTAAAATGAGTAGCAAACTGCCTTCCATATGTACCATTTTAAAATGCTGATTACTTCTTGAGAATAAGAGAAGCCTAATTTCAGAATATCATTAGGGTACCTATTGAAGTCTTGACTGCACATATTTAGCATACTCCCTGGGAATTATATTTTAAGGACATTTTTCTATTAAATCATTGCATATGGAAGAAACTCAATATAATAGCTGATATTTACTTGGGTTCTTAATCAGAACATTGGCTGTGTGATTTTCATGATTATGATTTTCATTGCAATTAAGTTGATGTTTTGTAGACAGTGAAATTACCATCTACTCCAAAAGATTGCAAAATAGAATTTAACCTTAGAGCCAATGCAGGGAAAACTTGTTTCTGCAGGTGCATTTTTTGAAACTTCAACAGATAGCAGGGGGAAAAAAAAGTGACAGAAGGATCACAGTTCAGCAGTATGAATTGTCTGCTGGCAGCCTTGCAATCTGGTGTGCAGGCAGTGAGATTGTGGTGTACATGTCACCTGATTTCTCTTTTTCGGCAGGCATGCCACCAGGACTACAGGGGCAGAGTGTCTCCTCTGGCAGCTCTGAGATCAAATCCGATGACGAGGGTGATGAGAACCTGCAAGACACGAAATCTTCGGAGGACAAGAAATTAGATGACGACAAGAAGGATATCAAATCAATTACTAGGTCAAGATCTAGGTAACAGTATATAATACTGTCGCTTCATTTAATTCCTTTATTGGACTTTGATGAAGTGAACAGAACGGGAAGAAACTATTCAGTTTTTTCCTGGCAGGTAAATTTACAGCTGAAAAGAAAATTAAAGGCCTACTCTAGAAGTACTAAAAGTATCGTTTCAGATACCTGTACTCTATTGGAGCCTAAACTGTTTTGGCATTTATGAATCTGGACCCAATGCTAATGACACACAGTGAAAAAATTTGTCTCTGATTCAAGTACAGTTTATTTGTAAAACTATACTTATTCTACAAATTTGGTCAGAAATGTTGTGTCTATAATATTTCTAAAAAGAGATTGTAGCCATGTTAAAAACTCAACTGATGTATGTGCCAACTATAACTCTTTTCTTACCTCTAAAGTAAGAAAATAATTTCCTAGATTTATCCTAAACATGCTGATGTATATAAGAGTAATACCTTAATTGTTTATGGTTTTTCTTCCTGGACACTCTTTTCTACAGAAAACACAACTGCAGGAAAATAGCTTCTGTCTGGTTTTCTTAAATATCTGCTATCTTTAAATTCAAATCTATATCTCCTTGAACTTTAATCTGGTAATCAGATGGTTTTTGAATACCAACACCCGTGTACTTTGCCTCAATTCCCTGAGGTTGTTTTTATTCACAAATTCAACCAATTGTCCTAAGACTACAGCTTTCCTTCTAAAGGCTGTGGTTCTCAAGGTTCTATCTGGAATCTTTTGTGAATTAAGAACATGCTGCCTCTTTATGTTGCTGTTGTAATTATTGAGATAAATTCCGTGTCTTGCCACAAGTTTAAAAATGCCGAATACTTCTAGATAACCCCTTTCCTTCCTTGTTGTCTTTTTCTGATTCTTGGCCACTTTGGCAAGAAATCCCAAGGAGGGGATTTCATACCTTTAGCAGCTTCTGTGTTAGACCAGTCAGTTCTTGGTAATTTAACTTATTGTGGCCAAACTTATGCATGTTAATGGATTCTTTGAAGTTTTGGAACAACATTTTCATTCGCTGTTGAGAACCTTCTTATTTAAAAAGGTCACTCTTATGACATTTACTTATGTATGCCTCCAAAACTGTATTATAAGGCAGTGCTTTTTCAAATCTAGGCAGTTTTATTTGCATAACTAGTTTATTTGTAAGTGAATAACCAATTCTAATTGGTCGTTAGCCTGAAAATCTTTGGAAGAAAAGTTCCTATTTTCCAGTCTCCTTTGTGTAAGGTGTAGCATTTGTTGGATGTATAAAAATATCACCCAAATGCTCAGCTTCCGGACAGGCCTGGCAGAGACTGTTTTCATTTGCTTTTTACAGCCTATTTGCATAGTAGAATATAGGAGTGAATTAATCATTACTGATTTCCTTGGCACTGGCAGCAGTTGGGGGTGAGGGCAGAGGAGGGATCCGCAGAAGGCAGAGAAAGAGGGCCTTTTCCAGTGGACTCAGTTGACTTCCATGTTTACCATACACACCTGTGGCAGACAGTGCCATCTGGAAAGGCGCTTACGCTATGGAGAGAGAGGAGCCTGGTCTTACAGCATCCTTCTGTGGTGTCATCCTCCTTGCCCCTAACTTTTCTCCTTCACCCAAGTGTTCTTGACTTACGTGCATTATCTTTATGTGTAACGTATACTTGCAACCGAAGAATACCACTCCCACTTTTGATTGATTGGAGCTTCTCAAGTGTAATTGGTCCTTATTGCCACTTGGAAGTTACCCAGAGATTCTCCAAAATGGAACATCAGAGTCATATATTTTAAACCAGCATTCATTAAATATACATTTAATTGAGTAGATAATTTCCCACATCTTCCAACTCCGAAATGTTGTGATTAATCATCTTTATTCTGTGAACATTTCCAATGTGTGAAATTACCCTTTAGGTTAATTGTTAGTCACTTCCATGGAGTTTCTTGTGATGGGGAGTCTACTGATGTTCAGTGAAGTTTGTTTCATTTTCTGTGTCTCTCATAAGCCCCCCAAAAGTCCTCACTCATGTTTATTCACAATAGTCATTCAGAGCTTTATAGCACGTGCTGCTCTGCCTTCTTGAGACAAGACGTCGTGCACACTTCTCTTTTTTACATGACAGCCCTTGGAATATTTGAACCCTGCTGCTGTGACGACTTCCTCATATGATATGCTTTCCAGGTGGCTCATCATCCTCTTTGCCTTCCATTCAAAAGTTTCTAATTTGTCACTGTAACACTCAGAAATGGACAGAACCGATCTTATCTTTTCAGACTATTCTGGGCCCGGCCATGCATTTGTTATGAATCATGGAATATTTTGGTTTTCACAATTAGAAATTACCTTTTGGCTTTTTTTTTTTTTTTTTTTTGTAAGAGACAGAGTCTGGCTGTGTTGCCCAGGCTGGAGTGCAGTGGCCTGATCACATCTCACTGTAGCCTCCACCTCCTAGATTCAAGTGAGCCTCCCACCTCAGCCTCCTGAGTAGCTGAGACCGCAGGTGTGCATCACTGTGCCCAGCTAATTTTTTTTTATTTTTTGTAGAGACGAGGTCTCACTATATCGTCCAGGCTGGGGTTATAGGCATGAGCCACTGCACCCAGCTTTCTGGCTTCATTTTTGACTCACAATGAGGTCATGGTCATTCATAAGCTGCAGGTGTTTGGTTTGTTGAATCGTTTTGCATGACTGATATCAGTTCAGGTTTCCCAAACTTGTTCTGTGGATCATAAACATCTATAAGATTAAAGACCATGGAAGTCATGTTTTTGTAACTTTTTGTTTAATACATAGAGAAAATGAGACTCACATAGTGGGTTGACCAGGCCTTCAAAGCAAGGTAATGGGGACACCTGAATAAAAGCCTCACTGTCTTCACTCCCATTGCTCTGGTGTCTTACATATAGGCCTTTCTTCTTACTCCTGTTAAGCTGCCTTGTATTTTTTTGACCTATCAAAATCATTTTTCAATTACTTGTTTCCCCTAGATTTCAGATGTCACGGTATGAAAGGTTTTATATATATTTAAAAAATAAAGTATAAACATAAAGTCTTTTTGAAGCGTGGTTATGCAACATATGCTAGGCGTAAGTTGGTGAATGCCTGCTTTGCAGAGTGTAACCCCATTGAATAAAAAAAGCTTTGTTTTCCCTTTCTGCCCCCCTGTATCAGTATGGGCACACCCTGCACTCTAACTTTAATCTACGTCACCCTCACCTGTTTGGTTTGGGTTTAATGTCTGCGAGAAAACCAAATATCTTGTGTATTGTGAACTGTCAAAGCCATCTAAACCAATCCCAAGGTCAAGTGGATATAAAAATTCTGCCAAAAACATGGCATAAGATGGAAAAGTTCCCTGAAAACTCTGGAAGAAAACAAAGTAATGTAGACACCTTCTTTTTCCCCACACCATTAGAAAATGTTGCATCCCTTTTGTCCCACAGCAATAATGACGATGAGGACCTGACACCAGAGCAGAAGGCAGAGCGTGAGAAGGAGCGGAGGATGGCCAACAATGCCCGAGAGCGTCTGCGGGTCCGTGACATCAACGAGGCTTTCAAAGAGCTCGGCCGCATGGTGCAGCTCCACCTCAAGAGTGACAAGCCCCAGACCAAGCTCCTGATCCTCCACCAGGCGGTGGCCGTCATCCTCAGTCTGGAGCAGCAAGTCCGAGGTCAGTGCAGGCCAGCCTCCTTGCAGAGCTCGTGAGGAGCTTGTGGCAGGCACAAGCTGAGATGGGCACGCCAGTCTTGAGCAGTGGCAGACAGTAGACTTTCAAGCATCATTCCAAAGAATTGTTTCCATTGCAGACTGTGTCTAAATCCATAAGGCAGCATCCCTTTCTCCTGTAATTAAGTTGTGGGATTCTCTTATAACTAAGATTATATTGCAACTTTCCCTATATCCTTTCAGTAATTTGAGCTTAGTTTATTTGCTTTACCAACCTTTGCTTACTGTAAAGTGGCTGTACACACTCACATGCAGTTCACCTTTTACTAGTGACTGACCAAATGGATTGCCACAGTACTTAGTAACTGTTCCTTTTGTTCTGTAATATAAACACTGAGAAAAAGGTCAGACACGCAAGAAGAGTGCATTGCTGCCCTCTGCCAGAAGCCTCAGCATTAAACAAAGGTTCTGTGCTTTAATCCTCCACAGAAAGGAATCTGAATCCGAAAGCTGCGTGTCTGAAAAGAAGGGAGGAAGAGAAGGTGTCCTCAGAGCCTCCCCCTCTCTCCTTGGCCGGCCCACACCCTGGAATGGGAGACGCATCGAATCACATGGGACAGATGTAAAAGGGCAAGTTTGTTTTCAGCCATTTCTGAGATCGATCATTCAAAACTCTCATCAGTGTATCAGCCATAAAAGTGAATTTCACCCAAATTGACAGATATTTTCTTTCATGGAAAAAGAATTTTTTTTAAAAAAAGCATACTTTTTCTGTTACAAATATATTAATGAATTTTTTCTCTCTTTTTTCCTTTCTCAGGTCCAAGTTGCCACATTGCTTCATTAAAACAAGAGACCACTTCCTTAACAGCTGTATTATCTTAAACCCACATAAACACTTCTCCTTAACCCCCATTTTTGTAATATAAGACAAGTCTGAGTAGTTATGAATCGCAGACGCAAGAGGTTTCAGCATTCCCAATTATCAAAAAACAGAAAAACAAAAAAAAGAAAGAAAAAAGTGCAACTTGAGGGACGACTTTCTTTAACATATCATTCAGAATGTGCAAAGCAGTATGTACAGGCTGAGACACAGCCCAGAGACTGAACGGCAATCTTTCCACACTGTGGAACAATGCATTTGTGCCTAAACTTCTTTTGGAAAAAAAAAATATAATTAATTTGTAAGTCTGAAAAAAAAATATTTAATTTAAAAAAAATTGTAAACTTGCAATAATGAAAAAGTGTACTTCTGAAGAAAACTACATGAACGTTTTTGTTGGTATTCAAGTCAGCTAGTGTTTATAATTACTGGATATTGAATTAGGGGAAGCTCGGCTGCCCTAGTAACAAAACCAGCAAACGTCCTGATGACAACGAAGTGATGACATTAGCCATTCCTTAGGGTAGGAGGAACAGATGGATCTTATAGACCTATGACAAATATATATATAAATATATATATAAATATATATTAAAAATTTAGTGACTATGGTAAGCTTTTGTTCATTTGTTTCAGACTTTTTTCTCCTGTAAAAAAATAGTACTGATTAACTTTTTTAAAAGAAAGATTTTACTGTAAATATGGATTTTTTTTTTTTTGGTCTTATTTCTGTCCCTTTCCCTGGTTTGTTATCGTAACCTGTAGTGCCAACTCTGCTTCCAGAGGGGTAGTGCAGGATGAAATGCTGACCCTGATGTTGCTTCTCATTCATAAATAAGTAGAAAGTTGTTTCTCCAGTCTTTTGGGAACACAGGACTTAAAAGTCACATCATGTGTAGATATTACAAGCAGCATTACCAAGACATGGCAAAAAGAGTTTGTCTGAATTGTAATGTTGCGTTTGTGAACCTATTCTGGGATTTTCAGAGGTACAAGGTTAGAATGCTACAATGTTACCACTGTGCCTTCCAATGTTTATATCATCGGAAACATAACATAATCAAAGTGGCTGTGATTTAACAAAATGATTAAAGTGTTACCTACCTGTGTAGCCGAAGTAGTGTGCAGTGAGGCGTTTCTGAATACATGGTCAGATTTTTGGAAAAAAACAAAAACAAAAAAAACAAGTAAAGTTCAAAAACCGTCAAATGAGAAAATTGCAAGTAGTGTGACAGAGCTGATTGATTTTGTTGCTTTCTTGATTTTTTTTTTCAAAATGGGTTTACTAAAATGTAGATGACTTAACTGCCTCCTCCTTCGTCTGAAAAATGCCAATATTCAATCATCATGCAGCATTATAACAAGCCTTATAAGTCCTAAAGCATTAAGTTGCACTTTTTTGAGGAGGGGTAGTGCAGTATTTCTCTGGCCAGTATGAATGAAGTTTATACTTACCATATTTGATAGAAACATAGATCAAGCTATGGCACAGCGACTCATCAGATAGCTAGCTTTGACGTCTGGGCACAATTGAACCAACTTCCATCGTGAATCTTTATAATGATTGACTTTGGTGTATAGTGCAGTAAACAAATAGTGCTCCTAGTTAAGTATTTGTCAGCATCCTTTTGTCTCTAACTTGTTTCTATTTTTACAGCCACACAATTCTTGGCATGTATTAAGAAAAAAAAAAATCCCTGTTCAAGTAGTTTTTCCACCTATCAGCACTGAGTAAATGCCATAAATCCATTGAAATGGTCTAAATGTTCCATCTGTTCTCCTGTTTTGCCAGTTATATAGTAATGAAATACATTTGTAAATTTTATGCAACAAATGGCAAACGTATCATTATTTTGAAATTGTGTATGTAAAAGTTATATTTTTACATGTAGACTCTTGTTATTATGTGTTTTAATACATTGTATCAGTTTTTGTTTTTTTTTAAAAACTGTGGTTTAAAAAGAAGTCTCATTTAAATGAAATAGCTACAAGAATCAGAATTTTATGTTCATTTCTGAAAATGTAAGAACAAATAAGATAGTTACCACGTGGTCATCTTTTACAAACCCATAAACATTTTGATTAGCTGTGTGTGTGTTGAAAAACTGTAAATATGTTCAGTAGCGATAAAACTAAAATAACTTTGATTTGTTGATAAGTTCCTAAAATGTGGAGGTGGATTAAAACCTTAGGAGAATAGCAGAAATCAAACTTCATGAAAAGTTATTTTGGGGCTTTCCTGTGAAATGTATGAACAAAGAGGCTCAGAGAAGGACATGGAAGACAATAATGTATACTCTCTCCTCCTCCCTGAATAATGAAAACCATGTGTATTTGTTCCCTCCGTATGTTAAAGATTTCCTTTTAGTGGTACATTCTGCACTCATTTTGTATAGTCTACCAAGGCGGGTATCCCTAGGAACAATATTATATAGGAAGCAGGTATACTCTGATCACATTCAGGATAAGTGTACAGAAGAAAATACGGTGTTTACTCTTTAGGGAACTGGAAACACTCCCTGCATTGATGTACATTTTAAGAATGGCACTTTTGATACATGTTATCATAAAGGTGCTTAATAGAGCTGAATTAAAGTTTTTCAAATCTGTAAACAAAGCAAAAAAGTAAATTGTAGTCATTTGATTATTTTTTAAATTGGTGCTTTATATTTTGTTCTCACTCAGAGTAAAAGCTGCAATTTATTGTTCACCAGCTTTGATGTATTCATTACTCAGTAATGCAATACCTCTATTGTTGAATTCCCTTTGGAAATAAGTGAAAATTCTAACGGCCACTGAAAGCTGCTCGCTAGGTTTTGCTTGGTGGAGAAACATAATCTGCACCTATCCATATTAATTGGGTTGTATCCCCATTAAAAAAGAAAAAAAGGGAATGTGGCCTTTTTAGTGTGTTTTTTATTGTTGTTGTTTTGTAATTATCAAACCCAGGTAAGATATTGGTATCCTGCACTGGATTTTCAAATGAAGTTCAGCAGAAGACAGTTAAGATTAAAGTACTATACAAAAATTTCAAAAGGGTCCATACTACGCTATCTGTATGACGACACTTAGGCTGGGGATCTCTTTCAGAAACTCGGACTTTAAAAGCAACTTGGAGCAGTTGATCCACCTCCACATTCAAGTAATTTATGAATATGCAGAATAGGGATCTGTTCATCTAGAAATTTTTACCATTTGTCTTCTGTGTAGCTGCAAGGAACACTAATGTTTATACAACTGTCAGTCCACCCAGTGGTGCAACTGGTTCTGATTCAGTCTTCCGATTCCTTTTTATTTTTCACTTTTTCCTATTTCTGAATTTTTTTTTTTATTTGTGATCTTGATTTTGATGAGGGGTTGGGGAGTGGGGAGGGAGTCGAACCAAGACTTGGAGTTAAGAGGATTTTCATCTTTTGCATCCAACAGGCAGAATATGATCTGTGTCCAAAAGTGAACTTGAGTCAGGAATGAATCAATTTCAGCATAAACAAGCACAAAAATTTAGTCTGCTGGCTGACTGGAAGCAAAAAAGTCAAGATGGAATATGATGAATTCCAACACAATGGGGCACCAAGGCCTTTAGGCCTCTCTTTTTATTTTGCTTTGGTTTTGTTTGTTTTTCTTTAGAGACATGCTCTTTCTCATGGGACTTGAAGTGGACTCATCTTTGTGCAGTGCTGGTTTTGCCATACTCATTTCAAGTATTATAGACATATGTAATGGTGAAAATATATGAACTGTGGCCTTTTTCATTCTTGTTACTTGTGATGCAATTAAGTGAAGATAAGAAAAAAAAAAAAAAAGCAGAGATTTACCATGTATCAGTGCCTGGCTTTTTGTTATAAAGCTTTGTTTGTCTAGTGCTCTTTTGCTATAAAATAGACTGTAGTACACCCTAGTAGGAAAAAAAAAAAACTAAATTTAAAAATAAAAAATATATTTGGCTTATTTTTCGCAGGAGCAATCCTTTTATACCATGAATATTACAAAAAAATTGTCAGATTCTGAATATTTCTTCTTTGTAGATTTTTGGAATCATTATGAGTAAAAGTTTGTTACTTTATTTTACTATTTAAAAGATGTTATTTTACCATGTGTTACCAAGATGAAACTGTATGGGTAGCTTTTTTGTTTGTTTTTTGTTTTGTTTTTGTTTTTGTTTTTGTTTTTAGTTGTAGGTCGCAGCGGGGAAATTTTTTGCGACTGTACACATAGCTGCAGCATTAAAAACTTAAAAAAATTGTTAAAAAAAAAAAAAGGGAAAACATTTCAAAAAAAAAAAAAAAGATAAACAGTTACACCTTGTTTTCAATGTGTGGCTGAGTGCCTCGATTTTTTCATGTTTTTGGTGTATTTCTGATTTGTAGAAGTGTCCAAACAGGTTGTGTGCTGGAGTTCCTTCAAGACAAAAACAAACCCAGCTTGGTCAAGGCCATTACCTGTTTCCCATCTGTAGTTATTCGATGAAGTCATGTACATGACCGTTCTGTAGCAATAAATGTGCCATTTTTATAAACTGTTTCTGACACTTGTTTCATTTCATTTTGCATTGTCCATATAGCTATGATTCTCTTCTGTAAGTAAAACGCATCTATATTTCATTTTCCAAGTGTTGGAGGTATTGACAGCTTAACAAACAAAACATACAAAAAAAATCACAAAAACAAATTGAAAAGCAAAGCACATGATTGATCAAGGAAGAGATGCCCTTAATGAAAATGGAACGGGATGCATGCAAAACAAAAAGAAAACTGTCTAGAGGATTAACTAATTGAAGGAATATAATTAATGTGTGTGTAACACTGAAGCTATGCATTTGAAGAGCTCTGAACTGCACCAGTGTTTTCGGTTGTGCTGCAGGTTGCTAAGTCAAGTCAGCCTTAACCTTTTGCACCAGTTGGTCGGCTGTTTGGCAGAACATTCTCAGATCTTTTCAGTCAAAAATCTAAGATGATTTATTTTGTATCACTTTGTTAAAAGCTGAATATTGTTAACTACAGTTAATATTAACACTGTATTTATACTTTCTCAAACTACATCCGCCCCACCACTTCTGGTTGCCTCTGTTGACTATTAATCCAGATGTAAACAACCAGATGTTTTTTTCTAACTTGTACAAACTGACGTGTGTCAACTATCATGGAAGGAAAAAAATGTACAGATTAAAATTATTCAGTGTTATGTACTGTAAGTTAATATTTTTGTAGAATGGACATCAATCTACTTTGCAAAATTTGGAGGCTATTTCAACATTGCACTGTAGAAATGTAAAGTAATGTATGCAATGTAAAGGAAAGCCCGCGGTAGCTGAGCGCTTCATAACAGAATGTTCTAATCAAGTACGTGGTATTTGGGGATGTCTCCAATATTGCTCTTGTATTCTTTCTAATTGGGTTTAGTGACTAGTTGAAGGAAAATGTTATAACGCCATTTGGTTCACATGTGAAGTGCCCTCCATAGCCAAATGTTGGGATTTTTTTTTTTTTCGTTTTTGGTTGGACTGTTTGCAGATATTTAAATTTTATGAAATTTCCAAAGATTTTGGTTGATAACCCCCTTTTACCTTCTAAATGATTTGAGATGTTCTTATGTTCTTACTGTGTGTTTTAAATATATATAAAAGAGCCACAAGCATTTAGTCTTTTAGTATTATATTTGATCATATAAC
Source organism: Homo sapiens (assembly GCF_000001405.40). Classification (NCBI taxonomy): domain Eukaryota; kingdom Metazoa; phylum Chordata; class Mammalia; order Primates; family Hominidae; genus Homo; species Homo sapiens. Next base: position 55,222,299 of record NC_000018.10, on the reverse strand, counting down.
TACTACTGAAAAGGGGTGGGGGGGAATGTGCCTGTGCACCCCTACAGTATCTTGTGTAGTGTCTATTAACATTGTTCTCTTTTAGAGGACCACATTAAAAGGTACATTAATCTTACATTTTGGTTCATTTTCAAAGGGAAGTTAAATTGCTGGAGAACCTAAAGTATTATCCAGAAGTTAAGATCACAGTAATTTTAGAAATGAAGAAGGGAGGAGTATCCAAAGGGGCTGAAATAGGGAATCATTTTTAGCCTCATAATTCGGTCCATTCATCTGAAACCAAGTGAAATTTATACTCTGGGCTTCATCTGTAGAGCACCTTTCTCTTGAGGAACAGCCCAAGAAATTTCATGTGTAAGCCCCTTTAAGGGAGACATTGAAATCAACAGAAGGAACTAGTGTGCTGCATATATTCAAATCACACCAGGATCGCACATTTAAATTGCACTTGGGACGCTTCATGCTCTGCCAGCCAGAAGATCTCTTGTTCCATAAGGCATTCTCATTCAAATGGTTTACAAGTCCACATTCTCACTGGTCACAGCCTGTGTTATAAAGAAACATGGCCAGTCTTTAAAGGACTAGAAGGGCAAGAAGAGCCAGAGTCACTTTGGTATTCTTGAGAGATCATTTAAATCGATAAGGTTTGATGAACAAAAGTGCCTCAAGTGAAAATCCACATGTTTTCAGGAAAGGAAGACAGTGTCACAGCTATGAGAAAGCAATAGTTAAAAGCCAATGTGCATTGAGGTGCAGCCCTCAGAGTTGCTGGGTGTTGTGGGGTCAAAAAGTGAAATCAACCAGGCAGCCAGTATCTGGGTATTTGTTTGGAGTGTTAGATATTAAGATTACTGAATCTGTACCTAAATATAACAATTATAGTTTAGGCTTTTTGCTATGGAGTGGTGTGTATGCACAAGTGTTTCTTGCCATTTTTGAGTTTTGGACACTTGGAAGATGAATGAAACCACTCCATAGAGGGGGGGAAAAGGATATATGTATGAAACGTCACATTCAACTTTTTTATTTTTTTTAAGAGACAGGTTCTCCATCTGTCAACCAGGCTGAAGTGCAGTGGCTACAATCTTACCAATGCAGCTTCAGCCTCCTGGGCTCAATGATCCTCCTGTCTCAGCCTCCTGAGTAGCTGGGACTACAAGCATGTGCCACCATGCCCAGCGAATTTTTTTAAATTTTTCCTATAGACAGGGTCTTGCTCTTCTGCCTGAGCTAGTCTTGAACTCCTGAACTCCAGTGACCCTCCCAACTTGGCCTCCCAAAGTGCTGGGATTATAGGTATGAGCCACGGTGCCTGGCCTTGACAAATCTCTCTAGCATCTAGGCATGGATACTTGTTCATGGGTCAAGTTAAGAAAATCTGGTGTAAGATACCAAAATCTTCAATACTTGGGAAAGGAAAAAAACAATCCTATTTACCTTGATTGAAATGGTTGAGCCTAACCAGAACTGGGCTGGTGTCTGGCTTTTAAAGAAAGACCCTTTGTGTAACAGAAAATAATACTGTTCCTATTAACATCTGTTACACTATATTTAGAAGTCAAATGGCTTTAGCATTGGCATGAACATTCTTCTAAGAGGAAGCTGAAACTTGCCAAGTGCAAAGTGAAAATGCTCATGCAGAATCAGACTTGCTGTTTTGAGGTTTTTGACCATAACCAGCCCACGAGTGAGGAACTCTTTTGTTCTTGAGCAAAAAATGACAAAATTTTGGAGAATAGGAAAACTTGATTTTTGTAAGGAATTATTTTATTTTATATATCTTTATTTGTGAGTCTCAGTGAGACCATTTCAAAGATGGGCAAATGCAGGCAAAGTGATGTGCTCAAGTTCTTGGGGCTAAAACAAGTAGCCAGTATCCTGATTTTGAGCCCAGGGTCACTGCACTGACCCACCTTTTGAGCAGCCACTTGGCTTCCCACCTTTAATATTAGGCCTCCCCCACCAGCTGCCCACAGTCTTGTTTTTTGTTTGTTTTGCTTTTATTTTTTTTCTACTGCCTTTTCATGAATCTTTTACAGGAGAGTTTTTAAACTTCCCTGCAGTTCTCTTTTTCAACCTATTCTACAAATTGTTGGGATATAACTAGATGTGAGAATATTCACGCAGCAAGAGTCTGCTAGCCAAACTGAAAATTTTCACTCTGGCCCACCCACTTTTTTAAAAATAACCTTTGTCTTTTGGAATAATTTTAGATTTATAGAATAGTTGCAAAAATAATACATAACATTTCCATGTACCCTTCACCCAGTTTCCCCTAAAGGTAAAACATTGCATAACCATGGTACATTTGTCAAAACTAAGACATTAGCAGTGGTATTTTATTCGAATTTCACCAGTTTATCCACTAATATCCTTTTTTTCTGTTCTGAAATCCAGTTCAGGAGCCCACACTGCCATGAGTCTGGCCCACTTAGATTTTAAGTGCTAAATGGGCAGCACAATTCGAGTCTGCACAGTATCCCGTGATCTCAGTATCCCGTGATCTCAGGGTCTTATCAAATCACATCCACACACCACCCAAAGGAACTATAGTAGAAAATCAATTGACTTTCCTTTTACAGATCCTCCCATTTATTACCATCTCTCAAAAATCCATCGCTCTTTGATAAAAGGTATTGCAGCAGTAAGGAGAAGACAGGAATGGAAAAGGACCAAGAGGAGACCCAACAGCACCCATAACCTGAAAAATTTAAATAATCACATCATCCATTTATCAATTGACTTATTATCGAGTGCTGATCAAGTCAAAAGCACTGGGGGAGTTAAAAGGCAACAATCCCTACCTGTAAGTCCGGTTGGAAGGCAATAGATGCATCTATATGACCAACACAATAATTACCTGAAGGTAGGAACAAACCATGCTGGGGAGTGGTGGAGAGAGACACTGCAGCTGCTTCCGGAAAAGATGGGATATTTGTAAAAGTGACCAGGTGTGAGGAGTATTTCGGCAGGCAGAGAAGATAATGGACCTAAAACAATGGCAAGCCTTTCTGCACTGTAAAGAAGTAGACTTGTAGGAAGACAATTATGGTAGCTTAAATGATGATTATGCATTTTTTCTCATTTGCATCACTTTCCCATCACCCAAGCAACAATACCTGGAAACCCTTGGCTGATCTTTGGGGTTTACAGAGTTATTCAAAGCTCACGTGTACAGGATGGAAATATCTGCATCCTAGCTGAGCACAGTTGCTCACACCTGTAATCCCAGCACTTTCAGAAGCCAAGGTGGGAGATCACTTGAGGCCCAGGAGTTCAAGACCAGCCTGGGCAACAAAGTGAGACCCCTGTCTCTAAAAAAAAAAAAAAAAAAAAAAAAAAAAAATAGCCAGGTGTGTTGGCCTGTGTTTGTGGTCCCAGCTACTCAAGAGGTTAAGACAGGAAGATAGCTTGAGCCCAGGAGGTTGAGGCAGCAATGAGCCATGATCACGCCACTGCACTCTAGGCTGGGCGACAGAGTGAGACCCTGTTTCAAAAATTTTAAAAAGGAAAGAAAAGAAATATCCACATGGTATTATTGATTATTCTGAGGATGTATAGGAAAATCTAGGCCAAACCATACATTTTAAAGGGAAGGCAAGTGAGGCCTTGAGAACTTAGCTGGATCTGCACAGTTCCCTCAAGCTCATGCCCAAGCCCTAAAAGGAACTCTGGTTGCCTGCCTCCCTATCCGAGAACCCTTTGCAACATACCATTATGTCAATAAAATGATACTTTAGCCCTCCAGAGGTCTACAACCCAAGGGTATGTGTGAGCAACTAAAACAGCAAATGGAAGTGACGGGGGCTATAGAGGAACAATGAAGAACTGGGCAGGGAGTAATTGATACTAGGAAGATTGCTGGGGTATCCTACAGAGCATGATAGCCAGGATGAGGGAGAGGTTTCAATATGGAAATTTCCATGAAGGAGGGGAGAAGCTGGCTGGTATGAATAAGAGGTGGGAGGCCAAGCGCGGTGGCTCACGCCTGTAATCCCAGCACTTTGGGAGGGCGAGGTAGGCAGATCACCTGAGGTCAGGAGTTTGAGACCAGCCTGGTTAACATGGCGAAACCCCATCTCTACAAAAAATGCAAACATTATTCAAGCGTGGTGGCTGTGCCCCTAATCCCAGCTACTCAGGAGGCTGAAGCAGGAGAATCTCTTGAACCCAGGAGGCAGAGGTTGTGGTGAGCGGAGATCGTGCCACTGCACTCCAGCCTGGGTGACAGAGTGAGACTCCATCTCAAAAAGAAAGACAAAAGAAAGAGGTCGTGAAATGTGGAGAGCACTTACAAGAGACAGGGATAGGCCTTTGAGTTAGGCAGGTGTGAAGAGTGGATCTACAGAGTGTGGTAAGGAAAGGATGCCTGGACAAAAACATCCGGTGGGAGGAGGCAATGCCATTTCCTTAATTTTTACCAACCTTTGTTCCAAAAGACATTTAAAATCACACTGATAATTATTAACAGCAGTAAAGCAATAGACGCTTTCCTGTATTTTTCATGTCACAGGTATAAGCTTATACTCACACAGGGCTTTGACCATCTAATACCATACAAGATATATGCTTTTGAACAAGCTACTCCACAGACCCATTTCCTTCAGCTGTGAAATGTGGATAATAGCACCTACATCTTGGAGTAAATATTATAAGACCTGCCTTGTGCTCCATCCATGTTGACACAGAGAACGTGTCAGTGCATCACATAGAGATTGTATGATGTGTGAATATTTACACATGCATGCCCTAATCACGGGACTGCAGCAATGACCTCTATTTGCAATGTCTTCCCTGGCCCCCACCCCCACTCCCAATTCTGTCCTCAAAGGTGGGAAGTCATCTGGATCAAGTTGTGCATCTTCCCAGATTCTACTATGATTTCCCATTTTCTCCTACATTTAATGAAACTCCCACCTACCTAGTGTTAGAAAAATCTGAAAACAGAAGGAGCTCACTTATAAGGAACATGTTCAAGCAATCTCAACCTCATGAAAGCTCTGTTTCCACAATGATGGCACTTCCACAGACATTATTCCATCAAGCCTCGCTGCAAATCTAAGCAATCAGTATTATCCTCCACACCTTAGAGAGAGACCATGCCAGCCTCTGAGGGCTGTGGTCAGTGCAGGTGACCAGGGCAAAGTAACTCAGAGGCAAATTCAGGTCTGTTGATGTTAAAGCCAGTAGACATTTCATGATCCCAAAGTTGCTGGTGTTGTCTGGAGTTTAGAGGGTGGATTCACTGGCTTGGATTAAAATATGTCTAATGCCCTTTCTCATCCAGAATATGGCTCCCCTTGTGTGACTGCAGGCCTTCCACCTCCCTCTCTGATGATGTTCTTCCTCTGCAATGCAGCTTCTGCAGGCTTCTTTCCAATCAGATTATCAAGCACCCCATTAGCCTGTCTCTCCCAGAACCTTCACACATACCAGGGTTTTCCTCTTTCTCTTTAATTCAAACACATCTTTTCCATCATCTGGATTCTGCCTATGATCGTCCCATCAACTCAGAGAAACAAAAACAAGAAACCAGTGCAATAACGTCCTGGGACCTTAGATCATGGATCAAAACCACTGTAGTGGGCACCGGGAAGAAGGCAAACTTGTTACTAAAAGAAACTTAAATCTCTTGCAGCTATAAAACATGCAAACAGCTTAATGAAAAGAGGAACCACTGGAATCTCTGAATGCTTATTTTTGATCGTAACATGCATTTAAAAATGTCCATCTCAATGAGCTAAATCATAAAAAATAAGCCAGGTATGGTGGTGCATGCTTGTAGTCCCAGCTAGGTGGGGACACCTGCTGAGGTGGGAGGATCGCTTAAGCCCAGAAGTTCAAATCCAGCCTGGGCAACATAATGAGACCCCCATCTCTAAAAAAGTACAATAATAAAAGATAACATTTTTCCTCTTCTAAACCCAGTTGCTATATTGTTTTATCTAACCACATAATCTTATTGGCTGGGTATTATTTTTATTCCCATACCACCTATGAAAAAGTTGAGGCTTAGAGGGATTGTTAGGTAAATGGCAGGGAAGGATAAGAGTATAGTTTAAGCCATCTGACTCCTGATCCTGAAATCATTAAATGGGCCCAAAATTTTGCTGCATGAGATGAATGCTAGAATTCATAAGCAACTTATTTTTCACAACAGTTCAATGAGGTTTCCAGAGAAACACAAGACTCAGAAACATTAGATCAGGTACTAAGATCATGCTTCCAATAAGTGATCAAGATGAGATTTCAGGCTGGGTGCAGTGGTTCATGTCTGTAATCCCAGCACTTTGGCAGGCTGAGGTGGGTGGATCATTTGAGGTCAGGAGTTTGAGACCAGACTGGCCAACATGGCGAAACCCCATCTCTACCAAAAATACAAAAATTAGCCAGGCATGGTGATGTGTGCCTGTAGTCCCAGCTAATCGGGAGGCTGAGGAAGGAGAATCACTTGAACCCGGGAGGCCGAGGTTGCAGTGAGCCGAGATTGCACCACTGCACTCCAGCCTCGGCAACAAGAACAAAACTCCATCTCAAAAAAAAAAAAAAAAAAAAAAAAAAAAAAAAAAGCGGGAGAGAGATTTCAATGCAGAGCCATTTAATACCAAAATCTTTCTAAAGGAAATAATAAAGCAAAGGTAAATACAAGAGCTCAGGCATCACAGGCCCTGGCCCACAGAGGGCATCTCCTTCCTGAAAAGCTCATGAGGAGTTAATCCCCGAAGCACCCAATAGGCAGAAACGAATTAATGAAGATGTGTTCATTTATCCTCTCTGCCAGCACCTAACACGATGTGGAAGTTTCTCTTTCTGAATTCCTGGAGGCCACACAGCACTTGGCATAGCCAGGAGGAAAAGCAGATTCTCTTCCCAACTTGCCCAGGGAACTTTCCAGGAGAAATATTTCATTTGGTGCCCCCATTAGCATCGTCTTCAGCAAGGTCACCGCAGCTTGTAAACAGACACATCAAATGTGCATTCATTCCACAAACCTCTGCTTAGCACCTGCGGAGGAAGGGCTGGGTGGACAAAGGTGATCAGGATCTAACCCTCCCTTAAGCAGCTGACAGTCTTGGGAGAAGACACAGTCTTAGGGTGGGAGGAACACAGTCTTGCGGCGAGAGGGCTGGGATGGGAAAGAATTGGAATGTGCTCTAGTGGAGAGGAGCCCCAGGTGCTTGGAGAGTACTGAAGCGCAACACCAGTGGAGTTAGGGACTGGGGAAGAAGCAGAGATGTCAGAGGAGATTTCACTCTGAAAACAGCAATTGAAATTGAAATTAATCTTAGGGGAAAAGAATGAAATTGCCATACATGAAAAAGTCAAGGAAAAAATAAAAAATAAAGTGTGACACTGACTCCTCCACTCTTGGAACACCAAGGAATTCCAAATGGCCTAACAATAGGGAGCCTGGTGTCAATGGAAGGAGAAATGGGAGGAGGAGGGATCCTCATACCAGTAAGGAGTCTGGACTGTCCTTCGGGCACTGGGAGCTGCTGAAGAGTTTAAGCAGAGTAGTGATCTGATGCGATTTGCATTTTAGAAGCTCCCTCTCCCCCTAGGTGAGCTGGGCTCAGTGGGGAGGCTGATGGCAGGGCATCCACACCATCAAGGTCAGAGACAAGAGCTGACCTGGTTCAGTCTATCCTGCTCTGTAGCTCATGATTGTGGATTCCAGCTGTCCTTGCTCTGACCTGTGGACTAGAGGCTTCAGGTTCAAAGACAGTAAACCTTACAGAGAATGGCTTAACCAGCTGCCCTGAGAGTGCCCAGGGGAAGCTGAATATTAATGAGGAATTTTCTCAATTGGTTCTGAGTTTTCTGGAATCAATTATCTGACCTCATTAGATGCAAAGGCGTTAATGATCCTGTTTCCAGTGGATCATATCTGATGACATGTAATGGTGAAACAGTTATGCAAATTATTCCTTGTAGATAGCTGGTAACTAAATGCTGATGAAAGTCAAGATTCTGGTGGACTAAGTATTAATAGTTCACAGCATAAAACATTGTAATCAAAATAAGAAATATAATGGGGTTGGTTAACTGTTTCTAACTGTGCTAGAGAACTTGGAGAAAAGAAAAAGATGAGCTCAGGGCTTTAAATTTACAGTTCAATGTCTGTATAAGGGATCTGAAAGCTCCTCTGCCTCCCTGAAAGAAACCTTTTCTCCTGCAGCATTTCATCTGAAAACCAGAAGAAAGCCTAACCCTACAGGTAACTGAATTGCAAAGCAAATCAAATTTCCAGCCTCTAGGAAGGAGTCTCTTTTGTTAAAGTCAGGGCATGCATGATTGGGAAGAAATGGGATTTTGAAAATTGGGATGGGGACATTCTGATGGAGCTAGATGCATGGAACTCCTGAACTCCCTTAAATGTTCCCAACAAGCTTACTTGGCAGTAGAAGCAGTGCTTCCACTCCTGCCTTGGGGTTAGTGTTTTCTTGCTTGAAGAACTTATAATGACCTACTTAAGAAAGTTGCCTTGCAAGGCCCTGCTGATCTCAGAACCTGCCCCCGCCATCCTTTTTTGCTTTTAGAGTTATTTTAAGCAAGCTCAAGCCCCAGCAGATTCCAAAGGGTGAGGAGGTGCAATGTACACCAAAAGAATTAGATGATTTTGCTAAATTATATTGATGGAAATCTGGGGAATATGCATGGGAACAATTTTAAGGATGTGGAATCCAGGAGGAAGAAATATGGAATTGGATCAGGCCAAATAAATGGATATGGACTTACTAAGCAGACAATACAAATAGAATGTTTTGTAGCTCCAGTGGCTAGGAATGGTTCTAATTATTTGCTTGGTTGTTTGACCAAAATATGGACTCAAAATTGGTCTGCACTAAATGAAGTGGAAATGCCAGAACTTCCTTGGTATCCTACAGAGGAAAGTATTCATAGGCTTAAGGAAATTGAAATGCTAGAGTGGATTTGTCATGTAAAATCTCTTCACCCACTTGGGGAGGGTCCAGAGGACATGAAAACCTTCACCACTGTGTTGAGAAATAAATTCCTGAGAGAAGTCCCAGTATCCCCAACATGGGGAGGACAGAATCCAGGGGTGAAAAGAGGCAGAAGGCAGCACTTAATTGCCAAAGGCAAGGTGGGCAAGGTTACCATAATGGACAGGGGAGTCAAAGCAGTCATTAGAACAGTCTGATTTACAGAGACCCATGGCGTTGGCAGCTTGACTGGATATCATGGCTGATGGTGTCCCTAGAGGAGAAATCAATGGGAAATCTGCTAGATTCTTACCTAATCTGTGTAAATGTAAATGTCCCAGGTCCAGAGAACTGAAGTCTGACTTGAATCATCAAAACAGTCACAGTCACTCAATTCCCAGATTTGATGCCGTACAATGACCCAGAGTTCTCTGAGTGAAGAGAAGGCCAGAGGAAAGACCTTGTTACACTGCCAAAATTTAATTTATACTATTAATCTTCCTCTCAGACATCCCCAAAAAGATTCATGGCCATTTACCAGGGTGACCAGGCACTGAGGAAGGAGAAATAATCAGACTTTTCTGGGATTACTGGACACCGGCTCTGAACTGGTACTAATTCCTGGAAACCCAAAATAATATTGTGAAATAACACTCTGAAATTTTGGAAAACTTGTATCTATTGCTGTGAGCTTGACAGCTTCCCAATACTTAAAATCTTTGCTGATGAATTCAGTGATGATATTAACAAATGTAATTTTTGTGAGTGGTATAATAAAATGTGTCAATATTTGGAAGTTCAGCATAGCTCAGCAACACAGTTTCTCAAATGGACTAATGTATGATGCTACATATTCACGCATGGTTAAAAGATTTATTGGATATTCAAGATAGACCAATGGATTTAAATGTAACAGAGTATAAAGTTCATTGATATAGTTTCAGAGTCTATATAGCAACTAACTTTTAAGAAACTACCACTTGTCAAGTTTTGGTGTAGTATCAAAATAGAATACCCACAATGATCTGAAAATGCTATGAAATATTTCTCCCTTTTCAACTATGTATCTGTGTGAGGCTCGATTTCCTTCAAATTTTTAACCAAAGCAACATACTGCAACAGATTGAAATCAGAAGCAGACATGAAAATCCAGTTGTCTTCTATTAAGTAAAATATTAAAGAGATTTATAAAACTGTAAAGTAATACCATTCTTCTTAAGTTATTGTTTTGAAAAATGTTATTTTTCATTTAAAATTGTCTCATTTAAAAATATAATGGGTTTAGGCCGGGTGTGGTGGCTCACGCCTGTAATCTCAGCACTTTGGGAGGCCGAGACAGGCAGATCACGAGGTCAGGAGATCGAGACCACCCTGGCTAACATGGTGAAACCCCATCTCCACTAAAAATACAAAAAAAAAAAAAAATTAGCCAGGGGTGGTGGCGGGCACCTGTAGTCCCAGCTACTCGGGAGGCTGAGGCAGAGAATGGCATGAACCCGGGAGGCAGAGCTTGCAGTGAGCCAAGATTGCGCCACTGCATGCCAGCCTGAGTGACAGAGTGAGACTCCATCAAAAAACATAAAAATAAAAATAAAACATATAAATATATATAATGGGTTTATTAGTTTTTAAATTAATATATAAAGTTTATAATTTTTTCTGTTTTGATTTCTAGTATGGTAAATATTAAAGGTTATAATCCACATAAATGAAAGCTCTTTGGGATCCTCAATACATTTAAGAGGGTAAAGGAATTCTGCCAAAAACATGAGGACTGCTGCTGTAGGACGTGGTAAGTACATAAAATAAGCAAAGAAGACCAAGGGCAGGCTGCAGCTAATGCTTCACTTTAAAAGGTCCAGTTTCTTTCAGATTCAAAGTATGTTTTTGCATTAGTCTTCGCAGGCTGCCATAACAAAATACCACAGACTGGTAGCTTAAACACCAGAAATTTATTTTCTTCGAGTTCTGAAGGCTGAAAGTCCAAGATCAAGGTAGCATGAGGGTGGGTTTCTGGTGAGGGCTCACTTCCTGGCTTGCAGATGCCTGCTGTCTCACTGTGTGCTCACACGGCCTCTCCTCTGTGTGCGTGAAGAGAGATCCCCTCTGGTGCTTCTTCCTCTTCTTTTTTTTTTTTGAGATGTAGTCTCACTCTTTTGCCCAGGCTGGAGTGCAGTGGCATGATCTCGGCTCACTGCAACCTCCGCCTCCCGGGTTCAGGCTATTCTCCTGCCTCAGCCTCCTGAGTAGCTGGGACTACTGGCACATACCACCATGCCCAGCTAATTTTTGTATTTTCAGTAGAGATGGGGTTTCACCATATTGGCCAGGCAGGTCTTGAACTCCTGACCTCGTGATCCACCTGTCTCAGCCTCCAAAAGTGCTGGGATTACAGGCATGAGCCACCGTGCCCGGCCTTCTTCATCTTCTTATAAGGACATCAGGCCTGTCTGATTAAGGTCCCATCATATGGCCTTACTTCATCTTTATTATCTCCCTAAAGGCATCGTCTCCAAATACAGTTACATTGGGGGTTAGGACTTCAACATATGCATTTCAGTCCCCAACAGTCACCCCTGATGCTCTGCCCTAGAATTCTGTCTGTCTTTAAGACAGCATTTTTTACCTTTTCAAATTGTAGCTTAGAGACCCTTACCCCTGTCATAGGCAATGCTTGCCTACCCAACTGTGTTGGGGTCTTCTGTTTCATATTTAAACCTTCATGCAGCGCTTATCACAACTCTAATTCCTTTGCTGTTTGCATAATCAGTTATTAAATGATTATCTTCCTCACCAAACTATTAGCTCTGTGAGAACATGGCCCAGTCATCTTGCTGACCAGTGCTCAGCCCATTGTCTGGGACCTAACAAGCTCTTAAAACATATTCACTAAGTAAAATGATGTGGAAGGGAAGGAAGAATGATGCAGAAGAAAGTTTGAGATGTCTATTGCACCATGCTATTTATAGTACATTATTAATTATTTGTTATTATTCCCACCCTTTGCATCTCTTTTAAAATAGTTTAAGCATGTGGAATAATATAGAAAAATAGCATAACAAGTGAAATGGCTTTCAAAAATGCACACGTATTTATGGGAATAGTGTAAATACTTTAATCTGGGTGCTGGGTGGGGAGTGGCGGAGAGGAGAAATGAAGAAAAAAGAAAAAATAATAAAATAGAAGACAAGTGGCTGATAGTGGACAGTGAAGTGGGAAGTATAAGTCAGTCATTTCTGGTCACTTGCTTTTCAACATTTAAATGAAAATATAGCAAATAACAAGAAACGCCGTAGACTAAAAAGAACTAGAAAATGGCGTCATAAAACCAGGAAATAAGATCATTTTGAGGAAAGAGTCCTCGACATTGCCAAGTGCTGAGAATAGAGCAGCAGTGTCAAGACAAGTGAGTGACCTTTGGGCATGGGGTGCATGTCATTGCTTGCTTCAGCAAGGACAATTTCACCACCATGTAGGTGCCACAAAGGAGCCAGATGCTGACTGCTCTGCTGGTGGAAGCTTTGTACTCACTGATGTGGTTTGGCTGTGTCCCCACCCAAATCTCATCTTGAAAATTCAAGTTCCCATAATTGCCATGTGTTGTGAGAGGGACCCGGTGGGAGATAGTTGAATCATGGGGGTGGTTTCCCCCATATTGTTCTCATGGTAGTGAATATGTCTCACAACATCTGATGGTTTTATAAGGGGAAACCCCTTTCACTTGATTCTCCTCTTTCTTGCCTGCTGCCATGTAAGATATGCCTTTGCTCCTCTTTTGCCTTCTGCCATAATTGTGAGGCCTCCCCAGCCATGTGGAACTGTGAGTCCATTAAACCTGTTTTCCTTTATAGTACCCAGTCTCAGGTATGTCTTTATTAGCAGTGTGAGAACAGACTAGTACATTCACTTTCAGTGTTTAATTTTCTGTAACTCTGCTCCACCACAGCCTTGGCCACGATCACCAGCAGATCCCGGAAATGCCTAAAACTTTGAGGATTTGTGACGGTCAGCATTTGAATCCTTTCTAGATGACTGACCCATAGACGCCAATTCAGACTTTTAGCATGAACCAGGATTTTGTTGTGTTCTCAGGGGGAAGTATAGACTGGCAGAGCATATCAGTTAAAATGCCTCTGGCCACAGGTTGCAAAATACCAAACAAGTTAAGAACAATAATATTCTATATCTGTTGATATGTTAGGTTGGATACCTAAATTTACATTCTTCCTTAAGCAACTAAAAATTTTGGATAACTGGCTTAAAAAGAAATACCCTTCTTAAATGCACAGATGAGTGGAAAAGAAAGTAAACAACTCACAGACCAAAATGCTACATGAAGGTGGTATTACAATGAGAAATCATTGCACACTCACCAGATGAACATAACTGAAAAGTATAATGATAGAACACATTGGTTAGAACAGGAGTAACAGAATTTCTAGTACATTGTTGATAGGTGGTGTAAACTGATACCACACTCTGGAAAACATTTTGATGTTACCCAGTAAAGTTGAATGTATTCTTCTAAGTCAGTGTATTAACCAGTAATTCAATCCCTAGGTATGTGCCACAGAAACTCTTGCTGATGTACATTGGGACACATATACAAAACTGACCACAGCTGTAGTACCAAAGAGCCTAACCTTGAAATATTCTAAATGTCCATCAACAGTAATATACATAAATAAATTGTAGAATGGTCAGAAATGGAGGAATAGGCATACTTTTTCTATCAAAGGCCAGAGAGTAAATACTTTAGGCTTTGAGATCACACAGTCTCTGTTGCAACTACCATTTCTGCTCTCTTCCATTGTAGCTTGGAGGCAGCCATAGATGACCTGTAAACAAATGAGTGTGGCTATGTTATTAAAAAAAAAAAACTTTATTTAAAAAAACTGGTAGCCCATGAGCTTTAGTTTGCCCAATTCTGGCATAATGGAATCCTATGCAGCAAAATGGATGAATTTCACAAAAATAATAAGCAAAACACATGTAAACAAACACATAAGTATGATGCTATCCATATATGTTTCAAAGACCAGGCGAAACTAAACTGCAATATTTGGGAATGCATTCAGAAAATGGCACACAACCGAAACACGTAGGGAAGATTATCACAAGAAACAGAACAGTGGTTGATATGGTTTGGCTGTGTCCCCACCCAAATCTAATCCTGAATTCCCATGTGTTGTGGGAGGGACCTGGTGGGAGGCAATTGAATCATGAGGGTAAGTCTTTCCTGTGCAGTTCTCATGATAGTGAAGAAGTCTCACGAGATCTGATGGTTTTAAAAAGGGGAGTTTCCCTGCACAAGCTATCTCCCTCTTTGCCTGCTGCCATCCATGTAAGATATGACTTGTCCTTCCTTGCCTTCCACCATGATTGTCAGGCCTCCCCAGCCATGTTGAAATGTAAGTCCATTAAACCCTTTTTCCTGTATAAATTACCCAGTCTCAGGTACTTCTTTATCAGCAGCATGAAAATGGACTAATACAGTGGTGTCCTCTGGGAGGGAGAGAAAGAGACTGGGGCAGGACACAGGTGACTCTTGGGGTACTTGTTTAGTGCCATTTTTTCACTTGGTTGATGGTTGCCTGAGTGTTTGAATTATTATTTATTTTTGAACAGTAAATGTGCGAAGAGGACATCTTTTTTTTTTTTTGACATTTGTTAAAACTGAAAAACAACAAAAACAAAACAAAAAACAGCCTTATCACAGAAGACTTTCCCTTACATCTCATTGGGTGGAATGCTCTCATATGCGCATTTTTGAACCAATCACTGGCTTAGGGAATAGAATTACTAGGCCAGCCAAAATGTATTTCTGGAAAGTGGAGATGAAGCTGGGCCTCTCTTAGAGGACATGGCTGTCTACTTGTAGGATAAAAAAGTGGGTGTCAGGGCTAGTTGTTGGAAAGGTAACTCACAATATATGCAGTTAGAGTTTTCTTTTAATCTAGCTAGCTAGCTAGCTATCTCCATTTATTCATGAGAATCCTTTGAGTGTCTTTTTGTGAAGGCCACACTGGGTCTAGGAGTCATCTTGATGACGACTCCATCAGAGCTGTCCTCTGACTTGCAGCTGAATTCCCTCTTTCCAGCTGCTGCCCTTTCCATCTATTGCCCAAAGATCATGCCAGGGCCACTAAAACAGGACAGCTACAAACCCACCTCGCTTCTTTTCTTCCCAATGTCTACTAAAGATGAGATCATTATCTTCCCCATATGCTCTATCTGAGTCATCTTCAGTAGCCTGGAAACTAATCTTGGAAGAACATCCACAGCTGGGGAATTGGAGTTGAACAAGAGAAAAGGAAAATCAGATTTTAAATAAAGGTTTTATAAAAGGGTTGGAGTGTGTTGAATGATTGCCCCTGAGACTATATGTCTAAGTCCTAATCCTCAGAACTTGTGAATGAAAACAGTTTGGGAAAGGGGTCTTTGGTGATGTAATTAAGGATCTAGATATGATATCATTCTGGATCTTACGGGTTATGTTCCAGAGAATCATAACCCATAGGATACACACACACACACACACACACACACACACACACACACACACACACACAGAGAGAGAGAGAGAGAGAGAGAGAGAGATTTAAGAAATTGGCTCATGTGATGGTGGGGCCTAGCAAATTGAAAATCTATAGGGCAAGCCAGCAGGCTATGAATTCAGGCAAGAAGTTGATGCTGCAAGCTTAAGGAAGAATCTCTCCTCCAGGGAATCTCAGTGTTGGCTCTTACGACCGTTGGACTGATTGAATGAGGCCTGCCCGTATTAACAAGGGTAATCTCTTTTACCTAAAGTCAACCAGTGGAAGATATCAACCATATCTCCAATATACCTTCAAAGCCACACCTAAATGCATGTTTGGTTAAATAATTTGGTACTGTAGCCTAGCCAAGTTGTAACATAAAACTAACTCTTTCAGAAGTGTTCTCCCTTACAGCCTTCAGAGGCAGTATGGCCCTGCTAACACCTTGATTGCAGAATTCTGGCCACTGGAACAGGGAAAGAATATATTTCTCTGTATGAAGCCACCTAATTTGTGGTTGTTTGGTATAGAAGCCCCAGGACACTAATACAAGATCTAACAGAAGGGTGTGTTATGATGCCAAGATATTCTTCATATGAGGCCCTTCTCAAAAGCAGGTGATCAGTAAATAGGTACCTGCTCTGTGCCATTGTGAGTCTCTTCTGGAAATGTATTGAGTGTAGTTTACTTTGTCTTCCCTTTAAGACAATGGCCTTATGTGGGACTTCACATTATAACCACTTGGAAAGACTAAAAAAATAAAATTAGTGTTCTTGCTCCTTTTCCCCACTTCCTTCTGATTTCATTTGTCTGGGATGGGGCTAGGGGGTGATATGGGTTAAGAGTCCCTGTGTTGAGCCAGGTGTGGTAACTTATGCCTGTAATCCCAGTACTTTGGGAGGTAGAGGCAGGCAGATCATTTGAGGCCACAAGTTTGAGACCAGCCTGGACCAGCCTGTCCAATATGGTAAAACTCTGTCTCTAATAAAAATACAAAAAAATTAGCCAAGCATGGTGGTGCACGACTGTAGTCCCAGCTACTCAGGAGGCTGAGGCATGATAATCACTTTAACCTGGGAGGATGAGATTTCAGTGAGCCAAGATCATGCCACTGCACTCCAGCCTGGGCCACAAAGCGAGATCCTGTCTCAAAAAAAAAAAAAAAAGAGAAAAGAGTCCTTGGGTTGATTCTAATCTGTAGTCAGGGTTGATAGCTGCTATTCTAAGTCATGCAGCACCCACAGGCTTTTTTTTGTGCTGACCAGCACTCCAACCAGGTGGAGGGAAACAGGGGTCGTACTGATGCCAGACTAAGCAGGAAGTCAGGTGGATGAACAGAAAGAAATCTGGGTCTCCGAGTAGCTAATAACCACGTTCACAACCTGATGATGGGGAGAAGTGAAGGGCAACACTTAACTAAACAGCCTCCAAGAACTCATCAATAGAGAATTGTTCTCCTCAAAGAGGGCAGGGAGTTCTGAAGCAGCAGCATGAGTCACAAAATAACAGCTTGGAAACAATGAAAATTTATTTCTCTCTTACATTCATGGAGTCCAGAATGGGAAATGCTGGGTTGGTAGGATTGAGCCTCTATGTAGGGGATCCCAAGTATTCTACTTTCATGTCCCATTGTGTCTGCTGTCTACCTCCAGGTCATCACATGACCTCTGGGGCTCAGCCCAGCAAGTCCACATTCTGGCCAGCAGAAAAGAGGAGGGGCTAGAGCAAGAAGCCAAGGGCTGGCACTGGCTCTCTTAAAGGATCCTAGAAGCATCCACATAACCCTTCTGTTTATATAGAATTGACCAGAACTTAGTCAAATGGCCATACAGTGCTTCAAAGCTAGAAAAGTTGGTCTTCATTTCAAAAGTAATTCATCCCTGATATGTTTGGCTCTGTGTCCCCACCCAAATCTCATCTCAAATTGTAATCCTTATGTATCAAGGGAGGGACCTATAATCTCCATGTGTTACAGGGGAGGATGTGATTGGCTCATGGGGTCAGTTTCCCCCATGCTGTTCTCATGATAGTGAGTGAGTTCTCATGACATCTGATGGTTTTATAAGTGTTTGACAGTTCCTCCTTCATAGGTTCTCTTTCCTGCTGCCTTGTGAAGGAGGTTCTTGCTTCTTCTTTGACTTCCATTGTGATTGTAAGTTTCCTGAGGCCTCCCTAGCCATGTGGAACTGTGAGTCAATTAAACCTCTTTCCTTTATAAATTACCCAATCTCAGGTATATCTTTATAGCAGTATGAAAACAGACTAATACAGTCCCCACAAACCTGCAGATATGGAGGACTGGCTGTATTGTTTACAGCTGCTTTCAAGCTACAGTGACAGAGCACCATGACAGTAGTTGTGACAGAGACTGCATGGCCCCCAAAGTCAGAAATATTTGCTATCTGCCTGTCTACAGAAAAAGTTAGCCAACTGCTCATCTGGTGCATTTCATAAAACAGTAAGTTGAGGCTTTGCCCAAGGTCACATGGCTTGTTAGTTAGATGGGTCCCTTGAAGTCTTGTGGCTCCAGTCAGCTCTTGCCCCCAGATGGTGATCTCTTTCACAAGTGATATTAGGAGTGTTACAGACTGAAAAGTTGAGTCTCCCCAAAATTTGTATGTTGAAGACCTAACCTCCAAGTATGGCTATATTTGAAGATGGGACCTCTAAGGAAGTAATTAAGGTTAAATGAGGTCATAAGGTCAGGAGGCTGATCCAGTAGGATTAGTGTCTTTATAAAAAGAGACACCATAGAACCCTCTCTCTCTCTCTCCCTCTCTGCTTGCATAAAGAAAAGATTATGTGAGCACATAGTGGAGGTGGCCATCTGCAAATCAAGAAGAGGGTCCTTACCAGAAACTGACTTTGCCAGCACCCTGATCTTGGACTTCCAGGCTTCAGAATGGTGAGAAGTAAATACCTGTTGTTTAAGCCATGTACCTAGTCTGTGGTATTTTGTTATGGCAGACTGAATGCACTAATCCAAGGAAAGAATGAGGAGATGGAATGACCCAAGAACATCCCTATCTCTGAAACTGACAACTTGGAGCAAAGGTCATGTGGATATGGGTCCATGCCTGCCACTGCTTTTCACAGAGATGACACTTTACATTTCAAGACAGTAATTTATTATAAATGGCTAAGAGTGTGGAGCAGTATACTTGGGGCAGAGATCCCTAGCTTATTACCCAAATTCATGCTTCTCCTTTAATAATATACACTTACTGTTTCAAATGAGCCCCCACTCAGGGACTACATTTTCCAAATGCCCCTTGTGTCCAGTTGTGGCTATTTGACCAGTTTTGCCTATGTAATGTGAGCAAATGTAGTTGGCATCAATCCTGAGCCAAAGGATTGAGGTTTACTCACTCTCTCCTTTCCCTTCTGCAGGCTGGAATGGCAGACCCACAGATGGAAGGAACTTGAGGCCTCAAATCCTCATGTGGAGAAAAGCTCTCACTGAACTCCAATATTAAACTGTTAAACAGGTGAGAAGTAAATGTCTTTATTGGGTTAAACTCAGCTTTTTTGAAACGACCTTGATTTCAAATATTCTATTATTTTATCCTGGGGTCAGGAATATAATTTACCCAAGCCTTCTATTAAGCCAGAAATTAAAATATAAATCACAATGAAATCATTCATTCCCTAGTATATGAATTTTTGAGTAGATGGGATATTGCCTAGAAATAGGTTGAACAAAATAAATGATGATGATGGCAATGATGATGGTGATATTAATGATGATAGCAGCTAAGATTTCTTGAGCTTTTAACATATACCATCGTTATAAGAATTTGCTTTTATTCATTAGTTTCTACATCAACCCAATTAGATAGGTCCTAATATTAGCCTCATATGGTAGATGAGGAAACTAAATTCTGAGATCACAGTTAGTAGGTCATAGACATAGTCCCCAAAAACTCTATTGGTTTTTGGAAAGACAAAACTTCTCACTTTTTATCACTAATGAATTTGGCTTGTGGTCTTCAAACACTTTTGTTTATAGTGCCCCTAAAGGAAGCTTGAAAGATAATGTCCCTAGTGTAGATGTTTTGCAAAGATGGCCAAAGTAACTCCTCTCATCCCTGTGCTCCCACTCCTCTGCCATGTGACTTCAGTACCTCCTCTCATGAGCTACAGTTTATTTCCTCATCCATTGACTCTCATCTGGCTTTTTGACTTGATTTAGCAATTAGAATGAAGAGAAGTAAAAATGTGGAAGACTGAGCCAGACTTCAGGAGGTCTGTGTCTCTCTTTACCCAGATAAAGATGTACAGTCTGAAACACTGTACAATGACAGGCCACTTGGAGCAGCCAAAAGCCATCATCAACTTTCAGACATAGAAGTGAGGCCATCTTAGACTATGTCACTGCTAGATAATTGCACTGCATGTGTGATCCCCGATAAGGCCAGCAGAACAACCTCCCCGCTGAACCCAGCCTAGATGCCTGATCCACAGGGTAAGGAACAAATAAAATGATTGTTGTTTTAAGCCACAAAGATTTGGGAAGGTTTGTTACACAGGAAATAATAACTGAGACAGTTTTCTTGCACATTTTTCAGGTGACATCTACAATTTTGCATTATAAGTTTAAAGTAGTTCAAGACATTGACATTTCTAACTTATTAGAAATACAGGTATTTTGAAATAAAGCAATTTATTCATTCTTTTAAGCATATCATATGGAATTTAAACATGACAGCAATTTAATATCCACCACTATCCCTTTAAAACATAGTCAACAAACTCTTACTGAACAAAATGTAGTTCTACAACACACCTTTTCTCCTTAAATTCATATTTCCACTCAAATTCTGATAGACATTTTTCCCTAACCTAAAATATTTTTATATTTAAAAGTCTTTACTCATCAAACACACGCACATCAAAAATGTGTAGAAAATTGAAGTTTATTTTTATTTCACGTCACCAATATGCCCTAATAGTTTCATAAAATTATACTGGATTGAGCTATTATTAGAATTATTACTAGTATACAACTGAGAAAAATATTATGTATACAGTATAAATATTAATAATTTTAATATATAAATGGTAAAAACAAAATCCATGGGGAAAACATGTCTAACAAAATATGCAGAAGTTTCTCTTTTTTCCCAGTTTTCTCATGTCCATGGATAGATATTGCCTATTGGTTTAATAGTTGAGTATTCATAATCGATTCCTACTCTTCTTTTTATATCGTATGCACTGAGAAAACTTGCTCACATAAATAGGTAGGTGGGAATGGGAAGAGTTTTGCTACAGTAGCATTCCTCAATTCTCTGAATTCCTTTGAAGTTGTTTAGGGATCTATCATCAAAAATTACATCTAATGATCTCTCAGCTGACAATTCGATTAAGTCTTCTTCAGTGGTGATGAAAGCATAGAATTGGAAGCCACCTGACTTGTAAAAGAGTTCCTTACCCAGTCATTAGAGTTATTTATTTTTCTAGTTTCTGGGAAATATACCAAAAAGGCTTTACCAAGTCTGATCGAAAAACTCTTAGTAATTACACCTGATACTCTGCCACTTAGGCATCTTGTTTATTCTCAGAACAAGTTGAGAAAATGGAAATACTGTTAATTTCAATACACCTAAGCCAATACAATCTCGTTGATTAAAAAATGCTCTTGTTTTTTAAAGTGCTTCAAGTATCTTTTCACCAAGGCTTCAGATATAGCTCAAAAAAACGACACAAAGTATCCATCATGTAAGCTAATAAAGCCCACATTTATTGTGCAATTTCATCAGCCAAATCAAATCCACTTTCAGAAAAAATCTGATTTCATTTATCAGTTCACATAAGTGTTCCCCAAACAACCGTGTTTCTCGTGAATTTTAATTCTCAAAAGAAAGACAAGGCACAGAGTCTTGCTATGAGCCTTCAATATTTATTTCCGACACTCCCCTAGTTTGCCTTCATAAAACACTCCCTCTCGTGAGTCTGCATTCTCCACTTGTCCCCTCTTTGTTTCATGCCCTGCAGGTTTCTACACTTTGGGGTTATGCACCACAGTGAGATTTGGCATGGGCAAGTGGTTCGTTCCATTTTCCTTTGTGACTTGGGAGAAATGGACTTGGGAAATGAGAGCCAGCTTAGGGCACCCAGGAAAGTTAAGGTTTTGGAAATCATCTCCCTTAACTATCCCTGCATGCATGTCCCCTGGAAAGTTTTTATGCACCTTAGTAAATTTGTGGAGTAAGTTTAACAAATCTTGGGACAAATATGTCTGCTGGCTAATATTAGTCAGAGGCAGTGCTCTAAAGACAATATGAGAAGATAGACAAGTTTCCTTGTTTTTGATTTTCCTAGGGTATTATGAGAGCCCAAAAGAGAGGCTTCAGAAATCAGGGAAGACTGCCTGAAAGAGGCAACTACAAAGCTGAATCTCAATATCTAAGTTTTTAAAAGCTCAAAGGTGATTTTTATGCTCACTGAAATGTGAGAATTACTGCTATGGATACAAGGTCTTGAAATCAAGACAGAAGGCAGGTCGGTTGTCACTATAGAAGGATCCATATTTCATGTGGCTCTGAATGTGGGTACCTGTAAGTTATTTCGGGGCTGACACCAAGGCAGAAGTTAATCCAATTCAATCGTAACGTTTCTTTCTCTTTGGTTTAAGCAGAGAGAATGCCTGCCTTGTTGGTAGTGTCCCACCATCGTGCAATCACTGGGTGCCATGACTGATGGCAGCATTTATAGTCCCCACACCTGGCCACCTGCTACTTATAGTGACGAGTGGGCTGATCACCTGGAATTCTTGTCTTTCTTCCTGAACAGGTTCCAAAAACCTGGGATCTCTGAAAAACCGAAAGCAAACTCTCAGCTCCCAGAGAGGGGTATGAAAATGCCAAGCTATTTACTAGCCTTCCTTCCCCACTCATCCCTCTTCCTGCCCACCCGGCTTGCCATTGCAATTTGTACTAACTAGAAGACTTAGAAATGGGGCCTTGGCTATCTATCCTGCAAGACAGTTTCAAAGCCCCAGACCTAGATATCACACGCTTACCCAATTAAAAGCTGTCCTCCAGAGCACCTTGCCAGAGCCCCCTAAGATAACGAGCCCCTGTCTCATCACAACTCACACCCTCTCCTACACAAGGAGATAAGGAGATGTGTTGCTTGAGCCATATTTTTGGAAATTGCTAGTTAGTTGCAAAATGTTTCCTGAGGTAGAAAAAAAAAGCACCAAGGACTGTAATTATTGGATTGTTTCACTTTTGAGGCCAAGAAGCAGATGTTCGACTTTCAAGGCTTGGGCAAGTATTATCACAAGTTAACTCCTCTGTTTGCCACTCCAGCATCCCCGCTCACTGGCTTCCTTGAAGAGGCCCACTTAGATCAGTTGAACCATTGCCTAGGATTTGGTTTGCAAGGCTCTTTAAAAAGCTGGGCCATACTGTAATCTGGTGCTAATCAGATTTCAGTGTGATGTCGCCAGGAAAAATCGATATGTATAATGCTAGACTAGAAAGGTTTAGAACCAAATTCCAAAGAAGAAAAATCATTCTACAAATTAGATGCCTTTTAAAATAAACTTACTTTGAATAAAATAGAGAAATTATTCCAAGTCTCTGCTCTCCTGCTTCCCATGTTTTGTTCGAGAACTGGAAAATGAATTCCCTGAGATGAGAGCTAGCCTTGTTTTGCAGTGAGAGGCAGGTAGTGTAGTAACTTGTTAAAATGTCCAACAAAGCTGGGAGAATGTAATTAAATATAATTCATTGAATGCATTTCCTCCTTTCCTTTTTACAAAGTACATGTATTTGAGTGCCAAAATGTGCACGGCACTGGGAAAGAAATTGTGAAAGGACCCATTTGATTGCTGCCCTCTTGCAGTTTAATATCTATGGGGTGACCAAATATTAAGCACTCCATAAAGAGTGGTTTATGCTGCCATGAGAAATGAGGGGTGCAGGTGGCCGTGGCATCACCTCCCTCAGTCTGGGCATAGCTGGTTCTCAAGGAAAGCTTCCTAGAAGAAGTGATGCTCAATTTGAAACCTGTAACTTTAGCAAGCGTTAGCCAGGCAGATAGGCCAAAGGTCAAGTGCAGGGAAAGAAGGTCGGGCATTGAATAGTGGAGGGTGCTCCAGATGGAGGAGACAACACTGCAGAATGCACAGGCTCCCAGATGACAGAGTGCATGTTTGAGGAACCAAATTAAAAAAGATAATAATCATTATTCATTTATTTTATTTTACTATTTATTTATTTAGATGGAGTCTTGCTCTGTCACCCAGGCTGGAGTGCAGTGGTGTGACCTCGGCTCACTGCAACCTCCGCCACCTGGGTTCAAGTAATTCTCCTGCCTCAGCCTCCTGAGTAGCTGAGATTACAGGCGCCCGCCACCACACCCGGCTAGTTTTTGTATTTTTAGTAGAGATGGGGTTTCACCATGCTGGCTAGGGTGGTCTCAAACTCCTGACCTCAAATGAACCACCCGCCTAGGCCTCCCAAAGTGCTGGGATTACAGGCATAAGCCACCGCACCCAGCCTATTCATTTATTTAAAGGCATATTTTAAAGTTTATTCTGTGCCAGTCCTGGTGCTAAGCCAGAAAACAAAGTTATAAACAAGACAGAATTGTTCTAAATATTATTAGCCAATTATTCTTTGAACTAATATTTCTCAAGTATTTGCTATGTGCCAAGCATTCAAAGATCTTCACCAGTAGTATCTCATTTCATTCTTACAACAACCACACGAAACAGTTGCTCCTCTTAGTGTCACTTTACCAATTAGTAAACTAAGGCACTGGACACATGAGTTCAGTGACATGCCCAAGGTCACCCTGTTGGTGAGTGGAGGATCCCAAACATGAGCTGTCAGAATCTAGAGCTCCCTTTGGTGTGTAATCATGGCAAGATTACAAGAAATAAGGTGACTGACTGTCCTAGTTTGCCTGGATCTAGGGATTTTCTCGGACATGAGACTTTAGGTGTTAAAACTGGGAGGAGGCCGCGTAAGCATTATAGCTGAGAAGAGAGCAGGGCCACATTTTATATGGGTAATAAAACGTGCTAAAGAGTTGGGAATTTATACTAATGGCAATGAAGATCTTCATGTAAGAGGGCCACAAATTACACTGAGAGTTCTAAACTTCATAGCTGCATAAACCGTGAGTAGAAGTCTTACCCCCATCCCCAAAGTGACTCCCATCATTCCTGGGAATTACCAAGTTGTGGATACCCATAAACTCATTAGTGGTAGCAATGGTATCTACTCTGTATTGCTCATATTCTCTCTCTGGAGTTGAAAGCTGGCTTCCCAAATATCACTAACATAGCCTGCTGATAAGACAAAGCTGAGTTGATTGCTTACCATGGAAAGGGAGAACTCCACCTCATAAAGCTTTGGTAGCATCTCCAAAGGTGAAAGGGAAGGTTGGAATTTTTTGAGAATTAGAAGTTTGGTTTCAGGTGGGTCTTTCAAATTCCCCTTAATTAGCAATGCGGAAAGATCAAGATACAGCCGACTAGACTCTGGTGGGAATAGCAAGCTGAAGATTTTGAGGCATAGGATTCAAAGAATCTTAGGATGTAAGTGGTCTGATGATACTTTTCACTGAAGAGTTGAAGGGTCTTTCAGGACCCCTTTAGGAAATTCTTAATCAACAATCAAACTATTTGCCCAGGCAGGAGACTCCTGGAAAAACAAAGCCACACTAATGAAGACAGAGAGAGAGAAAGTCACATTATTGTATACAGTAAGGGATGGTTTCTGTTCTGTGTCTAGGCTGTCCATGGTATAGATAGTTTTGGTTCTCATGAGCACTGATTTGTCTATCACTTCTGCCCACCACACACTTGGAAAATCTTCACTACAGCCAGTTTCTTCCTGAGAACCTCAATATTGATTCTATGTGCTGGATTAAGATGCTCCAAAAAGCTTCAAATGCTCTTTTTCCCAGAATGGATGATAGAGGCAGCCTTCCTCCCTAAATTGTACCACACTCTGTCACCAGACCCAGTAAAGCAGCTTCTGCTTCTCAAACTCTGTCTTCTTGGGGGGCTCAAAACCAGCCCAAGGAACTAAGGCATACAGACATTACCATGGCCCAAACTGCTTTTCTCCCCTTCTCAGTTTCTCTCTTCTCTAAAACTTCTCCCACCTCTCCCAAGAAAAACAAAACCAAATCTCCTGTGTAGATGACTGGAGATCTACTGACACACTGATGGGGTGTGTTTGTGTTGCATGGTGCTGTCTAGATGAAAGCATGGGTGGGATGAATGGGGGTTGGGGTTGGGTGCAGTCAACACTAGCAAGTACCCACCCAATGTATCCTGTGATACTTGTATTATTCACTGCTCTTGGAAAACCTCCCACTTCTCTCTAATTCTATTAACACTCAATCCTTCCCATGTTGCCTCTTTCATAAGATGATCAATATTAATTTCAGTATCTATTAATCTTGTCCAAATGCCCTTTGGCATTTACTTATGTTCAATTTGCTTTTCAATCACGTTCTGCTTTAAATTGTTCTTAAAATGTTCCCCCTAACATTTTATTATTAAAATTTTCAAACATACAGAAAGGTGAAAAGAATTATACAGCTTATACCCATTGCTTAGGACAGATATGAGAAAACTTTTTCTTTAAAGGGTTGAATAGTAAATCTTTTAGCCTTTGCTGGACATATAGTCTCTGTTGCAGCTATGCAGCAGTGTAGTGCAAATGCACCATAGACTGTATGTAAATGAGTGGGCATATAGGTATGTTCTAATAAAACTTTATTTATAAAACAAGCATGTCCTGACCTGCAACCTAGACTGTACCATTAATGTTACTAATTTTACCATACTTGTTTTTATCATATATTCATCCATTCCTCTACATATCTCTCATCTATCACAGTTTTGATGCATTTCAAATTAAGCTCCCCTAAACACATACATCAGTTTTTATGTTTATTGTTTCACATGTACAATTATTTTTTTCCCCAAAAGACAGTATTTTTTTTTTTTTTTTTGAGACAGAGTCTTGCTTGTTGCCCAGGCTAGAGTGCAGTGTCATGATCCTGTGGTCTTGAACTACTAGACTTAAGCGATCATCCCACCTTAGCCTCCGGAGTAGCTAGTACTAAAGGTGTGTGCACCATCATGCCTAGATAATTTTTATTTTTAAATTTTTTTGTAGAGATGGGGTCTCATTATGTGCCCAGGTTGGTCTCAAACTCCTGGGCTAATGTGATGCTCTTATCTTGGACGCCCAAAATGCTGGGATTTGTAAGTTTTGTAATAACAAAAATTATTAAGATCATCTCAAAGTCTAATGCTCTCAGAAGCCTCCCCTTATTTTTTGCAGTCAGAAGTAATTGCTACTTTTCACATGTATTCATTAGTTCAACAAATATTTATCTGCTATTTTTTCAAGCACAGCTGTAAATAGGATTCAAAAATAAAGGTAGGCATTTATTGTCTAATGAATAAACAGATATGTAAATAAACTAATACAAGGCAATTGATAATAGAGGTGGAAACAAAGATTTTAACTTAAAGAGAAAGGACATAAACTGTGCCCTGGGGGAATTAGAAGAGGCTTCGCTTCTCTGGAAGTTCAAGATGGGATTAAAGAGTGAGCTAGGGCCGGGCGCGGTGGCTCACGCCTACAATCCCAGCACTTTGGGGGGTCAAGGCTGGCAGATCAGGAGTTTGGCTGGCTGAGGTCAGGAGTTTGAGACCAGCCTGGCCAACATGATGCAACCCCATCTCTACTAAAAATACAAAATAATTAGCTGGGCGTGGTCGCTCATGCCTGGAATCCCAGCTACCCGGGAGGCTGAGGCAGGAGAATTGCTGGAACCCGGGAGGCAAAGGCTGCAGTGAGCTAAGATCGCACCAGTGCACTCCAGCCTGAGTGACAGAGGGAGACTGTCTCAAAAAAAAAAAAAAAAAAGTGAAAGAGTGAGCTGGGTTTCCCCGTAACACTACATTTATGTTGCACTGGTGCACAGGTGCAATGATAGATCCATCATTTGGGATTTGTTCTGCACTAAGAAACTTCTCAGAGGTCACTGTTGGAGACAACACTTATCTCTTGTCTTCCTTTATCTACACTGAAGGATTTACTCTAGAGCATTCAGTCCTATTGTTGTAGTTCTTACTTTATGCCAGTGGCTCACCAATTTGAGCATGCATGGGAATCACCTGGAGGATTTGTTAAATGATAGATTACTAAACCCAATTCCAGATAGCCTTATTCAGTAGCTATGGGATATGGACCAAGAGTCTGGATTTTAACAAGTATTCAGATGATGCTGATGTTGCTGATTCAGGGACCCCATACTTTGAGAACCATTGCTCTAAGCAATACCATCCATTCTAGCTACTTATTCTTTTTTTTACAAAAAAATCTGAAACATCTTTTGAGTATTTTGCAAGATGCTTTCTTGAAAGTTTGTACCAGTTTACACCGCTATTATGAGCATACCCATATTTTGATACTAACACTATAAATATTAATAAAAGTGGAAACGAAGAATTTGTTTTTTAATAAACATTAAAAAATGATATCTTATTTTGTAGGTTGCAAGTGATACATTGATCTTTTCCTTGATAGTTCTTTGTGAAATTAAAGATTTTTAAATGTCTCTAGGTAATTTATTGTTATTATTTTGTTTTGTGAATTCCCTAGTTACATATTTAACTCACATTTCCATGGTAGGTGGGTAGAGGGATTGAGATATTCTAAAGGATTTGTAGGAGCTCTTTTTATATTAAAAGATTTTTGATTGTATTTGTTGCAAATATTTTCCTACTTTGTTGTTTTCCTTTTGATTATGTGTGCAATTTTTAATGTAAAATTTAAGCTTAACTTATTTTGAAAAAATTGTAGACTCATGGGAAATTAAATATTATATATTAAATATTTTATATATTATATATTATATATATCTATTTATATATAGATATATAAAATATAAATACTTATATATATTTTATATATATATATATATGTACAGGGAAGCCTTGTGTGCCCTTTACCAGCCTCCCCAGTGGTAACACCTTGAACAGCCATTGTTCCATAGCAAAACCAAGAAACTGACATTGACATTGGTATAGTGTCCACAGAGCTTGGATTTTACCAGTATTACATGCACTCCTGTGTGTGGACGTATAATTCTGCACAATTTGATCACATAGAATGTGTACACGTCACCAAAATCCATATCCAGAACTGCTTCATCACCACAAGGTGCCCTCTTTCTACCCCCTTTAGCAGTACCCACCACCCCCTGGCAACTACTAATTTGTTTTCTACCTCTATAATTTTGTCATCTCAAGAATGTTATTTAATGGAATCATACAGTATGCAACCTTTTGAGATTAGCTTTTTTTTTCTTCTTAGCATAATTCCTTGGAGGTCTGTTCAAGTTTCTGTGTGTGTCAATAGTTTGCCCCTTTTCCTTGCTGAGTAGTAGGCTGTGATGTGTATGGGCTACAGTTTGTTTGAACATTTACCTATTGAGGGATATATGAGTTATTTCCAAGTTTTTACTATTTTGAATGAAGCTGCTGTGATTGTTCCTGTGCAGGTTTTTGCACGAGCATAAAATTTCCTTTCTCCATCCTACCTTTTAAGATTGATAAAAGGGAAAGTTTTATCTCTGTCTGTCTAACTTCTACTTCTCTGTTGGTTTCAAACTTGGGATGGGATGAAAACAATGTAATTTTTTGAATCTCAACACATTTACAATCATGAATACAAATTGCCTAAAATATCCTGATCCCTTAATATAAATTCTGGCTTCCCCCAGTTGCTTTAAAAAAAAAAAAAGATAAAAATAACTTTCATCTTTTCAAAGGCCACATCTGAACTCCTCCAAATAGTGTAACTCATGTTGACCTTTTTCCTGCTGAACTACTGACCACTTGGAAGGGAAGGTGTTACTACCTTAGCAAGCACTGCTCCTCCTTCTACAGTTCTCACCAGGTCAAGATCAGTAAGGCCTCTTGAAACAGCCAGCTTGAAACACCAGAATTTGGATGCATTTGTGGAGGAGGTACAGCTCCACCATGTCTGCAAAAATCTCCCTCAGTCACTTTAATCTCCTTCAGGCTTTAGTTAACATTGTGATCCTGGGAGTCAACAGCCAAGAGGCAGCACCAAGCAAGAGTGGCACACAGGTTCTGTGTTCAGCCTTCCTAAAGCAGCACACTCTGATCCTCTGGCTGGCTGCAGATACTTCATATCCAGCTTCACCTATTTGTCTCATCAGTGACTCTGCTTTATTAACCGTTCCCTAGCTTCCCTGTATCTCCAGCCTTTCTCTTTCTACTTGATCTTTGCTCTAAGTATCTCCAGCCTTTCTCTTTCTACTTGATCTTTGCTCTAAGCCCTTGTTATCCAAAGTGAGGTGCAGGGAGCAGTGGCATCAGTGTCACTTGAGAGCTTGTTGAAAATGTTGAATCTGGCTGGGCACGGTGGCTCACACCTGTAATCCCAGCACTTTGGGAGGCTAAGGTGGGTGGATCATTTGAGGTCAGGAGTTTGAGACCAGCCTGGCCAACATGGTGAAACCCGTGTCTACTAAAAATACAAAAATTAGCCAGGCATGGTGGTGGGCCCTTCTACTCCCAGCTACTCGAGAGGCTGAGGGAGGAGAATCACTTGAACCTAGGAGGTGGAGGTTGCAGTGAGCCGAGATAGTGCCACTGCAAAGTAGCCTGGGCGACAAGCGAGACTCTGTCTCAAAAAATACATAGATAAATACATAAAATAAAAAATAGAGGAAGTGTCTAATCTGCCAGGTGTGATGGCTGGCTCACTCTGCAATCCCAGGGACTTGGGAGGCTGAGAGGGGAGGGTCGCTTGAGGTCAGTGAGCTGTGATTGCATCATTGGACTCTAGTCTGGGCGACAGAACTAGATGCCAACTCTTAAAAAATAAAAAGAAAGAAAAAAGAAAAAAATATCTAATCTCAAGACCTATCCCTGACCTTCTAAATCAGAGTCGACATTTTAACAAGAACTTTCCGGTGATTCATATGCATTAAAGTCTAAGAAGCTGCTCAGTTTACAGCATGTTCAATTCTTCACCATTTTAATATATGTGCTAGCAAAGTTTTCCCCACTAAAAAACAAAAAACAACAAACAAACAAACAAAAAACAACAAACATACAAAAGCCCACCCGCTCATCCCTTTCAATTTACTGCATCTCAATTCTCTTCCCTTTGTGGTTCTTGAAAAGTGATTGTTGACTTCCGCTCAAAGCATCGCAGGAAGTTCATAATTTGATGTAGCCTCTCAGCTCAAAATATAATAATGATAAATAAAATATTAAATGCAAAGTTAAAACTATTACTAGGGTTCAGAACAGAATAAAATTCTCCATGGATCAGAAAGAACAGAGACATTAAGTGGTAAGAGCGGGGCTGAAGCCACAGTTCTGCTCTGTCCTGGGTTCTAGAAGCAGGTAACAACAGCAGGGAGTTTGACTTCTGAGAGGGATAGTGGGGATGCAAGGGGCTCGATGCGGGGCAGAGTCAGTCTTGCTGCTTGAAGCAAGATAGGAGACATCTCATGAAATGTCATTATAGTGTCTAAGTCTGACTCTGAACCTGGGGTCCAGGTGAAAGCAACGTAGAAAGATAAAGAGGCAACATAAGAGAGAATCATACACACACCTCTCACTCAGAATGATTCTGCACACCAAAACTATAAAACAATAAAGAACTAAAATCAGGTTGATCCAGAATTCACATCAGATGAAATTAAAATAAAAAGATACAGGCCAGACATGGTGGCTCATGCCTGTAATCCCAGCACTTTGGAGGCCAAGATGGGCGGATCGTTTGAGCAGAGGAGTTTGAGACTAGTCTGGGCAACATGGAGAAACCCCATCTCTACAAAAAATACAAAAATTAGCTGGGCATGGGGGCGTGTGCCTGTGGTCCCAGCTACATGGGAGGCAAATCACCTAAGCCTGGGAAGTTGAGGCTGCCGTGAACCGTGATCGTGCCACTGCACTCCAGCCTGGGCAACTGGGGAAAGACACTGTCTCTCTCTGTTTCTCTCTCTCTCTCTCTCTCTCTCTCTCTCTCACACACACACACACACACACACACACACACACAAGATCCAAAAGCATTAACATCTATTAAAACAAAAATAAAAATTATGAAACTAAAACAAGTGAAAATGAAACAAAAATAGCTGGATATAAAAAAAGCATGAGATATTGGAAATTAAAAACATCTAAAATGAAATTTTTAAAAAACACCTCAACAAAAGAAATTAAACTCCAGATTATACATAGTTTAAGAGGCAGCTACTCAATTAGAAAAAAGGAGGGCATGACAACCCTATTCATTTTATGAGGCTAATATCACCTTATCACCAAAATGGAAAAGACCGTTATAGGACACTCATTAAAAAATTAGAAGAAACTATTGTAAGCAGGCAGGGAGGGTTTCCAGGGACTATAGGAATTTAATCAACTTGAGCAATCAGCCTGTTTTACGGCCTCTTGCTATGCAGCCCGGCTTTTCCTAAACCCTGTGTGGAATGCAGCCACCTAGTCTGCTGGAACCAGCTCCTGACAGATGCCAGCAATTTACAGATGAACCCCAGTGAACTTTTCCTAATTACTATACTGAAGTCTCCACCCTGGGAGGAGCTATATTCTCATTACCATAACATGCCACCTTTGGGCTGCCATGAAGACTCACTGCATCTGCACCAATGGGATTCCTCCCCTACATGTGAAGACACACCCTCTCCCCTCTCCATCATCCCATAAAACCCTCCTGTCACTCTCCCTGGAGGGGACACTTGCTTTAGAGAATACCGCAATAAAATGCCTCTTGATCAAAACCTGCATTCTCATGGAGAGTTGTTTGTTACTTGGCAGGCAAATGAATCCCAGTTTCTGTGGGGAGGTGGGGGTAACAATATCTTAAATAGAGTGATACAAAATAAATTTGAAAGTATTTTTAAAAATACATCACAACCAAGTAGAGTTTATCTCTGAAGTGCAAGGATGTTTGGATATGTTAAAAAATGTAGGCCAGGCATGGTGGCTCACGCCTGTAGTCCTAGCACTCTGGGAGGCCGAGACAGGTGGATCATGAGGTCAGGAGATTGGGACCATCTTGGCTAACACGGTGAAACCCCGTCTCTACTAAAAATACAAAAAATTAGCTGGGCGTGGTGGCAGGCGCCTGTAGTCCCACTTACTCAGGAGGCTGAGGCAGGAGAATGGCCTGAACCCGGGAGGCAGAGGTTGCGGTGAGCCGAGATTGCACCACTGCACTCCAGCCTGGGCGACAGAGCGAGACTCCGTCTCAAAAAAAAAAAAAAAAGTATTAATGTAATGCACATAATTTGGAGATTGAAGGGATAATTATACTCTCAGATGCAAAAAAAAAATACAATGTATTTAGCATATGTTGCTTGATTTGAGCAAAATTCTCAGTACTTCCAGAGTAAGTTGTATCTATCAAAACAATAGCTGGATAAGTGGCCCTTATGGTGAAATTTCAGAGGCACACCCATAAATGTCAGGGACAGGGCATTGTCACTTCTTCAGCTTAATAATGTGACAAAGGTCTTAGACAATGCAATGAAAGAAACAAAACAAACAAAAGAAATAAGCATAGCATTTGGTAGTGAAGATTTGAATAGAACAAGGATTTTATTTTGTTCCAGATGATACAATATTCTACATATAAAATCTGAGAGATTTTATATGCCATTCAACTGTTAAGAGAGTTCAACTGTTAAGACAGTTCTGCAAGTTTGTGTGTTATGAGATCAACCTACAGAAATTGTTTGGATTAAAAAAAGAATTTTTTTTTTTTCTGTCACCCAGTCTGGAGTGCAATGGCATGAACACAGTTCACTGCTGCCTCGAACTCCAAGGCTCAAGCAAGCCTCCTGCCTCAGTTTCCTGAGTAGCTGGGACTACAGGCACGTGCCACCATGACTAGCTAATTTCTAAAAAGTTTCTGTAGAGACAGGGTCTACCTATGTTGCCCAGGCTGGTCTTGAACTCCTAATTGTATTATAGTGATAATAGAATACTATATAGCAATTAAAATGAGAGCACTAGTGATATATATCTCAATAATTACATTTCAAAAATGTGATACTGAATTAATAACAACTTGCCCAATGATATACACATTGACACCACTTATATAAAATTTGAAAATATTCAAAACAATATTATATATATTCTTATGCATATATGTAGTTTCATAATCATGCACAAAATGATCAATATCAAACTCTCAAGATGGTGGCTGCACGGGAGTGAGGAGAAAGGAGAATAGGATAAAAGAAAGTCATATAGGAGGTTTCAACTGCATCTGTAGTGTTTCGGTTGTTTTTAAAACATCTGAAACAAATCTAGCAAAATGTTAAGCTTTGAAAAAGCCAGTAAGTAGGTACTTTTAAATTATTTTCTATACTTTTCTCATGTTTAAAATATTTCATGGAAAATTTTATGGAGGAATCGGCTATGTTTATTTCTGTCTCTAGGTACCTTGCTCACGGCTCTTTTATCTGCTACCCTCGTGCAATCTGGTTTCCTCTCCTAATTCTCTTTAGGTCGCCCATGGCTTCTGAGTTGCTGTTAGCCCACAGGTGCATTTCTGCTACTGCCTCACTTGACCTATCTGATATTTGATACTGATGTCATTCCTTTTTCCTCCTAATGGTTGCCCCTCTTCCTTCCCTCAGTTTTTGGGTTTCTTCCTAAGTGTGGCTATTTCTTGTCAGTGCCCTTTGCAGATGTCTGTTCTTCTCCTTGCCACTGAAATGACCCATTTTGGACTCCTGACCTCAAGAACATAAATAACATTTGTGTTGTTGATGGTAGTAGCCAGTAAGTATATAGTAACTTGTTACCAGCAGCACGGGGAAGTCATATATCCACCTAAACTGTTTCTTCTCCATTGCAACCTAGTTATCGAAGTCATTCTAGATTCTCTTTCTCCATTTACATCCAAGGAAGGGCTAAGTCCCATTGATGCCATTTCTTTCTGGCTCTCCTCACAACCTCCTGCCTGCCTCACTGAAATGACCTTCCAGAACTCTGTGACTCCTTTTCTTTGTTCCTTTTCAATTCTCACAATCACACCCATTCTTCCCCAGGCTGCCAGAGCAATCTTTGTGAAATGTGTATCTGATCCCAGGATGTTTTAATTAAAATCCTTTCATGCTTCTTCATTGCTTTTAGGATGAAGTTCAAATTATTTAGGGGAGCACACAAAGCCATTGCCGAGATTTCTCGACTCTCATCTCAGACCATGTCTGCAGCCACTTTCTTGCTCCAGTCAACACTGCAGCTTACTTAAGCAAATGTTCTTAGTGAGGACTTTGCATGACAGTTATCTATCACACACTTTTAAAACTATACAAGCATTGACCCGGTTTTAGGGGATTTTTAGTAGGTTTGGGAACACTGAGGATGAATGAAGAAAGCTCTCAAGCCATTCTAATTAACGACTGTTGCCTGAGTGCATTTAGCTGTTTCATGGCACCATGCTTCCCTTCAAGCTGTGCCATCTGCCCGGCATCTCTCCCCACCGCTTTTGATCTCAGCATAGCCTTGAAGCACATTTCTCCCTCCATATAGCCTTCTGATCTGATTAGGTGCTCTTCTAAGTGCTCCCGTGGACATCTAAGCATGCTTTCCGATTTGCCTTTGGTCTCCTTGCCACATCATTCTTATCCATCCCTTCTCAGCTTCTTGAAGGCAGGAATCAGGCAATTCTTAGCACCTCACACAGTACCTGGAATACAGTGATTGCTCCAGTGATTGTATCCCTTACTTGCTTTTCTCCTACCCTCTGCCTGAAGCACTCCCACAGACACAGCACTGGGATTTCCAATTCTGGTCCCTTCTGTCCTGTTTGGACCTACTGTCACCCATTCCCAGGTGTGTCTTCTGATTCTTCTCATCACACTGTAAATTAGCCCAAGCCTGAAGTTCAGAGAAGACCAAAGGATTTAGTCAGATGAAATAGGTCAGAATGACTCTGTTCTTGTTATTTTCCATCAACCAGCCAGTCATTGCCAGTAAGCTGGGTTGACCTTTTGGGGTTGGGGCACTGTGGTAGACATGTTCCAAATAGCTTTAGTGGCTGGTCCTCTTCCTGGCTTCTAAAAGATGATCTATGAATTTGCCAGAGGGTAGGACTGAGAATTTTTCTATCTAGGGCAGGATAAACAGAAGGAAAAGCTTAAGACAGGGGCTAATCCATAGTCTTTTAAGCAAATATTTTTTCCCTCACGTCTTCTTTGCACGAGTCTGCAAGCCATTGATCTGTTATGTTCTCCCACAGATATGTTACTCAGGCTGTAAAATTAAAACACACATAAATTACTTAACAGTTTTATGATATTGAGTTAATTAGATAAAACTCTCTCATGAAAACATTTGGCAAATAACACAGAATTCTTTCTGCTATAATTTATTGAATGTGTGAAACACAGGTTTCCAATCAGCCTTCAGTCTGGACAGAGAAAGAACACTCTGATTTCAAGGCCAACTGATTTCAAAATCCAGACCCTGGGTCATTCCGAGCATGCTTATAAACAATCCGACAATTAAAAAAAGAAAAAAAAAACAGTAAAGTGTGAACACAGGAATTACGTCTAGCCAATCAGTATAGTCTATCCTCCTAAACATTGTGTATAAATCAAGGTTAGACATGTTCCAAACCAGCCAATAATATTCAACCCCAGAAGTTGAATTGGCATCATTGGGAAAGAAAATCTCTTTTTCCTCTGGCAATACTAACTGTAAGGATAACTTATGTTAGAGCTGCTCTGAACCCCAATAGAGAAAATTATTTCAAGAATAAAGTTATTAAATGCAAAAGATTATATATGTATACACATACAATAATGCATAATATAATTCTTCTGTATATAATAATTTTTCTGTATCAGAAAAAGAGAGAGGTTGAGATGGAGAGAGAGAGAGAGAGAGAGACTTGTCATATCTTTTGAGATCCCCTTATAAATCAGAGCTACCCCTGAACTTTACTTGAGCCAATAAATTTTCTCCTTGCCCAAACCAATTAGAGATTTTTTCTTCCCTTGCAGCTTAAAGAATACTGGCCATTGGAGAAAAAATATTAATATCCCATTTTATAGAGGGAGAAGATTTAAGGATTTATTGAAAGCCACATGGCTGGGTAATGAGATAGTTCAGCAGTGATGCCACCAACCACCTCAAAGTCTTCATCTGCAGCACTGACTCATGAGTCAGCCCTTTCCCTTAAGGGTGTGACGGGCTGTACTAGGGCCTTTAATTTCAGCAAGCTACCTGCTGCCATAACATCTTGTATTAATCCATTTTCATACTGCTATGAAGAAATACCTGAGACTAGGCAATTTTGAAAGAAAAAGGGGTTTA
This sequence comes from Homo sapiens, assembly GCF_000001405.40. Lineage (NCBI taxonomy): Eukaryota > Metazoa > Chordata > Mammalia > Primates > Hominidae > Homo > Homo sapiens. Next base: position 55,185,427 of record NC_000018.10, on the reverse strand, counting down.
ATGGACTCACAGTTCCACATGGCTGGGGATGCCTCACAATTATGGTGGAAGGCAAAGGAAGAGCAAAGGCACGTCTTACTTGGCAGCAGGCAGGAGAGTGTGTGCAGGGGAACTGCCGTTTATAAAACCATCAGATCTTGTGAGACTTATTCACTATCATAAGAACAGCATGGGGAAACCCCGCCCCCTTGATTCAATCACCTCCCACCTGGTCCCTCCCATGACATGTGGAGATTACGGGAGCTACAACTCAAGATGAGATTTGGGTGGGAACACAGCCAAACCATATCACATCTCCAGGTGCAGGCAAAGCTAGATGCTCTAAAGCTTCACTTTCCTGTTCTTTCAGTTTTCAGTTGTCCAGGAACAGTCTCAATATAACTCATATCGTCAGACTCCTTCATCAACTTTATTATTCATCACCACATGATTAAGTATCTGATGATCCCCTTTTTAAATAACCCCATAAATATGACTATCTGACTATCTTCCAAATCCTCCTATGATCCTCCCAAAACTTCTGCCCTACTTCCTTACCTCTCTTTCATCGACTAATTTAATAGGGCTTTTTGTCTCTAACAATCCCCAGCAATTGCTATCACTTATTTAGGTCACCTACATCTTGAAAAGCCTACTCTCCATCCTCATACTATCTGAATTCTCGATGGCAATTGACATGAATGGCCACCGTTTCCTTTCTGAAGCTTTTTTCTTTGGCAGCTTGCACTTAAATTTTTCTTCTTATTTCATGAACTTGTTACTCTCAATCACTTTGCCAGCTCCTCTTCTTCCCCCAAGCCTCCAAATGCTGGAATGCCCCCAGGGCATTTTCTTCAGACTTTTTTCCTCACTATCAGCAATTTATTTCCAGGTGGTCCCAGCTTGTCCTATGACTCCACATTTATGTCTCCAGCCTGGTTCTCTCCCCTGAGCTTCAGATGCCTACTCAACTTCCCAACTAGGATATCTACCCATCTCATTGTCCCTTCTTTTTGAAATGAATTCCCTTCAAACAGTGACATGATTGTCTCCTTCTTATCAGTTAAATCTCAACATAAATGCCATTTCCTCAATAAGGCTTTCTCTGACCATCCTAATTAAGTTACTACTTCTTCATAGCCCCTGGCAATCATTCTCCATCACTTTATCATATACATATATGTATATACACACACACACACACACACACACAATATACTATATATATTTTACTATTATACTATATATAATATAGTATATATATTTTACTATTATACTATATATAATATGGTATATATATTTTACTATTATACTATATATATATAATACTATATATATATATTTTGAGATACAGTCTCAGTCTGTTGCCTAGACTGGAGTGCAGTGGCACAGTCATAGCTCACTGCAACCTTGAACTCCTGGGCTAAAGTGATCCTCCCACCTCAGCCTCCCAGGTAGCTGGGACTATAGGTGTGTGCCACCATGCCCAGATAATTTTAAAAATTTTTATTCTTTGTAGACATGGGGTCTCACTATGTTTCACAGGCTGGTCTTAAACTCCTGGCCACAAGCAATCCTCCCATTATAGCCTTCCAAAGTGCTGGCTGGGATTACAAACATGAGCCACTATGCCTGGCCATTTATACAATTTTTAAAAAATTTGCCTTCATTTTTATCTTATACTGGAATATATATGACTTATTAACTTGTTTACATGATTTTTGTTTGTTTCCTCCTTGTACCAGCTAGCTATTGCTATATAACAAATTACCCCAGTGCTCAATGGCTTACAACAGTATGCATTTCTTATAATATATTGCTTCTTATTCATAAGTCTGTGGTTTATCAGAGTATTTCTTCGTGTTGTGTCTGAGCTCACTCGTCTGTCAATTCAGAAGGTTTTCTAGCTCTCCTCTGGGGTACTTTGCCTCTCCACTATGTTTTCTGTCATCCTCCAGTAGGCCACCATGGGCTTTTTTAAATGACAGTGACAGAATCTGAGAGATGGCATAGAAGTGTGTAAGGCCTTTTGAAGGTTAGACTCAGAACTGTCAAACTGTCACTACTACCTCTGCCACAGCCTAAGAGCTAAGACAAATCCCAAGACCAAACTCAGAGTCAGTGTAAAAGGGCACTACCAAAGGGCACAGGTGAAAGTAGTGTAAAAAATTGAAGCCACAATCAATCTAACAGACCCCTTATGAGGACTTAAGCTCTTTGAGAACAAGTGCCTTATCTTCTTGTTTGTATCCTTAGCACTTAAAATAGTGCCTGGCAGAGAGAGAGAGAGAGAGAGAGAGAGAGAGAGAGAGAGATTCTGACTGATTAGAAGTTTGGGCTCCTTGTTTGGAGTCTAATTCTCTCCTCCCCTTCTGCGTTGCCTGTGAAGTTTTTGCCTGTGTATTTCATACTATGTATATAATACACTCAATGGATATGGTTCTTTTTTAAAAGAGAAGATATGAGCTAAGAGAAACTGATGGAGGTTTATAGGATTTCCCCCAGGAAAGGCTGACACCTAACTAAAGGGAGGATTACTTGGGGAATGGAGAGTGGGAGGGTTTGGAGAAGATGAGGAAAATAGGGCATTGCTAGAATGTAAGCTCCATAAAGACAAGGATGGTGTATCCATAATTCACGGCTATGCCCAATGCCAAGCTCAGTGCCTTGCACATTAGGTGGCCAATAAATTAATGTTAATTAAATGAGTAAATGAGCAACATGTCTGTTTATGTTCAGGAAGCCAAAGTAAGTTATGGGATGTGATGACGATGTACTCTGGAGAATGACTGTGGGAAGGAAGACCTGAAATGGAAACACAGAAGTTCTGAACTCAGACCAGGCATATGGACAGGGAGACTTTATTTCCTTGTGATGTCTTAGAGTAGAACAAGGGATTTCAGAGGCATAGGAGAAAGGACGAAGGGGAGGAAGACATTTGAAACTTAGGGTGAGACTTGACAGAAGATGCAGGGGCAGGGAGTTGATTATCAAGGAAGAAGAAATGCTTGTGCTGGGGTCTCAGGGAGAGGGCGACAGAATAAGCCAGCGAAGTTTTGTTCAGATCCATGCCATTCCATCAGGAACCATCAGTATGAGCCTCTCTTGTCCTCTCCCCAAACTTTTTCAAATGTCTTCATGTCCTAGACCGGCCTGAAACACTCTGAAATGAATTTGACATACCCTAACTTAAGACCTGTGCATACAAACGCAAGTTCCAGGCTGAGTTTGGTGTTTAGGGCCACCCAAATTTGGGGTGGGGCCAACGATATTTTGAATGTCTTCCTTGTTCAAGTTTACCATATGTACTTAATCAGGTTGGTGTTGCAGCCTCGATGCCATCCCCCATATTTCCTGAGTGAGGCCAAAGCCTCCGTTGATGATTTTAAAGCTCCAAGAGGCCCTGGGTGGCACTGTGCTGGGGCCCATGAAGGTGAAGTCAAGCCAGCTTGGAACTGAGGATTATTATTCCCAGCTCCTGCCTCTTTCATATTAAGCAACTAATATTTGTGCCATCCTCAGAGGACACAGGGAATCACGCACATTGACACACATGGGCACCAGATGATTTGGACACAGAGCTGTGTTGGCTGGTTTTAAAAGCCCAGTGAAAGCAAGCATATAATGTGTTCAGAACTTTTGCCACATTCTATATGAATTTAATAGAGAAGACCCTCACTTTTCTTTACCACAGCACTGGACTTCCTTTCCTAGCTAGAAATTTTAAAAATTGGAAAGAAAAAGAACATCATATTGACTCTCTTTAGCCTCAGTTTCTACATCTGTAAAGACAGGGATGGTTATCCCCATTCTGCAGATATGCTCTGCTAGAAATCATATATACAATGATTTCTAGTCACACAATAGGCTTTCAACAAATAGTGGATACTTTTGCTATTGTCATCATCATTATCATCATTATCATCTTCATCATCATCATCATCTACACAGAGAAATTAGACTCAGAAAAACTGGATGACTTGTTAAATATGGTGGAGTTACAAAATCTTGTAACAGACAAGTGCATGGATCACTTGGGTTGCTTCCCTGCTAAAGCCTATCCTTTGTAACAACAGTATCTCACACTTTGTATTGCTTGCTATTTCCCTGAACATTTTCAATCTCCTTTGGTGCATCAGTCAGAAAAGCCTGTATTATGTTGCAGTAACAGGCAATCTCAAAAATCTCTATGACTGAAATTAACAAATGTCTATTTCTCATTCCCGTTACATGTCCATTATAAGTTGGCAGAGCTCTGCAAACATCAGATTTACTCAGGAATCCAGGATGATGGAGCCAGCACTATCTTGATTATTGGATAATGTGCCAGAGGGAAAGAGAGCTCTGGGAGGTCCAGAACTGATAATTCAATGCTCTGGCTTGGATGTGGTCCCGGTTAGTTCTGCTCACAACTCCTTGGTTATAACTAATCACATGACCCTACTCATCATAAAGGGACAGGGGGTGCAAACTCACCCATATGCCTGGAAAGTAGAAAGCTAGAAATTATTGAGCATTGATGACAGGTATATTATGCTATCACAACTACTCTTTGAGGTAGGGAGAACAAATGTCATTATTCAGTTATTCTGAAAAAGGAAAATTAGACCCAGAAGGGACTGTCAATTACATGGATGGAAGGGAAGTAAGGATATTTTTGCTGATGAGAAATAAGGTCCCATATCCTTCGAAAGTGTGGTATAAGTTTTGGCATCTCCTTCTTTTCCACACACTTCCCATTATTTCTGCTACAAACTACTATCCTGCCCAACCAACTTGTTACCCTCTATTTGCTTAACATTTAACCAAGCATTTGCACACATTTTTTTTTCTTGTGGAAATATATAAAAGCAAAGAAATGTAGAGTTGTAAGGAACACTAGAAATGAGCTTTTTGATTATCTGTTGCTTTATAGCCAACTTTCCCAAAGCTTAGTTGTTCAAAGGAACCATTTTATTTTATTCAGAGATGTAGGACAGGGATTCAGGATGGATTTGGATTGATGGTTCAACTCCAATCCACATAACATCAGTTGTGGCAGTGCCTAAAGAAGCCACTTCCAAAATGGCTTCCTCAGTCATTTGTCTGGTGCCTTGGGGATCCTTGGCTTTTCTCTTTCTTCCTGTAATGCTTCTTATCCTCCAAGACCCCACAGTGGAGCTTGATCTTCTCACAGCATGGTGGCCTCTGAGCAGTTGGACTTTTTACATGAAAGCTTAGGGTTCCAAGGATGAGTCTTTCAATGACCTAGCTTCAGAAGTTCAACAATGTCATTTCTACTGCAGTCAGTTGATCAAGCAAGTCCATAGGGGAGCCCAGATTCAAAGGAAGGGGATTAGACACATTATCCTTATGGAAGACAGCCCAAAGATAGAGAGTTGCTGAATGTTTTGCCAAAGTTGTGTTGTTGTGTTGGAAAAATGCCACATACCAAAAGGTTTAGAAATGCTGAATGTTTTGCCAAAGTTTAACAGGTCTCTGTATTCCCCATCTGATTTCCTGCCCTTGACACAATCTCCCCTTTCTCTCTTACAAACTATAGACTTCCTCTGGACCTGAGGTTTTTTTTGTCATAAAAATATAAAACTGAAAAGGTGATCCCTGAGGTTACTTCCTCTCTAACATATATTTAGCAATTCCTATAATTTCCATCTCTCCTTCAAATTTTGCTTAAAATTCTCCTTCTGTAGAAGATCTTCTGATGAATGAAATCTGGATTTAATCACACACTCTCCATTAGTGAATTTCCTCGGCACACATGTGGGTAGCTCTTGCACTAAAATCAAGTTCTGTACTCGCTTTAATGTGTCACAAGCCCCGATTGCCAGCAACTTCATCTGACATTGATCTCTTCCTTCCAAAAATTCCTATTACATTTTTAGTTCAAACCACAGAATTTGGCATTTCAGAACATGGCGTCTTGCATCGCTTTTAAATTGTTTCATGTGTACATAAAAGTTATGTCTTGCCAACTGGACTTTTAAACTCTTCACAGTCACTCTCCATGCTTTATACTTTTAAGAATTTAGCACAGTAATGGGTAAAAGAAGGGTGTAATAACGCTCATTGATGATGTTTGTGTTTCCTTTTACGCTCTTGTACATTAGTTTGCTTGTCATTTCCTTTTTGGTTAGTTTATCAAGAGCAGAAGCCTTCTTTATTTCACTGGTATCTCTCCAGATAATTAGATACTCTGTGGTGTAGCATTCATGACACACATTTTATACATTTTCCAGGATAGCTTCTTCCATCTGATTTACTAATCCAAGAGTCATACCAACACACCAAGAAACTTTCCCTGAAATCCTGATTGTCTACCTGTAAATGCTTCAGTATTTTCTTACAAAACAAAAATGTCATTATCAAACCAAGAATTGGAATATTGATGTAATAACAACATTAAATATAGTTCATAGTCAAACATTCATTTTTGCAATAATTTTTAATATGGTTTTATTTTTGATCCCATCTAGAATCACACATTACATTTAGTTGTCATGATTTTTTAACTCCTTTAATATTCATGAAATGAAGATATTTGAAGATCCCAGGACCCCCTTCTTTTTTGGTAGGATATCTCCCAGCATTTATGGTTAGATACAAGTCAAGCAAATTGGACAGGAGAACTACGTGAGGGTTGTTGTGTAACTCCCACTGCCTCCCTTAAGGCGGCACCTCATCCCAGTTTGTCCCGTAATCAGTGATGCTAAATTTGAATACTTGATTATGGTGGTATTTACCTGATTTTTCCATTGAAAAGGCACTTCTTCCACTTTGGAAATAATAATTCAACTCTGGGGTCATATTTTGAAATTATTTGTATAACCCGTTCTCCTATAGCTTTTCATCTGATGCTTTCGGTAACCACCAATGATCCCTGGCAGACTTAATTATTCCATTGACTGCATTGCATTTTTAGCTGCTATTTCAATCCCTTTTATAGCATCATTATAAATCTGTAACTCTTTTCTTTATTCAAGATGCTATAACTTTTTACCACAATTCCCTTTTTATGCTCAATTTTTTACACATTTGGTTAATGAGAGCTTCTTCAAGTTGGATCTTGACTGTTTTTGACCTGTCCTATCTGATTTTGAGACAGTCTTTGATTTATAACATCAGATTTCTGGGGTGACCTTGTACTTTTCCTACCCCTGACCTGTTGTCTGCCATTTTCCCACTGATACCTTATCCTTTTAATAAAGAATGGTAATTAGGAACCAAGATCTGAATTTTAAGTGTCTCACTGCTACTGAAGTCCATTGCCTGCAGGTAATTTCGGTCAGCAGAACTTGTGTGTGTGTGTGTGTGTCTGTGAGTGTGTGTATTTAAATTACCTCCAATATAAAAAAATACCACAGGGTTTTAAAATTATTTTTATTTTATTTATTTTATATTGTCTCTCCCTTCTCCCATAGGCAGAAGCTCTGTTCCCAAACATATCAGTATATGTGCTTATCTACTGTACTTAGAATACATAGAACATAGTTTTGAAATCTTCTTTTGATATCATTACCAACAATCAAATTATTAAATAAGGTTCAGTATTTTTATATTTTTTGAAAATCTTCTTGTCACTAGCATACATTCCACTAAGGTTTATGATCAAGTTACTGTGTTCAAAAGTATAGGAATTAATTTATCTTTTCCTGTGTGCTTGGGTTTTTCCATAGTTTATTCATAGGTTGAGATTTCTTTCTTCATAGTACCATTCTGGCTTTTCAACCTATGAATAAACTATGGAACAACCGCCCCATGAAATTATCTGCATTATTAAAATTAATGAGGAAGGACTGGGTGCATTGGCTCACGCCTGTAATCTCAACACTTTGGAAGGCCAAGGGTGACAGAGAAGGTTGAAAAAAAGGAGTTGTTTCCTGGTTTCGTCTGTCATAAAAATAACTTTAATAATAGAAAGTATAGTGGGAAAAAAGGGGGATGTTTTCTCTATGTTATAGCTTCGCCAAATCACATTGAAACACATTTCTCAACTTCAAGGTTACTTTCCGACAGTAGGGTGTGTTCAATCAATCCAGGGATATGGCTGGTAGAGTTGACTATTCTGAGAACAAATGGGTCAGCAAACTCAATTATAGAGTAAGGCTTAGACGTGATATAAAAGATGTGCACCAGAGATGTGCTATCTGCTCTCATTGATGCCCAAGACATACAAGGCCTTGGCTTACATGGCTGATTTCCAACGTTCCAATAATATTAGGTGATTATATGAGATGTCTTGTTGAAAAAAAACCCAATTCTTGTTTCTAAAATGTGTATTATGGAACAAATAGACTTGTAAAACTCAACTTTATTTGCAGTCATTTTAAGTGTGATTATGATGGGTTTTGACAAGTATGCAAACCTATGTAACCTTCATCTTCATTTATATATATTGCATTTCTATAACTATAAAATGTTTTTTATGCTTCTTGTAGTCAACACCACTCTCTCACCCAGACCCCAGGTGTCCACTGCTCGGCTTTCTGTCACTATAGATTAGATGTGTCATTTTTACAATTTTATATCATTGGAATCATATAGTATGTGCTCTTTTTGTCTGACTTCTTTTGCTCAGTAACAGGTTTTTGAGTTTGTTTCTATTTATCTTGAGTAGAATTCTATTATGTAGCTTTATCTTAGTAGTTTGTATCTATCCAACTTTTGATGGATTTGGGCTGTTTCTAGTTTGGGGCAATTATAAATAAAACTGCTATAAACATCCTTAAACAAGTCTTACTATGATGTGTGTTTTCATTTCCCTTGGGTAAAGACCTAGGTGTGAATTGATAAGTTGTAAAATAAGCATATGTTTAACTTTTTAAGAAACTGCCAAACTGTTTTACTTTTTCACCTGAAGTGCATGAGAGGTCCTAGTAATTCACATCCTTGTCAACACATAGTATTGTCAGTCTTCTGAAATTTAGCTACTTTATTGAGTATGTAGCAGTAGCTAGTTGCATTTTTAGTTTGTGATGACTAATGATGTTGAGCATCTGTTCTGTACTTATTGGCCATTTAAAAAGTTTCTTTTGGCAGTGATTGTTGAAACCTTTCTTCTGTTAAAACATTTAAAAAAATCTTCTTACTGAGTGGTAAAAGGTGTTTCTTTTCCTTTCTATTCTAGAAGTCCTTTGTTAAATATATGTAGGGCAAGTATTTTTTCCATCTTTGGCTTGCCTTTTTATTGTTTTACAGGTGAATATGATGAGTAGAAGTTTTTTGAAGAAGTCTAACATCAATTTTTTTCTTCTACTTATTTTTTCTCTCTCTCTCTCACTCTGTGAGTGTGTGTGTCCCATCCAAGAAATTTTTTGCCTACCTTAGTTTGGAAAAATTTTCTTCTATGTGTTCATCTAAAAGTTTTATAGTTTTATTAGGTTTATAATCCATTTTGAGTTAAATTGTGTGCATGATATGAGGTAATGTTTAAGGTTCCTCTGATATATACATATGAAAATCCAATTGTTCCAGACGTCATTTTACCATATAATCTAGGTTAACATCACCAGTAGTAAATCATGTTGGCATGAGGTATTACTGATATGATGTGATAAAAATGGCCCATCATCTTTGTGACATTCTTCTCTCAAATCCATAGCTCTATCTACTCAAGAGAAAACATTAGAAAAATCAAATTAAGGGATATTATGCCAAATACCTGAAAATTATTTTTTAAAAGATCATGAAAAACAAAAATATAGAAACTTTCATGGACTGGAGATGACAAAGGAGACATGACTACTAAATGCAATGTGGTATCCTTGATTGGATTCTGGAACAGAAAAAGGACATTAGTGGAAATATTGGTGAAATCCAAATGAAGTTTACACTTTAATTAATAGTATTGTAGTACTATTGTAGTTAATAGTGTTGTAATACAACATGGATACAATTACTATTCTATCTATGTTGATTTATCTAGTTTTGATAAGTCTATTATAGTCATGTAAGATGTTCACATTAGGAGCAGCTAGGTGAAGCACATATGATAATTCTCTCTACGAATCTTGCCACTTTTCTGCAAATCTAAAGTTATTTCAAAACTAAAAAGTGTGTTAAAATGATGTCTTCTGATCCGTTAACATGTGTCCACATCCAAATCTCATGTTAAATTGGAGGATGGGCCTGGTGAGGGGTGATTGAGTCATGGGAGTGGCTTTCCCCCTTGCTGTTGTAGTGATAGTGAGTAAGTTCTCATGAGATCTGATGGTTTAAAAATGTGTGGTACTTCCGCCTTCACTTTCTCTCTCCTGCCACCATGTGAAGTAGGTCCTTGCTTCCGCTTCACCTTCTGCCATGACTGTAAGTTTCCTGAGGCCTCCTAGTCATGCCTCCTGTTAAGCCTATGGACGTGTGAGTCAATTAAACTTCTTTTCTTCATAAATTATCCAGTCTCATGTAGTTTCTTAGAGCAGTGTGAAAGTGGATTAATACACATGGTATAATCTCTGTTTATTTAGGTTTTAGAATTTTTTTTCAGTGCCATATTTTATAGTTTTTAGTACAGTTTTACATTTTTTTTTATTAAATGTAACCCTGAATATTCTATGTTTTGGGGATATACTGTAAGTAGTAGCTTTTAAGAATTTTACTTCCCAGTTGATTATTGTCAGTATTAAGTAGACATATAAAATGTAATTAATTCATGTATATTGATTTTGTGTCATGCAAACTTGCCAAATACATTTATTAGTGCTAGTCACTTTAAAAATGGATTTGAAGGGATTTTCTATATACACCTCATTATCTTCAACAAATAAAAACAATTTTACTTGCTCTTCTCCAATCTGTATGCTTTTTATTTCATTTCCTTGGCTTATTGAACCAGCTAGGACTTCCAAAGCAATAATAATAGAAGTGGTCAATACAAATTTTTTTGCCTTTCTTAATCTTAGGGAAGAAACATAGAGTCTTTACTAAGTATGCTGTTAGCTCTATGTTTCTTATAGATGTTCTTTATGAGATTTAGGATATTTTCTCTTCTTCCTAGTTTGCTGAGCATTTTTATTATAAATGGGTATTAAATTTGTCACGTGATTTCCCTGGATCTATTGAAGTGATCATATTTTTTCTCTAATATGTTAATGTATTAAATTACATTGATTTTTGAATGTTAAAACAACTTTGCATTCTTGGGATCAATATCATAATGTATTATCCTTGTTATACATTACTGGATTTAAAATTGCTAATATTAATAATTTATATATGTGTGTTTGTGAGGGATATTGTTCTGAAGTTCACCTGTAATATCTTATCGGGTTTTCATATCAAGGTAGTGTTAATTTATAAAATGAGATGGGAAGTGTTCCTTCTCTATTTTCTGAAAAATATTAGGTAGGATTGGTTTGATTACTTCTTTAATTATCAGATTGATTTCACCAGAGAAACCATCTGGTCCTGATTGTTTTAGGAGAAATTTTTAAGATAATTAATTGAATTTCTTAATATATATAGGGCTATTTGATTATTACATTTCTTTTTATATCAGATTTGGTAGTTTTTGTGTTTAAGGAATTTGCTTGTTTCATCTAAGTTGTTTAACTTATTGGCATGTAGGTGTTTATAATATTCTCTTATTATTTTTGTAATATCTGTAGGCTCTGTAGTGATGACTCCCTTTTTCATTTCTGATATTGATACTTTGTGTCTTCTCTTTCCCTCTTTTCCATCCTTCTAGCTATATATTTATCAATAAACCTGATTTCAGTTTTTTTGATAAATACATATAGATAGAAATATAAAACACATTTAAAATGAAGTAATGATAGAGATGTCATGGTTTATTTAAAATATTAAAATTAATTTTAATTGAATTTTATAAAATGTAAATGTTCTGAAGATAAAATTTATTTTTGAGAAAGGCTTGTGGTTTGTTTCAGTTTTGAAAGCTTTTCTGGTTTCCAGTTAAATTGGATGACCGATAACCTAGTTTCAGTATTCTTGGGTCAGTCTTGGCCTAAGACCTTTATGCCATTGTCACCTGGCATTTGTTGCAGAAGCTCCAAGTAAGTCTGATACTTTTCCCTTGTAAGTTATTTTCTTTTCCTAGCTGAATGCCCGAAGAAATCATTCTTTATTCTTGATTTTCAATAGCTTAACTAGGAGAGATTGTAGTGCTGGATGTTACTTATCAGATTTTCTGGTAACATGATATATGCTCTTTGTTAAGGCAATTTTCTTATATTGTGTCTATTAATGTATCTTGTCTTCTAGTTTTTGGCTTTTATGCTTTAGAGATACTAATTATTTTCATGCATGTTCATCTGTAATTTTATAATCCAATACCTCTAATCTTAACTTTTTTAATGTTATTGGTAGATTTTTCTGTAATATTCAGTTTCTTGCTATTTCTTATTTCCTGTATCTATTATGGTATTCTTTTAATCTTCAATTTATTTCCTTAGTTCTACAGTCTGTCTTTTCTTCTCATTGTTCTCTTTAACATCTTATCTTCGAGATCTTGTTTTGTCAATTTTGTGTTGCTATTAAATTGTCTTAGTTGTTACTAAGCAATTACAAAGATATTTAATTATTTTTGACTTGCCTCTTCTTCTAGATTGTGATCTTTATGCACACTTTCATCATGTATTCTTTTTGTAGCTTTTATGCTGGAGATATGATGGAGATTACTGACTTGCTGTTTTTCTCTATATTGCTCATGCTTGGGCAGCTCTCTCTCGAGCTTCTATTAATTCTATTATTGCATGACTGACTTCTTAACTCTGTTTCCCTTCTCTTCTCTCTCCTTCCTTCTAAGACACAAGCTGAGGGCTGGGTATGTCTTACTTTTCACATTTGTGTAGCTTGGGCAAATGGCAGTGTAGAGGCAGGCGGTTTTTAAAAAATACCTGAATTTCTTTTCTTCTCTGAGATAGTCTTAAAATATCATACAAAAGTTTATTCTACCTAAATTTGTTGTTCATCCCACTCGCACAAGGGAATGTTCTCAGGTTTTAAGTTCTTTCTGATTTCAACATGAGTCCTAGGGAATTTCATTTCTCACAGGGACAGACAACCCCACTCTTTCCTTTTCTTTAGTTCTTTAGTCCCCTCCTCCCCCTTCCACTAGTCAGAAGTGGGGAAAGATTAGGCTATGATTCAGTATCTTTCTCTATGATTTTTTTAAATCAGAAGGACTATTAGCAAGATTTCTCAGGGTTTTTAACCTAAAATAATACGACTTTGGGGGTGGGAAGTGGGGGTGACATTAGGACAAACTTCCTGAATCCCTGCTCTCAAATATACTGTTTCTTTCTTAGGCCATCAGTTTTGAAGTTCAAGGCATTATGTTACTCATTGCTTTGTTGCAGTTGATATATTTTTGTTGTTTTTAAAAATAATTTTGTTTATGTCTCTAGCTATTAAAGGAGTGAAAGAATGTAAGGCAGTTCTAGTCATCATCTTAACATGGCAATTATCCCTTCATTTTCCCCCTTGGTTATAAAATCAACTCATGCCCATCATGGAAAATTTAGAAAACAGATAAAAAGGAGAGAGAGAGAGCGAGAGAGAGAGAAAGAGAATATTATCTACGATTCCATAATTTTGAGATAATGAGTATTATAATTTCAACATATTATAGCTTTTTCTGCAAAATATATTTAAAAGCAAAACTTAGACTATAATGTGTTTAAACGTTTTTTGCTTTCTTCATTTGATTTTACTATACCATTTTGCTTTTTTAAAAAGTTATGGTTTAAATGCTACAGATATTTTATATATGAATTTCCCAGAATTTTGCCTATTCTTAATGTGCAACTTGATTAGGTAATCTCTATTTTTCAATATTATAAAATGATGCTGCAATGACCATCTTTATTTACAAACCTTCATCTGTTGATTTATTTCAGTGGGACACAGTCCTAAAATTGAAGCCATTACATACAAATTTTAGAATTTGAAAAATCTCCTAATGCACTTGCCAATTTCTTTGTCCAGAAAATGTTGACCTGGCCTAAACAGTACTAAGTAAAAATGTCTGCCTTACCTTGCCCTCCTCATCTCAATCTTACCTTGCTATTTAAGGATTTATTTCTGCTTGCCCTTCTGGCCTAGAACAGGGATTTGCACACAGTAGGTGCTCAATGAATGCTTTCTTGACTGATGAGCTTTCCCTCTTAGTTTAAAATGTAATGCCTTAGTCTAAATCCTAGTAGATGGTTGAAGGCAACTACCTATGAGGTAAAATATGGGCAGCCTGAGAGGTGACCTCTGTACCCTGCTTCATTATTAACCTCTTTTATAAATTTTTAGGCAGGCATATACTATCCACGGAGAGTGGAAAAGTGAGCCAGGAAGCTGAGAGCCTGGGGCCACTTTGGGGTGGAGCCTATTTCTACTGGTTGCTGGTTGTACACTGAGAAACTGAGATTCAGCCTTAGACTAGCTGTATGGATATAGACCTGACCTATCTCTTGGCTTGGCCTCGATAGAGGTATTTTTCATTAAGCTCTGTTTCCTTTACTCCCTGAGCATATACCTTTAATGTGTAATGCAGCAAAGCATTCCAGGAAGTGCCAGCTCCAAGGTGGTCACTGCTGTTCTCAGAGGTCAGATCTCAGGGTACCTAAAATGCAGTTTATTGTCAAGCTGCTGGATTTCCAGTCTAGTTTATATGCTGATAATGCCCTTTCATTAAATACTTGTTTTGTAGTTGTGTGTGCAGTGCATGCAATGTAATGTGTACAGAACATTCTACTAGCTCCTGAAGTCACACTGATGAGCGAGGCAAAATCTCTCTTCTCATTTGGCTGAAAATACCTCTTTTCTCAAAGGTATAGCAGAAGAGTGAGTAGAACACTATGTCAGATTGTGAAAAGCAAAGCTAAAAGTGATACAGGTGCATGGGGGAGAAACCACTAACCAGACATCCCTGGCAGCACAGAGCAGGGCTACCCCAGGAGAGCAATGAACACAATATTCATACCCCTTTCTCCTGCCTCCCCAAGTTTCTTACCTATTCACTGTATTAGTCTGTTCTTATGCTACTAATAAAGACATATCTGAGATTGGGTAATTTATAAAGCAAAGAGGTTTAATTGACTCACAGTTCAGCATGGTTGAGGAGGCCTCAGGAAACTTACAACCATGGCAGAAGGGGAAGCAAACATGTCCTTCTTCACATCATGGCAGGAAGGAAAAGTGCAGAGTGAACTGGGGCGCAAAGCCCTTATAAAACCATCAGATGTTGTGAGTATTCACTCACTATCACGAGAACAGCATGGAGATAACTGCCCCCATGATTCTATTACCTCCCGCTGGTTCTCTCCCACCCAGATGTGGGGATTATGGGAAATATAATTCAAGATGAGATTTGGGTGAGGACACAGAGCAAAACCATACAATTCTGCCCCTGACCTCTCCCAAATGTCATGTCCTCACATTTCAAAACACAATCATGCCCTTCCAAAAGTCCCCAAAACTCTTAACTCATTCCAGCATTAACTCAAAAGTTCAAGTCCAAAGTCTCATCTGAGACAAGGCAAGTCCCCTCTGCCTATGAGCCTGTAAAGTCAAAAGCAAGTTAGTTACTCTTAGATACAATGGAAGTACAGGCTTTGGGTGAATACATCCATTTCAAATGGGAGAAATTGGCCAAAGCAAAGGGGCTACAGGCCCCAAGCAAGTCCAAAACCCTATAGGGATGTCATTAAACATTGAGGTTCCCAAACGATATTTTTTGACTCTATGTCTCACATCCAGTTACCACTGATGCAAGCAGTGGGCACCCATGAACTTGGGCAGCTCCACCTCTGTGGCTTTGCAGGGTACAGCACACCTCCTGGCTGCTTCCACAGGTTGGCATTGAGTGTCTGCAGCTTTTCCAGGCACATGGTGCAAGCTGTCGGTGGATCTACCATTCTGGGGTCTGGAGGATGGTGGCCCTCTTCTCACAGCTCCACTAGGCAGTGCCCCAGTGGGGACTCTGTGTGGGGGCTCTGATCCCCCATTTCCCTGCTGCACTGCCTTAGCAGAGGTCCTCCATGAGGGCTCCGCCTCTACTTGGAAACAGGTGTTTCAATTTATCCTCTAAAATCTAGGCAGAGGTCCCAAAACCTCAATTATTGACTTCCATGCACCCACAGGCCCAACACCATGTGGAAGCTACCAAAGCTTTGGGCTTTCACCCTCTGAAGAGATGGTCTGAGCTGTACATTGGCCCCTTTTAGCCACAGATGGAGTGGCTGGGTTGCAGGGCACAAAGTTCCAAGGCTGCACATAGCAAGGGGTCCCAGGACCTGGCCCAGGAAACCACTTTTCCCTCCTAGGCCACAAGGAACCATTTTTCCCTCCTAGGCCACACGGCCTGTGATGACAGGGGCTATTATGAAGGTCCCTGACATGCCCTGGAGACGTTTTCCCCATTATCTTGGTGATTAACATTCAGCTCCTCACTACTTATGCAAATTTCTACAACCAGCTTGAATTTCTCCCCAGAAAATGGGTTTTTCTTTTCTATTGTATTGTCAGGCTGCAAATTTCCCAAACTTTTATGCTCTGCTTGCTCTTGGACACATCATCACTTAGAAATTTATTCTGCCAGATACCCTAAATCATTTCTCTTAAGTTCAAAGTTCCACAGATCTCTAGGGCAGGGACAAAATGCTGCTATTCCCTTCACATAGCAAGACTGACCTTTACTCCAATTTCCAAAAGTTCCTCATCTCCATCTGAGACCACCTCAACCTGGACTTTATTGTCCATATTACTATCAGCATTTTGCTCAAAGCCATTCAACAAGTCTCTAGAAAGTTCCAAACTTTCCCACATTTTTCTATCTTCTTCTGAGCCCTCCAAACTGTTCCAACCTCTGCCTGTTATCCAGTTACAAAGTCATTTCCACATTTTCGGGTATCTTTACAGCAGCACTCCACTCTCTGAATTACAAATTTTCTGTATTAGACTGTTCTCATGTTGCTAATAAAGATATAACTGAGACTGGGTAATTTATAAAGGGAAGAGGTTTAATTGACTCACAGTTCAGCATGGGTGGGGAGGCCTTGGGAAACTTACAATCATAGCAGAAGGGAAAGCAGACATGTCCTTCTTTACATGATGGCAGGAAGGAGAAGTGCAGAGTGAAGGATGGGGAGGCCTCTTATGAAACTATCAGATCTCATAAGAACTCACTCATATCATAAGAACAGCATGGAGGTAACTGACCCCATGATTCATTTGTCCCCCACCAGCTCCCTCCCATGACATGTGAAGATTATGGGGACTACAATTCAAGATGAGATTCGGGTGAAGACACTGCCAAACCATATCACTCCCAAACAGGTTGTGATGAGCTCTTGACGGGGAAATGTAATGAAGGAGCAGGTGGAGAGGTGTGCTAATTAGGTAGGGTGCGTATGATGGGCTGATTTCAGCTTCCTTTGTCTTAGCATCCCCTGGCAAAGCTAAACTTTTCTTTCTAGCAACACTGGCTAGGGAGGCCTTTTAATTTCTGAAACTTCCTTTTTATTCCTTTGCTTTTTGTTTTCTTTCTCATTTGTTCTTGAGCTCTGTTAGCATTTTAAAAAATGTCTCACTGTCACTTAGCCATATCATTTCTAATATTTTCCTAATTCTAATTTATAAGTCTCTTTCATTGCTTCTATTGTTTTCTTAATGTTCTTTAGCTTATATTGAAATATTAGGTTGTGGCTTATCTCTGCTTCGTGGCCATATTTTTTGGCATGTCTCAATTTTCTGTAAGTTTGCATTTCTGAGTTATTCTATTTTTGTGGTAATCAGAATAAAGAGTTCCCCCAAAGATGTTCGTGATGTCTTAATTCTCAGTAGCTGTGGATATGTTTTATATGTGGATATTCATATCCTAATTCTCAAAAGCTGTGGAAACATGGAAAAGAGGTATTAAGTTTGTACGTAGAATTGTTTGCTTATTAGCTGATCTTATGTTGGGGGGTTATTGTGGATTATCTGGGTGGGCACAATATAGTCACAAGCATCCTTTAAAGTAGAAGAGGGAGACAGAAGAGGATCACAGTCAGAAATATTTGAAGACGAAGGAAGTGGCTATGCGCACGAGGATGCAGGTGACCTCCAGAAGATGGAAAAGCAGGGAAACAGGCTCTTCCCCAGAGCCTCCAGAAGGAACACAGCCCTGCCAACACCTTGATTTCATCCAGTGAGCCCCCTGCTGGGCTTCTGACTTCTAGATCTGAACAATAATACATCTGTGTGTTTTGTCATTAAATTGGTGGTAATTTGTTATAGCAGCAAAAGGAAATTAACATATCCTTTTAGAACATCTTTGCATGGGGTTCCGATGCAATTCTTTTCTGTCATCTATTGGACATAAGATGTACTTTCCAATTCTGGTGAGAAATAGCTGCCAGGCTTATTATGGTATCCCCAACCTCTAGCAGGCTATGGCCAGGGGAAGCAAGACTCCTTATGTCCATGGGGTTATGATAGATTCTTCTGAGATGCAGTTGAAAGGACAGCGTCCTGTTATTTTCATTTATTTATTTATTTGTTTGCTTGTTTGTTTTTTTAAAGAAACAGAGTCTTGCTCTGTCACCTAGGCTGGAGTGCAGTGGTGTGATCACAGCTCACTGCACCCTTGACCTCCTGGGCTCAAGCGATCCTCCTGTCTCACCTTCCCAAGTAGTTGGTACTACAGGTATGCATCACCATGCCCAGTTAATTTTTTTGTTTTTTTGTAGAGACAGGGTTTTGCTATGTTCCCCAGGCTGGTCTTGAACTCCTGGCTTTAAGAGATGCTTCCACCTCAGGCTCCCAAATTGCTGGAATTATAGGACACAGCCCCATTGTTTTTATCCTTAACATTATAGGAAGCATTTGACTTTGCTCAGACTTTGAGCTGGAGACAAAATGGACATTGGAGAATTTCTCAATTCCTTTTTGTCCTCTCTGTCTTTGTCAACCGGGCTAATCCCTTCTAATTTTCTTTGAGAAAATAGAAAGGGAGAAAAGCAGGAGAAGGAAGCGTGGTGCGTGGGAGAAAGGCAAGACAGAGGAAATGCTGTGGAGAGCAGCGCCATACTCATCAGCCCAGGCAAGGCATCAGGGTCAGGCTCACTCCACCTCCCCTACACCCTCTTGACTTTCACTTTTAAAATCCATGTGTGGCCCAAGAGTTCTGGAAATCATTCAGGCTTTTGCATTTTGACAGAGTTTTCAAACAAGTAGTCCTTATGTTAAAAGATCCAAGCCAGAGCATTGATACCATATGTTCCACCTCTCATCTTTGCTGTTGAAGGCACGGGTACACACACACACACACACACACACACACACACACACACACCTATGAGTTACTTGGACTAGCTGAAGGCAAAATTCCTGTCATAGACTGATGAGCCTGGTGGAATATATAAAGAGTGTTTCTTTATGTACATCTTATGCTGAAGTAATGCAAATGAATTCAAGTAAAAAGACGAGTTCCAAAAAGCAGCACCAAGGCGTCTGGATGCAGCTTGCTTATTACATTCACTTGCCTGCTGTTCAGGCCATTGCCGATTTGCACCTGCAATTACCTCTTCACACCTGGGAGTGCACAGGTTTCGTTGATTCCATTTCAGGAATGCTCAGCCTACGTGTTTCCCAGAATAAAGAGCCTTCTAGATCTCTGAATTTAAATACCAAGGTGACAATTACTTGTGTTCTTGATTGTTTAAAAAAGAAATTGGGAAAAAGGGCAAAAAAAGAGAAGCCAAAGAAGCAAAAGGAAAAATGAGAAAAGTCTCTTACTATCTTCCAAGGAACTGAATGTACAAATCTGAGAACCCTGAGCCTCTGCTGCTTTTAAGTATCAACCAAACTCAACCCCCACTCACAAGGTACAGTAATTCCATGAACAGCTCTCAGGACAGACTGTGTCATTTTCTACAAAGGCTGTTAGAAATCATTTACACTGTGAGATTCTCTGTGGTGATAACAAGGTGTTCAAAAGGAGAATGAGTCTGAGATAATCTTCAAAAGGTTCCCAAGTGACATCTGCCCCCACTATCTAGAAGATTCCTCTGGAAGAAAGCAGATGCAAACATGTCAGTTCAGGTTTTTGAGACTGACATGATTTTCTGCACCTGTGCTTGAAGTTGCCTCTTATTTCTGGATGAGAGGAATTATATGAGATGAGACAGAAATTCGGCAGATGTCATAGGTCAGATAGCTCTATCATTTGCTGGCCAAGTTCAAATGAACCATACCTTTCAATAGGTCAGGAATATTTTTTCCATCTGGGTTTCTTCCCACATAGTTGAGTGTTGTGGAGATCTCGGGGACCCAATATTAGCTCCAAAATGCAAAGATAAATGATAAACATAGAAAGTACTTTCCTGTGGCCTCTGAGTACTTTGTAAATCTAAGAAACAGTGGTATGTCTCTAAGTCACAGGATGCTAGATTAAGACAACCATTATTTAGGATAGGAGGCTTTACTAAAAATCATAAAAATCATGTGTAGGTACTTAAAATTGTGTGTTTTTATTAATAAGAATAATTGTTAAAAAGTACAGACTTAACTATACTGAATATATGCTAAGTGCTTTACATGCAATTGCCCAGTGCAAATTTCTCAAAAATTTAGTGAGGTTGGGACTATTACTATCAACATTTCACAGATCGTGACATGGAAGCTTGAACTTAGAACTTTTACCAAGGACTCACTAGGATTAAGTTGTTGAAAAAGTATTTGAATTCAGTGGGCTTGACTCCAGAGAACATGCTCTTAGACACTGTAGAAAATTCACAAGTATATATTCACAGAGAGAAGGGTAGTCTTAGTCAATTTTTAAATCTTAGATTCAGTATTTGACATTGACCTAATACTGATTTGAAGCCACCAGGAAGCTGTGGTTTGGAAAAGTTAATTGAGAGAGATTCATTTTCAGAACATGGCATTATTTTCAAAATGTACTTTATAGGTACTTTATGTGTGTACAAGCATCCTTGATATTCCCTAAGCAGTCCATAGACTAGCTAATAATGTAATAAATTTATGCATGTGAAACTTAGCAGTTTCTCCATGGACCCATGGAATGAGTGGCTAAGATTCAAACTGAATTTCCTCCATTTCACTCAGCTGAATGATCAAGGAATGTAGAATCACTCCAGGAAACCAGAGATCAGTTGAAAAGCTATATTTTCACATGGATTTCTTTCAGAAGGTAGACATCAGGGTGAAACAAGGTGTACCTGGAATTATTCCACCTAAGACTGGGCACATCAATGGAAAATATTTCTTCGGAGAACACTTGTGCTGTGTCAGTTTTTTAGTTGGAGAAATTTTGTTCCTGCTTTCCCTATTTACTTTGCATATTTGCTGAAAGATACTGTAAATTCGCAGTAGCAGATGGCACCTTCTCTGAAACATAGCTCTGCAGACCTGTAGAGCACCAAGGAACAGGCTTAAGGCAAGGCAAAGTCAGTGCTAAAATTCCATTTTGAAGGGACAATGTGTGGGTTTAGCAACATTGTCTCGTTCTTCAACTCAGTAGGTGTTTGTTGAGTGTCTGTTTTACAAAGATGCTGTGCTATGATTTGCTGCTGGGGCCAAGGGAGCATTGAAAGATGTGAAAGAGGAGTTATCCCTTTCTGCGGAAAACTTAGACTTGTGTATGTAAAATGGACGCGGTGTCCACTAACCATCATGCAAACGTAAGTGCCAGATAGAACTACAGCTATGGCTGCCTGTCTAAGAGATAAGAGTGTATAATCTTGTCTGGTGGTTTCTGATTACAGCGGCACTAGAGGAAACCCCAAGGTGTTGCATAGCAGAGACATTTGCTTGGGTAAATCACAAGATGTTGCGAGTGATTAGATGTCCACGGCTTAGCCCAATTAGGGCAAGCACAGTGATACTGAGGCTGTAGTTTACAGACAGCAGCCATGTTCCACATGCAAGTCATTGGCTTCAAAGGCAGATAGAACTCCTGAAGATGCGTGGAGGATGCCTAACAAACGCATGGTAAGAGTGATGGAGCCATGAGCACTCTGCACATAGAAATCTCACCATTAGTATTATTTCATCCAATGTGATTATCTGCTTATAACAGCAGGTCAGAAATGAAAACATGAGGGGAAATGATGTGCTGGAGTGTAAAAAACGATGGGGCTAGAAGTCTTATTTTTTATTTTATTTTGAGACAGGGTCACCCTTGTCACCCAGGCTGGAGTGCAGTGGCATGATCGAGCTCACTGCAGCCTTAATCTCCCAGGCTCAAACAATCCTCCCACCTCAGCCTCCCAAGAAGCTAGGACTACAGGTGTGCACCACCACACCTGGCTATCTTTTTAATTTTTTAGTAGAGACAAGGTCTTGCTATGTTGCTCCAGCTGGTCTTGAACTCCTGAGCTCAATCAACCCTCCCACCTTGGCCTCCCAAAATGTTGGGATTACAGGCGTGGGTCACTGCACTTGACAGATGTCTAATTTTTGTACCTGATTCATTCATTCATTCATTTACTCTATGGCCATTACCAGATATTGCACTTAGCACTGGGGACACAGATAGAAATAGCCTCAGTCTCCCATTTATTTATTTACTATTACAAAATAAAAGGTAAGCAAATATCTTCTACCTAAGACCAAGTGGGATGCAGAGTAATTTCAGCATGTTTGTTTTTGTTTACCAGGATCCTCAGCATTGAAACAAAGCTAGCCTTGGTAATCAATCCCTAGGAAATATATATGATAATCTCTCCAATATAGAAGCCAACTGGGTCTTTTGTTCAATTTCTTCTACAGCCACGTAAAGTTCAATTTTCCCCCATTCTTTCACATGTTCCATCAATAATATGTGTTTGGGCTTCTCTCATCTTTTGGGCCAGCTGATTGTTTCTCGCTCTGACTGGTTTAACAAATTTGTCTTTAAAACAGGGGCTTTAAAATGTAATGATGCTGAAAAATACAGCACATGAAAGGGTGTGTATGAACGAGTAAATGGTCAGACCAAAAATGTTCTGAGGGGCACCTGAGGAAGACTTGGTTTTCATATGCTCTGTGATTGCAACGTCTCCAATAATGACATCTGTCATTATTCTTCACTTCTCCTCTTCTTCTGTTGTTCATCATAACAGACCTGTTTTCTATTTCGTGCATATTGATTTTTCAATAGTCAGCAGGGTTGTTGGTTTAGCAACTTCCTGTGTCTCCAGACAAGAGTATGTGGAGAGTGTGCCTAGCCCAGCCAAGCTTTGCTCGAGAGCACTGGGACCGATCACGATACTCATAGTGTATGAACAAAGGAGGAGAGAGAATGGCTTGTATTTCCCAAAGGGTGGGAACATACATGGTGCTCAACTTCCCTGGAGCAGGGGAGAACCAGCGGAATGTCCTGGGGAGGCCAAACTTGGCAGGCTCCATGCCTGCTGACAGCTAAAGCATTTATGGCAGAACATCTTAGAAAGTTGGAACCTTGTGAAAAATGACTTCAGGAAGTCTTTTCAAGGAAATAGAAAGTCTTTGCTGACTTCAGTTAGCAAGTCCCAGATGTAACACATCTCTTAAGCCAATGTGTCAGGGTAGCTGATAGTCTGAGTGTATTTCTTTATTATGAACACACTCAGAACAGGTTAACATTGCCTTTCTTCAAACCTGTTTTGAGATTTCTTGTTTGGTCAGTAACTATAATTGATTAATATCCCTGTCATGTCCCTATGTTGTGTGAACAGAGAGGATTGGGGATTGTGGAATACGGGAGGTCAAAGGGACTTAGAGATAATGTAGCCCAAACTCCTTATCTTCTAGATGGGTAGATAAGGCCAGAAACACTAAATAACTTTCTGAAAGGCACTATTTGTCAGGGACAGTGTTAGGATAAGAGGGCAGGCTTCCTAAGTCCTTGTTAAGCCAGATCTTTCATTTGCAATGTGCCAACACTCCACATGGCATGGTAATATGGAGTTCTTCTCCAGCCTCAGCTACTTCCCAGCTAACGAAATCTGCTTAGTAAAACATCGCTTTGGGGTCCTGAATTGACTATCATGCCAATATTTTAGTGGCACTTCCCAAATTAGATTTATTTAATATTAGTGGATTACTATACTTTTCTATTCAAGAAACTTGAACACTTTTTTTCTTTTTTTGAGACAGGATGTATTAGTTCCTTTTCAACAAAACGAGGTTTAATTAGGCTTACAGTTCCACGTGGTTGGGGAGGCCTCAGAATCATGGCAGGAGGTGAAAGGCACTTGTTATACAGCAGTGGCGGGACAAGAATGAGGAAGAAGCAAAAGCAGAAACCCCTGATAAACCCATCAGATCTCGTGAGACTTACTGACTCTCATGAGATAGCACAGGAAAGACCAGCCCCCATGATTCAATTGCCTTGTCCTGGGTCCTTCCCACAACATGTGGGAATTCTGGGAGATACAATTCAAGTTGAGATTTGGGTGGGGACATAGCCAAACCATATCATTCTGCCCCTGGCCCCTCCAAATCTCATGCCTTCACATTTCAAAACTAATTATGCCTTCCCAACAGTCCCCCAAAGTCTTAACTCATTTCAGCATTAACCCAAAGGTGCACAGTCCAAAGTCTCATCTGAGACAAGGCAAGTCTCTTCTGCCTATGAGCCTGTAAAATCAAAAGCAAGCTAGTTACTTCCTAGATACAATGCGGGTATAGGTTTTGTGTAAATTCAGCCATTCCAAATGGGAGAAATTGGCCAAAACAAAGGAGTTACAGGGCCCATGCAAGTCTGAAATCCAGCCAGGCAGTCAAATTTTAAAGCTCCAAAATTATCTTCTTTGACTCCAGGTCTCACATCCAGGTCACAATGATGCAAGAAGTGGGTTCCCATGGGCTTGGGCAGCTGCACCCCTATGGCTTTGCAGGGTACAGCCTCCTTCCTGGCTGATTTCACTGCCTGGCATTGAGTGTCTGCAGCTTTCCCAAGTGTACATTGCAAGCTCTCGGTGGATTTACCATTCTGGTGTCTGGAGGATGATGGCCCTCTTCTCACAGCTCCAATAGGCAGTGCCCCAGTAGAGACTCTGTATGGGGGCTCTGACCCCACATCTCCTTTCTGCACTACCCTAGCAGAGGTTCTCCATGAGGCCCCTGCCCCTGTAGCAAACTTTTGCCTGGGCATCCAGGCGTTTCCACACATCTTCTGAAATCTAGTTGGAGGTTTCCAAACCTCAATTCTTGACTTCTGTGCACCTGCATTCTCAACACCAGGTGGAAGCTGCCAAGGCTTGGGGCTTCCACCCTCTGAAGCCACAGCCCGAGCTCTATGTGGGCCCCTTTCATCCATGGCTGGAGTGGCTGGGACACAGGGCACCAAGTCCCTAGGCTGCACACAGCATGTGGACCCTGGGCCCGGCCCAGGAAACCACTCTTTCCTCCTGGGCCTCAGAGCCTGTGCTGACATGGCCTGGAGACATCTTTCCCATGGTCTTGGGGATTAATATTAGGCTCCATGCTACTTATGCAAATTTCTGCAGCCGGCTTGAATTTCTCCTCAAGAAATGAGGTTTTCTTTTCTACTGCATCGACAGGCGGCAAATTTTCTGAACTTTTATGCTCTGTTTCCCTTTTAAAATGGAATGCTTTTAACAGAACCCAAGTCACATTTCGAATGCTTTGCTGCTTAGAAATTTCTTCTGCCAGATACCCTAAATCATCTCTCTCAAGTTCAAAATTCCACAAATCTCTAGGGCAGGGGCAAAATGCCACTAGTCTCTTTGCTAAAACATAGCAAGATATACCTTTGCTCCAGTTCCCAGCAAGTTCCTTATCTCCATCTGAGACCACCTCAGCCTGGACCTTATTGTTCATATCACTATCAGCATTTTTGTCAAAGCCATTCAACAAGTCTCTAGGAGGTTCCAAACTTTCCCACATTTTCCTGCCTTCTTCTGAGCCCTCCAAACTGTTCCAACCTCTGCCTGTTACCCAGTTTCAAAGTTGCTTCCACATTTTGGGGTATCTTTTCAGCAACGCTCTACTCTACTGGTACCAATTTATTGTATTAGTTTGTTTTCAAGCTGGCTGATAAAGACAAACTGGGAACAAAAAGAGGTTTAATTGGACTTACAGTTCCACATGGCTGGGGAGGCCTCAGAATCATGGTGGGGGGTGAAAGGCGTGAGGTAGAAGGAGGGCAGAGGGGTGAGATGGGGGGCGGCCTGTCTATTCCAAGCCTCTCATGCACCACCTCCCACCCTCTTGGCGTCACCCCTGGTTCCCTCTATGGCATCAGTTCCCTGTAGGCTCCAACCTGCTTTGAGCTCTCAGCACCTCATGTCAAGCCTGCCCGGTGCCTGTCTGATGTGGATCCCAGCACTCCTGTGACACCATGGTGCATGGAGTGCATATGGGTTTAGCTCTCATACATGAATAATCAAAGTGACAGGAGTTGAAACTCCATGGAGCAACCCTTTGCCAATGGGAGATAGAAGCTTCCAGACAAATGCTTGTCCTTTGTATCAGTCAAGTAGCTGGTTCTGAGACTTACTTCACAGGGATTTTCAGGAGCCCCACATGGAGTGATGAGGTCTGCAGTGGGCCCATTCCTCAGGGCAATCTTGCTGTCTCTTTCTCTCTTTCTGTCTTTCCCTCTCCCACTGCTCGCGGCTGCTCCCTGAAGACACATCCCAAATGAAACGTCTGACAAGCCCTGGTCTCAGGCATTGCTTTGGGGAGGGGCACCCTGGCTAAAAGAGGACCCTGTCCTAGCTGTGACCTGACATAATAGACTTCACATTTAGCCAGTCCAGAGCTTCAGTGAAGGTCCAATGGGCAGGACTGAGGAGTGAGTGAAATTCTGCCTGAGGCAGCTGAGGGCTGAGAGAATGTCTGTGGTTGCGGGGAGGGGGGTTTGGAAGGTGGAGGGTAAGGTTCTCAGTCTCCCTCTTGGACTCCCCACTCCCACAGCAATTGAGGCTCTGAGGAGCAGTGTGGCAGTAAGCTACAATCCGCCTATGTCCGCTGATACTGAAAGACTGCATTTGGCTGGAGAAAGATCAAGTATATCTGTGTTTAATGGTCAGATGTTCAAAATGCAGATTATAGGAAAGTCAAGGACAGCATGGCAGCCCCTGAACCTTTAAAAGTCCAGGACTACCTGTATCCCCCATAGTTTTAGGATAAGGAATAGACTAGACCACATCCATAGTTGCTGTGTCTGCAGGCATCATGTCCTTGCAAAGCACTTAGGTGTTCAGGAGCATTCGTGGAGACTGAGGGAGGAAGAGAGATGTCTGCCTGTGTGTGTGGGTTGTATGAGTTTAATTTTTCTTGATTCAACAAGTTCTGACAACTTCATGAAAGCCAGGCTGAAGTCATTTTGGGAAATGACTCAGGTAAGGTAGAGATTAGGCTAATAGAGAAGATGGTCTGAATTGATATCATTGAGCACATACTTATTATCCCAACCCCTCATCTCTCTCACTCTCTTTCTCTCTCTCTCTCTCTCTCTCACACACACACACACAAACAAAATAATAGGGCACAAGAGGGGAAGCTCCAGAGGAGAGGGGAGGGTTTTTCTTTTTTTTTTAAATTTTTAAATTATACTTTAAGTTCTAGGGTACATGTGCACAACATGCAGGTTTGTTACATATGTATACATGTGCCATGTTGGTGTGCTGCACCCATTAACTCATCATTTACATTAGGTTTATCTCTCAATGCTATCCCTCCCCCCTCCCCCCACCCAATGACAGGTCCCGGTGTGTGATGTTCCCCACCCTGTGTCCAAGTGTTCTCATTGTTCAATTCCCACCTATGAGTGAGAACATGTGGTGTTTGGTTTTCTGTCCTTGCGATAGTTTGCTCAGAATGATGGTTTCCAGCTTCATCCATGTCTCTACAAAGGACATGAACTCATCCTTTTTTATGGCTGCATAGTATTCCATGGTGTACCTGTGCCACATTTTCTTAATCCAGTCTATCATTGATGGACATTTGGGTTGGTTCCAAGTCTTTGCTATTGTGAATAGTGCTGCAATAAACACATGTATGCACGTGTCTTTATAGCAGCATGATTTATAATCCTTAGGGTATATACCCAGTAATGGGATGGCTGGGTCAAATGGTATTTCTAGTTCTAGATCCCTGAGGAATCGCCACACTGTCTTCCACAATGGTTGAACTAGTTTACAGTCCCTCCAACAGTGTAAAAGTGTTCCTATTTCTCCACATCCTCTCCAGCACCTGTTGTTTCCTGAGTTTTTAATGATTGCCATTCTAACTAGTATGAGAGGGTATCTCATTGTGGTTTTGATTTGCATTTCTCTGACGGCCAGTAATGATGAGCATTTTTTCATGTGTCTGCGGGCTGCATAATGTCTTCTCTTGAGAAGTGTCTGTTCATATCCTTCACCCACTTTTTGATTATTTGATTTTTCTCTTGTAAATTTGTTTTAATTTCTTTGTAGATTCTGGATATTAGCCCTTTGTCAGATGGGTAGATTGTAAAAACTTTCTCCCATTCTGTAGGTTGCCTGTTCACTCTGATGGTAGTTTCTTTTGCTGTGTAGAAGCTCTTTAGTTTAATTAGATCCCATTTGTCAATTCTGGCTTTTGTTGCCACTGCTTTTGGTGTTTTAGACATGAAGTCCTTGCCCATGCCTATGTCCTGAATGGTATCGCCTAGGTTTTCTTCTAGGACTTTTATGGTTTTAGGTCTAACATTTAAGTCTTTAATCTATCTTGAATGAATTTTTGTATAAGGTGTAAGGAAGGGATCCAGTTTCAGCTTTCTACATATGGCTAGCCAGTTTTTCTAGCACCATTTATTAAATAGAGGATCCTTTCCCCATTTCTTGTTTTTGTCAGGTTTGTCAAAGATCAGATGGTTGTAGATGTGCGGTATTATTTCTGAGGGCTCTGTTCTGTTCCATTGGTCTATATCTCTCTTTTGGTACCAGTACCATGCTGTTTTGGTTACTGTGTGGCCTTGTAGTATAGTTTGAAGTCAGGTAGCGTGATGCCTCCAGCTTTGTTCTTTTGCCTTAAGCTTGTCTTGGCAATGCGGGCTCCTTTTGGTTCCATATGAACTTTAAAGTAGTTTTTTCCAATTCTGTGAAGAAAGTCATTGGTAGTTTGATGGGGATGTCATTGAATCTATAAATTACCTTGGGCAGTATGACCATTTTCACTATATTGATTCTTCCTATCCATGAGATTGGAATGTTCGTCTATTTGTTTGTGTCCTCTTTTATTTCATTGAGCAGTGGTTTGTAGTTCTCCGTGAAGAGGTCCTTCACATCCTTTGTAAGTTGGATTCCTAGGTATTTTATTCTCTTTGAAGCAATTGTGAAAGGCAGTTCACTCGTGATTTGGCTCTCTTTGTCTGTTATTGGTGTAGAGGAATGCTTGTGATTTTTGCACATTGATTTTGTATCCTGAGACTTTGCTGAAGTTGCTTATCAGCTTAAGAAGATTTTGGGCTGAGATGATGGGATTTTCTAAATATACAATCATGTCATCTGCAAACAGGGACAATTTGACTTCCTCTTTTCCTAATTGAATACACTTTATTTCTTTCTCCTGCCTGATTACCCTGGCCAGAACTTCCAACTCTATGTTGAATAGGAGTGGTGAGAGAGGGCATCCCTGTCTTGTGCCAGTTTTCAAAGGGAATGCTTCCAGTTTCTGCCCATTCAGGATGATATTGGCTGTGGGTTTGTCATAAATAGCTCTTATTATTTTGAGATACATCTCATCAATACCTAGTTTATTGAGAGTTTTTAGCATGAAGGGCTGTTGAATTTTGTCAAAGGCCTTTTCTGCATCTATTGAGATAATCATGTTGTTTTTGTCTTTGGTTCTGCTTATATGATGGATTACATTTATTGATTTGCATATGTTGAACCAGCCTTGCATCCCAGGGATGAAGCCCACTTGATCATGGTGGATCAGCTTTTTGATGTGCTGCTGGATTCGGTTTGCCAGTATTTTATTGAGGATTTTTTGCATCGATGTTCATCAGGGATATTGGTCTAAAATTCTTTTTTTTTTGTTGTGTCTCTGCCAGGCTTTGGTATCAGGATGATGCTGGCCTCATAAAATGAGTTAGGGAGGATTCCATCTTTTTCTATTGATTGGAATAATTTCAGAAGGAATGGTACCAGCTCCTCTTTGTACCTCTGGCAGAATCTCTGGGACACATTTAAAGCAGTGTGTAGAGGGAAATTTATAGCACTAAATGCCCACAAGAGAAAGCAGGAAAGATCTAAAATTGACACCCTAATATCACAATTAAAAGAACTAGAGAAGCAAGAGCAAATACATTCAAAAGCTAGCAGAAGGCAAGAAATAACTAAGATCAGAGCAGAACTGAAGGAGATAGAGACGCAAAAAACCCTTAAAAAAATCAATGAATCCAGAAGCTGGTTTTTTGAAAAGACCAACAAAATTGATAGACCACTAGCAAGACTAATAAAGAAGAAAAGAGAGAAGAATCAAATAGATGCAATAAAAAATGATAAAGGGGATATCACCACCGATCCCACAGAAATACAAACTACCATCAGAGAATACTATAAACACCTCTACGCAAATAAACTAGAAAATCTAGAAGAAATGGATAAATTCCTGGACACATACACCCTCCCAAGACTAAACCAGGAAGAAGTTGAATCCCTCAATAGACCAATAACAGGCTCTGAAATTGAGGCAATAATTAATAGCCTACCAACCAAAAAAAGTCCAGGACCAGACGGATTCACATGAGGGTTTTTCTAAAGAAGACTAAGCTAAGCTTTTCTGAGCTAAGCTTATAGGGGAACTTCTAAAGAAGACAATGAAGTCTTCTGCTTTGTAAGTCTTTGAGTGGCTTACTCCTCATGGGAGTTCAGAGGCAATGTCCATCAGGGCTTTTGCATTGACCTGCATGCTCATTACCTACCCACAGACTACCCAAAGCACCAAGCAGTAATCATTCCATGGCTTGCTCATATTGTGATGGGAAGAAGGAAATGTTCAGGTGATAACTAGATCAGCTGCCAAAGTTTTTTACCAACTACAAACAAATAAAAGCCAACTTCCTTCTATCACTCGTCTCTTGGAAAAACAAGTAAACTTCCTGCTAGAGGAGGTAATAAGCCTTTCCAGCCTCCGGAAGCCCAGGATATCTCTTATCCTCATCCTGAAGCCTTGCCTCCTCTCGTAAACCTAGGAAACACACCTGGCTCTGGTGTAGCAGAATAGGACCGTTAGCAAGTCTCTTTGTAAGGTAGAATTCTAGCTCTGGTCACAAAGGTTGTTTAATCCAGATGCATTGACAATGTTGTTTCTGGCCTCCCTGATGCTGGGGTGCTTATATCTACCTTTATTCAGGGGCTCTGGAGCCCTGGATCAGGAAACCCTAACACCAAGAGCCACTGAAGGTGGCTCATGGCCTCTTAAATAAGCAAGATGTAGTGGACTGCTCTGTTCATGGGTTTTTTTCTTTTTTGCCTCTGAGCCACTCCTACGTGCTTCCTTCATGGGACAGTTCTTACCAAATTAGATTTTTGTTTCATCAGTTCTGGTCAGTTTCCTGGACATCAGCTTGACCCAACCAGACCTCAAACCAGAAAGCCTTATTAAACAAGACAATTATATCTTTCCCAAGAGCCCTTCCTTCTAGATTTCTTCCTTACCTGAGCATAGGGTAATTTTTTTTGTTTTCCTAATTGCCTAGTGACTGGAAAATCACTGAGTTTAGACTTTCTCTTCTACTTTTCCCTGGAATACCACCCTGTAGCTTTCCCCTGGATTGTCAGGTCACTCAGTCTGGCCCTTAATTTACCCCCAAGAGACATCAGGGAACCTTAAATCCACAAATGCAATACACTTGTTACAAGAAACAAAGAGCAGGGTCAAATACACTAGGTGAGATCCCGACTCATTTTGTTTTACTCAGATGAATGAATCAGGACTGCTGAACATCTGTGGGCCTGGAAAACACAGATGTCAAAAATTGTAAGGTGGGTAGGAGTCATTCAGAAGTGGTGTATAAGATGTGGGTGAGGGTTCAGAGGCAACGTCCATCTGGATTCTCAAGACTGACCTGCACATTCATTACTTATCCACAGACCACCCAAAGGACCAAGCAGTAATCACTCTGGAACCATGATTAAAGGGTGTGTGACTGGTCATTTATGGCAGAAGCTGGGATCATCATACAGTTGAACCCAGTCTCTGTTGACTGTATATCATTATACTAAGTAATACTTTTTTTGGCGATTAAATAAAGTAACATTCAATAAAAAGATAAGTGCTGACTGGGGAACATAAGGAAAGTGTTTTTAATGTTAAGAATTGCCTAAGCATTCTCTTTTAGAAAACTCTTGGAAAGAGAGATGCATACATTAGAATAGTTTGAAATGGCCTCCAGCCTGCAAGTCAGGCTGAAAACATAGATATTCACTACTGTTTTCCTCTGTCCACCAGAAATTTCACTTGTCAAAACAAGAAAAAGATATGACTTTATCATTGTGGTAACTGTAAAATGAACTCGGGGCTGTGAGTCACCCTATACACATCTCTCTTATAAAATAGTCATGGATTCTCAAAGCAAGATGGCTGTTTCCTTTTAAAAAAAATAGATGCATAGACTGATTAACAAATGAGTATTAATTAGTCCCAAGCAACAAGCTTATTTCCTATAAGGACCAGTCAAAACCTTTCCTCCACAGCCACAGGCTGCACCCCTAATCCAGCTATCTACCTTGCAATGCACATAGCACCAGTCAAATTTCAGTTGGGTTTAGAAGCAAATCCATCCTCTCTTCTAGTTAAATATCTCATAGGTTGCATCTTACCCATGAAGGTGCCTTCACATGGAAAAGATGGCATTTTTGTTTCCTAGAAAATAATCAGTCATTCTACTTACCCCCCTAAGCTTCCAATGATCTCATTCAAAAGTTTATTGGAAGGGAGATTTTGCCGATAAAATATTGCATTTCATATTCCATGTGATTTTCAAGTGTTCGTGTTTGACATTGCCAAGTAAGAAACAATTTTAACGTGCCAATGCTAATGTGAAAACGTAGGCCAAGGTCTCAGAGATGGCAACATAGCTTGAAGGCTGTGAACTATGTCTGCTCTGTACTTCTCACTTCAGGTGAAGTTCAAGTGTGAAAAATCTTGTTTACTATACTGGTTATAATAGCATTATCCAATTCAAAAAATTCAGCTGAATATCTACCTTTTGAGGAGTGACTACTTTTTTATAAATTTATAGGTTAGACATTTTATTTCATTTTAGGTTAATAGTAATTGGTACAAATATATCCTTGATGTGTCAACCTTGTATATAACCGATTGCAAATAAAGCATAAATCCACTTTAGACACCTCCTAGTGTGTTTATTTTTATTATTTATTTTTTTTGAGACAGAGTCTCACTCTGTCACCCAGACTGTAGTGCAGTGGTGTGATCATGGCTCACTGCAGCCTTGACCCCCCTGGGCTCAGTTGATTCTCCTACCTTAGCTTCCCAAGTAGCTGGGACTGAAAGCATGCACCACCACACCCATCTATTTTTTGTATTTTTTGTAGAGGTGGGGTTTCTCCATTTTGTCTTGAACTCCTGGCCTCAAGTAATCTGCCTGACTTGGACTCCCAAAGTGCTGGGATTATAAGCGTGAGCTACCACTCCTGGGCCCTAATGGGTTTATTAATCAAGTACATTAGAAAGGCCCTTTCTAAAACTTTCCCATGTATTTTGGACCCAGAAAGGAGCATTTTACTAGGGCGCTAAGGTAGTCTGCCTACCATAAATTCTTGGCAATTTGAAGGGCACTCTTTCAATCTCTAAATTCAGTTCTTTAAAGAGCCCATCTAGTCTCTGACTTTGGGGGAAAAAGAGATTGTCTGCTGAGAGTTTGCCTGCATGCTGGAACAGATGAAAAGTTTTTTCCATCCCCACTCCATTTCTAAAACAGCATGAGCAAGTTTTCATCTGTATGGCTTCTTTATCTTAATAGAAATGAAACTCTTTCATTAAATCCTGCAGAGGTGTGAAACCTGAGTTCTACCATACATGATGTCATTAATACTGGGCAGAATTATTTGGGAAATGTTGAAAGGGAGAGAAGAAACCCCAACCTTCCCCCTTTTCCCCCTTAATTTAATAAAGTTGCTCAGCCTTCTGAGCCCAGTGTGGTTTTCTTGAATTGCACAGCTGTTGCACAGCTGGGAATAACCTAGATCAATGCTGATCTTTGGCTAAAATGAAACAAAGGACTCGGTAGAATGAAAAGTTAAGTGCCCAGCCACTTGGACCATCTTTGGGTATATTCCCCTCCATGGAAGGCAAGAAGCCTAAAGAAGATGTACTAAACATTAAAGAAAAAAGAAAAATCTTCAAACAATTGGCTTGGGAACAGACACATAAGGAAATCCACCAGAAAGCTACTGTGTTTCTCATCTTTCACCCATCAGCATGGAATCAGATTCTTTTTGGAGGATTTTGGGCTGGGAGCACATGCTGAGACCCGAAGTAGGAGCTGTGTTATTTTGCAGGCTCCCACCTCACCCCACCTAGACTAATGCTGTAGGTTGGAGTGGGTAGGAAAGAATTAGGTCGTTCTAGTCTATTTTTTTAGGATTTTCATTCCTCTTGCTCATTTCAAACAGCCAAGTCTCCTCCAAACCTTCAGGTTCCTGAATCTTTCCTTTGCCTTTTATTAGGGCTAGAAGGATTGTTAAAGTTGATAGAAAGTAAATACATATTGTACTGATTTCAGTTACTGGTGTTGATGAAGAGAGTACCAGTCTAGATCTTTCTTCCACCCCTGAGTTTTTTCAGCATTTTCATTTTTAAAATATAATATAGGGCCCTATCTAGCAGAAGAGGAAATAAGTGACAAATTATCTTATTAAATGTTTTAGTTTCTTAGCGAAAGTTTACAGACAGATCAATTATTAAATAATTGTTATTATATAACATTATATAACAGTTTAGATATATATGAGATCTAAAACATAAATATATTTGATAAATAATGGATCACATTGCATGTTTTTTGAAAAGCTCTGAATTCACCCCTTTCTGACAAAGACATTAAGTCCATTTACCTGGGAGATAAGAAGCAGTCATGCTGGACTTGCCTTAGCTGCCAGCTCACTGTACATGATCATTTGAAAATTGCTCGATAACTTGCTGCTGTTGTTTTCCCATTGGAGAGGAAATCAATTGCCTGCCTGCTTCTCACATTCCCGTCAGAAGGCAGGAGGTACAGCCAACTGGACTAATACTTTTCCTCCTTGGCCAACTGTTCCAGCCAAGGATCCCTGCATGGCTCCACTCACCATTTCAGGCTAACCCATTCTCCACACAGCAACTTGATTTATTACACGCTCTGGCTAATAGACTCTGACTGCTGTTTCAACCTTTACTAACTCTTCTGGCTGTGGCTTCTTTCTTGCCATTTCTATCTAAACAAACTTCTGGTCTTAGACCCTACCATCAATCCTATCCTGTCGACGCCTGCGCTAGATAATTTTGTTGGCCTCCCAAGCATCCCTCCTCCTTCTCCCATCCACATAACCTTTCTTCCTGTTGGGGAATTTGCCTGTCCCCTCTTCTCTGTGTGAGTTTGCTCACTGTTGTCCCTAGTTCTACTTTTAGGGGTGATGCCTGATTGGCTCAAAACAGTAAGTGTATCCTACCCCTCCTTGGCCACAGGGATTAAAGAATGAGCAGAGCAGAGATAGAGATAAGGGAAAGTATTTGATGGAACACCTGTGAAAGAAAAACTTGTCCATATTTTCCTGGAGATACTGGGGAGAATGCTTCCTTTTTCCTACTAGATGGGACAAGGACAGAAGTGCCTGGAGATCTGCTAGCAGCCACTTGTGACTCTAAGGGAAGAGCCTGTGAAGAATGAAACCAACACCAAAGAGGCAGAGCTGAGAAGGACAGAGAAAGAAACCGGATCCTGGTTACAGTCTCGGAGCTGCTGCTTATTTAGGAGACATTGAAATAGTTGAAATGGACAGATAAGGAAGTCCCAGAGAAGGCAGTAGCAGTGAGAGAAATTAAGGGAGTAGACTTCATAGAATGTGAACATGAGAGAGGGAGCCATTGAAGATGCAGGGGGAAAAGATTCATTCTTAGAGTAAGGTTTTGATCTAGTAGGGGTGGATAGGGTCCAGGTTATTGGTAGAGGGCTAAATTGTGGGTAGGGAGAGGTCTACTACTACTCCAAATAAGGGAGGAAAGCAAGAAAAAATAGGCATGTTGATAAATTCACAACTAGTTTGATTTTCAGTTTGCACTAAGTTGTTGCACACTTTAGCTCATTCAATCATTTATTCATTTACCCATTTAACTACTACGTATTGCCAAGTATTGAGTTACATGCTAGGCATACAAAATGGTTCCTTCATAATCCTTCTTCCCACAATTAGCTATGTCAAGCTGAAATTTCTGTGAAGATTTGGAACCTTCCAGAAGGTGTCCTTGCATATTGTATCCCATTTTCCAAATTCGAAATCAGATCCAAGCTAGTCATACTAGAATTTCATGCATTTCTCCTAGAGACACATTTAAATTCCTTCAAAGCCTTAGAGAGTGAACCCAATGCTTTAAGTACAGATTTTGGATCACAACTCTATTGCTTCTTTTGTAATGTAATGTGAGGCCAACATCTTAGCAAAGGGGCCCCATGGTTTTCTTCCCTAAAAGTAGCAAACCCCCAATTCCTCAGACTTTGCACTAGCCAACTTTGCCAAAGTTCACAAGATCTGCAGTTAGCCAGCAATTTGTGGACATCACATTATTTTTAGACAATGTTGAGCCCTGATGGGTGGAGAAGCAAGAATGCTTTTCAGTGGTCTCCTTTGCAAGCCTTTGATGTTCCCTCTAAGTCATATTGTGTCAGTGGAAATGTTGGTCTGAGGAGACTCTGGCAATTCTTTCAAAAATGCACAAATGCTGAGTGTATGTTTTTAATGGCTTCAAGCAATTAAAATAATGTTTAAAATAATTATAAGTAGCAGCTCATTAAAGCAAGGAGGCTGAGGGCCCGGATGGCCACTGGCTTGTAGCTGTGCTAGGGACAGTGTTGTGAAAGGGATGCTTAGGTCAATGGAAGTTCCTGCTGAGAAAATTCTGGTGTAATCTAAATCAGCTGCTGCCTCTGTGGTGCAGATGCCCCTGAAAATGGGCCATTAGACATTAACTGGGGAGAAACGTGGTCCCTTAGGAAAAGGACAATTAAACACAAATGCAGGAATGAGCATATTAAATGTTTCACAAAACTAAAAACTAAAATTTAAAAAAAGCCCAATAAAGTGATTTCTTCAAACTAGAAACCTACAGAGATTGAAGCTAAGTGCCCAAAATACTAAGCCAAAGCAAATTCTCTAAGGGTATGTTCAGCAGATAGTGAGCTGATGGAGAAGAAAAGAAGCTTCCAGAAACCGTGCAGGCTATGGTCAACCAAGGAAGAAATGAGTGGATTAAGATGTAAGCATATTAAGATGATAAGAAATTCCAGCATCAGAAAGAATAAAGGAGTCGGTCATTAAAATGAATTAGAGATTAATCAAAATAAAACTTAAGAAGGCTGAGCCTGTTGATCTGCTATCAGTGGGGCTTGTTTTAGCAGGGAATTTCAGGGGATTTATCACAAGATAATATGGATAAAAAGTTGCTCTTAAGTCTTTAAAGGGATACAACCAAATAAAGTAATCCTGCAAGATGACTTTCCTTTTACAACGACCCATATTCAAGACAAAAATATATATATATATATATGCATAAGAATATTGTATCTTTTGCAAATAAATATGCAAAATATATCATCTTTGTGCTTCATTTTTCTCTAACTCTGGGGAAAAAAAATCAATTTTGGTCTCTTTCTTTGAGAGAACCAAATCTAAATTTGAGCAGCACTTCTTGCCAAATAAACTCATCCTTTTAATTATGTTAGAAGTTAGAAGGACACACAGAGGGGAAAAAAAACATTT
This sequence comes from Homo sapiens, assembly GCF_000001405.40. Lineage (NCBI taxonomy): Eukaryota > Metazoa > Chordata > Mammalia > Primates > Hominidae > Homo > Homo sapiens. The sequence goes on along the minus strand of NC_000018.10, from coordinate 55,147,556 downwards.
TAAAATTTTTTCTTCACTTGCTCCAATCAGTTCAGATCCTTCCCATTTTAAGATAGCAGCAAGAACTTGAATATTCAGAAACCCAACTTCACCAGAAGCTTGAGTTTCTGAATTCACAACGATGATTATAGGCAATTATAGCCTTTATCTTTTTCCATTAATAGCATAAAGTAGCCAGTTAAAAAAAAATGCTAAAAATCTTACATGGCTTTCTTATTTCCTCTTTATGGAATTGACTATCATGTCCTTTTACTTTCTACTTATATTTAATTATTCTTTCCTCAGAGGACAGACAGTGAACTTGGATTCAACTTTTGTCTACTTTTGTCTCAGTGAAAACAATGGGGTCTTCTTGTGATAACTTCTTTTTATCTTCAAATTTTAATATTTACAATGAGTTTTTGCTACATGTCTTTCCTGAGAATGTACTACACACCCCGTGCTTTCACTTTCCTGGGTTAACCATCAGGGATTTGGTCCCCAAGACCCTTGCCCAGCTCTTAGAGGCACCAGCAGAGGCAGACCTAGTGCTGGAGTGTTCTAAGATATGACAGTCCTCTTTGGAGCCCTTGCTGACCTTCCAAAGGGTTTACTGCAGAGAAAAAGCCAAATCAGAGATCAGTAAAGGCTCTTCAAATCAGACAGCCTGGCAAGACAGGGTCAGAGTACCACTGGCTCTAAACATAAAAAGATAGTGACTTTTATATAACTGGAAGAGCTACTTTGACCAGGAGTTCCCTCCTGCTTCTCCTGTACCCCAACAGGCTCTGGAGAGTCCTACAGTGTTGGCTGTTGGGTTTCAGCTCTTGACACCCTCCAGAATGCAGGAGACAGCTTACCATAATTGTTAGGAGCACAGTGTTTGGAATGAAGTGGGCCTGAGAACTAGCCATTCCAAAAGGGCTCCTGGTGTCTACCGACCTACCAGCCTGAATGCACCCAATCTCAAAGGTAAGCAGGTTGGGGCCTGGTTAGTGCTTGGATGGGAGTCCAAAGAGGGCTTTTGAGACTCATAGAAAAGACTTGAGATCCACAGCTCTGAATTCCCAAGAGATGGGTGTTTTGAAAAACGAAACACCTGAAAGAATAGGAGCCTTCAATTGATAATAGAAGAAAAACTTACAGAAAAGAAAATTGGTAAAAAGTCCAATGGCCTGTCTGCATAGCCCCAACAGAGGTTGACAGAGCTGGTAGAGGAGGAGCTAAGGAGACAGCAAAGGCAGCTAAAATGTGGCCTCTTCCTTGTGAAGGGGTGCTACTCCTTCCCACCAACCTGGGGAGGAGGTGGGGGCTGGACAATAGAAATCTCAGACAAATGGTCAGGTGACTCACTGCCTCGGAAGTTGAAAGGGCAACAGGCCTTGTAGAGAAGCCTTTCATGACAATATGGGTTGTGGGCTTAGAGAAGGATGGACAGTAGCCAGTTCTAAGCAGGAAAGGCTAAAAGATGGGTGTGGAAGTGGCTGAGAGCAAATGGTACAGGAGACATCTTAGTAGGGTTGTGGACATAGAGGTTATCTGTGGGCTAGATGTGGCCCCCTCCTCACTCAATGCCATGTAAGTCTCTGCCAGCCAAGAGGAAAGGTGAGGAGAGGCCAAACCTTAAGACACTGATTTCAAAGCCGAAAGGACTGAGACATTACCAGTGTGTCTGAATTTACCTAGTTATAGCTAGATTTTGTCAGTAGACTAAATGGCGGCTTAAAAGATAATTTAAGTTCATTCATAGAAAAATCATCAAATTTATAGCTTTTATGTACCTAAGTTTGTGGCTTGCAAATTTTGCACTTGGTAAAAGATTTAGTATAGTGAACCTTTCAGTTTGGGCAAAGGAGTCATTAAGATTTAACATACTTGATAATCAGGACTAAAGATTTGTGGTAAAAAAAAAAAAAGAAGAAAGAAAGGGAACTTGGGGAGTGGAGTGACTCAATATTCAGTTAGAAAAAAATGATGCTTTGTTCATTTATTCATTTAGATACAGGATCTCATTCTGTCTCCCAGGTTGGAGTATAGTGGTGGAATCATATTTCACTACATCCTTGAACACCTGGGCTCAAATGATCCTCTCGCCTCAGCCCCCTGAGTAGCTAGGACTATAGGCATGTGCCACTATGCCTGGCTAGATTTTAAATTCAAATTTTGTAGAGACAGGGTTTTGCTATGTTGCCCAGGCTGGTCTTGAACTAGTCTTAAGTGATCCTCCTGCCTCAGCCTCCAAAAGTACTGGGATTATAGATGTGTGCCACCACATTTGGCCAGAAATGAGGCTTTGAATTTAAGAGACAACCATGAAGAAAGAAAAGAAAGCATGGATTCAAGATATGTCCCAGATATTAAAAGAATTCAGAAACTGATTGAGCACAGAGTGCAAAATTAAGGGACAATCCAAAGATTGAAAATTCCTGAGTTCCTGGAGCAAAGGTGGAATCATCAAGGAAGTACAGAAAATCAGGTGATGATATGGGAGCTGATGAATTTGTCTTTCAAATAATTCATCCAGTGTTTTTACATAAATCAACCAATAATCAAAATAGCCATGTGAGAAAAACAATTTTGTAGATGCAAAAATGGATGTGCTGACTTGTGCATGAATGTTCATAGTAGCACTATTCATAAAAGCCAAAAAAGTGGAAACAACTCAAATGTCCATCAGTTCAGCCATAAAATGGAATGAAGTACTGATGCATGCTAGGACATAGATGCACCTTAAAAACATTACATTAAGTGAAATAAGCCAGTCATAAAACGTCATATATCATATGATTCCACTTATATGAAATTCCCAGGATAGAGAAATCTAAAGAGACAGAAAGTAGATTAGTGGTTTCCAGGGCCTAGGGAGGAGGATTTGTGGAAATGCAAGTAGCTCATGTGTACAGGATTTCTTTCAGAGGGGATAAAAATGTTTTAAAATCGATTGTGGTGATGTTTGCACAATCCTGTAAATATACCAAAAAACATTGACTTTAACACTTAAGTGGATGAATTGTGTGTTATACCAATTATATCTTAATAACCTTTTTTGTTTTCTTTTTCAGAAAAAAATGGATCTGCAGAAAGCCTAAGCAGCTTATTCAAGCTGATGCAACCAGTGAAGGGGTCTAGACTTGTCCAAAGCTGAGCACATAGACACTCAAAAAAAAAAAAAAAATTCCAGGTCTGCCTCAAATTGCATCATTTTTGAGACAGATTGGGTAGGCATTTTCCTTTGGCCTACTTTCAATGCATACTTGGCCAAAGTTGGTATCCAAATTTAAATTCAAATCTACAACTACATAGACTTGTTTCTATTGTTACTAGTAGAATGTCATAAACTCAATTCCATAGAGGTAAACAGATATAAAACTAAGTTAAGAATGCTTTGATAAAATATATTGAACTACGTATTAGTCCATTCTCACACTGCTACAAAGAACTGCCTGAGATTGGGTCATTTATAAAGGAAAAATATTTAATTGACTCACAGTTATATAGGGATAGGGAGGGCTCTGGAAACTTACAATCATGGCCTAAGGGGGAGCAAACATGTCCTTCTTCACATGGCATCAGGAAGGAAAAGTGCTGAGCAAAAGGGGGAAAGGCCCCTTATAAAACCATCAGATTTCGTGAGAACTCACTCATTATCACAAGAACAGCATGAGGGTAATGGTCCCCATGATTAAATTACCTCCCACCAGGTCCCTCCCATGACACGTGGGGATTACGGGAACTAAAATTCAAGGTGAGATTTGGGTGGGAACACACAGCCAAACTATATCAAATGATTAGATTTTTTAATGGTCACAAAAAAAGAAGTTGCAAAACTTTGGCTGCCTTATGAATCCCACACTATAGAGAGTAGAATGTCAACACTAGGCTAGATAGCATGGATGGAGCCCCAAGGTTCTCTTGTGGTAGACAATCAATCTAAGGCAGAATGTGGCTCAGTGTCTTGCCCAAAGCCAACTGGGGCACTGAGCTGGTGTTGGAAACAAAGGCCAAAGACCTTTTCAGGGTATAGTGACACCATGTTACTCGGGGATGTTTCAAAGATTTTCTGAACTGCTGATGACGGGTTTTTAACTTAGCACCAGGAAACAATACCCTGATTCAGAATTTGTGAAAAAAGTGGTTAAAACAATTGTATTATTCAAAAAGAGCAAAGGAAATTCCAGTCCTAGAAATGCAAAAGATTAATAGATTCTCTATACCCCATAGCTGTTTTCATTTCCTATACAGCAAAACCATCTTGAAACACTAAACCCTAAACATAGTCTGTACATGACAGCAAAGAAACTTTTAGAAAAAGAATAAATTGCCGAATGCAAGTGCAGACTGTAATTTCTTGACATGGAATGGAAGCAGATGTGCCCAACTTAACATATCTTTATTAAATTCGCTTCCAAGTGGCATTTTCTTCTCTTTTTGTGGGAGGGAGGTGTCTTGGCATAAAGCTTTCCTTTCTGTTAACCAAACAACCCTGTTTTTGTATATGCTATGAACAGTTAAACTTGGGTCATACATTAATTGTGAATAAAGGTTTAAGCTATAGACCTAAGTTTAGGGTGTTGTCTCTGCTACATGTAGTTTTAAGATGAGGCTGTTAAATAAGCTGGACCACTCCTTTGAAGCAGTAGGATGTGAAAGTCTGTTGTACCTTTAGCATCATCTAGCACCACTTATTAAACCATAGCATAAAGTTGCAAAAGGTCAGTATCTATCTATCTATCTATCTATCTATCTATCTATCTATCATCTATCTATCTATCTCTCTATCTATCTATCTATCTATCTATCTATCTATCTATCTATCTATCTAACTATCATCTGTTTATCTATCTGTCACGGGTAGACCGCAAGGCTAAGCATGCCTGGCTACACTATCACTGATGGAAGAGCAATGCAAGTTAGGCATCTTTCCGCCGTGCTGAAATAGAGGAAGTGCAGCTCTGAGAGATTCAGGAACTTGCCTGTAGTCATAGTTGGGAAGTGGGACAGCTGGAATTGCAAAGCTGTGACTACAAATCTGGAGCACTCTCCACTACATGTGAAAGCTTGCAGCCTATCCTATGCATCCGCTCAGTTTACAGGAGAAACTTTAGTGAGGGAAGTTAAGGAACTACACAACATGAGATTACCTAAGGTCGAGGGTGAGGGTGAGACATCCATGTGGTCTCACCTGAAGGCTGATGATAGGGAGGCAAAAAACTTTGAAGTGGCTGAGAAACATCGCTTTTCAAATCAAGTGAAAATGCTGGAACTCCATATTTGTGGATTTGTTTTGAAGCCTGTTCCTAGTCTAGTAGAGGGGAACTCCTAGGATTCTCTATAGCGCATTCACAGGCACCTGTCAGGGAGAGAAGCAAGGCACATGGTGACCAGGGGGCCTAACTGCAGGGAGACCTGAGTATCCATTCCAACTGGCCCATGGGAACATCAACTTCTTTATCCATGAATCTTGCTCTTACCTTCTTACATAGAACTTTCTGTACGAGGCAAGAACCTTGGACTTGTCCTCAGGATACCTAGTTTGCAGATTGGGTGCTTGTTGTATCTCTGTGACTTATGGGATGCGACCGCACTTCTCTTCTACTCAGTTTCTTTATCTGTAAAAGAATATTTTTCCCTCCTGTAGAGATGTCCCTTTGTGTCAGGTATGACCCCCAACTCATGTTTCTAACATGGAAGAAGTTTTGAACTGCTCCATTCTAGGTCCTTCAAATACTTTTCTGTTGTATGCTTGTGATCATGCATTTGTGGGGCTGGGAGGCTGGGAGGAAGTCTATGGCATGAGACCTTTAAATAAAGCAGGGGTCAGCACACCAGGTCTGCTTTTACATGGATCCTTTGAAGACCATACTCTAATATTCTGAGCTGAATATGAAATACAGGCCAATGGGACTGGGGCCTAAAATGGTGATACATGAACACTTAAAAATATACAAGTCACTCAAAGGAATGGTTCAAATGGCTAATAAATTTGGAACGAATACAAAGAAATACTTTTCCATGCAGAGTGTGGTCAACCTGTGGAATTCGCAGCTGCAGGAGGTAATTGAGTCAAACACCGTGGGTGGATTTCATAGAGTTGGTGTGGCAGACAGCTGCCGAGGCAATGCAAATTGTGCTGTTAAAATTATGCTCCAGTTAGACATTCACCATTGTAGCAAGGGAGCAGAGTCTGTAGGACTAGAGGCACAAATGGAGTAGCAGCTATTTTTACTGAAGAGCCTTTTATTTTTCCAAAGTAAATTCTCACATCACTCCTCTGAAGCAAAAAGTAAAGGAGGAGAGGGTGGTTAATGTGAACTCCTCTAGGTGAATGTGTGTCAAAAGAGAGGCACATTTGTAGATATTTTTTCTCAAAAAGAAAAATGATGCGAAGTTTCTTTTTACCTTAGGTAAGTTGAGCTCTCATGGGATCACACATTTTCAACTAAACTTTCCAAACTGAAGGTTCTTCAGAGCAGCCTGATCTATTTTTCTTAGCTAGTTCTGCAAAGATGGAAACACAGAGCTCTTTTTGTCTCTAAGTAATTCTGATGGCTCACTTGACCTTGAACTGGATGGCTGAAAGTATCTTCAGAGGATCCTGGTCCTCCAAGCCCACCTTGCATCTCCAGGAATCGTCCGGGAGTTCTCTGGGATTGTTGCAACTCTTGGATTATATACATGCAAAAAAGAAAAGAGCAAGTGTCTAGAATTTTAACACATTTTCCTTCAGGACTGGATAGATGCATCTAAATCACAGGTCCCAACATTTTGCTTTGTGGATGAAGCTTTGGTGTTCATAAAGACACCACCACCCTTCTCTCTGTCTGCTTATTCTTGGCCCTTGTCCCCTCATTCTGAAATCCCGACATTAGCAACTCTTCAGAGGCAGTGGCCTGGGTTATTGACCCTCATCATTCCGGCTAGACATGGGTTGTGGTTGGAAGATAAAGGGAGTGTAATGATGACAACATGACTCTCCAGAGGACTTTGAGGAACCTCAGGCAAAGGCTTTGGGGTGACACCAGCTTGCAGGCTGCAGAAAGTCAGCCTAGATGCTGACATTAGCACCTGGGTCCAGGTTGTGCAGCCCTATAGAGACTTATGTTTTATAAAATGAACACTAATCCTTTTGACTGGTACAAGAAGAGCCCACATTGCCAAATACCACGAAATAGGGCTCTTTAGCTCAAGGGAAAAGTAGAATTCACCATGTGTGGTTTTGGTCTCCCTCTCCTCTCTCCCCTCTCCCCTCTCCCCTCTCCCCTCTCCTCTCTCTCTCCTTCTCTCTCTCCCCCACCGTGTGTGTGTTTGTGTGTGTGTGTGTGTGTGTGTGTGTGTGTGTGGCTGCACTAACAGAAATATCTATTCCCTGGGTACAAAACCAGAGAAGCCTTGTGAAAAACTAAAGAACCCCAAAGACAGATGATGGACAAACCCGCCGTCATTTCGGGTCTGTCAAAGCTTCAGCTCATTCGCATGTTTCTGAGTCAGTAAAACCAAAAACATATTTTTCCAAACACATTTCCACCCTCCCATCATTTTTAAAATCCTGTGTAATTTAAGGGAAATTCAATCCATATGCTTTTGATTTGTTTACACTTGTATCATCAAAATATGTTTTTAAAGAGCTTGTGGAGATCCCAAAAGGCTCCTCAGCCTTTTAAATGAGCCTTTTAAAGCTTTTTTTTCCCCTCTTAGTAACAGGAGGTTGCATGTTGCCAAGGGTAAATGAACTTGAAAATGAAGAGGTTTGTGCTGGGCTCAGAATTTTAAATCTAACACTTCTGCTTGGGGTTTAAATTGTAAAATTGGCTTCTGGAGGCTAGTCTTCCCTCAGCACTGTTACCTGTCCAGAGATTAATAGGGAACTTGCAGTGTAACAACCATAATCACCAGAACAAGGAGCCAGAGAACTTCTTCAGAAACAATTAAAGAGATAAGACAAGGATAAATTTTCTTCCATTTCCTTTCAAAAAAAAGAGTGAAAGGAAAAAGGAAGGGAAGAAAAAATAGAAAGAAGGAGAAGGAGAAAGAAAGGAAGAAGGAAGGAAAGAGGGAAGGAAGGAAAGAAGGAAGGAAGGAAGGAGGGAGGGAAAGAAGGAAGGAAGGAAGGGAGGAAGAGAGGAAGGAAGGAGAAGCAAAGCAAAGAAAAAAAAAAAGCCCATCTCTAACAACCCAAAATATCCCATTCTGCCCAGGCAAAGTGACAGTGTAAAGTTGTCCCAAGAAAGTAATGACATTGACCATATTTTCCTGTATCTTTGAGATCCTTAAACTGTTCTTCACAAAATCCTCTGTATTGCATGGGATCACTGACTCTTGATGTTGAAAGGGAAACTTTATCTATTTTAAAGATGAAAACTGAGGGCCAGTTTACACAATTAGAGAGTGGCCACACTGGGAGTAGAGCTGTTCCCTGATTTTTGCTCATTCCACCTCTCTTTCATTCCCATGCCCATTTTACAGTTGAGAAAATGTAAGTAATGAATAGAGTGCTACCTCTTTACGAGCAGGCACTACCTCTTTATTCCATCTTCTCGGGATCCCAACACCGTCTGGCATTGTGCCTTAGCATAGAGGATGAGGTCAATGATTATCTGTTGGGAGAATAAACAATTAGATCCATATAAACTAGATAAGAAATTCAGAAGAACTAAGTATACACACATACACACACACACACACACACACACACACATTCTTAGGCATTAAGAATTTGATTTTGCTTGAATTATTCGAGTCTCTTGTCTCTCTGGTTGTCCTGTCTAGCCATCACCTGGCTTTGTCAGATATTTCAGGCCTAAACACTTCCAGAATAACATCATCAGTCAGTTCTTCTTTCATATCTGAAATCGATGTCTTTAATTCTGCAACTCAAAGAAATGGAAGAGAATACAAAACAGAACAAAATTCTTTTAATTGCTTACAAATTGTTCTAGCATGATGATCAAATGTACCCCATCTGGTGTGTGCATGCCTCTGACTTTCTCATGGAGGGAGTGCTGAGACCGGACCACAGAGCAAAACCCTCAATCTGTGATTTCTACATTGGCAAAATGCAAAAGAATCAGTTAGTCCAAAGCCTGTTAACTAGATGTGTTCACAAATTTGTCCCTATGTTGACATTTCTAATTTCAATCCAACGTCTTTTAACTGACGGTTTCTACCCATTTTTGTTAGGCACATTAGATGTATTAAAATAATGTATACAAACACTAACCATTCACCTTAGAAAGTAAGTAGAAGATGTGAGTACAATTTTTACTTTTTTAGGTTCAATGACAATGACAACAAAATTCCTAAAAGCCTATTTAGTATGCCAGGTGAAATTTCCAGAATTTGGTGGAATATATCTGTCTCTCTACTGAGATGTAGACATATAAATATGTTTCTTCCACATGCCCATATGGACACATGTTTACATGGAGTAACATCATTCTATAATAAGCTGTGGTCTGCCGGTACCTGGAAGTTTCTCTGCATTTTAGGAGTCCTTCATGTAGGTGATTGTGAATGGTTTTCCTCAGAAGACCAGAGGAAGCTGAGCACATCAGCAGGCAAAGTATATTGATCATAGAAACAGAGCTTGGTAAAAGCTTTCATGCTTTAGAAGCAAGAACCTTGCTGTACACAAATATTTGTCTTGCCACATCTTCTTTGATTTTGCTTTATTTTAAAATATTCTTATAGCGAGAAGGTTAGAGCTTATCTGCTTCAGTGTTTCTGCAAGCTCCTTAAAGATAAGCCTCACTGGAGGTCTAGGCTTCAATCCAGAACTACTAAGTCAGCATTTCCAGGGGAAAGGCCTAGCTGACCATCTCCAAAAACCCTGTAGGGAATCTTTATCACTGGGGAGGAAAGACTGACTGGGTTCCTTGCATGCACCAGATTCGTGGCCAAAGTGGGTGAACACTGGGGCTCCTCATTCCTCTCTGTGCTTTTTCCACTTTACCCACTCATGTCTTTGGTGAGCATAATTGGGCTTTCTAGAAATATCCAAATCAGAATATAGGAGGCTGAAAATTTGGACCTTTGTGTGCTTATCTGTGTCTTACGTTTTCTCAGTCTTGATCTCCCCATCTGTAACATGCAGAGTTCAGAGGAGATTCCTGAGGCTTTTGCAGCTTTCCTGTTATAAGAGGCAAATGTAACCCTTGCTATACATACCATAAAAGCAGAGGCTGCTTCTTATTGATCTTTGAATCCCCACACCTAGCACATAAAGATGCCCAATAAATGTCTATTGAAGAAGGAAAAAAAAAAAGCCCACAAGAGTGTAGCATATTGAACTGGGTGGTCCACAAAACACAACCTTTCACATGGTTTTTTCATTTCCAGACTTTTATGTGTAACAGTGATTTTTATAAAAGTAAATCTGTTGTTACAGAGCCATATTATTATAAATGTTCATTACATACTTGGGTGTTTTGTTTCTCTGATACAGCCACGAAATCTGTCTAGGTTTGAGTCATTTAGAAATGAGCCACTCTCTAAGAATTCCTAGGAAAGAAACCTCTTACCTTTTTCTCGAATGTCCAACTCCAAATACTCAAGCATTTAAGTCACATCCTCTGTTTTCTTTAAAAACGGAACACAGATAAAAACTGTTGCTTTCCATTTAGCATTTTCAGATGTGCCGGAGAACAGACCATTTCGAAGAAAGTATGTTACGATTTAAAGCCTTACAATTTAAAAATTCATTAAAAATCCCGGGAGGCCAACCCATCCTCTGTGAGGCTGCTATTAATTTAAACCTCCTGTGTGGACAGAACACAGGTGCAAGGCTTTGAAGGAGTCAGGAAATGAAGCGATGGAAGACATCAGGCTCTGGCCTAAACCATCACTTCATGACTTGCAAGATGACTGAAGCAGGGGCTGGAGCGAAGGAGAATCATATGTGGGTGTAATTTTTTAGGTAAAGCTAGGAGGTCGGTAAGGATGCTTTTCTGCATCTGGTCCACATTTGATGGCTTCACGGGATGTTAGAGCGAGTGGGGTGCCCTAGAGAAGGGGTGAGAAGGGAGCACAAGAGGCAAGCCTGCCTGGATAGCTTGGGAAGCCCCAATTCAAGCTCTCCACTTGCTTACTCTCGATCATTTTACAGAGGATGTGAAACTCCCCAGTGTTGCAGCCTCTGGCACATTCTTTACCCATATTTTGAGAAAGAAAGGCAATCAAGAAAGCAGAGTGCTAATGTGTGACACTGCACAGACCTGGGGAGGGAACCCTTTTTCAAAAAAATACATGGTTAAGTGCTGTGATGATTCGAGCCCTTTTCAGGGTTTTAAGTAAATGGCTAGACATGAAATGTTAGCACCGGGGTTGTATCAGAAAGCCAAAATTCATGACTTGTTACTGGGTTTGTTATGTGACCTGTGGGGGTGTTACTTGTGAATGGATACTGTCAAGAGCACTCCCAGGGAAGATCAGCACACACAATGAGACTTCCCAGAGACCACTAGTTTATTTCAGACATAACCTCTCCTAGGCAGCAATGCAAATGAAGGTCCAACCAACTCAACAACTCACGGTCAGGGAGATGTCCAAGTAAGTTCTTTGGCTGAACATCTGAAGGGTGCTGCTTGGCCCCAGAAAACAAGGCATCTTATCTCCATTTCCAACCTCTCTCCTGTTTCCCCACGTAGCACTGACCTCTCTTCCATTCATTTTCCATTTCCAGTGACTGGAATTAACGTGTTTGCCTGTGTGCATTTCCAGTGATTGCATTCTATTGATCATTCTGTTCTCTCTGGTATAATACAAGTCCCTAAAGGGGAAAAAATTGCCTATCCTCCTTTTATTTGTACCCAAGCTTTGGGTACCTTACAAATGTCCTATAGTTGCCGACTTGACTGGTAAGAAAATCTTGTTGGATTGGAGAATCTGTTTGATTTAGGCACACCTTTCAGAATGTATCACAGGAATACTCTTGTATGGATGCCCTGAGTGGGGTCATGACTTGTAGGTCTGCTGACAGATCTTCCAGAAAAATAAATAAGAGAAAAGTATTAAAGATGAGAACAGGGATTAGGATGAAGACACGTATGTATAGAGGGATTATTCTAGTAATTTGCAAGCTTTCTGTATAAAACTGATGGGATCATGACTCAGTCACCTCTTAAACAACTGGTATAATGCTTTATACAAAGTAGGCAGTTTGTAAATATTTGTGGAATAGATTGGGAAAATATGTGAATCACTTCAATGCCTATTGTAGTCACTGTCTCTTCATTTTCTCTGTCCACAAAATAGACCAAGATTAGACTCAACCTTCACTTGTCTATTTCAAAACCTGCGTCTGAGCCCATTGTCCTCTTCAAATGGGAAGATCTATAGACCTTGATAAAGTTGATGTCTGGAAACCTGTGTGTGCTCACCCAGCCCACCCAGTGAATTCATTCGTATGATTCTTCACCTCTTCCCTGGATAGTAGGATCTTGGTGACAGAGGTCACCAACAGTCTAGTTGCATGAGTGAAATGAAAAGCAGAGGCAAATAAAAATGCAGTGTACTCTCCCAGTGAAATGCACCAGGAGAACAATTGCAGGCAACATGAAATAATTCTTATTCTAGCTCTTTGGCCACTCAGGCTCCTAAGCCTTCGGAAAAGTCAGAAAAAAAAGATCCTCAAGGAGAGAACAGAGGAGAGAAGGATGCTCTTCAGACAATCTGACAAAGCCAGCAAGTTTTGCTGTAGATTAGACTAACATGTAATGGGGAGGTAGTTCTACCAAGGAAACCCCTTATAAACAGAAATACTGTCTTTTGGAATTTAAAAAAAGTTTTGCTTATTAGACAGATGAATAACATTCACAGATTAATAAGGGCTCCAGGTGTTCATTCCCTAATGGTTCACAAGCTTGGGGTTGGGGTCGGGAGACAAGAGAAAAAGAATGAAAATAATGGTCCGCCCCCTGCACACATGAAAGTACCATGGGTTAGTTCTGTTTTCTGTGTCCAGGATGCTCTCCTCTTTTTGGGCTTCAGTAACTGGAGATACATGTTTTAGGTGCAAGACTGAATTTCACATACTAGGAAATAGAAGGCTGCAGGGCAAAAGGGAGTAACAATGTGAAAACACTTCCCTCAGTGCAATTTTCCGCAGAGAGCCCATCAGAAGATATGCAGACGCATCCACAGCTTCTCACCTCCTCCATGACTGCCACCCTAATCCAACCCACCCCTGTGTTTCATCTGGATGATTGGATGATTGCGGTATCCCCCTGATAGATCTCTCTGCTTCGTCCCCTGCCCTCCTTCCTTGTTTTCAAACCAGCAGCCAAAGTGATCCTTTTGCCATGAAACTCAGAGTGTGTCAAGCTTCTGAACCTCTGTGATAGAGTTGCCAGGTAAAATAGGAGATGCCTAGTTATTTGAATTTCACATAAATAATCAGCAATTTTTTTTAGCATGAGTATGTCTCAAAAGTTGTATGGGACATGTTTACACTAAAATTTATTTGTTTTTTATATTATTTTACTATTGCTGCTGTAACAGATTTCCACAAACTTAGTGTCTTAAAACCCTACAAATATATTGTCTTATATCTCTGCAGACAAGAAGTCCAAAGTGTGTCTCATTGCACTAAAATCAAGGTGTTGACAAAATTGTTTTCCTTGCCCTTTCCAGTTTATAAAGACAGCATGAATTTCTTAGCTTGTAACACCTTCCTCCATCTTCAAGGGCAGTGATCCAGTCACTCTGACCTCTGCTTGGACCAACACATCTCCTCCTTCACTCTTCTGCCTCTCTCTCTCTGTCACACATTTTAAGAACCCGTATCATGCCCTTGGGCCCACCCAGATGATCCAGGATATTATTCTCATTTCTAGCCCCTTAATATAATCACATCTGCAAAGTCCCACTTGCCATATAAGGGAACACATGCCATATAAAGGAATAGGTTCTGGAGATTAGAACATGCGCATTTTGGTGGGCCATTCATCTGCCTACCACATTGCTTATCCGATATTCAAATTTCACTGGTGTCCTGGGATTTTGTTTGCTAAGCCTGGCAACCCTAGCCCATTTACATTTCACTCAGAGGAAAAGCCTACTCCCCTCTACTGAGCTAGAGGGCCCCATGGTATGACCCCTTGCTCACTCCATTCTAGCCACGCGGGTCTTCTTCCTGTCCCATGAACCTTTTCAAGCATGCGCCCATCTCAGGCTCCTGCTTGGCGTTCTCCTCACACCTCCTGGACACTGCCTTCAAAGAGGTCCTTGAGGAAATGTCATCTTTCCCACGCAGCTTTCCTTGAGAACCCTCTCTCCACCAATCATGTCCCATTCTAATCTCCTTCATTTTATTTTTCTCTGCAGCAGTAACCATTATCTGAAGGGCTTATATTACTTATATTAATGTATCTTGTTGATGGTGTCTATTTCCATCCACTCTTTGGCCACCTCTAGGAGAGTTTATCTGCTAATATGTCTTCCATGCCTTACAACTCCCTAGCTCAGCAGAGGTGCTCCATGCATATCTGTTGGCTGAAAGAATGAATGAATGAACCAACAGAGTAGATAAAGTCATGGATAAAGTGGATAAAGTCTTGGTCTTGCCAGATCTAAGAAGGACATAGGTGCTTTTATTTTGTACATTGAAGTGAAGCCTCAATAAACTACATTTTAATAAGCTCATCTAAAAATAGGAGACAGCCCTGCCTTGTGATGTATGGGAATCTATTAATTATTACATAAGATTGAGGTATAAGTAGGTACAGCTTTAGCAACAGCTACCTCACCTCTGCTCTTCAACCTCTGTGCAGTACTGAGCTGTAGCTGTATCTGTCTCATTGCTCATTTTAGTTGCTAGGCTTGGTTCCAGAGAGTGAAAATTTTCCCATGATCTTTGTCATTAAACTAGTAACAATAATAATAACAAACAGGCCTTAAAAAGTAACTTTTCAAAACCTTTGAATTCCTTTATTCTTGTGTGTGGAGTATTTCTTTACTAAATCTTTCAACTGTGAAATTTTTATAGATTTTATATGGTACCATTCTAGGGAATTTAAATGAAGCTTTTTCTGAGGGTCACGGGGCCTGAAGGATTGACAGAGAAAAAGAAGAGAGAAGACTGAGGCTTCTCTTCAAAATAAACCTTACTAAGAAAATACCTCTGTGAGCCTGGGTTCCATATCTGGCAGAGCAGATCAGAGTCATGTAGACATCTTGCTGATGGTTTATGTTGAACGAACATTTTAAACAATATAACAAAAAATAAAAATGAACAATATGAAATAGGGCTTGCAATTTCAAAATACTCCGAATCTGAAATACAGATTTCAAAATATTCCCAAACAAAGGAAATAATGACAAAAATTTATAATAGAAGTTTCTGAAATATGTGTTTCAATACATGAATGAATGAGTGATCAATTAAACAAATACATAAATTCATCTGTGACTCCCTACATGTCTTGTGTTCTTACCTTTGTTATAATTTTTAACATAGAGATTGTCCTTTATCTCTCAACATAACCAGATCAAAGCCCTTTGGCCTAGACATTTTAAAAAATACAGATGATAAACATTTATGTAAACAAGCACGCCCTGATCTCCAAATTATTCCATGATTTACCTTAAAATCCCAAGCATTTTAAAAGAAGACTTTATTTTTCCTCCTGCTGACTTGGGAAGCAAGTGACTGATCCTGATATTAGACAGAAAAACGCAATTCTATCAATGTTATGCACCTTTCCACCTCCTGTACCTAATCTAGTTCTCTCCTTTCTCCAAACCCTGTTGCATTTAACAGGAGGAATTTCACAGCCTGACCCTTCATTGCATCTTATTTTATATTTTCTATCTTAAAGCATAAGTCTTGGGTACTTTACAAGACTGGGCAGTATAAAGTCATGCAAAGATCTAGGGCTTGGAACAGTGAAGACTCGTAGACAAATCCTGAATCTGCTACTCAATATGCCTTAGGAGAGCTAACAATTATGCATTCTATTTGTACCTATAAAATGGGAATTATAATACATACTTCATGTCATGTTGAGAGAATTACACACGACAATATATGTGGAAAGATTGACATTAAACCACAACATAGTATGTGCTCAATACTTATTTATTTTTCTCTTTAAAGCACAAAAGACATGAGTCATATTGCCCACAGCTTAGAGCTAAACATGGAGTAAGTGCTCAATAAATAGTGATCATTTGGTCATAGTTTAATTGTTGAGCTTGGGAAGCACTTCAAATTTCTCACTTTGTGTCCTTAGTCGAAAATCGATGAGAGTTTTGCCTTCTGTCCAGCGTCAGCCTGGGGACTGTAAATAGGGTGGCACTCTTCTCATCCCTGTTAAGTCCCTCTCACACTCAACAGAGGAGTTTAGGAAAGGTGGTTTTCAAGAGGTAATTTATTGAAGATAATTTTCCCTGCTGAGCAGCCTAAAAGGATGTATTTCTTGCAGCGTTAGAGTAATGATTTCTTCTTAAGGAAGATACAACCTTTTACCCTTTCAAAGCACCTGTACAAACCAGGTAATGAATGTACACATAACTAGGTTTTTCAATTATTGAAACAATCAGAAAAGAACTTACCAAAATTAAAATAATACTGTTTCACCAGAAAGAAACATTACTACTTAAAGTAAAACAGTTTCCACTCTCACTAACACCCATAACTAAACCTGCTGGGCTTCTGCATTTCTCTAGGGACTTTAGGGACACCAGGTATAGAGGGTGAGCGACATCCATATGGAAGGTGGGCGTGGACAGTGGGCAAAACTTCTCCCGAGGTCAGGCTTTGCTCTCTGTAACTGTTGGCCTAGGAGATGCAGACCTGCCTTTTTGTAAATTCAGAAGCAGGAGTAGCACATGGGAAAACCACTCATGAGAACAAATTTCCCTAGTATAACTGCCTCTTTTAAAAATTATATATTTGGTTATAGGCCATTTTGATCTGTATTTATTGGCACCGTGGGCTTTTCAAATGCCTTCACACTTTCATACCCAATCTTACTATATAAAAGTCAGTTCATGGTTTTGTTTTAAAACAATGTAATTCAGCCTGAATTCAATATACTTCAAATGCCTTCTTGGTTTAAAAAGTGAAGATTTATCATTATTGACGATTTTTGAAAGGAAACAATGTAAACTCATCATTACCACTGTCACCATTACAAACATATACATAAGCTGTTACGATGTGCCAATACCATGTTTAGTGAACTTAATTATTAAATCAGTTAGCTAAATTTATTATTTCATTTCCATAACAACTTTATAAGGCAGGTACTATCATTGTTTCCATTTTACAGATGAGGCTCTGACCCCTTAGAAAAGTTAGGGAACTTGTCCAGAGGTCACACAGCTAGAATTTGGTAAACTGAAAAATAAATAGTGTTAATTTCCTGGGGCTGCCATAACAAAGTATCAAAAACTGGGTGGCTTAAAACCACAGAAAATTATTTCTTCATTGCTCTGGGGGCTAGAAGTCTGAAACCGAGGTGTTACAGGGCCGTACTCCTTCTGAAATCTCTAGGGAAGGAGGCTTCCTTGCTTCTTCCAGTTTTTGGCAGCCCCAGGCATTCTTTGGTTTGTGGCCACATCCCTCCAACCTCCACCTCCATCTTCACAGGGCTGACTTCTCTGTGTCTCTATGTGTCTGTGTCTTCACATAGCATTTTCCCTGTGTCTGTATCCAAATTTCCTTCTTCTTATAAGGATGCCAGTCATCTCAGATTATTAAAGCCTACCCTAATAACCTCATTTTTTTTTTGAGGTGGAGTTTCACTCTTGTCCCCTAGGCTGGAGTACAATGGCATGATCTTAGCTCACTGCAACCTCCGTCTCCCAGGTTCAAGCGATTCTCCTGCCTCAGCCTCCCGAGTAGCTGGGACTACAGGTGCGTGCCACCATGCCCGGCTAATTTGTATTTTTAGTAGAGATGGGATTTTGCCATGTAGGCCAGGCTGGTCTTGAACTCCTGACCTCAAGTGATCCACCCACCTTGACCTCCCAAAGTGCTGGGATTACAGGCATGAGCCACCACACCTGGCCATAACCTCATCTTAACTTGATTAAATCTGCAACAACTCTTTTTCCAAATAAGACACTGTCACATTCATAGGTGCTAGGGGGTAGGACAGCAACATTTTCTTTTCCCAGGGGGAAAACAATTCAACCCATAGCACATACCCAGTCCATCTTGTTGTAGAATTCTTTTTTTGTTCATTTGTTTTAGAGACAGGGTCTCACTTTGTCACCCAGGCTGGAGTGCAGTGACATGATCATAGCTCACTGAAGCCTCAAACTCCTGGGTTCAAGGGGTCCTCCTGCATCAGCCTGCCGAGCAGCTGGGACTACAGGTGTGCACCACCACACTCAGCTAATTTTTATTTTTATTTTTTGCGGAAACAGGGTTTCACTATGTTGCCCAAACTGGTCTCGAACTCCTGGGCTCAAGTAATCCTCCTGCCTTGGCCTTCAAAAGCACTGGGATTACAGGCATGAGCCGCTGTGCCAGCCAGAATCCAATGTTTAATAATTCTTTCCTTGAGGCAAATTCCTAGAAGATTTTGCTCAACAGAAATGAACAGACCCTCAAGGACCCCATCCTGCAGAGGAAGATGCTTTATTTAGGGGCATGATTTCTGACCTCTTTACTTAGCAATCACCCGACTATATAGACACCACGAAAACCCATCAACAGACTGGGACTCCACAAAACAAATAAAATAAGTCTGTTTCAAATTCTTATTTGGGATTCCTTTCTCTTCCAAATTTTCACAGAAGCTCCTTGGCCCTTAATAATCCTGGAACAAGAGAAAACGGGGTCTTCCTTCAGGCTCCTGTTGCTCACAGACCCCAGTGAGCTGAGGCAGTTGCTATGGAGGAACAAGGCTGCTCTTTTCCAGGCAGGGGGCAAAGCTTGCTGCATGTTCAGCACCTGAGCCCTGCAGCCTGGGAGTTCTTCACTTGTCTCTGCTCCTCTGGGCACAGATCCTTGCCACTAGACTGCTGGGGTAGCCAGACTGGAGTCTTTTTAAAGGTTAGCAAGTTTGTTTGTTGCCATCTGTCTTTCTCTGTGTGTGTGTGTGTGCTCGCTCATGATTCTGTACAATGTGCAAATTTAGAACTTGCTTGGAACAATGCTGAGGGAACAAACCTCGGCACTGGCTCTCAATCACCCTGGAATCCAGGGGCACAGGGATTCCTTAGATGTATGTGTCTTTCAGGCAGCAGTAACTGGGATAATAATATAAGCAACTGGGACAAAATTTTACAGCTGTAGGGGACCACTTTGTTCAAACTCTGAATTGTGCTATTGATGAAATTGAGGACTACAAAATTTAAGTGGGTGACCCGAGGTCACACATCAAGTTTGAGGCCAAGCGGACGGGAGGGCTTAGATCTCCATCTCTCTGATTCTCAATCCAGAGCGCTCTTCAATAAACTAATGAATCAGTACATTTTATAGAGCTTTCCCCTTCAAAGGGTTCTCAGAGAACATTTCATCTTTTCCTCCCAACAACGTAATAAGAGAATTGATTTGCTTCCATTAAGAGTAGCTCTGCATACAGCATACATCCTTCTTGCAAACCAATCTGGTTTTATTTATTTATTTACCAATCTGGTTTTAATTCCATAAATGCTCTGTCTCCTTTCTTATGTGTTTATGTTTATTTCTCTGTACCTTTGTATTCTGTTCAGGGTTAGCAAAGTTCAGGATTTGTTTTCCACTCATGGGTGGTTTGGTTTCTGATAAGAACTCTATCTTCTCCAAATTATCCTCATAGTTCCTGAAACAACACACCCTAAAGCTATGCCTATCATTGGTAGTTGTTACCTTTATTACTTTCGAAACTTCTACTTCCATTTTTGTTTCTATGCTCATCTATCTATCCCTGAGAGTTATTTCTCTGCCATTGCTCTGCCATGAGGGATGTGAAAAGAATACAGGTTTTGGGTCATACATATGTGGGTTTGAACCTGGCTCTGTCACTTACTGACCACATGACCACTGTGTTCTTAATAGGTACGAAACGAAACAAAACAAAACAACAGAAGATATGTAACATTTGTAAAAAGGGTGTCCTGATGCTTATATAGGATGACAAAGATTTAGTACTTGGTACATAGTAGGTGTATTAGTCCATTTTCTTACTGCTATGAAGAAATACTCAAGATTCGGTAATTTATAAAGAAAAAGAAGTTTAATGGACTCACAGTTCCACATGGCTGGGGAGGCCTCACAATCATGGCAGAAGGAGGAGCAAAGGCATGTCTTACATGGTGGCAGACAAGAGCGTGAACAGGGCAACTGCCCTTTATAAAACCAATTGACCTTTATAAAACCAGATAAGTCATGAGACTTATTCACTATCACAGGAACAGCATGGGAAAAACTTACCCCCATGATTCAGTTACCTCCCACTGGGTCCCTCCCATGACACAGGGGGATTATGGGTGCTATAATACAATTAAATATGAGATTTGGATGGGTAAACAACCAAACAACCACTTGGATGTTTAGGTATTCAATAAACACTAGCTCCCTTGTAAGAAACCATACATGAAACTTATACTGATGAGCTATGCTCCTCTATCTTGATTAATGCTTGAGTTTATTCAAATCATTAAAAAAATCATAAAGAGGGGCAAATGTTGTATCAGCATCCAGATTAGTTGCCTTCACACTCCCTGAGCAAGATATGTGGATAGGAGCAAATGCATAGGGTGGGGCAAGATTACACTGTGTCTGATGGCTCTTCTAGCTCTGATACTGCATGATTTTAGTAGTGTTGATTGTGAGCACCTTTTAGAGGAGCCTGAAAAAAACTTAAGTCACTGAAAGAAAGTTGGGGATTGTTGGAAAACTATCTATCATTGACTAAAAGAAAGAATGTTGCATTTCTTACACATCTATCATATGCCAGATACTTCCTATTTTGTGCTTTCATAAATATTATCCCACTTAGTCTTCAGAAGAACTCTTTAATGTATGAGTTATTATCCCATTTTTCAGATGATAAAATGAAGCTCAACTTGTTATTGTAGCTTATAACAAGCTACAATAACAACTTGTAATGGAGAGAAATGTGAATCCAACTTTCACTTTCCATGATGTCTCTCTATGAAGGCTGGGCCTTGCAATGCGTGGGCCAAGCAACTTGCAGGTAAGGTTCACAGTGAAGGTTTTTATAAATGGACTCAGGGAAGCCTTGAGAGTCCCAGTCATTCCTTTCTTCACCTGAGTGCATTAGCAGATGGCTTCAGAGAGCCTCCAGAAAAGGATCACCTGTAACCCACCTCGGGCGTTTGTTTGGGATGATGTTATAGAGTGAGTGCTTGTGCCCCCCTGTATTCATATGTTGAAATTCTAACCTCTAATTGGGATGGTAGTTGGAGGTGGGGCCTTTGGGAAGTGATAAATTAATGAGGGTGGTGCCCTCATGAATGGGATTAGTTCCCTTATAAAAGAGGCCCTAGAAAGCACTATTGCCCTCTTTTTAACCATGTGAGGACACAGTGAGTAGAGAGCAATCTGCAACCTGGAAGAGGACCTTAATGCTGGCACCTTGATATTGAACTTTCAGACTCCAGGACTGTGAGAAATAAACTTCTGTTGTTTATAAGCCAACCAGTCTATGGTACTTAGTTACAGCAGCAAGAACTAACCAAGATAGATTATAAGTGACATGGGGAGACACTGGCCAAAAGGACAGATGGCTCTTAGAGTGAGTGTTGCTGATGGATCATGAGAGTCACCCCCAACCCCCGACCATCAGAACAAGCCCTGATAGGAAATGCAGAGTGGGTGTGTGCACATATTTGTAGTCCATCGTGGCTGGTAAATAGTCCCAACTTATTTCCAGGGATGTGAGTTAAACAAAATGGCAAACACTACATGGAAACGAGAGGGACTGATTGTGCATAATATTTATCACCTCTTTAAATAAGTTAATTTTCTTTACCATCCTTGCAATGTATTTCATTCAAAGATTATTAAATTTTGTGTGTTTGCCTCACAAATGACCTGTAAGTCGTAAGTGTTTATATCCAAATTTTTTGGAAAAAAAAATCATCTCAGGGTCACCTGCTTGGAGAAAAGTCAAATCTCCAGGTAATTTTTGAAAAGTCATGTTCTAACTCAGTATTTTTATTTCTCAAATAACTTATTCAAATGTTTCTCTGATTTGTTCAAAATTGATAATTTTATGTTTTAAATGTCTCAGGGTCTATAAATGCTAACCTTAAAAAAACTAACTTGCTGTAACTGTGGATATTTTCTTTGGAGCATGGGGATCATTGTAGGGACAAATACTGGAATGAGTCTAATTATATCCAAACCACTCCACTAAATCGCTGCTGAAAGCACAAGCCAACGATACCGTACATCCGAGTTCAGGAAATCCATACCCTTAGTTTGCTGAGATTGGCTGAGGACAAAAGAAAAGCCTGAACCTATGGATCCAATGTGTATCTCCTCAAAATGAACTGTATCTCTAGAGATTCTCCATCAGCTCTGTGTGGGTTTGTATTTTTCTCTACCAGATGAGAAGCTGTGTTAAGAATGAAAGTAGAAAAACATCTATTTTTCTTTGCGACATCTTTCTTTTGTTTCCATTTTATCCAATACCATCTGGAAAACATGAAGAGATATACTGTATGTGATATATGAACACGTTCAGCATCATTGTTGAGATGGAGAGGGAGTTTAAAGTGCAGTAAAGGAAAAATTATAGGCTGAGCTTGTAGATCGTAACAAGCTAATGATAGGACTATCAGCCAGTTCAGAGTATTCCCTAAAACTGTACACTGTATGTGTATTCAGTGATTTTTGCTTTATTATTTGTTGGATTTTAGGATTTATATATGTATGTTATTGAAAATATAGAAAGATGCCATAGTAATTAAAGTCAGGCTGGATTTATCATTCTTAGAGAATTTGTAAAGAAATGAATATGTTATAGGCAGTTGACTTGGAGATTATGCTAGCTCCATAACTTACATCTGAGATCTTCCAAGCTCATATTATGTTAACACAAGTCACTCCTAGGGCTTGAATGAAAAATGCATGATTGTACTACAACGCTGTGTTATTGTGGCATTTCTCCTCAGTTAGTAAGACTTTTTCTCTTCCAAGTGTACTTATAATGGGCTTGGTAATAAAAACCAACAAATTTCTTGGAAATTGTTTTCTAATGGTGACAGTTTGAATATTACAGAACAATAAATATTTAGTTGTCTCTATGCCATATAGCCACTTCAGTGAGTGTGACTCACTCTTTGAAAGATTACATCCTTCTTGGGCTTTTGGTGTTTGTCTCCTGGGATGCTGTGGGGTTGACCCTGGATAGCATTCACGGTCATTAGCTCATGGTGTTCTTGGGAGACATTTGAAGTCAGCTGGTGTCCTGCTGATGGAGCTGCTGAGTTCAGCATCACATCGACATAATTTCATGATGCGTTTGCATGAAGGGCTTTGGTGCCATTTCTGAGTGAGGTAAGCACTTTTGGATTGAGTTGACAAAGTTAGCTGCTTGTTACCTGATTTGCAGGGTTCTGTTTCTTGGATATCCTTGCCTCTTAGTTTCTCCACCAGTGATACACTCTAATGTGCATTATTGCTGCTTGTTGTGCAGTGCTTTTGAAGGTGAAATACAGCTAAAGAAGTTTTCTTTTGATATACCACTAATAATGTAAATCAAAGGGCTTCCCTCAAATAAAGCTATAAAGTGTGGTTTATTTTATTTTATTTTATTTTTCTAAAATGGCAGAGTTCATGGTTTCATTAAGCTAGGGTTTGTTGGTTTTATTCATCTAGGGACACTCTAGATTTGAGTAGACTTCTTGATATTCATTAGTAAAAATAACAAAGTTTTCTCTACTTTTATTTGAAGAACTGCTTTCTCAATTAAAACCCTGAAAATTTGTACTCATAGGGGAGAAACAGCTTCACTTTGATAGTACAAGTTAAATATCCCTTATCTGAAATGCTTGGGATGAGAAATACTTTGAATTTTTTTAAACTTTGTAATATTTACATTATACTGGTTGAGCATCCCAAATCTGAAGATCTGAAATCTGAAATGCTCCAGTGAGTATTTCATTTGTGCATCATATTGATGCTCAAAAAGTTTTGAATTTTAGCCAGGCACTGTGGCTCACACCCATAATCCCAGCACTTTGAGAGGTCAAGGTGGAAGGATTGCTTGAGGTTAGGAGTTCAAGATCAGCCTGGGCAACATAACAAGACCCCATCTCTACAAAGAATTTAAAAATTAGTTGGATGTGGTTACATGCATGTGTAGTCCCAGCTACTTGGGAAGCTGAGGCAGGAGGATCACTTGAGCCCAGGAGTATAAGGCTGCAATGAGCTTTGATCATATCACATTGCACTCCAGCCTGGGCAACAGAGTGAGAACCTGTCTCTAAAGAATAAAAGAAGGTTTCACATTTTGGTTAACTTCAGATTTTGGATTTGAATTTGGGATGTTCAACCTGTAACAATCACATTGGACTAAGACTGATCTGTATACCATGACTAGAGGCCAATTCTGCACCAGTGGGGATCACCAGAAACATGCAGGTCAGCAGAAGAATCAATGATTCTCTTTGTTACATGGGAGAGAGATGTCTCCCCTTCAGCTCTGTGTTTTCCTGGGAGTAGATCGAGCTTCGTGGGTCCTCAAGAACTTAGTATCCTAGTGCTACCATATCCTCTGTCACTACAGCAAAGTTACTAAATTGCTTTGGGCCTTGGCTTCTTTGAACAAGGTTAGTTCCTTTCTCTCCTGCATAAGGTTTCTGTGAAGCTTGAGAGAGAATATGAATAGAAAAGGTCTGGCATAGTAGCCAGCACTTAGATGGCATTCCATCAATGTGACTGTTTTTTGTCCTTTATGAAATTGGCCCGATGACTATGCTTAAGAGCCAACAGGAAGTAGGTTTCCCAGAGAATCCCTCTTCATCCTGGATCCATTCAACATCACACACATGTATGTGCATGTGTGTGAGTGCGTGTGCACACACACACACACACACAAACACGGTTTTCCATTGTCCAGCATGGAGTCTGAAATTCTACATTGACGGTATAGCCCTTTGGAGGATGGAGTAAGATTGCAGTACTTTTTGGTAATAGACACTTCTTCTCCTTGGGGTAGGATTAAACTTTAGTGCCCCATTGAGACCAGGCATAACTATGTTATCTGCTTTGGCCAATGGCATGGGAGAGAAGTGTTGTGTGTCACTTCTGAACAGAAGTTTGATGAGCCACTCTGTACCTTGCCATACTGTTTTCCTTTGCCACATTCACAGGCAAGATATGAGTTGGTACCAGCCTGGGTCCCACAGTGGGAATCACCGTAATGGACAGAGGTTCCCTTCTCCCACTGGTTCACACTGGACATGCGGTATGATTGATAATAATCCCTGTGGTTTTAAACCACTGAGATTTGGGGGTTGTGAGCACAACATAAACTCATGAAGGGAATTTGAAGGATAGAAGTCCTGAATGGAAATACAGGAGGCTACTGAAGCCGACTTTGCATGCATCTTACAAGGATCCTTTTCTGACACTACCTGTGCCCCACCCAGGAAGGCAGAGGTTGCAGCGAGCACCTGCAACAGAGCTATCTAATAGGGACCAGGAAGCACAGATTTGAATAAGGCCTTGGTGGGGCCAAGTGAAAAATTTGTGGGTTCAACTTTCAGTTTTAATAAAAACATCTTAGTCCCGTGATTCTCAAACTTGAATCACTTGAAGGGATTGTTAAAACACAGGTCAGTGGGCCCCATCTCAGAGTTTCCAGTTTGGGAAGTCTGGAGTGAAGCCCAGTAATATGTATTTCTAATGAGTTCCCGGTGATGTTATCGCTGTTGGCTCAGGGCCTGTCTTTGACAACCACTACCTTAGTTCCACCAGGTAAATCAGAGACCCTTTCCTTAGAATGAAAGAGACAGCTGAGAGGAAGAGGCCGCCTTGCTGAGATTCAAGCCTGTTCTTCCTTTTTTCTTTTAGACCAGACACCCTGACAGGTGACCCTAAGCGGGCCACCCACGCTTCCTGCCCAGGAGTCGATGCCACAGAGGACATGCTTGGGCGTTCCAAAATCTCCCTCTGTATTATTTGAAGATATATCTCAGTGTTATGCTCAGAAGTATGATGAAGGGATGAATAGATGACTGGCCTAAGTTTAGGAAATTTTAGGCATGAGATTCAGAGTTAGGGAAGAAGAAATGCTTTCTACAATTCATGGGCCACAAGACACATGGACACCCCAAAAATGGAGCCCATGAAAAGTCATATTGTTATGGAGTCCGTGGAGGTATTTTAGGACTGCTGGGTACCAAGAAGTATGTGTAAACAAAGATAAGATTAAATTAATTTTATATTCCAGAGGGTAAAATGCCATGAAAGTTTCTCTCCCAGTTCAGCAAGGAAACAAATCTCAGAATCTGTGAAAATATTTAGGTAGGTGATGTGGCCACTGCAGGATTGCAGTTTTTCCCATTTGTGGTTTGGGAACTAGAGAGGAAAAGTAATCCAAGCTTTCACAGAGTCATCAAGGGTTACATGGAAACAGGAAATTAACTATCCATTAAAAAAGCAAAGAATTATGTCAAAATACTTTAAAGATTATAAAGCTAATTTAGAGTTTCACAAGGACACAGTTAACATTGGAATGTATTATGTACAGTGATCTAAAAAAATTACACAGCTTCTTTTAAAATGGATGGAATAACTATATATATAGATGGTCACTAAGAACATTTATTCTTGTGAGAATGACAAGACTATGCAAGATAAAGAAAGTTCTTACTTTTGAACTATCTTTACAGAGGAAGAGTTGTTTTGCTTCTCTTCTTCAAACAGTAACTTCTATTTTTGCGTCCCCTCTGAGTCTCATGATGTTTGGCCAGCATTAGATTTCTATAAACCTAATAGAATTGATAATATGAATGGGACTTTTATAGAATTAAAATGTAAAGGAGACTCCTGGAAAGTGGTATAAAACTTTGGAGAATAAAGTCTTCCTCTGTTCTTTGCACAGGACTAAAGTAACTCTCCATATTGTTCCTTTATATTATGACCCATGGTGGCAATGACAGACCTAGAACAATACTGTTTTAAAATTGTGTCTCTCATAATAAGCAAAACCAGCCAAGAGTTCCAGGGTAGAGCAAATTAATGACTATAAGGAGGAATCATCCAGTGTTTGGGGTACTCTACTTTTATAAAGGATAGGCGAATCTCTTGCCAGTTACCGCCGTGTTATTTTAGGGAGGAAATTGACATTTCATGATGTTCCATGACTTACTTAAGTAAGAGAACAGAGAACCAACAATGAGTTTTCTATGCTTCAAGTTTGATTAACTAGGATTGTGCAAGGCTGCATTATGAGCTTTGTGGTCCTCAGCATTTTTACCTTCCAGGCCACTTCCTCCATAAAGAAAATTCAAAAATATATTTTAAAACTGCATTGGTATAAAGACAAATATATTAGTGAATTTATTTGTAAATATGCATTAATATTGTATTCAAGTTTTCCTCCTGATTTTAAAATAATGTAAAATTAAAGCAATTATCTGGACTCCTAAAAGTGTTGCAGGCCCTAGTCATTGTGCTTTCTATGCCTAGTGGGTAAATCCACTCCCAGATCATGCTTGCCTGTCAATATTGTAAAAAAAAAAAAAAAATCCTCATTAAAAGACTGGCTTATTAGCATAAGGTCTGCGGGTAAGAGAAGGAGAATTATGTGAAATAGAACCCCAACCAAACCCAAAGATACGTGCATAAGCCCACGTCCAGCCTATATCAGCTAAGCAGATACATAAAAAATAAATAATTTTTGTGGTTTTACGACATGGAGTTTTGTGGTGGTTTGTTATGCAGCAATGACTAACTGACATATAAAGTCTTGGCAGCTATTATATGGAGTTAGATTTTTTTTTTTTTTAGAGTGCAATGCAAAACCATTGGAAGGTTTTAAGCAGGGGAGTACACAATCTGATTTCCTTTGGACAAAGTTCACTGTGGCTGTGGGAAAGAGATTAGAGTGGACGACAGGAAACCAGTAGGAGGCTATCGCAGTCATCCAGCTGAGGAAAGATGACTTGACACGGTAGGCCTGGGGGCAGGGGTGGAAGTGGAGATGGAGAGAAAAGGATGGGAGTCCAAACTATATTTAAATTTTCTGCTAGGCCCTGTGAAGGATGTGAAAAGCTACAAGGAATTACAAGACCATGTTATGCCTTAATTGGAAAGGATGAGAGATAGATTGTTTCTGGAGACAGGAATAGAGAGTTGGTGAATTTTCTGATCACATACAGATAGTCCTGCTGAATGTTCCTAAACTCACTGAGGGCCAGATTCAACTTTTGAAATCTGTTTGTGGGAATCAAAGTTGATGGCAGAAGCAGATGGCTGTGAAGAATGCTATGGTGTAACATTTTGTGGGTTATATTTTAACAGGATGGTAACTGAGCTTTTTGAGCCTGTCTGGTCTATGCCCTCCTCAAAATTCTCCATCCATCTCCCTGTCTTCTCTCCCTTTCTATAATTTGCAACAATTTGATTTTCCCCCAAGGAAGTCTGCTTTCAGAAAAAGTTGCTTGTTTATCTTTGGTTTAGCCAAAGAAACAGAAACGTTTCAACATAACCACACCCTGATTTCACTTTGCCATATCATACAATTATAAGATGCCATTTCATTATAAAATTCAAAGAAACATTTCACACATGAATTCTTAATTCATTTCCTAGAGGCATGCAGGATTTGGTGTGGCTATCAACAGCTTCCTTGTTCTGAGGAGTGAACTGAGGTACCATGTGCTAAAGCATCTCCCTGAAAACATCTGAGGCAGGATTGAAATGAGCTTTCAGATCCCTTAATTCTTAGTTTAGTAGGGCCTCTCCCTAGATCATGCCAGTATAGCAGGAATATATTACGCACATTTTAAATCTACAGGCTTTTCAATAACTTAGAAATATATTGATCTTTCCTAAGAGATTTTCCCCATTTTTCTTGCCCATTAACATTGATATAAAAATATTAAAAATAAAGCCTAATAACAATGCATCTCATTAGCACCAGGATCACTTGAATAAAATAATTTTTTTTGCAGAAAGGTTTCACTTTATTGGACGTTGTTCATCCATTGGTTGAAAGAAATTATACTTTGTCAAGAATAGTATAGAAGAGGAAAATCTGCCTAAAGTTTCTGAAGAAAACCAGTGACAATCTCTTAACAATCAACGTAATGCAATGTTGTTATTCCTAGTTT
Source organism: Homo sapiens (assembly GCF_000001405.40). Classification (NCBI taxonomy): domain Eukaryota; kingdom Metazoa; phylum Chordata; class Mammalia; order Primates; family Hominidae; genus Homo; species Homo sapiens. The sequence goes on along the minus strand of NC_000018.10, from coordinate 55,118,333 downwards.
TATTATATTTACATTTTTTATACTATGTTTTATACTTAGGCTTTACATTCAGAATTATTTATATTTCATTCTCATGTTAATGTTAGTTTGAGATTCTTTGAGTGATATTTACATTTGTCTGTTGATACAAATGGGAATAGATATATTTATTTTGGGGGTAGAACCTAAAAAATTGTCCAAGTCACTTCTTCTTTTTTTCTTCCTCACAAACTGTTTTAGTCTTTGAAACTTTCATGTGTTTTGGCATCATTCAAGTCTCCACTGTGCTTCATTCCTTATTAAGAAACTCAGGCCTTAATTAACTTGCTGTCCCTTCATTTGAAACTTACTCCGTTTGATAACTCTTTGTTGCTTCTAGAACGGTTGGTGCAGGCTTGTGTGGGCTTCCATAACACAAAAGCCAGATGGATTTTTTAAAGCAGATAAATTTAGTCTTGAATAGAGAACTGTGAAAAAAAGAGAAAAGAATCATTAAAAAAAAAAAACCCACAAAACAAAACAAAACAAAAAATCTTGGTACTGATAAAACCAGTGAGAAATCACAGATTCTCAAATTAGGGGAAAAGCAAACCTTTTTCTTGTCCTTCCCCTCCTCCTTCTTCTACTTTTTAATTTGTTTTGGGCTCAAGAATTGAAAAGTTCTGTTCCCAATTAAAAACAGATCACATTTGGGTCTGAGGGGGAGTGAGCCGCCTCATGATATGAGTATGAGACAGAAGGCTGTAGATAGATTGAGTCCCTTTGATAACCAACACCACTCTCTCCGTGTGCTAATTTGCAGAATGGGGAAAATATTGGCATGTTGCCTTCAGAATCCTTTGGAAGAAAAGCAGTAGAAATATGAAAGCATTAAAGTTCTGTCCAAAGTGTTTACCTTACGTAACAAATTTATTAGGGAGTCTCAACTTGTTATGGGTATAAAAATGAAACAGTTTTACACTTATACAATGACAACCCCTTCAACGAGGATATGTTGACCCACCTTTCCTGCTGGAAAGTAACTCCCTTAACAGCAATTTGGCCTGCTCCTCTAACTTTCCTGTCACTTTTGGTTATTAGAACAGTTCACTTTGTTATTTAAGATTCAGTCTTTTGTATTTTGATACTTCAGTCTCAAATCAGATTCAGAGCTTGTGTTCTCCCCCACAAATGTTGACTCCCCCAGTCTGTGACTCCAGTGGCTTGAAGGTTGGTGGTTTGTTCTTCGTGTACTTACATATTTCCTTCTCTCTTTGAATTCCTTTCTTTAGACTTCAGAAGCCTCCTGAATCCTATTCTGGCCCATCGTGGCATGGTCAGCAGATGAGAAACAGATGGACTGGTGTGTGGTGGGAGGAAGCTGTCCTGGTCGAGCTCTGCTTCAGGCCAGTCCTTTCTGAGGTTGGTGCTCTCAGTTCATTGGCAGCCTCCATAGAAGTGGTGTGTTTGAGGGACAGCATTCAGCTTCATCTTGGCCCCCTCCATCACTGGGAACTTCCACCTCCACCAGAGAGGGCAGTTGTATATTGGCCTTGAGCAGTGATAAACATCTCCAACTCCTTGTCTGTGCTGGGTCTCCTGTTGCTTGGTCCAGTGGTCATCCTGAATGGTTCTATGGCTCTTATCATCAGCTTCCATGTTGCTTCCCATGGAGCTATGGGAGCCACTGGAGTCCTCTTTTGTATTTCCCAGGTCCACAGAGCCTTGAAATGGGATGGGGCTGCCCATATCTCATTTCCAGGTATATTGCATGACAAGCCATTGCTGTCTTGGGCTACTGACCTAGAGCAACTACCTTCAGGAATCTCTGGTCTCTAAGCGAACACTATTTACTATACTCAAATATGCACCTTCCCAAAACTCCAGGTGACATATATCTAGTACACACCCTTCTCTCCTCTCACCTCAGCAGGCATCAGGAAATAAAAAGGATAGTGTGCATTACCCCTCATTTCCTAGTATCCTCTCTCAATGCCCCACTCCTCTCATCAGAGAAGACCTCAAAATCTGCAGTTTAGCATGTATCCAGCCAGCCTACGTCTCTTAGAGTCACCTTCAGCATCTATTCAGGATTCCCTTGGAGATTGCCTTACTTGGTTTTGAGGAGAGAGAGGCACCACCACTAGCCACAACTACAAAGACATGACAGAAAAAACTTTCTTCACTAGCATGCACTTCACCAAATACCTACTGAAGTAAAATATCAGGTTGTCCTCCTTCCAACTTCAAGATTTTTTTTGAATGTGGCTGCCTCTGCAAAAACAGAGCCTGCTATTAGCAAGCAACTTTATGTTACCACTCTCCCATCCCCAACTCAAGTCTTTTCTTAATTTCATTGGGGATAGTTCAGAGATGGAGCCTCTAGTAAACCTTATGGAGACATGTTTATCACCAACAACTCAAGCTCACCTTTGGACTTTGACCATGGTTCTGAGACAATAGGAAACATCTCCCTCTCCATCCTACTTTGTAATTTATTGTCTTCATTTGAACTCACCAAACTCTTTCTGGTGTTTTTTCCCCTATCCTGTGCTGATTCAGACAAGGTTGTGAGTAAGCTAGCAGTTTCCCAAGCTTATGGGCTAGGCCCCTAGCCTGGCCAGTCATCCAGAAAATGTGTCCCACAGGCCACGAGCAGGATAGTATGGTGGGGGGAAAAGTTATAACATGGGTCTGAACCTTGGTCATTGGTCCATGGCTGGCTACCTGTGACCATTATCTTTTTGGCGCTCTAGAAGTGTGTTCCTGATTTCTGGAACAAAGGTTGGACTAGTAAATTTTAGTAGTAAAACCCATATTTTTTTCCAAATTGGCTGTTAAAACCTAGACCTTCTTTCTTCCCAGGCAGAGACCTCATGGCATGAAATATGGCGGCTCTGTGGTAGAAAATTTGAGACCTACTGAAGTAAAATATCAGGTTGTTCTCCTTTCAACTTTAGGATTTTTTTTTGAGCGTGTCTGGCTCTGCAAAAACAGAGCCTGCTACTAGCAAGCAACTTTATGTTTATATTTATCTGACTTTCCAAATGTCCGTTGTATACTGAGCTCACGATTAGTAAGGCCGTTTCCTTGTGTATTTTCCAAGTGTTGTGGATGTTTTTAAAAGTCAAAAATTGGTGATGCTTATGTCTACTCCATATCTTGCAAAGTCAATGCTTTGAAAACTGCTGCTCTCATAGCACTAGAATAGCATTTCCCAGGAAATTGGACACTAGTCTCTTGGGATGCTCTCTGAAATGAAGAGCTTTATGGTCCAAAAAATTGTAAAACATGCAGCATTCCATATCCTCCTCTTGGAGCTTTAGTAAGAGCTCAGAGAAATTCTGCAGCAAACAACTTGTTTAACTTTGTATGACCTGGTATTTCCCAACATTTGGAACCTATCTATTGTTTTCCCGTGTAACATTTAATGCCATTTGGTAGAAACAGTGCTCCTTCAAATACAGTTTGCAATTCACTGTCTTAGAGCAGGGGCTAACACATTTTTTTTCTGCAAAGGGTCAGATGATAAAAAATTTAGGCTTTGTGGCTTTCACTGACTCTGTTGCAGCTTCTCAACTTTGTCCTTGCTGTACAAAGGCAGCGACAGGCATATCTAAAAATGGGTGTGGCCATGTCCCAATAAAACCTTATTTACAAAAACAGGCAGTGGTGTAGATTTGGCCTATGAGCTATGGTTTGCTGATCCCAGTTTGTCCATTAAACAAGTGAGATTTATCCTGACTAGGGAAGGTACAATCTCAAATAGTGAAGCAAAAGCTTAGTTCTTTCCTGAGTAATTACTAGAACTTTGCTGAACTTTGGAGACTAAGCCACTGAGGATACCAGTTTTTCCCTGATCATCTTGAGAATTACAGCAGGCTAAGTGACTTGTCCCACACTGTTTAGTTTATCAGACATCTATCTAGCTGTGAAATCTTGGCCCAGCTCTGGATCTATTGCTAATCATCAGCCAGACTCACTGTGATCAAAGACGGACAATAGAACATGGAGCAAGTGGACCAACCACTTAGTATCAACTCAATTATTCTGTCTGAAATGAACCATCTATGTTTTTCAAGCTTACAAAAGGAAAATGTTATAAACATCATTAGAGGCATTCAGATGATCCTGCCTGTTTTCTGAATGGTTAACCATAATTAAATACTGTATTAGTTATCTAATTGCATACCAAATTACCTGAAAATTTGGTGGCTTAAAACATCTAATGTTTTCAATCTCACAGCTAGAGTGGGTCAGGAATCTCGGTGGCGTAGTTCAGTTCTCTGGCTCAGGGTCTACCATGAAGTGTTGGCCAGGGCCGTGAGGACTCAACTGGGGTGAATCTACTTCCCAGCTCATTCCCACAGCTGACCTCGGGGCCCTTGGACTGGCAGTTCCTTGCCTCATGGGTCTCTTCCCAGGGCTGTTCACAACATATGAGTTGTTGTTCCCTAGAGGAACTTCCCCTAGAGGGAAGGCTCAGAGAAAGGAGGCGGGGAAGGCAGGCAAGACAGAAACCAAAGTTTCTTTGGAACCTTATCTGGAAAGTGCCATACTATCACATTTGCTATTTTCCACTTGTTAAAAACATGTCACTGGTTCCAGCCCACACTCGAGGAATGTGACTCTACAGAGGTGTGTATATTAGGAGTCTGGGGTCCTTGAGGGTCATCACAGAGGCTGCCTACCACATATACTAATTTCATTAAGGTCTTTTTAATTATTTCTTTGTGCAATGAGGGTTCAAACTCCCTGGCCTTGAGTAGCAAAGGAAGATGTCACAGCCACAGTAAAAGCATTAGGACGTGTCTTTATGAGTACTCAAGAGGAAAGAAAAAGAGAAGAAATAAAGTATGCATGTTGCAAGGTGGAAGGGATGGGGAAGAGAAAAAGAGAGACAAACGAAGAATTATGGAGGCATTTTTCTAGAATTATATGTCTTCCTTTGGAAGAAAGGAAGCAGACTGAAAGCTTCCTGAAAGAGATATGGCCAGTGGACTCCTAAAAGTCCTCTTGTTCCTGCTCATTCCTCAGTTCTCTGGGTTAGAAAGTGTCTCACGTTCTCCACTCATTCATACATGTTTGACTATTATTGATCTATTATTACCAAAGTAATTGGCTGAAATTTTATAATTTTGGCTGTCCACTTGCCAAAAAAAAGGAAAAAAAAAAAAAGATGAACAATCAGCCCCATACCAAGTACTAAAGGGGATACAATTGTATAATATATCTCCTGCCTTTGAAGATCTTATATTCCAATTAAGGAAATAAGACAAACATATGGAAACAGTTATGTTAAAATTAAAGATTTAAATAACAGTTTAAGGTAAGAGTAGAATGTTGTAAGGCAGCATGTGATTAATTACCAGACAAATTATATAGAATTCGTTACTATTGGAATCCAAGGGAGAGACTGATCATTGTGAGCAAGGTGATTGGGGAACATATTGTGAAGAAAATGATAAGGATCTGGAAAGGGAGAGTAAAGTAAGGGCATTCCAGGTGGATGGGATGGCATGAGTAAAAATAAGAAGGGAGGACAGGTGTTTTGGGGGAACAATGAGTTAACCAGTTTGGAGAGTGGGTTTTTGGAGGCGAGTAGTCTGAAATGAGGTAAATGGTAAGTCAGACAGCCATGCAGGAACAGGTTGAGTTTAATTATCTAACCTGTGCTTGGTCCCTGAGGCAGATGGCTCACCAACAAACATGCTTGAATTACCCTCTATTAGAATTTTCAAAAAGGGGTAAGTTCCAGGTTGATTCACTGAACATCTTGGGCTCCCATCCCGTGCCTGTCTTTTAATAGCAATTGGTGGCAAATGGAAACGGTACCTGTGCTTTGTCTCCATAGCAGCAACTCACAAAAGCCTTGATGGCACCCAACTGAAAGAGCCTGAATTGTTGTCACCCCCCACTGAAAGACGAGGAGGCAATACAGGGAAGGAACGTGGCTGTTTCAGGAGGCTGTGGGATTAGGGAGACAGGTATGCTGGGCACCAGGAGATCCCAACCGAAGTAGAGTTGCAAAGAGGATTCAGGGTATCAAATCATAAAGCATTCAAGTTAAGACAGCAGGAAAAGATGACACTGAGCCTGCCTTCTTCACATTCTGAGAACTTGGAACCATGGAGAAGGGTCATAGAACCTTCAGAGAAGACCTAAAGAAACCCCTAAGTAGATGTGACATCTAATTCAACACCACCCCCTCCAACTTCCTAACTTTTACGTTACTCAATCTCTCTAAATTCCATCTGCTCATCTATCAAATAGCTATAACAGTATTACTCACTATATCCATGACATTGTTTTGGAAATTCAATGAGTCCACACGTGTCAAAGATTTCAAAGTGCCTCCCAAAAAGTTCTCATAACTCTTAGGTACTGCTTTTGTTGCTGCTATTGTCAATCTGTTCTTCCTGGCATCTCCATATCTTTGATAGTCATAAAAGCACATAACCACATAAGGTGGTAAAATCATAGTTTTCTCTTAGATGTAGGTCTCTTTGAAAGGCTTGGAATGACCCAAGGAAGGCTTAACATTAGAATGTCTCTGGGTTTTAGAATGTTTCTCACTCCCTCTTTCCTACTCCCTCTCCTGTCTCTGTCTCTTCCCTCCCTTCAGTAAGCCACATAGTCAATGCCTTCTCTGTGCCAGGCACTTTGCAAAATACTTCTAGCATTTCTAGGCTCTGGATATGCAGATTTGGGCAAGGCCAGTAATTAATTTTTGGCTTCTGAAAGGTAAGTGATCATGTTCAGGTGTGGATTCAGATAAAGTAAGTTAGTAGGGTCTCTCAGTAGAGGAAAAAATGGGAGATTTCATCTTAAGAAGGAAGAGGATGAAAATGTGAACCCAACATGTGCTGTTTGGGAATAGATTCCAGTGGTGTGTCTGGAGCAGCAGGGGGGCATCTGTGGGTGTCCACAGGCAGCTGGCCAGCAGGCAGACAGCACAGGGCTCAGAACCAAGGCCTCCTGGTGCAGGGAAGGTATGCAGACAGCACCTGGGGCCCCATTTCTGTACCTGGCCTGGCTTCCCAATCCCATCAGCTGCTAAATTATGGGGAGGAGAGTACCATGAAGGCAACAGAACTCATCTTCTTTTAATTATTATTCTATGGTAGTATGGTCATGACTTGTATTTAATATCTTCTGGCTGGCAACAATGTACTGAATGCTCTGCAGACCACAGCATTAAGCATGGCTGGCCATTGGCTGTTATGCTATGGGCTGACATCTTAATTCTACAGACATGAGATGCTTGGGGAAGAAAAGGAAGGCTCCTATGGCACCAGGGCAAATAGCAAGATGGTAGCTCCTTGGTCCCAGACTTGGAGTCCTTGACCTCAGCCTCTGTCCAGAGGACCCTTCCCACAGTTGCACAGCAGGACACTGATTTATGATACTTCAAGAGGTGTTTTCAAAATGAGTGGGCACAGAAAAAGTATCTAAAAGAGTTTAAGATATTAATTTATTTCAGATATCCAGGATACTCAGGAAGACTGCAGTGAGAAGGGATCCCACAACAAATTATGACCAAAAATAGCTAAGAATATTGCATTTCCAATTTGCCAGTATGCTAGTGGCGTAGGAGGCTAAAGGCTGGTATGAGCTCAGCCCGGGCTTTTGCCTGCATTGTCGGCATCCCAAATTAGCAACAAGTGTCATCAAATATATGAACTGGGAGGAATTCCAAAGGAACCAAATCATTGCTCTCCAAATAGATGGAGAGAGGATGTAGTGAGGGGTCAGAAGTGGAGAGGACAGGCACAGGAAACGTTTGTGGTGTCATTTCTGTCCCCGGACAGGATGCCGGAAGGAGAGAGGTCAAAGCAACAGGAAGTCTAGCATCACGGTACAAAACGTTATCAAGACTGATGGGATTTTAATTGTTTCATTCTTTGGGGCAAATGCTGTGTGATCACTTAGCCATCGAATCTCTATTGTGTTATGTTTTGTAAAATTTATTTTTAATTTAAAGTCAATATAGGAAAGGTTGAACAAACAAAGGTAGAGGTGGGAGTGCAGTGGGGGAAGAGCTTGTTAAAGTAAACGATCCAAAAACTACAAAAATGCTGGAGGACTTTTGTGCAGGTCTCTCCCAAGCTGCATTTCCCACTGGACATCTGGATTATAATTCAGAGTACCAGTTTCTGGCTTTTGGCCCTACTCAGATCCTCTGAGTTTCCAGTCTTACCTAAGTAATCCTCCCTAGAGGAGTTTATGTGATAAACTCTATCCACTCCCCTGGAGGTGTATGTATCAGAAAGTCCTTTGAGTAGGCCACAGAGAGAGAATATAAACTCCTGCACCTCCTGGGCTGCCTGAAGTTCCCCTCAATCACACAATTCCTGCTGCTTTGGCTGTTGGTTAGCATGACAAAAGCAACTCTTCAACTTAGGCTACTCTCTTCTAAAGGCTAAGGGACAATTGATAGCATCATCCCCTCAAATCTAGGAAGAAACTATGAAATGACATACCTCTTTAGAAAATGATTTGCCCATAGAAGATCTCAGTCTATATCCACGAGAGAGAAAGAGCTTAAGTGTCATTCAGATTTACATCTCTCCAAGTATGAGGGGTTGGGGGTTGGATAGTATAGCTCACAAACATGCCCTTGGAGTAAGGAAAGCTCTCAGCATTTGAAAGTGTTCTCCAGGCTGATGCAGTGTTGTGTTCCAGGTTCCTCTGAGTAGCTCCTAAACTCAATCTGAGTTCTTTGTAGCAACCTGCGTGGTGCCCAGGAGCTGCCCATTTGCCATTGGCCTGACTAGTTGGATTTTAGTTGCTGGACTCTAGTCCAGGGAACCTACTCTGAGCCACCCTCCATCTGAACTTCACTGTATTCATATTCTCCCATGATTTCAGGGCTATACTAAGACTGGGATAAAAACTGCTGAGTGCTGGCATGACACAAGATGGAAAATATGGGCTATCTCACATGGCTAGAATCCCCATACCCTCCCATAGGAAAACAGGTCTAGCCATTCAGCCCCAGAAGTATATCTTGGCCATTTTCTGAGAATAAGAAATATAAGGCTATTTAAACTGTATTTAGAATATCCCCAATCTTCAGATTAGATTGATGACAAAGATTTCAGAAAGAAATATCATTTGTTCATTCACTTATTAATTCAAAAAATACCTATTAGATACCTACCATGGGCAAGGCACTCTGCTGGATGCTGGGAAGATATGAGTTAAGAGGACAGACATTTGTCAGCTCCCATGGATAACACAGAATAAAGCAATAGAGCCATTCTTAATTGTGATATGCGCTGAGAAGATAACCAGCAAGGGACTGAGATGGACGGGATCTTTTAGCTGGGTGCTAAAGGCTTACTTGAAGAGTTGACATTATCCTGAAAAGAAGAGGGGTTTCTTTTTGAGAAAAAAAGGAGAGGAAAGGGAGAGACCATCAGTAGAGAGAGCAAAGAACATGTGCACAGCCTTGAGGTGAGGAAAAGCTTGTGTGCTCCAGGGGTGGAATGAGAGGAGCCCAGTGGGGCTAGAGGATTGTGACCCAGGGAAAGAGGAGTCAAGATTGGAAAGAGTCAAGGGCAAGATCAAGGATGGCCCTAAAAGCCAGAATGGGAAATTGTTTTACTCTGAATGTGGCAGGAAGCTAAAGAGTTGTGATTAGGGCTCATTAAATGAATGAAGGCGAGTGACATGATACAATTAATATTTTTTCATTTGTGCTTCTTCATTGAGAATAGATTGGAGAAGTGAGAAGAGGAGCAGAGAGACCAGCTGGGAGCTGCTGTAGTAACCCAGGTGAGGGAGATGGTGGTCTGGACCAGTGCTTCGCATGGAGGTGGACAGAAGTGATATAACTGATTTAAGTCAACCAGCTGCTTGATCCAAATAATGCCAAATGAGTTTATTGCCATCTCTTCATATTTTACAACCAGATCACTTCTGCATAAAACCACATGGAAGAATAAGAAGGGAAAAACAATCAAGCAATAAACTGTTCATCTGAAAATAGTTAAATTCTCCAACAGTTGATTTTAAAATATTTTCCTAAAATCTATTAAGATTTGTTCAAAGTAATTCTTCTATGGAGGCACATCTCTGGACTGAAACAACCAGCCTTTGCCTTTGGTGTGGTCCTGTTTCAGTCAAAATGGCTAACAGGCTATGAAGAAAATCAAATTCCAAGTTACTCAAATGTGGAGAAAATCTGGAGGTCTGGTATGGGCATCTTTTCAAAATGTTTTAATTACACATTGATTTACAAATGACATTGTCTAGTATGGTAGTTTTAAAAAAATCATCATTTTTAAACATCTGCCAAATTTTAAATGGTAGTTTTTCATGAAAGTACAAAGAAAACTTCATCCACGATCACGAAATTTTCCAACTCATATATCCTGATCAAAACAAAGACTTTCTATGGACAATTGTTGAACCACGCCTGACCTTGGACCCTGTGCTATCTACTCTTCTCAGTGTCATTCTCTATCTAGTTTGGCTTTTCCAAGTTTAATCACTAAGATATTCAGATATTATTACAAAATATTATTACAAGCCCTTTAATTACCTTGATAATATTACTGGCAATATTAAAAACTTTTAGCAGTATCTTTCATGGTGTGTGCTTTGCCTGAAAAGGAAAGATATCTCTGATTAAAGTTTGAAACCATTAATAATATAGAACACCATACAAATGACACTTTTCCAAATTAGAAATTTTAAGATCAAAGATTATTTACGGGCTTATATTTGTATCTAATTTTAACATTTTTATGTAGAGAAGAGGTCTCGCTGTACTGCACAGGCCAATCTCAAACTCCTGACTTCAAGCTATCCTCCTGCCTCAATCTTTTATTTACTTTTAATGCTATTCTTTGTTCACTTTGCTGAGATATCTAGGTCAAAGCCTAAAGGCTATGTATTTTAATTTCAAGGCTGCATGTTTATATCCTCTCATACCACTAACATCCTGGCTAATGTCTTAATGACTAATTTTTTCCAGTTTTACCACGGAATTGTCTTGAAGTTGGTGCATATTTCACAGACTCCAATCTGAAGTGTGGATCACAGCATTTGTTAGAAACTAGTTGACTTTGACTCTTTTTCACTCTGAGATAGAATCTAATTGGACCTGTTATCTTGATTTTTATTGGTCAAAGCTTTCATTTCAGGCCTCCTAATAGGATGCTGACCAGCCAATGGAATGTTTGCCTTTGGTCAGGTGTTCACCCTCTGGTCCAATTAGCCGAGGCCAAAATGTAGTAGGGAATTGTAGCCAAAGAATGGATAAGGAATTTCCTAAGGCAGTCTTGCTCAGCAGGTGCTATGTCAGTTTTTAGAAGAGTTTGTGGTTGTGATAATTGCTCTAAGGGTTGGCCCATACTGCGTATGATCTAAGGATCTAAGAATAATTTATTACCAAAGTAGCAAAAGAACTTCTTGTAAATAACCTCTGACAAATATTTTTTATTGGCGTGTACCCTAAAGATAGCAGTACAGTGAAGCTCCAGTAACTGAAAAGATCCTGGATTGGTATTAAGAAATTAGAGTTAAAGGCTTATGTAACTGTCTTATAGATAATTTTAGGCAAAGCAGTCTTGAAATAAATTCTGCTAATCAGTTAAAGAAACAGTTGAATATTTTTTAATAGCAAGAGCACTAGTCTTAGAATCAGGAACCATGGGTTGGCTCTGAGACTCTCTGTCTCATCTTGGGGAAATCATTTCAGCTTTCTGGCCCCACCCGGTGTTTTCCCGGAGCCCATAAGATGAATGTTGTAATAGGCTACTTCTACTTCTAAAGCATCCTTGATCTGAAATTTGAGAAACAGAACTGAGAATCAAAATGAAATAAAAGCTTGAATAGATGTTAGGAGACCAAAAAAAAAAAAAAAGCCAGAGAGAAATTATTTATAGAGCATTCACTATGATATCCCGTGCGCTTTACACATGTTGACTTCTCATTCCTCAGAGAAAGGCTCTGAGGTTGTATCCAGTTTACAGTAGAAAACAGGTAAGATACCTTGCCCCAGCCATACAAACTGTAAACAGTGGAGTCAACCCAATTTTGTTTAGCGAAAAGAATAATAAAGTGCTTTCCATCATACCAAATTCTTCCTTAAATGCAGGGAGAAACAATGCTTATGGAAAAATAGAGGCAGGTAAAAAAAACAGTAATGTTTTACGAAGAAATAACAGCATTTTCACTAAATGATGTGGAGCTTGGGTTGAGAATGCTGATATATGACTCAGAATTCAAACCTTTTGCACTGATTGTTTTCACTTAGATTTTATGAAAGCTGTAGGTGTGTGAGTTAACGAGGAATGCTTCAGCACTTCCCTGGTCATGCATAAACATCTACATGCAAAACAGCAAGGAGTGCTCTGTTTATCACAGCTGCAGTCAAGCCAACAAAACTGTTTCTACCACTGAGGATGAAATTTGTAAAATTTTCTCTCAAAAAATAAAATAAGCCTCTTGTTTGATTGCCATTTCTTTGAATTTCCTGCTCAAATGCCATGATTCTATTAAGTTTCCTTTGAAGTCTCTCAAAGGAATGGAGTCACTAAGAGAGAGTCAGGCTCAAGGTTTTAATTGTGAAAGTCACTTTGACCAACCAACCAACCAAACAAAAACACCAGATTTAAAGCAGCATCAGAAGTCCCTCCTGTTTATAACATGCACCTTTGTTAACATAAGACAAATAAGAATGCTAAGTATAATGGAAATCAAAGGACTAAGATCTTACATTTACATAGGCTAGCATTGTGCAAAACCCTATCCCCTTTGGAAAAACCTAAATATTTTTTCCCATGAGGAATCTGCTCTTGAGGAACTGCCACCAGGTGAGAATCAACATCGAAGTTTTAGCTGAGCTTTGCCTTCCAAATAAAAATGTAGTTTCAATCCTTTTTCTAACCACCCAGAAATTTAGGTCTATCCTTTCTGGGAGAATTAGCCCCTCTGCATTGACACTTGCTGGCATGTGAATTTCTTTAGCCAAGTTATCACATTAATTCTCTCAACTACCCTGTGAAGTTGGTAAATGGAGCAGATGTTGTTAAATTCATTGGAACACAAGGAAACTGAGGCTCACAAGTTAGTTATTTTCCCCAAATGTTCCAATAAATAAGCAATGAAGCCAGAAGTTACTCATAGATAAGTTCTTCCATTATGTTCTTACCACTATGGCATACTGCATGGTCAATCAAAGCAAGCATAAAAGTGAAGTTGGCCAAGGGGGGTGGCTCACGAGTTCAGGAGATTGAGACCATCCTGGCTAATACGGTGAATCTCCGTCTCTACTAAAAATACAAAAAATTAGCGGGGCATAGTGGTGGGCACCTGTAGTCCCAGCTACTCGGGAGGCTGAGGCAGGAGAATGGTGTGAACCCAGGAGGTGGAGCTTGCAGCGAGCCAAGATAGCGCCACTGCACTCCAGCCTGGGCAACACAGCAAGACTCTGTCCCCCCCCAAAAAAAAAAAAAAAAAAAGGAGTTGTCATTTATTTGGTGGATGGGAATTTGTAGAAGACAGTCACTAAGAAAACTGGGTAAATTCTTATGATGCTAGTATGTTAGTCTCTTTTGAAGGACAATAGTCCATATTTGCTTCCTCTCACTCTTGGAAAGTGTGAAAAATCCACAACATGAGATTTGGGCAGGGACAAAAACCCAAACCAATATGTGTACCCACCCAAAGCTCATGTTGAATTGTAATCCCCAGTGTTGGAAGAGGGGCCTGGTGGAAGGTGGATTGGATCATGGGGGCGAATTTCCCCCTTGCTATTCTCATGATACAGTGAATTCTCCTGAGATCTGGTTGTTTAAAAGTGAGTAGCACCTTTCCCTTCTCTCTTCCTCCTGCTCCTGCCATGTAGATGTGCCTGCTTCCCCTTCACCTTCCACCATGATTGTAAGTTTTCTGAGGCCTCCCCAGCCATGCTTCCTTTACAGCCAGTGGAACCTTGAGCCAATTAAACCCCTTTTCTTTATAAATTATCCAGGCTCAGGTAGTTTTTTATAGCAACCTGAGAATGAACTAATACAGTGACTAAGAACTTCCCTGATGTGCTTCTGAAATAGTCTATATGAGGTGTATCTCTGTGTTATTCCAAGACCAGATCTATAAGTAAATTTTTACTGTTTATTTTGAGACAGAGTCTCACTCTGTTGTCAAGGCTGGAGTGCAATGACACAACCATGGCTCACTGCAGCTCAACCTCCCGGACTCAGGTGAATCTCGTGCTTCAGTTTTCCATGTAACTGGGACCACAGTTACTACACCCAGCAAATTTTTAATTTTTTTGTAGAGACAGGTCTCACTATGTTGCCCAAGCTGGTCTCAAACTCCTGGTCTCAAGTAATCCTCTTGCCTTGGCCTCCCAAAGTGCTTGGATTATAGGCATAAGCCACCATGGCAGGACTATAGATTTTTAAAGTTGAAGGTGCACAGTGACCTAGGATAGAGCTGGCACTGTGGATGACAGGAAGGTTCTGATTTTTTTCCCTCAGTGTTTCAAACACAAGCAGAGTAGGCACCTGTCCATCTGAGATCATTTCAGGAGAACTAGGACTTGCTCCATTTTATCTGCCTTGTTCATTCTCAGCTCCCCACAGCTAAATGGGTGAATGAGCTGCAGCTGTACACCCAAATTCACCCCTCATGCTGGGCCAAAATAACTTACCATCCTAGTCTCCCAACTGGTAGGGATTGTCATTAAGAATCTTTCCTGACAGATTTGATTCCTGGTGAGCCAGGGCAGTCCAACTGCCTTTGTTGCCATCAGGCAAACTGAAAGCCTGCATTGTGCTTCCTTCGGTGTCAGTGTTGACATATTGCTCCCATCCATCCTATACCCTATCTGATCCCCTCTTCTGGGACTTGAGCCCTTCCTTGAATCCTAGCCCATTTGGCTGGGGTCAGAACACCTTTCCTCTTCTCTTCCTCCCTCCTTTCCTGAGTTGCTAGAATTTTCCACCATATCACCATCCACTGGAAGGCGTCTTGTTCTAAGAGCACTGACAACATCTCAGAGTCACCTAACTCAAGGCTGTCTGTCCCCTGCCCTCTGGGCTCTTTGACTCTCAAGCTCCTACTTGCCAAATGGGCTGCCCTGGCCTTTGATAATTGCCTAAGCCACCCCTGAGCTTGGACACTGTGCTGTGTTTTTCCCAATTGCTCTCACCATGTCACCGTCTGGAACTTCAGTAGTTTACACAGACTCCATCCCACCAGGCACTAATATCCTCCCTTCCCGTAAGACTGTACTGGGAGGGTCCAGTGTGTCTTAGGACAACTGAGACTCTCCCATAAGATCACCATCTCCCAAATGAAACAAAATACCTCCTTCACCAGTAAGAATTTTGCCAGCAACTCTACTATCACAGTTTTTAACCTTTAAAAAAGAGATTGCAAACTGGCAGGATCTGGCTTGCATAATTGTTTCATTTGGCCTACACAGTGTTTATATTTATTTAAAAAATTGGTTTTTGGCTGGGCTCCGTCATTCATGCCTGTAATCTCAGCACTTTGGGAGGCTGATGTGGGAGGATCACTTGAGACCAGGAATTCGAGACCAGCCTGGGATATGTAGTAAGACCTCATCTCTACAAAAAAATTTAAAAACTAGCCATGTGTGGTGGCACAAGCCTGTAGTCCCAGCTACTTGTGAAGCTGAGGCAGGAGGATCACTTGAGTCTAGAGGTTTCAGGTTACAGTGAGCTATGATCGTTCCACTGCACTCCAACCTGGGTGACAGAGCAACACTCAATCTCTAAAATAATAATAATAACAATAAAGGCTTTCAGCATTTACAAATCAATTATGGATTTCTCAATTTTCTTAAAGATCTAAAGTTCTGGCACTGCTGGGCCAACATACTCCCTGGCCACAACTGCCTGGAGCAGAGGAGAAGTGGTCCTTAGGAGAGTCATGAGCTCTCTAGTTCCACGGCCCTCTAGCTCCCCTGTGGTCTGTCCTCCCAGAAGCATTTGGGTTTGCTACCCTGGCTTTCAGTTCTTGCTATCCTTTAAACCATGGGTCCCCAACCCTAACCAATACTGGTCTGTGGCCTGTTAGGAACTGGGCCGCACAGCGGAAGATGAGCGGCAGGCGAGCAAGCATTACCACCTGAGTTCCACCTCCCATCAGATCAGTGGCAGCATTGGATTCTAATAGGATCACAAACCCTATTGTAAACTGTGAGTGCGAGGGATCTAGGTTGTGTGCTCCTTATAAGAATCTAATACCTAATGATCTCTGGTGGAACAGTTTCATCCTGAAACCACCCCCGCCAGCCCCACTTCCCAGTCCATGGAAAAAATTGGCTTCCAGAAAATCAGTCCCTGGTGCCAAAAAAGTTGGGGACTGCTACTTTAAACAGTGCAATTTTCTTCCTCTTTCTCCCTCAGCCTACCTAAATAGACACACGTCACCAGTGTCAGCTGTTTTGCTTTATTGTAAGTGTAGATTTCTGGTAGGTGTAGATAGTGTTGTGGACCGTAGAGCTGGAGGAAGCCTGGAAGACTACAGAAAGAGGACAAGGTAACTGACGGGTTGAGGGTAGGACATTCACACCCCTGTTCTGAGGCATCCGTATAAAGGTGTTGTTGTTTTAATCTTCCTTACGGCATATGCCACAAGCTAAATACTGCAACTCATGGTGTAAATCATTAGTTAAGATGATAATGCATCAGACAGGCACAAACAACAGTCTTGAAAAATCATGGAAAAGTGCTTCTTAACTGTAGTTTTATCTTCCCACAGCCAGAATTCCTTTAGATATAATACTTTTCAAGACCTAGTTCTGTTGACTCATCTTGCTTGAACAATAATTACTGGTAAACCCTAGGTTAGAATTTAGAGATCATCTGGATAAGTGGTTCTCAATCCTGGCTACCTGTTAATACCAATCCTGGAAACTTAAAAAAACTCCAGATGCCTCGGCTGTACCTCAAAACAGTTAAATCAGGGTTTAACTGGGTCCCAGGCACCAGCATAAAAAAAAAATGCTTCCTGGATGATTCCAATACCCAGCCAAGAATGAGACTCACTTATCTAGATCTTGCCTGAAAATATCTGATTTTACTGAGGGTCAATGATTTACCCAAGACTACAAGGCTCAAGAGCTAAGACAAGAATTCCAATTTCCTGACTCCCTATCCAGGGCTCTCTACTTTACAATACTGCCAAAAAATGTGCCAGACCCTCTCTAATACTCCACAAACCCTACAAGATAGCAAGGAACCCCCTTTTTTTTTTTTTTTTTTTTTTTTAATAGCAGCGACTAAGCACTGGCCCAAGGCCAGAGGAAGAGAAAGGTAGAAGTGGTGTTCGATGGGGAAGCTTCTGCAGAGTGTTGTCAGAAGGAAGGGCAGATTCCATATGAGTGACTAATTAAGTAATATGATTCTCTGGTTTTTTTCATATGATGACTTTTAGCACTTTGAGACCTGAAACAATCTAAAAGCAACTTGGCAATCATCATTCATTTTTAGTGGAGAAATTAATAACTTGACAAGGAAACACTTATTAACAGTCTTTCCTGTCTAGAATGGCAGAATATAACAAGATTATTTGAATAAGAAGTTTATTCACTTCTTTTTATGAAAAAACTTTATTTTAATCTAATTTGAGACTACAAAAAGTTGCAAAAGTAGCACAGAATTCCTGCATACCTCTCACACAGCTTCCCTTGATGTTAACATGTTACATAACCATAACATAATTATTAAAACCAAGATAATTGCATTGGCACAATACTATTAACTAACCTACAGACTTTATTTAGATTTCACCAGTTTTATTTATTTATTTGTTTGTTTGTTTGTTTATAGAAAAGTCACTATGTTGCCCAGGCTGGTCTCAAACCCCTGGCCTCAAGCCATCCTCCTATGCCAGCCTTTTGAGTAGCGGGGACTACAGGGACAGCCACCACACTTGACTTAGATTTCACCAGTTTTTACACTAATGTCTTTTTTTTCTATCCCAGGATCCAGTCCAG
This sequence comes from Homo sapiens, assembly GCF_000001405.40. Classification (NCBI taxonomy): domain Eukaryota; kingdom Metazoa; phylum Chordata; class Mammalia; order Primates; family Hominidae; genus Homo; species Homo sapiens. The sequence goes on along the minus strand of NC_000018.10, from coordinate 55,100,389 downwards.
GATACCACATTGCTTTTAATTGTCAGTTCTGCTTGATCTTCTCTAATCAGTGACAGTTCCTCGGCCTTTCTCTGTCTGTCATGACCTTGACACTCTGGAGACGTGCTGTTTAATTTGTAGAATGTTCCTCAATCCGGGTTTGTCTGATATTTTCTCATGATTAGAATGAGGTCATGCATCTTTGGTAAGAATATCATAGTAATGATGTTGTATGCTTCTCAGTGCATCCTATCGTGGAGCTCACAGTATCGGTCTGCCCTATTACTGGTGATATTAACCTTGGTCCCACCATTAAAGTAAAATCTCTTTATTGCTAATTGTCCAACTGAATAATTTGATCAGAAAACTTAACCCAAAAGGAACTCATATGCAGATTCTTATGCTTTGGTGAAAAAATGACTGGGTGGTATGATTTCACGGGGGCTGTTGCTCTAATTCTCTCATCTCCTCCCTCAACGAAATTCTTTATCTTGCAAGGACTGCTGCCTAAAATACCACCATCAGACCTTCACCCACTAAACCATGGCTTCAATTCCTATGAAAATATAGATGTTTGAGGGAAGAGATTCCCATGAACTGTGTTTAGCTGCTTCTGGGAGCACCTTTGCTCCCAGGGAGGAAGGAGTAAAAGGAAAGAGCAGTAAAGCATTTTCTGCTGCCATTTGGATATGGAGGGAATGAGGTTCCTAGAAAGATCCTGAACAGATTTGCTATATAAGCGCCAAAGTGATCTCTTTGAAGTACGTGTCTGATCTCCGATTATTTTGCTCAAACCTTTTAATTGGCTTCAGACTCGAGCCTCACCTTACCTTTGCCACCCCCAAGCCAGTGATCCAGAATTTCTTTCCATTCCCCAACTGTGATTTATCTTCAAATAGTGACACATGCCATTCCTAATCCTTAAAATATTCTTCCCCAGTCCACTTCCCTGGATTGACTTTTACCAACACAGGAGGTCTTAACGTAGTGATCACTAGACCTAGAAGGCCTTCCAAGAACTCACAAATTTAGGCATGTTGCCCTTCATAGCCTTCTGTGATTCCTCTTCTCTAAACTTAAAGGTGTCTCCTTATAGAGCAAGGGTTGGCAAAGAATAGCCCATGGGCCAAATCTGGCCCACTTCTTGTGTTTTTAAATAAAGTATTATTGCATCACAGCTATGCCTAATTCTTTATGTATTACCCATGGCTGCTTTCCTATTATAAAGGCAAAGTTGAGAAGTTGTGATAAAGACTGTATGACCTGCAAAGCCTAAAATATTTACTATCTTCCCCTTTACAGAAAATGTTTGCCAACCCTGTTCTAGACGTAAGTACCATATAAGCAAAAATAACATTAATCTTGTCTGCTATTGAATTCTTAGCTGTCATAACCCCAGGATTTAGCCCAAAGTAGATCTTCAATAAATATTTGTTGAATAAAGACAAATCTCACAATTTTATCCAGCACAGTGTTGTCTGTATGTTACAGCCAAGTAGAATGTCTAACGTTAACACAATTAAATTTTTAAAAAATCCATAATATTTTGTATTTGTTTCTGAGAATTGACCAATGGAAGGATGTCCATATGTTATTCTTAGCCTTTATACAGTATTTCTCATCCTGAAATTTAAAAAGAATGATTTCCAGTTCAATTAAACCCAGAAACCTCATTAGCAAGATGATAATGAGTTCATGTGACCTGTCCCCAGATCAGACCAACATTGACCAGTTTTACTAGAATTATTGGTTTTTGTGTAGACTCAGTAGCACATCCTGGTCCAGGTCAAATTTAAAAAATAATTTGGGAGTGCAGTGGCTCACACTTGCAGTCCCAGCTACTAGGGAGGCTGAAGTGGGAGGGCCACTTGAGTCCAGGAGTTCAAGACGAGCCTCGACGACCTAGGGAGATCCTTGTCTCTTAAAATAAATAATAATAATTTGGGATTCCCAGAGAGTTTCTCAGTGAAAATGTCAAACCTAACCAGATTAACCACTATTCCATAAGGACAAGAAGGAACTAAGATTTCCCATGCAAGTGAGTGACTAAAATTAAATTAACAAAATTAAGAGATAGACAGCAAGAAGCATGTTTGTGCTGCTTACTCTGAGTACTTGGACATCTCCTTTGTATTCACTCTAGGAGGCCCAGCTTACACCTGCCTCTAGCAGGGCTTATGGATTTTATTACCTCTCCAAATATGAAAAAATATAGACTTAGTTTGCAGACTCTTGACTTCCTCTGGGAGAGGGCTCAACATCAAAGCAACTATTTCTACAAACATTTAAAGCATCTTTTCTCTTCCTGCCTTCCTTCCCTGACTGCTTTGCTTTTGGAAACACTAAACACACCCAGTTTTCCAGGCTCCGATGGCTCAACAATACTACTTTTCCTTAGCAAGGAGCACATTACTGCCATGATTTATGGCTGGTGAGTAATTAGGAGCCTGTTGCTATGGTCTGGGGTTGAGATCAAAAGAACCATGTGTCAAAGTGAAGGGAGGGGTGACTGGAGCCCAGGCAGAAGGGTGGTGGTGTTTGTTTGTAATCCTAACCAGAGAGAAGCTGGGCCATCGCTTAATTGGGAAAAGGCTCAGCGTCTGAAGAAAGCTATGAAAGCGGAGCCTGTTCTAGAAAAAGAATCCGTGTGTTTTGCAAATCAACAATATTTAGTGATAGGTGAATCTCCAGGGGGCCTGGAGGCTGGACGGTTTGAATTAGTACTCAAAGGTTTGGAGAAAAAAAATGTGAAATGTATGAATACTGAGTATAAAAAAATTGCCCAAATTGGTTCGCTTATGAGATTTCTGGTATTTCCTTCTCTGGTCAAGAGGAAATGCCAAGGGAAGTACTGCAATATTTCAGTACTTCTGTATCTGCAATCCAATTTCCCAACGAATATCGATTCTCTCTTTCTCTTTATCCCTCCTCCTTCCTGGCCATGGAGGAGGACTTTGGCGGCAGAGATATGGAGCACATGGGTGGGTCCAAGCGTGGCTGGATGGAGGTTCATGGAGCTGGTTGGGGGTGGGGTAGGCAGGGGGTGAACCAGCTGGGCTCTGAGGGCTCTGGGGTTTCATCTGCTCTATATTTATGACTTTCTATAAATCACAACTGGGGCAATGGGAAAGGCCTTGGACAGAGTATAAGGAAACCAGTTTTCCAGTCCTGGCTTTGTTTCTAACGAGCTGTGTGGCCTTAGGCAAGTCAAGATTTCTGGGTCTCAGTTTCCTTATCTGTCAAATGAGATTGACTGACTTTGATGTACTCTAAGCTCCCATTCAGCTCTCAAATGCTATGGTCAGATTCCCCTACTTCAGCCCTTGAAACTGCAATGGGCACTCCCTTTCTGAGTAGAGGTCCCGTTCCACATTCCTTTTGAGACAGGAACGCTGAACCTGGGTGCAACTGGAAGGCATTTTAAAATGGAATATTCAATTCTGAAAGAGAAGCATTTGGATTCAAACACACACAGAGTGCAGATTGCGTGGACTGAACCGAAAGGACCTTTTTGGTGTTCACAAAGTAAACATAAAGCAACTGCGACCTCATTCACCTTGTGAAACCACAGATATCCAGATGATGCGATTAGGAACAGGGCTGCACAAAGTTAAAGTCCTTTCTCAGTGTTTGGACAAACCGACAGTGCAGTGGAAGGGATGGCTTCAATTTGCAGGGGGATTTTCCAACTCTTACCCACTTTGCCAGATAGAGTTGCAGATGACATTGGAAAAGCTAGGACCCTTTAGAAGATGTGTGTGTGTGTGTGTGTGTGTGTGTGCGTGTGTGTGCGTGTGTGCATGTGAGAGAGAGAGAGAGACAGAGAGACAGACAGAGGGACAGAGAGAGAGAGAAAGCAAGGATGAGCATCATGTGGGCTCAGGCTGCTGGGGCCTTGGCTCTGCCCACATGACCAGTAAACCATGCTGCCATCTAGTGTGGGCTCAGAAACTTCTTGGCGTGCTTAAGAGACATGGATGAGCATAAAGAAATGAAGGCATGAGTACGCAAAAGCTCCCAGGAAGAGGCACCATTAGTGTTAAGTGATGAGACCCCCATGGCCTCCTTTCTCCCTCTGATCACCCCATTTCTAGTTAAACACACACTTGCTTCTCTACGTAGCCTTCTTAGCACTTATGAAAAAAATCCCAAATTCCACATGAAGGCTCTGCCCATTGATAGTCATGCATTCTCCTTTTGAAAAGTAAAAAGTTAACATCAAAGGTCATAAAAAAAGTAAACTATTTGGCAGAAAACCAGGGGAAGAATATACAGATTATCCCTCACTGTGTTCCTCAACAGGAAAAGTGTCAACCTGGAGAAGTTTACTTTGCAAATTATAAAAGGGGATTTTATTTTCAAGTTAGCGAAAGGTGGGTATCTCAGGATTGACGTGACGCCATGAAATTGTACCCCTGAACGTCTCTCTGGAGCACATGCCCTACAGTGGAAAGGTATTCTTGATAAGGCAGATAATGGGTGGAATTATGCTAATCAAGAAAACCTTACAGGGTGAATAATTTAGTAACCCTTTTCTGAGAATAAGTGCCTATTTTAAAGTTCTAAATGACACCATAAATGTAGTCAGGCATAGATTTCCATACTGATATGGGATAATAAACACAGCCGGAGTCTGAAGCACCTTGAGGGACATCCTGCTGTGCTTATTATCCTGTACTTCCCTACTAATCACTGGAGCCTAAACCTTAATCCTCATGGCTTTGTTTACCTAGCACTTTGTCAAGTCCAATACATTTTGGTTCTTTTACCTTTCCCGGAAAGACAGCTGTAAGTATGGAACTTTGTCATTTTTCTCCTCCGCATGGACTTGAGATCTTTTGTTATAGTCTGAAGTCCACATTTTAAAATTTGAATTGCTGCTCCAGAATTTTTAAAAATACGTGATTAGCATCACATGGATGCTGAATAAGTCTTACGTTGCTATCTACAAACTTCACTCAAACACTAACAGTGTTTATGTTTCTAGACATTCTCCCATTGCCACTTTGGCTGACTTCATAGGGAGTAAATAGTGACAAAGCTTTGAAGGAATAAATTTGTTTTACTATAATACTGCTCTATTGTTTTGCATATTTGGGTTTTGCCAAAGATTCATTTCCTCAAAAACTTCCAGTGATAAGAAAAGTTGAAAGTCCACTCTCCCATCTCTATTCTTTTATATCTGCAGTGATTTGTGTCAAAGACACACGCTGATAGACCCTCTTAGCAGAACTCGGGCTGCAAATCTTACTGGTGATCTCACTTACTTAAACCATCTGAGGAAACAGGAGGGCTGGGAGAGAGAAGTCACTGTACAACTCTCTCTGAACAGTGACCAAATGTTCAACCAGATGCATGAGGAATGGGCTAAATGCAAACCTCAACTCAACCCTTCTGGAAGAGGAGTAAAGGTTCTGGTGATACTCAACTATGTGAGTAGTGGGAAGGGAAAGGGGACAGGAAAAAGACCATAGGATGGGACCATGTTTGTTCTGTGCCCACGTCACAATGCTCTTATTATTTCCCATGTGGGAGAGATGTATGCACTGACCACTGACTTTTAAATAGGTTATGGATCCCTAAGCCCTCACACAGGATGTCTTTGAAGGTTCATGTGGAGAAGGATGTCTTCTTCCTGCAGCATTGCAGCAGCTCTCTACAGGGCAGGTTTCAGGTGGTGGACTATGTTAAGTAAATAGGGACAAAGGTGACAAAAACATATCTAACACTATGAATGAAAAGTTGGGAATAAAGACTGAAAGGGTTTGGTGAAGTGCACAGACTTGGAAGTTAGGTGTGTGGGTTTTAACTCCAGATTGACCCCTTCTGAATTGTATAAGTTGTTTAACTATGCTCTGCCTCCATTTGTTCATCTTTAAATGAGTAGGTGTTTTTATGACAATAAAAACCACTACTACTATTATAGAGACAATAATACCTACTTATGGGATTGTTGCAATGATTACACAAATTAACAGGTATAAAGTATATAGAACAATGTCTTGCATGTAGTAATTGGTCAAGACATGTTATGAATTATTATGTCATTGTTAAAGGAAAAATTGGGTCTGGGTACTCTTAGCGTAACAAATAAAAAAGAGACAATGAGCTCAATTTTTGAACATATTCATATCCATGGATCAGTAGATCACCTAAGTTATATACCAATCAGTTTTGCTTTGGACCAAGCAGGAGATTCAGAGGCCCAGGACTGGCTGCATAATTTGCAGGCCCCCATGCACAATAAAAATGGGAATGTCTTGTTCAAAAATCATTAAGAATTTCAAGATGGTGACTGACAGCAGAACATTAAACCAAGCATGGAGCCCTTCTAAACATATGGTCCTGTGTGACTGCACAGGTTGCACACCCATGAGGCTTGCCCTGCAAAGGCCACATAAATCATGGCCTCTAGATGCACAGAGCTTACCCTCTAGCCCTCAACTCCTATGTGACCTTTTTCTTTTCACTTGGTACCTGTTGTTTCATCCTTTTGTGGTAGTGTGTTTGGTGTTTGAATTCATGGCTCAAAACACATGCTTCCTGGAAATCATGTAAGAGCCTTCAGATCCTGTCTCTATTTTCCCATATTTCCTGCCCTCTTCAATTCACTGCAATCTGGCTCTTGCCCCCCACCTGCCAAATCCCCATCATATTCTAACACCACTATCATCTGCTCTGAATTTTTGTGGGTGGAAACCAATGGCTTCTTAATTTTCTTCTTACAGTATTTGTCTCATTTAAACTATATAATCATTTACAGCTTGACAATGGATGACATTATCCTAAAATTCTCCTCTCTAACTTCAGTATATGTTACTTCAAAGTTCCCTATGTTTCTCTTCTCTTTTTCTGTTTTTTCTTTTTTTTTTTTTTTTCACTTCCTCAATAGCTCATAGTCCTCAGGGATTTATTTGTAATTTTCAGTCCTTGTTCTCATTCTTTCTCTACACATGCTCCTTGAGGATCTTACTTGCTCTGATGACTTCAGCTACCACTAAACAATGTCAATTCTCAAATAAGTATATTCACCCTTTTCTCTGCTGGTTATAGACCCATATTTCCAACTCACTCTAGACAGCTGTAACTGGACATCCTTAAGTGGCAACTCACTCAAAACACCTCAAACCAATTAATGTTTTCCTCATTCCTCTTTCTTCTATTGCCCATTTTTATTATACTATGACTTAGTAACCCCAGATGGAAACTATGGTCATCCTCAGCTTCACTGTCTGCCTTACCATCCAGCACCCAGTGCTTCCCCAGCTGCAGTTGATCCTATTACCTAAATATCTCTTGAATCTTTTCTCTTCTTTCCTTACTAGCTTGGTGCCCACCACCAATATAGTCTATCAGTCTTCATCTGTACTAGTCTGTCTTCTCACTGGACTCATTCTCTAGGTTTTCTACATTCTAGTTATATTCTTTACTTATCCTAAAAATGTTTTCTAAAATGTAAAGTTGTTCAAGGTAAATCCCTGCTTAAGGACCTCTATTGTCTGGTGGACAAAATTAAAAACTTCTTTGGAGAAGCACAAAGACTTTTATTTTTCTGATTCATTCCAGTTTACTTGAGGTTGGTCCTAGCTTTTAGTCTTCCTAATCACATACCTCAGCTCAAGCCATCTGCTGACCTTCCACCTTGTGGTGTCATCTCCTAGGTCTCCATGCCCTTGCACATACTGTTCCTTATGTCCAGAAATGCTTTTCACTGCATTCTCCAGTGAGTACATTCCTAATTATCTTTCAAGGTGCAGCTTATCTGAGACACCTTCCAGGAAATCTTTTCTGCTTTCTATACACCCATAGCACTTTGTGTGCACTTCCATTGATTGCAATTAGGTGTTCGCTTTCTCTGCAATTAGTGTCGAACTCTTGGAAATCAGCATTATGCTATATTCTTCTTCATATCCTCAGCACCTGGCACAGTCTGTGGCTCAGAGTAGAAGTGGAAACAGTGTATCATGAATGACCATGCTCTGCATAAAGTCAGAGGTTCACTAAAACCTCCGACTCATAAACATTGGGAGGGTTTTGTGTGTGTGTGAGTGTGTGTGTGTGTGTGTGTGAGTGTGTGTGTGGGTGTGTGTGTGTATAGTTATAAATGGTGGAACTTGGACCAAGGAGAAAGAAAAATCTAACAACTTTCTAATAAACAAATATTCAGTGCTGCCTCTGGATGCTCACATAAAGATGAGTTACCTCACTCTCCACTTTGACTCCGTAGAGGAGAGATTGGCATTGGGATTGAATATCCTCTCGAATTTCTTATCTCTCGAACTTATACAGTAACTGCTTTGTTGGATAAGATACAGCAAAAATATCTCACAAGTAATAGACTCTGTGATATTTCTACAACATCAGCAGTCCCTATTCTTTTTTTTTAATCTCTACTTACCCCTTTTTCCCCACTCAGATGTTTGTAATGAATTTTGTTATGTCTACTGTGGAGTGACTATTACACTTCTACTTTTAAGAACTTTTGTGGTTGGGCACGGTGGCTCATGCCTGTAATCTCAGCACTTTGGAAGGCCAAGGCAGGCAGATCATCTGAGCTCAGGAGTTTGAGACCGGACTGGCCAACATGGTGAAACCCTGTCTCTACCAAAAATACAAAAATTAGCTGAGTGTGGTGGCACACACCTGTAGTCCCAGCTACTTAGGAGGCTGAGGCAGGAGAATTGCTTGAGCCCAGGAGGTGGAGAGGTTGCAGTGAGCCGAGATCATGCCACTATTCTTCAGCCTGGGCAACAGAGCTAGACTTTGTCTCAAAAAAAAAAAAAAAAAAAAAAAAAAGGAACTTTTGTTTTTGTGAGAGAATGCCCAAAATATCAGATATCAAATATATCTTTTCTTTGATTATTAAACCCTGGAGTCAGTCTGGTCACATCATCTGTTGAGCTCCTTCGGTCACAGTGGCCAAAGTTACAGAATCAATCCTCCTATACATCAGTGCTGCTCCCAAAGATAATTACTACCTGCCGCCATCAACAAGCATACCTTTCTGTCACTAGGTGAGAAAAAGTAGGTACCTGTGAAGAACATCTCCATGATTGAAATACAACTCCAGCTGTAGAGTCAGTGGTATTTGTATGTGTCTATCTATTTTAATGAATATTTGTAAAACTTCAAGTGTGTCTACAGCTCCAAAGCTAATTTCATAAGGACCAAATTCAAACATGCTGGAGAAAAAGCAAGTTGTTTCTTTTCAAGTGGTCTCCCCTTATCTGTGATTTTGCTTTCCACTGTTTCAATTACCCACAGTCAAACACGATCTCCATATATTAAATAGAAAATTCCAGAAATAAGCAATTCATAGGTTTTAAATTGTGCATGATGAGATCCCGAGCTGTCCCACTCCATTCTGCCTGGGATGTGAATCATCACTTTGTTTAGCAGATCCATGCTGTGTATCCTATCTGCTCATTAGCCACTTAGTAGCTGTCTCAGTTACCAGATCGAAGAAATATAGTATATATAAGATTTGGTACTATCTTTAGTTTCAGGCATTTACTAGGGGGTCTTGGAACATATCCCCTGCAGATAAGGGGGAACTACTGTGTGTATCTTTGGCATCAAGACAGTCAGACTAACAACAGTGATGAATGATGCAATGGTAGATTATGTTTCCAACTACATTTGCATTCTTCTGCAATGTTTTAAGTCAATCTTGGTTATCTTCTTTTATCAAATTGAAAGCTGCTATGAGTCATGCTTTATGACCAAATTACATCTGATAAACTAGAGGTTACCAAGTGTCCTAGTAAAGACCAAAACTTTTAAAGTTTCCTCATTTGTCAACTGAGAACAAGACTCTTTCATAGACTTGTGTACAATGATTATTCTGTAAAGCTCTGTAAAAGAAGTCTACCAAATTTTTGAGGCAACACATTCAAACTTGTGTTAAGACTGTGTTTGCTTAGAACTGAAAATGTTTTTGGATAGGCCAAGTTTGGGGACCAGTAAGAGAACTCATGGAGAACTGTTCACGACAGAAAGCAAAAGTAATTTACAGATCATTGTGAATACTGTGGATTCTAGGCTGTTCTGTATTGTAATGTAACAAACAAAGGACCTAGTCTCTGACCCTGAACAATTTTCAATCTATCATCACAAATGCCCTAGGAAGTAATGCAGCACAGATTAAGGATGCATTAAACTAGCAGTCATTGTCATTAAAATCCTTCATCAGGACCAACTTTCCAAGAGGGTTTTAAAGGTTTAAAAGAGAGGAACATTGCTTGATATTAAATTGACAAATGAGTCTCGGCTGAAAAAAAAGGATTGTATGAACAAATAAAGGATGACCCTATAATGAATATGAAAACAAGGAAAACTAGGATAAAAATGCTAGAAAGAGTTGGAAACATTGGTGAGGTCAAATATGCTTGGTTAGATAGGAAACCAAAAGTCTAAGTAAAAATAAGAGGAGCAGCATATATTCCAATGGAAAGATAGTGAACATAGATTTAAAAGTGTAGAACAGGGCCAGCCAACATTTTCTGCAAAGAACCAGATGGTAAATATTTTTGGCTTTGCGGCCATACAGTCTCTGTCGCAACTACTTAACTCTGCTGTTGTTATGGGAATGCAGCCATAGACAATCCATAAAGAATGAGCATGGCTGTGTTCCAATAAAACTTTATTGAGTAAAACAGGAAGTGGACCGGTTTGGCCAATGGGCCAAGGTGTAGAAGAATGGGGGTAAATAATAAAGCCAAATTAATTCACCACTGCTCTGGCACCATTGGCCATGCCATTGTGGGCTAGGGAATGCTTAAATTCTGTATTTTTGACCACCATAGAAATTAATTTGACTTCTTAAACATGATAGTAATAGAAATCTAGTGGTATGCATTGAACATAAAGAAATTGCTTTAATTAACGCTGGAAGTGTCATTATGAGGACTTCAGGAATCTATTTGATACCTGGACTCTGAGAAGTAAGGGGGCTTAATCATGGAAGCTATCTATAATTAGAGGCAGAGCTGTATTAGAACTCAGGTCAATGGATTCCTAAATTAGAGCTGTTTTGCCCTATTTGATGCTACTTTATTTATGTTGTTACTTTTCAAAGCCATGAAAGTAGTTTTCCATAAGTACAAACAGATGAACAATCTGTAAGATCTGGGACACGATCTCAATTTTTTTTCTGTATTGTGGATGAGAAGTAAGATACTTAATAGATTCCGTATTGCTTAATATCAGGGACAAGGACCAAGCAATCTCCCCTTCCATTTAAATATTATACTATCTTTGTGGAAAGTGCATTGCACCCTGGCCTGGGAGTTTTCTACTTCTGAAGATAGACATGCATCAATTCACCCACCATCCCTCACTCCCTTTTCATTAGTGACTACATTTATGAGGTGACTGGTTGGGGCTGGGGATGCAGAACATTACAGTGAAAGACAACTCTCTCAGTTGGCTTCAACCTCTTTATCACCAGCCTTGCTTGCTAGCCACAAGCATGAAAAGGTAGAATAGCATGTGTATTTCAAAGATGAAAATCATTCTGTTCACAAGTGGCCAACACTGCAGGGACTGCTTTCACTAAATATCATTTTGACAAACTCTAATGCTGCTGGTTTAGCTGATGAAATTTAAAGCACTTGAGTCAAATAAATTGGATTACCACCCTTGGATTAAGATAAATCATTTCCTAAATTTTTGGTCTGTTTGCTTTGGCTGGGCTTGAATCCTGCAAACTCTGCTTTTGATAACCACACTAAAACGGCAGGGAGTGAGCTAAGAGGCGGATATGTGAGAAAGATTGAAATAGAAAATACATAATCAACAAATGACTCTTCAGCTCTTTTTTATTTCTTCCGGATGCTTCAGAAGTTGGAATATTTCCTTAATTGCATTCATTACCCTTGACCCAGGAACTCCATCCCAAAGAAAATAGAATTGGAGATTATCCATGGATTTATGAGGAAGGGAAGATATTACCAGTAATTCTTCTGTCTGTCCTTTATAAATTCAGGAAGGTTTTCTATGAGGTGGATAAAATCATAAAGTAAACATGCTTGTACCTTGGCCAAACGTTAGTGTGCTCTGTTCCCATTCAACTCCCTTGATTAGTGGAGAAACTCCAGCCTGGCACTGCATGGGCAATTGCAAGGCTATTCAAGATTTGACTTCAGAGCCTCTGTGACTCACCTTTAGAATTTGTGGTGTTGCAGGGCACTCAAGTATTTGCAAATTAACCAGCAAATATAGCCTAACTTCTTTGGTCACTTTCAAATTCTGCAGTTGTCATCACTGAAACTGTAGACGTATACAGGCTTCCTGGTAGTTAAGTGAATGACACCAATGGTCTTGTTTGAAGAGTGACCTAAAATTGTGCAATAGGCAAATTGCCTATTTTACTGGTGCTTTTCCTTTAGTGGTACCTTTTACTATCTCTCATCTTAAATACCACTTAAACACATCTTCCAAGAGACCTATAATCTACTCTGCCGTAACTGCTAGGGAAATGCATTAGGATCTTTTCTCTTTTTCTTTCCTACGCGAACTTTCTCCATTGCCCACAATTCGTTCACATTAAGTTATTATTAATAACAATTAAAAGCCTTTTAATCCCTCCTGGGGGGAGCTGCACTTAGAAAATTCTTTTTCTTTGAAGAAATAAATCTCTGTTCATACATTCTGGAGTTGACTTGTAAAAGAAATAATTTGGGGTGTAGAAGAAAATTTCACTGTCTCTCTAATCAGTTTACCTTAATATTCTCTATTCAGTATTTTATTGGCTCTTGGAACATGTAGATAATCCCAAAGTTGCTGAGGTCAATAAACCATTTGGAGAGCATATTGCCATATTGGCTTTTATGGGATTCTTGCTTAAATTAGGTAAAATAACATGTTCTTAAACTTCAGGAATATAGGAAAGCCTATCCTCGGAAAGTTGATTAGAGCTGGTTCCAAAAGTAATTTAAAGCCAATAAGGTATTCAATGCTATTATAGCTAACAGCCTCATCTGGGGGTTTTCAACTCCCCTCATGGTCTCAACTAGAAAACATGGGCACAGAATCCTGGATAGTCAGGAGCAAGGATTTTTTTTCTAGGAATTAGAAATCTTGAGTTTTTTTGTTTTTTGTTTTTTTTTTTTCCACTTAGGAAAAAGAACCCTCCCAAAACCAACAACCATAGGCTAAAGAATTTAATAAGATGGAGACTTTATTTAGAAACAACATGCCTCTCCTGTGAACAGAGAGCTCACTTGGAAAGAAGCTATGAATGGACCTGCACAATTATTTTCTGGCAAAAACCCAATCACATTTGGAGACCTCAGCAGCTGAACACGGAGTGACAGCTGAAAACTCAAACATGTTACAAAGATCAGAGACATTGCTGAATGCTCCATTTTGAAGTTTGATCCAAAGAACCAATTTATGTCATGTTGGTTTTATTGAAGAGAAGAGCTTTATTCCAAAGGCTCTTTTAAGCCCACATCCCCTCTTTGGCTCTTTCGGCCCTTCACGCCCACAGGATTTCCAATATCCCTGGAAGGTATTTGCCCTTCACAGATGAGTCCAACAGTGCTTAAGAAAGCGTTAGGTGCTTCTTCAAGCCTGCTTCCTCCCCCTTACCCCAGAACTTGGTTTCAAGAGCAGGCAGATCCCTCACATTCATTTAATAAGAGAATACATTCTGCCTGAGGGTTCTTTTGAAATATCTGTGGCTTGTCCTACATGAAAGAGGACAGGGACAAGATAGATAACAATTTTACTACTATCTAAATGTTAAAAAAAACACTAGATACATGGAATAATGAGATAATAGAATGAGGGGAAGTTTTGGGTAAGGGTCTTGCCTCTGGAGGCTGACTGCTGGGGTTTGAGTAGTACCTGTTGTGTGATTGTGGACAGTTCATGTCTTGAAGCCCCTGTTCCTCAACCAGTTAAGTATAATAATCCCTAGTTCATAGTGCTATAGTAAGTATTAAATAAGTTTAAAATGCCCTGTATGTGTAAGCACTCAATACATATGAGATAATAATATTAAATGTAAACTGGCATGGTTCAAAGTATAAATAATAAGATAGGCTGTTGGAAGCACTCAAAGAATACAGAACTGGGGTGATGTGGCTAAGGATAGATTAAGTTAAAATATAGAATTTGCATCTTTTCCATAGCCCTGTCCAGAAGGAATGTGTAAATTTGTTGCCATCCCTAAGGAACTAACAGCTTTCTGTTCCCATTTTGCATTCTATGGGTAATTATTTTACATATATATACTTTTGGAACCTTTCAAAACCACTCCTGAATATTTGGGTGTAAACAGCCCTTCACCCTATTCTGCTGTTCCCCACTTCCTCACAGTGGGTGGTTACATTCCCCACTGCATGTGGACCGCTGGCCAAAGTTCCACTTCTGTGACTGGCCTCCATCCCACCCAGTTCAATCCAATTCTTCGAATCACATCTTAGGGAAACACTTTACTTTTGGGTGTTTTATTAAATTCAGATGCATTATGTTCACTGGGTTTACTATTCTAATTCTAGGATTCAGTTTAAAAGATCAAACTGGTATACTGTGCCACATTTGCACATTTTCAAAATAACCCAGAAAATTTAGTGGAAACCCCTAATTAACATGACTGCACCGCAGTTTATAGTCTCGAACAATCAACACCTTTCTTCCCTTGCAGTAACTTTCCCTTTGCAATTTCATGCCTCACAATTTGTAGCTTACACTTCCTGGAATTTACATTCATTTTGAAGACATGTTTGATGACTATTTCTTTCCTTTGCTATGACCCTGGACCTGAAAAGTGTAACTATTTCTATCTCTGTAGAGAACACAAGTTATGCTCCCACTCAACAATCCCACTGGACCACATGAAGGCTGCATCCTAACTAATGGACCTCTTGGAGAAGGATTTTATTTGATAACTTGGTTAAAGAGCCTGAAATGTTTCATTATCAATTGCTTCATTGTTGTTGGTATAGATTAATCACCAGTACTTTCATTCATTTATTTATCTTCTTGAAACTCTGATTTTCCAATAGGTACAACTCACTTTTTCTGCTTTAATTTTCACTAGTTCTCCCAACCATTAGTTATAAAGAATCATCTAGTTATGGAGAAATCACTAACCCTTTGGGAATCCTGTCCCATAGCTGAAATCTACATTCCTCCAATTGTCTGGCAAGTTTTAAAGTTGTTATTTCTTTGTTTGTTTCAACAGATTTGTCCCTAATCATGTGGAAAGGGCTGCTAAAATACAGAATGTACTTACTCCAAGTGAGATTCCCAGTTCACAGATACAGTAGTAAACCTAATTTGCAAATAAGCCACAGTCATACACATAATATTTCACACACATATTAATATTGTTAATATTAATATTAAGCAGTTATTTGCAAAACAAATTGGTACAATTTCTTTATAAGATTGTTTTACAGGATTTTATCAGCTGTTGCAAGAAAAGAACTGAGCTGCAAAAGGGATTGGAGTTGTATCTCATTACTCTTCCTTAGGGAGGGTATTGAATTTGGTTAAAAATCAGTCCACTCCTTTAGAAAGTATGTTGCAGAGAGACAAATGCAAAATGCCAGATGGTGGAGTTGAAACAGAGACCTCATGTGAGTCAATGAAAAGTCCACTCTGACTTACTATCCTTGTCCTATTAAATGTTATTTACTTTTATTTTTTTCTCCCACTTAACTGAGTTTTACTGTCTTATGAAATATATAAAGCTTCATAATGCACTTTAACCCTAATCTTATTTAAAAGATTATTTTATATAGATCTACTCTAAATTCTCTCAGTCTCTATAATAACGAAATGTTCTTGGTTGACTCATTTCCATGGAACCACCAGTCCTAGGACATAATGAAGATAAATAATGGGTCACTTGTCATTTAAATTAATTCCACTTTTTATTTATATAATCTTGTATAAGAAACTGATTATACTTTAAAAAGGTTCCTAGCTTGTGTCTATTCCTTCCAAGACCATAGAGAAGCTCAAGTGATTGTGTTAAGCTAAATAATACTTCATTATCCTGCCATTATAGAAATGACAAGGCAGAGACAGAAACATATCAATTATCTGGCTTTCTCAGTAACTGAGCTATTCCTCATAAGTAGTTTTGTCAAGAAATGAAGTGTATCCTATTATGAGTTAAAAATATTAATATTAGTCATTTGGCATAGAAATTGGCTAAAAAAAACATTTACTGTGTTCCTCCAGGCCAGTCTGGCAGGAGACTGCCATTTATTAAAAAATCAAAAAACAAAAACAAAACCAATCCCATTGTCAGTCTAGTGAGAGCAAACCAGGTGGCTCAGGGAAGAAGGAAAGAGTTGCTCCAGGACTGACTCTGGCCATGGCTGCACATCCTCTGGTTTCATGTGCTCCCATTTGGGACACTTTTCTTACAGCCTTTTGTGTGCTTCACCCTTGAGTCCATGCAATCAATTCAGGTGACCAGAGTCTCCTGCCTCTGACCTAGAGTTTTCTTTGGCTTATGACTTCCTTTCTCCCAGATTGGTGGTATAAATCACACTGAGTTAGTACCTTGACATCTTGGCCTAAGGATCTATTGTCACAAATTGTCCTATGGAAATTCTGGCTCTAAAGGCACATAAGTGAATCAATGAAATCCTGAAACATACACATGCACACATACATACATTTATTTTTCAGAAAATAAAAATTCCATGCTGAAACAATGTAGCTACCATTACTACTGAATTAGCATGCAGCATGTCTTCACTGTGCGGGAATGCAAGGATGACCACAGGATTGTGGGGATGTGTTGGGCTGCTTAATTTTTCACTTTGCAGTCCAGGATGGCTGTAGTATCCTCTTTCTCATTTAGCCTATCAGCTATCAACAACCACCAGGAAAGTCATATCTCTAGCTGCTCAGTGCAGTTTCCTAAAATTTTATTTGTTAAAATAGCATACACAAAATTGACTTTTTGGGGTATACAAGCCTATAAATTTTAAGATGTGTGTAGAGTTGGGCAACCACTGCCACTGTCAGGACTCTGAGCAGTTCCATCGCTGCCGAAAATATCCCTTGTACCATCCCTTTGAAGTCACACCCTCCCCCTCCCCCTAAACTCTGACACTCTCAGAACTCTTCTCGGTCACTACAATTTTGTCTTTTAGAGGATGTCATATCAATGGAATCACACGGTATGTAACTTTTTGAGACTGACTCCTGTCACTTAGCATGATGCCTTTGGAGATTTATACACATCGTTGTATATATAAAGAAGTCATTCCTTTTTACTACTGAGTAGTATTCCATTACAGGGATATACAATACTTTGCTTATCATTCTCCACTGAAGGACATCTGGGTTATTTCTAGTTTGGGTAATTATACATAGAGTTGCTATTTGTGTAGGTTTTTATGTGAAGTTTTGCATTTCTGTAGAATAATACCCAGGAGTATGCTTGCTGGGTCACCTGGTAAATGCATGTATGCTTTAACTTTTTAAGGAATTGTTTTCTAGAGCTTCTATGCCATTTTACATTTTCTTTTTTCTTTTTCTTTTTCTTTTTTTTTTTTTTTTGAGACAGAGTCTCACTCTGTTGCCCAGACTGGAGCACAGTGGCATGATCTCGGTTCACTGCAACATCCGCCTCCCGGGTTCAAGTGATTCTCCCACCTCAGCCTCCCCAGTAGCTAGAACTACAGGCATGCACCACCATGCCCAGCCAATTTTTGTATTTTTAGTAGAGACAGGGTTTTACCATGTTGGCCAAGCTGGTCTCGAACTCCTAACCTCAAGTGATCCACCCACCTTGGCCTTCCAAAGTGCTGGGATTACAGGCGTGAGCCACCATGCCTGGCCCCCATTTCACATTTTCACCAGCAATATATGAGAGATCATCTTCAGCATCACTTGGTGTTGGGAGTACTTTAAAATTTTAGCCATTCTAATGGGTGTGGTGGAATATTTCACTGTGGTTTGAATTTTCATTTTCCCCAATGAGTAATGATGTTGAGTATCTTTTCAAGTGCTTATTTGCCAACCATGTATCTTCTTTGGTGAAGTGTCTCTTCAAATTATTTGCCCATTTTAAAAAATAGGTGGCTTATTTATTGTTGAGTTTTAAGTGTTCTTTATATATTCTGCATATAAGTCCTTTGTTGGATGTATGATTTGCAAATATTTTCCCTCAGTCTAAAGCCTCTCTTCTCATTCTCTATACATTATCCTTTGCAGAGCAAATGGTTTTAATTTTGTGGAAGTCCAGTTTCTCAATTTCCTCTTTTATAGATGGTGATTTTGGTGTTGTAGCTAAGAACTTTTTGCTTAAGCCAATACCATAAAAATTTTCTTTTATGTTTTCTCCTAAAATGTTTATAATTTCATGTTTTACATTTAGATCTATGATCTATTTTGAGTTAATTTCTGTATGAGATGTAAAGGTTGTAGTTTGAGGTTCATTTTTTTTTCCACATATGGATATCCATTTGTTCCAACATCACCATGGCCTTTTTAAATTTGATTCTTTCATTTTGTTGAGATATAGAAAACCAATTGCCCAAACTTATTAGAACAGCTCATAAAAATGGAGGGTTTTTTTTAATACCTAGAGTGGTTTTTACTAAATGGTCTTTTCCCCTTCTTATTTTGGGTTGTGCTCTATAGTAATACCTGGATAACTGAGGTTCAGCATACGTAAAGACACTCTAACTGCTTAAGCTGAAATACTATTTCTTTTCTTTCTTTCTTTCTTTCTTTCTTTTTTTTTTTTTTTTTGAGACAGAGTCTTGCTCTGTCACTCAGGCTAGAGTGCAGTGATGTGATCTTGGCTCACTGCAACCTCCGCCTCCTGGGTTCAAGGGATTCTTGTGCCTCAGTCTCCTGAGTAGTTGGGACTACAGATGTGCACCACCTTGCCTGGCTAACTTATTTATTTGTTTATTTTTCTATTTTAAGTAGAGACAGGGTTTCACCATGTTGGCCAGTTCAGTCTTGAACTCCTGAACTCAGGCAATCCACCTGCCTCAACCTCCCAAAGTGCTAGGATTACAGGTGTGAGCTGAGAAATATTATTTGAATGAGATCTCAAAAGATGTTGGTGTGTGAAAACAAAACAGAAAAACAAAAACAAAAACAAAAATACCTTCCAAGGAATGGGTCTCAGAGGTAGAAAAGCCTAATAGGTGCTCACAAAAATGATAAGATTTCACATCAGCTAGATCCAGAAGATGAGAATGATGAGGTGCATAGACACTGCTATGTCTATATTATGTAGATAACAGGAAGCCATTGGGGTCATCTGAGCCCAGTTGTTTTTAGTTTGCATGCCTACTGTCAGTATTTAAATGTGTGTTTTTGGAAGTGATCATCTTCTTACTGACAAATAGTGTTATGGGTTGAATTGTGTCCACCCAATGGATGTATTAAGTCTTAAACCCTAGTACCTATAAATATAATCTTATTTGGAAGTAGGATCTTTGTAAATGTAATTGAGTTAAGATAGGCCATTAGGGTGTGCCCTAATTCAATATAACTGGTGTCCTTATAAGAAGAGGGAAATTTGGGCCCAGAAACAGAGAGTGGGGCATGCCATGTGATAGCAAAGCAGAGACTGGAGCAGTGCAGCTTCCAGCCAAGGAACACTGAGGCTCTACAGCCACCACCAGAAGTGAGGGAGGCAAGGAAGTCTTCCCCACTCCAGTTGAGAGGGAGCACGGCCCTACCGTCACCTTGATTTTGGACTTTCAGTCTCTAGATCTGTGAGAGACTAAATTTCTGTTGTTTTAAGTCACCCAGTATATGGTACTTTGTTTCGAAAATCTTAAGAAATGAATCCAAACAGTTTACATCTTGTTGGCATTATCAATTTGTATTACTAAAGTTTTAGGTAGGATCTGAAAGATAAACTTTGGCCCTGTTCCCTATTGAACGCTCTCAAATTCAAAATTAAGAGAGTCTGGCTTAGAAATGTGAATGGGAACCCATGAACTAGGTTTATAGGTCAAACACTCTCTGCCCTGGGCATAGCTATAGATGTGCAGTAGGATAACTGCATGTAGTAATTGAAATATTAATATAGGCACGTTCTGGCCCAAAGTCAGGAGTGAGATGTAAGAATATCCCATGTGGTTCTCCTGGCTGCTAGGGATTCTCTGGGCTGCACGAAGCATGTCTAGATGCTGTACTTTTGAGTGAGTAGCGAGCTGGGTCTGTGTTATGACAGCAGGCTGGGATGATTTTGGAAGAGTTTGTGATAGCTCAGAAAGCAGGGAGGCTGGGAGAGCGCTGCCAGAGGGCTTGGAGCCCACCCAGGTCTGTTTGTCTTACTGCCCAGGCGCCTCCCTCAGCTCTGCTTGGAAGCAACCAAAAGGAGTGCTCCGGAAGGAATTCACAGAGTGCAGGCAGGGACCCAGTTTCCGACTAGTTAGGGGCATCTGATGGAGAAGAGAGTTCACTTCAAAAGGCCTAAAAATAAATACGTAATGACTAGAGACGAATTTTTTTGTGGCTTGATGTGGAAGCGCCTATCCATTCCTTTAAGACAAATAGCTAGAAGTAAGAGATGTGTTACAGAGCTGGCCAAATTAAACACGAAGCAGGCTGTTGGCGATGCCTCCTCCCAGCTGACAACCACCTGGGGTGGAGGAATTGCCGTATCAGCTCTCAGAAGAGCAGCACTCAGCCCCTTCATGAGTTTGTTCTGGGTGCAGGAATGGTGGCTGTCGTGCCTTCTTAGGGGAAGGTGGGCTAGGCAAGGGAGGCCAGGGCATTTCAGCACCAGAGACAGCCCTGTGGCTGCGCGGTGAGACAGTGCTCATTCCTGGAAGGCTCTCCCAATGCCCCTGGACTGTGCAGGAGCTCCGGGGAGCTTCTGAATTGTTTCTCACTCCCAGATATTGGTATTTTTCTCCTGGAATAATTCAGAACTGCGGTGAACCTCAACCCTAGTCACTCTTCTCAGGGTTGCAACTTCTATTTTGTCTCTAGCATCTACAAGTGACTTCTTCCCTGTTATGGGTTGAATGAGTCCCCCGAAAATCATAGGTTGAAGTCCCAGTACCTTTGAATGAGGCCCAATATGCAAATAAGGTCATTGTAGGTGTAATTAGTTAAGTTAAGGTCATTAGGGAGGGTAGGTCCCAATCCAGTTATGAGTGGTGTCTTTATAAAACAGGGAAATCCGGACACAGACATGCGCAGAGGGAGAAGGCTATGTGAGGAAGAAGGCAGTGGTTGGAGTGATGATTCTCCAAGCCTAGGAAGGCCAGTGACTGGCAGCAAAGCACCAGAAACGAGGGGAAGAAACATGGAACCGATTCCTTCTCAGGCCTCAGGAGGAACCAACCCAGACGAACCTTGATCTCAGGCTCTAGCCTCTGTTGCAATAAAACATTTTATTGTTGAAGCCACTAGTATTTGGTACTTTGTTACAGCGGTCCTAGGAAACGGATGCACTCCCCAGCATTAAATATGAAATCAGACAGGAGGCACTAGGGGTGAAGAGTGGGCTGGGGGTCCCATCCACTTCTCCACAGTGGGGTTGCCATGGAGAGGCTAGGGTGGCTGGCATACATCCTACTCCCTCCATGGACCTGACCCCACCAGTGGCCCTGGACTGTTTTTACCAAGCCCCGCTTCCCTGCTGCATGCTGAAGGAGCCCTTCAGGGCAGCAGTAATGGGGAGAGAGACTAACGGGCCAGGACTCCAGGTCGCAGACACATGGACAAGACATGACAATGAACTTCGTTTAAATTTAATCAGAGCCTTGAAGACAGGAAGCTACAGGCTTTAATTCCCGAAGGGATGATATATTAGGATTCCAAGTATATCAGTTATTCTAAAAATAAAAGTAAACATGTGAAGGAAATAAATTAATAAACACACTAGCCAAGTTTTCATTAGAAGGCTGCTGCTTTTCCTGCCCTAGAAATCGCTTCCTCAGTCAGGCCTGAGCTTCTCTTGTAGGCTGACCCTTGCAGTGATGAATGTGACATTCCAGAACGCTCTGTCAGGACCTTTCACTTTTTTTCTTTCCTCCTTCTTTTATTTGCTTTCCACCCCGACTCTTAATAGCATTCTTCCTTTAAGTGAAATAATGCATGCCTTGAGCCTAATACAATGCTTAGCAAATATTTAAGAAAGGATAATTCTTTTCATCCACAGTTTCCTGTCTCCTAATGGTCCTTTTATTATATCTTCTTTAAATAAATATATCTCAAACCTTAAGATATTCATAAAGTCAGAAATTGCAGATGTATTTTGCATTGTAGGCCCTATTTTATTTAATAAAGTTTATTTATTAAATTTATTAATAAAATAAAATTTAGTTGCCAATATTTTAAGAGTGATATAAATTTATATGTGTGTGTATATATAGATACACACATTTATATATGTGATATTTAAATATATATTTATATAAATGTGATACATAATTTATATATGTGATATACAAATATATAAATGTATATATGTGTGTATATATGTGTATATATTCACATGTATGTGTGAATGTTTTTAATAAAGCACTTAAAAATGGATTTCCAACTTCTCTGAGAAAATTGGAATGTCCAGCTACACTAGGCCCACATTCCTGTTTGGCCACTTCTGGCTGGAGCTCAATGAACACAGCCCCCTCAGATGGAAGATGTGCACCCTTCCATCTTTCTGTGTACCATCTGTCTCTTTCCCTCTGGACATTATGGCTCTGCCATGACCTGCGACAGTAGGTATCACTCCCTGTTTTTGAAGTTGCTCTTTGCTCCAACTCTGCTTTCTCCTCGTCTTCTTATTATTTTCCACATAGTATTGTACCCATCAAACTCAATCTAAAACTCTTCCTGTTGAAGAGAAGACCTGGTTAGTGTTTATATTAACTGAATATCAGCAACGTTTGCCAGAAATGGCTGCTTATATCAAATTTGACAGAGTAAACCGAAATCTGCAACATTAGTATTGTTTAAATAGAATCGCTAGAGATCCACACCTATTAATGTGTTGAGCTTGTGTTTGATACTTTCCTAACATTAATTACTAAGTAAATATATCCTTTTAAATTTCATTTTATGAGCCAGGTTTCTAGGGACAAAATTGGACAGTGGTTCATGCAATCAAAGAGAAGAGTTAATTTTTACTAGCACTTTGCAGTTTGTAAAGTTTACAAAGTTCCTTCGTGTGAGTATTGAACTTGATGTTGGCTGCCTGTCGCCATCAACTTGGCTTTGAGGATGATGTGCATTGGAACCACAGCAGTAGAAAAAGGGAATTGGGAGAATCCGTGGAATTATATGCTTCTAATTCTGTCCTTGCTGGGGAGCAGGAGAATCACAATGTGTAAAACTGTCAGGGAGGTCGGTAATAAAAGTCAGCTCAGTTCAGGCTGGAGTAACTGAAGGTGTCCAACCTGATAGGTGAGTTTCGGTCATAGTGATGCTCACAGGCCAGGGGAACTTAACATCCTCAGTTGGGAAATGCCTATCAGGTTTGAAGCAGAAATAGAGTCTGGGAAAGTAAATACCAAGATTTCTGGAAACACAAGGATTGTAGGGAAGCTGACTCCATTGGTCTCAGCCAACGAGGTCATTCTTTGGAAGCCTCCTGGAAACCACAGGCAGAACCTTCCATCTGCAGCCTGCAGTCTGTGCTTCGGCTTGGCTGCAGCCACAGGGCAGCCAATCCCACACAAGGGCTCTCCTGGGTGGAATCCAACCAGGGACCCACTGACCCCGGACTCTGGAAAATTAAGTTTTCAGACTTTGTAACTCTGGCTTTTGGGAAGACAGTAGAAAAACAAAGACTGTACTATCAAAAACAATGTCTGGGCCAGGCATGGTGGCTGACTCCTGTAATCCCAGTACTTTGGAAGCTAAGGCTGGAGGATCTCTTGAGGTCAGGAGTTTGAGACCAGCCTGGGCAACATGGTGAGATTCCATCTCTACAAAAAATTTAAAGATCAGCTGGGCGTGGTGGTGTGTGCCTGTAGTCCTAGCTGCTTGGGAGGCTGAGGCATGAGGATTACTTGAGCCCAGGAGCTCAAAGTTGCAGTGAGCTGTAATCATGCCACTGCACTCCAGCCTGGGCGACAGAGTGAGACCCTGACTCTAAAATAAATAAATAAATAAAATAAAAGTAGCATCTGGCATACTTCTCTGGGCCTTAGTTTCTTCATCTGTAAAATCAGAATAAGATGACAGACCTCCTGAAATGATTTGGAGATTATATATGTGCTTGGGAC
Source organism: Homo sapiens (assembly GCF_000001405.40). NCBI lineage: Eukaryota > Metazoa > Chordata > Mammalia > Primates > Hominidae > Homo > Homo sapiens. The sequence continues at coordinate 55,076,219 of NC_000018.10, read as the reverse complement.
ATAGTAGCTTCCCAGTTATCAATGACTTCTACTCTGGAGCTTGGAAAACTCAGGAAAAAACAAAACACTATTCCTAAGAACCACAGTGCCCTTGTCCAATAAGGCAACATGGCTAAGAGCACAGGTTCTGGAGTCAGAACACCTGGATTCAATCTCGGCCTCCCTCCTTATTAACTGGGTAATTTAGACAAGTTACTTAACCTCCCTGTGCCTCAGTTTCATCAGTTATAAAATGGGTACAATGGAGGTACCCGATAATCTTCATCATAGAGTCAATATATATAAAGTGCTTAGCAATATTATCCATAAATTCTCACTATATTGTTTTTCTAAAACTTTTTTAAAATTTTGAAACAATTTTAGACATATAGAGCAGTTGCAAACATGTTGCAGAGACTTGCCACATACACTTCCCCCAGCCACATTTAATGCTAACATCTTACAAAATCATGGCACAATTATCAAGACTAAGACACTTATATTGGTGCAACACTCACTATAGACTTCATTAGAATTTCACCAGTTTTTTTCATGCACGTCTTTACCCCCCGCCAGCTGCCAGTATTCAATAAAACATCTAAAAAATGGATTCCCAACTTCTTTGAAAAAATGGAAGGTTTGGCTACACCAGGCTCGCATTCCTGCTTGACCACTTCAGGCTAGAGCTCAGTAAATGCAGCCCCCTTGGAACGGAAGATGTGCTCAAAATCTCATTGCTCTTTAACTGTTGTGTCTTTTTAGTCTTCACTGATCTGTGACAGTTCCTCAGTCCTTTTTGTCATTTACAACCTTGACATTTCTCAGGAGAACTGGTGATTTTTTTGGTAAAATGTTCCTCAGTTTGCTTGTCTGACTTTTTTCTCATGAGTAGATTTAGGTCACATATTTTGGGAACAAAAGCCACAGGGAGGACGTGCCTTTCACAACGTCAGTGATGTTATCATTGATCGCTTGGGTTAGGTGATGTCTGCTAGGTCTCGCCACTGTAAATAATCACTTTCCCTCTTGTTTTTGGGAAGATACTTTGAGACTATGCCAAAATTTGTTCCTCTTTAAACTTTTGCCTGCTAGTATAAGCGTTCATGGGTGAATCTTGCCTACAGTGATGATTACTATAGTGTTCTGATAGGGGTTTTCTATTTTCATCATATCTTCTACATTTATTAATTGGAATTATCTTGTAGGAAAGAGTTGTCCTTTTTTTTCCTTTTATTTATTTATTCTATCATTTATTTATATCAGTATGGACTCATGAATATTTCTTTTATTCTTTGGGCATCCTCATGCTAGTAATATAATATTATTGTTATTTATTTAGTTGCTGAAGTTGTTCCAGCATTGGCCATTGGGAAATCCTGCAAGCTGCCTCCTGAGTTCTTTCCGAATGCCCCCATTCTTTCTCAGACCCTCTTTTTATGGCACCACAAGATGTTCTAGGCTTATCTTGTGTTTTCCCTGCCTCGAACTTAGAATCAACCACTTCTCCAAGGAGCCCTGGTTTTTCTTTTTCTAAAATTAAATTTTTATAGTCCTGGTTCTTTTTGTTAGGGAATGGTATTTAGAAAGCAAAATTGGAAAGGCATATATCTATAATTTTTTTCTTTAGGTTTTAACATTTTTCCCTCCCATGTGTCTCTCTCATGGTCAGTTTTGTTTGTCTAATATGTTCATGGCCTTGTACGTGGCATAAGGCTGCATGGGGCCCTTCCACTCTGGAGGAGAGTCAGACATGTATACAGTTAATGTTCAGAAAAGAAAGAACATGGCAAATGCTATGCACATTCTTGGATGCAGGAGAAGCATCTTCTCAGAGGAAGAAGAGGATTCAGGAAAGCCTTCATAGGGGAAAGAGATCTCTGCAGAGATCCTTGAAGAATGATCACACCCCTTGGGTGGAGATTCAGCAGACAGCATTTCACAGAGGAGGAACAGCATGACCATGAGCCACGGCCGGGCACAGGTGCATGCAGGGCCTCTGTAGAGTAGAGCTGAGAGCAGTGGGAGAAGCAGTCCACCATGGGCCCTGAAAGTCCTGCACATTCTTGCTGAGTATGCCAAGAGTACAAAGCCCCAATAACTTCTGATCAAGATACTTGACACTTATGTTTCTCAGAGTATTAGCAATGAGCAACCTTGAAGGATGAGGTAATGTCTTTCCCCCCAAAGCAGGCTTGCTTCTGCATGCTAATGGTGAGTCCCTTAAGCTCAGTGTGCTTCTCTTATGATGCAACCTACTGCATATGCAGGCAACCATGATGGGCACTTGCATTGCCTGCATGGGACTAGGAGACTGGGGAGCCTGTAAGAAAATGAACAACTAGCTATAGCTTTTGCTGTGAGTAATAAAGTCCTTTGTCTCTGACCCTGGAGTCTTGTTTCCTCTGCTGATATGCATGAAACAATAACAATCTAGTTTATTTTAAGTAGGGTAAAATCCCAGTCCCTGCACAGTTCTTGGTAAGAGAAGCGTGGGACTTCAATTTGGGAAGACAGGTTGCATTTCTGGCAAGAAGAGCCTGGAATTCATTTCCCTCTCATGTACACTCTGTTGTGGAGACTTGCAGAAAGTGGACATTGCAGCTTCTCTCTTCCCTTTTCCCCAAATGAAATACTTTTTTATTCATGGCTCAAGTATGATGGCACATATTAATTATTTGTAATTTTTTATTAGATGTATGTTTATTTGAGGATTTTGTTGCTCTTTATTTGTCTCTGTTGTGTTTGTGACTTCAGTACAGTAACTAGCAAAAAGGTACTGCTTTGGTTAAATCTGCTTTTTTAATAACTCTGGACTGGATTAAACTGAATCAGAGGTTATGCATGCCCACCAATTGGATGCAGCCAGGGGAATCAGAAACAATTGTTCTAATGCAAGAACTTGGCATGATAGAGCTTTGAGAGGGCGTTGAGTCACCAAGGAGTCAGCAGGCCAGACAAGGCACCTGTGAAGCATGATATTTAGAGCAAGGGGCAGGTCAGAGGCCAGGTGTACAGATAAAAACCAGGATATAAATGTCAGGCGATAAGGCTAGATGCAAAACCCAGTACTTTGTAAATAGGCGAGAGCCAGGAGACCCGGAAGGGCAAGACAGGTACAGAGCAAGATGAACAGAGAACCACAAGGAGACCCAGCAGTTGGGAAGGACCTTGGTCACTGGGGTGAGTATCCACCCAGCAGGAGGGTCGATGCGCTGTCTTTCCCAGGGCAAAGCCAGGCCCAGTGTGTGACTAGATCAGGGATGCGAGCAGCAGCAATTTGGGAGTGAGGAAACCAAGGAAGCGCTTTGTGAGTTAGCTCTGGCTTAACTCCTGTACATGAAGCCAAGAAGAAAAAGACATTTTGAGGATGACATCTCACTTTTGAAACACTATAATAGATTTTCTTGGAGGAGAATAAAAATGTAGTGCATCTTTTTTAGTGCATCTTCATTAAACCCTGGGTCCTAGTGACATTTTTATTTTTCAGCAAAAGCATTTTGCCAGCAGATCAGACCTTGATGATCTTAAAAAAAAAAAAAATGATGCTATTGATGAGAGACATGTTGTTCAACACTGTGGTTCTTTAAACCAAGATACCACCTCCAGATACACAGAATAGTCTCTTTGAAATGTCTATCAGGTTATAGAATTAAAAATATGTTTATCATTCAAAATGTGAGATAAAGGTTTCAGGGAAGCTGACAATGTAGAAATAAGCTTCTAAAAAAGGTGCAGTCTGGAAATAGACACATGCTCTCTCTGTCCCCTCGGTCCTGGCACACATAACCCAAAATTTGGACCCTCACATTTGTAACTCATTTGCATATGTAAGTGCCAGTTGGCAGTATTTTGAACACTTCAGCAGTTCTCTGTGCATTCGTCTAAGTTGGGGCTGCTACTGAAACCCTATTTCAATGTGTTTTGTTTTTCCTGCCATTTCAAAATGAAGTCATGAGATTGGGACTTCTTCCAAGAAGGTCCAGAAAGTAACTTTATTTTTACCCTTTTCCTGTCCTATATCCCACATCATTCAATATTTGTGCAAAATGGTAACTGGAGGTCTTATTGTCATTTCCATGGATCCCAGAATGTATAACAGTGATTTGGGGCAACATTTGGGAAGCCATTCAAGGAAGATGAGCTTCAGGTGACCCTAGACACTTCAGTTTCTGTTAGCAGCATGTCATGATTTTTGGAACAAAATAAATAAAGCTAGAAGGGGACAAGTAGAGAAGCCTATCATACAATTTCCAATTTCCCCTAAGCTTCTAGTTTTTTCTAGGTTAAATCTTTGTGTTGTCGTATATGCTATTTCTTTTTTCTTTCCTTTTTCTCCACCCTCAAATTTCTTCTCTTTTCACCTCCAAGAATGCATCTTTTAATCGATACGCAAATGTTTGGCTCTGCATCCAGAGCTGGGGGACATACAAGCACGGTTGATTTACCAACAAAAACATTCACAACCATGCAGGAGGAATGAGAGCTGGCAAATGTCTCTGAGTAGGATAATTAAGAGATGGGATCATTTTCAATTCGATTTCTACTTTAAATTTATTTTTTCTTGGTAAAGGTTCATACCTCAGTGGTTACAAATGGGAATACAGGAAGACATCTCACCCACCCATTTTTCAAAGCCACCTTCTTTCTTTCCCTGGAAGTAACCATCAATTTCTTTTTATCACTTCATAGGTATTTTATACACATACGAGTGCTTCACTGAAAGGTCAGTGTGAGGCACCTAGAAATAATATTGGCCATATTCGAAAAGAAGTGCTAGACCAAATGTGAATGGATAAAGCTGGGTCTCTTATTCCACGCAAAGATTCCACTGGTGCTATAATAAATATTGTTTGTGCTTTGCAAATCAGGAAATGTGAAGTCTAAAGACAGTGTCAGGGTGGGGGCAGGGAAGATACGATGCTGACAAGTCAGGTCCCAAGAAGCTGCTTTGTAGTTTCTTTGCTATTTTAATCCAGATGAAATAGAATGGAAATCGAGGGCAGCTGGCCAAAGTGTCTCTTGAATCATTGTCTTGCTACTAAGACCACAGGGTTGGGTGGGAAACCCAGCTCTGGGTCTGGAGGGTCAGATAATTAATAGACCCTTTAGCATTAATATGCATAAATGCCTCTGGGATTCACCTGCGGTGGGGAGGGAAGGGCTTGCTTGCTAAAATGCAGTCACTGACTCAGTGGGTCCAGGATGTCGCCTGAGAGCCTGCATTTCTAACAAGCTTCCAGGTGCTGTTGGTGTTGCTGATCCTCGGACCGCACTTTGATACCAAGAACCTAAACAGATGCCACCTCCAGAAATTGCTTTTTCTACAGGCTTAAGACAGAGCTGGGAACTCTGATTTTTGATGCCTTTCTCTATCCTAAGAGGTAATTCTGATGTAGGTTGACCTCAGAGCATACTTTGAGAACCCCAGCTCCTAAACCTGAAATTTTATTTCTTTCTATGACACACATAGAGTCAAGAACATAATTGTAGAGGAGAAGAGAACAGGCATGGGGAGGGGAAGGATGCAAAAGAGACAGGACAAAGCTGCAGGGAGATGCCCATCTGTATGATGGATAGAGGGTGAATTGAGTGCATATTCTGCAATTCAAACTGGTGATTTTCTTCTTACCGGGGAGCAGACTTTTTCCGTTTCTCTGCTTTAGGCTTTGAGATAGCAGCCCCAGAGAATGTCAGCTGATACACTATTCCTTGAGATTTCTCCTTCCCTAGGAGCTTTGGTTTCAGTCATCTCATCTTCATTTTATCCCAGTAAAACCGGAGGGAGGTTTCATGGAAGATCCCAGGGCCTGGAATTCTGATGGGCTGCTTTGCACAATCTCATCCCAGGACACCCAGATGCCCTCACTAAAGCAGATTTTGTCCCTGGACTCAGATTTGGCTTTCAAATATGGAACGTGCAAATGCTTAAAGGGAAATGTGCCCAGATTTTCGACACAGTCCTGACCTCCATTCAGGCAATCAGTGGGCACTGGTTCCAAATCAACTTGGCCTTGATAAAATGAGTAAAAAATGCCTGTCTCCCTTGCTGGGAAACTAGACTTTTCCTGTAAACTCAGGCCCCTCTGACAGGGCTTCCCAAGGCATCTCTCCCCTGGCAGTCATGGACACACTGCTGCTGTGTTCATCTGCTTCAAGGGCTCCGGGGGTAATGGGTCAAGTGTCCATTGAGAGTGAGCTGAGGAAGGAGAGAAGTGGCTGCAGGTGATGAATTTCAGCAGTCATCTTTGTCTCCTGGACTCTGAGATCCCTGCCTTAAGATCTCTAAAATATTACCCCCTTCTTGTGACCTGTCCCAGCTGGACAGCATGAGAGAAGTAGCCTGGATGGAATTCTTTGCTGTCTTGTACCCCTTGTGTTGAGTGTGCTACTTTTCTTCAGTCCCACTTGACCACACACAAACCCCTGAAGCAGACAGGGAGGGATGAAGTTCTCCATAACTGTGCACCTGCCATTGCTAATGTAGGAAGTGAAAATAACATAAATGAGCTCCATCCCACGCAGCACAGAAACACCAGACAAAAAAATCCCCTTGCAAAATGCCACCGAGACTCCCATTCAGCCCACACCCTCATGTAGGCACAGCATCTGAGCACCTGGCTTGTGGGACATCACACCTCACACCTCGCATGCTGCGTCGCTCAGGGTGGGAGCAGGGAGATTTCGGCATTGAAACCAATGCACAGCCTTTTCCAGTTTACCTAGATTATTTAACTCCCTCAGCATCTCTTTGAGCTAATAGCGGAGGTTTATTATTATTTTCCATAATAGTACAAGATTACGCAGCTCGTATTATGGGTTGAATTGCCCCCAAAATTCATAGGTTGGAACCCTAATACTAGTACCTCAGAATGTGACCAGATTTGGAAATAAGGTTATTGCAGATGTAATTTGCTGAGTTATGAAGAAGTCATTGGATGGGCTCTAATTCAGTAAGACTGGTGTCCTTATAAAAAGGAAACATTTGAACATAGATATTCACACAGAAACACCATGTGAAGATGAAGGCAGAGACTGGGGTGAGCTTCCATAAGCCCAGGAATGCCCAAGATTGCCAGAAAACCATCAGAAACTGGCAGAGAAGCATGGAACAGATTCTACTTCACAGGCCTAGGAGGGAGCCAACGCTACAGACACCTTGATTTCAGACATCTAGCCTCCAGAACTGTAAGATCATAGCTTTATGTTGCTTAAGTTACCTAGTTTGTGGTATTTTGTCATGGCAACCCTAGTCAACTAATACAATCCTTAAGTAACACAGTGGGGCCACAAAATAGGTTGTCAGGACCCTTGCCTATTGTGACTTCAGTAGAGGCTTGTTATTCAATAGGGAGTTAAGAGTGTGAGGGTTTTGATAGTATTCCTATTTCAAAAGCCAGTGGGGGCTGGGTGTAGTGGCTCACACCTGTAATCCCTTTGGGAGGCTGAGGTGGGAGGATCTCTTGAGACCAGGAGTTCAAGACCAACCTGGACAACAAAGTAAGACCCCAATCACTACAAAAAATAGATAAATAAAAAAAATTAGCTGGACATGACGGCATGTGTCTGTGGTCCCAGCTACATGGGAGGTTGAGGCAGCAGGATCCCTTGTGCCCAGGAGGTCAAGCCTGCAGTGAGCCACGTTCTTGCCACTGCACTCCAGCCTGGGTGACAGAATGAGACCCTATCTTAAAAAAGAAAAATAAAAAGTAAAAGAAAAAAAAAGCCAATGGAGGAGCATCCTTATCTTCCCTGCCCTCCAATTCAGACCCACTTGGCAGCATCAACTTGTGAACAATCATTCCTCTCCATCCCAGATCACCCTCAGCAGGACCTTTGACAGTTTACCCTCAGGCCATGCGCCCTTCTGTTCCGGGCAGCATTGCTGCATAGCAAACCCTCCCTAAACTTAGAAGCTTAAGACAATATCCATTTTATTATATCCTATGGATTGCATAGTTCAGGAATTCAGGCAGGGCTCATTTGGTTGTTTTTTTTTTTCATACCCAGCATTTACCAATAATAAATAAGTGGTTCTCAGCTGGCAGAAGGGCTGGTCTGAAGGAGCCAAGACAGCCTGACTTACATGTCTGGTGCCTTGGTGGGGACGGCTGGAAAGTGGGGCTCAGCTGGGACTGTTGACAAAGCCCTCTCATTTAGCATCTGCAGCACAGTAGCTGCAGATTATTTGAATTTCTTGCAGGGGTCCTGGTTTTCCCCAAAATGAGTATTCCAAGAGCACAAGGTGGAAGTTGCATGGCCTGTTATGACCTAACATCGGCAGTCACAAGCATTGCTTCCATCATGCTTAATTGGTCAAAGTGGTCACAGAAGCCCACCCAGATTCAAGGGGAGGGTTCAAAGATCTCACTTCTTGATGGGAGGAGAATCAAAAATTGTATGGTCATTAAAAACTAGCAACACTGTTATACCATTCCATCCCTTGGATGGCAAAAATAAATAAATAAAATAAAATAAAATAAAATCTCTACTTTCTACTTTCCTCCAACCTCTGGCTTTTGTGTTCCTAGCATTCAGAGATGGAGGATGGGAAGTATCCTCCGAGGAGTCCTCATAGTTGCTTATTTGCCTGTATTACAGTTGAAATTCTGTTCAAGGAAATCAAACTCTGGGCCCATGTGGTGTCCAGCTGTGGTCTAGACATTTCTCAGGAAGCCCAAATGGAACTGAGCAGGACACTTTCACAAATTAGCAAGCTCCCAAATATTTATTGTCCTATTCTGTCATCTTCATGTATCTAGATTTAATTGTTGACCTCCCAAGGACTCTCTCATTCAGTATCTCTTAAAAGCAGCCACGAATGAAGCCCTTACCTGGACCATTTACTGTCTGCAGGAGGATTAACAACAGACTGAGTAGTCTGGAAGAACAAAGCCTTCAGGAGAAATGGAGGCCACACCACCAATCTATGCCCTTTGGAGCATTCTGCTGTTAAAACATTGGTTCGATATAGAAAATGTATGCAAAAGGGGACCAGATTTTCTGTTTGCCTCCTCTGGCACTTCTATTTGTTGTTCTAGTCTCTCTCCACTTCTATCTTGCTTGGGGTTCCCAAGCTGTCTGAATTCCCTGGGAGGAAGGCTCTACTTGCAGAAGGCTAAGGCCAATGAGGCCCAGTAGATTCAAATCATTCTAACACTTACTTGACCCTATAATACAAGGCACAATAGAAATGGAGACAATATGCAATTCGTATTTAATCCCAATATTATAGTCTTGTATGCATTCATGTATGAATGCATGAGAGAAACAGAGAGAGAGAGAGAGAGGGGAGTGAGGGAGAGAGTTCAACCATAACATACAGAGTAAGTACTGTGAAGATAAAAACTATATAATATTTACTTTCACCTTTGAAAAAATGCATGGTAATGTGTTCAGCACATAGTAGATACCAAATGTTTGTAAAAAGATGGACGGGAGAAAGGAGGGGTTAGTCAGGCCAGGTATACTTTCTCATTCCTTTCAGAATTCCTAGTGGCATCTCACGTATATGCTTGTGTCTATGATGGAATGTGGAACAGGAATGGAGAAGGAGCAATGTACCAAGCGGGAGACCTTGACCACATAGAGGCTGACCAGGAGGGAGTGGATTGATTACCGGGGTCAGCTTTGGACATACATGGTAGGGACAGAAAAGGGATTACCTATTTTAAGCATAGATAAATTTTATCAGCTGCTAAGGTTCATGTGCTAGTTGAAGAGGGGTAGTAATAGACTATGCATTTTTGGCTTCCATGAAGGAAAATGCTTATTTTTGTGCATTATTCAAAACTAATTGTCTAGTGTCCTCCTCAGGCCTGCATTCTAGCTGCCCAAAAGATGGCTCTTCTTCACTCACTTCAAAGCAATCTGCAGTTGGGATTTCTGTTCCAATTGAAACTGTTTTCTTTTTTCTTTTCTTTTTGATGTGGAGTCTCACTTCATTGCCAAGGCTGGAGTGCAGTGGTGCCATCTCTGCTCACTGCAACCTCTACTGCCCAGGTTCAAGCAATTTGCGTGTTTCAACCTCCTGAGTAGGTAGGATTACAGGTGCATGCCACCATGCTCAGCTAATAATTTTTGTATTAGTAGTAGTGACAGGGTTTTGCCATGTTGGTCATGCTGGTCTTGAACTCCTGACCTCAGGTGATCTGCCTGCCTTAGCCTACCAAAGTGCTGGGATTACAGGCGTGAACCACCATGCCCAGCTGAAACTGTTTTCTAAAGTGTTTCATACACTTGAGTTCTAAAATGGGTTAAATCAGGTCAGGTGCGGTGGCTACCCAAAAGCACTGACTGATTCTCCAGTTTAAAGAACTATCTTGGGGCTGGGCGTGGTGGCTCACACCTGTAATCCCAGCACTTTGGGAGGCCAAAGCGAGGGGATCACTTGAGGCTAGGAGTTCAAGACCAGCCTGGCCAACATGGCAAAACCCCATCTCTACTAAAAAATACAAAAAAATAGCTGGTTTGGTAGTGCACGGTGGTAGTCCCCGCTACTCCAGAGGCTGAGGCACGAGAATCGCTTGAACCTGGGAGGCAGAGGTTGTAGTGAGCCAACATGGCACCACTGCACTCCAGCCTGGGTGACAGAACGAGACTCCATCTCAATAAATAAATAAATAAAAATTATAAATAAATAAAGTGGGTTAAATTTAGGTCTTCCTAGTCTTGATTCTTCTAGACTTCATTATTCAACAGTAACCTGACTATACTTTTTTCAAAAAAAGTTATTTCGTTATATAAATTCTAGTTGCTCATTGTCAGTTCAATGTCCATTACTTCACAGTAGTTCTTGTTCCTCTGATGGAGGCCTTAGAGGTTTTTAGTAAGATGAATAACGTTAGGAAGTCACCCTTTTAGAAAGCTTAATATCAAGATGGCAGCAAAGCCAGATGGGGTGATGGGCAGAGTCAGTGAGACAGTCCCAGAAAGCTTTGGCAATAATCCAGTTGGGAGGTAACAAAAGATGATCCCAAGGGGACACAAAAGTCACTTTAAAGATGAATAGTTCTGAAGAAGAATCAAAAATATTTGTTGACTGATTAAAGGAAAATAATCTGAAATGGTTTGTAAGGTTTCGATGAATATGATTGTGATGTTACAGCTGACAGAAACTGAGAAGTCTGAAAGGGGATTTGGTTTGGGGAAAAGATAAGGGTTTGGTTTTAGATATGCTAAGTTTGAGGTCCCAGATAAGCCCTGACACACCGGGAACCATGGGCTAGTGGTGCACACTCTCCTCCCTCTACCCAAGGAGGAGCCCCAGTGGTCAAAATCACACGCACATCACGACATTTGGGGTGAGGGCACAAGGGAGGAGTGGAGTGGTTAGTGCTCTCTCTTCTGCATGTAGGGACCGTTTCCTCTTTAAATTGTCTCCCTGTTAGAACTGTTTTCTCCTGCAGCTGGTGTGGTAAGGCAGGCGGGTGTTAGGACTTGTCCTGCTATGGTGGCACTCCATTCTATCTTTAAACCCTTCCTACACCTTAGAAACCCAGAGAGGAACTAGGATGGAAACTTCCAGAAAGAGCGGACGCTTACTCTGCCCTTCCTTCCTCCCACCACCCAGGCCTTTAACTACATGGAGAAAATTAATCTTTATATTTCATATGTGGCCAGGCAACACAGGTAAGAAAGAGACCAGATAGGTGTCTGAGTTCAAACTTGTAGCTGGAAGTCGTGTTCCCTTGCCTGGAGGATGCAGCAGGGTGGCAGGCCATGGAGGGATGAAAGCCAAGGACTTGGAGTCCTGAGCAATGTTTTTCTTTATAACTAACGTATAATTTTGCTGGTGCTTAAGACAGCAGAGAGGTGGGAATATAAAATTAAAGTTACTCATGTTTATAGGATAACCTCATAATTGAGGAAACCTATGAAGGAAAATATATTAAAAGAAGAGATAAAAAGCGGAAGTGTCTTGCAACCTAGCAATTCCACTCCTAGACAGTCATCCAGCAACAATGGGCACATACATTCACAAAAGACATTTATGTGAATGTTCATGTCAGCACTATTTACAACCATCAAAAACGGAATCAAAACCCAGAGTGCATCAAAGGTAAATGGATCAATGAATTGTGGTTAATTCATTCAAGGGAATACTCTACAACAATGACAATTACTAGGCCAAAGCTACAAGCAGCACGGCTGGATCTCACAAGCATAATGTTGAGCAGCAGAGGTCAAACTCAAAAGACTACATGGTTGTATGATTATATTTATATGAAATTCAAAACCAGGCCATGTTATCTAGACTGTTACAGGTCAGAAGAGTGGTAACCCTGAGGGCAGGCTCAAGGGGACTTCTGGGATTCTGTTTTTATTTTTCCTTCTTAATTTCTTTATCTGGGTGTTTGTGATGCAGGTGTGCTGACTTTAAATTTGTGAACACTTATGACTCATTTCTTTATATATGTTATGTGTGATAAAATTTGCGAAAAGAAAAAATAATCAGAGGGCAGATCATTGGAAAAACTCTCTTTTACAAGTTAAATACAGGATGATGAACTAGAGAAGTCATTAGAAAAGTGCCAGAATTGCTTCGCTCAGCTCCACAGATGCTAAGATGAAGTCTTCAGAAATGTAGGTAACTACATACAAATATTTAACTTACAAAGTCAAACTCAAAAATTAATAAGATCAAAGATTTTACAACTGTCTGGAAAATACATTTACAGTAATAATAATAAAGAACTCATGCAAAAGTCTGAGGAAATCTCCACTATTATATTCTCAGTGTTCTCCAGAGAAACAGAACCAATGGGGTGACATATGTTAAAAAATAATTTATGTATATTAGCATCTGTATTACAAAGAATTGGCTCACAAGATTATGGAAGCTGAGAAGTCCAGACCCAGGAGAGCTGATGATATAGTTGTAAGTCTGAGCTTGAAGGCCTGAGAACCAAGAGGGCTGAAAGTACAAGTTCCAGTCTGATTTCCAATCTGAAGGCAAGAGAAGATCCATGTCTCCACTTGAAGACAGTTAGGCAGGGAGAGTCTTTCTTACTTAGTCTTATACTTTATGCAGACCTTCAACAGATTGGATGATGTCTACCAACAATGGGGAGGACAATTTGCTTTAATCAGTATACTGATTCAATCTTATCTAGAAACACCCTCAGAGCCACACCCAGAAATAATGTTTAACCAAATACCTGGGCACTCTATGGTTCAGTCAAGTTGACACACTAAATATCAACTACACAACCACAGGAACACCTCATTTTATTGTGCCTTATATTATTGCATTTTGCAGATACTGAATTTTTTAACAAATTGATGGTTTGTGACAACCCTGGGTTGAGCACGTCTATCAGTGCCATTTGTTCACTGAGTGTCTCTGTATCACATTTTAATAATTCTTGCAATATTTCAAACTTTTTCATTATTATATCTGTTAATGGTCTGTGATCAGTGATCTTTGATGTTACTGTTGTAACTGTTTTTGGGTGCCATGAACCAGGCCTGTATAAGATGGTGGGTGAGCTTAATCCATCAATGTGGTGTGTGTTCTGACTGCTCCACAGACTGTCTGTTCCCCAATCTCTCTCCCTCTCTTTGGGCCTCCATATTCTCTGAGACACAATAAAATTGAAATTAGGCCTATTAATAACCCTACAATGGCCTCTAAAGGAAGAGTCACACATCTCTCACTTTCCATCAAAAGACAGAAATGATTAAGCTTCATGAGGAAGGCATGTGGAAAGATTAGATAGGCCTAAAGCTAAGTTTCTTGCACCAAAGTTAGTCAAGTTGTGAATGCAAAGAAAACATTCTTGGAGAAAATGAAAAGTGCTACTCCAGGGAACACAAATGACAAGAAAGCAAAACAGGCTTATTGTTGATATGGAGAAAATTTTAGTGGTCTGAATAGAACACCAAATCAGTCTCAAAATTCTCTTAAGCCAAAGCCTAATCCAGATAAGGCTATAACTCTTTTCAATTCAGTGAAACCTGAGAAAGGTAAGGAAGCTGCAGAAGAAAAGCTGGAAGCTAGCTGAGGTTGATTCATGAGGTTTAAGGAAAATAGCCATCTCCATAACATAAAAGTGCAAGGTGAAGAAGCAAGTGCTGATGTAGGAGCTGCAGCAAGTTATTCAGAAGATTTAGCTAAGATCATGGATGAAGGTGGCTACACTAAAGAATAGATTTTCTTTTTGTAAATTTTTTTATTTTAAATTTTTGTACATAGTAGGTGTATGTATTTATGGAGTACATAAGATGTTTTGATACAGGTAAACAATAGATTTTCAATGTAAATAAAACAGCCTTCTATTGGAAGAAGATGCCATATAGGACTTTCATGGCCAGAAAGGAGAAGTCAATGCCTGGTTTCAAAGCTTCAAAGGACAGGCTGACCCTCTTGTTAGGGGCTAATGCAGCTCGTAACTTTATGTTGAAGCCAATGTTCATTTACTATTCTGGAAATCCCAGGGCCCTTAGGAGTTATGCTAAATCTACTTTGCTTGTGCTCTAGAAATGGAAGAACAAAGACTGGAGAATATCACATCTGTTCACAGCATGGTTTACAGAATCTTTAAGCCCACCGTTGAGATCTACTGCTCAGTAAAAAAGATTCCTTTCAAAATATTACTGCTCATTAACAATGCATTTAGGCACCCAAGAGCTGACTAGATGTCAACTAGATGTCAAGATGTACAAGAAGATTAATGTTGTTTTCATGCCTGCTAACACAACATCCATTCTACAGCCCATGAATCAAGCAGCAATTTTGACTTTTAAGTCTTATTACTTAATAAATACATTTCTTAAGGTTATAGCTGCCATAGATTGTGAGTCCTTTAATATATCTTGGCAAAGTAAGTTTAAAACCTTCTGGAAAAGATATATTATTCTAGATGCCATTAAGAACACTTGTGATTCATGAGAGGAAGTCAAAATATCAACATTAACAGGAGTTTGGAAGAAATATATTCCAAACCTCATGGATAACCTTGAAGGGTTCAAGACTTCAGTGGAGGAAGAAATTGCAGATGTGGTAAAAATAGCAAGAAAGCTAGAATTAGAAGTACAGGCTGAAGATGTGACTCAATTGCTGCAATCCCATGATAAAACTTTACTGATGAAGAGTTGCTTCTTATGGATGAGCAAAGGAAGTGGTTCCTTGAGATGGAATCTACTGGGGAAGATGCTGTGAACATTGTTGAAATGGCAAAAAAGGATTTGGAATTTATTACATAAATTTAGTTGATACAGCAATAGCAGTTTTGAGAGGATTGATTTTAATTTTGAAAAACATTCTACTGTTGGAAAAATGCTATTAAATAGCATTTCATGCTACAGAGAAATCTTTCATTAAAGGAAGAGTCAATCAATGTGGCAAACTTAATCATTGTCTTATTTTAAGAAATTGCGGCAGCCACCCCAGCCTTCAGCAACCATCACCCTAATCAGTCAGCCATGATCAATATCATGGCAAGAGCCTCCATCAGCAAAAGATTGTGATTAGCTGAAGGCTCAGATAATCATTAGAATTTTTTAGCAATAAAGTAATTTTAAATTAAGGTATGTATTTTTTTAGACATAATGTTATTGCACATTTGGTAGCCTACAGTATAGTTAAAACATAACTTTTATATGTACTTGGAAATCAGAGAATTTGTGTGCCTTGCTTTATTATGATATTAGCTTTATTGGGGTGGTCTGGAGCTGAACCTACAATATCTCCAAGGTATGCCTTTATGTCTAAATAGAAACATGCAAAAGACATGAATGCAGGGTATTAATGGTTGATAGGGGCAGACACCATTGCAAATACTGTACATGGATGATGGCTCTCAACCTCACAACAACTCAATGGAGTCAGTAAATATTTTTCTCAATTTCATAGAGGAAGAATTCAGAGTTGGGTATATTAACTAAGTGGGGAAATGTTTAAACACTCAACAGGGGCAAAAGATCCTCCTGAGAAAAATACATTGAGAAAAAAATAGCTTGAAACTTCAGCCTGGAAACCATAGGATTGGGGATAAGATGATCCAGGAATATAAAATCATGGAGGAACATAGGCTTTTGACTAGATTTTGGAATTTGTGAACTTGGAACGCAGAAAAGCCTTGTAAACCCCTGACAACCAAGATACTGGTTTTATAGAGACGCACACCCTCTTGAAACTTGAGAGTGAATGTAAGTAAATAAAATGGAATGTAGCTCTGCAGCATGGAGTTCACCTTGGAGTCTCCTTTGCTACGAGAAAATAATAACTCAAAAAGTTTTGTCAGTAGCTGATCTAATGCACAGGGGAATTGCTCACCTGTTGAAGTGGAGGGAAGAGAAGGATGAGGAGGCTGCTTCTTTTGCTGTCTGAGAGTCAGCTGCTCCTTGTATTAGTGAAATGATGCCCTGAAATCTGCAAAGAACTTTTTGCTCTCTAATTTAACATTACTTTAACCAGCAGGTAATGAATGCAAAAGGCAGCTCTGTGATCAAAAGTAATGATGACATGAATGGAGAAGACATGGCTCCCCAGGGTCACACTTGACTCTCAAATATCCGTTAAGGACTAGTCCAGTGACCTCAATAGAACAGAGATGATATTAAAGGATTCCCTGGACAGTGAAGATGGTGGCCATGTGAATTTCACTCTGGCAAAGGTGGTGAGAAGTGGGAAGAGGACCAATGTCAGGCCAGTCAGCCAGTTCCATATTCTGTTTCTTAAAACATAATCAGGCTTACGCAAGTCTGAGGGCTACTTGCCTACCCCAGTGTCAAGATTAAAGATGGTGTGGGTGGATCAGGTCACACCTATGTAATATTAAGATTTGCATTAGGGTCTTACAGTTAATAAAATACATTCATGTATATTATCATTTATTTTAATTTATCAAGTTTTTAAAGTTTCCATGTAATAAGCACATGCAGTTTCAATGGGAATGTGAAAAGAAACACAGAAATGAAAATAAGCTCTAAGAAGTTGAACTCATTTGGTTGAAACTTTTACCCTCTGCCCCTTAACTCCACTAGACTGCAAGGTGCATAAACTAGGGGCCGTGTCTTATGCACCTTTGCATCTCAGCACCTCTTGCAATGCCTGAGCTCATGAATAAGCCATTCATGAATCAGATTATATTGTAAGTTTGGTTGGCTCAAGCGGTTATGGTCCACCTGTCTCATGGTCATACCAGGCTACCCATAGAGTTGGACTGCATGACTGCCCTTAGAATGGCTGCATTGATCCCCTGGAAAAGCAAGAGATCATTTTGGTACATAGTTAAACATAGCTGCTCCTTCCTAACCAGGTCTTTTCGGTGTGTATATTTGTCTTATGACAAATTAGATCACAGATGATCTAAATCTCATTAAATTTACATAGAAAATATTGTACCTTTAATTGAAATCCCTGGTTTATTTTAGGACATAGCATTGTCACTGACAACACAGAATGCATTATTTGCACTAAATAACAAATATTAATATCAACCTTCTAAAAATGTAGCTTGGAAAAATTTCAAGAGAAAATAAATCACTACAGTTTGTATGGCATTGATATACATGCATGCATATATATTTTATATACATCTATGCATGTCATTTGGGTTGAAATTACTTTTCTTATTGAATTTAGGTGCCACAGGTATTCTAGTTTCACTACTTTTACACTTTTTACTCCTGGGAGAGTTAATTACAAACAATTTAATTAAGATCTCTTACTCATTAATGTTCTAGTAGCTTAGCAAGTTTGGGTTAGCTCAGCAGGTTGCAAAGGTTTAATTTTATCAGTTATCTTCCCATTAACTCATACACCATCAGTACTGTGCTTGTTTTTTATCCTTCTCTGCCTGAGGTACCGACAGAATTTAAAATATCATTAAAACTAAGAATTCAAGAAAGACTTTGTTAGTTGCCACCTGTCCTGATGAGGTTTAGATTTCCATTTTGAATCTTTAGAATACAAGATCAAGGATGCCTCAATAACGTTCTCTCCAATAGGACTAAACAGACAAAAACATATTTAATTTTTGACTAGAATTAGTACAATCACATATGGTTTCCATTAGCTTTGTGAAAAATACAGATTTCAAAGAAAAAAATCTGTTCTATAGCTCATTAGAAGCCCAAACACTAAAGATATAAATTTTGACTAAAAGAGAATCACAAAGAATATACATGAGGATAAGGAAAACTATGAATCAGGCCTTAAAAAAATATCTTGCTATTTATTCTTTAATTCTCAAGACATTATATATGAGCACAGTTTATACTTGATCACAAGTGTCACTAATATAGGCTGCCTCAGATGGAATGTAAGACCCATAAAATTCAAACTTACTTGTAAAAGTTAACACAGTCTTTTGTATTTTTTTAAATTGACCAACTTTTTTTTCAGGTATAACTTGTTTGTAAACAAATACCCAACTAGCCTCATGGTTTAAATAGTAAAAAAGCAGTTAATGTACCAAGCTGTTTTTTTTTCCCTAGACTCTGGCCATGAATCTATGTTCTCTTATTAACCATGAAGTTTACTAATAATTATTGGGCTCAAATCACCTTTCTGTTCTTAGGATTGCAGGAGGAGGGATATCAAGCCTAGTAATGCTAGTAACGCTGTGTTTACTTAAGGGAAAATGATCATAAAAGGAAAGGGTTTAGTTCTTTCTTTGTTTTCAACTCTATAACCTTGAAACAACTGGGGATCATTTGTTTTGAAATATATACATTCTAATATTCTGAGATTTTTATCCAGAAATTATTATATTCAGGAAGAATATGATATTCAAAACACCTTTGCAAAATTAATGGGAAAATATAAATAGCATTTCTTTAACAACGTAAAGAGCAGTTAAATTCAGATGAGCAAAAATACTTATTGTAAATTGATAAAGGAAAACAAAAAGGATAGATAAGAATGGGGCTGCAGGGCTTTGAAGACGATGAGACCCAGGTAGAGTTGCAAGATTTAGCAAGTAAAATTATACAATTATAGAAACAATTTTTTAGGATAGATTTATCCTAGAGACATTTGGGACATTTTTATCCTAAGAAAGTAGTCATTGTTTATCTGAAATTTAAACTTAACTGGGCATCTTCTATTTTATCTGTTAACTCTCGACCCAAGGAACTAAGGTAATTTAGGGTTTAAGGTCAGAGCTATTTTGTGGCACATTCCTCACTGGAACCTAGGTCTCAAAAAATCATATTATTTCTTTTCTATGCCAGGGTTCTCTACATAATTGTCCCATGGACAACCGTCTCAAATCAATGATTTTTAAGCACAAAAATATATTTTTATTTTTCAGATGTCTCCAGTCTGAAGACAACCTTTTCTATTCCATAAAATGACACTATGAAAACTTTTAAGATAAAAGCCACCATTTGGCTTCCCTGATTATTCTGAAAATGGTTATTTTAACATGGAGATCAAAATTGTTCTTCACTCTGTGATTTTATAGCCAAGTCATTTTATATGTATTAAAACTTAAGGAGAATTACGACCAGGAAAATTACAATTAGGAATCAGACTTGCAATGTAAAACTTTGAACACTCATAAAACCCATTTTTTCCTCCTCTCTATTATTTTACCATCAAAAATGAAAGCTGAGGGTGGCTACTTACTGACAAAATGTATGAGTGCTGTCTGAAAAGACAATAATTTCTGCAGCTGAGAAATCTACACGGAAATGGGCAGCAGTTTGTTTCAGTGGCTGGGATTTTATAATCTAAAGCTGTGTTGTCTGGCAGGAAAAGTCAGTGCCTGGATCAGAAGTGTGAAAACATGAGGTCCTCTGCAGGATGCTGGGAAATGGAGCTGGTGATTCCCACAGCCTTTAAGGCCAGGCACTAAAACAGTGGCTAGTTTAAAAACCAAAAAACTCAAGAACCAAGAGTGTATAAAGCACACTGTAATTTGTTTTCTCACACTATCTGCATGGTTTGCTTCAAAGGGAGTTGGGAAAGGGGCTGACTCACTTGGCTTTGTGACTTTACTTGTTAGGGGATTGACATGCAGTCTGTGGTACATACAAGAGGTGCTGATCTGTTCAACACGATGCAATTCTGTGAGCTTCTATCTGTTAGGTGAGCTCAGGCTTCCGTGGTTCTATCATCGAGCAAGGGAGACAACCTGGAAACAGCCAGACTAACAATTTCGTTTTAGTCGGGAGCAAGCAGGGTATCAAGAAAGCACAAAACAGGAAGCCCAAAACCCTAAGGGCTTAGAGGTTTCTTGGAGATGTTACTTAATTACTTGCTAAAGATATACAGTCTACTAAAACATGTGCAAATAATATGATATGTGAGATTTGCTTCACAATGATATCACTGTAAGAGAAGAAAAGTGGAAAATCAGTGCAATAAGTTAGCCATGAGTTGATATGGCTGAAGTTGGGTTTGAATACATGGAGGTTACTTACACATTTGTCTACTTGGTATATTTGAAATTGTCCGTAATAAAGAGGCAATGTGTGTGTGTGTGTGTGTGTGTGTGTATGCGTGCATGCGTGTGTGCGTGTGTAGATAGAGATAGAAGGAGAAAGAGAGAATGAGCTCATGAGGCAAAGGTGTCTGAGAAAAGTGAAGCAGCCAAGAGAGAACTGAATGTTTTGAGGTACTAATTTGCAAAGTGGAGGAGATTCAGTTCTTGTTCCATGACCCCAGGAGTGTGAAGGATGCACATACATGAGCAGGGAAAGTTCCCAGTAGTACCCCTGGCAGTTAGTGAGAAGGCCTTTGAAAGGTGGTATGGGGGGAGTTCAGCTAACCTTCTAACCATGGATGCCAGGACTGCCTACTTCTGGTTCACCTATAAAGCCAGTTATACCTGGATTATTTGCTAAGTTCTTAGAGATCTACTTTATGACTTTGCAAAGACACCTTGGACAACCACCGCCAAACAGACGGGATGAATTGTGCCATACCTGAACACCAAACCAGGATATTAGCAACAGCAGGATACAGGTGTCTTACCCTCCTCCTAGAAAATTGCAGACCCCTGAGCTCCCGGGCTAATATTCCTTTCTTCTGTGTAGTTTTAGCACCCCTGGGTCAATATGGCCAGTATTTGTCAGGACCCAACTCTTTGCCGAGCGCTATGCTAGGTGCATGGAGGACAAGGGGCTCACTGTTGTGTCTTTGAGGAATTTAAAGTTTTGTGGATGACATTACAATCTTCCAGGGGGCAAACAAGGGTGCTGATGGTGCATGACCTCTTAGAAAGTGAATCAAGTGTCCTCTTTTTAAACACAGCCATTTAGTCACAAAAGAAAGCTTAGTTTGAAACCAGTCCCTCTCTGTCCTTTCTCTGCTGGGTAATCTAATTTGAATGCAAGGAAGTCTGGCAGTTGCAAATGCTAGCTGGCAATAGAAGCGCATTTTCATTGACTTCCTGGGATTCTTTGCCTCCCTCAAATATTTTGGATACAGAGAACATGGCACAGATTCTTCAGTCGGTGCTAATGATGAGAGAACTGCATAATGGAGACTGTGCCTCATCCAGACAGAGAGAAGTCGTGCGGATGAACGCAGCCCGCCCAAAATGGAGGCCGCTTCCAAGAACGCCAGGCTAGCGACTACGAGCGGCAAAGACTGTGGCAACCAGTGTCGCAGCGCCAAAGTCGGTGGAGTCTGCCAATTGAAGACAATTAGCAAGTGCGACTTCTCAATTGTGTTGACAGATGAGGGAGAAAAATCAAATAGATGTGAGAGCTGTGTTTATCCTGCTGCAGTGTTTTGCAATATTATGTCTATTGATTTGCTTTTTGTCCCTGAGTTATTGGGTGGATGGTGCGCTGCTCTGCCTGTCAACCCGGCAAGCTTGCCTTCACAGCTGCTTGTCAAGTGAGAATTTCTACACAAATCAGCCCAACCCGTCTCACAGGGGACATTAGGCCAAAGATACTCTGTTATGATTTAATGGAAAGGAAAAAAAAACTGTAGCATGTGGCTCAATTTTCTTTTTATAACAATTGGTTATAGCGTTTGGATTCTGTAATGTGGCGCAGCCCGCTGTAATTGGTTTTGCGAGCATTCTGCAATCCAGGAAGTTAGGCTGGGGTTGTGTGTGGCTGTTATTTGCTGTCATGACTGACCCTCCTACTAAAAGATGATATGAATTCCCACTGCCTTACATTACGTTTGCAACACTCTCAATTAAGATACAACAGTCATTCTTTGGAAGTATATATTGTCATTTTAAAAGAATGTGAAACCTCTGAGCCAGCCACAATTGTTAAAGAAATCGAATTTTTCTTTGCTGCTCAACTTTCTCCCATTGTTGTACCCCATGCACTTCTGGGCACATGGGAGCCTCTCGTGCTTCCCAGGGTGGAATCCTTCCCCAACTGGATCAGTTCTCTTTCTCCCACACCATTTTTAATCCTAAACTTTAATGTAAAAAAATATATGTAATGTGTGAACCCGTCTGAAAGAGCGCTGTGTCTACTATACAGGAAACAGGTTCAGGTCAATTCAGGACTTCATGATAAAAAAACTTTATAATCTGCCCTCTGTATCACTTTTTCTTAGGAAAGAGGACCTTATCCAAAGGAATGATATTCATGGTAGAAAATTTGGAAGCTAAGGCAAAGGAATAAGGAAGGAATTTGGGATTCCAGGACTTGGGAGCATCCCTCAAATTCTATTCTATACTCAGCTTTCTTCTCTTCTATGTGTATCCCCTGTCTGCAATAAATCAGAATTATGAAACAAAACCTTTGTCCCCACCTCCCTATTAATTAATTAGTTTTTAAGTACTCCATAAATCGGAGCAGTTGTGGAGTCTCTCTGCTCAGCATCCCTCCATGCAGGCTTCAAGGTACCCTCTCTATGGAATGGGTGTTAACCTGGGCTGAGAAGCTCCAGAAGGCAAAATCACATACATCTTTGCTCTAAAAAAATTCTGCACTGTCGGCATGTGTTCATGTATACAAATTTCTTCTTGGTATTACATATCGAGGCCCTTGTGTCCAACTCATTTGCTGATAGTGAGTTAGGTGCATTTAGGGAGATGCATTACTTTCCTGCAAACAACACAGGGACTGTTAAACAAACAGCAGGAAGATGGCTCAATTTTAAATAAAATTTACAGGCCCAGAATGAATGCCCTTCCCTAAATAACTAACTTACTTCCAGGGAATTTCTTTGGCACTGGGGATTAGAAACACCAATTCTAAAGTTAATTACAATACATAAACATGTATTTAAAAAGATAATTGTTTGACATTATTTTGGAACTTGACTGAAAATTGCTTTCTAAGGACAAAAGCTCCTTCTATAGAGTCTCAGATGACTTAGTACACAACAAAAAGGCATGTATCACAGAGCAAGTGGGACTCCTTCCTAGCCACACATTCTTTAAAAAATCCATTTCCAATTCTGTGTTCTATCTCTAGTTCCATTATTTCTACTTTCAAGAGTCTTGTTCTCCTGCTACCTAAAATGTCATAAATATCATCATGGGAGAGAATGTGGTCTAGTACAGTTTTATTAAAAAGTCTCACACTTTTTGCAGCCAAATCATTACCAACATATGCTGTTCCCAGCCTGTCTTCTGTTCCAACAGGTTCACAGGGAATAACATCAATAGTATTGAATGCTTCACAACTTTTCAAATGCTATTTTATTCATTTAGATAAATATCCATTCAATACCAATTATGTGCATAGGATGCTATAAAAATACAAATTCATTCTAACAACAAATCCCTGTTCTCAAAATGCTGTTCACTGAGTTGTGATTGGATATTCACATAAAAACTTGTCTAATGATGCTCTAACAAAAGGCAGGCATTTCAAGAGCCTTCATGTGGCAGTTGCTAATTCACAACAAGGATGGTGTCTCTTGTAGTTTTAGTTTGGAAGGGTTGTGAAATCTAGCCACATTCAATCCTCCAGGCAGCTCTGTGGCATAGGTGTTTTTATAACATTTTATAGAAGTGGAAACTGTTTAGTGACCTCAAAACCGATAAGAGGTAAACCTCAAGCCCACTGGCCACATGGGATAACAAAAGTCGTGAGTGTGGGTCTGGCATGACCTGGGCTCAATCTCAACTCCAATTCTTTCTAGCTTGGCAATCTCTGCTGCTTCTGTAAACTAAGAACGATGGTACCTAAAATCTATTTAGACATAGGTTTTCTTTTTTAAAAAAATATGACTCTTGGGCCTGTAAAAAAGGGAAAATACAAGAAAAATAATTTGGTCAAGTATTCCTAGATTTCTTGTCATCTGGTCTTTCTTTGTCTCTTTTTGACTCAGAGTTCTTGATGTCTATGTTTTTCCTACAAACAGTAGATTTTCGGGCTGTTGTGAGAATTAAATGAGGTATATTATATTTTCCTGCTATGGCTAAATGTGTCCTGCCAACTCCACATTCATATGTTGAAACTGAGCTTCCACTGTGATGGTATAGTAATCTGTTCTCACATTGCTATAAAGAAATACCTAAGACTGGGTAATTTATTTTAAAAAGGAGGTTTAATCGGCTCATGGTTCCACAGGATGTACAGGTAGCATGGCTGAAGGGGCCTCAGGAAACTTGCAATCATGGTGGAAGGTAAAGGGGAAGCAGGCACATCTTCACATGGCTGGGGCAGAAGAGAGAAAAAATGAGGAGGTGCTACACACTTTTAAACAACCAGATCTCATGAGATTTACAATTCAACATGAGATTTGGGTGGGGACACAAATCCAAACCATACCAGAATGTTATTAGGTCATGAGGGTGGCATATCATAATGGGATTTGTGTCCTTATAACAAGAGACATAGAGCTTGTTCTCACTTTTCTCTGAGCCATATGAGGACACAGCAAGAAAATGGCTGTCTGCAAAGCAGGAAGCATGCCCTCACCAGATGCCAGATCTTCTGGGACCTTGATCTTGTACTTCTCAGCCTCCAGAACTGTGAGAAGTAAACATTTGTTGTCTAAGACACAAATGTGATAGCAGTCTAAACTAAGACATTCTTCAAATCTAAGATATCACTGATTGCAAGTAGCATTATTATGTTATATTTCACTAATAAAGAAAATATGCTGCCAATTAATCCCAGAAATACAATCTTTCTTGTTTCTTAGAATTTCTATTTATTCAAAGAGTTTTTTAAAACTTACTTAGACATAGGTTTTTTTTAAAAAAAATATGACTCTTGGGCCCATAAAAATGGGAAAATACAAGAAAAATAAGTTGGCCAAGTATTCCTAGATTTCTTCTCATCTGATCTTTCTTTGTCTCTTTTTGACTCAGAGTTCTTGATGTTTATGTTTTCCCTACAACATCACCCCCTGGCCTGCAAAAGCAATGGTGATGCAGAAATAATGTTCCACTTTCATATATAAAAGAAAGAATGTTCCATTCTTATGTATGAGAGCTCTCCCATGGTACTTTCACTCAAAATTTTTCACTCAGTGCAAGTTTAATACTGGGGTCTCAATAGAAAGTTTTCAAGCACTCGGAACTTCCATTCCTTCTTCAAATGGTTCTTAAGTGTTAACTGTATTGGATGTCAAGGGATTGGGATTTTCCTGTTATTCCACCAAAATAGTAAGTGAATAATGACACAGTTATATCATGACTACTGGCTGGTCAACAGCAATTGTTAGACACAGTTGATTGTGCAAAGCATCCCAATTTCAGAGACATTAATGTGAAAAAAGAAATATGTTTTCAGAATCTATGAGATATATATCTACACAGTACAGCATTATACCCAACACTTGGTAGATGCTTTAAAAGTTATTCTCTTTTTTTCTCTCTTTTTCTTTTTACACACACAATAGCTATCAAATTGGTGGGTCTACTGATAAAGCTTATGAGTTCACAGGGGGAGTAAATATCTTGAAGTAGAGAAGTCAAAATTGCTTTATGGAAGGAATGGGAAATTTCCCTCAGCTGGAAAGAAAGGAGAAAGCAGAGAGATGGGAATGGGCACTCTGAAAACATGAATAGTCCTAAGAGATTGCTTCAGTGGGGCTTTAAACCCTCCCTCCCATAATTACTGTAAGCCCCAACAAATACAATGGCTTGTTATGCAAGTACAACTTTAAGAAAATTACTTAGCATTCCTCTTCCAACTATATCGCCACCTGATAATCTGGCAATTCCACTAAAATGTACAGAAATAAGAATGTATATGGCAAACCATGTATGATACTTTGGGGTGAGTGGATACTGGCTGGTAGAACTGAGCAATCTCCTGAGTTGTAGGCTTGGGGACCAGGCAGACCTAGGACCTGGATCTTGCCCTTGTCCTTAACAACTGAGTTTTTGGGGAACATTTCTTCATCTTTTTGCACCTCAGTTTTCTCTTACATAAAATACAGGGAACTGTTACCCATCTTAGCAGAGTATTAAATTTGAAGAGAATATAGAGTAATATGTATAAAATGCTTAGGACAGTACTTGGCTCATATAAGCACTGAAAAGAACTTTTTCACAATGTAATCCTAACTAAGGTTCTAATGGCAAGTGATGGGTCACTACAAGATCTTAGAAGAGTGAAGTCTGGCTACCATCATGTGTCAGCTTTAACATGTACTAGCTGTGTGACCTTGGGAAAATTACTTAATCTCTCTGTGCTTCAGCTTTCTCATGTGGAAAGTGGGGCTACTAAAAGGAACTTTTTCACAGTGAGGATTAAATAAGTTTATTATTTTTAATAATTCAGACATGGACTGAATTAGTAAGTGCTCAATAAATGTTAGCCATTACTATCCAATGTGTCTATGTTTTTGTGGTTTTTTTTTTTTAATTTTTGCAGGGGATTTCTGGAAATGACAGTAAGTTAATCCAATCACTCAATCAATATTTATAATGCAGAAGTATATCACATGGCAAAGTGTCAGGAAATGGAGGAAGGCATTCAAGTTATTTTGGGGAGGTGTTTGTGAGGAGAGGGTTATTTTTCAAACTGTACCATAGAGATGATTGCTTGCTCTACCCATGAGCTAAACCTCCTCCCCATGCTCACTATGTTCAGAAGACACATTTTCCCTGAAGCCAAGAAAAGAAGAAAACAGAATCTTCCCCACATTCAGAACGAGTCTTTGGAGACTTTCCTCCTCTTCTGCTCTGGGCAGCTCCTCAAGTCTTCATAATATAACGTTAAACCTTTATTAGCTCTTCTAAAATTCAGAGCTGAGAATGAGGAAATTGTATTTCCCTCCACTGTAGTTCAGAATTGAAATATGACTCAGTACAGTTGCCATGACATACTTACCAAAATGTTGCATGCTTAGTCATTTTCAATGACTCATTTATTTAATTCATCAATAATTTTTTCCCTTTGCTTTGGGTGAAAAGCAAGCTAATCAGTGATGTGGCTCAGATGTTCTGATTCTCCAATATATTATGATGGTTGCACTCCAGAGTCGCATTTGAATTAAAAATAAAAATAAAAGAGAGAGAGCAAGCCACTTCTTTTTTAATGGTGTTTGTTCTCGTTTACATTCAATCTGATTCCTCCAGAAAGTACAGATCCAAGCATTCATTTTATCATTTTCACTCTCCAGGACGACAAATGAAAATAGTATATTTTTCTAAAAAATGTTTCAGAAAATGGAGAAAGGATAATCTTTAAAGTCAAGTCTTAGTTTGTCTATCAAAATGAGGTCTTTCCAGTTCGGCTGCTGGCAATCATGGCAGTCTCCAGCCTCAGGGAACTACTGGTCCTTTAGCCAATAACTCATTATCTTTATGACCTTGAACTTTTGCATGTACTGCACTCTGGGAGAGAAGGACTTTTCACTCTTGTCTTCCTGGAAAACTCCCAGTCATCTTTCAAGATGCAATAAGTGGCCATCCTCTCTGCACAAGACGTTGTCCATCCTTACCCTTCACTCCTCCAGGGCAGACTTAGCTTCTTCTCTGTGGTTCACGGGCACTGTGCACTGTGTATACACACCTCTGATACTGTGCTCAGCTCATTGTATCTGGATACTTACCCATTTATCTCTTCTGCTCAATTGTACAATCTTTTGTGGCCAGATTATAAATTTTTGTCTTTTACTCCTGACCTCTGAGAACATATGAGGCTCAGCAAGGGCACTCAATCAATGCTCATTGAATAAATGGTTAGCAAAGGCCTTCCCAGTATATTTGTGGTGCTATGTGGAGAAATGGACAACTATGAAATTCTCATTTCAGCACTGATGAATATCTACAGCACATTCACAAAAGCTAAGCATGCCAGTTATGGATGTATTACCCCTTAGCTCAAAGCATGTCTTTCTTTGCCTGCTCTGTAATCATGAAGGTGGGCTCTGTAAATATTTCTCTTTTGTCAGTTGGTGCAATGTTCAGTGTTGTAATATGGGAGTGGGGGTAATCACAGGACACTGGAGGAAAAAAGGAGTTTTTCATCTGTGTTCTGGTGTGCCTTCCTTGCTAAATTCCTGTGAAGAGTACAATTTCTTCAGTGCCTGCTCCTGTAAAGGAAGGCTGTTTCATATCCCAGCTCCTGCTGCCTAACATGAGCCACAGCAGCCAGCAGCTTCCTGGAACCTCCTCTGAGGCTTCAGAGTGGAGTGCTGACAGCAAGGCTTAGGCCTGTGAAGGGCCTCCCACACCAATTTCCTGGGTGACTTTGCAGTGAGTTCTCAAGCCCAGCACCTTCCTGCAGGATTTCAGAGGACAGATGTCCAGCAAGTTCTGCCTACATGACACATCAGCTACTTCTTGCTGTCCAGTGAGCCGCAGCGATACTCTCTTCAGTGAAGTCAGTATCCTAGCCTTGTTTGGGCAGGGCACTTCCATGGGTTCTCTAGCTCAGTCCTAGGTACAGTGGCTGCTCCTGCTATCTATCACTTCTGTATTCTTTGCTGTCTTCTTTAACTCTTACGAATGAAGTCCCTGTTACTCCAACCCTCTGTTAATGGTTCTTTATATTACACTGTCCTTGTTCAAATTACTGCATGGTTTTTGTCTCCCAATTAGGCCATGTCTGATGTATCAAATGCTAAGTAAATAAAGATATAAAAAAATTTTCTTATTTAGTAAATTTGAAAACAATGTTAGAGTATGTTGAAGTCTATGGAGCTCTCTGTCTTTATACCTGGCATTTAATGTTAATTATACTCAATTTTGAATATTGAAATGGGAAGTAGTCTCTGCTTACACTTGAACACTGGACTTGAACTCTGGAGAGAAAGACTATGAATTTAGGTACTCTCAGTTTTGATTTTTTCATAATTCAGTTGGGGGTTGAATCAAGAATCTCTTTACCAAAAATTTCTTCTAATCAGTACAAATGTGCCGGGTGCGGTGGCTCATGCCTGTAATCCCAGCACTTTGGAAGGCTGCGGTGGGTGGATCACCTGGGATCAGGAGTTTGAGACGAGCCTGACCAACATGGCGAAACTCTGTCTCTACTAAAAAATACAAGAACCAGCTGGGTGTGGTAGCATGCGCCTGTAATCCCAACTACTAGGGAGGCTGAGGCAGGAGAATCACTTGAATTGGGAGGCAGAGGTTGCAGTGAGCCGAGATCGCACCATTGCCCTCCAGCCTGGGTGACAGAGCGAGATGCCATCTCAAAAAAAAAAAAAAAAAAAAAATATATATATATATATATATCACACTGCACTCAGATATACCCAATATTTTATACATGATAGGTCTTTAATAAATGTTGAGAATGCTCTAATTGATGGAGTGAATTCAACCAAATCTTCAGTTCACTAAAGGATTTTTTCTAGAACCCTATGCTAGGACTTGGACTGGCTGGATTTACCACACCCATAGGAAAGTCAGATTTCTAATATCTGTAAAAAGAATCGCAGCCTTAGTTAATCTGTTTGAATAAGTGGAGTGTTAGTGTTTGTTGCTATTGTTGTTGCTGACACCGTTTTTTAAAGAGCGTTTATATGGCAATTTAAAGACAGCATTAAGAGTCAAAATAAATTTTAGTGAAAAAATTGGTGGAGGTCACCTACATACTCTAGTCTGTTCTGAGAAATCAGAACCACGTTAGAAAACTAAATACCACTTAGATTACATTACTGAGCTTGCGTTTCAGATCTGAATCAATTAGTTACATTAGTGAAGACATCGACCATTATTAAAACCTGCTTAAGGATCTCATTCACTGCCTACTGCTACTTGCAGACTTCCAGGGGAAATGCCCACGTGATTGGGAGCAATTTACCCTTATATTGGTTTGGATGATAGCATGTGTTTTAATAACTCATTCTTTCTGACTAAAGCATTATTCGTAGGCCTATTCCCTCCATATATAATTCTCTTGGCTGTAAGATTTAGCATGGGCCTGTTTATCATACGGACTCCTCATTTTTATGTTAGATATAGTGCCAGTATGGTTTGTTGCCAATTGTTATTCTCTTTATCTTTCCACATATTTTTTTCAGTTAGCTAGCACATTTTACGCTGACCAACCCAATCTAAGATGCACACTTTCTCTCTCTTTCTCTGTCTCTGACCTGAAGGTACAGCACTTTTATAACATCTAGAATAAGAGTAGGCAAACTTCTCTGTAAAGGGCTAGATATTTTAGGTTTTTAGTACAATACAGTCACTGTTATAACTAGGCAGCCCTGCTGTTACAGTGCAAATGCAGCCACATATAAGTAAATGAATATAGTTTATTCTATAAAACTTTATTTACAGAACAGGCAGCAGATCAGATTTGGCTTATAGGTTGTCATTTGCCAACTCTTTATCTAAACAATAATCTTCAATTTTAGGGATAAACTAAAGCTTTCCGGAGGGTGCATGGGAATGGATAACTTCAAGGGAATCACTCTTCTGATCACAACCTTCAATCACATTCTTTCCTGCAGTTAATCCTCCTGAGGCCTGTGGTGAACCTAGTCTCCTTTCCTACCTCCTTTTTAGCAATTGCTTCACTTTACCAAATAAATGCACACTTTTCATTTATCCTGATCTTCTTGCCCTACTGTATAAAGGCCTTCAGTGCATAAAAATGATTGGAAAAGTTATAAAACCCCTTGGGAAATAAAACAAAAGAGCTCCTTATGAAATACCTCACTTCTAAAGGACAGTCCTTTGTGATCCAAGCAAAAAATCGCTGCTGTATGAAATCTTGAAGGATGCATTTTATTTCAGGGTGAAAAGCTCACAGCAAAGCATTGTGCTGTCTGTCTGTCCATCTCCCTACCTATTATAGATTGAATTGAAAACAGAATTGAGAAATGTAAAGACTGTCACAAAGTGACATTAGCATGTTCATTTGAATTTTTAAAATAAACTTAGATTTTATTTTTCTAGCAGAAAGTAAGTTTGATTAACCGATTATTTTATTTTATTTTTTTAAATTTTAAGTTCCAGGACACATGTGCAGGACACGCAGGTTTATTACATAGGTAAATGTGCACTATGATGATTTGCTGTACCTATCAACCCACTGCCTAGGTATTAAGCCCCACATGCGTTAGCTATTTATCCTGATGCTCTCCCTCCCCGGCCCCACTGATAGGCCCCAGTGTGTGTTGTTCCCCTCCCTGTGTCCATGTGTTCTCATTATTCAACTCCCACTTATGAATGAGAACATGTGGTATTTGGTCTTCTGTTCCTGTATTAGTTTGCTGAAGATGATGGCTTCCAGATTCATCCATGTCCCTGCAAAAGACATGATCTCATTCCTTTTTATGGCTGCATAGTATTCCATGGTGTATATGTACCACATTTTCTTTATCCAGTCTATCATTGATGGGCATTTGGATTGATTCCATGTTTTTGCTATTGTGAATAGTGCTGCTATAAACATACACGTGCATGTATCTTTATAATAGAATGATTTATAGTCCTTTGGATATATGCCCAGTAATGGGATTTCTGGTTCAAATGGTATTTCTGGTTCCAGATCCTTGCAGAATCACCAAACTGTCTTCCACAATGATTGAACTAATTCACATTCCTACCAACAGTGTAAAAGTGTTTATTTCTCCACAGCCTTGCCAGCATCTGTTGTTTCTTGACTTTTTAATTGCCATTCTGACTGGCATGAAATGATATCTCATTGTGGTTTTGATTTGCATTTCTCTAATAATCAGTGATGTTGAGCTTCTTTTTATATGTTTGTTGGCTGCATAAAAGTCTTCTTTTGAGAAATGTCTGTTCATGTCCTTTGCCCACTTTTTGATGGGGTTGTTTGCTGTTTTTTCTTGTGAATTTGTTTAAATTCCTTGTAGATTCTGGATATTAGACCTTTGTCAGATGGGTAGATTGCAAAAATTTTCTTCCCATTCTGTAGGTTGCTTTTTCACTCTGATGACAGGTACTTTTTTTTTTTTTTTTTTTTTTTTTTTTGCTGTGCAGAAGCTCTTTAGTTTTATTAGATCCCATTTGTCAATTTTTGCTTTTGTTGCAATTGCTTTTGGCGATTTCATCATAAAATCTTTGCCCATGGCTATGTCCTGAATGATATTGCCTAGATTTTCTTCTAGAGTTTTTGTGGTTTTGGGTTTTAAACTTAAGTCTTTAATCCATCTTGAGTTAATATTTGTATAAGGTATAAGAAAGTGATCCAGTTTCAGGTTTCTGCATATGGCTAGCCAGTTTTCCCAGCACCATTTATTAAATAGGGAATCTTTTCCCCATTGCTTGTTTTTGTCAGGTTTGTCAACGGTCAGATGGTTGTCGATGTGTGGTCTTATTTCTGAAATCTCTATTCAGTTCTATTGGTCTATGTGTTTGTTTTGGTACCAGTGCCATGCTGTTTTTCTTACTGTATCCCTGTAGTATAGCTTGGAGGAGGGTAGCGTGATTCCTCCAGCTTTGTTCTTTTTGCTTAGGATTGTCTTGGCTACACAGGCTCTTTTTTTGGTTCCATATGAATTATAAAGTAGTTTTTCTAATTCTGTGAAAAATGTCAATGGTAGTTTGATAGGAATAGCATTGAATCTATAAATTACTTCGGGCAGTATGGCCATTTTCACAATATTTTTTCTTCCTATCCACAAGCATGGAATGTTTTTCCATTTGTATGTGTTTTCTCCTATTTCCTTGAGCAGTGGCTTGTAACTCTCCTTGAAGAGGCCCTTCACATCTCTTTGTAGCTGTATTTCTAGGTATTTTATTGTCTTTGTAGCAATTGTGAATAGAAGCTCATTCACGATTTGACTCTCTGCTTGTCTATTTTTGATGTATAGGAATGCTTGTGATTTTTGCACATTGATTTTGTATCCTGAGACTTTCCTGCAGTTGCTTATCAGCTTAAGGAGCTTTTAGGCTGAGATGATGGGGTTTTCTAGATATAGGATCATGTCGTCTGCAAACAGAGACAATTTGACTTCATCTCTTCCTATTTGAATAACCTTTATTTCTTTCTCTTGCCTGATTGCCCTGGCCAGAACTTCTAATACTATGTTGAATAGGAGTGGTGAGAGGTGGCATCCTTGTCTTGTGCAGTTTTCAATGGGAATGCTTCCAGGTTTTGCCCATTCAGTATGATATTGGCTGTTGGTTTGTCATAAATGGCTCTTATTATTTTGAGATATGTTCTATCAATATCTACTTTATTGAGAGTTTTTAACATGAAGGGATGTTGAATTTTATCAAAGGCCTTCTCTGCATCTACTGAGATAATCACGTGGTTTTTGTCATTAGTTTTGTTTATGTGATGAATAACATTTATTGATTTTCATATGTTGAACCAGACCTGCGTCTCAGGGATGAAGCTGACTTTACCATTGTGGACAAGCTGTTTGATGTGCTGCTGGATTCGGTTTGCCAGTATTTTGCTGAGAATTTTTGCATTGATGTTCATCAAGGATATTGGGCTGGAGTTTTCTTTTTTTGTTGTGTCTCTCTGCCAGGTTTTGGTATCAGGATGATGTTGACCTCATAAAATGAATTAGGGAGGAGTCCCTCCTTTTCAATTAGATTAACCAATTTATTCGACAGTGAGGACTGCCTCAGCCTATTTGATTATATGGCAGACAATTTCCACAAATGAAGTGAGCTAAACCCACAATTCCATATATATTGGCAGCTCAAAATATATCAATAAAATATATTCAAACCCTTAGAAATATATGGTTAATTGGAAAATCATCTTTTTGGAACTATAAATATTCAATCAAATTTTTATATATAAACTTAAAATGCTTAAGAGGATCCAAAATTTTTAAAATCTAGGAAGTACGTAAGCAAAATTTTGTGGTCTGGAAAAATCTTTGACAGTTAATCACCCATTACCTCCCCTGCCTATATATTTGTCTTGAAACTTATTGAAATATTTTTTATTATATAATTTTTAAATGTCTTTTGGGTGTTGTCTCCCGGAAAGGATTAATACTTCTCAAGGACACTGTCCCTGGCAATTCTTTGCATTCCTGCAGTTTAGAGTTTGTAGGTTATACATATAAATGACTCAAATTTGCTAATTTCATTTAGTTTGACTCTCACCTATCTATATTGGAAAAGTACTGTCCTTGGTTTCAAAAGCTACTTTGAAATTAGCCTGTTAATAAAGAACAGTGAGAATAAAAGAATGCATTTAAATAAAAGATCAATTATTCAGCAAATATTTACCAAAAACCTGATATTAACTGAAGGTCTTTGCTAGATGTTGGGATTTAATGGTGGGAAGAAAGGCACATCAACTCTGCCTTCAAGGTCTGTAATATTTGCTAGGTGGAGACAGATGTTAATTAAAAGATCATACAAATAAATGCATATTACAATGGTGGTAATGCTACACAGGAAATTTTTTTTCTCACAGTGGTTTAGCAGCCAGAAATAGAATGACCTGTACTTTTTTTTTTTTTTTCAAATCATATGCAAGACTTTGCACAGGTTTGAAGCATTCAGACAAAGGCTTTTTCTGGAGTTTTAAATTACTTTTCACGCTCTGTTTTCAGAGGGTTGACAGTTTGCTACTTTGCTTTCACTACTTCATTTTTCTTTGTTAAATGTTTTATCATATTTCTAATCATTTTTCATATTATTTGAGGCTTCACTTCTTACGCTATCTTCTTCATTTTCAGTAGATAACTAGGATTTATATCCTAGTATATATAATATTACTAAAACCATGATCTTTTGGTCCTAAAATGCCCCATTTTATTACCCATCATCACATATTCTGTACCATCCCTCAATTTCTATTCCTGTTCTCTCTTTTTCCTCCTTTTCACTATTGTGGCAAAGAGGAAAAGCTTCCCTCTTCCCCCTCCAAAAGATTGCTGAAAATGGACTGACAAAAGGCAGATTAACAGGAGAAAAAGGCAAACAAGATTTATTCCTTTGCATATACATGGAAGCCAGACACAAAGTATGAGACTCAAAGAGGGACCAGATGTTTGAGGCTTAAATACCCTCTTCACAGGGGAGAGATGTGTAGACCAAGGGGGCAGAAATTATTTTGTAAATTATTCTCTTTGGAAGCTGGTTGAGATAGACAAGTTATGGAAGGTGAAGGGCAGAACTCCACAGGAACACAGGTTGTCTTATTATGCAGATAAAGTCCTCCAAGTAATCTCTTGGAGCTGCCCTCAGGACAACAGATGAAAAGTCTGTCTGGGCATGGTGATGATGCCCAGTCTCTTCTCTTCTCTGGTTGTTAATCTTTCCTGGTTATTTGATGAGCTTCCTAGGGAGGGGGTGTTAAGATAACTGCATTTGTTTTGGGAAAAAAAGCTTTCTTAGTCAGATAAAGAAATTCCAGAGGGTCCCTCCAGGTGCTTTGTGAAAGAGGATCTGAGAGACAGGGAGGTGAAGGAAGGCAGGAGAGAGCCCTTTGTTCTGAGGTTTATTTCCAGGGTCTTTCAAAGCACTCAGTGTGCAAAAGTGCCATATTCTTGGGAATCATTTTCTGTACCCCAACATCGACCCTCTTCTCTTTTAGAAAAGAGAATCCTTCCCTTCCAAATCCAGCTCTTGTACATGTACTCCATATCCCTTCTTTCTCTTCTTTTCTGGGACCTTTTCCCCATTGAATTATGTCCTCCATGGCTAGCATCTTCAACATCCTCCTTCTCTTTGTTTCTTTCATTCTTCTGTTAAAACTATTTATCTGCTCTATTACTTCCTTGACCTGTGATTCCATTTTTTGGTTTCCACCCTGTAACAAACATCTATAGTTCCTGTCATCACCATGATTAATCTGGAATCTGACTCTAAACTTCACTGAAATGGTTTCCAAAGGTCCCCAATGTCTCCTGTTCCCTGAATCTTGTAATCTTCCCTTGGCCAGTATCCCCTTTACCTCTCCTGTAGCATTCATCAGTCTTCTCCTCTATAACAGTCTCTTTTTTATTAGTGTTGATTATATTCCACTATCCTGGTTGGCCTACAAGCCTCTGGACACTTCAGTCTATGAATTGTCTTCTCTCTGTTCTCAGACATCTGTCTTAGTGTCCTGTCTTTTGCTCAACTTTCCCATGTCAACCGTGACCTAATTCCAAATGATTGATTTCTTCACCTACATCTGAGCCCTGAAATCTTAGTTTCTAATAGGATCATCCACCAGCACTAAAAAGTCAAGGTAGCCAAAACTCAACTTGTTGTCTTCCTTCCCAAGTAAGCTCTTGCTTCTGACTGTCCTCTCTTTGTTACAATTTTCTCTTTTTCCTGGGCACTTGGTCCTGCAATTTTGAAGACATCATTTCCTATATTTTCTCCTTCAGCTCCTGTTTAAATCAGTGCACTCCATCCACACCTTCACTTTCCTAGTTCAGGACCCTCTTTTATCACAGCTGAAATGTTTCAATCACCTTCTCAATGGTTAACAGCCAGCACTAGATGTATGTATCACCTGGGGTGCTTTAAAAACACGTGATCCCCAGGCTATAGCCAAGCCAATTACATCAGAATCTCTAGGAGGTGGGTCAGTGCATTAATCTTTCTTAATGTTCCCCAGAAGATTCCAGTGTGCAACCATGGTTAGAAACTCCTGTCTACACTCTCTCCCTTTCCACTCTACTTCACATGTCTGAGTTTGTTTATACATCCTAAAGAATAAATCCAATTTTGCAACTCACTTACTCAAACTTTTTCCTAAAATTCCTCAATAAGTAATGCATCAAATAAGATTTCCTTAGGCTTGCATTCATGATTGTGCCTTTTGGGCTGCTACAAGCTGATTTCTGGTCGTTCTGACAATCTTCCTAAAAATAAACCCTACAATCTAGTTAATCTAAACTACTCAAACTTTCTGACATTTCATCGTTCTTCTTTATATGTACTAGTATTGGGATTCCCATTATCTGACCTGACCTCCTTGTTACTTCATCTATTGAAATCCTACCTTCCAGCTAGAAAGTATGTCTGGTTCCTCTCTTCCAAGCTCCTATCGCATTTGGTGTGGAGTCCTCATGTGACACTTAGCACTCTGTTTACCTTCATGGCCATTGGTGTGTGTCTCTTTTCTTTTATTGAGCTGGGAAGTACTTTTGAATGTAAATGTTTTCTAAATTCATAAGCCATAGGGCACCCAACACAATGCTTCACCCTTAGTTGTTGAATAATTTGTTGAAAGAAGGAATGAATTTCTTTTGGTATAACTTATGAGTTGTTAATATATGCATTGTGCTTAAAAAATGTCTGCCACATAATAAATGCTCAATAAAGTCTCTGAGGATAATGTCAAGTTATAAGGGAAAACTGAAATCCTATGTCTAATATTATCACTGTCAAACATCAAAAGGAAACCCAATCTCAATGTATTACATGATTTCAGTATTGATAAAAATATTAATGCATGTATTGGCCAGGCTAGCTAAGTTATGCTGCAGAAATAAACAACTCAAAGTCTCAGTGATTTGACACAGAGTTTATCTCTCACTAA
Source organism: Homo sapiens (assembly GCF_000001405.40). Lineage (NCBI taxonomy): Eukaryota > Metazoa > Chordata > Mammalia > Primates > Hominidae > Homo > Homo sapiens. The sequence goes on along the minus strand of NC_000018.10, from coordinate 55,038,521 downwards.
ATTGTCAGGGGGCTCTGCTTCTATTGTATTCCTATTGTACTTGGGACCTAGCAAGATGAGGCTCCTCAGTGCTACTGCACCATTTGGAACACAGGGTTTCATCAGTTACTACAATTGGAGAAGAGTGATAAATCATGCCCTGGCTATTAAATGTTTCTGCCCATTGACTCAGAATGAGTCACATGACCCCCCCTTTTTTTTTTTTCAGACAAGATCTCACTCTGTTACCCAGGCTGGAGTCCAGTGAGGACTACAGCTCACCGCAGCCTTGACCACCCAGGCCCAAGGGGTCCTCCTGCCTCAGCCTCCTGAGTAGCTGAGACTACAGGTGCACACCACCATGTGCAGCTAATTTTTGTATTTTTTTTAAATATGGGGTTTCATTTCACCGTGTTGCCCAGGCTCATCTTGAACTCCTGGGCTCAAGGGATCTGCCCACCTCGGCATCCCAAGGTGCTGGGATTACAGGTGTGAGCCACTGTGCCTGGCCTATATGACCCTTTCTAAGTAGGAATTTGGAATTTGGCAGTGCTCTCTTCCAACTGCCTATGCAATAGAGAGGAATGGGATATTGATGAGCATTAGTAATATCTATCACAATATATTTCCCTAAGTATGAATGTGGACAAAGATTCACTTAAAGTCTTACTTTAAATACTCTCAAAGAATGAATTATAAAAATATTAGACTGAGAGAATTGGTTAAATACATTATGTTGTATACACATGATAGATTAATATTCAGCCACAAAAAGATTCTAGAATAGAATTTAACAACATGGGAGTATGTTCATAATAAAACATTAAAGGGGCAAAGAAGGTTATAAAAAAGTAAGCCTAGTACAATTCCAGTTGTAAAAAAAATATGTTCAGATAATCTAAGATGTGAAACACCAAAATATTGATAATGATTATTTTTGAATGATATTATGGGTAATTTAATTTTTTTCTTGGTACTTTTCTGCATTTTTAAGGTTTTCTATAGTCAATATGTATTTTGTTATCAGCAAAAATTATTTTGAAAAAGTGTTTCACTTACCTATATTTGCAGAAATAACACTACATAATATTTCCTTTTTTCTCAACATACCTCTTGTATGTCTCATCTTTCTAACATGACTACAGTTAAATCTTGTGTTTTCTTTTATACCATCCTGTCTATGGAGCTCATTACAAAGCCAGTCACATAATCGGCTCTCATAAGTGATTAGTGATAGAAGGATTTTTCTATAGTGATTAGAAACAGACAAAAAACATCAACAATGATTTAAAAAAAAAAAAAAAGAAAACAGCACCCTTACATCTTGAGAGAGCTCAGACAGTTTTCTATATTCAATTCATGATAACATATTTAAATAAAGATAGATCAGATTCTAAGATTCACATTCTTATGAAAATGACCACAGCATTTTCAAAAGTTCATTTTCTCTGCTAAAGTAATCTACTGCTAATCCTTGGAGTTCCAGTACCCTTTGGAAAAATTGCGAGGCAGATCAAAAAGTGCTATGAAAATCTTGGGACTCACGGTGTGCTTATGATTTGGGAGAGATGACTTATTTAGTTCTGAGATCAAGATAGATATTATAATATGGTGCAAATTAGAATGAAGATACTAAATAATTTACGCTAATGCTCTCAGTTATAAAGATAACTGCTTCACTTTGCGACTGATATAAATTAAGGGAATGTATTTAAATGTATATTTTAATCAATCAAGAAGGCTCGTCTGCCAGCCGGTGTTAGATGCTAATGCATGCTCTCAATGAAACGGTCTGTTTATTAACTAATTAAATGCCAACTAACCGAGTCACTAGATTCAGACACTGAATGGTGATGGTACATTGTTCTGGTCCTTGTGTGGGTATACTTCCCAGTACGAAGTCTGGCCTCTACGTAGTTGTGGAACAGTTTATTGCTAAATAGTCTAAACCTCTGTTTATTTAAAATGTGAGGTTGATGATGAGATTAAGAGAAATGAGGTGTCAGAGGTAAGAATATTCCGCAGGAAGTTCCACTGAGGCAGGCCTGTACCAGATTGAGACCCCCAGCTTCTCGGCTATTACTGACCAGCTGCTTAGTGCATAGTAGGCCGCTCAGGGAATGTTCATGGAATTGAATTGCATGAAGTTGAATGTACTATTAGGTATCCTGATGAGCTGCAAGAAAGACATCTTTTCAGGGAATCTTGGGGACTTGATAGAAAGCATATCTAAATAACTGCCTGCATCAAAAGATTGTGGAGTAATAAGAGAGATGAGGATGTACAGGTATAGGTAGTGAATGCCTGAGTTGAAAGCAGAACCAACTAATTAGGGTACATTAACAGCTCAGGGAGCATAAAACATGCAAGAAAAGACATTTGAAATGGAAGCCAGAAGAATGAGATGAACTGGAAATTCACAATCAGTACCATTTCCTTACTAATCAAAATCCATTTTCTTCCGCTTTTATTTTTTCTGCGCTGGCATTTTTCTCACACATCATGGGCATAGAAAATAAAATCAGCCAGGAAAGTGGCGGCTCCTCAACATCACCAACAAATTGCTCTCAAACTTATCTTATTTTCAGGATCCTTCTTCTTCTTTTTAAATTTGCCTGCTTTATTTTTGAGATTAAACAGGAAAATCTGAAGATGATTGGTATTGAATCTAGCCTGCTCAAATAATGTATTTACTAAAGAAAATTCCCTTATCCAAATTTTATCTTCAAATGAATTGCCGTATTTGTGACATGTTATTTTTTTCACATCTTAAGAACTCACGAAACACATTAAAAATGAAGCTTAGTGCCCTAATACACAATTATGTGAAATGTGGTAGTTATGGAACTTAAAGCAAATGTAAATATAATTTTGGACTGAGAGTAGTTAACATCTTTCTCAACTATCAATTTGAAGGTGAACTTAAAGAAGCAGAAAACCCTAAGTGGCAGACACTCCACATAATTCTTAATATCTATAATTCTTGAAGATTAATTTTTGTCTTTTTATCTGGCTCTATTTTGAGGGTGCTGTTCTTTATGAAGCCTGAAAAAACTTCCACGAAAGGATCACACCAAACTGGAGAGCTGATCTAACTGGACCTCTTTTTACATGGATTCTGCCTAAGAGAGAATAATTTAACAGTCTCCTTATCACTTGGTCCTTTGCCCAACTTTGATTAAGGATGCTGGCTTGAATGACAGGTGTCTCTGGAATCTTAAGATGGCTGCCAAATTGGTTTCAAAAATTACAATTCAGTCAGAGCCACACAGAGAGGACAAGCTGATAATGCCTAAGATGTGTTCCTTAATTCTTCTAAGCTTAGATAGATACCCAACAAGTTTTAGATTTGTGCTTGAAAACTTCAAGTTATTAGCTTAACCTGAGGTTATTTCCTGAGTGAATGACCAAGTCCTGGACTGCTAAAAGTCGAAGTGAATCAAGTGAATGGTCTGACCTCAGACAGGATGCTCTGCCCTCATATTTACTAAGATACTAAGATAAATGGTGATAAAACCTCTCTTCTCAGCCTGCATTTCAGCTTAGGAAAACTATGGACTTTCTAGGAGATATAAATATCTCCATTGTGTCATGTCGGTATCAGTAATGAGGGTAATGTCTGTGTTGACCAGAAGAGGAATTCTAATGATTCATAATCACAGGGGGCCAGATCAAGATCAGCAATGCTTTCCCTGGCAGGTCCAAGGATCCTGTGGCAAATCAGATGGGCTAGACCCACACTAACTTTCCTTCTGGGATTGAGTCCTATGGCGTTGCCGTGAGTTACTCAGTTTCTCTTTATCCACTCTGGTAGCACTGAAACCACTAATATCTCCTTGTAGGTTAAAGACTGCACCAACAATGGCCAATTACTTCTTATGACAAATGTCAGCATGTGAGAAGCTAGGTTCCAATTACATTAGAAGCTTTCATCTTCTTACATCTACCCCAGCCCCATTTCTCCAGGGATAGAATTGTGCATGGGTGAAAAGAAGAGTTTGGTAGGAGTTAGGAATGCAGGACCATTTTAATTTTATTTTCATGACATCGAAACTTTATGTCATATGTATCATATTTGCTTTCTTCTTTTTAAATATTGTCTCTTTGTATTGCCTATTTTAAAAATTAATTGAAATTGTATCATTGAGGTATAGAATAAAATGTTAAGTAAACATTTTGGTACCTACAGCTGAATTAGATGACTTGCATTCAAACGTTTCCTTTTGAAAGCAATACATAGTTGCTTTTATTTATCATTTTAGAAAGAAGGGAAATACCCAGGGAGATGTTTCTATTTTTTAAATTAAATAAGATATATCATAGAGCTAGTGATATTAAGATAAATTGCAGTTGAAAGTTCGAAGTGTCCTTAGAAACCAGATCTCCAATTTTATCATTTTACAGATGAAGAAACTGAGGCCCAGAGAACGCGAGTGATTGGCTCAAGTTGATACCATCTAATTAGTGATAGAGTCCTTGACTAGTAAACGTCCCTTTTGTCTCATTGTGTCTTATAACAGTTATCTGAGTATACCTGGTATCCTTTAGTATCTCAGCCTCGTGATGTGCAAGTAAAATATTCAAATGAAGGAGGCCTGCTTTGAGCTGTAGTTCATCTTTCTACAATTGTATTTAAGATCAGCATTTTAGTTTGCCCTCAAATAAAAAGAACAAATGCACAATATTACATGATAACATTTCTAAAGCTCCATGAATCACTGGAAATGATATAGATGCAACAACACCGATATAGTCTATGTCAATTATCGTGCCTCTCTTACAGGATAATTAGGAGTTGTTCGCTGAAATACGCTTTTCATTTTCATTCACTGGTAATGACCATGCACTCCTTCAGAGAAGATTTATTTTTCCCCCACCTCTGCTTCTTCTAAGCTAAGCACTTTTTCTTAACTCATGCAAATGAAAGGTGTATATTCCATGCAAGAGAGTGTGTGTGTTTGTGTAATTAAGATGTACATATTAACTTTTTAGCTGACACAAGAAGATACAGCTTCAAAATATTGGAAATTTGCTTCAGATAGAACACATCTTCATGTCCTCCATTCTATATAAAACAAGCGATATTTACAGGAATAATTCTCTATGTAATTACACAATTATTAAAAACATAGTAGTGAAGTAGGAGCTTTTATCAAGTCATTCAAATTAGTGCTATTTCATACTAATCACTATCTACTTGAATGTGTATTGCTTGGATGTGACTGTAGAAAGCTCATTAAATAAATTTTCTTTAAAATTTAATTACTGGGAACTTCTTCAGATAATAATGATTATGGGTATAATTAGGATCTTTGTTCCTCTTTGTTGTTAGACTAAAAGGTACAAAGATTCAGAGAAAAAGAGATCGAAATTACATATCCAACACTTGGAGAAGTAGTTGTCACAGGCGTTGTAGAATATTAAAGAGCCCAATCCAGCAGTGGCACATCAAGATCGAAGTCTACAAATTGTAATTTGGCATTTCGTTATTTAGTCTTTCATTTTCTTCCTAAATTGCCTGGGTTGTATTTGTGAACTATAAGTGAGAAACAATGAAAGGCCGTTTCCTTTAATGTCTGACTGTAGGCGATGTCAGAAATTTATAATACCTTCACTTACAAAGACCGTAGGATGCAGATCCTGTGCTTTGGTAATTTAATGAGCTGACATGAGAGGTGCTGTATGTGTCCTCTCACTGTGCTAAATGAAACTAGCATAGCCATGCACTGGAGTTAATGGCTTTTAACCCTTTGTAATTCAGAGAAAGTCATTCACACTCTGACCAGTGAAGTTTTTTGGATCCTCTTTCTCAAATTGCGATCAAATTTCTGTTGAAGGTTACAACAAATGTTTTCTTAGGATTACTTCATTTGGAAGCAATATACACTGAGAAAAGCTGGTGCATATGATTTCTAGATTCAATTACCATAACAATCCCCCAATTCCTCAGTCAAAGACAGTTCCAAATCAGTATTTCAGCACCCAGAAATGTTCTCTGCTAGAAAAAGCTAAGAAATGAATTGTGGATATTTTGGAAAGACTTCTAACAAATGTAAAAAGTGAACATGCTTCAGCTCTAAACTTGACACAAATTATGTTTGTAAAATAGTCAACATAAGAAGTTGGAAAATATTATAGCTAAATATGAGAGCCACTTATAAGAGTGAAAAGGAAAATGTAAGTCTTGTTCTTACATCATTGCTAGAGTACAAGATGACAGGAGCTCCATAGATATAAGCAAAAACAATGACTTTAGGCAGCACCATTCTGACCCAGAGCCTTCATGTTATCAGTCAGCTACGATCTTTGCACATAAGCTGCTGTGTTGGGCATTCCCTAAAGTACTCCAGCTCTCCTTGTCATCAGAAGGGTATGCGGAACCAAAAGTGTCACCAAGCAGATTAACAGAGGTTCAGAAAAAAAATAGTTGGCTGTGTGAGAGGGAAACTTGTTGATGTTTGCATTGTGTTTGAGTTGTTTTTGGCATTGAGAGTTATATAATTTGCTCAGGGTCGCTGGAACCAGGTAGGTCGGATAACAACTTCGTGTTTTCACTGACATGAGAGAGGCATACAGAGGCATAGGAGAAAGTGGTGATGGAGGCGGTGCCAGTGGCAGTGGAGGAGGAGGAGGAGGAAGAGCAGAAGGAGGAGGAGAAGGAAGGAAAGAAGAGCCCACCACCACCACTATAATCACCAAAGCAACAATTGCAACTCAGACATTTTTGTTTTGTTTTGCTTTGTTTTCCTGTCATGGAAACAGCCATTTTTGTGTCTATTTCCTTGACAGAAAATAGAAGGTGTGGGTGTGACTGTCTTCTCTCGGGCTCCTGTTCATTTCTACATTGTCTTCATAAATAGAGAAGTCCTCTGTCCCATCTCAACAGTCGGTATTAAATGTAGACTGCTGTATTTATGGATTAAATTCTAAGTTTCTTTCATTGGAGACTATGTTTTCAGGCCTCATTGAGCGAAGGACAGAAATCAGAGGCACATTTAGCACAGGGGAGCTCTGAAATGCCTGTTGTCAAAAAGTAAGAAATGTAATCACGGAAAAGCCCAGACAGAAGTCTCTCTGTTTACTTTGACAACCAGAATATTTGGCCACTCTTACGGATGTATCAAAGACTATGGTTCTGCATCAGTCTTTCATTTCTCATGTACAAATAAATGCTCCAGCAGGGGGAAGGCATGCACAATGTATAGTTCAAGTCTGAGGTTTATGAGAGGCTATAGCTGATAGTTTATATCTCTGGGCATTTTAAAGAGCTTTGAGACAAGTGATACCATCATTAGTCTAAATTTTTTAGGTTACAATTTAGCACAATGAAAGATACTATGTTCTCTCATATCCAGAGACATTCACACACAGATAATGCTTCATTCTTGTGATTAATAAGTGTCTATTGCTTCTGTTTCTCTAAATAATTAAGGGCTGTTTAGACACATTATTTAATCTACAGTGGGGTTTTTGTACCTTTAATTTCTGGAATAGACATGATTTTGGATGGCTCATTTAGTAGTAGATTACCAAAATGTTTTTGAAGCAATGATGTTGTAAATTGAGGATAATGAGTAAAATTGTTTCTAGAACCCCTTTGAATCCAATGTGCTGGATTTGGTAATCTTGGGTCTGCTGCCTCACTTTGGCACCTCCTAGAAGTGGTATATCATGCTGGATGTGACTGTGTAAGAATAGTCAATAAGAATGGCTAATAACCAGGACAAGAGGTTCCTTAGGCAACAATTATGCAAGTATCCAGTGACTAGCAGATAGGAAAGGGGCGAATGCCTCTCTTTGGCCTTCAATCCTTCTCTTGATTTAGATTCTCAGTGTATGCTTCTATCTTGAGGACTTATCTTTCTGGCGAGCCCAGAATAACAGGGCCAACTGCCCTGGCCTCATCAAAGCCAACATGTCTCTAATTGAACTCGTCATTGTCTTTGCCCTTCAATGTTTTATTCTCTTGTTTCCAATTTTGGTTCTTGTTACAGTGAGCTAGCAGGTTTCCTCTTCTCTACTCATCCCTATCAGATACATGCATCCCTCCAAATCTGCATGATCTTAAAAACTGACCATCTTATTCGCCACAGCTCCCTTTTGCCTCCAGAATAAAGCCCTGTCACTTGGAATGGTAGGCAAAGCTCTTCATAATATGGTCCTCATTGGTCTTTATGGGCTTATCAAGGGAATATCTAGAATGAATTCCATCTCCACAATAGAAGTTTCATAGAGGTCACAAGTCTCGACTGCATTGTCATCTGATGTAAAAACCACTTAATAAATATTTGTTGAATGGCAAACTGAGTGGATGAATGCATGAGCATCTCTCATTTCATTTTTATTGTCTATTTATATTGAATTTTATTTCTCAGCATACATGCTGTTCATATCTTCATACCTTTGCTCATGAAGTTCTCTCTTCTTGGAATCCTGGCCCAACCTTTCTTTTCCTGGCTAATTCATCCTCATCCTACAACACTTAACTCAGATGGCGTCTTTTATGAAGCCCTTACCAAACCTTCAGATAGGGCTAAACTACTTTCCCCTGTTCTTCCAGAACATTCTGTGCAAATTTCTACTCAGTTCTTGTTCCAAATTTTCTTGCTCAAACACTCTTAAGTGAACTGATCTGTTCTAAAATTTCTTCTCATTTGTTCAGGTTTGTGCCAGGTCTCCCTTCCTCTGGAAAACCTTTCCTATTGACTTTACTGTATATTGATCCCATAAGAATTCCCACAATGCATATTCCCTGAATCAATATTTCCCAACTTTATCGTGTACTGTTTTTGTTTTAACAGCTTTAATAAGGTAAAATTAACATATAATAAGTTGCAAATATTTAAAGTTTACAATTCGATGTTTTGACATATCTTTATACCCATGAAACCATCACCACAATCAAGATAATGAACATTTCATTCTTAAAGCCAAAAAATTTTCTTGTGCCTCTCCTTGCACCTCCTCCTCAAGCAACCACTAATATGCTTTTTATCACTACAGATTAGTTTACATGTACTAGGACTTTATAAATGGAATTAAAAGATGTATTATCTTTTGTATGCCTTTATTTACCACCATAATTATTTGGCATCCATCCATATTGTTGGGTTTATTTCTCTTTATTCCTGCGTAGTATTTTGTTGTCTGGATATACGGTACCATAATTTGTTTATTAATTCTCCTGTTGGTGGACATTAGGTTGTTTCCAGATTTGGGGCTATTACAAATAAAGCTGCTCTGAACAGTATGTACAGGTCTTCACATGGACATAGACATTCATCTGTCTTGCATAAATGCCTAAGAATGAAATAGCTGAATCATATGGTAAGTATAAGTTTAACTTTTTAAGAAATGGCCAAACTGTTTTGCAAAATGGTTGTCCTATTTTATGTTCCCACAAGCAGTGTTTGAGAATTCCAGTTTTTCCACATTCTCATTAACACTTAGAGTGGTCAGTTTCTTAAATCTCAGCCAGAAAAGCAGATGTAGTTGTATCTTGTTGTGGTTTTAACTTGCATTTCTTAATGACAAATGATGTCAAGTATCTTTTGATGTGCTTATTTGCCATCTGGGTATCTTCCAAAAAGTCAGCACAAATGTTTTGCTCATTAAAAAAATAGGCGGCTTGTAGTTGTTTTATTGAATTTTGAAAATTCTATTTTGGATACAAGTTCTTCTACAGATATAATTTGCAAAATTTTGCAATATTTTCTCCTACTTTGTGATTTGTCTTTTCATATATTTAACAATGATTTTTGAAGAACAGAAGTCTTACATTTTGATGAAGTCTCATTTATCAATTTGATGCTTTTAGCATTGAATATAAGATATATTGCCTAATCCAAGGTCACAAAGATTTCTTCCTACTTTTTATTTCCAAAGTTTTATCATATTAGGTCTATGATACCTTTTGAGTTTTTTTTTTCCTTTTATCTTTAGTTGACAAGTAATAACTGTACACATTTATGGGATACAGAGTGATATGATATTTGATATATGTATACAATATGTAATGATCAAATCAGAGTAATGAGCATATCTATCACCTCCAAAATTTATCATTTCTGTGTGCTGTGAGCATTCAAAATTCTCTCTTCCAGTGTTTTGAAAATATACAATAAATTATTGTTAACTATATTCACCCTACAGTGCTACAGAGCCCTAGAACTTATTCCTCCTATCCAGCCATAGTTTTGTAACTGTTAACCTACCTCTCCCTAGACTCCCCTCCCTTAGACCCTTACCAGCCTCCAATAACTAGATTGAATTGCTTTTTATATTGGTGCTACCCATGGATCAAAGTTGTTTCTTTGTTTTGTGGTTTGTTGGTTTTTTGCTGCTAGAAATCCATTTGTTCTGGCATCAGCTGTTGAAAAGACTACCCTTTCTCCACTGCTTGCTTTTGCATCTTTGTCAAAAATCAGTTGTCCATACATCATATATGCACATATCTATCTGTGGACTCTATTCTATTTCATCAATCTATTTGTTTAGCTTTACACCAATGGTCATACTGTTTTGATTACTATAACTTTATAAGTCTTGAAGTCAGATACTGTTTGTCCTCCAATTTTGTTCTTTTTCAAAGTTCTTTTGGCTTACTGTTTTTTTTTCTGGTAATGTATTATTTTAAGTTCTGTTTTTACAATAGAAATGTAAGCTGGAAGAAGATAAAGGCAATGTTTTATTCTACTTTGCTCACCTGAAAATATTTTACCATGCACAGTAAATACTTAGTTGTTTCTTCCCTCTATGTAACATGTACATTTTCCTGATAAACTCAGAAGTACTGCAGCTTTTCTCAGTCTGTTTGAAACTTGTTCCTGCCATTTTGTCAAAATTCTTTGAAAATTTTTGAAGAGTGACAGTTTTCCCCAACTTTAATCATACATAAACTGCTCACATACTGAAAAACAAGTCGTCCTATATGTTAGGAGGCGTGCTTTCCTCATAGAAGAAGAAGAAAGAGAAAGAAAAAAGCCATACACATTACTGCACAATGCTGCAGAAGGTGTTTTCCTGAACTCCAGACAATGGACGCTAATGGATCATTTGTGCTGTGTGCTGAAGCCTTTTGAATTCACAACAAGAGAAATCATCTCTGATGATGCTTTGCTCAGCCAAGTTCTCCAATCAGCCAAATTACAAAAACTGAAACTTCAAGGAATGAGACCATCTTTAGAAGGACAAAACGTCTGTTTGGCAGCTTGACTACTGAATAGCATGTGGAGCAAGCTGGGAAATTGTTAGAAAGGTGCAAATGTGTTCCAAGGCCATTATTCTCTGGGTTAATATTGTCTAGTCCTTTCTTTATCCTTGAATAGGCAGTCTTAATGCTTTATTTGTAATGCAGGGATATTGGGCTTCTACAACACATCCATCCCAACCTATCAGTTCAGATTCTGGATAAAGGATGTGACATGTGAAGGCTTCCAGAACTTTTGCAGGTGTTAAGGCACCTATTTATTGTCCTAGTCCCTCCTGCTACTGAGTTGGAATAACTGTAACCAGTTCAAGGAAGCAGTTTAGGAACAAAAAATGCTCCTTCCCATTAAGATCCAAATGGACACGTAACAGCTAGGATAAAAACATTGTTCACAACAAAGGAAAGGGTTGGAGAACTAGGTCTTCTATTAATCAAGTTACCCTATATGCCTTTGGTAAATGCCTTTGGAAGCTTCTTTGAAGGGCATATCTTGGAAATGGCTGGTGGAGTGGAAAGGCCTGTCCTGTCCCGATCTTTTGATAATTTATAAAATGAGTGCTAAATGAACTTCAAGGCCCTTTCTGGCTCTGAAAAATCTACAATTCTTTGGTTTTTTAAATTAATCTTAACTCATCCATTAAATTATAATCTATTCAATCATATGATTTATGGCTGTTTTGTACTCTGTAATAACAGGCACTTGGAGAATCTCTATACCCCAAATGAGTTGGAGGGTATTACAAAAGGAAGAGATTTTACACGATCTGGATAATTGAATAATCTTGATTTACTACCAGGACAGGCACAATAGGCTTAAAGAAAACCAATCAGTAAGTCATGAACTATCCCTGAAGGAAGGCACAATGAATATAACAAATATTCATGGGGCACCAGCCATAGGCCAAGCACGGGCTTGATGTTGGGATATAATGCAAACATGTCCATGTCCTATGCTTCCATAAAGCTTATAATCTGGTAGGGACAAAAATAAGTAAATATGGGATTACAAACTGTTGAGAAGGAAATGCAAAGAGGAACACTGACCCTGTCTGGAGGGGCAGTGGTGGAAAAGGGAGGTCTCACCAGGGAAGTGACTTTTGAGTTGAGAGTCAAAAGATTAGCTGCAAGACCCTTGCACATGCTGGTTCTTCTACTTGGCATGCTCTTCCTTCCCTGATTTGCCTAGCAACCTTTTACTTATCCTTTGAATCTTGTCTATACGTTGCTTCTCAATGGAAGTCTTCTCTGAACTCACTGGATTAGTCAAGTATCATTACGCACACTCATTATGATACACAACACTTTTCATGGCACATTTATTTCTATAATTGTTTGATTTTTCCTCCACCCCATCCCATTTACTTGATAAGTTACATGAGAAAAGAGGTCATATTTGGGTTATTTTGTTCCCATTATAGTCCTTGAACCAAACCCTGAGCCTGACATAATTAGCAGATATTTATGGAAGGATTGAATGTATGAATGAATCAATGAGTGAATTAGAGATAGCTGGGTGAAGAAGATGAAGGAGAAGGGTTTTACTGGCAAAGAAAAATTATATATGTGAATGCTCAAAATCTTCTACCAAAATTATTAGAAATGAGAGATTACCAACAGTGATGGGAAGGCTGTAAGAAATTTTATGTTAGAATGCAGATAAATTCATTATCAGACCTGGGCATTAAAATAATCCTAGTAGTAGCAGCTACTGTGGACTGAACACTCACCTTGTGCCAGGGTTTGTCCTAAAGCTGCTACACGCATTTACCCAATTAATCATCACAACCTGCAATTCCTGCCTTCTGGATGAGGAAAGTAGACACAGAGCAGTTAAGTAACTTACCTCTGAGTTCCCATAATCTGATGGTAAATTGCACATCTATACTTGGAGATGGGTGGGTTGACTCTGAGTCTTACTCTCAACTTTTGGGCCATATTCCTCAATTCCTCATGCTTGCTTATTCCCAAGGTTGTTAGGTTATTCATTGATGTCCAGGAGCCTAAAATTCAAAGATGAAATCTCAGCCATTGATCAGGCAAGGATCAAACCTCAAAATCAAACAAAACAATTCTTTGCTGAATTTGCTTTAAGCAAAACAACAGGTCAATATTCAAGATATATGGAAAAGGTTGTACATCAGTCAATTAATCCACATATAAATGTTTCTTGACAAACTATTTTAAAGCTTACCTGTATCAAGTCTGCAAAAGCTAGTCAGTTCAAAAAAAGGAATGTAAGTTATGTTAGACATCAGGTAGTCTGAGTACATTTTTGATGGAGAGTACTATTGATATTAATCCAGAATTCTTGGAAATGTCACTAGATAGTTATCTTGGCTCTTTTCCAACCAGAAAATCAATTCAACAGAAGCCCATGAATCCAACATTGTGTAGGAGCTTTCAGGGGATTGAAAAACAAGGATATGTAGCATAGACTGAGAACATTTCCAGGTTAACTGGGGAAAATGTATAGCTAAACAAAAATGAATAGAGAAAATGCACTATCCACACTTTGCAGGCTTAAACACTGAGTGAGGACAATATTAGTCATGTTTAACATAATTCATCAAATCTTAATGCTCTGAACCCTGCCAGCCCTTGTCACTGAACCCCTGAAAGTACTAATATTTGTGATTCATCTCCAAAATATTTGTGAGAATTGACAGGGATGCTTCACACCCAGTGCCCCTTGGTCCTATCAGTTTTTTAGTGCAAAGCAGAGTCACTTTTTCTCTGAGTCTCTGGACAAAGGTTTGGGTGGGGGTTTCCAAGTTTTATTGAGCCCCTGCCTGCAACTCTGTAGCCCCCTGCTCACATGTAAAACACATCTTCTTTCCTCATGTCTCTGTTTGTCACAGGGTATTTCATACCAGCATCTAGTGGGCCCACATGATAAACTTTTGTTTGCGAGTTAGTATGTTTCTAGAACATTCTGTAATAATAAGGAAGCTGGTCTTCCCAGGACACATCAAGGGGACTAGACCCCAAATGCTAGTGTATGCCTTGGCGCCACCCTGGATCCATCAAAATCACCTGAGTTTAAGAAAAATACACAGATTCTCAAGTCCTCTTCAAAGGTTCTGATTCAGGAAGGAGATCTAAGCTGAAACCTGAGAATCTTAACTTGTAAAAAGGCATGTGACTGATGAAAAGAAGCAGTAGCCTCCAACACTTCCTGTTTCTCATCTCTAAATATTTATACCAGAATTTCCTAATTGGGGCACTACTGGCATGTGGGGCTGGATTTGAGGCCCTCTTGGTTGTAGGGAGCTGTCCTGTGGGGCTGGATTGGAGGCCCTCTTGGTTGTAGGGGGCTGTCCTGTGGGGCTGGATTGGAGGCCCTCTTGGTTGTAGGGAGCTGTCCTGTGGGGCTGGATTGGAGGCCCTCTTGGTTGTAGGGAGCTGTCCTGTGGGGCCCTGTGGGGCTGGATTTGAGGCCCTCTTGGTTGTAGGGAGCTGTCCTATGCAAGGTGGGAGATTTAGCGGCATCCCTGGCCTCTTCCCAGTAGACGCCACTAGCACCGTCCTCCAGTTGTGGCCACCAAAAATGTCTCCAGATATTGCCAAATGTCACCTAGGGGTGGCAGAATTGCCCATGATATAGCATCACCGGTCTAGGTCTGTAGATAAATTGATGGCTTTGAGCAGGCAATGGAATGGAAGGGAGAGTTTGGAAGATTCAAGAGGGATGGGAAACAGTCTTACTTTCAGTTCCCTTGGAAGTAAAGCCTGAGACAAGGACCAAGATGCATGGAACTTAGGATGTGATCCCAGGAAGCAGGAATGTAAGAGTAGAGAGATTCAGACAGGGAGGAAGGGGAAATGATACATTAGTTATCTGGATACCACTGAAGACAACCAGGGCTCAGTCCTGCTTGGGCCTCTTTGAAGGGCCATACAGGCTGCACCTCAGAAATGGCCCTTTTATGTTTGAGAGTTTGGGCCCTTCATCCATGGCCATTTGTATTCAAACCTTCCTCCTGCCTTGCCACTTCAGTGCTTGTGTTAAGGAAGCTCCCCTCACTTTAGGAGAAAGAACTGAGGCTGAAAAGCAGAGAGTCAATGCCAGATGCTTGGGGTGGGAGGTGGTCAGCATGCATAGGCACTGTCCCCTTCCTTGCCACTGTGGTAAGAAATAGACAGAGACATGGATTGAAACTTTTCCCTAGACAAGAAATTGTAAGAAGCAGATAACAGTGTCTAGGAGTCCTGGCAGGCTTGCTGCTGAGAGCCCTGTCCCCTGGCAGTCCCCTAGTTGGCAGAGAGCAATGTGCTAGAAAGGACTGACTTTATGCACATCTGTGAGATAGGATCTAGCCAGGTTTTCAG
Organism: Homo sapiens; assembly: GCF_000001405.40. Taxonomy (NCBI): domain Eukaryota; kingdom Metazoa; phylum Chordata; class Mammalia; order Primates; family Hominidae; genus Homo; species Homo sapiens. Next base: position 55,023,004 of record NC_000018.10, on the reverse strand, counting down.
GTCCCCAAACAGCAGAGAATCACCAGAATGTCAACATATGAGGGAATAGAAACAGCAGAATTCTCAGGAGTAAGGTGAAGAGCAATGCCCAGTAATCAGAGGTATCCCACTTAATGACTTAGCACTGCCTAAGACCCTGACTGTGGCACAACCCAGGCAGAGGGCAAACCCAGAATGACTTAGTTTAAGTTTCTCTCCAGCCTGACCAGATGGAGACTGAGAATAAAAATTGCATGAGTATAATTTATCTGGGATTAATTTACTTGCAATAAAACAGTAAATTATAAATCTGCATCAGAAAGGCAATACATGGAGAAAAATTCAGAGGAGAGGAAGATCCCTCTGGCCTGGGGATGTTGAGGAAGACATCACAGGGGATGGGAAACATATCCAGGTCTTGAAGCTGGGGAACAGAGACGTAGAAGTGGACTGAGCAAAGAGAGGGAAGAATTCCAGGTAGAAGCTACAAAGAAAATAGGAAGCTGAAATGAACTTGGCTTGATAGGGATTAAGGAGCCAGAGAAGGCTGTCCTGCTACCCTTCTCTATCCCATTTCTCTTGCTGAATAAGAATCCACTCCAAAACGCAGTAGCCTAACACAACCATTTTATTCCTTCCATTCTGTGGGTCAGGTGGGCTTTTCTTCTGCGTGTGTGCATGAGGGGTAGGCTCTAATTCTTTTTTTTTTTTTTTGAGACAGAGTTTCACTCTGTCACCCAAGTTGGAGTGCAATCTCAGCTCACTGCAACCTCTGCCTCCTGGGTTCAAGCAATTCTCATGTCTCAGGCTCCCAAGTAGCTAGAATTACAGGCATGCACCAACACACCCAGCTAATTTTTTGTATTTTTAGTAGAGACAGGGTTTCACCATGTTGGCTAGGCTGGTCTCAAATTCCTGGCCTCAAGTGATCCACCCGCTTCGGCCTCCCAAAGTGCTGGGATTTAGGCCAAAAACAAAGACTTCTCATCAAAATATAAGCACAAATTCTGTAACATTTCTTATACCTAATCGTAAAGTACCAACACTGAAAAATTAACCTTTTTTTTAAAATGTGTTTTCTTCATCATAAACTCTCTTGATGTTACATGATTAAAGTTTAATACCAAACAAAATTGCTCTGGAGAAGCTTATTTTTTATATATATATATATATATATATATATATATATATATATATATATATATATATATATTTTTTTTTTTTTTTTTTTTGCATTTCCAGTAACAGCCAATTTACCAATTCAACAAATATGAAGTAAACAAGTGAGCCACCGCACCTGGCCGGCTCTACCTCTTGATGGCAAGAACAACATGAGTGTAGAGGAATAGAAGGAATTGCTGAAAACCATCTCTGGAAACTGTACATTTTCCACTGAATCCTTTCCCTATTCACGGTTTTCTCCTCTTTTCATTATCAGGGAATGGTCTGTGGGTGAAGACAAGACAAAAATGACACAAACAAGGTCCTTAGTGTGCTTTAACAAAGTCCTTGAAATGCTTTGAAACATCGAGCTGCCATAACATGTACAGATGATAGCAAAGAACCCAGGTTCTAGGTATTAGCCTAGATAGGGAGGTTCTAGGTAACCCACTTGAAAGGTTTTGATTCTAGAACCAGACTTCTTGGGCCCAGATCCAGGCTCTTTCACTTACTGCTTCTGTGTCTTTGGGTGAATTTCATGAACTACTCTGTGCCTTGGTGTTCTCATCGCAAACTGGAGCAAGAATCATAGCATTCTTGTGGAGTTATTGTGAGGAATAAATAAATCAGGAGTCACATATGCCTTGGAACAGTGAATGGAGCATAATAAGCAAACAGAAAATGTGAAGTGGGAGGGAGGTAGGACACGAGGTGTTTTCGAATGCCTCCAGTTGTAACTGAGAAATAGGCCAAGAGGAAACAAGGCATTTATTCAATATTGCCCTGGGACTTTTTATTTATTTATATTTATATTTTATTCTATTTTTTTGAGATGGAGGCTCACTCCGTTGCCCAGGCTGGAGTGCAGTGGTGTGATCGTGGCTCACTGCCACGTCTGCCTCCTGGGTTCAAGTGATTCTCTTGCCTCAGCCTCCTGAGTAGCTGGGATTACAGGTACCCACCACCACACCCAGCTTCATATATATGTATACATACACACACACACATACACACACACATATATATACATATATATATATGTATATATACATGTACATATTTAGTAGAGATAGGGTTTCACCATGTTGGCCAGGCTGGTCTCAAACTCCTGACCTCTGGCATTACTATACTATTAACAGACTGCAACCTTAATACTACCTTCTTTGACCCAGCCGGAGGGGGCAGGTGATCTGCCCACCTCTGCCTGCCAAAGTGCTGGGATTACAGGTGTGAGCTACCACGCCTGGACTCCCCTGAAACATTTTTCAAACTTATGTCACTCATATAGTCTAGAAAGTCTATAAAGTTAAGAAGGCAAAAACTTTTTTTGTTTTAATTAAGATCAGCTTTGGTAGCTCAAAATGATGTTATAACCAGTTGAATTTTTATGTGTTATGTATGCTCTACTTAATACAATGTTTCCCTTCCATTATGCAGAGAATTTTCTGACTATTTTTGGTGCTTGGAGTGTACTGTAGGAATTCTGATTAACATCAAGCTTTATAGTTGCACTTTGTGTCCTAAAAGTTGATTACAACTATGATTTATTTAAGGCAAAACTTTTGGTTTGGAACATAACTCTCAACAGATACATGATTTCTATAAAAACTTATTGCCTGATTTTTGACAACTCAAATTTTAAAAGGGTTTCCAAGAACTCATTAAAACCAAAAGCAAGGAGTACTGGTTTTCTTTGCCAGCAGTGGTCATGGTGGATAGGAAGAAAAGAGCCCGGTGATCCAGGGAACTTTTCTCCTCTGGGAGTCCTTTCTTCCTCCTTTTTCTCCCCATGGAGGGAAGGAGTGACTTGTCTTCCTGAGTTTTGCTTTCCCCTGAACATGATAAGAGGTTGAGAGAGAGCTCTCACACATTTGATGGCAGAATAAAGGTTCCTAACTAGGTTGATGGGTTAGAAACTCGGAGTGGGCTTTTGCAACAGTGTGAAGGCACATGGTGTAGAACAGTGGGTCTCAAACATTAAGGTGCATCAAAGTCATGAGGTGGGCTTGTAAAACCACAAATCGCTGAGTTCCAACCACCACCCTCTACCTCCCGGTCCCAACTGATTCTAATTCAGTTGATTGAAGTGGGGACCCAAAATTCGCGTTTTTAACAAGTTCTCAGGTGATCTTGATGCTACCAGCCTGTGCACCACACATTAAGAACACGGACCTGGGGGAAAATACTGAATCAGAAACCTGAGTTGGAATTCTGGCTCCTCCAATTGTGGATTGTGGAACCTGAGGAAGTCCTTTCACTTTTGTGGGGTTGTCAGTTTTTGCCCCTTTTAAACAGAAGATTTGATGAAATAACCTCTAACTCTATGCCTTCATCTAATAAGGTGGAACCTCATAAAAATAAACATAAGATTCTATACATGGGCCCCAATGACCTCCCAAACATGCAGAGTATAGACTGGGAGAGAGTGGGGAACATGGGGAACCAATAGCGCATGTGAAAAAGACTGTTTTTCTTCTGATTTAAAGTGCAATATGAATCAAGAGCATGGTGCCGTCACCAAAACTGCAGATGTGATCTCAGAGTAAGAAGAATAATATTCAATAGGAGGGAGGTGTTCATCCTGTTCTGCTCTGCCCACCAGAAGAGAAAGGGTGAATTGGTACTCATTTCTAGGCTTTGCATTTCATAGATAAATTGGAGTCATTCTGAAGGAAAGAGACAAAAAAAGAAAAGGGGGCTTAACATCATCAAGAAATATTTGAAATAAATGGTTTGTTTAGCTAAGAGCTTGGGGATAAAAAGGGCCATTTTCAAATGTTTATTTCATATATTTATTAAAGGTTTAAAAATTTATCAGTATCTAATAAATGCCATATGTCCTGTGAGGCTCCAAAGGGTAGACTTGGGACTAACACATAAAGTTTGTAGCTAAATTTATTTGAGGTGAATATTAGAAAAATATTTCCATCAGCCAGAACTGTCCAGTGATGGAATGGGATTCTTGGACAGATGGTGAATTTCTTGCCTCTGGAGCTATTCAGAGATACTGAGTGACTTCTAAATGGGGATAATATAAAGAGAATGGGAAGAGTGGTTGAACCAAATGACTTCTAAGATTTCTGAAATTCTAAAATTCCACAGAGATGAGTCATTCTTGCTACTGCATATTGTAGGAAGTGGTGCAATTATATTATAGATATCATTTTATTGTGATACAATTATTCTCTGAAAGCCCCTCTTCCACTGAAAACTTTAGATATTTCAAAAACAAAGACTTCTCATCAGAATATAAGCACAAATTCTGTAACATTTCTTATACCTAATCGTAAAGTACAAACACTGAAAAATTAACTTTTTTTTAAAAAAATGTGTTTTCTTCATAAACTCTCTTGGTGTTACATTATTAAAGTTTAATACCAAACAAAATTGCTCTGGAGAAGCTCATTTGATATTTTTTTTTGCTTTTCCAGTAATAGTCAATTTATCAATTCAACAAATATGAAGTAAACACCTATAATAAACCGCCATCTGGGCACTAGGAATATAGTAGCAGACCAAAACTTCATGAACAAGCATTTCTGCTTTTATTCTAGATGGGGGAAGCTGAGAAGGTTAGACTTAGTTTGTTGGTATTCTGGCCATGACGCTGTGATATGGTTTTAAGGTTTTGATGGTCTCAACTGCAGTAAGTGATATACTGGTGCCTTTGTGGTTTTAAACCCTAAGTCCTACAAGGGAAGGCTCATGCTCCTATTTTCCTGTAACCGGATATCCAGTGTTTAACGTAGTCTTTTAATCAAACACTATGATACTCAATACGTATTGAACAATACAAGTAAAATTAAGATATATAAACTTTTTCTGAGTTCATGAAATATAAAGAAGAAGCTGAATTAACAGAAGTTCAATGTTTTGGTATTTTATAGGCTAGGAAAATGTCAAATAGTCTGCCCAAATCACATTTGCTTTAGATTTGATATAAAAATATTTGATGTAAAAGCAACGATTGGGAATCAAGGGTCAATCTTTTAGTCCAGTGTGATAAAATGATGGCTCTGTATTCTTATCTTCCTTAATACTATGTTTTTATTAATGTATCTTTTATTATGGATGAATTTGGCCATGATTCCCAATGTTGCCCAGGCTAATGGTGCTTGTAAAATTCAGCTGTACAAAACTCCGGCCTTATTTTAGATGGTATGTTGGAGAGAAAAAGCGAAAGCTCTTACTTGAGCATTTTTCATCTGGAGATGAATCATAAGCAATTAACAGGAACAATCCTAATTAACTGACATAATTAAAAAACTAATAATGTTTAACATTATTGTTTTACACAATGACATTAGCTTTAACAGCTTAGCAACACATCAAGGCCTCATTTCCATAGTCACAGAGTATATTATTTATCCTAGGTTTCTCTGGTAACCAGTTTGACAATAGTAACAGCAATGTGAGTTCCTAAATTGTTTTGCCATACTGCTTCATAATTTATGCCATTGCCAGTAATTGTAATGTCTGTATAATTTCCTTTTAATTATCAACTAATGAAATTTAGATTCATTTGGGTAAAACAAATATTCACATTCAACTTCCAATCACCTGTCCACGCTTCCATTTAATTTACTCAAGTTTGGTGCCTTTTATTTATATTTTTAATATCAAACTGTGAGAAGGATATGAACATTCATTTTCTGATTAGTGTTTAGGGAAATAGTGATTACATGGTTCTTTTCTCTTCTTTGCCTTTAAATTTTCAGTGTGAATTTTTTAATCCAAGAAGATACACACACTTCCTAGTTTTTTCACATTAAACTCCAAGGAGTTTAAGTGGAATTAATTTAGTAAACTTTAATTGCAGAATAATCTCTGCCTGTTCCCTTATCTCTTGATTTATTACAGGCATTTATTTCTACTTTGAAAAATTCTCATCAGTTTCCCAGGGAATTAATTTAGATTTCTAAAAAGAAAAAAAACAAATTGCATCTAAATTCAAATTAAGTTGCTAATTACAATAATTATTTCATCACATTATATAGAAACTTTATACATATGAGTATAGCAATTTTGAGGCAAAAAATGTTATTTTTTCACAATTCTAATTCTTCTAACTTTTGAACAGATGAATTCCTTAGTTTAATTAGCTGTACATCAAGACCCTGCCCCCAAAAGAAGTTATACTGAATGCCAATCAACTGCTAATTTGAAAAATTGATAATAAATAGCCTTTATAAGTGAGCTAAGTGCCAATATTAATTCACCAAAGTGAGATGAGCATGTGCTTAGTAAACGATGGGGGCTGGTCATTAACAGGCATGAACAGCATGTTTAGGACCAGAGAGAGCCATGGACTGTGCTTATCCAAATGGGGAAAACTGATTAAAAAAGTGATTATAACTTTTTATTGTTACTGAAAAGAGGAACACATTAGGAAGAGCATTGGTTTGTTCTGCACCTGGGCCCAGATCTTCTGGGATAGCGCCTCTATATTCCAGGTCATTGGATGTCCACAGGGTCCACACTCAAGATTTAACTGTAGGAAAGAAATTGCTGGGATACTTGATGAAAGGAAATGCTCATCTCGGCATTTGAGGAAGGAAGGTTTAGACAATTCTGGCTTATTCCTTTGATCAGGGGGAAAAAATCAATTTTTTTTTCCTAGATAAATTCAAGTTGTTTCTTATTGTGCCTCCTAAGGGTAAACATAGACTTGGTGCCTACCCATAGATAATATATGTGCATTGAGAGTAGAATTGTTGGGTTATATTCCCATGCATTCTTTCAGCTTTCTCATAGGATGTGGACAAATCTTTTGGTAGTCAGATAATGTGCGATTCTAGGTACTCCTCATTTGACCTTTCCCAGAAAGCTTGACAAAAATCAGATTGTTGGGCCTTAAATTCTGCTACTGACTTATGCTAAGATTTTCGAGATTGTACAGCATGAAATAGTAGGAAGACCAATTGGATTTGGACCCAGAATAAATGGGTCAGCTACTTACTATCTATGTAATCCTGGGAAAGCCACTTTACCTCTCTGATCTTTGGTTTCCTGTTTTGTAAATTGGCGTTAGATCATATCTGTTTCTTCTGGGTTCACATGAGAATTAAATCAGATAGGAGGGGCAAAGTGATTTATGAACTGTAAAGTTCTATACAACTGTAAGACACTCATAGGACTATTCTATTCTCGTCTTCACTTGAAAAAAAATGAGAACACTGCTGTCACCTCTCCCTAATCTATTACCTTGAAGAATCCACTTCCTCACCTATAAATGAGACTAATTATGATAACTTCTTCCTAAGAGAGGATTTTATATTTTTAACCTTCATGTATATTTTTTTCATCTATGATTTTTTTCATCTTCCAGATGAGGAAACCAAGACATGGTGAGGGTAAGTAACTCACCTAATTCAATATAGGGGATTTAAACCAAGCTTTTAAACCACATGCTAACTTACTTTTTAGTAACTCTGTATACAAATGTACAGCCTATCTCTAAAAAACACAAATGCATTTCAAATTTCAACACGAGGTGCTAAATGTCTCCCTGAGTTATCACTGAGGCTTAAATATCTGGAATCCCTGGATGTGAGTCAACAATGGAAGAAGCTTCCAATTTAGTTGAAAAAGCAAGGTTTAATAAATGAAAGTACACAGAAGTTGAACTGAAATTAGTGCTTTAAATATGAATTTAAAATGACAATGACAACAAGAAATACTGAAGACAATTCTTGATAAATTGTCAATTAAAGTGGCCTAGCTAATAATTAATGAACTAGCCGCTATTTAGAGAAACTAGGAGAAAGACATCCCTACCCTGATTGAGGAGCCCAATATCACACACAAGAGGTTTTGTCAGCTTCTATTAGGTTTAGCCATAAGTAATACAATAACCTAAAATAATAGTAGCAACTTAAGTTCAAAGTTTCTTTCTTTGCCATATCAAGTTCTGTAGTCTGGGGCTGGTATGGCAGGCCATGGTATTAAAGTTCCTTCTCTCCCATTTATTTTTTAGAATAAAGTCTTTTTCTCCCATTTGTGACTTTTGTTTGTAATGATTCTTATGGTTCAAAGTAGCTGCTGGAGCTCCAGCTATTAAATTTATATTCCAGTCAGTAAAAAGGAAAAGAGAGGTCTATGAGGATAAGCTGCTGGCCTTTAAGGATGCTTTCTGGAAGATGTACACACAACTTCTGCCACTGGGGTATTGACCAGAAATCAGCTGCATGACTCAGTTAGCTGCAAGAAAGGCTGGGAAAATCTAGCACTTCCTCCCCGTTTTTTCCTGGGGTGTGTGGGTGGCTGTATAATGGCTATATAATCAGATAAGCATATTTCTGATATTGAGGAAAATAGGGAAAATGGATACTGGGAAAAGTGGGAAAGAGGGTTGGCAGACTCTTGACACAGAACCTCAGAGATAGCCTCTTATGGGCACCAGCCCGCACACTCTGTGACAGTCCAGCCCATATCCTGAGAAGATTCAGAGATAAGAAATGGATGAAGACTCTTCACTGAGCCATCATTGAAACAGACATTGAGAATATCACAATTGACTTGCAAGCACAGGAAAACTAGACAAAGTGGTGTGGTATGGTTATGAGTGTGCATTTAGAAACATACCTACACCACACACACACACACATACACACCACACACACACCCCTTTATTCATATAGTGGACCTCTCTGTGACAGCTCACTGACTCCTTTTCTGGTTTTACTTTATAGGGAGCTAGGGCAGAGGAGTGGGAATTACGGCTTTTTCAGAGATGGAGAAAACTTTTGACAATTCACCAGTTACGTAATTCATCATATACAAAATTAGATGAATACTATACATGATAAGACATGACTGTAGACTGAATTGATAGTTTTTGCCAAAACTTACCAGAATTACCACACACTTGAACATCTTAATCTGAGTATTTTCTATCTCCACAAAGAGAAACTGAGAATGAGGAAGCTGTTCTTATTTTGCTGCTGGCCAAAGCTGCTATGGAATTCCTCTATTGGAATAACAAAGCTGGGGACAAGCTTTTAAACAACCAAGTGGTGCAAGCTTTATTTTAGGGCTGGTTTCTAAATTACAGAGAAATAGTTCAAGATCACTAAGAGCTAAGTGTGGGTGATAAGGTGTGATAACAAAGTTCAAAATTTAATAACCAGTCATATCATTTCCCTGTGAGTCTCATGAGATCATTTTGAGGGCAGTTTTCTTTCTTTCTTTTTTTTTTCAGAGACAAGTCTTGCTCTGTTGTCCAGGCATGTCTTGGACTCCAGGCCTTAAGTGATCTTCCTGCCTTAGCCTCCCAAAGCACTGGGTTTATAAGCATAAGCCACCGCACCTGGCCCAAGTTTTAAAAGATAAGTTAGAAAAGAATGTTTCTGATAACAACACTGCAGGAACAAAAAAGTGTGGGCCTCTTCAGGTGACTAATTTGAAGGGGATTAAAAAAAACTGAACAAAATCTGAAGTTGTTAACAATCGAAGGCTTTTCTTGAGCATTACACCTTGTTCCTTTCAGCTTTTTGTGTTATCCAATCAGTGGATGACTCTTCTAGTCTAGGCCAAATTCCAGGACTTACAAATATAAACAGTAAAGCAGAACTATCACACCAAAGATGGAGATCAGTACATTATTCTACAATGCTGTCATTCTCGATCTTCAGAGTGTTAAACATCACTTAGGTATTACCCACATCGGTTCAGCCCCTGACTTAAAATAATCTTTTCCCCCAAATTCAAGCTATTTTACAGGGAGGCAGATACAATGGAAGCTGTTTAAAATGTGGGGGTTTTGTTTAGGCCATTTTTTTTTTTTTGAGACGGAGTCTTGCACCGTTGCCCAGGCTGGAGTGCAGTGGCACAATCTTGGCTCACTGCAAGCTCCGCCTCCTGGGCTCATGCCATTCTCCTGCCTCAGCCTCCTGAGTAGCTGGGACTACAGGCGCCCGCCACCACGCCCGGCTAATTTTTTGTACGTTCAGTAGAGATGGGGTTTCACCGTGTTAGCCAGGATGGTCTCGATCTCCTGACCTCGTGATCCGCCCTCCTTGGCCTCCCAAAGTGCTAGGATTACAGGCGTGAGCCACCACGCCCGGCCTGTTTAGGCCTTTTTTTTATTACCTCTCTGAAACATAAATGATTGACTTCTATGAAAGCCAATCATTGACTCATGACTTTGCATGACGTGAGGTCAACAGACACCTCTACAACTTAGTGGCCACATTGAAGTAAACAAGCACACTGTTAAATAAGAAAGATTTCCTAAGGGAACTTTGCAATCATTACATTCTCTGCTTGTTGCAACATCCAATATTCATCATGGGAAAATCTCTCATATTCCTTGTATTATTAATACAATACCATGATTTGTTAACAATATATTTTTATGTTTGTAGGAAAGGAAAAAAATCATTTACTGTACAATAAATGTGAATGGGCTTCAAGCCTAGAAAGGGAAATTTGACCAAAAGTCTCCCAGGTTTCAGGGCTTCTTCAACTTTAATGTGAATAAGAATCACCTGAGCTCCTTGCCGAACTGGCAATTGTGACTCACGAGGTTTGGGTGGAGTTTAGTTTAGCATTTCTACCACAGCTCCGCAGAACGCTGATGCTGCTGGTCTTAGGGCAGCACTTTGAGTAACAAAGATCTCAGAAAACATTCCTTTGCAAAGAGCCTATATTAAAAGTAAATAATTAAACAATCTCCCAATTGCAACCTAGACACATGCTTGCTGTGATTCACGACGTTCTGAAGAGTTCAGTTCTGGAAGTCATTAGGAAACACTGCAGCAACGTACTTTTTTCCATGTGTCTAGTGCATGCAATCAATTAGTGGTGAATTCAAACAGGCATTGTCTGATTGGTGTGTGGCTTGGAGACAGGCTTTGTAGTTATTTCGGGTGTGAATGTGTTTAGTTTTTAAAACAATAAGCAGCAGGGTATATGGTTTGAGCATCCTAAAACTCAGGGGCATATGGTACCTTTGGGTGAGGACATAAATTTTCAACTTGAGGAAAAGAAGGAACTTGATGAGTTTAATTAAGAAAGTTGTTAAAAGTAAGAACCTTGTCACATATTTTGCTTTGATGTTAATTCTTCAACAAAAACAGACTTGGACATGATGAAGAGCAAGGTGGTTACAAAAGTAACACAAAACATGAAATCAAGGAACTCTCATTAGTGAGGCCATCAGGATTTTATCTCTATTTGCTGTTATCATTTACCCTGAAATATACCATGTTTGAGCATGATATACAAGGTCTAGATCTTGGTGTCTTAAAATGTTTTCTTTTCTTTCTTTCTTTCTTTTTTTCTTTTTTGAGGCACTGTCTCCCTCTATCTCTGGAATGCAGTGGTGTAATCACGGCTCACTGCAGTCTTGACTTCCCAAGCTCAAATGATCCTCCTGTCTCAGCCTCCTGAGTATCTGTGACCACTGGTGTGCACCACCACAACTGGCTAAGTTTTTTTTATTTTTGTAGAGACAAGGTATATTAGTCCGTTTTCGTATTGCTATAAAGAACTTTCCGAGACTGGGTAATTTATAAAAGAAAGAGGTTTAATTGACTCACAGTTCAGCATGGCTGGGTTGGCCTCAGGAAATACACATGGTGGAAGGTGAAGGAGAAGCAAGGCACTTTCTTCAAAAGGCGGCAGGAAGCAGAAGTGCTGAAGAAAGAGGGAAACCATCAGATCTCGTGAGAATTCACTCACTATCACGAAACGAGAACAGCGTGGAGGAAACTGCCCCTGTGATTCAATTACCTCCACCTAGTCTCTCCCTTGACATGTGCGGATTATGAGGATTACAATTCAGGATGAGATTTAGGTGGGGACAAAAAGCCTAACCATATAATGTGGTCTCACCACATTGCCCAGGCTAGTCTCTAACTCCTGGGCTCAAGTAATCCTCTTGCCTTGGCCTCTCAAATTGCTAGGATTACAGGTGTGAGCCACTGTGGCTGGTCCTAAAAATGTTTTCTAATTAATCCAATTAATCCTTAATTATCATCTAAAAGAACTGTACATATAGGCTACCATGGCTTCTCTGGAAACACAGATGCAAGAAAGCCTGCTGGGCATACACTACTGTGTAGAATCAGATCAGAGAGATGGTTTTGAAGGGTGTTTGGAGAAAAGTCACATATCAGCCTGTAAAAAGAGTAAAGAGTTTTTTTGTTTTCAATGTAGAGGTGAAAGTTATTGCAAATTTCTACTTACACACATTTTCTAAAGTTGTTCAGATTGACAAAGAAGTGGAGTTGCATTTTGTACAGTCATTGAAGGACGGATCTCGTGTATTGTAAACCTCATAGATTAGTCCAATTTATGTTTTGTGGAACACCAGTCATACAAGGTATTTTGAAAATATGAGTCCCATTTTCAAGTATATTTAGGAAATATTACAGACATGTTTCTCATGGAAAGTTATGGTGTACTATAGCCAGGTAAAGGCTCTGAGACATCCTGTGATATAGAAACTTGTATTTATCCTTTTTCCTCATAGTGGTAAATTTCAACATTTTTGAAACAGAAGGTGCCGATCAAGCTCTTTATATATCAATAGTGATGTGACCAAATATCTTGCTCCTGCTTATTGTTTGACTCTAGGTATGCAATTAAACTTAAGATGCCAATTTCTCCTTCCCCAAGGATTTTTGCAGATAACTTTAGTGAGAAGAAAGATGGGTAGGAAATGCCATAAAATTCCAAGATAATCCCAAATCTATAATACAGTGGTAATTTCCAATCTCTGGCATATGGTTACAAAACTTTGATCTCTTGTGGATGTCCTATTTGATCCTTTAGATAGAAACCCCTCAGATGAGTGCAGGATCGGGAACCTGATATAATACTTCCTATAAAGATGCAATGAATACTCTTATTGATTGATTGATTGACTAAAAATGTTTGTAGAGTAGCCTTAAATTATGATTACCATAGGCCTTGAACTATGCTGGGTGCTTTGGAGAACACAAATGGCAAATTTACTGACCTTGAAGAATTGTCTGCACAGAGTCTCAAGATAGCCTCCCTTGAAAAGCTAAATAAAAATAAAGACCATGTATATCTAATAACATACGCATAGTACAGACATTTTGGACAGTGGATTTTGAGAGGAAAAGAATGTTGCAAGCTTCTGGAGGGCGAGATTATTTCTGTTTCCTTTGCTAGCCCTTAAATCCTGGCATAGAGTTTTATTGAACTACGTTGGATTATATTGACTGGACTGAGTAGTCAAAAAAAAAAAAAAAAAAAAAAGCTCCCTAGAGGACTGTGGGCTTGAGAACAGTCTCATCTGCTGTATCTGTGGGTTCAAAAGATTTTCTTTTGATTTAGGTTATACTAGTAGTTTCATGGCAAAAGGAATTGGCGTGAGGACAAGCAGGAAGATTAGGTGTCTTTTATATAAGAGGATCTCAAAGCTACACGTAGCAGAGCTACATATTCAACTAACAAGCTTAACTGGCAGGAGATATGGGAGCACTCTTTCAAGAAAGGTGTTACACCTCCCACAATTCAAAGATGCCTCTTAATGGCAAATAAATCCAATGAATAATTTCTCTTTGTGCAAAATGAAAGGAAGAACTCAGAGCTATTTTTGCTCTCTTCCTCAAATAAGGATTATACACAGCATCCACTTCTATATAATTGCCAGTCTTATTGACCTTAAGACTATTGGCTGGCTGGGTGCAGTGGCTCATGCCTGTAATCCCAACACTTTGGGAGGCCGAGGTGGGTGGATCACAAGTTCAGGAGTTCAAGACCAGCCTGGCCAAGATGGTGAAACTCCATCTCTACTAAAAACTACAAAAATTAGCCGGGCGTGGTGGCAGGCACCTGTAATCCCAGCTACTTGGGAGGTTGAGGCAGGAGAATCGCTTGAACCTGGGCGGCAGGGGATGCAGTGAGCTCATATTATGCCACTGCAGTCCAACCTGGGCAACAGAGTGAGACTCCATCTCAAAAAAAAAAAAAAAAAAAAAGACTGTCACCCTAAGTCCCCCACAAATGATACCTCAGGCCCTACGGCTGTCATACATTCTCCACAAATGTATGTCATGCAGGAGTTTTTCATATGTCTCCAAAAAGCTACAGGAACATCTTTCCTTTGTTTCTGTGGACTTAAAGGTACTCTTGATTTTTATTTTGACTATGTTTCTCTAACTTGGGACTAATTACAGAAGAGATCTATTGACAGAGAGAATAAGAGAGAAGAATGAAGAATCATTTGTACCCAGTGGACAACATCTACTTGCTTATATACTGATTAAAATAATCTGTTACTTAGGGACTAATTGGTTTTTGTCAGGTTTTTTTGTTTTTGTTGTTCATTACTTGTATGCAGGTGTTCAAGTCCCACTGTTTCCATACATCTATTGTGATGCCTTTGACTGTCTTTGCTCAACTCTTTGAAGGTTAATGGACCACAGAGAAGAATCTGATGAGTGGGTGATGTGGGAATGTAAGAGAGCGGAGGACGGCAGTGTCATGGGATTGCTCTGGTGTTGGAATTTGGGTGCTTCTAGTATGAGTTCCATTGACCCCCAGCCTCTGGTCATCGCATTGTTCCCTGTGATTGGCTGTGGAGTCTTTGTGAAACCCCTTAACCTCTCTGTTCTTCCCCTTCATGATGGTGTGTTTTGAATGATACTGCATACTAATTTGTAACAGGTTTTATGATCCCCGGATGCTGTAAATTGCTTGTTATTAACAATAATTGCCTACAGATTTTTTCCCAACCATTTACATGAAGAATCTTTGCAATATGAGGTTAAATTATAATATGCTAATAGTCAATCAATGTTGAATAGTAGGTTGCTTTCATAGACTGAGCTGCCACACTTTGGCTGCTCAAAGCAAGTGCATTCCTCTTCATACACATGTTATTTCTGGTTCAGACTTGCTGCTGTTTTGGCATTAGGGAACAAAAATCTTCTCATCGACATAAACTTTTTTTACTACCCTTTCATTGAGGCATAGGGGTTCGGAAACCACACATGTATCCCCCTTCACAAAAAAGCGATGGACACATTCCTGTATAGGTTATGTGCAGCTGCTGCAGCAAGACACTCAGAATTCTTGTGAACAAAGAAAGCTCTGTGCTGAAACATAGCTTAAGGAATGGCAGTAAGTATGAGGAAATTTGCAGGAATCTTCCAAAAGGAAAGGCTGTACAAACTGAATTCCAACCAAGAACAATGTAAATAAATCCAACTTTTATAGGATATATAAACCAGAGAGACAGCGGCAAATGGCTAAAAATGCAAGGGACCTTATCCATGTTTCTGACCCCCTTGAAGGATACACGGTAGGTGAAAGTAAGGCAGGTGCTGCTGGAAAGGTATTTGGGGCAAAATTTACAATTTCTTCACTTTGGCCAAAATATTAGTCAACCAAGAAGACTTTATTATAAAACTTCCAAGTGCCAAAAACTGAGGCATAAAAGAAGCACAAATCATAGTCTCTTATCTTGAGAAGCTTACCAGTTGGTTGATGAAAGGGGACAAACACCCAAAAGAGAAACCCTAGTTAAGTTTCCCTTTATGTTGTGAATCAGTAGATTTCACCTGGAGGTGCGTCTCGAATTAAGAGGAGGCTCATCTGGAAGAGGCTATTGCAGAACCTGAGTTTCCACTAGGTAGATCTCATCACTAGGAGCTCAGGAACTTTATCTAGTTCATCACCATATCTTCAGCACCTGCAAGAGTCTCCATCATATAGTGGTCATTAACAGATACTTGTGAATGAAGAGATCAATGAATAAAGGTGGAAAGGAGCGGCAAGAATATAGTAAATACCATTTGGGGTATATGTTCAGATGATGATTTCCTTGTTCATTGGTTGGCATGGGTTTGCCTACAAGAACAGAAAGCCTAACAGCAGAAACACAAAGAGATTTTTTTATCTTATGAAGTCCAGGGCAAACCAAATACCATCAGAGACCCAGGTTACTCCATATTTCTGCTTTGCCATCCTTTACACTAGCCTTTGTCCTCATTGCTCTCATCTCATGGTCACAGATGGCTGTTGCAATTATAGATATCACATTGCTCTTTATTTTTTGCCAATTAATTTTTTTCCCCAATGATTTTTGCAGGTATTTTCTTGTCTGGAATCAGGAAGCTACAATTCACTGCAAGGGAAGCTGAGAGCAAGTTTGTAGAATTCTAATCTGCATAGTAGAATTATCAATCATCATACTTGATAGAGGTGAGAATGGGAATTGAGAAAGTGTGATTATTGAATCATTCCATAGTATCTGCAACACAGCTTGCCTGTAATTTGTTGATGGTCCATGGGATTGGATGTTTAAATATCACGTTTGAGCCACATATGGGTCTTCATCCCAAGCTACCACTTGGTGGTATGGAAGTGGCTAGCTGCCCCAAGCTTTTGGAATTCTAGAGTCTGAGGATCGCTGGAACTGCAATATTTATGAGGCCTCCCAAGCTGTTGTGGGTGACTCTGAAAAACACTAGAAATTTGGTCTCTGGCAGAGAATACAGAATAGAGCAGACACTTGAGAGAAGTAGGGACACAGAGAGAAATAGGGTGGACTTCCTGTTCCTAGGTCTAGTCCATTCCTGAGATCCAGTGCCCTTGGATCATTTTAATAAAATTTCCTCTCCCAACCTACTTTTAAAATTTCATCCAAAAGTTTTTAAATTATCAAGTGTGATCAAAATTTTACATTCAATGTGCATGAGTTTTCTTTTGGGGATAATATAAAAGTCTAAAATTAGATTATGGTAATAGTTGTACAACTCTGCAAATGTACCACAAACCATTGAAGGATGCACTTTAAATGGGTGAACTATATGGTAATACGGTAGGTAAATTAGATCTCAATAAAGCCGTTTAAAAACTTATATTCAGTGTAATTCAAATGTGTGAAGAGGTATATTCTATCATTTATATAACTAATTTAATAATCCTAAATAAATCCCTAAATAACCCTAAATAAATCCCTACCTTTCTCAGTAGCAAGAAAAAAATTGACTTTATATTTGCAATTAAATGTTTATCTCAGAATTTTTATGCTCAGGCCGTCTTCATTGGATGCTTTGGCGTCTTTTGAGCAAATGGTTGGCCATTTAGCTTTTTCAACCTTCCCATATTGGGTCAGTGTCTGTAGATGTTCACATGTCTCTGCTGGTGACACTTTGGCTTGCATCCTGGAGGTTGCCTATTGGAGTACCCTGCTTTCATCTGGTTTCTTGAAACATCATGATGCCACCCATTGCTCTAGATTCTGATCCTTGCCTTTTGCTTCTAATTGTCAAATCCCAGTACATAAAGGCCTCCTTTTGCTGACCCAGACTTCAGCTTGTCCACTATCTTTGAAAGTTTTTCCAAGTCCTCCCTCCATTAAGCACAGAGAACTTTCTGGATTTCTCACAAGCAGTTTCCATTTTTAGTCCCTAAGGAGCCAAGAACACTCAGGCTTATCTGTCTAACCACCTGCCTTGGCAACTGACGTGAAATCCTTCAAACCTACTTTGAAAGTCTCTTCTCAGGATTCCCTGCTTTCAGACTTTCCATGAACCTATGTAGTGTTTCTCCCTTATCCAGTACCCCAAGTCCCCCATTCAGAACCCTCTACCCCATTGCTTTCAGTAAAATTTCACCTGCACTACATCGCCAGGCCTTCTTCTGGTTAGGTGAATGTGAGCTGGTGGAATTAAAGGAAAAGAATCATTTACTTTACCCAAGCCAAGCTTTCAAAGCCTTAGAAAAATTCAACTTTAAATTTCAAAAGCTGGCTTTTTCTTATATTTTATTTATTGAGATACAATTTACATATGATTAAAAGCACACGTTTAAAATACACATGTTGATGATATTTTCTATTAAATGTACGTATCGCTTTAATTCAGTAGTGAGTGAACTTGCTTTGTATTTGCAAAAGTGCAAGGAAAGACCCTGAGAGTGAAGCTGGGGCGTCTGAGTTTTGAAAGGGTAGACCCATTAGCCCGTAATTCTCTGTGAAACTAATAAACTTGGAAAATCCATGTAATCGATACATGGCCAGAGGTGTTCTGTTAGCTGTGGTCATTATGGCCTTTTTCTCTGGTTTCTGAATCCCTCTACTACCTGTCATTGGCTTCCAGAGCCTCAGGCTGGTCAAACTCCCTCTCACTCACGTCTAGTGTCCATCTTTTCAAACTCTGCCTCTCTTTAACACTTCTGTTAAAGTCCGTGGACTTCTCAGTCCGTGGACTAACAGGCAGAGACTGTTTTGATCGTTGCAATTTATAATAAGGTACAAATGAGGCTACTGGGAATTACTTAACTTTTCAAAGATGGTTGGTACCTGAGTATTGGGTCTGATTTGCAGAAATACTAAGGGGCCTGGGCCTTCTCACATTAATCCACGGCTGTTTTAAGCCAGCCTCTTCCTGCCTTTGAGATACGTCTCTGTGCTTCTCCCACTTTTATCTTGTCCACTGGGGAGCCAATGGAAAGTCATTTTTGCAGCTTTCTTTCCATCCTCCTTTATTCTTGCAGGCATCTTTGCAAAGAAGTCATTTCATAAAGAATATGAGCCCTAAATACCTAAAATGATGAATTACATATCCATCAATTCTTAGTGTTATTATAACCAAAAACCCGCTATACCACAAAAGTTAAGAGCGCGGAATTTGATAAACTAATGTTTGAATCCATTCCTATAACCTCCGAAGTCTACTCTTGGCATTACCATTTTTGGGTTCCTTAATTTGAGCCAGACTTTATGTCAAACACTTTTACATATATGGCAAGTATATTACAGAATTTCATAATCCATGAAGCTAAATTTCTTTCTAGCACCAAAATCACAATAATTCAAACCTTCATTCTGCTTGATAGCTGGAAATCCAGCCTGTGTGGGTGATAAAGTCTGGGTGAGTAAAGATCATATCAGACCTTCTGGAAACACAGCAGGCTCTCTCTGAGTCCATCCGCATCCACATGGGAGCTTTCTGCATTCGTTGGTATGTATCATGCCACGTCCACATCATCTGGACCAGATGCACTCTTCAATCTTGGAGTTATGCAATGCACTGTAAACTGCAGAGTACTGTAACATTAGGCATAGGCAACAACCCCACTTGGACTACACGTGGACTCTGCAGTGAAATACAGCCCGTGCCCAGGACATTACCAAACTCAGAGCTGCAAAACTAAAATAAAAGCAATGTTTCAAATTCAGTCCACTTCCTAAAAAAGTACACTGATGGCATCCTGTATAATGAGATGTGCTGGTGATTTCTTTTTAAACAAAAGCATACAGTCAGAGAAAATGGAAAACTAGGATTTGCAACATTATATATAATTACAGAGCTATGTGACCAATAACATTATATATAATTACAGAGCCATGTGGCCGATAAGTCAGATGTGACTCTCTCTCTCCACACCTCATATGCGCAGACAACTTTCAGTGGCCTGGAAGTCCTTCATGCATATCCACTGTTCAAATAAAGGTGGGGTGAGAAAACTATTCAAAGACCTAGATATTAAAACTTCTCAGCAAGAAAACTAAGGTATGTACGTGTATTTTTAAAAACATACATACAATGTTTTACATTTTTTCTCTGATATAAACAAAATAGTGATCATTTTTTAAAATGTAGAAAATAGGCCTGGCGCGGTGATGCACACCTGTAATCCCAGCACTTTGGGAGGCTGAGGCGGGTGGATCACCTGAGGTCAGGAGTTCGAGAGCAGCCTGGCCAACATAGTGAAACCCCGTCTCTACTAAAACTGCAAAAACTAGCTGTGCGTGGTGGCATGCCCCTGTAATTCCAGCTACTCGGGAGGCTGAGGTGGGAGAATTGCTTGAACCCAGGAGGCAGAGGCTGCAGTGAGCCAAGATCATGCCACTGTACTCCAGCCTGGGCGACAGAGTGAGACCCCATCTCAAAAAATAAATAAATAAATAAAAAATAAAGAGAAGCAATAAAGAAATAATGAAAGTCACTTAAAAGTTTATCATTCTTTTTAATAACCACTAATAATCTATTGTTTTCTAGTCTTTTTCTTACAAATGCATTTGTTAATATTATATATTTTATATTTATATAAAATCATATATTTTATTGGTAAATATGTTGTTTTTACAGCCTAGAATTATTAACATACTGAAACAAATATTTTATTATATTTTAAAATTGTTTTCACAAATCAGATCAATCGACATGTAAACTAAATTGACTTCTAAAACAATAAAACCAATTTATACTTTCACTTGAAGTGTTAAAGAATACTTATCATTCTTTTTTGTTTGTTTGTTTTTTGAGACAGGGTCTCATTTTGTCACTGAGGCTGGAGTGCAGTGGCGTAATCACTGCTCACTGTAGCCTTGATTTCCTGGGCTCAAGTGATCCTCCCACCTCAGCCTCCAGAGCAGCTGGGATCACAGGTGTGCGCCATTACACCTGGCTAATTTTTTAAATTTTTAGTAGAGATGCAATCTCACTATGTTGCTAAGGCTGGTCTTGAACTCCTGGGCCCAAGAGATTCTCCTGCGTCAGCCTCCCAGAGTGCTGGGATCACAGTCATGACCCATCATACCTGTCACTTAACACTCTTAAACCTACAAGCATTAAATATTTAAACAAATAAAAATTGGTGCCATTTCAAATTGTAAAAAAATCTTCCTGTGACTACTAGATATTTGAATTGTTTTCATGCACTTATTGAGCAATTATATATTCTCTTTTGTGAATTAGCTGGTTCTGCCCTTTATGCAGTTTTAAGCTGGAGGAGGGGAATGAAAGATTTTACTTGTTTCTTAGGGTTGGTAAGATCCCTTTCTGTAAAAAAAGAATAATAATAAACCTTTGTCTGTCACTTATTGCAAATATTTTTATCAGTCTGATGTTTAGCTTTCTTATGGTCATTTTTACTCATTGAAATGTAATTTTCTTACGTGTTCAAATCTCAGTAACTTGGAAAGACCTACACATGTGAATACATAAGTAAATAAATTTTTCTCATCAGGAAATTCCTAACATAATTTGGACCTGGGAGTGTGTGTGTTTGTGTACACAGGTGGGCTGCTGGGCTGGTGCTCACTCACGTGTGCTTGGCTAACCTCACTCCAAAAATATCCCTCCACCAGGATGGCCAGGTTGAACAATGCATTTGCTGCTTTTGCTCTCAGGAAAGGTATGAGGCAGGTCAGGTGCTCTTTCTGCTGCTCAGATGTGGATAACCTTGTGAAGGACCAATTCAGAGAGCGAGTTGCTTAAAATAAAATGGGAGGAAGACTTTTAAGAGATGGAACATCTGTGATAAACTCATTTTCTGTGTGAGCACCAATGGAGATGCCTGTCTGGGTCGGCTGAGCAGCATTTCTATAGCAGTTGAAAATTCATTTCATTTCATTATCGGAACTGTTCAAGCACTCCGGTTTGGATCAGGGAACAGCTTCTTAAACCTGCAGGAAGCTCATTTACCCCTGCTGAGGCTCCAGCTCTCTTTCTTATGGGAAGGTAGAGATGGCTTACTTACAAATCTTGGCATATATGTGTGTGTGTGTGTGTGTGTGTGTGTGTGTGTGTATATATATATATATACACATATATAATCTACATCCACACACATATATGATTTGTATTGAAGAAGCATATTTTCCAGGATCCTCCATCTCTAGCAGCCCTAATATTATCCTTTTTCTGTTTCATTTGGGTCTGTTTCAAGGCTACTTTCCCAATCCTCTCATCCTTTAAAAATACTGCTCTCCGTGCATTAGTAAACAGACAAGTGCCTCTCAGGTGGCGTGCAGTGGAACAAAGAACAGAGCATCAATTCTCTCAACAGCCCACAATGAGGCAAGTCATAGTATTTCTCAAACAACAAACACTGGTTGAGAAAACTTTTAAAGAATCCCAGATGGCATTTACAGATTCAGAACTAAATTAATGGAGGGGAAAAAATCCATATACTTTGAAGCCTTTACAATGAAAGCCATAAGACTTCTAGTTGTTTCTCGACTGCGACACCTCTGGGCTCCAACACCGTAACTGCAGCCACATTCTCAGATCTTCCATGTCAGAGAAGGAGCTAAGAAGCCTGTGGCTACTGAGAAGAGGCCAGCTAAGTGATGCTGGCATGTAGGAAGCAGGCACACTACTTGTGGATGGGGAGCATGGTGACTGGAGAGACCAGTGAGGGCAATTTGCATCCTTTGAGGGCAATTTGGTCTCCAAAGAACAGAGTGATCTGGAGGGAGTGACAGCCAAGAGTCAGCCAGAGCGTCTCAGCCATCCCAGGAATCAGAGAAATCCAGGTATGTGGGCCCCTGGCCAGGGTGAGGGAGTTTAAAAAGTAAGTGCCTCTAGAAAGCGGGACTCAGAGGACTCAGAGGAGGCCTTCATTCCTGGATTACTGGCTAGAATAAACCACCATCCCATCCTTAGAAGGAGCCCTAGGATGGGCGCGGTGGCTCACGCCTCTAATCCCAGCACTTTGGGAGGCCAAGGTGAGTGGATCACTTGAGGTCAGGAGTTCGAGACCAGCCTGGCCAACGAACATGGTGAAACCCTGTCTCTATCAAAAATACAAAAATTAGCCAGGACTGGTGGTGGGCGCCTGTAATCCCAGCTACTCGGAAGGCTGAGGCAGGAGAATCACTTAAACCCAGGAGGCAGAGTTTGTGTTGAGCCGAGATCACGGTTGAGCCTGGGTAACAGAGTGAGACTCTATCAAAAAAAAAAAAAAAAAAAAAAAAAGTCCTGGGCGGGTTATTGGAGAATGGACTCAGGTACATGAAAATTGTCTGGTTCCCATCAGAGATGGCTCCCAGACAGGGCAGCAGCCTTGTGGCAGAGCACAGGCCAGAGCAACTCCATGGAGGGATCTGCTTGAGGCCGGGCCTCTGTGTGTCTGGCATATTGGCTGCTTCTGTTCACCCTGCTAAGTAAGTATAGGATTAGTCACATGGCTCAGGAGGTGCTAAGTTTGAAGGAGGAAAGGAGCCCGTTGGGGCTTAGGTTAAATCCACGTCATAATAATGTGATCAAGTTCTACTATTTATAAGACACCAAACTGGGAATTTGTAGGCAAGGTAAGAAGTACAGGGGCGGGAGTCAGGAGCCCTGTGTGTGCTGGAAGAATTTTAGCATTAAGACTGTTAGGTTTTAAAAACAATATTATGTTTATTTTGCACCCCAGTCTATTTATTTTCTCCAAGGAGTCTGCCTGTCATGACACTGCACACAGAGTAGGGTCTGGATTAATGCCTGTTGCTGGACTGGAGATGCCTCAAGAAAATCAGGTGAATGGGCATTGTGGATTAGCCACTAGAACGGGGTCCAGGAAGAGCTGGACTCTGCATTGTAGGCTAAATGACTGGGTCGCAGGCGGATGAGGACAACAGAAACAAAACTGTGGCAAACACCCTTGGTTGAGCATTACTGCAGACTTCTCATTACATGAAATGTTTCATGTGCATTGTTTCATTTACAGAAGGCCTATGAGATGGGTACTGTTTTTTTCACACACAGTGACTGATGAAGAAAGTAAGTCTCAGTACAAATAAGAAACACCCCCCAGGTCACACGAATGAATGGTAGAGCTGGACATGACAGCCAGATCTCTCTGGCTTGGAAGCCTACGGGACTATACACTGTCGATGGTCTTTTTTGTCTGGTAATATTTATCCTATGCAGTGTCAGCCTCAGTCTGATTGATTGACTGCTATACTGCCTAAGTACAAGATCACATATCTTGTCAACAGAGTTAGAATATTTTATTTGATTTCCCAAGCTTCAACTGATTCACCCTTTGCCCGCGTGAAATTAGTAAAATGGCCACATTAACATTTCTTTTAATGCTCTTTTTAAAAAGAGTACATTTTTAAGAATGGAAATAATGCATTTAAATGTGCTCTATAAAATGTGCAGTTGTTTATAATAGACCAAGGAAATTGCAAATGCAAAAGTACAAATTGTTTTAGACACGGCAATTTTTGTACTTATAGTACTTATAATGGCCTAAAATACACATTTTAGTGTATATGTGCTGAGAAACGTGTTTTTAAATGTTGACTTGTAGCGTAGACATATCAAAAAATTTTCATTAATTGCAAATATATCCTAGTTACTACCTATTTCTCGAATTAGAATAATATCTACCTCATTTTAATGATCAATATAGAGCAATTCACACAAACCTAATTTATGGGTGGGAAGCAAGATGGAAAATAAACATGAAATGTTAAGTCTGCTACTTCAAAAGACAAACGTCTTTATTATATGTATTTGAATAATGGTGACTGTTGTTTTATCTGTACAATAAAGCTGGAGATGGGGAGAAAGAAAAAGGGAAAGGTAAAGCGGCAGAAAGGAAACAAGTAGAACCAATGATGGGAGTTGGGGAATCACACTGAGTTATTCATATGACAAATAAAAATGAATGATTTTTTGGCAGAAGTATTTCATTAAGGTAGTAGGACTGTGCCTTTTTACTCATTTATATTAAGCTTAAATGCCAGAAAAATGTTATTATTTTGCCTACTCTCATTTATTAAAATCATTTTAAAAATGTAGTTCCCAGACATCCATCTGTCACATCAGGAAATAAGCTAATTTTCTCTTTCTTTTTTTTTCCTCCAAATATGCTAGAAGATATTAGATAAACAAATGTAATAAAATTCATTATATATTTTCTCCACCATATAAGAATACAAATACTTATTAGAAAACTTGGAAATACAGAAAATAGAGAAGAAAAATCTGTATTCTCACCACCCAAATAAAGCATATCTTAACATTTTAATAAATTGTCTTCCTTCCAGTCTTTGTTTCCCCATTTATAACTACTTACAGGTTTAAACCAACATTTTGGGGAACCATTAAAATATTCAGAGTTCAATAATTACTAGGTGCATCGTTATTATTCCCCCCAACGTTGAAGAAAAGCAACAAAATGCTTCCGAAACCCTTAGTTCGTGCATCTTGCTCTGAGTCCAACAGAAATGATGTTTTAGCTAAACTGAGTTAATTTCAACCTTGCATCCTTCACTGCTTTTGATGTATCCAACCATATGTGTGACAGAGCAGAGCTTCCATATACTGCTCCCAAGTCTGTCTCCCAAGAGCCTTGTAATGATGATGGAACCATGAAAGGAGCATCAGTGAAGAAATCGTACAATTCAGAATGTTAGTGAAGAATAAATCTAATGAACTTAATGTCTCAGCAGGTATCTATTGGTTCCAAAATTGGAACATAGTACATGGTAAGAATTTTCTTCCCTGTAGATAGCAGCTAGTAATAGGTCTGTTTTGATTCCATTAGTTTAGTTTAACGTGAAAGCTGCTCCCTGCACTACTTAGTCTTTTACCAAAGATTGATGGGGAAATAGTCTACATAGCCCAAGTGAAGGGAAATGCTGGACATTCTGTGGGAAATTCAGGTTCTACAGAAGCAGTCTTTGCATCTAAATGTGCATCGCTGTGCTTTGCCTCATTTTAAGCTTGTCCTATGTGATTGGTTGAAAGAGGACTCAGGAAATCTCAGAAGTTCTGGATGGACCTTCAGGTCACTCAGTTGCCTGACCCTTCTGTTTTCAGCAGGTGAGGCATGAGAGAAGTTATGCTACATTTGAGAATGGAGAGTTTACATTAATTACAACTGATGTGGTTTACAGACTTGAACCTTATAGACTCAAAGAAACTATGTATGCTTATTCAGATGTTGGCATTTTGTGTCTTTATACATTGCTGGCCAAATCTATGCAAGAAAAAATGATGAGAAGTTTTGTAGCTTTGGCAACTTTATCCCATAAAGTCACAATTTCTTCCCCACTAAAGTATTTCTGCCTTAATGTTTTGTAGGGCTTTTTGTCTTGGGAAGGTGCTGCGGTCTTGAAATTCCCAAAGACTATGTAACCCAGTAGAGAACATCATCCCATGATTATCTTTGGGTAGACTAAGTGTTCTTCTGTATCTTTGTATATTTCCCAAGAGGTTGTCATCTACTTTTAGCTTAGCAGAAAACTAGATTTTGCTGATTTCTCTAGGTTCTATTATTTCTGCCTTAGTCATCTTATAGTTAGCCCCAACATTCTTGATGTGTGCACCCATATACGTTTTCCAAATTGTATACAGCACCACTGATTAATTTCTGTGTTTTATCATTGCCTTGGAACATGGACCTATACAGGATGAAGATGGCATTCCTTGTTTTCCTTAGTTGGTAATATAAACCTTTATATGTATTTGCCCTTCCTTATTATCTCCCTTTCTCATCAATGGTATCCCTCCCCTTGGCCTCAAATAGGCTAACTGCTGTTTATTCCTTGATATTCTGTTTATGTAATCACTTGCTTCTATAATGGTTACTACTACTTTTTTTGCTTGCTAATCACTGAATCAGTGTAATTTCTCAGACAGTCGACTCCGTTAGTGTTTCCCTAAGTATTGCATTTTCTTCAGCTCCTATATATTCTCCCCTGGTTCACTGTATTCTCTTTATGGTCTAGACAAGAGGATGACAAATATTTTCTGTTGAGGCCTAGATAGTAAAGATTTTAGGCCAGGCCCGATGGCTCACGCCTGTAATCCCAGCACTTTGGGAGGCCGAGACGGGCGGATCACGAGGTCAGGAGATCGAGACCATCCTGGCTAACACAGTGAAACCCCATCTCTACTAAAAATACAAAAAATTAGCCGGGCATTGTGGCGGGCACCTGTAGTCCCAGCTACTCGGGAGGCTGAGGCGGGAGAATGGCGTGAACCCGAGAGGCGGAGCTTGCAGTGAGCAGAAATCGCGCCACTGCACTCCACCCTGGGCAACAGAGCAAGACACCATCTCAAAAAAAAAAAAAAGATTTTAGGCTTTGCTTGCCATGTAGTCTCTGTTGCAACTACTCAATTCTTCCATTATAGCACAAAAGCAGCTGTAGAGAATATGCAAATGAATGGGTGAAGCTATGTTTCCATAACATTTTATTTGCAAAAAGAAGCAGCAGAATGGATCTGGCCTGAGGGCTACAGTTTGCTGATCCGTGTTCTTGACTATCACCTGCCAGGACAGATTTGCTATAATCCCGTCATCCTTTTGGCACATTAAGAATTTATAATATTTACATGTACTATTATGTTTATTTATAATCATAAGGAAAAGATAACATTTTCTGAACACTTAAATGTCATTGGAACTGTGTTAAGCATCATGCATAAATTATCTCATTTAATCAGCTCAAAAGCCTTGGGAGGTAGTTTCTAATACTAGTCATATTTTACAGATGAGGAAACTAAAGCACAGAGACTTTAAGTGTCATGCTCAAGAATGCCAGTTAAAAGGAATCCATGTGGCCCACATCCACAGCCCAGCCCACAAACTACTATTCAGTTCTGCCTCCACACACTGCAATACATGACTTCAGGTGTGGTGCCTACAAGTCGAATGGCACCCTGGTCAAATGGCCCTTTGAGTTTGTTCTAATTAGCTCTGGCCAAAGAAGTGAAAACACTGCTGTTGTGGATCACCCAGTCCACAATGATCTTAAAGATTAAATGTCACTTTTTCATATGTTTGTTGCCCATTTGTATATCTTCTTTTGAGGATTGTCTATTCATGTCCTTAGCCCACTTTTTGATATTTTTTTTTTCTAAATTCTCAACATCACTAATGATCAAGGAAATGCAAATCAAAACCACAATGTGATACCACCTTACTCCTGCAAGAATGGCCATAATCAAAAAATCAGAAGACAGTAGATGTTGGCGTGGACGCGGTGAACAGGGAACACTCTACACTGATGGTGGGAATGTAAGCTAGTACCACTGCTATGGAAAACAGTGTGGAGATTCCTTAAAGAACTAAAAGTAGAACTACCATTTGATCCAGCAATCCCACAACTGGGTATCTACTCAGAGAAAAAGAAGTCATTATTCGAATAAGATACTTGCACAGGCATGTTTATAGCAGCACGATTCACAATTGCAAAATCATGGAACCAACCCAATGCCCACCAATCAACAAGTGGATAAAGAAACTGTGGTGTGTATATGTATGTATGTATGTATGTATGTGTGTATATATATATATATACATACACAAAATGGAATACTACTCAGCCATAAAAAGGAATGAATTAACAGCATTTAATGGAGATGAGATTGGAGACTATTATTCTAAGTGAAGTAACTCAGGAATGGAAAATCAAACATTGTATGTTCTCACTGATATGTGGGAGCTAAGCTATGAGGATGCAAAGGCATTCGAATGATACAACGGACTTTGGAGACTTGGGGGGAAGAGTGGAAGGGGGCTGAGGGATCTAAGACTACAAATATAGTGCAGTGTGTACTGCTCAGGTGATGGGTGCACCAAAATCTCACAAATCACTACTAAAGAATTTACTCATGTAACCAAATACCACCTGTACCTCAATAACTTACGGAAAAATAAAATAAAAAATATTAAAAAAATTAAATATCACTACCTTGGAAACCACTATAAAGCATTTTATAGTGTACCTCAATAACTTATGGAAAAATAAAATAAAAAATTTTTAAAAAAATTAAATATCACTACCTTGGAAACCACTATAAAGCATTTTAGCCAAGGTAACTCTCCATTTCTTTTTCTTGCTGCCTTTCGATGATCCACAGAGAACTGAAGGGAAGACCTAGATGTTTGTTGAGAACTTAGTTTATTCCATGCAGCACTGAACTAATTGTATGGTTTCCCATTCACATGATTAATGTAGGCAGCAAGTCAGGCAATTTCTAGCTTTTGGCAGACATTTTGGGCTGGAGTAGCCCATCCTCAAGGGTTTACTCTGACTGAGAACTATAAACAGTATGTCCTTACTTTGCTTTGTAGAATGTAGATACAGATGAAGGATCAGGTATCTGTATTTAACCTCCTAGTGAACCCCTTTGCCTCTTGTGGTAAATGAGTGCATCTGTAAGAACAATCTGAGTCTCTAAAAGGAAGCTTTCTCTTGAGTGAAATAGTCCAAGGACAGCTTGTTTATAAAAATGCCCTCAGAAATTTTGAGGAGATATTTTTCTGCAAAGTCAAAATGAATGAATGTTCTCTGAGCACCTATTATTCATATAGGAACATTTATTAATTGCTTAATATGCATAGGTACTATTATATAGGGGATAAACAGGCTATATATCATATAACTTAAAAACCAACAACCTTTGGGAAAAAACTCTGATTATTTAAAAAAATGTTTATTGTAGAAAATCTGAAGGAAAGGTTGAGGATTTTTTTTTGTTTTTTTGTTTTTTTGTTTTTTTGTTTTTTTGAGATGGAGTCTCACTCTGTCACCCAGGCTGGAGTCAGTGGCATGATCTCAGCTCACTGCAACCTCTGCTTCCTGGGTTCAAGCAATTCACCTCCCTCAGCCTCCCAAGTAGCTGGGATTACAGGCGCACACCGCCACGCCTGGCTAATTCTTATATTATTAGTAGAGACGGGGTTTCATCATGTTGGCCAGGCTGGTCTCGAATTCTTGACCTCAAGCGATCTGTCCACCTCAGCCTCCCAAAGTGCTGGGATTACAGGCGTGAGCCACTGCACCTGGCCTGAGGAAAAAAATTTAATAATCATTTCTAAGTCCCCATCCAAAGAGAACTACTGTTACTAATTTGATGTTTTATATTTTCTTGTGCATACTCTACATGTGTGCATACTCTACATGAGGATTATTATTGAGATAATACAGATTACAGCTTTACATACTTCTTTTTCCATTCAGCATGATAGAGTGACCATTTTTCATATCTTTAAATGTCATGCAAAAGTATCACTTTATTGTACATCATTTAAATTGTACATTATATTCTAATTCCTGCTGACTGGCTATCAGGATTTCCTTCTCATAATTATCTAATACTCACTTGGATTCCCCGTAAGAATGGTTTCCTTACAAAATGAGAAAAGTTGAGCCCTTTCCACTAAAATGGTTAAAATAAAAACTTCATGTGTTTAATTCTGGTTATCTGGAAAATTCACTATGCAGAACTTATAATGTTAAATAAACGAGTTGTTAATAAATGTAGATCATGTCTTATCCAAAAATGCCTATCTACATGACATAGTACAGTCATTGTTTTATATCAATGCAGAGAGGAAGAAGCTGTGATGTTAATAAAGTTGAATTTTAAAATGAAAATCCAAAGAACTATATGTATATAGGCCAAATAAAAAGTTACTTGATTACTTAATAATATGGATTAAAATGAGTAATCACTGTAATTCATATATTCAAGAAGTTTTCTTTTCAAGTTAACATTTTAAGTCCTGCCATGCCATTCCCTGTCCATATAAATACACTCACATAATACATACACAACACACATATTCATACCCACCCACCCTCCTGAATTAATCAATTCTAAATTTTGCTAGAGTTTAATTGTAAGATTTAGTGACAGATATTTTTCATATCATGTCATGTCTAACTTCTGGAATCACATACATATGGTGAATTTGGTGCAGAAATATGGCCAGATTTTTCAAAAGCACCAATCAAAACATTTTGATGGTTCACTTAATATAAGCAATAAAACCCCTCACTTTCCTTTTTTTTTTTTTTTTTTGGTAACGTCTTAGAACATGTGATTTTCCAGCAAGGGTGTGGGGGGCGGGTTTCACTGTATCCAACAACATATTGAATCTCTCTGCCTGTTTTCTCTCTCCTTGAAGATTCTTTAACTTGGAATTCAGCTCAAATTCAGAGTCTAACTGAAATTCAATTTAATCGTTAATCCCATAAGGGGATACAATAGCTGCTACACATTCTGGCAGACTCAAAAATCTACAAATTTTTAGTTTTAATAATGTTTTCCCTGTCTCTAATTTCCTGTCTAAGAAAACATTCTCTTGGACAATTACCCCCGTAATGGCCTTGCCAGAATCAATTTCAAGTTTAGCTGTCTCAGACAGCTCAGTAGCAGTCTGGGATTTTTTTCCCTCTACAATTTTCATTTTTTCTGCACAAGAAACCTAAGGTTTTATTCATTGTCATCTCAAATGTCTTCACATATTGTTAAATATACATAGAACATATATGCTTTAGCATTATGTATTAGTATAATATTCCAACTGTCTCCAACTTACAAATGGGTCAAGTTCTATGAATTCTTCTCTTGGTCATTTGAAGCAAGCTTTATGTTTAAGGGTAGATTCTAAGAAAAACAAAATTAAAAAATTTGAACCTTAATGCATCCATACAAAACACTTTAAGCAATATTTTAAACACTTTAAACAATATTTTATGTGGCATGTAGCTCCTAGTGATATGAAGAAGTTCTTTCTGAATTCTAGTTGCAGATACCATGAACACATCTCTCCCCATTCAGTGGCTTCTCTACTAGAGACATAAAGATTGGCATGTGGGATTAGTTTGGAAGGGGCAGCATAGGCATAAATAATCCCTACTGCCAATTTCTCATTTATGCTTTACAACTTCAAAAAGAAAGACATTTCTCCAGATCATTCACACCCCAGAGATACCCAATTGAGGACCAAAGGACAAGTTTATCCGGAAGAAATGTCAGGGGAAGTTCTAGTCTTAAATATATCCACAGGCCTGCTGTTTATATAACAGTTATTTTTTTTCAAATGAGAAGAAAGTAAACATCTTTATTAACTTATGAAAATGAAATAAAATGTAAGCTACACAACATGAGGGGCTCAGATGCTACTCTTGTAGATCATCATTGCATTTGTGGGAATTTCTTTCTTTTTCTTTCTTTTTCTTTCTTTCCTTCTCCTTCCTCCCTCCCTCCCTCTCCTTCCTTCCTTCCTTCCTTCCTTCCTTCCTTCCTTCCTTCTTTTCTTTCTTTCCCTCCCTCCCTCCCTTCCTTTCTTCCTTCCTTCCTTCCTTCCTTCCTCTCTCTCTCCCTCTCTCTGGCTCTTTCCTTATGTCTTTCCTTCTTTCTTTCTTTCCTTTGTCTGATCCGTTGCCCAGGCTGGAGTGTTGTCATGCAATCACAGCTCACTGTAGCCTCAAATTCCTGGGCTCAGGCAATCCTCTCACTTCAGCCTCCTGAGTACCTGAGACCAGGGGCACACACCACCACTCCCAGCAAATTTTTAAAAATTATTTGTGGGCCAGGCACAGTGGCTCATGCCTGTAACCCCAGCACTTTGGGAGGCCGAGGCAGGTGAATCACTTGAGGTCAGGAGTTCAAGACCAGCCTGGCCAACATGGTGAAACCCTGTTTCTACTAAAAATACAAAAATTAGCTGGGCATGGTGGTGGCACCTTTAATCCCAGCTACTAAGAAGGCTGAGGCAGGAGAATTGCCTGAACCCAGGAGGTGGAGGTTGCAGTGAACCGAGATCATGCCGCTGCACTCCAGCCTGGGCGACAGAACGAGACTCCGTCTCAAAACAACAACAACAAAAAATTGTGGAGACAGAATCTCCCTGTATTACTCAGATTGGTTTCCAACTTATGGGCTCAAGTGATCCTCCCACCTTGGCCTCCCAAAGTGTTGGGATTACAGGCATGAACCACCACACCCAGACTGTGGAAATTTCATAAGCAGAAGTGACTACAAGCTGTCTGCAAGGCAGTGGGTGAAAACATCACTTACTTTGTTGAATACATCACCACTGAGGGATGAGATGGCAGCTGCAGGTGTATGGGCAGCCACTCCCCCTCCTACCCCTAGGTCAGGCATTTCTTGTCAATTCTCAACTGCTGCCTGCTGAGGTTGAATGAGGCTTCAGAACCTTTTCCTACAATGGCACCCCATCCCATTCTTTTTGTCTTGTTGCAAAAAGATTTTTATAGAAAGAACAGATTTTTAAACAATACATCAAAAATCAATGTAATCTACCATATTATCACATTAAATAAGGAAAACCACATGATAATATCAAGGGATGTAGAAAAAGCATCAGACAAAATTAATTCATGTTAAAAACTCTCAACAATTCGGCCGGCGTGGTGGCTCACGCCTGTAATCCCAGCACTTTGGGAGGCTGAGGCGGGTGGATCACGAGGTCAGGAGATCAAGACCATCCTGGCTAACACAGTGAAACCCTGTCTCCACTAAAAATACAAAAAAAAATTAGCTGGACGTGGTGGCGGGTGCCTGTATTCCCAGCTACTAGGGAGGCTGAGGCAGGAGAATGGTGTGAACCCGGGAGGCAGAGCTTGCAGTGAGGTGAGATCCAGCCGCTGCACTCCAGCCTGGGCGACAGAGCAAGACTCCGTCTCAAACAAACAAACAAACAAACAAACAACTCTCAACAATTCAGGAATAGAAGAGAACTTCCTCAACTCAATAAAGGACTGTAGGTTTTTCAAAAATCAGTATCCAGAGCTCTCACAGAGTCAGGAATAAAGCCTGTTCCCATCAGCTAGACTGAAAAAAAACCCTCATAATTCACAGGACGTGGGTTAGGAGCAAACTCCCTCAAACCAGTTAAAGGCATCTACAGAAATGCTCATGTTGTATTTAATGATGAAAGACTAGATGCTTTCCTTCTAAGATCAAGAAAGAGACGAGGATGTCCATTTTCAGCACTTTAATTCAATATTGTACTGGAGGTTCTAGCCAGCACAATACAATAAGAAAAAGAAATAAAAGACATTCCGCTTGAAAGATAGAAACAACACTGTCCTTGTTTGGAGACATATGGTTATCTTTGTAGAAAAATCTTAAGGAATTTACAAAACAAAAGAAATTAAAACTAGTGAGCTTTTTTTTTTTTCCCTCCGGAGTCTCGCTCTGTCACCCAGGCTGGAGTGCAGTGGCGCGATCTCAGCTCACTGCAAGCTCCGCCTCCTGGGTTCATGCCATTCTCCTGCCTCAGCCTCCCGAGTAGCTGGGACTACAGGCGCCCACCACCATGCCAGGCTGATTTTTGTATTTTTAGTAGAGATGGGGTTTCACCATGTTAGCCAGGATGGTCTCAATCTCCTGACCTCATGATCCACCTGCCTCAGCCTCCCAAAGTGCTGGGATTACAGGCGTGAGCCACCATGCCCAGCCTAAAACTAGTGAGCTTTGTAAGGTGGCAGGATACAAAAATCAACGTAAAAGTTAATTATATTTGGATATACTAGCAATGAACAATCAGAAATTGAAATTCAAATAACATTATCATAACATTACTATGAGAAATTAAATAAGGCAAATAAGTGAAAAGATACATTGTGTTCCTCGCTTGGAAGACTTGATAACGTTAAGGCATCAGTCTCTTCCAGTTGCATCTATAGATTTAATTCAATCTCAATCAAAATCTCAATAGTTTTTTTTTAGTAGAAATTGATAAGTTGATTTTGAAATCTGTATGGAAATACAAAGGACGTAGAATACCCAAAATAATTTTGGAAAAGAAGAGCAAATTTGGAGGACTAATGCTACCTGCTTTCAAGATTTATTGTAAAACATAAGTAATCAAAAAGGGTAGTATTGACATAAAGATAGACAAATTGATCTAAAATTTGGTTAAAACACAGGTGAATGGATAAACCAATTCTGGTATATCCATTCAATGACATACTATTTTGTAGCAACAAAAAAATGAATTACCTGATGAACACAAATAAATTTTAAAATGATTATGCTGAGTGAAAGAAGCCAAGCAAAAAAGATTTATATTGTAGGATTCCACTGATGTAAAATTCTAGAACATGTGAACTAATCTAGAGTGAGAGAAAGCAAATCTGTGGTTGCCTAGAGACCACGGGGCAGGAATGGTAGAAAGACATTTCAAAGAGGTATTAATACAAGGAAGCTTTGGTGTTTCAGAGGTGGATTCATATGTCCAAACTTACCAAATCAAGTTGTATACTTTAAATATTTGCAGTTGGCTGTATGTTAACGATACCTCCCTAAAGCTATTAAAATAATAGCAATTAAAAACTCTCAGTTTTTATAGATTCTTCTTCAACTTTTTGGCGAGAAAACCAATGGAATGGGCAGTTCAGTTTCAGGCAAAGAAGTATTGCTGCTCAAGAATGGTTTCTAAACAGATTGGAGGTTAAAGAAGGACTATTGAAATCCTGTTTAACCCAACTACCTTTATCAAAATATATTGATATTTTTTTCTTGAGTAAAAAAGATTAAAATGAGCAATTTTCTGGCACTAGTGGAGAAGATGGCAAATGTGCAATGATCTAGCTGGACTTTTTCCTACTTTTGCTATCAGGGCTGATGACTCTCAAGGCTCAGATATCTGCAGCTCAAGAATGGATGTGACCAGTGATGGCAAGCCACCTTAGGCCATTCAAGGCTCCCAGCTGGAAAGAAGGCATCTCTCATTTGGGTGTCTAAAGAGAAAGCCCAACACTCTCACCTCCAGAGCCAGGCTCAGCCTCTTATAATGCTCCCATTTCTCTCTCTGGTCTGGCCAACCCAGCTCAGATCTGAACTGCTTTTTCTCACTTATGACCAGGGCTTATCTCATCGGCCTTGGAGAAAAACTCCACTTGGAGTTCCCACTTGGAGAAAAACTCTTGATTCTAATGCCTTATCCTGTATTGGTGGAGAGAATTTAAATCAATGTTCAGAGTCCCAGAATTTCCACATTGAAGTCTTCCTGGCCAGCACAGAGTGATAAGTGACTCACATTCTCAAAAATATCTATACCAAAACTACAAGATCATGCCTCTTACTACTCCTACTCCTCAAGGTGAGGAAATCCTAGACAAACTACAGTGTAACAAAGTCCCTGAGAAAAGTGTCACTCCCTCTTTTCTTCACCAATCAAGGGAAGACAAAAACAAGCAGAATTTTAAGGAGTTTTCTGAATACTAATTAGTAGTATGAGCTTGGACAACTCACAACTTGTTGGTCTTCAATTTCCCCAGCTGTAGAAATAAAACGATTATACAGAATGATCTCAAAGGTCTCATTCAATTCTATGCAGACATATATGTTCCCAGGCCTTAGTGGGTTTGCAATCTGGTTGAAGTAGAAGACTAGCCATCCTGAAAAAAAAAAAAAAAAAAAACCAGCAAGCATTACTAGAAAAAATACAATTACATGTTCAATTATGTGGTACAGATTCTGAGTGTTCTAAGAATTCAGGGCACAGTTGTATCTGAGGCTGGAGAAACAACTCAAGGCCTCATGGAGGAATGGTGTTTTTAGCTTAGACTTAAACGTGATTTACTAGCACTGCAATTCCAAAATCCACTGGGGCAGTGGCTAATTTTCAGGGCAGGAACTGTGTCTCCTTAATCGCTGTACTTTTCCTCCCTAGCGCTCCGTGTCTACACCATTGGATTTAGCTCCAAATCCACTCTATCTTGTCCTGTTTACTGTGGGCTCATGCATGCTGGTCCAACTGTATCATAAATTCTTAAGAGCCAGGCCTTTAGTTTACAAGTTTGTATCAGTTTTGTGGCTCAACATAAGAGTAAATCATACTCTTTATGACACAGGCCTTTCTTAACTCTCTTTATTGAATTGAAATGAATTTAAACTGTGGGATCAGGGCAGGTTTCAAAGGAAATGAAGTTATTTAAAGAGAAATCTGAGGAGACAGGAGAGGAGAGGATGTCTCTGTTGGATGCTTGTGAAGGACAAACATACCACAAAAGGGTGATGTATATATAAGTCATGGGCTGGCTGCAAGAAGACTATGAGCCTCAAGTCCTTTGATTTTTTTTTTTTTTTTTTTTTTGAGATGGAGTCTCACTCTGTCACCCAGACTAGAGTGCAGTGGCGCAATCTCGGCTCACTGCAACCTCCACCTCCCAGGTTCAAGGAATTCTCCTGCCTCAGCCTCCTGAGTAGCTGGGACTATAGGCATGCACCACCACATCCAGGTACTTTTTGTATTTTTAGTAGAAATGGGGTTTCACCATGTTGGCCAGGATGGTCTTGATCTCCTGACCTCGTGATCCACTCACCTCAGCCTCCCAAAGTACTGGGATTATAAGCGTGAGCCACGAGCCTGGCCAGGAAATTCTTTTTAAGACTCAAATGATTAGTCAGAAGTAAAATGAAGCGCACATGGCATGTTTTATTAAAGTGGGCATGCCAGTTACACTATATTTTTAGGTAACTTGGGGGAAATAAGAAAATCAGCACAATTAAAAGTAGTGTAATTCCTATTTGAGATATGATGCCATTTGTATCTATTAAAATGTCTTGAATGGCTGGACTGATCTATTCATTCATGCAAAAATATTTATTTAGTGACTACTGTGTGTCTGACACTCTTTTGGGTATTAGAACTATATCAGTGAACAAAACACAAAAAAACTTCCTCTATTCTGAAAGCTTACAGTAGAAGGAGAGAGATAATGGTCAATAAGCATTCTAAGTAAATCATATAATATGCTGAAAGATCACACATGCTATTGGAAAGTGAAAAATAACTAGAGTAAGGGGCATGGGGAGTGCCTCAGGGGAGGTTGGGGGACAGTTACAATTTAAAGATGACATTTAAAGAAAGGCTTAGAGGTGAGAAATTTCTGTGGAGGTGCGAGGAAGAGAGGCAGAAAGGGAAGCTGCTTGAGTAAAGGCTTTGACATGGGATCTTGCCTCCTGTCTAAAGAAATGCACAGGCCAGTGTGGACCAAGAACAAGGTGGGGACAGGCGTGGAAGAGTAATAAGAAAAGTCAGAGAGGTAGCGGGGTCAAAACTGTCTAAAGCCATGAAGGCCATTATGGGTACTTCGTCCTTGGAGAAAAAATGGGAGCCCTTGGAGGGCTTTGAGCATGAAAGCCGCCACACTCTGATAGCTGAGTCACATTCTTAAAAGTATCTACGTCAAAACTACAAGGTCATGCCTCTTCCTAGGATGGGCTGCTGGGGGTGGGATGGTGTGGAGGCCACTGCAGGAATCCAGGTGACACGGGATGGCCCAACCACAGTGCTGTGAGAAAGGGTGGGTTCTTGGTATACATTAAAGGAAGAGCCAAAATAATTTGCTGATGGGTGGGATGTGGTGCATGAGAGAAGTCAAAATGACTTCAAGGCTTTGGGCCTGAGAACTAGAAGCAGGGAGTTGTCCTTCCCTGAGGTGGGAAAACTGGGAGGAAGAGAACATGGCAGAAAGAATAGGAGTTCCAATTCAAACATGTTAAGGTTGAGCAATCTGCTAGATATTCAAACAGAGATTTCCTGTATTAAGGAATACTAGAATCTAGCTTTGTGGATTCAGTGGAAAAACTAGACTCTTCTTTTCAAAGAATATAAGCATATCCGGAGATTCACAGATTTCTGATTTCCAAGAAGGTTGGTGACTCTTAACGTCTGTTTGTTTTCATTTCTCCTTTAAATTACATTTCCATTTTATTAACCTAAAATTTTGTATATATAGTGTAATTATTCCTCATCAGGATAGACCCAGTTATTTATTTCCAAATTGCGAATTTTGTTTGGTGATATAAATTACCAGTCAATATCACAAAATCTTGGAAAGCATCACCTACATCATTTCAAATGCTAAGCAAAAATGGACTTGTGAAGCCCAGCATACCATTAAATTGTATATTTAGGGATTTAACTTTAGATATCCCGAGTTGCATTTTAGTCATCCAACAATCATTTATTGAATAAATACCATGATCCTGGAATCGTGCTAGCATCAGAGGGCCCAGAGACTTTTAAAAATGCCCTTTTGGCATCTTTAGGAGCCTGTATGGGCAGAATGGTTGGCTTATGGAGAGGGTAAGGAGCTTTTAAATGACTGAAATATTCATTGTAATATAACTACGAATTCAAGCTTGGGCATATGGGTGGCGGAGCACTGGAGGAAAGTACAATCTCTCTTTTCTTCATTCCATGTGCAAATTCCAGCTCCAATTTTGTGGACAATTCTTTTATTTACTAGTTCTTAGTACAACTCTTTCTATTACTGCATCAAGAGGTGCTGGTCCTTCTCAGAAATGACAGGCAGAAATAGGTTAATTAGATCAAATATTCACAGCTTCTGGGTTGCCCTCCCAGATCACAGTGTTTTATCCTTTAAACAGTGACCACTGAAGTTCGAGTCTGGAAATGGGCAATGCTTTGTCAGGCAGGAGTAAAGGAGTGAGCTGCCCAGATCCCCCCCACAAGAGTGTCTGCTGTCTTCAGTCTAGCAGAGAGGACACACTGGCCCTCTTGTTTTCTTTCTTGGAAGCCTAGAGCCACTTCCGAGGATCATACGCATTCAGTAAAGAACTTAATATCACCCCCCACCCCCAACGTGCCATATTTAATACAGTGAAGTCCAGTCCCAATGTTTTGCCTGTGATAAACTGAGGAAGGTTTCTGCTCCGACGAGGACCTGGGCTCCGAAGGCAGGTAGTCCATTCATGCCTCAGTTCCACAGCTTGGGGCCCAGTGACTTTGGGTGAGTCACTTAATCGGCCCCTGCCTTGGTTTCTTAATCTGCAGGAAGGGCGGGTGGTTATGTAGTAACAGGGTTGCTGTGAGGCTCATATGAGATAATCCAGCTAAAGCTTTTAGCACACAGCTTAGTACAAAATAGATGCTCAATAAACGTTAGGCATTTTACATTCTGATTTCAGTCCTTGAGTTTACAGTTAAAATTTTGATACATCTAGAGCCAAGACTAATCGTGTGAAACAAGACAGCCCTACAGACAATATCTAAGAAGATCCCCTCAGCCCTACTCCAGGATCCTAAATACGTACACTGTTTCAGGAACCTGGATGTCTAGACGTTTTATGAAATGTCCACTAGGTGGCAACATGTTGTCATATTTACTGTCCGCACTGTCTAAATTTCTAACAGGGATCCTGAAAAACCACATTCACCTTATCTGATACTTAACAATTTTATCATAAACAAAACCAGATTCGCTACAGTCATTATTTCAACTAAAAAAAAAAAAAGCTCCAGTTAGTGGGCTCTTGTTTTAAAAATAACATATTTGTTATTCACATTGTTTGAATGGTTATCCTTGTATCATACGAACAATATGATGTTAAATATCACACTTGAGGATTTCTCTGTTTTTTATTCTTATGCTCCTATTTGATTTTTAAATGTTTTAACACATTGATTACCTGACAAAGGATGAAGGATTTAGATGTTTGTCACGATTCAAAAAAAATCTCATTGCATGACCTGGTCATTTGGCATCATATTAACGACTTGGGGAAAGAAAGGATAAAATTTTTTTTTTCTTATGCATTTTATGTTCTTAAATCAAAGTCTCGATGCAGACCCCAAAACCAAAAATGCCAGCAACCGCACATGGGACACAAACCTTGTGTTCTACCAGGCTGGGATTTTTCAGAAAATTCAAAGTAATCTCTCTAAAATGAACATATACTTTACTTTCCTTGCTATTCCTTTAAAGTGTGTTTTTTTGGAGAAATGTAGATAAGGAATGAAGGAAGAATAAATGGATGACTCTGACATAAAAGGAGGCTTTGGGATGCAACTGTTATGTGACAGCAAGGAGTAAAAATATAAGAATTTGTGGACGAGGAAGAGAGGTGGTAAGAAAAGGTTCCCAGTGATGTGAATTAGGATTGAAGAACTCCAGCCTGAAGAGGGGATTGTTATGTGGAGCACAGTTAGATAATAAAACCGCTATAAAGACACATGAGAGATTTGTATGATAAAATGTTATGTTATCTTATATAATAAATATTTTGGTACATGATTGAGAGGTCTTTGAGAATGCCATGATACATTTTATTGTTCATTTATATTTATTAAAAGCATAAAATAAAAGGGTAAATAGTTGATATTAACAAATAAAGTTCCAGAACAAGTTCTGTCTATAGGCATTTCTTATGAATTCTTACTGTCTATAGTAAAATAATGATATATTACTGATCACTACACATGTTAAGCTTTTACTTTTTAATTAAAACTGTCATTAATGATCCAGCTACTGCCTGGAAATTAACCTCAGGCTTATTATAAAATTAGCATTTTCAAAGTCATATTTTAAAGCAACATTTAAATGTCTGTTGTTCTTAGTGGTAGGGGGCTCCATAGTAGGAAAGGAGGCATATTGATTACAACACAGATTATTGAGGAGGATTGTCTCAGCATACCCTTCCAATTATATTGAAAATCACCTTGTGATAAGACATAAATATCTGTAAATGTTATATAATGGGGTTTTATCTGTTTGTTTTGCAGAAAGCACACTGTTAGTAAACAGATGGTTTAGAACTATTATAGTTGCCAATAACTGGAAACTTGGCCCTAGAAAGGACAAAATACTGTATATAATTGTTCATTAAACAAATATTTATTGACTCTCTGATGTGGGCCTTAGAAATTCAATAGTGATCCAAATAGGCATAGTCTCTGACCCCACAACTGCTCCTAGATTCTAATAGAAAACAGACAATAAATAAACATTGTAACACATGTGGTAATGATGGAAAAGAAGGCTACAGGAAATTTGAAATAAAAGAAGAAAGTTTACCTAGAGTACACACTGGAATTTAAGTTTACTAAATAAATGACTTGTACATGTAAAACAACAACAACCAAAAACCTAAACAAAACCCCATATGGTTTAATATTGCTAATTAATGATCTTTCAAATAGCCAGTAAACATGTTTCACAGCACTACCAATTTGTTACCATCCTGCTATCCTTCAAGCTAGCACAAAATCTACAAAAGAAACTCTTCATCTGATTCCCATTTAACTGGCTCTCTGAAATTAATCTCTAGTGTCCATGGCATGGATGCCATTGATAACATCTGTGAGTGATGCTCACTGCCTCTGGATCCCACAGCTAGTACGCT
This sequence comes from Homo sapiens, assembly GCF_000001405.40. Taxonomy (NCBI): domain Eukaryota; kingdom Metazoa; phylum Chordata; class Mammalia; order Primates; family Hominidae; genus Homo; species Homo sapiens. Next base: position 54,981,227 of record NC_000018.10, on the reverse strand, counting down.
AACTCTCTGGAACCCCAGATCCTCTTCTCACATGACTGGGTTGTGTGTTTATTAACCATCAATTACATGCTTTCCCCAAACTGATGTGTACCAGTTCTACTCTACATTTTAGTTTTATAATTTACTTGAATATCTTGTGAACTGATGAAGTAGGACAAAAAAGAATAATTGTTTTTATGAAAAATAAGTTGAATGCTTTGAAAAGGACCCAAGGATAAATTGCTAAAAAAGATTTTGCTCCCCAAATAGGAAATGGTAAGAAAACAATGGATTCGAAAAATCAATGAAAATCTAGAAGTGTCCTGTACTTAGATTTCCTCCCAAGTATGTTTATGTCCTCACTTTTCTTGAAAAGAACTGAAGCTGGACACTTTAGACTATGCTCTTTTAGGTGTGTTTATTTAAAATCAAGATGCTTAGGCTGGGCACGGTGGCTTACGCCTGTAATTCCAGCAGCACTTTGGGAGGCTGAGGCGGGCGTATCACTTGAGGTCAGGAGTTGACCAGCCTGGCCAATATGGTGAAACCCTGTCTGTAATGAAAATGCAAAATTTAGCTGGGCGTGGTGGCACATGCCTGTAGTCCCAGCTACTCGGGAGGCTGAGGCAGGAAAATCACTTGAACCTGGGAGGTGGTGGTTGCAGTGAGCTGAGATCACACCACTGCACTCCAGCCTGGGTGACAGAGCAACAGCCTGTCTCAAAAACTACAAAACAAACAAACAAACAAAAAACAACTAACCTGGCCTACACATATTGAACTTTTCTACTGCAAACATTCAGTGGTTCCTTATGAACCTGACAAATTAAATGTATATTTCTCACCATGGAGTTTCAAGCCTCCCAAAATATAATGGTGATTTACTTTTCATGTAGTATTTCCTACTATTCCCCTGCTTATATCCTGCTCTCTAGTCAGTACATTACCTGACATGGCTAACTGTGGTAAATTATGATGGTAAAATCTGACAGTTTTATGCCTCCTGGTATCCATGTCTTTGTGTGGCCGCCCCCTGCATTGACTCTGGGCTTGGCCATGTGGTTTGCTTTGTCCAATGAGACATTGGTAAATGTTACAGAAGCAGAGGCTTGAAGGGGATACAAAATTTCAGCCAGATAAGAGGAGTAAGTTCAAGAGAACTATAGTACAACATGGTGATGGTAGTTGATAGTAAAGTATTGTGTTCTTGAAAATTGATGAGAGAGTAGATTTAAGTGCCCTCACTGCAAAAAAAAAAAAAAAAAAAAAAAAAAAAAAAAAGATAAGTATGTGAGGTAATGCATACGGTAATTAGCTCAATTTAGCCATTCCACAATGTATATCTACAGTATTTCAAAACATATTATACACAATAAATACATACAAGTTTTACTTGCCAATTTAAAAAATAAATAAAACAAAGCAACAACAACAGCACTAAACAAAAATAAAAACAAATTAAAAATGCTTTGCATTGGGGATTGTTCTCTTGGAAAATGGCTGCTGCCATGTGGCAAAATCCAAGTCAGCCTTTCTGAGGGTTAGAGCAGCTCACCTGTCCCAGGTGGATCCTGGCTGCCTTATTCAACAATGCTGCTTGAAACAATAGCCTGACCCTAAACTTGAAGACATGGGCTGACCATAGATTAGTCACCTGGTAGGAGCCCCTGGCTGTTCTTTGACCACAGATGGACTAGTTCCCAGGCTAGCTGTACTGTGTGATTTTTCCTTTTCCTGAACCCTTAGCCCTGCCTTTACCCTCCCCACTCCTGTGTCATTGCTCCCGGGAAACCATCTGAATGGAAACCCCATTGACAAAAATAACACACCACTTACAGAGAGCCTGTTGGCCATCCAATGTAAGGTAAATGATTGAAATGTGTGAGTCCATTGAATCTTCGCTTTGGACACGTTTTTCCATCACACAAAAGTTTACCAAACACAAAGTTGGAAAAGACCCTTTAAGAAATTGTTTAATATACTTCTAAAATCATTAAGTGCCATAGAGAATAACATTTCCTTAGGATTGCTTTCTTAAATCCTATAGCCTTCATTTTCAAGGAAAGTGGCTTGATATAAGTGCAGGTGTGCCTCGTTTTCTTGTGCTTTGCTTTATTGTATCTCGTAGTTACTGTGTTTTGTACAAATTGAAGCTTGTGGCAACCCTGTGTCGAGCAAGTCTATAGGCACGATTTTTCCAACAGTACGTGCTCACTTTGTGTCTCTGTGTCATATTTTGATAATTCTCACCATATTTCAAACTTTTTCATTACTGTATCTGTTATGGTGATCTGTGATCAGTCACATTTGGTGTTACTATTACAATTGTTTTGGGTTCAATGAATCACATCTATAGAAGACAGTGACCTTAAGTGATAAATGTTGTGTGTCTTGACTGTTCTAGCTTCTCTATTCTTTGAGACACAACAATATTGAAAATAGGCCAATTAATAACCCTACCATGGCCTTCAAGTGTGCAAGTGAAAAGAAGAGTTGCAGGTCTCCCATTTAAAGCCAAAGTTTAGTGAGGAAGCCATGTCAATAGCCAAGATAGGCTGAAAGCTCAGCCTCTTGCACCAATGGTTAGCCGAATTAGGAATGCAAAAGAAAAGTTCTTGAAGGAAATTTAAAGTGCTACTCTAGTGAACACATGAACGATAAGAAAGTGAAACAGCCTTATTGATGATATGAAGAGTTTTAGTGATCTGGATAGAAGTTCAAACCAGCCACAACATTCTCTTAAGCCAAAGCCTAATACAGATCAAGGCCCTAACCTTTAATTCTATGAAGGCTGAGAGAGGTGAGGAAGGTGCCCAAAAAAAGTTTGAAGCTAGCAGAGTTTGGATGTATGAGGTTTAAGAAAAGAAGTCATCTCTATAACATAAAAGTGCAGAGTGAAACAGCAAGTGCTGATGTAGAAGCTGCGTAAGTTACCCAGAAGATCTAGCTAAGATGACTGATGAAGGTGGCTACGTGAAACAACAGATTTTCAATGTAATGTAGACAAGACAGCCTTACGTAGGAAGAAGATGCTCTCTAGGACTTTCATAGCTAGAGAGGACAAGTCAATGCCTGGATTCAGAGCTTCAAAGGACAGGCTGACTCTCTTGTTAGGGGCTAAAGCAACTTGTGACTTTAAGTTGACGCTGATGCTCATTTACTATTCTGAAAATCCTAGGGCTCTTGACAATTACGCTAAATCTACTTTTCCTGTGCTCTATAAATGAAACAACAAAGCCTGGATCACAGCACACATGTTCACACCATGGTTTACTAAATATTTTAAGCCCACTGTTGAGAACTACTGCTCAGAAAGAAAGATTCCTTTCAAAATATTACTGCTTATTGACAATGTATCTAGTCACCCAAGAGCTCTGATAAAGATGTACAAGATTAATGTATTTTCATGCATACAAATGCAACATCCATTCTGCAGCTCATGGATCAAGGAGTAATTTCGACTTTCAAGTCTTATTATTTAAGAAATATATTTCATAAGGCTATAGCTGCCATAGACAGTGAGTCCTCTAATGGATCTGGGCAAAGTCAGTTGAAGACCTGTTGCAAAGGAGTCACCATTCTAGATGCCATTTAAGAACATTTGTGATTCATGGGAGGAGGTCAAAATATCAACATTTACAAGTTGATTCTAACTCTTATGGAAGACTTGGAAGGGTTCAAGATTTCAGTGGAGGAAGTAACTGTAGATGTTGTAGAAATTGCAAGATAACTAGAATTAGAAGTGGAGTGTGAAGATGTTACTGAATTGCTGCAATCTCATGATAAAACTTTAATGGACGAGGAGTTGTTTCTTATGGATGAGCAAAGAAAGTGGTTCCTTGAGATTGAATCTGCTGGGGAAGATGCTGTGAACATTGTTGAAGTGGCAACAGAGGATTTAGGAGATTACATAAATTTACTTGATAAAACAGTAGGATAGACTTCAATTTTGAAAGAATTTCTACTGTGGATAAAATGCTATCAAACAGCATCACATCCTACGGAGAAATCTCTCATAAAAGGAAGAGTCAATCAATGTGGCATACTTCATTTTTGTCTCATTTTAATAAATTTTGTCACAGCCATCCCAATCTTCAGCAACCACCACCCTGATGAGGCAGCAGCCATCAACATTGAGGCAAGACCCGCCACAAGCAAAAAAAACTATGATTCTGAAGGCTAAGATTATCAATAGCACATTTAGCCGTAAAGTATTTTTAAATGAAGATATGTACATTGTTATTACACACTTAATAGACTACAGTATAGTTTAAACATAACTTTTATATGCACTGGGAAACCAAAAAATCTGTGTGACTTGCTTTATTGCAATACTCACTTTATTGTGGTGATCTGGAACTGAACCCACAATATCTCCAAGGTATGTCTGTAACACTGTAAAAAAGAAGAAAAATCACAAAAGGGTAATAGGCCAAAAGTCTTAAGTTTTGAATAAAAATATAAACTCAGCACTGTAAGTGAAACCATTATTTCTAATTTATTTCTAGTTGATGGTATATTCGTCCCAAATTTTAAAGATTTAGTTATAAATGTATCAAATAGTTTAGTAATTTTCTAGTTAATAGCAGAAAAGAAATTCTTTATCAAGCATATTACTCTATGAGACTGAAAAGAAATATGCATAGACTTTCTGTATATTAGCTAGATTTTCATAGCCTAGGAAGGTTCAGCTAAGTTTCAGCCTTGGACCAGGAGGCTCAACATGATCCTGGGTCTTGGCTACTGTAATGGAAAAGCAAAGATGCACATATGGGATTCTAAAGCTATGATCAGTGTTGTGATTTGAAATTATGTTTGAGGTCCTGAGACATGGGTTAAATTTAACTTAGATCATTAGATGAATGTTAGGCTAGGATTTCAGCAGTAAACAATCTGACAGGCTGATTGGCAGCCTCTTATTATAGAGGCGTAGTGATTAATTAACACAGAGCTTCATTAATTTTGTGAGGCAAGGAACAGTATTTCTTTGCAGTGAAAATCAATATTTGAACACTTGGAGCCTCTTCTCTGAGCTAATTTACTCAGATATTTAGTTCACTTTAAATTCTCAGTTCTCTGTAAATGTTCTATGCTTCCAACTATTAAGGTAATTGGGAATATTTATGATATCCTTCCTCAAGTTATTTTTGGAAGAATGTGAAGTGTAAGTGAATATATTCTGGTATTCGTGTTTCAATTTCAAAAGCATATTTATATTATTGTATGGGTCAGGATGTTAAACTACATTGTTAAAGGCAAGAATGTATGTAGAAACTGTGGGAAAATACTTACCACCCTGCTTTTGGTAGAAATTATATCAACATTCTACTCAATGTGCATTTAAATCATTTTGCTATTGTCAAACTCTAGAGAATTATTTCCTTAATTATTGGAGTGAGTCTTAGGGACTCTGTGGAAAGGAATTCATGCTCTTGACATATGACTCAGCAATAATTTCTATTTTGCAAATAAACCAAGAATTAGAGATTTTCTTTAGCCTAGAAAACAAATTTCCTGGAAGCATCCAAAGAGAATTCAGAGCCTGGAAATGGGAAGGGCTGGGATTCTTCCTCCAGGTGAGAAAAGGATGTGATACCTGCCAAGGAGCTCAAGATGAAGACTGAGCAATACGGCGGTCACTTGTGCCCTCTGAGGCCTGAGCTCAGCACAACAAATGAAGGTGCCCTGCTTCCCTGAGGAAGACGTAGTGAATGTGGCATAGAACAGCTCCACAGCACAGAGACACACAGAGCGATGGAGCAAGGTGGGAAGTGGGCCTTATGAGAGCAGGTATCCTAGGGCCTTTTTGGAGAGGTGGGGCAAGAACTCACTACAAGACCAGAAGTCCAGGGAGGACTTGGGGATACTGTGTCTTCTTTTTCCTTCTGCTGAACCAAGAGCTAGAGCAAAGCTAGAAGGACCCTAGAAGGGAAGAGAGCAGAAAGTAGAATGAAAATCGTGCCCCTTTGACAGGCCACAAAGGGTCTTGGGAAGCAATGATCAGGAAACAAGTTCCAGAATTAACTGAGCATCTTGTGACATCTAAAACTTACCACATTCTCACTGCACCTGTGTGATAGCTATATTTTGCTTTAGCTTTCCAAACAATTATTTCCAAAGGCATAGTTATTTGGTTAAGCTAAGTTTTTAAGTAAATATTTTTAGTCTCTTTAAGATTATGGAGTGGAAAGCAGCATCTCCTTAGGACTCAAGTATGGAGTTGTCACCAAGTTTAAAGTTCAGGGCGAAACAGTGATACAGGACAGGAGGGGGCAAGAGAGGCACCTAGGGAGAATTTCAGGGTCAGCTGTGGACACTTGAGGCCCTGAGCGTCCACACTCAGGTCAGCTGTGGACACTTGAGGCCTGCTTCTGTTTCCAGAGGCACCTGAAATGCTATATCCTGCGCATCTGTGACAGCTTGATACCACACACAAAAATCATGTGCACACAAAGGGGACACTTATTTACTCGTAAAGATAAGCTGTGACTTTTGCTTACTATCTGCTTTTAGGAACAGGATGAGAATTATCCTGTTCCAAGTTTGAAACTGGTCACCTGTTTGAACTGTCCTAAATAATATCTTTATGTTTTAATAAATTATTATTTTACAGATCATCATCATCAAAACATCATATACATATATGTAAGCTTTAAATGGTTATGTACTAGTCACATTAATTAATTAACTAGTTGGATTTCTGCTTGACTTCCTCTATTTTCATCGCATCATGAAATTTACCAAGAAATACAAAATTTCAGAGCTACATACATCTAGTATTTCTCCAAATGTATTGGTTGTTTTTCTCGGTCTTTGATACACCCTTTTCTAAATATTTCCCATCTACACTCACTCCCTAGATTATTTCACCCATTCTATATTTTCATATACATTTAATAATTCATATATATATTTGTATCCAGTTTAGAACTTTAGTCTAATACATTGAGATATGTAATTGTTAGCTGTCTGCAACTGGATATCTGGGAGGCATTTTAGATAAAAAGTTTTAAAAAGAAACACTCAATTTTCCTTTAAAACCTACTCTTCCTTCTGCTATTCTAATCTCACAAATTAATTCATTGTAGAAACACTATTGAGTACATCTTATATGCCACATATTGCTGAAGATATACCAGTGGACACAAAGGCGGGGGAAGGCAGAAAATAGGCAGTAAATAAAACACCCAAAGAAATATCTAGGGTGTTAGAGGGTGATCAGTTCTTTATAAAAATAAGAAAGAAAATTAGATCAGCGTATAGTGGAAAGAGGTCTTCTGCATTAAATAAGAGGATTAGAAAGATGTCATCAAGGTGGCATTTGAGCAAAGATTTGAAATTGGTGAGGGAATTCAGCATACAGATACCCAAAGGATACTCCAGGCATAGCAAACAACCAATGGTGCAAAGAGTGTAAAGCCAGAGCCTGCCAGACACACTCAAGGAATAGCCAGGAGTCAGGGTGGAGGGAGTTGGGGAGAAGGGAGAGGAGGAGACGAGAACAGAGAGGGAGTAGGGACCAGGTCTTTGCAGATCCTTGCAAGAATTTTGGCACTGTGACCTGATTATATTCATGTTCTTGAGGATCACTCTAGTAATGATCCAGAATAGATTTTAAGGAGGCAAGAGTGGAAACAGGGGCAACAGTTAGGAAGCTATTGTTATTTGAGCTAGGAACAATGATGACTTATTCCAGGGTGGTAGCGAAGGGATGGATGTATTTTGAGGGTAGAGCCTATAGTATTTTCTGATAGACTGGTAGGATAGGAAACATATGGGAAATATAACAGAAAGAGGAAATTCAAGGATGATGTAAAGATTTTGTGGCCTAAATGACTGGAATTATAAAGTTTTCCCTCTACCGAGTGAAGAAGATTGCGGTAGAGCAGGTTTGTGGTAAGATCATGAGTTCCGCTTTGAACATGCCACGTTTAAGGGTCTGTTGGACATCCCAGTAATGATGTTGAGCAGGCAACTGGGAACACGAGTCTGGACTCAGAGGAGAGGCCCAAGCTGGGAGATTTGTGTTTGTGAGTCATCAGTACATAAATGGCATTTAATCAAGGAAGTGAGCTTAGATGGAGGGGCAAGGCAGACCAAGTACTGAGTGGCTAGGACTTTCCAAAATGAAGAGTTTGAGAAAACGAGGAGGACTCATTAAAGGATACCAACAGAAACTGCCAGCGAAGTAAGAGTAACACTGGGAGAGTGGTGTCCTGAGAGCCAAGAGAAGGCATCCACGTCTATTGGGATAGAGAGACGACTGCACCAAATACTGCAGACAGGTGAAGTGAAGTGAGAACTGAGAAGTGACCACTGGACTTAGCAATGTGGCGGTCATCAGTATCCATGACAACAACAGTTTTGTTGGTATGATGTGGGGGTTGGGGGGTGAGGAGAAGCCTGATTGGAATGGGTTTAAGAGAGAGTAAGTAAACAGAAATTGGAGGTAATAACAACTCTTTTTAGGAGTTTTGCTATATATGGTACAAAGAAATGGAAAGGTAACTGGTAGAGGAAGTGGGAATAAGAGAAGATTGTCTTTGTTTTTATTGAACATTTTAAGTGAAGTATAACAAGCATACAGAATGTACAAAAAGCCTAGGTAAAATGTGAAATGTTTTTACAAGGTCAATACTACCCAAAACAGGAAATAGAATAGTACCAGCACCCTGGAAGAGAAGACTCCCTTTTGCCCCCTCCCAGGCACTGTGCACCCAAAAGTAACCAGTGTTTTGACTTTTGACACCGCAAATTTGTTTTTTCACTTTTTGAGCTTTATATTAATGAATTTAACGTGTGCACTTTTGTGTCTGGCTTCTTTCTCTAACATGTTTATGAGATTCACCTGTGCTGTTGTATGCAGGAAGAGCTAATTTATTCTAACTTCTATACAGTATTTAACTGTGTGTTATACCACTTTGTGACTTAAGTTTCATTCTCTGGATCTAATTTAATGAACAGAACTTATTAATTTTAATGTAGTAACATTTGTTAATCTTATCCTTCATAGTGTGTGATTTTGGTATCCTATTTAAGAAAGTTTGCATATGCCAAAATTGTGATGATATTCTTCTATGTTAACTGCTAGAAGTTTTGTTGATTTGTCTTTCATATTTAGATCTACAATGCTGCTGGAATTAATATACACGTATGGTGTGAAGTAAAGTGCAAGATTCATTTTTTTCTTAGTTGGTGGCACTGTAATTGGAAAAAAGTCTTTTCCAATTATAGTGTAACCCTTTCCGTTTTATAAATCATGTGACTGGATATATGTGGATATCTAGACTTTCTATCCTACTCAGTTTGTGGGTTTGTCTATATTTTGGCCATTTACAAAGCTAATTACCTTAGCTTTCTATTAAGCCTTGATATCTGACTGTGTAAGTCCAACTTAGTCCATTTTTGTTCAAGTTTGTCTTGACTGTTTATGGATGTTTTCATTTCCATATAAATTTAATAAATAACTTGTCAACTTCAAATATTAAAATGTCATCATGTTGATTGTAATTTTTTTAAATCTGCAGAGATCAATATGAGAAACAACTGGCATTTTGATAGTACATCTTCCACTTTATGAATCAGTGCTCCAATCTATGAACATAGTATATCCCTCCATTTTCTTTAGGCCTTCTGCAGTTTGGCTCAGCCTGTTTTACAGTTTTTTGTGTAAAGGTCTTGCATTTCTTTGGTTTTATTTATTCCAAGTATTTTATTTATGCTATTGTTTACTAATGCTATTGTAAACGGTATCTTTCTAAAACTTGTTATTTTCTACTTGTTTATTGTTTTTTTACAGAAGCAGAATTGATTAATTTTGTGTGTGTGTATATTAACCATGCATCCAGCAACATGGATGAATTTACTTCTTAACTTAAAAAATTTATCTATAGATTTTTATGGACATTCCACATATATAGTCACGTTATCTATATATGACACATATTTTTTCCTTTTTAATCTTTATATATTTTATTTCCATTTCTTGACTTATTTCACTGGATAAGATCTGCAATATAATATTGCATAAAGCTTTGATGAGGCTAGGCACAATGGCTTATGCTTGTAATCCCAGCACTTTGGGAGGGTGAGGCAAGTGGATCACTTGAGGTCAGGAGTTCGAGCCAGCCTAGCCAACATGGTGAAATCTCGTCTCTAGTAAATATACAAAAAAAAAAAAAAAAAAAAAAGCGAGGTGTAGTGGTGCACACTTGTAGTCCCAGCTACTCTGGAGGCTGAGGCAGGAGAATTGCTTGAACCCAGGAGGTGGAGGTTGCAGTAAGCTAAGATTGTGCCACTGCACTCCAGCCTGGGCATCTGAGTGAGACTCTATCTCAAAAACAAAACAAAACAAAACAAAACAAAACAACAACTGTGATGGAAGTATTCTTACCTCATTTCTGATCTCAGATTAGAGGACCATTAAGTGTGATATTTTCTACGAAGTTTTGTGGATATTCTTTACTGAATTAAGGAAGTTCACTTTTTTAATTTGTTATAAGTTTTGTTTGTCTTTTAATCATGAACAGGTATCCAGTTTTAACAAAAGTCCTTTCTCCATTTTTGAAATGATTCATTTCATTTCTTTATTTTCTTAATGTGAAGAATTATGTTGATAGATTTTTAATAGTTAAACTGTTTTTGCAACCGCGGAACAAGTTCACCTTGGTTGGGTTATATTACCCCTTTTGTATCTTGCTAGAATCAATTTGATAGTATTTTGTCTGAGAGATTTACCTATATATGCTCATAAATGGTGTTGGCCTGTTATTTTCCTTTCTCCTGGCAATGCCAAGGCCAGCTGATAATACCATGTTATCTCCTGACTCTCAGGAGCTGCTTTTTCTTTTCTTAGTCCCATTTTAGACCAAAGGTAAGCAATATTAGACCACAGGGCATTAGTCTAGGATATACAGCATTTTACCATTGCTATGATTTTGCTGATCAGGAGGTTGTCCAGCGAATGTTGCCTGTAGTTGGGGGAAGGTTAATGTCTTCTGTTCTTTTTGTTACAGGATGAGTTATTCAAACCTCTGGTGTAACAAGGGCTGTAAAGTAGCATTTAAGAATCTGAAAGAGATGCATCAGCCAGCTGCAACCCAGTGAGTGTGAGAAACCAAAGGGCCACCCACTCTGTTATTAGACCCTGAAGCAGAGGCCTCAGTTATCATCCCAGGATGTCCCAAAGTTCAGCTGGCCTTTTCTAGAGACCTGGATGCTTTTCTCCTTTATCCTGGTCCTGAACCGTTCAATGTGACCTCTAGAATTTATAAAGGCACAGCAAAAAGTGTTTGCTAAAACATAAACTTTCCCTTGGGTTATGAATTTAAATTTAAACTAGCTTAGAGCAGAAATCATGCTTTCTTAAGAAGTAGTGACAGAGGGTCACAGATTCTACTGGGAACCACAGAAATAAGACATTGACCCCTTAAGGTGGGCAGGCTCATTAAATAGAATTATATAATTTCTGCAAAGCAGGCTGGAATGTCTCTGAAGAAAACAAACTGACCATTGTAGCAAGGATAGCCTCAGGAAATTTCAAAGTCTATTAACTTCAAATCATACCTATTATTAGTATAAATACTTGCTATTTTATCTTTGGTCAGTCAGCATGCCCAGGCAAAGGCAATTAATCGAACTGTTTGAACTATGTTACTTTCTGGGAGAAGCTAATATGTTAAGGGTAAACACACATCTGTGCTAATGTAGCCTAGTATGCAATTTTTACTTTTTCTTTTTAAGTAGAAACCATCATCATCAAACAAAATTTAATCAGCATTATTCAAAGAAGTCTCTCTGTGCAGGAGAGGTAAGTTCCTGCTCCTTAGGGTGAGGGAAGAGAAAGACTGGCTATAGAGTGTTGCAGTAACGAGTAGTGATGTGTGAAGAGAAATGAACAATATTTCATAGGAGGTCAAGAAACGAGCTGTATAAATGGCTGAGTGTTTGCAGTCAGCAGGACAATCAGAAAATCTGTATAGAACTGAGAAATACTACTGATAATAGTTTGGATATTTGACCCGCCCTAATCTCATGTTGAAATGTAATCCCTAAAATTGGAGATGGGGCCTAGTGGGAGGTGATTGGATTAGAGGGGGGGGATTTCTCATAAATGGTTTGGCACCATCCCCGATGCTGTCCTCATGATAGTGATAGAGTACTCATGAGATCTGGTTGTTTAAAAGTGTGTGGCACTTCCCTTCTTCTCTCTCGCTTCTGCTTTCACCATATGACTTGTCTGCTTCTCCTTCCGCCATGATTGTAAGTTCCCTGAGGCCTCCCTAGAAGCAGAAGCTGCTATGCTTCCTGCACAGCCTGCAGAACCGTAAGATAATTAAACCTCTTTTCTTTACAAATAACCCAGTCTCAGGTGTTTCTGTATAGCAATACAAGAACGGCCTAATACAGTTACATTTTGTGGAAACCCTAGGACTAAATCCACTGAGTTAAATTTTAAAAAACAAATACACTTTGCTATTGCTGCTATAGCTTTTAGATAAGGAGGAGATGCCTTGGTTGCTGGTCCTAACGAGAGATTTAAAGAAGCAAAAAGGGCTGAGTATGGTGGCTCAGGCCTATAATCCCAGCATTTTGGGAGGCCGAGGTAGGCAGATCACTTGAGCTCAGAAGTTCGAGACCAGCCTGGCCAATATGGCGAAACCCCCGTCTCTACTAAAAATAGAAAAAATAGCTGGGCGTGGTGGCGCCTGAGGCTGAGGCAGGAGAGTCGCTTGAACCTGGGAGGTGGAAGTTGCAGTGAGCCGAGATTGCACCACTGCATTCCAGCCTGGGTGACACAGCGAGACTCCATCTCAAAACAAAAACAAAAAAACAAACAAAACGGAAGCAAAAAGACCTCTGATGATTCCTTGTAAATGACTCAGTACCTCCAGTGCTTGTTCAGACTTTCCATGAACAAAAGAGAAAATGATTTGTGAGTCTAAATTCCTTTAGTAAAAATCTTTTCATAGACAGTTATTGTTACAGTCTTTGTGCTTCAACAGGAGCTTGATGTTTTTTAACTTAAAAAGTATATAATCATAAAAAGATGTTTGTTAGTATATATGTGTTATGTATAATTAATCTAGGAAGATAATTCTCATTTTGCTTTGTCAGTTATTTTGAATTATCATAAGTTTGGTAAAGAAAAGACATTGCAAAAGAGTTTTGAATTACTGATGTGCTTTGACTGTGTCCCCACCCAAATATCATTTCAAATTGTAATCCGAATTGTAATCCCCACATGTTGAGGGAGAGACCCGGTGAGAGGTGATCAGATTATGAGGGCAGTTTCCCTCATGCTGTTTTTGTGATAGTGAGTGAGTTCTCACGAGATCTGACTGTTTGATAAGTGTCTGGTGCTTCCTCCCTCTCTCTCTCCTGTCGCCTTGTGAAGAAGGTACCTGCTTCCCCTTCACCTTCTGACATGATTATAAGTTTCATGAGGCCTCCACAGCCATGCAGAACTGAGTTAATTAAACCTATTTTGTTTATAAATTACCCAGTCTCAGGTAGCATCTTTATAACAGTATGAAAACAGACCAAGTATCTTACTTAAAATTTAGGGAATTTTATTCAAACCCAATTATTTCTATTGCCTTTTCTTTTGTAGGGTAAACAAATAGATCTTAGTGTTACCTAATGTCCATTTTAAGAAACCCAAAGACAATTGAGGTATGAAAGACATCTTAATGGCTTTATTATTCTGAATTTGAGGCTTGAATTTAGGAAAGGCAAAATAAAAAATAATTGCTGAAGAAGATAAACATCCTACAAATGTCATAAGTATCTAAAGAAAAACAGGTTTGTAGGCAACATTATAAAAATATACAGCAATAACATTAACAATGATAAGGAATATAGTTTTGTTTCCAAAAGCAAGGACTATTTTTAAAAATGACTAAAGACTATATCAAAAAGTACCCAAAATTAACAGATTCTGCAGAATCTCTACCAATCTGGGCATAAAATAACTTAGTCATTTTACAGAAAAAAAAATACCCAAATTCTAATGTTATTAGTTTTGTGCATTATTAGTATAATAATTTATTAATCACTGTTTACATGTGTGTGAAGTTTGACATACACAGATATATAAATGTAGAGATTTATTGCCTACTTAGGTAATAATTTAAAGCATTTAACTATGGCTAAAAAAGAGAAATACAGTTCCTAACAGCTGGGAGATAATTATAGTTTTTTAACTTTTGAGTTCTTTCTTTCCTTCTTTAGTGATTTTCTTAAAGACTCTAATCCTTCCTCCAGATGCCACCTGCCCCCACCTGGCCCCAAGTTGAATTCTTTGGCCTCAGTCCTTATCTTCTTTGTACTTGAAGCCACAGTCATGGTGCCCCCCAGCCCTAGTTTTCATTTGAAGGGCTTGTTACACCCATAGCCCCTGTTGAGGGAAGGGCCCTAGGCAGGCATTTGCTCTGTCATGGGCAACCACCAAGTAGTTACTAAGTCTTAGAAGACAGACAGAAAGTGATGGGCACCCATCCCAACGGCAGCCAAGCCAAAGCATGGCCTGTGACTTTTGAGGTGATCTATGAATAGCTCATCCTAAAGAGGAGAAAGCAGGTTTAATCAAATCTTCACTCTCAAAAATTCAAACTGATAAGAACAAAAATAATCTAGCAGTGTGTCGCCATGGCTGAGGTTGCAAGGATTCATGAAAGTTAGAGCCCATTTTACAGAAACTGAAGCCAGAGAGGCTATGTCACTTGCCTAAGGTCGACTAGCTAACCTGAACACTGCTTTACACAACACTTCATGGCCACTGAAGAGTCACAGGACAAGGGGTAAGGAAGCCACTCAATAGTGGCAAGACACCAGGAGCCATCCTCATAGAAGCAGAGATGCCGCATTAATGCTGGGTAAAGCTTCGAGGGAGAATCCCCAGACTCTAGCTGAAACCCTAAAGCTCTTCCATCCTTATCCAGTCTCCAGGAATCTCAGCGATTGCAGGGTTCTTGCTTTGGGACCTGGATGAGCTCTCCATCTTCCTTATTGCCATGTGGACCCTAATATTAACTCCCCACTATTACTTGAGCTAACATGAAGACATTATTTTTCTTTTCCCAAAATTTTTATTTTGATATCAACCACTTACCAAACCATCAAGAAAGATAATATTTCAAAGAAAAAACAAAAACAAAAACCAAGAAACAGGGATATAGGTATCAAACCACAATTATCCCCCAAAACACTGCTGTTGCAAAAAGGATAGAAAGCCAAAATCCCATAGACTATTAGAGAATACCTTTAAAAACAAGCAAAAATATTTTGTAAAGGTATGGTTTTCACTACAGTGTGTGGACAGGTTCAAACAGTGGATAATCAAAGAAAATTCATCTTGTTTGGCCTGGGAATACAGTAAGCTTTCTTCTATTCCAGCTGAAGAAATAAAAACAAACCAACATGAGCTTCTGAAGTTAATATTGAAATTGTCTTTACCAACTGAAGGTAGCATGAGAATAAAGGCAGAGAAAGTGAACAAATAGCAAAGACAAGTAGTCTTGAAATTCAGTCTCTACCTATAATCAATAAGCTTGTCTAACACAGCCTTCCTACAGCCTTATCCTGGGCTTCACATCCCTCCTCCAAACTTAGAAATACCTGAATTTAGAATGCACATCTCAACCCTCTTGTCTTGTTTCACCTTTCTCTATGAGTTCTTTACTCAGGGGTAAGGGCTCACAGTGCAGAGGGAAGTGTTATTTATTATTCCAGCTACTGTTAAGATAAAGTGAACCAAGCTCATCAACAGAAAGAATGCCTACAGAAATCAGAACTTAATAACTCCAACTGGGTGCTTTGAAAAGACATTTCCAACAGGATATTTAGTTTTGCTAAGAGAGCAGCAATCATTTTAAATAATGATGTCCAGGGCTGACTTTTTGCTGGTTCACCTGGGTTCCTACTCGCCAGTTGTCTATTATGGCTGGCAGCTTTTCTGGTTGGTCAGTACTACTGCTCAACCGATAGGTTCATATTCTGAATATCACTCTTGGTTATGTCATGGTTTCTGTACCTATTATGTGAAAGGAGTCCTAGAAAAAGATTCACCTGTGTAGACAGACTTGTATACATAAGTAGACATTCACATATTGTTGATAAGCATTGGCTAATTATTTTACTAATGAACTCATTCAATAGCCAGAGTTTCAGTTCCTACAATATTGTTTTCCCTTCCTCTCTTAGCAGAGATGGACAAGAAAAATGTATTTCCTGTACTTCTTGTTTGTTTCTCAAGGCTTGCTTACATTTCTCTGCTTTATCTCCCACTAGTCTCCTGTGGTTTGGCTGGACTGGTCTACTTGGTAGATTCCCAGTCTGCCTGAAAATTGACTTGCCCTGGTGCCTTTGGCTGTGTCTGACCTTTAAAGGCTTCCATGCTCTCCCAGAATAACATGGTAATTATTCTCAAAAACCAATGCCAAGCCTACCTCCTCTTGAGGCCTTCCCTAGAACACCAACTAAAATCAGTACTTTCTCTTAGTTTTCTAGTACTTAGTAGCTTCACTAATACTCAGTGATGATTTATTGCTTGAAAATATTGTAGCTTATTATATAATTGCATGGATAGGTATTTTTATGTGCTTATATGTGATCTAGCCATTTAAAGTGCAAACTCTTTGAAATTTAAAATTGTAAAATGGACCCCAACACTTAGCATATCAGCTGTGAACTGTGCAGAATAGATGGAGTTTTGTCCTAAGCTTGCGAGAGACATTAGGTATAGAGTGTTTTCCCTAGCAGTCAGCTAAATCGTGAGCTTGGAGCTCAAAATGCAAGACTTGGAGGGCTCATACAGTTAAATTTTGTCAAGATCAATGCTGCAACTTCCACATTTGCATTCCCTTTTCCTTTCCACAAGTCACAGAAAATGTAGAAAGGCGGTAGGTATGGGAGAGGAGGAAGAAGTTGGAAAATTATCCAATACCAGGAACCCCTTAGGGTGGCGTTATGGGGACGTCACAGGAATGTGAGAGGACAGGAGGGAAAGCAGGGAAAGGCATCACCAAAAAAGTGATGGGAGCATGCCTCCTTTATAATTTTGCAAAGCCTTCTTGATTTTGTGCCTTAAAAATGAAATATTTCATAACAAAACCTAATTAATGTTTGAATTATGACCTGACCTAGGTACAAAACTATGGTAGGCAGAATAATGCCCTCCTGCAAAGAAGTCCATGTCCTAATCCTTAGCCCCTGTGAATATGTTATCTTATGTGGAAAAGAGACTTTGCAGATGTGATCAAGTTGAGGATGTTGAGATGGGGAGATTATCTTGGGTCATCTAGTTGGTCTTAATGTCATCACAAAGGTCTTTATAAGTGAAAGTGGGACAGAGTCAGGAGGACATGTGCTGCTGGTTTTGAAGGTGTAGAAAGGGGCTATAAGTGGAGAAATGCAGAGAGCCTCTAGAAAAGGCTAGAAAATGCAAGGGAACAAATTCTCCCCAAGAGACTCCAGTAAGGAATAGTTTATTTTACCCTGGTACCATGACAGGCTTCTAACCTACAGAACTTTATAACAAAAAATGTGCACTGTTGTAAGCAGCCAAGTGTGGTTATTTGTTACAGTACCCACAGAAAACTTATAAAACAGCAAATGCAGTGCCTCAAGCACTTTATGGGAAGACCTAAGTGGGACACCCAACATAAACTGGGGAGCTCAGGGAACGTTTCCCTATACACAGGAAATAAATGGAGAAGGAGTTTCCAGGTCAAAGAGGAGGAGAAAGAACATTCTAGTCTAGGAGTTGGGGGTGGGGGTGAGACAAGAGCAACAAAAGGAATAAGGTAAGAAACGAGAGTTGGTTTGGAACACTACAAATCATCCAGCCTTGTTGAAAAACAATGTGGCAAGAGATGAAGCAGGAGGGGTGGATGGGGGAGAGCAAAGCAACTTCTCTCCCTGGAGAAGTGTTTAGGCTTTTAATAAGAGCTCATGGGGAGACAATGAAATGTTTTAAAGAATGGTGTGTGTTTGTGTGTGTGTATGCGCACGTGTTAGAGGCTGGAAATGACAGTAAAATTTGCATTTAAAATTGCACTAAATATATGTATGTGTGTATAGACACACACATGTATTTTAAATGCAAATTTAAAATAATATTAAAATAAAATAATTTTAATACATTTTAAATGCAAATTTTAAATAAAATAAAATTGCACTAAGTACACGCACACGTGTGTGCGCGCACACACACACACAACTTTCCCTTTCAGCAAATAATCCCTGAACAGAAATAAACAAGAGCGATTTCAAATATGAGCCTGGGTCCAAATGCCACAAGCCACAGGCTCTGAATGTCACAAGGCAGGGTGTTAGATTTACAATTAGACCCTCTTTGAACGTGGGTGACAATTCACAGTGTTCTTCAGGAGAGGAGACTGCATCTGCTGCTTTCTTCTGCACCCTCAATCCCTCCTCTTTTTAGTGGAGTGAGTAGGAGAACGGATTTATTCAACGAGGGCACTCTGGGTGGTTTGGGGATGCTTTAGTCCCCGGGACCTAATCTCTATCAGACCCAACCAAAGCCATTCCGAAAATTATGTAATAGCAATACTTTTTCTTAATGTGGATAATCTTAAAAGTGTAAAGATATACAGCTCTAGGAAAATTTTAAATGGTTTGTACATATGCTGTCATAAAAATAATAATCAAAGGCAGTAGCTGTAAGAGAAATCCATAAACATCAATCCCTGCCTCATCCCTAATCCCCCAATATCCAACCTCTGAGAAACACCACTGGAGTTTTAAATTAATAATAGTTTATAGATTCTCCTGAGCTTCCCTGTGGAGGTTGCTAATATATTGTAACTCCACACTCTCATGAATCCTGAGTTTACTCTGCTCCCCTCCACAAAAGTTTTATTAAAGTTACTGAGAAAATAGTCTATTTGCAGAACTATGAAATAAAACTATGATTTCATTCTAATTAGAATGACCACTTTCACTTAAAGTCTCTCCTCTCCCGCCCAGAAACGTACACAAGAATCTCAGCTTCATCTCTGACCTTGTCGCTTTCTTCTGGGATATTGTCTTAGTTCCAGGGGCTATAACAAAATAACATAGACTGGTATTAACTGGCTTCAACCACAGTTATTTATTTCTCACAGTTCTGGAGGTTGGGCAGTCCAAGATCAAGGCACCCAGAGATGTGGTGTCTGTGGAGGCCTGCTTCCTGGTTTGCAGATGGCTGCTTTCTTGCTGTGTTATCACATGACAGATATCTCTTCTCTCTCTCTCCCTCTCTTTATTTGAGACAGAGTCTCACTCTGTTACCCAGGCTGGAGGGCAGTGGTACACTGTCAGCTCACTACAGCCTCTACCTCCCAGGCTGAAGTGATCCTTTCGCCTCAGCCTCCTGAGTAGCTGGGACTACAGGAGTGCACCACCATGCTCAGCTAATTTTTGTATATTTTGTAGAGATGAGGTTTTGCCATATTGCCCAGGCTGGTTTCAAACTCCTGGGCTCAAGCGATTCACCTGCCTTGGCCTCCCAAAGAGATGGAACTATAGGCATGAGTCACTATTCCCAGCCTTTTGTCTCTTCTTAGAAGGGCACTAAAACCCACTCATGAGGGCTCTACCTTCATGACCTAATTACTTCCCGAAGACCCCACTTTCACCACCACGTTGGGGATTAGGATTTCATTATATAAACTTTTAGGGGGGAACACAAATCATTCAGTCCATAGCAGATATGGTGAGTCTTAGGTATGAAATGTTTTCCTTTAACTCTTACTTTTCTAACTTTGTTAAAAATAGTTGAAAGATAGAAAATGAGTTAGCTCTGCAGTTCTGGAGTACTCACTGGTACTTCACCGCATCCTGTGTTTACCCAGCTCAACCCAAGCTAATGGAGAAGTAGATTTCCTTCTCCAGGAAGGGTCAAGGCCAGGAAGAGAGGTGGACAGGTCTCAGAAAGCAGGCAGTGTCAAATGCTGAGCAAAAGCCAAGCTCAGAAGGAGGAAATGTGGTGTTTATGGAACCAACTTGCAAATGCAAACATGAGCAAACCAAAGCAATGTAACAAATGATCCTCAACAGCTGGGTTTCTTCAATGCTGAAACTTGTAATAAACATCCATGGCTATCTTTGGAACACGATTTGTCTGTAAACATACATACATCTATTTACTAGAACCACAAGGATTAGTTAACAAAAAAATTACCTAAGAACCATCAACTTTCACTTCTCCAATTGGGTCACAATCTACAAGTTAATCTGCTAGGAAAAAAAAAAAATAACATTCCTCTCTAACTGTGGTGGGAATCAGTAATCATAGGATTCCCAGGAAGATTCTGAAAAGCCCTTGGATATTGAAGGATTTGGGTTGCAGTTTTCTCAATCTGTTAGATGTTGAGGGGGGGCGGAGGAAATACACCTTTTTTTTTTCCCCACAATCCTAAAAGTTTATGAACTTTCAGAGAGACACAGGAGCCAACCTGAAAGAGTTCCCAGTGGTCAAAGCTGGAACCATTTGAGCAACAAAATTAATAATGTAGTATTGAATTCTAGCCCAAAGTATAAAATAAATATACATGGGTCCATACTGACATAACAAATACTGACATAAATGATTGAATAAACAAGAGAGATGGAACAAATCTTCCTTACAGAATCATTCTAAATAATAACATATAGATACTCCCTGCTCTGGGATGGAGTTTAATCTTGCCCTCATCTTGAGTGTCAGCTGAATTGAGTCATGCCATTCATGCCATTCAGAGTAGAGTGTATGGAAAGAGAAAAACAGCTTTGCAGTAGAGAAACCTGGCAGACACAACCTTAACTATGGGATCAAGGTCAAGTCACCAGTGATAAGTCACCTGGCCATCGTGCCATCGTCCCTGAGAGGATGCAGTGGGGAAGGCACTTCATCTCTGAGTCTTTCCTCCCCCCAGTCTCATCATGAGAAAAAAACAGTAGACAATACCCACATGAGTGGGTGTCGAGGTACCCCCACAAAACTATACCTTACCAGAATACTTCATCACAATACTTTACTAGAATTCTTTACAGCTGTCAAAGTCAAGAAAAGACAGAGAAACTGTCATGGATTAGAGGAGACAAAGGGCACAGGATGCTAAATGCAGTGTGGTATCCTGGCTGGGATCCTGAAAGGGAAAGGCGTTAGCCAAAAAGCTAGTGACAGCTACATCAAGTCTGGAGTAGTGTTAATAGTGGCAGATCAATGTTAATGTCTTTTAAAAAATATTTTTAGTAGAAATGAGGTCTCGCTATGTTGCCCAGGCTGGTCTCGAACTCCTGAGCTCAAGCGATCCTCCCGCCTGCCTTGGCCTCTCAAAATGCTGAGATTACCAAGGCGTGAGCCACCGCACCTGGCCCAATGTGAATTTCTTAGTTTTGACAAATGTGCCACAGTTATGGAAGCTGTAGGCATTAGGAGACACCGACTGAGGGGTATATAGACGACTCTCTCTACTATCTTTGCAACTTTTTTTAAGTTCCAAAAGAAAGTTTTTTAAAAAAACAACAAAATTGCACTTGTACTCCATAAATTTATACTAAAAACAATAAAATCAAAAATTATTTAAAAAACAAAAACAAAAGTTTATAAACTTAGGGTGCAAATAGAACCTTCTTGAAAAGCAGCGGCCGATCCCCTCCCCCCACCCGCCTGTACAGCACCCTAGCGAGGGGCGTGAGGGGCAGAGCCTGGCTCTCCAGCGCTGGGCGTACGCGTCCTGCCGCGACTCCTCCCCGGGGCCTCACCGGCGCCGGACTCTGCCCTGGGCGCGCCCCGCGGGGCGGAGCCAAGCCTGCGGGCGGTGGCGGCTGCACTCGCAGGGCCCTGGCAGCCGACCCTGGCCCCAAGGTCCGATCGCCCAGGGGAGGAGCAGCACCGGGACCCCGCGTCGGCTGGGCGCCCCACAAGGTAGGCGAGTCTGGCCACCTTCGGGCCCGGTCCCTGCGGCGCGCCCCCGCATCCCCTCCATGTGTGTGGGTGTCCAGGTGCCTTTCCAGCGGCTTCCCCAGTGGAGTTCCTGGCATCAAGGACATTTCCTGTAAAAGGGTCCTTGTTGAAGAGGTAATCCTCCCTGGAAACCTCGGTTCTGGGCTCGAATTTCCTGGGCGAGAAGTTTCTTCCCCATTGGGAAGAGCTGCTTTTCCGCAGAGAGGAACCCCTACTTAGTCCGGCGCACACCTGATTATTTATTTAGGTTGTTGTTATACAATCCGTTTGTCAGGGGTCCCCGCGATTT
This sequence comes from Homo sapiens, assembly GCF_000001405.40. Classification (NCBI taxonomy): domain Eukaryota; kingdom Metazoa; phylum Chordata; class Mammalia; order Primates; family Hominidae; genus Homo; species Homo sapiens. The sequence goes on along the minus strand of NC_000018.10, from coordinate 54,959,007 downwards.
CTGCCTGCTAATTTCAGAGGCTATGGAGAAAAGTCCTGCGGTAAACGCCCTGACCTAGGAACTCCAGCGTGGTGGCTTTGACAGGTCACTGCGCTCGCATTTTTTAAAGAGCAGAGATGAATGAAGGTGGCTGTCTTCATTCATTTGTGCGGGCTTCTGCAGCCGCAGGTGTAGTAAAAAGAGCAGCCCATTGCTTGACCTTTTCCTTAATGTTGAGTAGCATCATGATATTTTAGATGTGGAAGTTACAGAGTGCTAGGCGGCTAGACAAAGGAACACTCTTATCTTACTGAAGGTTAGTACGGGACCGTGCAAGTGTAGTTTTTAGATTGGATGATAACATAGCTGTGAATTTTCAGCCTTTTTGGAAGTGAAGACAAAATTGAATATAAGGATCAGAACAAGCAACAAGCCCTGAACATAACTGAAGGTGTACCTGCTCCCCATTATATTCTGATTGTTTTATTTTAGGAATCAAAACCTCTTTTACTTTCTTGGTGTATATAGTTCGGATGAAGTGTCAGAATACAAAAAGGAATTATTCTGTGTTTGTGATAGGGAGGAGATAATCTGTTCTTTTGATTTTACCTAATGCCATTAAATATTCAGAGCTACTGAAGTCTGGTTTTCCTGATATGTGAGCTGGGCAGGAGTGTCAGGTACCCTGGCAGACACAATTGGTGCTGTTGTTATGCTTTTCCCCCGCTGCCCACTCTCTTCCCCACCCCACTCCCAATTTGAGAGGGAAGGCCCCTGACACAGAGGAATTTCTGCCCAAGGCAGGGAGTATCCCCGTGTGGTTCCTCAAATGTTTGCAGAAAGAATGAAAACAACTACACTTCTTGGGACCCAGGCCAACGTCATAAGGCCGACGTCATAAGAAGGTTCTTTCCTCTTGTTATTTACAAAATAAATTGATCCCTTGTCCTAACTAGAAAGAGACTTTTGAAATTAATACTGTTGCTATTTTGTGAATTACTGATAGGCATGTTATTTGTTAGCTTATTTGTTTACAGTATGCTCAACATTGAAGGTGAGTTGTAATCCAAATTTTGGCCAAAGCTAAAAAATGTAAGCTAGATTTAGACAAACCTGAAAAATGAGGTGTTTATTTGCTTGGAATAATGACTGAAAGGGGAAATAACTGAAGATTTTGATGGGAATGTAAAAGTCTTTTAAAATAGTAGTTTCTCATCTTTAGAACTGAGATATTTACATCAAAATTATATGGCTATTTATTGATTGAAAACATTTCATAATGGCAAAATTTTACCATGAATTTACTAACACGTTTAAATGAATGTCATTTACTAAGCACAAAAACAGCCATTTATATAGGTTTGGAAAATGAGAGAGAGAGAGAGAGAGAGAGAGAGAGAGTGTGTGTGTGTGTGTGTACATTGTTTTAGAAACTATTTGGTACATCTGTAAATTTGTGGGCCTATTCATGTATTCATTGAAACAATATTTATTGAGGACACTGTGTTCTGTGTGGGAGAACCAGATGGGAGGGGAAGTAGGGTCTGGGCCAAACACAGCCCTGTGTAAATCAGACACATTTCTATCCTCCTGGAATTTACTACATTGGAGTCCTCCAGGCCACCCCAAGTCAAGGCCATAGATTTACAGACCACATAAATGATCCATTCAATTTCGACAGTGACTAAAACTAGATTAGTTTCAAATCACATATTTCCTTTCACTGATTTAAAAAGTCAAGTCTAAAAATGATAGAGGAGCTTGCATGTTATTCTGCTCAGTGGTTTTCTCTTTTGTTTAGGTTGGGGAAGAACTTAGGAATCATGTGTTCCAGGCTTAATGTTATGAAATATTAACTTAAAATAGCTAAGTATCAATTTCATGCAAATTAAATAAAAACTAAACTTGTAGTATGGATGACAATAATCTAGAGACAAAAATTAATGAACAAAAAATTTAAAACTGAAAAACATCTATCCATTAAATTATATTTTTTCCTATAAATTAGAAAAATAAGACTACAGTTACATTCACCCCACCCCCAGAGGAAAACAGCATCTTTATTCAAGTTATTCTTACTTTTCCTTCTGTATTTTTTTTTAAAAAAGCTTTATTGGAGGTATAATTTACATACCATAAAATACATCCAAGTGTATAATTCAATGATTTTTGGTAAATTTACTGAATGGTGCAACCATTAGCACAATCCAATTTTAGATCACTTCATCATTCCCCAAATATCCCTGGGGCCTGTTTGCAATCACTCACCGTTCTTACCCCAGCCCCAGCAACCCCTAATCTATTTTGTCTGTTTAGATCTGCCTTTTCTGGACATTTCATACAGATGGAATCGTACAATATATAGTCTTTAGCATCTGGCTTTTTTCAGTTAGAATAGCTGTTGAGGTTTATTCAGGTTGTCACATGTAGCTGTAGTTGGTTCCTTTTTATTGCTTAACTAGGATTTATTCCATGCCATGGCTATGCCGCATTTTGTTCACCATTTGGTAGACCTTTCTGCAAATACTTTTGCATGGTAAAACAGATACATTGGTGCAGCTTCTATGGTAGCATAATGTGAGAATAACTGATATGAGCCAACCTCTTATTTGGTGCTTTGACTCTCTTCTATGATAATTTTAAATATGAATGCCAAGAGTTAAACATCCAGGTTCCTATTAAGCAGTGGTGTTTTCTGTGTGTAACTCTCCAACAAACCAATGTTAAGAACTTCTTACCTTGGCTGGGCACAGTGGCTCACACCTATAATCCCAGCATTTTGGGAGGCTGAGCTGGGCAGATCACGAGGTCAGGAATTCGAGACCAGCCTGACCAACATGGTGAAACCCCATCTCTACTAAAAATACAAAAATCACCTGGGCGTGGTGGCATGCGCCTGTAATTCCAGCTACTCGGGAGGCTGAGGCAGGAGAATCGCTTGAACCAGGGAGGCAGAGGTTGCAGTGAGCCAAGATTGCACCATTGCACTCCAGCCTGGGCAACAGAGCAAGACTCGTCTGAACTTCTAATTTTCCCCAGCAATTTGGGAGGCTGAGGCAGGTGGATCACCTGAGGTCAGGAGTTGGAGACCAGCCTGGCCAACATGGTAAAACCCCTTCTCTACTAAAAATGATTTTTTAAAAATTAGCTGTGTGTGGTGGCATGCGCCTGTAATCCCAGCTCCTGGGGAGGCTGAGGTAGGAGAATTGCTTGAACCTGGGAGGTGGAGGTTGCAGTGAGCTGAGATGTCACCACTGCACTCCAGCCTGGGCAACAGAGCGAGACTCTGCCTCAAACAAACAAACAAACAAACAAACAAAAAAGAACTTCTTAACTTTGCAAGAACATTGACTTTTGGTATACCTCTGTTAGGAATCAGGAAACTGGAATAGCAGTTCCCAGCCAGAATTGTTTTCTTATATATCTCCACTGACCTTGCTTTGTGCTAACTATTATGGCAAATGCATTTTGAGTGGTGGGGGCGGGTCATGCTTCACAACTTATGCTTAAATATCCTCTTAGGAAGATTTCTCTAGTAGAACAGAAATCCTTTTATAAAAATCTAGCCAGTTCTGTGAGCCTAAAAAGAAGACAGTGTCTCTCTGAGTGCCCTTAAGTTACTACTCAAATTGCAAATTCCTTTTGGGGGAAAAAAAAGAGCATCAAAATAACTTGAGGTCTGTTTGTGTGTGTGTGTGTTTTTCAAGACGGGGTTGTATTCTGTCACTGACGCTGGAGTGCAGTGTCAGGATCCTAGCTCACTGAAGCCTCAAACTCCTGGGCTCAAGTGATCCTCCTGCCTCACTCAGCCTCCTGTATGGCTGGGACTACAGGAATGTGGCACCATGCCTAGCTAATTAAATTTTTTTTTTCATAGATGGGGCATCACTGTGTTACCCAGACTGGCCTCCAATTCCCAGCCTTAAGCAATCCTTCCACCTTGGCCTCCCAAAGTGCTGGGATTATAGATGTGAACCACTGTGGCCAACTTTTGAAGTCTATTTTATTGGCAATTTAGAATGCAAACTATTTTTTTTAACATCTACAATTTGAAAAGAAGATAATGTAGGTTAAATAATATAGTTTTCCAAAGCTGAATGTCTTCATTTGCAACTCATTTTTTTCTGCTTGAAATGTCAAACAACTTCCTAAAACTCCTAGATGAGAATACTACTACTGTTTTGATGATCTGTTTGTGATTGGATGGAGTAATCAATCTTGTTTGGTAATACACCTTTGTTTCCTTGGTAAGGATTTTTAAAATTCTAAAACAAATGCATTTTTTTTCTAGCCTTATACTCACGATTTTATAGCAAGTATCTCCTAAGAGGTATTTACCATCTACAGGAATCCACCTTCATCATTCTCACTTTCATATACTCCAGGGATCAGGATCAGGGCAGAGACATTCACCAAGCTATGTTGGTTTATCAAGAGAAAGAAGGCTTGATTAGTATTGAGCTGTAAGCACCTGCTATTTATTTTGATTAGGTCACTTACATTGTTGTGATCTGATACAAGGAACTTAGTTTTACCCAAAGTGGGAAGCTGCCTCTGACTCTTCTATCTTTCTATAAACACCTGGATTTTGGTAGGATGCTGCTCTTGGATAAGTCAAACGTCTTCATGGTGTGGGAGGGTGGGCGATGGTGTTGATAAAAAGTAGGGTCATGGCCCGGCATGGTGGCTCACACCTGTAATCCCAGCACTTTGGGAAGCTGAGGCGGGTGGATCGCCTGAGGTCAGGAGTTTGAGACCAGCCATAGGCAACATGGTAAAACCCCATCTCTACTAAAAATACAAAAATTAGCCGAGTGTGGTGACACATGCCTGTAGTCCCAGCTACTCGGGAGGCTGAGGCAGGAGAATTGCTTGAACCTGGGATGTGGAGGTTGCGGTGAGCTGAGATTGAGCCACTGCACTCCACCCTGGGTGACAGAGTGAGACTATGTCTGAAACAAAAAAAAAAAAAGAAAGAAAGAAAGAAAGGAAGGAGGGAAGGGAAGGGAAGGCGAGGGGAGGGGAGGGGAAGGGAGGGGAGGGGAGGGGAGGGGAGGGTCCTGGCTGTTTCAGGCCCTGAATAAGTAGATATTTTCATCATCGATCCAACAGTGTATGTGCAGATGGACAAATATGAAGAATGAAAACATATTGTGCATCTAGAAAGCTATTAGAAAAGGAATGGGTAGATGAGAAAAGAAGTTCTAGGTTCACAAATTAGATTTAAAGCTTGTTGGAAATATTCTTATATTTCTTATGTATTATTGTATATTTCCTTCTACTTTATCACCTTTAATAAACAGTGCTTATGATTAAGTTTTTAAAAATGTTTAAAAGGCTTTCCTTGTTTCTGTCATACTGAATGCTAAGTTTAATTGACTAGTCATGTAGCGTGAGCTAGAATCAGCAGCCCAGTTGCCTGTTGTTTTTAACAACCCTGATTCCATTGCTCTCTATCTATGTATCTCTCTCTCTCTATATATATATATGTGTGTGTGTGTGTGTGTGTGTGTGTGTATGTATATATATAATCATTTACACTCTTTTGGGGGTCAAGAATTTGAATGAAGAAAAACAAATCCAATTAATTTTGGCTTCCAGTTACTTCTGATAAAATCAGTGAAGGTTCTTGGATTTTGAAATCTCAGTTGTGCATTGCTTTTTTTAGATCCTGCCAGGTTACTATTTTTTAAATAACATGTACAAATTCATCTTTTTCAGTATAGACTATTGTAAGTTTTTGGAAATTGTTATAGTCATAGAACCATGATCACTAACAAGATATATTCCCCCACTCCAAAGTCCTATGTGTTCCTTTTGTAGTTAACCTGTCCCCCACTGCCAGTCCCAAGTAACCACTATCCCTTTTGATTCCTACAGTTTTTACTTTTCTAGAATGTCAAATGGAACCATAGAATATGTAGCTCCTTGAATTTGGCTGTTTCAGTTAGCATGATGCATTTGACACTTATCTATGTTGTTGGGTGTATCCGTAATACATTCCTTTTTTTTTTTTGAAACAGAGTCTCACTCTGTCACCCAGGCTGGAGTGCAGTGGCACAATTTCAGCTCATTGCAACCTCTGCCTCCCAGGTTCAAGCGATTCTTGTGCCTCAGCCTCCTGAGTAGCTGTGATTACGCACGTGCACCGCCACAACTGGCTAATTTTTGTATTTTTAGTAGAGATGGGGTTTCGCCATGTTGGCCAGTCTGCTCTCGATCTCCTGACCTCAGGTGATCAGCTCGCCTCGGCCTCCCAAAGTGCTGGGATTACAGGTGTGAGCCACCATGCCTGGTCCATTCCTTCTTAATGAGGAGTTGTATTCACCTGTTGGTGAACATTTGACTTGTTTGCAGTGTTTGGCAATTATGAACATTTGTGTGCAGGTTTTATGGAATATAACTTTTCATTTCACTTGGATAAATACCAAGGCATGGGGTTTCTGGGTTGTATACTATGTATTTAACTGTATAGGAAACTGCCAAGCTGTTGTCCGCAGCAGCTCCACATTTTCCATTCCCATCAGCAACAGACAGGAGTTCCAACTGTTCCACATCCTCACCAGAACTGGTATGGTTTCTCTTTTTCCCCTTGCTGGATAATTTTTTTAAATGACATAAATTATGTTCAAGCTAAAATAATCCAGGACAAGCTCAGAAAACTGTAGGTATTTTATAAATTCCTGGGCTCTTCACTCCTAAAATATTTTATAGAGCCACAAATGACATTTTCTAAAAGGGCATCATGTAAATGTTGCAAGTGACTGTGACATATGTCATTGACCTCAGCTTCCTTTTATATTTTATTGACTGGCAAGTGTTACTCAGCTTTTGGGTTGACTTGTTAATAGAGAAGTTCAAATCAGGAGGAATAATTGGCTGATGGGTTAAGGAAAGAATAGTGAGGGGAAAACTAAGCTTGGGAATTGACACTTTCAAATCATGTCCTACAAGCAAATGTCCACAATAAGTTGTGAGTATAAACATTATGATTTAATATTAATTTAATGTGCATGAAGTCAGATGCTCCATTAAGCACTTTTCATGCATTATCTCATTTAATCCTCACATAGCTCTGAGAAGGTTGGCATTCTCATCTGAATTTTTCTGTTGAGGAACTGAGGCTTAGGGAGTTTAAATGATTTTCCAAGACCTCCCAGCTGGTGATGAAGTGGAACAGAGTCTTGTAGGCAGAACAACTGAGTCCAAATCCCTTGTTTTTAAGCCATGCAGCCAAACTGCCTTTGTTCATGGAATAAATCTACTGGGACAACAACATCTGTTCAGGCTCCTGAAGGACACACCTGGGACCTCCCATCAGGAGTTCTGTGACTGTTACTTGGTGACCTACTTTGGAAAACTTTGATTCTTAAGCTATCTTGGGCCCAAGAAGTTGAGGCTTAGAAACTCCTTCAGAATGTAGCAGAGGCAAAGTGGTAAGTTAGAAGGAGCTAGTAGACTCATGAGAAAGAGCCAGACAACTCATGGTTTGGGATCCAATGGCCACCAACTAGTTATCTTTGTTTATCTTGTTGAGCCTTGTTTCTTCATCTGCAAAATGGGAATAATAATATCAACCTCTCAGGGCATATGTGAGAAGTATTATAGAGAGCATACCCTACCTGGCATATAGTCCTCACTTAACAAATCCTGGCCCCTCCTTCCCACTCTTCTCCAGATGGGAAGGGATGCATGTGCTTTGTACCTTTTTGCAGTTTAGTTGCTGAACTGAACATTGGCTGAAGCTTTCAGCTGTTTTTCAATGTTTCAAATTATGCCAGTGAACTATGAGGATAGACTATTTCATTAAAAAGACATCTGGGCCGGGCGCGGTGGCTCACGCCTGTAATCCCAGCACTTTGGGAGGCCGAGGCGGGCGGATCACGAGGTCAGGAGATCGAGACCATCCTGGCTAACACGGTGAAACCCCGTCTCTACTAAAAATACAAAAAATTAGCCGGGCGTGGTAGCGGGCGCCTGTAGTCCCAGCTACTCGGGAGGCTGAGGCAGGAGAATGGCGTGAACCCGGGAGGCGGAGCTTGCAGTGAGCCGAGATCGCGCCACTGCACTCCAGCCTGGGCGACAGAGCGAGACTCCGTCTCAAAAAAAAAAAAAAAAAAAAAAAAAAAAAGACATCTGAATTTGGGGTCAACCTAATTGTGTTCAGTTGATGAGGTTCTTATAACCTAGAAAATCTTACATCCTTTTTTGTGCCTTATTGCATCATATATATATATATACACTGAAGATAATAACAATAACACAGTGAAGTAATGATTAATTTGGGCAATATATGAAAAATTATTTGGTAAATGGCACATGTTTTGTCAATAGTACATATTTATATATTGTGTTTACACAAATATTTCATTTTTCCTCCGAAATAGCTTTTATCTTATATCTAAGAATTTTCTATAGCACTGGCTATAATATATGTGTATATACAAATGATTAGCATGTAGTTGAATAAAATTAATTCTGCTTAGCAAAAGTTTGGATTCTTATTTGAAAACAGAACTTGGGTACAGCGTAACATGCATGTCTTTCGTATACTGTGCTCGTTTTCAGATAAACTGCACAGTCACCTGAGATTTAGCCAGCTGACACTGGATGTCACCATTGTGCTGTGTAATGTAGCTGCAGAACAGGTGTGCTATTTAGTATTCAGGACATGGTTAGCCTCATCAAGGGTTTGGAGATAACGTTCGCTATTTTCCCTCATATAACCGAATTATCCGTGTGGCACTTTTGTAGTGACTTACTTTTTCAGTTTCTAATATTCAAGCTCTATAAAATAGTAATCAGAAATGAACAAATAATCTCTTAGAACCAGGAAACAAAAATCTGAAAACTCAGAAACTGTGCTAAAACCAAGCAGGGCTCTTGATTGCAATCCAGAGTAATTGACTCTGGCTGACTTGGTAGAAGAAGAATTTACTGAGAGGATATAGAGCAGCTACCGGAATTGATGGGAATGTTGAAAAACTAGGTTTGGAAAATGGGAGGATCTCATATGCTAGGACACCGGTGAAATCAGGTTGTGAGATGAGGAGTTAGGATCCTCCTGACGTAGCCACTGGACACTGGCCACTGGATACTGCCACTGAATTTCCTGCCACTTGGACATGAAGCACCACTCTGTGTCAGAGACTCCTTCCCTTTCCTGAACAATGACTGGATTTCCACTGCCTCCAGCTCCAACCAGCCAGATGGCCATTCCCTGAGTTGCACTTCCAGCGGGAGCTGTCATTTGGCTGATTCTAGATGTTGTCCCTGTGCCCCAGCTCCAGGGAGTGAGCATGAACAAGTAAGAGACCTTTCCTGCAAGACTCATACAGATGGTGCCTCAGCATATCTGGGAAGGAGATTCAAGCACAAGCTAGCCAAAACCTGCCAGACATCCAGCATGGTGCTTTTCAATCAGCAGCCCCCAGACGTGAGTGAATACCTCTGTGCGGTCAATCAGACTTCATTGTCCCTTCTCTGGGCTGACCTGGAGTCAGTTGTTTACACCTTGCAGTACCTGACAGCTTCACTCTGTCTTTGCCTCAATCCTGGGGGATCCGTAATAGCCACTGCTAGACCTGTTTTAATGTGGCCAAGGAGACAACTCCTTAGGCAAACGAAGCCTCAAAAAGTTTAGATCAAAAAGAAAAAGGTCCTGCAACATTAAAAGAAAAGAAAATGGTAGACTTTGCTATGTGCCGTGGTTTTCTTAGAATACTGCTCTAGGGACCGGGTGCTGTGGCTCATGCCTGTAATCCCAACACTTTGGGAAGCCAAGGTGGGTGGATCACTTGAGCACAGGAGTTCAAGACCAGCCTGGCCAACATGGCGAAACCCCATCTCTACTAAAAATACAAAAAAATTAGCTGGGTTTAGTGATGCAGCTCTGTAATCCCAGCTACTTGGGAAGCTGAGGCACGAGAATCACTGGAACCCAGGAAGTAGAGGTTGAAGTAAGCAGAGATCACGCCACTTAACTCAAACCTGGGCAAGAGAGTGAGAGACCTTGTCTCAAAAAACAAACAAACAAACAAAAACACTGCTCTAGGCACCTGCCAGCCTCTGCTCTTGCTTTCCCATTTGCCTGGAACTCTCTTCTCCTAGATCCCAGAGAGCCACATGGCTTGCACCTGATTTTCTTCATCTTTTGCTCAAATACCACCTCCTCAGATCAGCTTCCCTCACTGCTCATCTAGAACAGCACCTCCTTTTACCCTTGGTCCCCTGATCAGCTTTTCTTCACGTCACTCATCACAGCCTCCCTTAGACTCCCTCTATATTTACTCGTTTGTTTAATGTCTGTCTCTCCCTTTGTACTGAAAATCCTACGAAACTAGGGTCTTTGGCTCAGCCCTGTAACCACAGTTCCTAACACAGTGGCTTTCTGTAAATATTTACTCTCTCAATAAATGAATCAAGAGTTAAGTAAAGAAAGGAAACACTCTTGTTACAGTCTCTACAATATAAACAGTGTCTGTAATCCTTTTCTAGGGTTGCTCTAACAAAGTGCCACACACAGAGTGGCTTGAACAGGGAAATGGATCATCTCTCAGTTCTAGAGCCTAGAAGTTCAAGATCAAGGTGTCTGCAGGGCTGGTTCCTCTTGAAGGCTGTGGGAGAGATCTGTTTCATGCCTCTCCCCTGCTTCTGGTGGTTTGCTAGTAATCGTTGGTGTTCCTTGGCATGCAGAAGCATCGCTACATCTCTGCCTTCATTTTCACAGGGCATTCGGTGTTCTCATCTCTCGACACATTGCTCCTTTTCATAAGGATATCAGTCATATTGGAGTAGGGATCCACCCTACTCCAGTGTGACCTCATGTTTACTGAACTAATTACACCTGCAAAACCCTATTTTTAAATAAGGTCCCATTCTGAGGAACTGGGGGTTAGGACTTTAACATGAATTTGAAGGGAGGACACAATTCAACCCATCACAGGCATTTGTTTGTGTTTATTGTGTAGTACTGCTATTCTCATGTCATTAACCAGAGCACAAGGTTTAGTTAGATTCTCCTGGGTGCCTGGTGGTGTGGTGGTTTATCACATGGATTATGGTTCACAATAACGTGTGTGCATTGCTTTGTAGATTGTAAACTCTTCAATAGATGTTAGCATCATTGTTTGAGGAAACTGACAAATTATCGGTGCATTAGCAATAAGGAATTTCTCCCCCGGGTTTGCTAGTCTTAAAGTCCCCCAAAGCAATTTTTCCTTCATAGCCCAGTAACAGATTATTTAAAATATAACCTGCTTCTTTCCTGGAAGAAAGGAAACCACCCAGATTTCATGTCAGCCTTAATTGTGGATAGTGGTTTCATATTTTATGTACTTGTTTGACAAATATGTACAAATCATTTATTATATATTAAATGTGCTGCTATAAGTGCTTGACAAATATTAACTCATGAACAACCCCACATTGATTATTGTTAATAATTAATGTTATTTTCATTTTACTGTTAAGGAAACCGAGGCACAGAGAAGTTAAGGGACTTGACAGAGGTCACACAGGTATGGAGTGGCAGAATGGAGCCATGAGACTAGGCAGGCTGCCTCTAAACTGTTTCAGCTGTGGAACCTTCTTTCTTCACAGAAAGCCTCATGGAAAAATTCAGTGTGTGAGACAGAATAAAGCAGAGCTGGGGTGGTTGAAGTTGAGGTGGCAGAGCCCTGTCTATTCAGCAGCCCTCTGCCTCCTCCCTGGGAGCCCTGTTTGAAAGGCACTTGTCTAGGAAATACCTCCTCTTGGCGTGATGCCACCTGTAAGCTGTCTTCAATCCATTCTAGCATAAGACAAATAAAAGTCTTTCCTTACTTTAATTAACTGATTGTGATTTATTTTGAAAATTTTATCCCCTTAATCTACTTCTGGCTGAAATAAAATGCTAACATGGATTTTCCCCAGGATAGTAATGCCATATGGCAATTTGGACTTCGCCGGCTTATGTTCCCCTTGGGTTTCTTTATACCAACCAAGGACTCTGGGTACAAAAGTTTTCTGAACCAAAGACAGAAATGGAATTTAATTTCATATGGATACAGTTATAAAGCTTTGCAACCAGATAGATGTGAACTACCTGCCCTGCTTGTCTTCTGTGGCTATTGATAATATAAAATAACAGGGCAACACTATTGACAGTGACTGTCCAGTGAGTGCCTTCTGCTAGCAGGCATTTAAAAAAAAAAAACTCATTTTCCTATCTCTAGGTGTTATCACCCCTACCTGACAGCTATGTAAGTGAAGACAAAGATTTTATGTAACTTGTTTAAGGTGGCCCAACCAGTGAGTGGAAAAGGTGGGAAGTTTTCAGAAATATCAGTCATCAAGAAACAAAATTCCTTGATTTTAAGAATAAAAGGTACATAAGAGAGTATATTTTAGGATAAAAGACATAAGGCCCGATGCAATTTTCAAATTATGAAAGAGCCTGAGAAGGCAGTGGGATTCATTCTAAAGAGCGATTCATTCCTATGATAAAATGCCTCTTATGATTTGTTAATGTACACATTGCATAACATACTAAAAAGGAAAATGAAAGTAAATCAGTCAAATGGGACTGTAGATCCAGGGTACTGTACTGGAGGAAAAAAACAAACTCAGGCCAGATCGATTGCTTTGCTTGCCTCTATTTTCCCACTGGTCCTGCCCCCACTCCTTGCCAAGCCCCAACCCAAAGGTCAGCAAACGTTTCCTGTAAAGGGCTAGATAAGGAAATATTTTAGGCGTTGCCTGCCACGTACTTTCTCTGTCACAACTACTGAACTCTGCTGTTTGTGGCGCCAAAGCGACATAAAAGATATGTACATGAATGGCTATCTTGTATTAGAGTAAAACTTCATTTATAGGCACTACATTTGAACTTCATATAATTTTCATGTGTCTTGAAATGTTCTCCTTTGATTTTTTCCAACCATTTTTATGAATACTAAATTTGAAATTCATATAATTTTCATGTGCCATGAAATGTTATTCTTCTTTTGATTTTTTTGTTTGACCATTCAAAAATGTAAGAACCATTCTTAGCTCTGGGGCTGTACAAACAGGAGGGAAACTGGATTGAGCTCCCAGGCTGGGGTTTGCTGACCCCTACCCTGGCCTGACCATCCTCTCTCTGGCTTCCAAGCACACTGCATATTGACTCTATGGGTGTTTCTCTTACTTCAAGCATTTAAATGTTGTTTTGCACCAATATCTTAATCCCGGAAGATACTTCAGAGGACCCAGTAAGAGACGTACTTCCATTCACAGTTTGCAAAAGCACACTTGCAGAGTTGCTGCTGCCAAATCAACTTCAGCGGAAACAAATATTTAATAGAAGCCATAGCTGCTAAGAGGATTTATAATAAAATGGAAAATTCTTGGCATCCTCTGTCAATTTCATTGAAGATTAAAGGATAAATGCAGGACTTTGTAGTATCCCCAGAAGCGATCTTGTTTCAAAGTGATGCCCTCAAATATGCAAATTCTTTGTGTTTTTTTTTGCAGCCTAGCTCACAACTGTTAGATTTTAAATATTTTGTTGTTGTTATTGTTTCTCTCCAGGGAAGCCAGTCTTAATATGATGGAAACATCTCTGAACTTCTAAAAGACCAAGGTTGGCGTTTTAGCTCTATTAATTTTACTTCGTCTTGGGTAAGTTAATGTTACTATGGGAGTGGAGTCTTGGCTTCTTATCAGTAACATAGGATTAATAATCCTACCTCACAGGGCTTTTTATTATAGTTTAATTATTAGTTATTTACTATTTATTATAGAAATTTCAAACAAAACCAAAATACATAGAGGAATACAATGAACCCTATAGACTCATCACCCAGTTTCAATAGTTATCTATGTTTTGCTAAATTTCCTTAATCTTTATCCGCATGTCCTTTTTACCTCTCTCTTTGAGTTTTAAAGCAGTTCCAAATGTAACACAATTTCACCTGCAAATATGTCAGTAGGTATTACTAAAAGATACAATCCTTTTAAAGAATGTCACAATTATCACAGCTAGCAAAATTACAACAATTCTTTAACATCACATGTTATCCAGTTAGTCTAAAAAATGTCTTTACATAGTTGATTTTTTTGAATCAAAATCCAAACAAGATTCATATGTTGCATTTGGTCCTGTATCTCTTAAGATCCTTAATTTATGTTAAGATTGATTAATGGTGTCTCTCAGGTTAAAGTTTCCTCATTAAATATTCACTAATGTTTTTAGCTTTAGGTGATGATGCTTAGGTTTTTTTACTTCATCAAGGGTTGCAAAATATAGATTTTCTAATTTTATCTCTCCTTTTGAATTTATTAGCTGGAATTCAATAAATAAACTTTCCCTCATCAACTACTTGGTTGCTATGAAATATAGTTCATATAATACATGCTTGTTTCTTTTTTTGCCAGGTTTTAGTATACTTTTGGTTTATGTGCATTGAGCTTTTGCCTTATGTGCTTCTAAAGGTGGACAGTAAGCATTGTGGTTGTTGCGGGTTTTTCTTCAGTCATCATAAATTCAGGGATTTAACATTTTTGATAAGTTTCAATCCATCATAGACATTCTTCTTCAGGATGGGTTTTGTGTCTTATTCAAATAGTATTGATCACTTTTTTGCTTGCTGATATGACCAGATATCTCAGACTATGGGAGTGGAGTCTTGGCTTCTTATCAGTAACATAAGATTAATAATCCTACTCCACAGGGCTTTTTATTATAGTTTACTTATTAGTTATTTACTATTTATTATAGTAAATAATAATTATAAGCTCACTTTACATATTTCTTACCCCAGACCTGGATCAGCCAAGAAGTCCTAGTTTCCTTTTTGGTAGGATATGATATTCAAAGACCACAGTCTGGCCGTGAGGGATGCTAACTGCTACTATTTCTAGGTTTTTTAGTGAATAAAGGTAGAATATATATTATTTAAAGGAAAATAAATCATTATTTTGTACCTCCTGGGTTCAAGTGATTCTTGTGCTTCAGCCTCCCGAGTAGCTGGGATTACAGATGTGCACCATGCCCAGCTAATTTTTATATTTTTAGTAGAGACGGGGTTCCACCATGTTGGCCAGGCTAGTCTCAAACTCCTGACCTCAAGTGATCGGTCCACTTTGGCCTCCCAAAATGCTGGGATTACAGATGTGAGCCACCATGCCCGACTTCACCGGCTTCACCTAACATTTTTGTTGTATATTTTATTTTTTCTTTTATGATAAATAGCTTGATTCTTCATGATGTTAACACAATTACCTGTTGGCTTTATTCTATAATGTGAACCTGTGTACATAAACACACCAAACACAGTTCACAGTTCAAAATGGCAATACCAATATTTCCACTAACAATATTATGAGTGAATATAGTTCAAGATTATTTTGCTATTCTTTTTGTTCTTAGAATATAGCACACCAGGGATAAATAGTTCCTGGTATGTCATTTTTAATCACTTGAAATAATTCTTATGGTTATAGAACTTGATATACAGATATATTTATTTGTTTATTTCATTTCACCTTTATTTTGGATGATTACTTTTTCTGTCAATTTTATTTCATAGTTAGATAATATATATATGTGGTTTAGTATGAAAACCTTAAGACACAGATTTCTTCCTTCCATTCATATTTCCTACCCTTCTTATAGAAAATGTGATATTATATATTATTTTCCGCTCTATGCTTTTTCATGAGATAATAATACATCCTAGTGATGGCTCCATAGCAGTTGATAGTTTATTTAATCTATCCTCTTCTTGTTGGCATGGGGTTTTTCCAGTCTTTTACTATTAGTTCTCCTAATAGTAAATAGGCTTTGCAGACTATGTATGAAGATACACACACGCACACAAAACATAATTTTGTTATAATTGTATCATGTTAATTCTACATTTATTATGTACTTACAATGTACTAGAATATAAACCTCATTCCTTTTTACAGTCTGAGATTTTAGATTTTACAGTCTGAGATGATACTGAATAAAAAGAGAAATTTCAGATTTTACCTTTTTAGATTATTTAAATGTTAAATTTTTAATTAATGATTCCTTCAGATGATATGGCTTTATATTAAATTAATTCCTGGATTTATGAATATATACAGATACCAATGATTTATAGCTTTTCTGCTATATTTGACTATAGTGATAAAACAACTTATTTCAGTTTATGAACCATATAATCATACAATCAAAACAGTCTGTTTTGCTTAGCTGATTTATGTTTTCCTAAAGCCAGAATTCACAATGACAACAGTGACAGTGACCACAGAAATTCCCCCAAGGGATAAGATGGAAGATAATTCTGCCTTGTATGAGTCTACGTCCGCTCACATTATTGAAGAAACCGAGTATGTGAAAAAGGTATGTGGGTAGCAGAAATCATTAGTATGATATGATTTTTTAAAGAGAAATTCCAATATGGGCTGGAGGATTTTGTTTCCCTCTCCATAGAACATATGTAAAGGAACAACCCTAGTTTGGCAAAGGACAGTCTTCCTAGCTGAAGTTTAAACCCATGTTTAGTCATTTCTCTTGAGGATACGAAACTGTTCCTATGCTTGGAGTAAAATGATTTTACTCACTCAGTAAAATTGAATAATGGGCCAGGAGGGTTCAGAACACCTATCAGCACTTAATTTGTCCCTCACTATTCACCACTGGATTTCCTACTGTTTTATAATGTTTTCCAGTGGTTTCATGAGTGTTGATCGTGTTCCCAAGTAGACGTTTACATTTCCTGCTGAGTTGGTGCCTCTCGTTACCTTGTTCCTTTTCACAGTTCAGGGTAACTATTGCCAGTGACTGTGGGTTGGCATATCACTTCATTAAACATGTGAAGTCTTATGAGAATCCAAAATGATAATGGCTGGCAGAAATATATATTCTTAACTGTTTCTTACAACAGACATGTGTTAAGCACTTAAAATGTGCTAGAGTAGGCCAGGTGCAGTGGCTCATGCCTGTAATCCCAGCACTTTGGGAGGCCGAGGCAGGTGGATCACCTGAGGTCAGGAGTTTGAGACCAGTCTGACCAACATGGAGAAATCCCGTCTCTACTTAAAATACAAAAAAATTAGCCAGGCTTGGTGGTGGGTGCCTGTAATCTCAACTACTCAGGAGGCTGAGGCAGGAGAATCGCTTGAACCCAGGAGGCGGAGGTTACAGTGAGCAGAGATCACACCATTGCACTCCAGCCTGGGCAACAGAGCAAGACTCCATCTCAAAAAAATTATAATAATAAAAAATAAAATAATGTTGTAGAGTATAAACCTGGCTCCTACTCTTACAGTCTTACAGTCTAAGAGGATGCTGAATAAAAAGAGAAATTTCATATTTTACCTTTTTGGATTATTTAATTATTTAGTGAAATAATGGACAAATTCTGGCATAGTTTATAACTTGTTCAGATTAATTAATTCCATCATCTTTGAGTGTCTTGCAACTCCATAGGTCATCAAGACATGGGCTTATATTTCATTCATAAATGTGTGTGATCTCTCAGTAATTATTCTGTAGTAATTACTTAATAGTAATTATTTTGTAGTAATTACTAGGTAGTAATTATTTTGTAGTGATTACTAAGTAGTAATTGTTTTATAGTAATTACTAAACAGTAAATTAGTACTAAATTACTAAATAGACAAAACAAAACTAAATAGTATTAAGTACTAATTACTAACTAATAATTTTTTGGGGGATAATATTCACTTAAGTGATATTTTAGATTTGTCTGAGAAAGAGTTATAAAGTCCAAATGCTTACCTTCAGCAATCTAAACAATATTAGCCTAAATGCAAGTTAGGTTGATGGTGGCAGTTATTTAAATCTGAGATCAATATATGTATATATGTATTACTTTCTAGATAATCAGGTACCCTGTAACTGGTATTGAGAAAAAAAGCGTTTGGCATTAAATGCCTTTGAAACAAATGGTTTTGTTTTCCTTCTCTAGATTCGAACTACTCTGCAAAAGATCAGGACCCAGATGTTTAAAGATGAAATAAGACATGACAGTACAAATCACAAACTAGATGCAAAGGTAATAATTTCCTGCAGAAGATTAGCATAAAGCCATTTAGACTTTTTAAAGTAATTTTTGGGCAATTACTAACTTCTTTGAAGATTCGAAGGATGAGTGTTGAAATATTTCATGCATATCTAAAGACGTTAATGGCCATATGTGTGAAATGTTTAACCACAAATGTTATAAGATCAAATTGGAATGGCTAGGCCTTACTTGAATATATTAAACAAGGCTTACTTATCGAAAGTAAATGAGAAGATGTTGGCCCAGCCAAGATCCATGACAGCAACATTTCCCAATGACAGGCAGAGCTTTTAGACTCACGTGGGCCACATGAATAGACACATACAGTTGAAGCTTTTAGGCCTGAGTTGAGTCAAGACTTTGTTAGATAGTTGATAAGTTTGAATGCACTCCCTTCCCCAACATCAGCTGTATATACCTAAGGTCGAGCAATCTGCACTTAGCCTTGTCTGGATTACACCAAGCTAAACCACATCTGAGCCAAGTGTACTTAATCAGTGTTGTCCACTATAGGCATGGCCACAGAGTCCACCAGAACGTGGGGTATAATGCATAAATGTAGTCATTTTCATCACCCTCAGCCTCCCACACTAACATAACTAGCTTCAATTATTATTTAAAATACTTCTAAACTAGAAAACAAGGTTATGTTTAGGAATGATAGGGAAGATTAAAAAATTCAGTTTGGGCTATGTTGAGCTGCCTGTTAGACCTCCAAGTAGAGGCTTCTAATAGGCAGCTGGACATCTGATTCTGGAGCTGCGGGTAGAAGACTGAGCTAGAAGGTCCAGGATACAGGGTAGAGATTTTGGGCATTTGAGGATTGTATTTAAAGTTCTGAAACTGGAGAAGTTTACCAAGTGAGTGAGTGTGGAGAGAAATGAGAGAAGATCTAAGGACTGAGTCTTGAGGGGACCGTTCCCAATGTTTAGATATCAGGAAGAAGAACCATCCCAGGAAGGTGAGATGAGGCTGGTGGATTAGGAGGAAAAGAAGGAGATTTCAGGGCTCTAGGGTAGAGCCAAGATGCTGCATTTCTAACAAGCTCCTGTTGATGCTGAGCTGCTGGGACCGTAGACCACAGTTGAGAGTAGCAAGGCCCTAGATTATCATGGCAAAATCTCTACAAGGCCAGAGGGCTGATGATTTGATGTGTGGTTGATCTGCTGACCTCTTATGGTTTGAAGTTACTCGTGTCAAGGCCACTTTAGCAGGAGTCACTGAAGGCAAATGAGGAGAGGGTTTCAGAAGCACGGCGGGACCCCTCTGTCAAATAATGTCCATGGGCCAAGGAAATTGCGGACTGAATGCCCACCATAGATAGGAGGAGCTTCTTAGGAATGGTGACGACACTGTGTTGCCATGTGTCTGCCTCAGCCACCTCAAACCACAGAAGGTCAGCAGATCAACCATGCATCAAAGCATCAGCCCTCTGGCCCTGTAGAGATTTCACCATAGTGATCTAGGGCCTTGCTACTCTCAAGTGTGGTCTGCAGTCCCAGCAGCTCAGCATCACCAGGAGCTTGTTAGAAAGGCCGCATCTAGGCTCTACCCCAGACCTCCTGATTCAGAATCTGCATTTTTAACCAGTTCTATCACCCAGTAGTTCACAGGCACATTGAAGTTTGAAAAGCACTGATCAATGATCTTTGTAGCCATCTACCACTGCTGATAATCTGCCTTCTTCAAGAGTTTTTTTTTTTGTCAAATATTCTTTAACAAATTAAAAAAGAAAATAATTCCTACTCTGTATATGAAGAGTGGAAGTATGCACTAGGGTCTTGACTCTAAAACACAAAACTGTGACAGAGTTACGGTGAGGGAGGATATTATCCACATACACTAAGTTCTTTTTGTTTTTTATTTCTGCAATCATAGTTATTATATTGTAGTGAAAAGAACATATATTTTGTTGTTAAACAAACTGGGATTCTAATTCTGGTCTGGCAGTTACTTTAGGTAAAACCTTAGGTGTGTTAGTTAAACTCTCATCTTCAAATTCCTCACCTGTGTAAAGGGCCTAGCACCTTCCAGTGTTTTGAGTATTCAGACAAAGGACTGTACATAAAACATCTAAAAGATGACCTGGCATATAACAGGTGTTTAACAAATAGAAGCTGTTATTATAATTGTAGTGTATGTGTAATTGTGTAATCATTTCTCAGTTTTGAAATAAATTGAAAGAACAGAAAGAGCACACAATAACTATTCAAGAGGCAGTGCCATGAGGTCTCCCGCTCACTTGCTGCATAAACTTGGGCCCTGGTCCTCAGTTTCTACATCTGTAAAATGGACAGTTTAAGTTAGGTGGTTTCCAATTTATTATCCACCTCCGTGTGTCCACGATTCCAGATGAGATTTATGTTCCAAGTGTATTTTCAGTGAGCTAGAGCTTACATCAGGTTATAATGGCAGTGTCATTCAGTTCTGATATCTCTGATTGGAAATTTAATATGAGGTAATTACAGTGAAGCATCACCAAACATTGACTATTATGTATTGTAACTATTAGGTCTGACAGTATTAGTCTATAATGCAATGTGACCAAAATGTAATTATGTCCACAACTTAGATTTTTAAAAAAATGTCTGGCCTTGTGGACATTATTTATCTCCTAAAAAGCCCTTATCAGTACATTTGAAACTATAGAAAATATAAAAGTTAAAATGTCATTCTAACTCTTTCAATATAAGAATCTGTTTAAATTTCAGCAAATTAGAAGTCAACTGCTTCATCTAGAATTTCCCATTGATATTTGAGATTCAAAAGATGTTTGTTTGTGCTGATCTGAAGCTTCTTTGATATATGTAATACTAAATGATCATTATTGTTGTCAAAGTTTGTAGAGGAAAAGATAGTCAGGTCTATGATTTTCATTTGTCCGTTTCAGCACTGTGGAAACCTTCAACAGGGCTCTGATTCTGAAATGGATCCTTCTTGTTGC
Organism: Homo sapiens; assembly: GCF_000001405.40. Lineage (NCBI taxonomy): Eukaryota > Metazoa > Chordata > Mammalia > Primates > Hominidae > Homo > Homo sapiens. Next base: position 54,938,043 of record NC_000018.10, on the reverse strand, counting down.
AGTTTGGATTTGCTTATGAAAAAGATAAAAGGAAAAGACCTACAGCTCTTAGAAATGAACAAAGAGAATGAAGTATTGAAAATCAAGGTATGACTTTTAGAAGTTTCAAATTTTGTGTTTTGAGCCTTCGAGCTAATAGAATGGGTTGTTAGCATCTGTGGCTCTGTAAAAGCAGAGAGATGTCCACACACATCCATAGGTCCATCTGCATGCTCACTTACATAGAGAAGCATTTTTATATTTCACAAATCATATCTCACTGTTTTATTTTTGAGGCTTCTTTTGTTATTGAAAATATCTTACAAAAGTTCAACAGTTATACAATTTCAGTCATGCAAGATGAATAAGTTCTAGAAATCTACTGCATAACATTGTGTCTATAGTTAACAATACTGTACTGTACACTTAGTACATCTCATGTTAATTGTTCTTACCACAATCCACAATACCTTTTTAAAAGTGTGTTCATATTTAATAAATATTAATTATAGCCTTCATAGTCAAATGTCACAATATTTTTACATTTGTCTATTGCTGAATGCTTTTGATTTTTCTCTTTAGGGGTTTATTTTATATGCAGTCCTGCAATGAATATCTTGGTAGGGAAGTCTTTATAGTCATCCTTGATTGTTTCCTTAGGTTAAATCCTGGAAAGATTCATAACATTTTAGCATTATTGTCCTCAATACTTTAACCTTGTCCCACTTCTATTTCAGGAAGATACACTTTTTAATAGTGTTATGGACATTAATGATAAAAGGCTTGCAAATAAGTGTATAAGCTGACAGAGCACCATGGAGTTATGTGAACAGTGAGGACTATCACTGCAGGACGTTACTATGCACAGAGCTCTGGTTTGGTTTGACTATGGCAAATCTGCCTGTTCAACAGCCCCTCTAAATAGGGAGTTTCTCATTTTACATTTTCCTCTTACCAAATAACAGTGTCTTCTCTCGTATCCATTGTCTATGAGGCTGTAAATGGTATAGTTATACCTTTGGTGTTCTTAATTGCCCATCAAACTGTTCTGCCTTTAACACTTTTTGTTGTAAATGTCAGAACATGCATAGTGACCTTTTTTCTAGCTGCAAGCCTCCAGAGAAGCAGGAGCAGCAGCTCTGAGAAACGTGGCCCAGAGATTATTTGAAAACTACCAAACGCAATCTGAAGAAGTGAGAAAGAAGCAGGAGGACAGTAAACAATTACTCCAGGTACCAAACATGCAGCTTGTCTATTGGAGAACTAGCCCCCACCCTGAGCTGTTGAAGTTCATCTTTCTAGAAGAGTTAGAAATGAAACAAGCAATGGCCAAGTGACTTGGCAAAAGACTTGGGAAAGAAGCGGTGTGCTTGTCTCTTTTGCCAATTTCTCTCACCCCTGCTTAGCCGGACACCCCAGATGTTGCTGAGCTGCTGTGTTGCAGTTCTTGCCCAGAGCCCCCATGAGCACAGGTGGGAGGGAGGCAGTGCCACCCTGCCTGGAAATCTGGACTGGCTCTGCGGAGCTGGGCTGGTAACTTCTCTTCGGGCTCTGCCGTTGACTCGCTAGATGGCCCAGACTGAGCCATTCTTCCTCTCTGGATTTGGGTGTCCTTGTCTCTAGAATGAAAGAGTTGGGCTAGACACATGCTTTCAAAATTGTTTTGGTCTTAGGATAGATACTTCGGATTTAAAAAAACAGAAAACAAAATATGTATCTATATATTTTTAAATAATATATAAAGTTATATATTTTATATATTTATATTTTTATATATTATTTAAAAATATATAACTATATATTTTTAAATATATATAACTATATATTTTTTAAAAATATATAGATATATATTTATCTATATAAATAATTATATATATTTATCTATATAATTATAATATCTAATATAATAAATAAATATATAATATCTATATAAATAAATATATTTATCTATATAAATAATATAGTTATATATTTTTTAAAATATAAATTTAGATGCTTTTATATTTTAATATGTAAATATGTATAAATTTTAAAAATAAAAATCATGTACAGACACTCAAACATATTCTTTTTTGTTCATTTGTTTTTAAATCTGAAGTATATATACTAGGACCAATAAAATCTGTCTGAAAAATATATTCTAGAACTGGAGGAGTCAAAAAAGTGTGTGTATGCCTGTGTGTGTGTGTTTGCCAAAATTAAAACTATAAAACAGCTAATAGGAAAGTTCATTCATCATAGTTTGGGGCACCCAGGTGTCTGTCAGCTCAGGCTCTAAGAAGGTCCTCAGGGGAGTACAGTAGGAAATTCACTGCCTAGGTGACACCCTTTCATGCATCAGGCTGTGGTAGTGATGGTTGCAAACTCACATGCATGCTGGGTGCAGATGAAGAACATAAGCGGGAAGCGGATGAGGGTGCTATGCTATGGGGGCGCTTGTGGGGACGGGAAGTGTGCATCCCTGTAATGTGGGCTCGGCACCAGCCTGGAGTGACCTGACTGGAAGGCCCACTTGGTATTTACAAGGGAAGCCAGACACTTATTTTTCCCTGTGAAATGTCAAGCTTTGTTAAATACACACACAGAAGAGTAACAAGTTAGTCGACACAGTCCCACTGTAGCTTACTGCCTGCTAGATGGAGTCTTCTCTCCTATGATGGTTCAGAACAACCCCTGCTCTATGCCTATGAAGTAGCACCATGACACACTGAGGAGTTATTCTGCTTTTATGACACTTTCTAATTAAACATAAAACGTGTTTTAATTGAACATGTAAGGTTTTTTTTGTTCTGGATAATAATTGTTGAGAAAAAGTCAAAAATGTTGCTTTCGTTAAATTAGCATCTTTCTCTCTTATACCTGTTCAGGAAGTATGCTTTATGGTAACAAATGGAAACATTCTAGGAAGAATATTTATACATTATTAATTCTCTATTTAATGTTGTTGTAGTCTATCAGGGTTATTTTGAAGTAAACACTGAAATCAAAAGAGTAATTCTAAACAAGTATGAATTCTGAATTTTTTTGGCTAATTAGAAAATTATAGAAAGAGGTAATATGTGTATAGGTTTAAGAAAAACAGAGTTTTCACAACACAACTGATTCTCTGACCATAGGTTAACAAGCTTGAAAAAGAACAGAAATTGAAACAACATGTTGAAAATCTGAATCAAGTTGCTGAAAAACTTGAAGAAAAACACAGTCAAATTACAGAATTGGAGAACCTTGTACAGAGAATGGAAAAGGTACGCCCCTGGAGAATTAGAGGATTTTCTTACTGACAGCATTAGGATGAGAATGAAATAAAATAATACTAAAATAAATAGGATATTAAATTAAATAAGATAATATTATGTGAAAGTATTCTTTACAATTCTTGGCCTTAGGAAGTATTTAATATTAATTTTTCCCATAAACATTTCATATGATCTATACTGTGGTGATTGATTTACCTTTCTGCAAATACTGTAGTCATATCATCATTTGTCACTTTCTCTTTCTAGGAAATATGTGACTTAGAAAGGGGAACCAGGTGAGGCTGTGAATGCAAATAATGGAAAAGATCACAAAGTCCATCTATTAGGAGTAATAATGTAGCAGTTCCCTGTAATCACAGCATTTTTATGTATTAGAGTCAGTGCAGTATCCATTTTTGGCCACCCAAGTCTACTTTGTGTTTGGAAAAACCTACGGCTGCACTAGGAGAGATACAGTTCACATTAAGAAAATCTATTCTATAGAAATTGGAACTTTAAGAAGGCATATTTAGAGAAGAGCAATAATAGAAGAAAAATTTTAAAATGTTTCATGCCATGTTCATTTAAGTAGCTGGCACTCAAAATATACACAAAAGGTGAACACATAAATTTGTGTATGTATGCCATAGAATTTAGAATTTGGACAAATCAAGGAATATTTTTTATTAGCAAAACAAAGAGAAAACTGGCATCTCTGAAACTGAATTGGGGATAGAGAAAAATATAGGCTTTGGATACTAGTAAATATTGCCCAATACATTTTTTATATTTATTGTATTTGCCTGTATTCTTTTTAGCTTTAATTTGTTTTATGAGTCTGCCTGGGTTTATGCCATTTTATAAATGTCATTTCAAAAACATCACATTTCAATATTCAGGTTTCTTACCAAAGGAAACTTGATTTGTTTAAAAATGTTTCCCAAGAATTTAAAGTTTTATGACATTGTGATTTGGTTGAATTTGTAGTCTTGGTGAAGCTCCTATGAGGAAATCACAAAAATTAAATATGCCCATTATCAAGTGGCTCTAAGATAATATTCAGCTGCATGTGTATTATGTGGAAGGTCACTGAGTGTTATACTTTAGCAGAATCACTGGGTTAGAGTCTCCTTAAGCAATTAGTTTATCCAGGCATGACAATTTATAATTATGCTGTGTTGGAAAAACTGTAATATTTGGTTGTATACTTGGTAGTGGTAGAATACTTGATCCTATAATAAATAGCTTAACAAAACTAAGATAGCACAAAGAATGTTTGCATTAAGGAAAGAAAGACAATTCTGGGAAACGAATAAATTGCTTAACCAAACAACTTGATTAACCAGCTTAAAATTTAAGTTTAGTCTAGAGCTCACGCCATCTCAAACCCAGTGATATTGGTCAGGTTTAGTGGCAACCGTCACTGCCCCCAAATTAACAAAAGAACAGGCTGGGCATGGTGGTTCATGCCTATAATCCCAGCACTTTGGGAGGCCGAGGTGGGCAGATCATGAAGTCAAAGAGATCGAGACCATCCTGGCCAACATGGTGAAACCCCGTCTCTACTAAAAATACAAAAATTAGCTGGGCATGGTGGCACGCACCTTTAGTCCCAGCTACTTGGGAGGCTGAGGCAGGAGAATTGCTTGAACCCAGGAGGCGGAGGTTGCAGTGAACCGAGATTGCACCACAGCACTCCAGCCTGGTGACATAGCGAGACTCCGTGTCAAAAAAAAGAAAGAACAGTGGAAGATAATTTCTATTTCCTAGTAATCCCAAGAAATGTGTACTAGATGTTAGTTCATCTCAGAGTTCTGGGGTATATTTACTTGACTGTTTACTAAACAAATATTTGAACACCACCATGTGTAGCATAGAACTAGGGGCTGAATATATATTTGTGAATGAACCAGACAGTCTCTTTTTGTGGAGATGACAATGTAGTATATCTGGATTGTGTGAGGCTCAAGGAACTTCCCAGATCTCCCTTTCTTAATTCCTCTATGAGTCCTTTAGGGAGGCTGAAAGCCCAGTCAAAGGCAGAGGAGCATGCCCCAGAATAAGGTTCAGTGGCTCAGATCCTGGCAGGACATTCTTGGGAAGTGATGGCCTATCTCCTGCCCTGATAATAACTCGCAACAGTGGGCTGTCTCCAGGAGATCTTGGACAAAGGAAGCAGACAGGATGCACATGGCTTAGTAAGGCCATGCAGCAACCTTCCAGAATAGTTCAGTGACTTTCTGGAGGGCAAGCCTACTGGAATCTCTGGAGGGTGGAGGTAAGTGTGGATGATGTGGAGGGGAAATGTGCAGTTTTATTTAAAATAAAAAATGATTTAGGCCAGGTGTGGTGGCTCACGCCTGTAATTCCAGCATTTTGGGAGGCTGAGGCAGGAGGATCGCTTGAGGCCAGGAGTTCAAGACGAGCCTGGCCAATATGGTGAAACCCTGTCTCTCCTAAAAAAAAAAATTCAAAAATTAGCTGGGCATGGTAGCATGTGCTTGTAGTCCCAGCTACTCTGGAGGCTGAGGCATGAGAATCACTTGAACCTGGGAGGTGGAGGCTGCAGTGAGCCGAGATGACGCCACTGCACTTCAGCCTGGGTGATACAGCAGGACTCTGTCTCAAAAAAAAAAAAAACCAAATTGGTTTAAAAATATTTTATATTTGTGAAACAAGCAAATAAATAAAACTATAAGGAATGAAGTTTGGCAACTTCTTGGTTTAAAGAGAGACTGAGAAGACAGGCTGTGAGGAAGGGTGTCTCAGGTGGGGAGCGCAAGCCAGAGTAAGGGGAGGGTGTACTGGGCCTTTTGTATTAATAGGAAAAAGACACAAGTTCAAAAAGAAAGTAAAACTTAAAAACAAACATCCTCACAAAGGTTGATAAATATTGGCCTGGTCGTAGGTGCCCCCTGGAGAAAAATTTACTTGCTACTCACTTGAACAATCCACCGCTCCAGTAAATAGCCATTAGTAGTATGAGGTCTGGTAATGAACATATTACTTAAAACCTTCACCGTCTGTCCCACTTTAATCAGGAATGCAGTGAGAATGAATTCCATAAGCACAGTGATAAGCTAGCAAAAATGCCCAATAAGAGCATTTTAATATGGCATATGTTCCGTTTGCTAGCAGTGCAATTCTGTTACATCATATTTGTTTTCTAGTGTCATTGATTTAGCTCCATTGCAATTTTAGAGCTCAAAGGCACTTTTGAGACCACCTAGTTCCTCATCATCATTTTATAAATGAGGACAGCATGAACCAGAAACTATTCCACAATCCTCCACTTTCTAGATCACAACCCTTTCCATTATGCCCCCGTCTTCTCTAATGCTGGACAAAAATGATAGACTTGGTTCCAAAACATTTAGATGTTAGCATTTGGCAATGATTGAAATTGGTGCCCTCTCCGATCAGCCTGGTGAGGGAAACCTGGAGCTGTCTGGAGGTATGGCTCTGGGAATAGTGGGGTTGCCCACTGTGTGGTGCTGTGAACTCCCTTTCCCTTTCCTGAAGACATTGCCTGAGAAGCGCTATCTGGTATGGTGAGATTTTCTGTATTGTCAAAGAGGAGGCAAAAAGAACCCAAGCTAGATGGCAGAGCCTGGCCAAGGGAGAGCATTTACTTGTCCGGTTGTCTGGTCCCCTTGACCCCTGTTTATGAAAATCCATTAACCAAGAGTAAGTCTATTTAACATTTGTTAGGCACTATTTTCCCTCACCCTACAAATTCAAAATACATTATCTGTGGTGTGTTTTTTTTGACAATCCAAGCCTTATCATACGCTTGTAAGATGTATCTGTGGGCCGGGCGCAGTGGCTTACACCTGTAATCCCAGCACTTTGGGAGGCCAAGGCGGGTGGATCACCTGAGGTCAGGAGTTCGAGACCAGCCTGACCAACATGGAGAAACCCCGTCTCTACTAAAAATACAAAATTAGCCGGGCGTGGTGGTACATGCCTGTAATCCCAGCTACTCGGGAGGCTGAGGCAGGAGAATCGCTTGAACCTGGGAGGCGGAGGTTGCAGTGAGCCAGGATCGCACCATTGCACTCCAGCCTGGGCACCAAGAGCAAAACTCTGTATAAAAAAGAAGGAAAGAAAGAGAGAGAGAGAGAGAGAGAGAGGGAGGGAGGGAGGGAGGGAGGGAAGGAAGGAAGGAAGGAAGGGAGGGAGGGAGGGAGGGAGGGAGGGAGGGGAAGGGAAGGGAAGGAAGGAAGGAAGGAAGGAAGGGAGTGAGTATCTGTGATCCTTCAGAAATAATTTGAACACAGCTAGGGAAACTCCAGGACAATTTCTATCTGGCAAGAATACTATAAGAAAAATTTGAAAAAGCTAATTTTAAAACATAACAGAACACATTAAGATTTGAAGTAATTAGTGCCTTCAAATTATTATATATTGAGGTCCAAATATGTGCCAGGAAGCCTGTATGCCTTTTACATATATTATCTCTATTATCCCAACATTTCAATATAGGTAATATTATCCCCATTTTAGGAATGCTCAGAAGATACAAATATAAGTCAAATGAATATAGAATGAATACAAGTCAAATGTTGTAACTAACTCATTAATTAATGAGGGAAACAGTAAGATGAGAAAGCTGGTTTAAATAAAATATTTTCAGAAACTAGCCATTTATAGGCATTTTGGAGAAAAAGTGAAAAATAGTATAGGAGTACTAGATTAAATTTTTAAAAAATGGTTAATATTCTTTAAGGCAATTAAATCATAACCTTTGGGATTATGTCTTCTACCGGACAGAAATCTACAAATTTACATGCAACTTCACAGACTCAGGGCTCTAATGAAATAATAAATAATAAAAGCGAACACAGGGAAATTCTCTGAGAGAATTAAATAAATCTTGGGTCAGATGATTAAATGATGACCCAATATGATATTAAAACTGCATGCTGTATATTGTTTTTATTTCCAAGTTTGGGTTAATTTTTCTTAACATTGGTAAGGCCCAGAGAGTTTAAAACCTCGGCCAAAATTTAGAAACCAGGTAAGTCCCTATGTACAGTCTTTGTGATGTTTCTTCTATACAGCACTGCCTTGCTGTGTACCACTCACTCAGATGCTGCAGCGGGAAGTAATTTTAAACAGCATTATGGTTTCGGCACGCCTCTTCCAGTCAATTCCATCCATGTTGCCAATACCAATTCCTGCCTTTTTTCAATCTCCCTTGATTCTTTCCAACTTGGCAACCTAAACCATCAGGCCAAAGCACCAAATTCCTTTTTTTCAGCTGAGTGCCATCAAATATAAAATGAACACAGTCATCTCAGCTTCGTTTTTCATGGTCTTGTCTGTTTTCCTTTTGGATGGAAAAGCTTTGGCTTAATAATCAAATTAAGGCATCTTTTTAAAAGATATTCTTTCCTAGCATCATAAAATTGCAATCTCAGTTTCTCCTGTATCCTAATTGGAAAGCAGTTGTATCCTTTGTGGCCTTGATCCTTCATCAAAAACATGTTTATTGCTTTACTACCTTCTGACAGATGCCAAGTAGTATGTAGAGGTATCTAGTGTCCTTGGATACCAACAAGTCAGTCTAATGTAGGCGAAACAGGTGTAAGGGTGGGAGAGCCAGGGTCTAGCGAGAGATGGGCAGGATGTTTACATGTGGTAGGATGGGGAGAGATTAGTGGGAGAGGTTGAGCTGAACAGGCTATGGGCAATGCCCTGGAGGAGGAGCAGAAGAAGTCCTCCAGGCAGGTGAGAGAGTGAAGACAACTATTTTTGGCCTATAGTTGAACTATGTGCAAAGCACACAGGAGAATACTTGGCCAGGTTTCCTTGAAGATGAGGAGTAACAGCACATGTGAAATTAACTCTTTAGCTCAAGCCATAGTTATAGTATGACAAGAGGAAGGCCTTACCAAACATACACATGCAGTTTAGCAAAATTTGTATCTTATTTTCTCCTAGGAAAAGAGAACACTACTAGAAAGAAAACTGTCTTTGGAAAACAAGCTACTGCAACTCAAATCCAGTGCTACATATGGAAAAAGGTTTGTGAAGCTACCTGTTAAGTAAAGGCAGTTCCTGATTTCTTTCCTGTCCACTGGTATGCCAGCCAGGGAACAGAAGACCTTCTGTCCCCCAAAGAAATAGGATGACTGACAGTGCAGGAGGAAGGTTGAATTCTTGGGATTAACAGTCATGTAGTTATGTGCCTCCCCTTCCTCAAACTCAGAGGAATCACAGGGCAGTTGGGAGCCGGGGGCAGAGTTCACTGGGGGTGCAGGGAACCCTGCAGGAAGGTTAGTCCTTCTAAAGAGTGAATGAGTGAGTGAGCCTGGCACCTCCTGGTTTACCATTTGTGCTAAGGAGGACGCTTGAGAGATCTTTATTCCCTGATGCTTCTGTGTTTATTAATGAGTCACTTCTACAGCAGATATTACACTGGCCAGCCCACAAGCAGAATTCTAAGACAGTTTCCTGATACTCCTTAATTCTGTAAGGTGAAGGAAATGCTATGGACAATATCCTTAGTCCTTTGGACTTACTTATAAATACTCAAAGTTCACAAGCAGTCACAGTCCTCAGTATGCTGGGGATGGGTTTGTGGATATCACCATAATCGCTGTGCTACTCAGCCGCTATTAGAAAAAGTCTCTGTATTATCATGTAATAAATCATATCATAAGACATTTTATGAGATTTTTCTTTATTTTTAAAAAATTCTAAGTCCAACACAGTCATTGTATGTTCCGATATAATTATATAATATTGTTCAAAGTCAAATCGATTTCAAGATCTTAGTTTGTCATCCTAGAACTGTTGTTCACTAGGGTATCAGGCACCATTATGGACAGAATTGTTGTCATTTATTCAATGATGTGTGCTCAGACATCCCTCTTTCTCAGTCTTTCGATTTCCCCCCTACAGGCTCCCTGCTGCTTCCTTTCCTTTTTTATCTTTCTTCCCACCTGTCCTCATATGTTGTACCTTCTGCCTGGCTTGTAATCCTGCATTTTGGACCACATATGCCAAAGCCCAGAAATGGGCTGATCCTGGCAATTACACACACACATTTGAAACATACTAGGATACCAATATGTTATTAATTTTCCTATCTTCTTCCCTGTAACAAACATATAGCCCAAGAGAGTGGACTTCTAAGATAGTTTTATAACACTGAACATTTCTGTAGAGATTGAAGGAAATACTGTAGAAAGTATCCTTAGATCTTGGAATTACATATGGATATTCATAACTTAATTCTAAGTACATCTTCAGTTAATATTTTTTCTTAAATAGGCAGAGCTTTTCCAGGTAGCAGAACTACTGATTTGTACGCATCTTCCATTAAAAGTTCAGGCCTTCCAAGCTTGATTTTTTTTTTCCTTTAAAAAATGTGTTTTAAAAAAAATTGGTGATAGGGCTATTGTCTGTCTTTGAGCCAACAATATACCTGTTTTAAAAACCAACCTGATCTATTCTTTCTCTTCTATTCTATATAAGCAGTTGTTATAAATAATTCTTTAAAAGCTCCTAAGGAAGTTTTAGAAATTTCTTGGGAAAAATGGATGTTTGGTGTTTCTAGAAAGGTTTTTCCAACATCCAGGCTTATGCAATTTTTACAGATTGTAGGTATCATACATATTTGTGATGACTTATTACTTTGTCTGAGCTTTATGTAGAGGCATTCAGTTTGTGAAGTAACAAGAAAATGAAATCAGTATGACTCAGACTCTTTTGGTTGAAATAACAGAGACTTGATTAAGCTACTACAAAAAAGACAGTTTCTGTTAGGTTAAGATTAGATAGATATGGTCATAAAAAAGAGACAGAAAAGTCAAAAAGATTTGTCTTCTTAAAAATAAGGTTGACTCCATATTTCTATTACCATTACTGGTAATTGACACAGGTAAAATGCTTTGCAGTTTTCAGAATAACCTCAGGTAACTTCTTTATTTTATTCCTTTCATTCACCTTTCTGGGAAAGAGATGAAGTTCTAATTGAGTTGTCCAAGATTGCTCAATCTCTCAGAAATTATAGAGCTCGGAGATTTTGCTCCTACATTCTCATACATAGCAAAGCATTAGCTCATTCTGCTATACAAGATTTTGACCATCTTTCTTTTATTTCTAGAAACCTCTGAAGATCTCTTAAACTGGGTTCTTCATTCCTCTGAGTGACGACTAGCAAAAAGCCATTTTCCAACTTTTCCATCTGCCCTGCCACATCACGAACAAATATGCAGGCCTTTTTAAGAGTTATCTTTTGGGGAAACATATTTGGGATTGATATGGTTTGGCTGTGTCCCCACCCGAAAAGATGAGAATCTTGAATTGTAGTTCCCATAATCCCTACATGTCATGGGAGAAACCTGGTGGGAGGTAATTGAACCATGGGGGCGGTTAGCCCAATGCTGCTGTTCTCATGAGTTCTCACAAGTTCTGATGGTTTTATAAGGGGCTTTTCCTCCTTTTGCTTTGCACTTCTCCTTGCTGCATGGTTTTGGCCCGCCATGTGAAGAAGGACATGTTTACTTGCCCTTCCAACATGACTGTAAGTTTCCTGAGGCCTCCCCAGCCCTGCAGAACTGTGAATCAACTAAACCTCTTTCCTTTATAAATTACCCAGTCTCGGGTATGTTTTCATAGCAGCATGAGAACAGACTAATACAGGGAGCTGTAAAAATAAACAGTGTTGGCCCCTCTGTATTTACATAGATGCTGCTTAGGAATGGAAACTCCTTAGAGGAGGAAAGACCTTGAAGCTGAGGTTGCATGTCAAAGCATATGGTTGCCACTTAAATTGTACATTTATCTGCAGTAGTTTGGGGTGGGAGTGTTCTCTCAAGGCACCCCTTTGGTACCACCAATGAAAATAATAATAAAGAAGAATTTTATAGAAAATAGTAAGACACATTCATGAATTTTGTTGAAATGCAAACAGGGCTACACCTACATCCAAGCTGATTCTTTCCCTTAGTCTGGCCTGGGAATGGTAAGGATCTGACCTCTTCTCTTCTTGTGGTTGTGGTCCCTAGTTATCCTTTATTCCACTGGGGGCCCATAGTCAGTGATGTTTACACTCATGGAAGTCCAGAGAAACATTGGATCCTAAACAGAAGGCAGTATGAGTCCCCACAGATGGTAGTAAGATTCTTTTATAGCTTCAGAGAAGCTCTACGATGCCACTAATCTCACTATCTTCTGTATCCTGTGGGATTTCTATGTAGGGCTATTCACATTTCCAATGCCTCTATAATCTGTAGTGTACCCAGAAGTAGCCTCTTAGAGCCTGCAACATGGCTTTCGTTGCTACTTTTATTTCCTTTGTCTCAGCACCTAGTTCTTTTGGCTTCTTCTGGAATTTTCATTCTCATCAACATCTTACTACATGAATCCTTGATAAGAAATGTACTTTATAAAGATTTAAACATGTTATATTCTTGAGTTGTGTAAATATGGCCATGCTCAGGCTATTCATGCCCTTTGTGAAATTTTTAAGAAAATCTAAGGTTATTTATAAAAACTATGTAAAATATAATATGATTACTTAAATTAGAAAAAAATTAGATGATGAGGACAAGGAGATATAAGAATAGGTATACCATAAGGTTACATTTACAAAATTAGGCCCATGGATGCTACAGACTTGCTCACAGGGGATCACTGACTCAGTTTCAAATTTTCCAGCAGCCAACCCAAACAGGAAATGATGATTAGTTTTCTGAGTCACAATTCCACATGATTAAAACCAATCAGGTGTTTGCGATCATTCAGTTATTTCTTATCTATCTATAAAGCCAGAAAGAAAATTGCCCAGGGTATGGTCATAAAAAGAACCCTGAATAATGTTTTCAGCTTACCCCTTGTAATAAACACAAAGGCTTACCTCAGAACATCATCTAAACAGAATAGCATGATGCCAACACAATTCAATAAAAGCCATTGGAACAGGGGGGAACAGAGGGCACGGTGAGAAAGTCCAATAATGCTACCCGCTATGGTATAAGTTGACCCAAAGATAGATTGTCGAGTATTGTGAGGAGTGGAGGGAGAGAAGTTCTCCATGAACTCAGTTTCTTTTCACCAACCCTTTGGGAGACGTTGGGGAGTAGAGAAATTGAGGGTGGGCTTCCTGTCAAGTGCTTCTTCTATGATCATCCCATGTTGCTAATTAGAGGCAAAGTAATTTCTTTTCACATTTCTGCAGTTAAAGATAGGATTGACTTCCTTTCTTGAATGCTAAGGAATCTAACAGGAAGTGAACCAGAAATAGTTGTCTCTTCCCCCTCCTTCAGTGATGAATTGAGAGAGAATCCTCAATTCCCTCCTTCAAAAGGGTAGGGCAGAGATTCTCTTCTCTTTTTGTTGGGGCTTTTTCTGCTTGCCCCCATTGGCATTCCAGGCTGCTGTTTTTTTCCAGCTCCAAGTCTGGGATGTGTGAGATAAAAAGAAACCCCAGAGGATTCACCATTGTGTCATTTCTTGGATCCCAGGTTCCAGAGCCAGTCTGCCTTCTTCTCTCCGCTGTTCAGAGTCTTCTTGTGTTTTTTTTTTCATATACAATATCCAGGGCTTTTAGTTGTATTTAGCAGGAACAATGGGGAAAAGCATGTATTCTACATTTTCTTAGAAGCCAAAGCTTTTCAATTCTGCTTTAATTTCAACATTTGCTTTATATTTTTATTCAGTTGCATTGTAGAGGAAAACATGATCAAAAATTATGTTGAGACATTGGAAGGCAGAGCATGAATCCCAGATACAGACATTTGCCTCCTTTTTTTAGGCTTGACCCTTCCTTATGTTTTCTTCCTCCAGTTTTGCTTGTGTACCTCTTTATTAAGATTGGGCTAGGTGCAGTGGTTGATGCCTGTAATCCCAGCACTTTGGGAGGCTGAGGTGGGCAGATCACTTGAGGTCAGCCTGGCCAACATGGTGAAACCCCGTCTCCACTAAAAATAGAAAAATTAGCCGGGCATAGTGATGGGTGCCTGTAATTCCCAGCTACTCAAGAGGCTAAGGCAGGAGAATCACTTATACCCAGGAGCTGGAGGTTGCAGTGAGCCGAGATTGCATCATTGCACTTCAGGCTGGGTGACAGAGTGAGACTTTGTTTAAAAAAAAAAAAAGACTGAGTGCTTTAACAGAAAGATAAATAACAAAGCTCAAAAGAAGATCAAGTGGCAGCTTACTTAGATATATTTTTACATTTAAAGGTCTTAAATGGATGACTAGGCTTCATATTTATTGGACAGTCCTAATAGAGATTTTCTGCAATGGCCTTTAGTCACTGTTTTAGTGTGTTAATGGAGACAAGTGAAGCCCCAAGGCCATGTGTTTTCAAGAGTGCTTCTAGAAATAGTTTTCTTCTATTTTGAGGCCAATTTCAATTTTTTTTTTTTTTTTACTTACAGTGAACGCTATGGTAATACCTTCAAGGAGTACATGGGAAATTTTTCTGAGCTTGGGATTTTTGATAGAAAAATAACAACCTATGTTCTCTGTGCCTAAAGCCATCTTTTTTTCCCATTGGTTCCAAGGTTCTGGGTCATGGGACACAAAAAGAACCATTTTAAATTCTCACCTTACTCACCTTTAACAGCTTACAGTATTTTTATATTTCGTGCATATTCAAAGCCAGCTTGCCTCTGCGAGGCGTCTTAAGCTCTTTCTCATTACTTCCTGGGAAAGTCCTGAGTCTGACCATTAAGTGGGTCATAGCTGCTCTTTCTGTTATTTTTATCTTTTCTTCTTTTACTTTCCTTGCTGGAGCAATTTTGAATTTTAGCACCAGCTATGGACCCAATTTCTGTTTGCCCTCTGTGTTTTGATCTTTTTTTTTTTTTTTTTTTTTTTTTTGAGACGGAGTCTTGCTCTGTCACCCAGGCTGGATTGCAGTGGCACGATCTCGCCTCACTGCAACCTCCACCTCCTGGGTTCAAGCGATTCTTGTACCTCAGTCTCCCAAGTAGCTGGGATTACAGGCGCATGCCACCATGCCCGGCTAATTTTTGTATTTTTAGTAGTGACAGGGTCTCACCATGTTGGCCAGGCTGATCTCGAACTCCTGACCTCAAGTGATCCACTCGCCTTGGCCTCCCATAGTGCTGGGATTACAGGTGTGAGCCACCACACCCAGCATAATTTTTGCATTTTTAATAGAGATGGATTTTGCCATGTTGGCCAGGCTGGTCTTGAACTCCTGGTTTCAAGTGATCTACCCGCCTTGGCCTCCCAGATTGCTTGAATTACAGACGTGAGCCACCATGCCTGGCCTGTTTTGATCTTTATATCCTCCAGTCATCTTTTCCTAGTAACTGAGGTTTTCTTCTGAGGCTCCTTAGTTACCCCATCCTCTGCATGTTCGCAGCAATTCTACCCTCCAAGGGTTCTGAGCAACATCTGCAGATTTCTCAGTCCTGCCTCTCGCACACTCCCAATCTCCCCGGACTTCTGAAGACATCCTGCCCCTGAAGATTCTCTGTGGGCGGTAAGCCTTCTCACTGTTTGTTCAGAATGTTTGCCAACATCCAAAGTCTGGTCTCACCTTGGAAGGCTCTTCCATCTCCCCGCAACATCCTTAGGGTGTGGCACCTTACCCGCTGGGGGTGCTGAAATTTCCTCAGTCTCCCGTGCCTCAAGAAGCCTCTGAACCTCAAGTCTAGGGACAACTGAAATCTAATGTGAATACAGGCTGGTGTGCTGATGCAGCCATTCTCTGAACTTGAATTTTGGAAATACTGAGGGCTCAGTATTGCTGCTATTGTCAGTTCAAACTACATGGGCACAAAGCGTTTTCATCTGAATCAGGCATCCAGCTTATTTCTTTTCAAACACTTCCTGCCGTGGACCATGGAAAAAAAAACAAGGGGACTGCTTGTTTATTTACTTGGTTCGGATTCCCTACTGCCCCTCTCTAAGAGAAAAAGATCAAAGTGAGGCTTTCTGCCAGGTATGGGGTCCTTTAAATGATCATGTTATAAAAAGCAGATAAAATATTGGCACAGCTGAACTAGTTAGTGATCTTCCTTCAGCCTGCATTGACCGTTTACATTTCTTTCATAGCTTTTCTTAGTTTCATAGTTGCTTGTAGTGTTAATCAAGAGGAGGGAAATGGACTTTCACAGTGAGATTTCGTTGTGTAGGTATGATAATCAGACATGTTTCCGATTATCATCTAAAACAGAGTAGCACGCTTGACGCGTGTTCTTGTTCCCCCGTCATTTTGTGTCTTCTCTTTCTGTTCTCTGCATCCTTCTCCCAGGCCCCTCATTTGCTTCACTCCCCTCACCAATGTTGTAGGCGTCCTGTTCCCTGTAGATTTCTTGTGGCTGTACTCCCAAACATTCTCCTATCTTCCCCTCCTGTCTCTTTCTAGAGTCCTGGAAGATTACAATAATTTCTTTTGTAATTGTAAATTGTAAACTTCTTTTGTTTTCTTTCCAGGACTCTATTGGACCAATTAAAATAAAGCTTCTGATTTTTTGTTTTAATTTCAACTTTTATTTTACCTGTGGGAGTACATGTGCAGGTTTGTTACGTGGGTATATTGCCTGATGCTGAGGTTTGGGCTACTATTGAATCTGTCACCTAGGTAGCCAGCATAGCACTCAGGTAGTTTTTTAACCCTTTCCCCTCCATTCTTTCCCCCTCTAATAGTCCGCAGCGTCTATTGTTTCCTTCTTTACGTTTGTGTTTGCCCAGTGTTTAGCTCCCACTTATAAGTGGAATTGTGCAGTATTTGATTTTATTTTTATGCCTTAATTCACTTAGGATGATGACCTTCAGTTGCATCCACGTTGCTGCAAAAGGCACAATTTCATTCCTTTTTATGGCTGCATAGTATTCCATGGTGTATATATAACACATTTTCTGTATTGAATCCACTGTTGATAGGCACCTAGGTTGTTTCTATGTCTTTGCTGTCGTGAATACTGCTGTGATGGACATAAGAGTACACATGTCTTTTTGGTAGAATGATCGGTTTTCCTTTGGGTATATACCCAGTAATGGGATTGTTGGGTTGAATGGTAGTTCTATTTTTACCCTTTTAAGAAATGTCCAAACTGCTTTCCAAAGTGGCTGAACTAATTTACATTCCCACCAACAGTGTATAAGCATTCCCTTTTCTCTGCATCCTTGCCAACATCTGTTATTTTTTTACTTTTTAATAATAGCCATTATGACTGCTGCGAGATGGTATCTCATAGTGGTTTAGATGTGCATTTCTCTGAAACAATGTTTTAGTCCATTATATGAAACAAAATGAAAACTAATAACTCTTTTTTTCTAATTAGAACATGCTATATAGTATTTTATGAATTTCTGCTATCTTTGTGATACACATAGAGGCTGAGGTGGGTGGATCAGCTGAGGTCAGGAGCTCAAGACCAGCCTCGCCAACATGGTGAAACTCCATCTCTACTAAAAATACAAAAATTAGCCAGGTGTGGTGGTGCATGCTTGTAATCCCAGCTGCAAGAATTTCTTGAGCCCAGAAGTGGTGGTTGCGGTGAGCCAAGATCGCCTCACTACACTCCAGCCTGGGCGACAGAGTAAGACTCCGTCTGAAAAAAAACAAACCAACAACAACAAAAAAAAAAAAAAAAAGAAAAAAGAAAGAAACAGAATTGGGATGACATTGGATAAGAGCAAAGGCCAAGTGACTTCTCCGAGGTCACAATGCTTCTAAGCTTGATGGTGTTGCCACAGTGCATGTGGCTTCATAACTCTAATAACAGTAGCAAGAAGAGAAACAGCCAAAACAGTACAACCAATTCCAGTTACCTGAATGAAGCTTTGGGAAAGTATAAATAATCTAAATTCAAAATTGACTTTTTTTTCCATAATGATGGATGTGGACTCAAAAATATTTGCTGGAATTAAATTTCTTCCTTTCTTCTCCTTTTTTCCCCCCGTTTCCCTATGGAATGATAGTAGAATTACCAAAAGTAGGAATCCAAAAAATAAAAAATAAAAAAAGACAAACACAGACAATCCACAACATATACTAAGCCCGAATCATTAGAAATTGGTTTCTTATAAATATATTAATAGATAAAATCTCCATTTCTGCTCCCATGTTCTGACTCTGCTATTGGCATGCAATTGTCTGTGAAGTTTGATGGGTGCCAGGTCTGTGGGTGCTTAGGCAAGGCAATTTAGCGTATAAGTGCTTTATCGTACTGAATATAACTTGATTCCACTACCTGCTAGAGGAGTCACAGATGGCCAGAATGGAGATTTTGATGGGAATTGATATTCTCATTCAAGTTAAATCCAATCAAATTAGAGCCCGCTTCATAGCTATTTATCTTCAGTGTGTCCTATGTGGCATAATGGGGCCCCGGGGTCTTACCCAACTGATCCCCAGTAGCAGTAGAGTGTGTAGGAGGGCTAGCAGTAAGGACGAGCTATGGAACGTGTGAGCCAATCATTTTCTCTTGGTCTTTTTCCCTTTGCATTCCCAGTTGCCAGGATCTTCAGAGGGAGATTTCCATTCTCCAGGAGCAGATCTCTCATCTGCAGTTTGTGATTCACTCCCAACATCAGAACCTGCGCAGTGTCATCCAGGAGGTCAGATTAATCAAGTGTATTTATCTGGTAGACAGTATGTTTACAGCGTGGAGCCCAAATACGAGTGGCTTGACTGGACTTTTGAAGCAATGAGATTTCTCTCCCTACTGACATATCCTTTTTTGTTTCTCATGCAATATGTCTCTGTTTTCAATGCCCTCTCTTGTTTGTAACAAAAACACCTGTAATGCTCTCGATGAAGATAGCTTGGAAAGTTATGTATAACTGTTTTTTAGATGTTTCAGTGATTTTCTAAAAGTCTTCTGCGCCAAATAATGTACACTGGTCTTTAGACAATTTTGTAGATCAGGAGATTCAGCCCTTCCTTGAGTATGAAATGATCTGTTTTCATAACCTCATAATTTATTTAGGACATGATTTAGGATAGGGGTGTAGCCTGGCCCTTCTTCTCTGGGAGCAGCCTGATAGGTGGCAAAGTCGAGGCGATTGTGGTAACAGCCAGCTAGATGGCGGAGTGTGTATTTAAAATCTACTTCAAGATATGCATTGATCTGGTTTTGGGGTTCTGTTTTAAAATTTAAAATCAGACTTCTATTCAGGTACTTTACTGCCAAATACAAGTCCTCCCAAATACTCCAGAGCCTTCCTCACATAGATATAGCATTTGTGCTTGCTTGGCTATGACATCACTAAAAGGCCAGAGAATTGAGTAGTGGAATTTGAGAGCCAGGAGGGACTTTGGGGGCATCCCACACCCTCTTTTTATAGAGCAGTTTAATGACAGCTAGTGGTGCCAAAGTTGGTCTTAGAATCCTTGTGTCCCCTCTCTTCTTACACTGCTTTGCATCTCATCACCCCACCTCCCAATTCCACATTGCCTCTTGGCAAAGCAGGCTCACCTTATTATGCTGCTGCTTGACAAATCTCTACTGCAGGGACCCTCTGCACACCAGGCAGTGGTCTCGCATCCTGTCCACCAGCAGCTGCATCTGCAGGATGAAAACATTAAGTTGCTGAGATGCAGAAGGGCGGCCAGTGCTGCTTTCACAGGACGCACTCCTGCTGAACTTGGTTTAAACAGGTTATCCAAAGATTAAAGTGAATCACGGCACCAGCTGAGGGCTTTCAGCCCCAGGTGTCAGTTTGGCCTGCTATTTTCTGTTGCCTGCTGAGTCTGCTAATGCTTTGGGATTTAATTTTTTTTTTAATTTGATGAACATCTTTTGACCTCAGAAATCCATACAATTTCTGACTTAAGTAACTATTTCCTGTGGTCTGACAAGGTTTTTCCTATTGTGTTTTCTAATTCTTAGATGGAAGGATTAAAAAATAATTTAAAAGAACAAGACAAAAGAATTGAAAATCTCAGAGAAAAGGTTAACATACTTGAAGCCCAGGTAAGGAGGGAACCTGTCTTACATTTTGTTGTGAGGGTGTGAGTGTGTGTGTGTGTGTGTGTGTGTGTGTGTCTGTGCACGTGAGGGTATCAGTATCAGTGAGCCTGTGTATGAAAGCATGCATTGTATGCCTGTATAACACTACGAGTATGTCTGTTTGGGAGCGGGCATATGAGTGTCTGTGTGACTGTGTGTGCTGGGTCTGTCTATGTCTAAGTGTATGTGCATGTGTCTCTGTGTGTATGCAAGTGTCATTTTGTGAGTGTGTCTGTGCATATTCTATGCATAAGAAATTAGCACTATGGAAAAAAGGACTGACAATTTAACAATTGTTAAATTATGAAGTGTTTAAAAGATTGTATTGTTATTAAATTATTAGCATTTTTGTTACATATTAAATAAATATTATTAAATTATTATTAAAAGTTCATTCGGATTTTCCAGAATACTTGCTGTAATGGAGAGGCAGATGATAACTTCTCTCGATATGGGCTTGAATCAGAGGCTTGCTCAAATCTACTCTTGTGTAAATTTCACTCTAGTCAGACGGCCAGGCTTCCTGTCTCCTGCTTTGGTTCCCATGCATGATCCTTTCCTGGCTTGGGATGTCCTCTTTCCTCCTTTCTTCATTCACATCCATCCTGGCCTCCCAGCTTTGCCTCCAGGCTTACCTACTTCTAGAAGCCTGTTATAATTGTCTTACTTTTCAGTGTTTTAAAACTGAGCACAATACAATCTAATGTCCTGGGATAAGACATGCTTTTCTTCTCTCCCATTCACTTCCCCTTTCCTCAGGACCCCTCTATTAGTCTGTTCTCACACTGCTAATAAAGACATACCCAAGACTGGGTAACTTATAAAGAAAAAGAAGTTTAGTGCACTCACAGTTCCACATGGCTGGGGAGGCCTCACAATCATGGCATGGCGGAAGGTGGAAGCCATAGCTTGCATAGCAGCAGGCAAGAGAAGTGTCAGTAGGGGAAATGCCAGATGCTTATAAAACCATTAGATCTTGTGAGAAATCACTCACTATCATGAGAACCATGTGGGAGAAATTGCCACCATGATTCAATTAACTCCACCTGGCCCTGCCCTTGACAGGTGAGGATTATTACAATTCAAGGTGAGATTTGGGTGAGGACACAGAGCCAAACCATATCAACCCCCTTGCTAGCACTCAGCTGCTGTCCTCTGCTGGCGATGCCCCTGCCTTGCAGGAAGTGCAATGAAGCCCCTGCCAAGGTTGGAGCTCCTCTGAAGACCCCACAGCACCTCCACCTCATTCCATTTCTTGCCGTGTCTCTGCTTCTGTCTCTGTCAAATGGCGCATCACCCACTGCCTGGAGCTGTTCACCTGTTCTACTCCATCCCTCAGTATTTTGATTTTCTGCCAATTGTCACCTGCCAGCGTAATGTTGCCCAGTCCTGTAGACTGTGGAGATGTTCTGACTTCCCACTGGAGGCCTTATCCTCTTTTGGAATTATTCCTTCCACTATCATGTTCTTTCTGCTTTCCCCAAACAGAAGATAAAAAATCATAATAATAGTTTTTTACATGTTAATTTTTGTGGCCTCATTTTCCATTTCTACCTTCCCAGCAGACAATTGTTCTCTTTTGGTTTTGAGGATAGGCCTCATTGAACCTCGCACTGTCTTTAGACTCTCGCCCTCTTCAGGCTGTATGGGACTGATTAACACACTGCTCTCAGCTCTGTGCAGCTAAAAATGCCTTGATTGTGGAATAATTGGCTCAAAACTAGTGTTCACTCAAGTGCCCAGTAATAGCTGGCTAATTTATTTCAGGGGACCTTCAGATTATGTGATTCATGTCACAGTGGAGTCCCCTTGTATGAAATGTTCTCTAAAGACATTTCTTCACAGCCTTTCTTAGTGGCTTTTTGGCAAATGTTACTTGATAAAATATTTTTTCTTATATTATTACATGTAGCAATATATTATGTATTTCATATATATATATATATTTGAGACAGGATCTCACTCTGTCGCCTAGGCTGGAGCGCAGTGGCATGATCTCGGCTCACTGCAACCTCTGCCTCCTGGGTTCAAGTGATTCTCCTGCCTCAGCCTCCCGAGTACCTGGGATTACAGGCGCACACCATGTCACTCGGCTGATTTTAGTATTTTTAGTAGAGACGGGGTTTCACCATGTTGGCCAGGCTGGTCTCAAACTCCTGACCTCAAGCGATCTGCCCACCTCGGCCTCCTAAGGTGCTGGGATTACAGACATGAGCCACCATGCCTGGCCTATTTCTTACATTTTTTACGTAACTAACATTCATTCATTCCATATAAGTTGGGACATATGGATAAGCAAATAGAACAAGAAAATCACTGATAAAAGTACCATCCCTGGATACCAAATCAGCATAGCTGGGTATATCTATGTTTTGTGGGAATCTATGTGCCTGTTATATACCTGTGTGTACATACTAACTATAGAATATATATGGCACTGCACTGTGCCTATTGTATTCTCATTTTTAAACTTTCATTCATTTTTCCACATCACTAATTATGTAATTACTTCTACACTTAATTATTGAGTGGCTACTACAGTATAGGCACTAAATTCTAGAAAACAATGTTGAACAAAATAGACATGAGTCCTGCTTCCTGGAACTTACTGCCTAGTGAGTGAATTTGAAATGCCTCTTTATTCTGGACTAAATTCTTATTGAAGCTGTTCCAACAGCGAATCAGCCTATTGTGGCTCCAATAGCTTACTGCTTTAATTATTGTACATCTGTAATATGTTTTAATTGGAGAGGTTGTTTTAGAGTTGGCATCATTCTCAGATCTTTCACTTCATATGGTTCTGGGCTCTGCTCATATCTAATTAAGTGCCCATTCTTATCACAAAGTCAATGTGTCAGTGGTACTACAGCTTCTAATTCAATTTTGTGTTCTTTAGTTGTGCCTATTTATTTATATTGTTCCCAATGAGGAGTTTATCTTCCTAAATAAACTGACAACTTAACCCCGACGCTGTACATTATTCAGCTGGCCTGTTGGTTAAACAGTTAGACAAGGAAGGTGTATTTGTTTCCATTGTACTCCGTTTGTATATTCCAAAATTCAGCAAATAATTACCGACTATTCAGCAATTATGCCACAGAAATATACGTATGTCCCTCTCCTCTCATGAAAACTTCTTGGTTTGTGGCAGACTCTCTACAGTAATGTGACAGAACCTCTCAGTGTTGTCTTAGAGTCTCTGTACGTAGCTCAACCCAAGCCAGTGTTTTCTTTTTCTTTTTTCTTTTTTTGAGATGGAGTCTCACTTTGTCACCCAGGCTGGAGTGCAGTGGCGTGATCTCGTGATCTCGGCTCACTGCAGCCTTGGCCTCCCGGGTTCAAGCAATTCTCCTACCTCACACTCCCAAATAGATGGGATTACAAGTGCCCACCGCCACACCTGACTAATTTTTGTATTTTTAGTAGAGACAAGGTTTCACCATGTTGGCCAGGCTGGTCTCGAACCCCTGACCTCAGGTGATCCTCCTGTCTCAGCCTCCCAAAGTGCTGGGATTATAGGTGTGAGCCATTGTGCCCAGACTCAAGCCAGTGTTTTCTAACACTTGTATAAAAAAAGGCTTCAAATAATAACAGTATCTGATGAGTGACTTTATGTTCTCAACATTTATTTTCTTCAACAGATAAATCTTTCCTTCACAGCAGTGGATGTTACTACACCCATTTGAGCTTTAAAAAGTCCAAGCCATATTAATTTATTTATTCAACAGATATTTTTGTGTGTTTATGATGTGTCAGGAAATGTTCTAAGTGCTGGGTATGTGGCTATGAATGTGACAGATTGTCCCTGATTTCATCTTACTTATACTTTGAAGAAACAGACAACAAACAAATAAACAAGCAAGTACACAGCTTGCTTAGGAAGTGCCAAGTTCTCCGAGGAAGAATGGAAGAGTGTGGGGAGTCACAGAGTAACAGGGATTAGGGAGGGCATCCCTGAGCACATGTTGGACCAGGTATCCAAATACCTAAATATAGTGACTTTGAGCCATAGTGATTCAATTTATTTTATTTTATTTTATTTTTATTTTGTTATTTGTTTTTTAGGGACAGGGTCTTACTCTGTTGCCGAGGCTGAAGTGCCGTGGCATGATCATGGCTCACTGCAGCCTCAACCTCCCAGGCTCAAGCAATCCTCCTACCTCAGCCTTCTGTGTAGCTGGGAATACAGGCGCACACCACCATATCTGGCTAATTTATAACAAACAAAAAAAAAAATTGTAGAGACAGAGTTTCACTGTGTTGCCAGGCCTGGTTTCAAACTCCTGGGCTCAAGTGATCCTCCTGCCTTGGCCTCCCAAAGTGCTGGAATTACAAGTGTGAACCACTTCACTCAGCCTCATAGTAAATAAATTTCTATCCTATTCCTAGTGAATAGCTTATTATAAAGCTTTTAAGCTAGAATAAAATGTGCAGGGGTACACTGTCTTGCACTGCAAATTTAAGGTCACTGCCCATTTTGGAATTCCTAAAATAACAGGAGGAACTGATTCAGTTTATGAAAAATGATCATCAGAGCTTGAACAACCTTTTAAACCCAGCAACTTTTGAAACCATAAAGACAGCATCACTTTCTCATTCATGCTAAAATCGTTTGTCTCTGTTTAGTCATGCTACGTATTTTGTTTTCTTTAATCCTGAAAGCTGCTCCAGGAGAGCTAATGTTGACTACATTTTGCAAG
The DNA here is from genome assembly GCF_000001405.40 of Homo sapiens. Taxonomy (NCBI): domain Eukaryota; kingdom Metazoa; phylum Chordata; class Mammalia; order Primates; family Hominidae; genus Homo; species Homo sapiens. Next base: position 54,913,176 of record NC_000018.10, on the reverse strand, counting down.
TGACAAAACTGAGGATCTGAGAAGTTAAGCAGCCTGTTTAAAATCATTCAGCAAGCAGGTGGCAGAACCTGCATTTGAGTCTGCTTAATTTTGCAGCACATGCCTGCCCATCAATATCTGCTTATCTGGGTATTTGGGTGATATGGTTTGGCTGTGTCCTCACCCAAACCTCATCTTGAATTGTAGCTCCCATAATCCCCATGTGTTGTGGGAGGGACCCTGTGGGAGATCTTTGAATCCTGGGGATAGTTTCCCCTGTACTGTTCTCATGGTAGTGAATAAGTCTCATGAGATCTGATGGTTTTTTAAGGGGAAACCCCTTTCGCTTGGTTCTCATTCTTTATTGCCTGCCTCCATGTAAGACGTGTCTTTGCGTCTCCTTTCCCTTCTGCCATGATTGTGAGGCCTCCCCAGCCATGTGGAACTGTGAGTCCATTAAACGTCTTTCCTTTATAAATTACCCAGTCTTGGGTACATCTTTATTAGCAGCGTCAGTACAGACTAATACACTGGGTGATTAAATGTGTGTGTGTGTGTATGTGTATACATGTTTGTGAAATATATATGTGTAGCCAATATATTTTTAAACACCTGGTTATAACATTAAATTTGCATAGTCTTTTACGTTGATTTTAGTCATTGTCACAGTTACTGTATTAAATATTTTCTACCTTACTTCTAGCTTTCAAGTAATGGAAACACCTCCTTTTTTCCTGTGGTGGTCTTTCTATCCTAGCAGTTTTTTTCCTCTCCCTATAGGTGATAAAATTGACTCATATAACCCTATCTTTTAAAAAATGTTTAATTCTTCTTAGCCAGTTTTAAATATCACCAGAAAATTTCTGCTTAACTCTACCGAAATTATTTACTTTCTTTCTGGTTTTGCATATCTTTCATCATCTTAATTTACAGCTCTGACACTCATCTTATATTTCTTGCATTTCTAGTTTCTTCGCTAAGGACCTGCTCCTAGGGAAATGCATTTTCAGAAATTACTCCATTTTCTAAACTTTGAAGATTATCCTACTTTATATAAGCACCATCATCCTTTAAATTTAATTCTGGAGTGTGTTGCTAAAATATTAAGTATGCAAAAATTATATTCTTTGTGAAAACTATGTCAATAAACTATCCTTAGACAGAGCCATAATAATGGCAGGCATATTCTGGCCAGTGATTTGTAGTTTTTAAATAAAACTCATGCATATACTGTCCTAGTTAAAGGAAAAATCAGAAAAGTCTATGAATCAAGACTAAATGCCTAAATCTGGTAGATGAAACAAATCAGCATGGAATTTAAAATAAATTGAAGAGAGTCTAACATAATAACTCCTATGCTTTTGTATTGTTTGGTACTGAATTGGTCGAGAAACTGGGAGCTTATTCTGGGGAAAACCTAAGTAGCTTTTACCTAATTGTCCTGTCACAGAATATTTTCATTTCAATCATGCTTGTCATCAAGGGAGTGTGTTTCAAATTGCTTTGTCAAGTGTAAAGTACTATAGAGAGGGACTTTTTTCTAGGCACGTGCTTGGCCTATAATATGTGCCTGCCCTTGTTTGGAGTGTATAATAGATTTATATTCATTATATGAGGAAATCTTCACCATCAATTGATGAAATCTGAAGTACATTTCCTTGGTGAAACTTAGCTTCACTCTTGAAATTTCACAGTGAAATGATGATTGCATGTGAAGATACTGGCTCCATCTTTGAGTTATTATTCATGATAAATGCTGGGAGCTAAGAAGAGGCACAATTCAAGGCTGACTCTAAACCATTAACTTAATCCAAACCATCAGGTGGAATTTCAGAAAATACCTTGTAGGCCAGGTGCAGTGGCTTTCACCTGTAATGTTAGCACTTTGGGAGGCTGAGGCGGGCGGGTCACTGGAGGGCCAGGAGTTCAAGAGCAGCGTGGCCAACATGGTGAAACCCTGTCTCTACTAAAAAAAATACAAAAATGGCCAGCTGTGGTAGCACGTGCTTGTAATCCTAGCTACTCGGGAGGCTGAGGCAGGAGAATCGCTTGAACCCAGGAAGTGGAGGTGGAGGTTGCAGTGAGCCATTGATGGCTGTAATGAGCCATCTGGAGGGTCTATTGCCATCTCACTGGCTGCAGCAGGGAGGCGTGGCAAGGGCTGCATTCTCCATGGAGCCCACAAGAGCCCCACCCCTACTGGGCACAGCTGCAGCTGTTTGAACTGTGGCTGCAGACTCAGGAGTCCCTGCACTCCTGGGGGCCTTGGAAGGCCCCCCTTGCCCTTGCAGGCTCGGAAGTGCCTGCTCCCACTGCCTGGCTTCTCCCTGCTGTTGGCACCCTCCCCAATCTCGGAGCAAAGTTGGGGCCAAGCCCAGGCACTGTCACAGCTCAGCTGGGTGTGTGCATGCTCGGGTTAGAGCTGACATGCTAACCCCCTTCTGCCTCAACCCCCTCTGGACTTTGGGCACCACTGAGCATGAGAGGGAAGCCAAGGGGGTGCTGAGGGCAGCTTGGTGCTGGCCTGAAGGTGCCCCTTGGCACAAACAGCCTGGGTGCTATGAACCACAGCAGAAGGCAGACAGGCTCCTGGGCAGAAGGGGGCAGGTCTCCAGTGAGTCCTCACCTTCAGGACAGGAAGGGTCTGAATGCTGGGGGCCGGGCTGCCAGTCTTATGCACTGGAGTAAGAACTTGTGTTGCCTTTTGTGGGCCCATTCATGGCTGCCCATGGAGCAATCAGCACATACTTCCTTCCCCTCTGAGGCCATGAAAGCCCCAGGCTTAGCCAGAGCTGGGCAGACACTGGGATGACCAGCTGCAGAGAAGAGCTACCCACTCCAGGGCCTCCTCTCTACTGAGAATCAAGCAGATATTGGGACAACCTGCCTGCAGAGAGGAGCCACCCACTCTAGGGCTTCCTCTTTGATGAGAGCTGCACAGACGATGGGGCAGCCAGCTGTAGAGAGGAGCTACCGTCTCTGTTGATAGCTGAACACTTGTTGGGATCACTTGCCTAGCAGAGAGGAGCTACCTTCTCTGCTAGGAGCTGGACACTTGTCAGGACACCCTGGCTGCAGAAGGGAGCTGCCCCCTGCAGGTTTCCTCTGAGCTGTTCTATTGCTCAGTAAAGCTCCTCTTTGTCTTGGTCACTCTACACTTGTCTGGGTACCTCATTCTTCCTGGTTGCCAGACAAGAACTCAGGACCCACTGGATGCCTGGGCTAAAAGAGCTGTAACACAAACAGGGCTGAGACATGCCCCTTGCTCGCCATGTTGCAGGCAAAGAGAAGGAAAGAAGAGCTGTGGCCCTTTGGGCAGCCCAGACCTGGGAGCTCCCTGAGCCAGGGCTGTGACTCTCTCTTTGGGGCCTTGCGGTTCCTGGCATCTCCAAGCTTCTGGGTGCCACCGTGTTCCCCGGTGCCAGCTGTGGAAGCTGCTTGTGGTGCACCTGGTCTAGCCGCAGCCTCGCAGAGCCAGCACCCATGCCAGTACCCGGCGCTGTGTGCCCCACTGTAGCAGTCGGCATGTTTGACTATACACAGTGGCCGGACCCCACACCACTTGCTCACACACCCCTCACCATTTCACACCTGACTCGCCCTTGACAGGCATGAGACCTAGGCCAGTAGTTCACAGCCTGCCAGGCTGAGTGAACAAAATGAGCCCAACGGAACCAAGTAAAACTCTGGCAAAGGCGCCACTGGCCTCAAACATTTGCGGCCAGAAAAATGACACCTTGTAACACTGAGATCGCGCCACTGCACTCCAGCCTGGGCGACAGAGTGAGACCCTGTCTCAAAAAAAAAAAAAAAAAAAGAAAGAAAATACCTTTTAAACTATAATTACATGACTCTCTAAGTCTGTTCCTTGAAAGGGAAGGGAGCTGATGTTCTGCTGTTCATCACTTGTCATCGTTCCCCCCAGCTACCTTTTGGTCGCAGACACTTTTATATGGGTGTGTCCTTTAAAGTGCAACCCACTGGCAACTCAGCATTGCTCATGATCCCTAACCATTTTAAGTCTCACTTTCCAGATCTGGGAAGTGAAATTGCTCACTTGACTATGTTGTAGAGAAAACACTGGCTCTGGACAGGAGGAAACAGCTTGGCATTGAGCTCTGCATGAATAGGATGTGGGGCACTGGAAGTCTTTGGAATTCAATTTATAGTTATAAAAATGGTACTTGAGGCTGAGTGCGGTTGCTCACACCTACAATCCCAGCACTTCGGGAGGCTGAGGCAGGTGGACTGCTCAAGTCCAGGAGTTTAAGACCAGTGTGAGCAACTTGGTGAAACCCTGTCTCTACCCAAAATACAAAAATTAGCCAGGCATAGTGGTGCACACTTGTGGTCCCAGCTATTCGGGAGGCTGAGTGGAAGGCAGGTTTAGGCTTGGAGGTGGAGGTTGAAGTGAGCCGAGATACTGTATCCAGCCTGGGTGACGGAGCCAGACACTGTCAAAAAAAAAGGCACTTCGACTAGAAAATCATAACCAATTGCCTTTACTCTTAAAATCTGTGCCAGGCACTAGCTGAGCACTTGACGTATTTTTTTATCTCATTTTAAATCTGTGGAGAAGGCGTTATTATTATATCTGTAATTCAGATGAGGAAATTAGGCACAGAGAGGTTAAGTAACCTAAATGAGGTCATGTAACCAGTGAGTGGCTGTGCTAGGATTTGTACCTGAGAACTTGTGCTCTAACCACTCCTGTTCTTAGCTGTTGCATGAACTCCCAGAATTATGAGAGTGCTTCCAGATGTAAAATATTATGTTCATATGACACTTGTTTCTTCCAACAACTTACACAAAGTAGGCAGGACATGTATCATTTACCACTAGTATAGATATAAAGAAACTAAGGTTTCATAAGAAAATTGAGGCTATAGAGGCCATGAACTTATATTAATAGTAAAGAGCAGATGGTACCTATTTTCATGGGGTTTATAATCAAGAGATCGCAAAAGAAAGACGAACATGTGATTGATATTGTGGGTATCTTTAACAAGGTTCCTTAAAAGTTCTTTTCATTTGCCTGTATTTTTAAAACTCTGTAAAATAAAATATGGATACTTCAGCTGTTGAATTTCAGATGCTAAATCAGAATACTCTATTTTAGTCCCTTGGTAAATTATACATTTTTAAAGGAGTATCTGCATCTTCAGAGATAATATTTAGTGACTTTCAACTGGCTATTTTCTGTGTTCTATAGCATAACTGCAATAACAAACTTGCTGCCAACGAGTGAGGCAGGTGTTGGGTTGAATAGAAGCATTGAGGGTGTAGCTAATAAATGTGTTAGCTATTTGACGTCTGCATTTTTTTTCAATTTTAGAATAAAGAACTAAAAACCCAGGTAGCACTTTCATCTGAAACTCCTAGGACAAAGGTATCTAAGGCTGTCTCTACAAGGTAAGGTCTCTGTCCTCTTCCACCCTGTCTTCACAACCTATGTTGAACATGTTAGACATTCAACCCACTCAAGAAAGATTCCAGTCTGTCACTGCTTATGTAATCATTTGTTTACTGTTTTTCTCCCAGTTTCTATTCAGAACTGTGTTAATCTTGTTCATCATTTAATCCTCAAAGCCTAACACAGAAATACTAAATAAATTAATGAACAAATTTAGATATCTCTTTTTTTCTTCTTTGCCCTAATTAACAAGCCCAATCTCAACTCCAACACCTAGACATTACAGATCATCTCCTTTATTGTCTTTCTTCTTCTGTTGCTCAAGTTTTTTATGCCATTGATGGACATTTTAATCTTTAATTGTTGGCATTTTTTGAAATTGCTATGTTGTCAACTCTAATAAATTATTAATATAAATATCACCAGGGCAAGAATAGTTCTTTTTAATTTCCTGCATTGCTAAGGACAAGGTTCTTCAACAGCTATCTAATAATGAATGATTTCAAGCGATGATGATGACCTACTAAAGAAATTGAAATGATGGTTGAAACCATCTAAGTCATTTTTTTAAGTTAAATTTTTGTTGTGGTTGTTGGCAGAATCAGAATCTGGGCTCAAATCTCATTTCCACAAACCCCATGAAATTATCATTTAAAAGAAAACATAGTCTCTAATTATATGTATCATTCAAAAAGTGATTAAAAACTTCGTCTTCTAGCAGCTTTTGAATTTCCCAAGCTAGTCCCTCTAGGGAAGAATCTTATTTTCTAAACGTCTCTTCAGCCCAGTGCCGGAGGTGGAAAAATCAGACCCACTATGATTAGCATCAGTCTAGGAATTCAGGAAGATTCTTCTCTCTTTAAAACTGCCTGAAACAGTATTTCACTTTGCTAATGATGTATGTAATTAGAGACTAGAGATGAAACTATTATGATTCAAGTCCTCTAAAATCTTTTGGCCTCCAGATGCTTGTTAGAAACTTTTTGGCCACTAGCCCTGCAACTTCTAGAAAATAAAAGAAATGAAGCCTCAGAGGTTTCCCAGGAGGAGAGGAAATGCCTACATTTCAGAAGCAGGGAGAGTCGAGTCACTTCAGTTGGGGAAGATGTGAAAAGTTTGGACTAGGAGGGCAAGCGTGACATTCTAAGGGAAGGAAGGATGGCTAATATTTTGCTCCCTTCCATCTTTACCATTCCCATTGGGATGGTGAAGCACTATGGCCAGTCCCAGCTGCTTGGACCCTGGAGGGAATGGGGCCAGAATGGAGCAGACAATGAAACAGCTGGTTATCTTCATATGGTAACTACTCTAGTATTGAATGCTGAGACTCTGGCTGGTATATAGGGGTCATGTTGAAGAGAATGCTTTTTTTGGCCAACGCTTTAGCTACAGCTATTAATTAGTATTTAACTAATTAATAGTTAAAGGTTTACTGTTTAAAGATTTTTCTTCTCCCTGTGACTTGGGAAAGGCCAAATGGGGGAAATTTCCTAATTGAAGTGGTGAAATGAGACTGAATGTCCCCTTTGTTCTGTGATTTTTGATAGAAATTCTCGTATTAATTATGTAAAGCAGCAGTCCCCAACCTTTTTGGAACCAGGGTCCAGTTTCATGGAAGACAGTTTTTCCATGGACCAGGGTGGAGAGGATAGTTTCGGGGTGATTCAAGTGCATTACATTTATTTCTATTTTTATTACATTGTAATGTATAATAAAATAATTATAAACTCACTATAATGTAGAATCAGTGGGAGCCCTGAGTTTGTTTTCCTACAACTAGCCAGTCCCATCTGGGGGTGAGACAGATGTTCAGGCATTAGATTCTCATAAGGAGCACGCAACCTAGATCCATCGCATGCACAGTTCACAATGGGGTTCGTGCACCTATGAGACTCTAATGCCATTGCTGATCTGACAGGAGGTGGAGCTCAGGAGGTAATGTGAGCGATGGGGAGTGGCTGTAAATACAGATGAAGCTTCGCCCTCTTGCCCACTGCTCACCTCCTGCTGTGTAGTCCTATGCCTAACAGGCCATAGACTGGTACCAGTCCATGGCACCAGTCATGGGCACCCCTGATATAAAGGCAGGACTCACATTTGCAAAATAAAATATGGCCCATTGGTTGCTTGAAAAATGTAAGTGGTAGTTTGGTTTGGTAAATCTGGATTCACAAATATACAATGGAATTAACTCTAGGGAGAGATTTGAGTATAAAGATAACTGTTAAGACTGAAATTAGAAAATTATGTACACATAAAAATTTAATCTTGGCAAATCTCTACACATTCTCTCAGGGAATACAAACAAAAAAGGTTTTTTCTTTTTTACTTGAGCTTTAGAACATATAGATCTTCCTTCCTTCCTTCCTTCCTTCTTCCCTTCCTTTCCCTCCCCTCTTCCCTCTCCTTTCTTTCTCTCCCCTTCCTCCCCTACCCTCCTTCCCACTCTCTGCCCTTCCTTTCCCCTCCCCTCTTCCCAACTAGTCCCTCCCCTCCCCTCCACTTCCTTTCATTCTCTTTGTTTTTCTGTTTTGACAGGGCCTCACTCTGTGGCCCAGGCTGGAGTGCAGCAGTGCAATCATAGCTCATCTTAACCTCAAACTCCTGGGCTCAAGGGATTCTCCCACCTCAGCCTCCCCAGTAGCTAGGGCTACAGGCACACTATCACACCTGGCTATTTTCTTTTTGTGGAAAACAGCATCTTGCTATGGTGCCTAGGCTGGTCTTGAACTCCTGGGCTCAAGTGATCATCCCACCTCAGCCTCCCAAAGTGTTGGGATTACAGTCATGAGCCACTGCATCCAGCCTGATGTTTCTTGAGTGGTTTGCTTGAGATGAGGGGCCATGTTGTTAAACAACAATAATAAAATATGCATATGTATATATGTGTGTGCATGCATACATATGTCTGTGTACATATGTATATATATACACACACATACTTACAGTTTTAAATACTAGAATCACACAGTGAGGAAATAAATTCAGGCTATGCAAAATGCATTGAACTAAAATAGCCTGGGGGAACAGTTGATTTGTGTTTTGTCATCTCCAACTCACTCTGGGGAATGTCTTCACCAGGTGGAATGGCAGATACAGGCTCTTCCTCTCTCCGGCTTCCCTCATGCTCCCTCATTCTTGTCCTGTTACATCTAGCAGAATTTGCATGCATTAAATGCTTTCACAATGCGATTCTACTGTATATCATGGGGAACTGGTCAGAATACATCTATTAACACATCTCTTAGAACAAAGCAGTTAGTTCAGATTTGATGTGAATAGTATTGTGGTAGTTGAGTATGGTAGTCTAGCCATAATCACTAGAGTTTAACATTCTCCATTTTGATCATCGTGTTGTCTTTTCTACAGTGAATTGAAGACCGAAGGTGTTTCCCCTTATTTAATGTTGATTAGGTTACGGAAATGAACTGGCTGGATGAAGATCTGATTTAGAAAGACTGCGTGAGTCTTATTTATTCTCTGAAACACAGCCCAAGTTTCATGTTAAAATGGCAAAATGCCATTATTTAAATGGAACTTATTACATACCAATGGCTTTGCAAGAAGATGACATTTCAGAAAATCAAACAAATCTATATTTAATGGATGGACTCTTCAAAACTTACCAAATAGTTGAAGAAACCAGGTGCCTTCTCATGATGGAAGACAGATTCTGCTTTAAATTAAAAAAAAAAAAAAATCTGAATCTTGTTTTCAGATTTTTTTTTCTACTGGGATTGTTTTAAGATTGTCAATTCTGACTTTTTTATAGTGGTTTTTAAGAGTATAAATAGAAGGGAGAGTGTATATGTGTATGAATGAACATACATTTCCTGCATATATATGTATGAAGGGCATGTATATGTATGAATGAGCAAACATATTTGAAAGTTAACTTTTGGATGATAGGAAAGATCGTACAGTGACATAAGTTCATCTCCTGATCCATTGTTTGTGGGAGAATTATACTTGACTGAATTATGGGCAGGAGAAAGAGCAGATTCCTTTTAGCTAATTCCCCAACCCATATGCCCCTCTGAAGTTGAGAATCATGGCTGCCTCACCACACATCAGAGAATGACTGTTCTTCTTAGTTCTGGGATTAAAAATTGGTTTCTAGAGGTAACCTGTACACACAAACGCACAGGGATGCACATGGTTTCCTCTGCCTTTGTGACTAATTTTCTTCTTGATAGTTATTAATAGTATCTAAATAAAATATTGGGGGGATAGAAAAATAATGCTGTTAGCTCATACTTCCATGAAAATGTATATATTATAGGCTCAAAGGAATAATGACTGCTGTCTGCAGCCAGAAAGAATCTGAATTTATGAATTGGAAAGATATATATAGTGTATTTGTGAAAGTTTGCTTAAATTCTGATACATGCCTTCTTTGTAGGTGGAGTTTGTGATTGCAGTGAATAGAACAAATTCTGACTTGCAGAAATGCAGACATACAGTCAGGAAAGAACAAACTTCAATTAAATGTATAATGAGAGACCTTGGTCCCCCTAAAGGATGAATTTCCTTTAGGCCTTTGATCTTCCTCTCTAGTGTATAACTTTAAATATTTGCTCAGAAAAGATGCTGACTCTTTCATTATGGAATGTGAAATATCAGTGTTGTCTATAAATATTTGAAGGTATATAAAAATGAGATGATGTAATGTATTTATAAATTTATCCAAGTACTGTAATCCTTGAATTGTTGTGTAACTGTGTGTGAGTTTTACGCTTCATGGTATTTTTGGAAACATTTTTATTGCTTGCTTATTTTGAAGGTATATTTATCTGTTAACATTTAGGGCATAGTTACCTTATACCAGCAACAAGTCTAAGCACTTTACTTGTATTAATTTATTTTATCTTCCCCAAGGCCCTCAGAAGCAGATTATTCCTGTTTTACAGAGAAAGATACTGAGAGTGGTTGAGTAATTTGCCCAGCTGCTAACTGTGAAGCAAAAATTTGAACCTTTTGACTTGGCTATTGATATTCATTCTACTTGCTCACATGGTGGTCTAAGAAATTTCCCAGCTATAGAAATCTCTCTATTTTTGCCACTTTAATCAACACATAGCTTCCTGGATGACTGCCTGTGTTATTTTGTGGATGACAGTAAGAAACAACAAATACTGATAAAATCAATATTTTGCTGAAATGAGTTGATCTTTCACCAGCTGGACTACCATTGTGAGAACTCAGTTCAGACAAACTTCCCTGCTAAAAATCTGTTTATCATACATTTATTATTTATGACTTTATGTCACATTGAAGAATTTCTTCATGATACATTTTCAGGCACACTTGTAGGAAAATTAGGATCATGAGTCCTGCTTTAAGTATTTGCAGTGTAGTAAGAGAATCCATCTTTTACTAGGAGACCAGATTCCTTTTATACCTCATTCATCATGCTGGATTGTAATAAATTTCAGATTTTGGAATGGGCTTATTTAACTGACCTGACAATCTTGATGATTTCCATTAGAATAACTTATTCTAAGGTCAAAAGTGGAAAGACACTGTTGGTTTTTATTTTGATTTCACTATACTCATTTTTGAACATGGAAATACAGTGGTGAAACCACCTATGCAAAAATGATAACAGTGAGGAAATTATGACAGTGAAAGAGATCTGACCTAACTATCTATCTTGCCTCGAAACTGCCCTTGGTCGTTCCTGAGTGTGGGCCAAGCTAACTTTGGGAGAAATTTACTTTATAGGTTAAATTATAATAGCCCTTCCCAAAACTAAACGATTCTCCTGCCTCAGCCTCCCGAGTAGCTGTCTTTATAATACCATCAGCCTTATCATTTATTCGTCATGTATGGATTGTTTCCTATATCCACTATCATAAAATTATCATTTGAAATATTTTTTTATGAAAAAAAAAACACTTCTCAGTGAAAAAACAAGATTACAAGGGGGAATAATATTTATTCAGCTAAAATAGTACTTCACAGGAAATATAGGAAAAGAAACACTAGTTCAGTTTTATTCCAAATAATGTACTTCTAATTATACTCTTGAATTTATTGGATAAGAAGGTCTGAGGTGGGTCTGAAATTCATACATGAAGTCAGGAAAAGAAAAGAAACTTAGTTCTACCTTGATTACATATGTTGTTACAAATTATCATTATAAAATGTTTAAACAATTAGTATAGTATATCTTTTGAATAATTGCTTATAATATGCCTTACCATAAAGAAAATTGATGCTACATTGTGTGAATTGTTTGGTTTTCTTTTTATATTAAAATTATGCATAAATGAATTAAGTAGTTTTTTGGTTTTTGTGGTTTTTTGTTTTTGTTTTGTTGTTGTTGTTTTGAGACAGAGTTTTGCTCTTGTTGACGAGGCTGGAGTGCAATGGCGCAATCTCGGCTCACTGCACCCTCCGCCTCCTAGGTTTAAGCAATTCTTCTGCCTCAGCTTCCCAAGTTGCTGGGATTACAGGCGACTGCTACCACACCCGGCTAATTTTTTTGTATTTTTCGTAGAGACAGGGTTTTGCCATGTTGGCCAGGCTGGTCTCGAACTCCTGACCTCAGGTGGTACACCCGCCTCAGCCTCCCAAAGTGCTGGGATTACAGGCGTGAGCCACCAGCGCCAGACCAGTAGGTTTTATCTGATTGTTTATGACAACATTATCCATAGTATATGTATTGTTTTGGTCAGTGAACAGATTTATAAATAGCTTCCTGAATTTTTCTGCTGCTTTTCCTTGGATTTAAATTGACAATAAAATAAATCTACTAAGCTTTTACTCTAAATTTGAAAAAAGAGTTATAAAATTAAGAGGAACACACACACACATACACACACACACAACTTCTCAAATTCATTCATGTTTACTTTGAACATCTCTACCTCTCTTCTGACCTGCAAATAAATACAGAATCCTCATCAATATCCAAGTAGTTACTCTATCCACCCAGAATTGAAAAGTCCCCCAACTAATATTGCAATCATTATAACTTCCTTCTTGTCTCCCTTCCTTCCTTTCTTATTTTTTGGTGGAAAATATTAAGGAGGCAATAAAGATTTAAGTAATAATATTAATTGATTTATTATTAATGTATATACTAATGATGGCTTTCAGGACATGCTACCCCAAAACATGGCACCTTGGCACTTGAGAAAACAGCAGAAGCAGGAAGGCCACTCTTACTTTCCCTCCTTCTGCCCTGAAGCAGGTCATAAAATCTAGCAAGAATTTTTTTTAACTTTCCCCTATATGACCCTCATTCAAGAGGTGTCCTCCTTATACCCACCGGAAAGGAATATCCTTATCTTGGAAGACACAGGGACACAGAGAAGAATCTGAACAAACAGGCCTTGCTAATTTCCTCCAACTTTGTTAACATTAGCTCATACTCCTTTTCTCCAATATACTTCTTCACAACTATCCACATCTTCATCAAAACTAGCATTTAAAAAACACAGCTTTACCCGTCTCTTCAGGTCTTAATTGTTTTATAAGGCTCCTATGCTACATACAACTTAAATAGATTTGTATATTGGTCTCTTATTAATCTATCTTTCCTTATAGGAGCTTCAGCCATGAAACTAAGATGGGAAAGAAATATATTTATTTTCCCCTACACAAAAAAATTGTTTAAAGTTGTGGTAGAATTATGGAAAATTGGGATTTATCCTAGGCATGTAAAGTTGGTTTATCACTAGAAAACCAACTAATGTAATTCACCATATACACATAATAAAGGAGAGTAATTATATGGTAATTTTAGTACATGAAAAAATCACTTTACAAAATTCAGCAACTTTTCATGATAAAAACATTAAGCAAACTGGGAATCATAGAAAACTTCATCATTTCTGATAATGAGCATTTATGAAAAGCTTTCAGTTAATATAATTAATGGTGAAAGACTAATGCTTTCCCTACTGATAGTGGGAAAAAGGCAAGGATGCCTGCTTTTGTTACCACTTGTCTTAAACATTGTGCTGCAGGTCCTAGTCATTGGAATATGGCAAGAAAAAGAAAAGAAATAAAATGAAAAGAAAAATAAAAGAAAATGAAAAGAAAATAGAAAGGAAGAAGAAAAAGAAAAAGAGAAAGAAAAGAAAGAGAAAGAAAGTGAAAGAAGAAACAAGAAGAGGAAGAAGAAGAAGGAAGGAAGGAAGGAAAGGGCATACAGATTGGAAAGGAAAAAGTAAAACTATTCACTTTTTGCATTTCATATAATTATTGATATAGAGAACTCTAATAAAACTACAAAACTACCAGATATTGTATACTTGAACTTTGCTAAGGGTATAGTTCTTAAATATTTTCACCCCACCCCCCACACACAGAAGGTAACTATGTGAAGTGATAGATATGCTTATTAGCTTGATTATAGTAATCACAATGTTTATGTATATCAAAATGTTATATATCCTAAATATATATAATTTTTATTTGTTAATTATATCTCAATAAAGCTAGGAAAAAAACTGGAAAAAGTGAAGTTAACAAGGTCACAGAGTACAAGATTAACATAAAAGAATCAACATATTAGCAGTTGGTGAAAAGACAGACATATCAATGGTTGGAAAAAAGAATGCATAAGTAGATCCATCTAGATGATTGATTGATTTTTGAAAAAGATGTCAAGGCTATCCAATGGGGGAAGGAAAGTCTTCCCAGTGGTACCAGAAATACTGGAAATGTCTGCATGGGGTGGGGGGAACAAATAAACATTGATCCTTACTTAATACCATACACAATAATTAACCTGAAATGGGCAATATGCCTAGATGTAAAGCTAAAACTACAAAATTTCTAGGAGAAAACCTAGTAGATTTTCTTTGCAATATTAAGGCAGGCAAGATTCTAAAATAGCACACAAAGAACATAAGCCAAAAAAGAAAAATAAATTATAAATCAAATTTTATTAAAATTCATCTCTTTTGCTTTTTGAAAGACACCACTAGAGAAACAAAAAGTAAGCCATAGAATTAGAGAAAATACTCACAACAAATATAGGGTTTGAATCCTGAATACATAAAGACTCTTAAAACATAAAAATAATAATACAATAAAAATGGGCAAAAATGATTGAACCATTGCTTTACAAGACAAGATATACAAATGCCAAATACACACCTGAAAAATGCTTAATACATTAGCTGTATTAATACATTAATACAGTCAAATGCAAATTAAAACCACTAAGAGATACCACATTAGTGGTGTCTAACACTCTAACCCATTAGAACAACTAAAATTAAAAGGACTTGCCATTACTGAGGATGTGGAAAAACTGGACTTTTCATTTAGTACAAGTGGAAATGCAAAAATAGTACAACCACTTGGAAAACAGGCTGTTTCTTAAAAATTTAAATATGAACTTGCCATCTGATCTAGTCACTCAATTCCTCATTATTTTGCCCAAGGGAAACAAAAGATTCTTTCCACAGAAAGAATTGTATGTGAATTTTCATAGCACTTTATTTGTAAGAGCCTCAAACTAAAAACAAATGTCCATTAACAGATAGATAAACAAAATGTGGTACACTTATATATTGGAATATAACTCAACAATATAAAAGGACCAAATCACAAACAAATATATACAATGGATAAATCTCAAATCCTTATGCTAAGTGAAAGAAGCCAGAGGGAAAAAGAAGATATACTATATGACATCATAATGACAGCAAATTAGTAGAGTTGACCTTGAACAACATGGCATTGAACTGCAAGGGTTCACTTACATGTAAATGTTCTTCCGCCTCTGCCACCCCTAAGACAGCAAGACCAACCCTCCTCTTCCTCCTCTTCCTCAGTCTATTCAGTGTGAAGACAAAGATGAAGACTCTTATGATGATCCACTTTCACATAATGAATAGTAAGGATATCTTCTCTTCCTTAGGATTGTCTTAATAACATTTTCTTTTCTCTAGCTTACTTTATTGTAAGAATATAGTATATAATACATATATCAAATATGTGTTAATTGAATGTTTATGTTATCAGTGAGGCTTCTGGTCAACAGCAGACTATTAGTAGTTAAGTTTTAGGGGAATCAGAAGTTATATGCCAATTTTTGACTTCCTGGTTAGGGGATGGTCTGTGTTTGCAAGCCCCACATTGTTCCAGGGTCCTGGGGACAGGAGTAGAAGGAGGAAGAGACTACAAAAGGGCACAGGGAAACATTGGAGGCCATAGCAATGTTCAGTGTCTTCAAAATGATGATTTTTTCATGGGAACATTCCATGACAGTAGTCATTACTTTATACAGTTTAAATATGTGCAATGTATTGTATATAATATTTGCTTCAATAAAGTAGTAAAAGACATGAGCACTGTTATTCTACAGTCCACCCAAACAGGTTCTCTGGCAGGATTCACTCATTTTTCTTTCAACGAATATTTATTGATCACATCCTATTTGCCAGGCACTGTTCTAGATGCCAGGGCTACAGTAGTGGGCAGTTTGGGGGTGGGGTATACGGGGAGGGGCAGGGAAGAAAGAAAAAGTCTTTACCTTCATGGGAATATATTCTAGTGAGGAGAGACAGATAATACAGTCAGAGGTGTCTGAAGAATTGAAGAAAAGTAAAGCTGAACCCACAAATAGGAAGTTTTAGGGATGACAGTGTGGTTGCAATTTTAAATTGGGTGATAATTTAACAAATGTTAACTATAGATTTGCAATTTAAATAGGAGAGGAAGACTCAATATCATCTAAATCCTTACCTATGCATATATTTTGTCATATTTCCTTTGTATAAATCATTCCTTTTATTTGATTAGTAAGTTATCCTTCCAATTCTTTGAATGCTGAGCAGTAATTAGCCAACAAGTTTTTGGAATCTGTATCTCAATCCCCTCCTGGGTCTAGTTTCCCTAATATACTGAGAAAGCCCATGTTCTCTGCAAAAAGCATCAAAAGAAAAACTGAGCCTAGATGGTTCAGTTAAGTGGTCTTGCTTTGACTTCCCCTCTTGGCTAGAGGAAATGCCCTTGGAAGTAAGGGGAGGAGAAACGTCCCAAGGTTGCTCAGAGTGGGAGTACTCATAAATCAATGTTCTAACCAGCACAACTCGTAATCACTCCTTCTGGTTCACTTTCTCATGAGAGTGAACGAGCTCATGATGTAACTTTCTTGGGGGTATCAATTGAACAGATGAAATCCTCTCTTGTAATCTTGCTGGTTTTAATTTTTATCCTTTTGGTAATGGACAGTCTTTTGTCTTTCTCAGCGAAATGGTCCAAAACTATGGTAATTGCAAAAGTCAGATTACCATCACAAAACATTGAGTACCTATAACATAGCTTTAGTTAAATCTTAATTAGTGTATAGGCTTCCTAAGCTGTAATGCAAGTCAGCTAAATGAGTTTCTAAGAGAACAGCCATGC
Organism: Homo sapiens; assembly: GCF_000001405.40. Taxonomy (NCBI): domain Eukaryota; kingdom Metazoa; phylum Chordata; class Mammalia; order Primates; family Hominidae; genus Homo; species Homo sapiens. Next base: position 54,896,411 of record NC_000018.10, on the reverse strand, counting down.
TCACACTATTATGGCTATTCTTTCCCCACCAGTAGCAATCCATATTAGAAATGAAATTCTCCTTGGCATGGAGAACTGTGAATAATACACCTTATATATGGCTTTAAAAACAGAAATTCTATAATTACAGTGAATGTCCAGCAGCTCTATTTTATTTTATTTTTCCTCAATATGGGGCATGCTGTGACTTTTTAAAAATTCTATAAAACCATTAAGAAAAATGAGTTCTCAATTACTTATCTTGAATTATTTAAGATGAACCCAGTGGGCAAAAGATTCTGCCTGTGAGAAACAGCATTATTGCTACTGGGGAATAAAGTTGAGAGAATGGTGCCAAGGATTTATTTGCCTGCAGTGGGAGAGCTGTTTATCTTTAAATTAAGAACTCATCATTATCTTGGCAAAGCCAATCTAAGTAACATATGGAGGGAGATCCACTCTGGGAACAAGTCAGCCTTTGCAAATGAACGTTGTAAAGGAAGCTGTACAGTTGTGGTCTGGAGTCGGCCTCAAACACCATCTTTCACCAGTGTGCCACTAAGGTAGATACCACCACCCGCTCAGCATTTTCTTATGGAGAAGAAATAGGTTATAATACGTGGAAGTGCTTATGTACTAGTGAACACTTCAACATGTTAATTGCTAAGTTTAATAAATGTTTCCTTCAAAATTATTTTAAAAATTCACTCACAAAGCCCAGTCTTTAAATAATTAATGAAAAGTTTGGAGAGGTAAGTAAAAATCACTTTGCTAAGTCCAAATCACTTATTTCCTAGTTGGGAATGGAATCCATTTTTAATGTGATACAAGTTCCATGCTAATATTGGTTTAATGTTCCCCACTCACCATACACTCAACTTCAGCACAGAAATAAAGTTGCTTTGAGTACAGAAAATAATTGATAAAAATTCATTTTTTATTTGAAAAGTGTGCAGAAACAATCACTGAATACAATTCTCAACCATAGTATTCATAGCCAGACACCAAAAAATCATTGGATGCTATGATTTCTGAAGCCACTAGAACTTTGGTACAACAAAATAATGACCTAACAGTGTGCGTCAGGAACCACAGTCTATTAAGGGGCATATAGAATAAAAACTTCAAGTTTATAGTTTTAAGTTACATTCATAGCACTAGACAAAACAGATCTATATAGGAGACAGACAAAATAATCAAACGTGCTTAGCCTAAAAATAAAGATAATATTACTTGAAGGTAAACTGTTGGGATACAATGAAGCACTTCAGTGTTATATTAGAACATCGTCTACTTTTAACACACTAACTAAAGCAGGATAATTTATTTTTTTAAAAAATAATTTCAGATACAATCAGTATCTCTTACAAGGCTATGGACACAGAAGCCCTATTTGTACATGGAATATTTTGACCAACTTGTAATATACTACCTAGAATTCATTGGTTTCCTTGAAATAAATACAAGATGACATATTTTGTCAATAATGAGATGTATTAAACATTTTCAATCAAATACAATGACTTCAAGTTGCCTTCCCATTTTCAGTTTTCAATACCTCTACTGTATGAAAATTAGTGTGTTTTCCCTGCTATGATACCTCTTTTTATATCAAGCAGTTTAAATTACAACTGTGGTTTTTTATTAGATTTTAGTTTGTGAATAGTGTCTATTTATGAAATGGAACATAATTTACAAACCACTTTCTTATACATATCTCCTTTGAGCCTGACACGAACTCTGTGAAGCACATATAAACACATACAGGGTTTATAAGCCCTATATGAGGATAAATCACTAAGCTATTTAATGACCTACTCATGGTCCCAAGTTGTTCTTTCTGGCCACTTTCCTTTCTACAACACTAGGTGTTTTCACAAGGAGCATTTGAAAACAAAATCACCTGGAAAAAGAATAAAGATAAGCATATGTTATTACTTTTCTAGGAACAGAAACCATTTTGATATGCCAACAGACATAAAGACAGAAGCCACTGATTGAATAAGGGATCCATTAAGTTAAGGTCAGACATGCTTGCTCCTACAGAATTTGCTAATAATCCTTGTAGACAAAGTCAGCTGAAGGATGTTAGCCATTACTTCCACAACCAGCTGGAAAGGAACCAGGGAATCCACTTAATGAAAAGATGACTTCTTTGTATATTTTTTTCTCAAAAGATGACAAAATAGTTCCACTATTTTGGCACTAAAGTTTTTGTTTGTTTGTTAGTGGTATTCTCTCTCTACAGGAAATGAGAAAACATCTCAACCATAGGCTGTTGATACAAAGAACTCTGCAGGAAAGCATCTTTGTGATGGTACGCCTTGAAAAACTAATCAAGTGCTTTATGAAAATATCATAAATCTAATTTATGGAAAAATTAGATTTATATGCAATAAACAAAATGTCTCTAAGTGTATCACATTTTTATGCCAACAACGAAAGGTTTTTTGTTCAGATATTTTTACTAGTTTAGTTCTGAGGGCATAAACCTCTACTTGGTAGAAGAAAATGAACAAAAAAAAACTATCTGTTACTAGGTCTTTCTTTATTCGGACTCAAAATCGACCTTTGAAGTATGACCTTCTCCAGGTTCTGCTGTATTTAAGGGCACAATTTAAACAACTTTTAACTCTAATTATCTTTATAGTTCTGGCATGACAATGTCATTGTAGTTGGGTCTCCACCCAGAAATTCTAAGGCAATACATTTATAAAATTCTCTATATATCCAACCAAAATTTGTATCAGTTCTACTTTATGAGACAAGCAGCTTCATGGATTTATAAAGCATTGAAATGACACTCATCCCAGAGAATAGCCTATATCCATTTTCATGTATAAGAGCTCAACACCTTCCCCAGAAATAAGCTGACATCACCTTGGTCAAAGATCCAGAAGAAAATATAGCTCATGGTGAATTCTTAGACAACTTTTGCAAACGTAGGCAGCATCTTGGCATCTTAAAAAATGATAAAGCTTTCTCTAAAATATTCAAATACACTAGACTTCTTTTAATGTCTTAAAGCTTGGTAGTAGAGAGGAAAAAACAACTCTTCTATCACTTTGGCAAATATCAGCTCTTAGACCTTCTTTATAAACAGTTATTATGTATCTTAGGAAACCAGAGACTTGGAATATTATTTCTTTATTGTTGAGTTTTAGATTATACATCCAAAATCCTTTACGAATGAGGATTTTTCCCTCAAACGTTTGGTGTAATATGCAATGAGGAAAGAATTGTGTATCCTTTTTAAATGAAGAGAGATGCAGAACAATGAACAACCTGTTTCATGAACACAAGGTTATACACTATGATTAACTCACCACTGCACCAGTTGCACAATATTGCTTCTCTTTCTAACTGCTGCACTCACTCCACTGGTGAAGAGACAGACAGGCTTCATCAAATTTGTTGATTCCCAGTGTACTCAATTTGCAGCTTAAAGAACATCATATTGTGGCTATTAAATTATTTTTAATGTACTCATGTCCTTCTCTATGGCAAGCATCTCTTTCTTACAAAGGGGACAAGAAAAGGCTGATTAAAACTCTCGCCTGGTTCATCTACCTGTACAGGTTGGCAAAGAACAATTTATAGTAGAAGGATGACAAAGACACCTATCTGGTTAAAAGTAACAGATAAAATGTTTACTTTAGAAATAGCTAGTTTTGAATATTTTACAGGGCGATAGCTGATAATACGAAAATGATAGCAAATTGGATAAAGTGGTAACTGGCAAGAGTTTTAAAACTCTTATGGAGAGACCCACAGGCTCAACTCTTGGCGTTTAGTATTTTCTCTGCCAATCCTTGACTTCTTATCATTATCAGACCAAGACAAACATTATGTTCTCTGGATTATTTTAGATACATTTTTCAAATGATCTTTCTTTTTCTACCCTAAAAGGTAAGCTTGTACCTAATCACAGCTAAGAGTCTCAGGTAATGCCAACTTCATAAGAAGTAAGTGAGGAGACCAAGAGAAGGCAGTTAAACTCTCCAGATTCCAATAAAGTCCTTGCATCCCTTGCTGATAATATCAGAAGATCTTTAGCTGTGTTAGTGTCTCTGTGAGGGCTTCCTATGATATAACATTATAGGAAATGAGCTATGTGGTTGGAGACAAATTTGGTCACAGAGGTATCTGAGGCACCGAGTTAGAGCAATGTAAACATCAAACCAGTGTAAATACTCCAGAAATGGTTTCTATATCAGAAAGGAGCTTCATGTACATTTTCAACATTTCTCCTAAATACGTTTTACTAAAGCATTGGGAGATACTTAGTAACAGGACATATCTTGGCTAAAATTACATGCTGTTGTGGGGTAAATTAGGGGATTTGGAAATCTTTAAAGTAGTCTGTATACTTTATGGCACCAGAACAATTTGAAATTGTAAAATGAATTACACAGAACTACTAATCCTGAAATAATGAGAGAAGGAATTTCTAATAATGATTACATAGAATCTGGGGTCAGATGTCAAACTTTATGGAGAAAATTTTTTATATCAAGCATTTATTTATAAGTAGAACAATATTTTAAATCAATTTTGTCACTTCTCATTCCTCTTGAAGTTATTACCCAATAATTGTTATTTTTACAGGAATAGTCTTGCAATTATGGGCATCATCAACCTCTGCTTCATGCTACAGCTATCAAATAATGATCTTAAAACAGACCCTGAAAAAACACTCATTAAATAACTGACAGTGACAGAATCTTGGCATAAGTAAATCAATCATATAACTGAAAATGAATAGAAACAAAAAGACATATCAAAACAGAATACTTTTAGAGTTTTATAAAGGTTTCACATTCCCTATTAAGGAAATGCAGGGGACATTACAATTTGAATCCAAAGAAAAAATTGATATAATGACCCCAAAAGTTCACCAAAATTTGCCACAGCAGTGGCAATATAACTTGTTCCTGCTCACTTTCCTTCCAGAAGAAACATCTTAAATGTTAGCTTACAGTTTTCTATCTTCATGGCACAGGCATTGAGATAATGAAGAGCATCCCAGAGGAAACACCATGGGAGGGAATACCCAGCCACAACCCATCTTCGAACCTGTTGCGATGCTGCAGAAATCAGAGGAGCTGGCCAGTTAATGCTGAGAATTTCATCAGGGGCTAACAGCATGAAAGCTTTCAAATTATTAATATTTTGATTCATGGCACATTTATGGGTCTAGTCCATCCTAAGAACATTATAAAGAGACATTTCCTTGGATCTGTCTGTGTTTCTGAAACTGATTCAATACCAGATAGAAGTTCGCAGAGGTAAGCTGAATGATGGACTGGGATTTTTAGGGTCTTCAATGTGTATAACTTCACAAAAAATATGCACAGAGTATGGAAAAAGTAGGTTTGATTGGAAAAAATCTATACGACGAGGAAACAGCCTGTCAAAAAATCATATGCTCATAATAAAAAAAAACGAAAATATATTGTCTTTGTTATTTGGTAAAATTGACTGAAATAAATAATATTTTGATAGGAATGGCTTGTGTTTATCAGAAACTAAGATTAAAAATTAATGTAATGTTAGTTTAGACACAAGAACAGAATAGGCCAATGAAAAATAATTTTGTTACTATTTTTTAGAAAGAAAAGGAAGCTTTACATTAACAAAAATACTGGCCAGTTTTTTGTTGAGATAAGATCAGAAGTCCTTCCTCACCCAATCCCCCAAAATACAGCTCAACTATAGGTGTCTTGCCTTTGGCAAAATAAAATCATATTGTAATACAGAATGAGGTATTATCAATTTTTATGTGATTAATGACATGAAAATTCAGAGTGACCATAGAATTGATCCATAATTGTTCCAAAGTTATTGATCAACAAAGTAACACACCTGCATTTCTGCAATTGATTCAAAGTCAGGAATGGGTGAAATTTGGAGGGAAGAAATATGATTTAGTTTCCAGTACTTTTGTAAACTAAAAGGAAACCTGCAATAATTGCCACTTTTTGTTTCATATCACCATCTTATTTTATCTAAAAAAAATTCAAGGCTAGTTTTCCTTGACTGCATTTTAAAAGAGATTTAATAAACCGTAACTGGTAATTTCTCCTTGTGACTATTTTATCAACATGTGCTAAGAAAAAATGAAATGTGAAGCTGAACACCAAACCAATTTCTAAAATTTTGTTTGAAATGGAAACCTCTGGAGTTCTCTTAATTCCAACTGATAATATCAGCTCCTAATTGGCTTGAGTAAAATTTGGCTAAGTAACCCTTCCAGACATCTCTAACAGATACATTGAATTTCAGCTGTAGAAATGCCAATTTCTCATACTTTCATTTTTTTTCCCAGGGTATTTGTCTTGTACTTCATCATTTACAGTCCTGTTCTTGTCAAAGTGCTATTTATTAAGAATATAAAGACGGCATTATGACACTACCTCCTGCATTTTAACAGAAGTGTGACATTTACCTATTTGTAACCTTATCAGTAATTTATTCATTCTAGTACAGCTTATTGGGTGTACATAGTATATCATTCTTAATTAGCCAAATAGAATTCTTCATTGTGTATCCATTTTTAGCTAGTACATTTTCCCCAATGCAAATCTAAAAGTATGCATCTGACTCAATATAAGAAGTAAATCCAATATTTTAGAAATTCTTCTTTCTGTGTTCTCCCTTTAGTGCCTACCCTTTTCTTCAATGTGACAGGTAACTTGTTCTGATTTAAAACTCACTGATATTTCTTCTTGTATATTGTCTTATATACTCATTTTCTCTATAAGAAAAAACAAATTGAGTATCCATGATGATGAGATCACATTGGGAAATCTTTGATCATGTTTGAAAGGGCCTCAGGGATAACTAGTCAATTCTTTTGAACACTGTTGACTATTCTGGTTTCTTAAAATAGATTTTCTGGCAGAAAAAGAAAGACATGCCATTGTGCGTGGTTTACTCAACAACAATTGTGTGGTTTGTCATTGTTTTTAAAAGTAATATTTTGGTGGGGTTCTTGATGTTCAGTTTCTATGTAGAGTCTAGCAGATACATTTCTTCTCTGGTGGCTTTTCCCCATCCAAGTTTCCAGAATTTCCACCATTGACAGTATCAGGGATTTGTGTCTTCTCCACACACTGTTCCATTCGCTTCATGATTAAGTCCAAAAGGGTTTCTACAGCTTTCTCCACATTCTGTCCAGTTGCTGCACTTGTTTCAAAATATGGTATGCTAGCATAGAAAGGATGGCAAATATTTTTGAGAGGAAGAAATCAGAACAGATACAGCAAGATGTACAAGTGAATCACACATGCAAAAACGGCTGGCTGAGAGATTGTGAAATGATTATGGTTTTGCTGGCTAAGTTGGAAAGCATCCTTGTTTTTTCCTCAGTGAGTAAAAATTGGTGAGCTGCTCTTTAGTATGATTACAACCAGTTTTATGGGCAAGGAAATTGACACAAGAGGTAGTCAGGAAGTTGAAGCCAAGGCATTATCACTGTTTAAAAAAATTAGGAGGGGAAAAATACCCTCTGATCAATAAAACTACTGACCAATGTTACTATTAAAATATTGCTTCCCTTCCACTCAATTATCTGGAAATCTCCTTTAAAAAATAGGTATGCATTGAATAAGGATATTTGTGTGAATACAGTCAATGTTTATTTGGATTTAAAAGTTTCAAGAAAGACGTGTAAATTGTACAGCTTTTAGGGAGAATTCTTCCATAAAAAATTGGCAGATATGATAAAACTACTTTAAATTTAAAGAATAATGACAGATTCTGCCACGGAAGTCAATTTACAATTACATGGGGTGTTGTTTCTGTTTTTTTTTTTAAGCTGCCATTCAAGCTCAGCTGGGATAAAGACCACATTTTCATACCCTTGTCAGGGATTATTTCTTGGAGTTTTACATCTATTGATTGAGAGGCAGAAGAATACAGTGTTTAAGAGCATGAGCTTTGATATCAGACTGTCTGGATTGAGTTTAAGCTCTGCCTGTCACTAACTGTGTGGGGTGGCCTTCCATCAGTTACTTAATCTCTCTGTGACTCAATTCTTATATATAAAATGAGATAACTCTAGTTATGATGGGTTAAAATGAGTTAATGTCTAGGAACTGTTGCTAGCACATTATAGGTATACAGTAAATGTTAGGTGCTCTTATTATTAAGTAATTCATTAATACATCATATATATCTCTCTGAAAGATCTTTTTAATCCACATGCTGTTCTTGGTTAAGGGGATTTCTTCTAATATCAATCTAATGTCTCTGCTCCATTTGCTGAACAGCAGTGTGCAAGTCACATGCCATCTCAGTGTAACTGACTTACCCATATTTGTCAGCCAGTTCCCGAGCTTGCCGTTCATTGACTTCCCTCTGATCTGGTAGGTCTGCCTTGTTGCCAATTAATACTATATCTGGATTTTCACAATAAGCATTTGCTTGCAGTTGGCCTTGAAAAGAAAGCAGATGGAACCAGCAAGTTATTGATAAATAAGTGATGTCAAATGACTGCTCTTATTCCAGATTCCTGATCTAATTGCTTATCTCCAGTTTGGTTGCTTACTAGTTATATTGGCCAAGTTACTTCCTCTTCCCAGTCACAATGTGCTTATCTGTAAAACGGAGATAACACCTTACAAATTTCAGATTATGAAGGGGACTAATAATATATATGAAACACCTGTATCAATACCCAACATTTAGTAAATGTTAGGTGCTTTTATTATTAAGTAATTCATTAATACATCATATGTATTCCTTTGGAAGATCTTTTTAATCCATGCGCTGTTCTTGCTTAAGGAGATTTCTTCTAATAATATATATGAAGCACCTCTGTCAACACCAAACATTTAGTAAATGTTAGGTGCTTTTATTATTAAGTAATTCATTAAAACATCACATATATTCCTCTGGAAGATCTTTTCAATCCATGTGCTATTCTTGGTTAAGGGGATTTCTTCTAATAATACATAATACACATACATAATAATAAATAAGGGGATTTCTTCTAATAATACAGCATATCTTCTAATAATACATACCAAGTTGCTAGCACATAGTAAGTATTCAGTAAATACGGAATACATCTGGGGAAATGCTCCCTGAGATGGCCATAACTGCTTCACACCATTTGTTCCTCAAATATAGATGGAGGTAAATAGAACATGATTTTTAAGTGGGTAAATTTGTTTTTTCCTTTAGGAAGTTGTTACCTTTCCTTTCTCTAACCTCCGAAATGATGATCTATAGTGTGGAGCATTTTTTAATCACTACAAATTCATGTAGAAACAATTTTAAGACCAGTAATTTGTTTTTCTCTTTTCTCCAAAAAACACTATGTGTGGGCGGAGGGGGGAGGAGAGAGAGAGAAAGAGGAGGGAGGGAGGGAGGGAAGTAAGGAAGGGAGGGAGGGAGGGAGGGAGGAAGGGAGGGAGAGTTGGCGAGGGGAGGGCAGGGCAGGGCAGGAAGGGCATGGTAAGAAAAAAAGGGAAAAAAATATAAGAAACCTGTCAAGCTGTGTTTTTGAGGTTACAGAGGCTGCTCTAATGTCTATCATAAGGCATGCTGTGTGCTACCTTGCCAAGACTAGAGGAAGAAGACAAAGAAAGGCTAACTCTGTAACACCAATTACTTGGGTGTTAAAAATTAAAGTGTTATTAGGCATGACAATTAATTATCTTAAATCTCAGCAATATCCTTCTGGAGACGTTTAAAAACAAGGGAGACTCTCATCTGCCTTGAAAAAGGATAAACAAACCATTCTCTGAAAGAATTTAATAAGCTTATTATCTCCTTGTCTCCTGGGAATCTAAAGCTACCACCAAAATTTGGGTAATGAAATACAATATTAAATGGAAATAAAGGACAGATCCTAAGATAAACGTTCATTTGGAGAAGCAATTATGAAAGTCAGAATTTGTTTCCCCATTAGTTACAAGGTTATTGAACCCACACCGAGAGTGGTTCTATATAATTATTATATATAATCATGAATTATATACAAAATACATTATCAATTTTGCATAATATGTAGTGATAAGAAATATATCTATTTTGAGCATCTACTCTGTGCCAGGCACTCACCCAGGTATGGCATATTGCATTGAAATAAAATGGAAAAGTCTGCACTCTCATAAGAGCTTACATTCTAGTGGTAGAAAGCATCAAAAACACAAGTAAACCAAAAATACATCACATCATGTCAGGTGATGGCTGGGACTGAATGAACTCTAAAGCGTGTTGAGGGGATACAAAGTGATGAGTACTATTTCAGATGGGGTGGTCAGTCAAGAGACAAATAAGGTTTGGGTAAAACTTGAAGTGGGTGTAGAAGTGATATGGTTTGGATCTATGTCCAACGTTGAAATGTAATCCCCAATGTGGGAGGTGGGGCCTAGTGGGAGGCAACTGGATCCTGGGGGAGTATTTCTCATGAATGGTCTAGCACCATCCCCTGGTACTGTTCTCATGATAGTGAGTTCTCATGAGGTCTGGTTACTTAGAAGTGTGTGGCACGTCCCCCTTTGCTCACTTGCTGCTCCTGCTATGTCAGATGTGCCTGCTCCCCCGTCACCTTCCCCATGATTGTAAGTTTCCTGAGTCCTCCCCAGAAGCCAAGCAGATGCCAGCCACATGCTTCCCATACAGCCTGCAGAACTGTGAGTCAATTAAACCTCTTTTCTTTATAAATTACCCAGTCTCAGGAATTTCTTTACAGCAATGCAAGAATGAACTAACACAACAAGTAAACCAAAAAATACATAACACATTATCAGGTGATGGCCATGACCTATAAAGTGTGTTGAGGGGATACAGAGTGATGAGTACTATTTTAGATGGAGTGGTCAGTCAAGAGGTAAATAAAGTTTGGCCAGAACTTGAAGGGAATGAAGAAACTAGCACAGGGCTGTAAATGAGAGAAGAGAAAAAAGATAAAGGGAATGGCAAGATTTTCATACTGGGAATAGCATGTGAGGCAGTTTGGCTGAAGGCTAGTGAACGGGGCCCAAGTAAGAGGGAATTACGGAGGAAGCCCAGACATCATCACAGTGACCTTGTAGGTAAGTGAAGGACTCTGGATTTTATTCCGGGTAAGATGGAAAGTTACAGAAGGACTCTGAGCAGGAAAATAACATGATCTAGTTTTTAAAAAATACAACTCTAGCTACAGATGGCCCAGACAAATCTGGAAATGATAAGAGCAGCCCCATAGGACGACTCAGCTGTCCTGCTACTTGTATATCCTGCTAGGATCAAAATTCTTATTTGTAATAAAAAATACAAATGAAATATGCCCTTTATTATGACATCAAGTAAAACAAAGGAAAATTCCAATACTTCTCTCCTGTGGTGATGTATGTCAATATGACTTTAGTAATTGATTAGGCAACATTTCAATTTGTACTATATCGAAGTTTCCACAGGGGCTGGAGATTTGTCTTTACATGGTTTCCTCACATTTGAACCCCTTTTTAAAAGTAAAATTCCCAAGCGAGCTGACTGACTGACACACTGTGCTATGCCTCACCTTATCATCATGCGACTGGTCTGCTCTGGTTTCACACCTAATTAACCCACTAGTGTTTAACACACCTTCAGTGCCAGTGTCCCCTCAGAAAATACTGCCGATTTTCCCTGTGATCTCCCCAGGTCAAATGTAGTAGCTCACTTAGTTTTAAGAAGTCCTTCAAGACTTACTGGAAAAGTGGAATCAATGGCCTTTCAATGACAATAATAAAGATCTTAAATACAAGTGGTGATAAAGCTACATAGGCTTCCTCTAAAAATATCAATTTTTAGATATTTAGAAAATACTATTCCAAGCTACCTAGGGTGGTCCACATAAAGGCCACCACTTTGAAGGTGACACAGTGGCACAGGCAACACTAAACTCATGACTTTGAAAGTTAATCTGTGGTACCCAATCTGGTTTCATCTTGCAAGACCAACAAGCACCTAAGGCAGTTGAGTCCCAAAGCGGCCAATGCACATTACTCAGTCCCACTTACTCATCCAGTTTCTGACATTTAAGAAGCTCTGTTGACTGGTGAGGTCAAACATTAATAAGAAGCCCATGGCGTCTCTGAAAAATGCAGTGGTGAGACTCCGGAACCTGCCAAGGAAACACAGTGGGTAGTTCTGAAAGTTAGTCCACATATCTTTGACAACAACACAAATAACAGTTTCCCTTTCAGGTATGAATTCTCCGTGACTGGCCCTTATGGAATATCTTAGGGAAATGGGAATGTGGGCAGAGAAATTGCTGAAGAACCAAGAGAGAAGATTTGGTTGTAGTTTTTTTTTTTAAGACCACTTCCTGGCTTTCTGATCTCACAGCACTTTATACACACAGTTTGTAACATTCAATCATGGATTTGCTTACACAGCTTCTTGGAATCTTTTTGGCTCGTGGGCATTTTGTGGTCCACATTTAAAATGTAAAGCACTTTAGAGTGGGGACTTTAACCTATACTTTCCATCTTTCTTGTCTGTGCCCAGAAGAAAGCTTGGCACACAGTAGCCTGAAAATGAATGCCTGTGATGATATGAAGGAAACCGCAACTTGTTAGCTACAGGAATTGGAATTCTTTTGTAAGGAAGAATATTGATGACAAAACTCTTTTCAAAAAGCACTGTTTGGGGGTAAAACTGAGCTTCAGGTTGGCATCTAGGATTCACGAGGAAAAGGAAGATGATTGGAGGACTGAGTGGGGGTCAGGACAGAAAAGAGACATAGTCATTGGGGAAAGAAGGAAAGAACTCTCATTTCTAATGAGGATTTTAGAGAATTTGCTCTTTCGTGTGCAATGCAAAGTTTTTCCCTGCCTGGTCAGCTTTCCATGCCCTCACCCCCGACCCCAGCCACCACCAACCATCTTCAGTGAAGTTAAAGATGTGCTGAGATTCACTTCAATAAGAGCAATGGGCAAAACCAGAGACCACATGTAGGGACCAGAGAAGGTTTTGAATTTGGCAATGGGTTTTTAGAAAGGCACATAACTTTGAACTAGAGATATCGCTTCCTATCCTAAATGTTCTTCTAATTTTTGGTCTCCTATTTTAGCCTTTTTATAGATCCTTTGTGTTGGTTTCCTCAGAGGTCTATTCTTGACCCCTCTTACTCTATATACATTGACTGGATAATCTTATCCACTTCCGTGGCTCATTTGTAGCCTGTGTGTTGAGAAGCCCAAAATTAGAGATCCAGATGTTCCCTGCCTTTCACATTAGATGCCTAATTACTTGTTGGATACTTCCAGCTGGTGGAAACTCAGGCATCTCCAACTTCATACATCCAAAACCAAACTGGCCACTCTTCCTAATTTCTTTTTCTGTTTATGACATCACCACCCTTCTGGTTGCCATGATCCCTTCCTCCTTCACCTGGTGTCTACAGTTAACATATATCTTTCGACCTTCTCATTTCTGGCCATCTACTCTGCCACTACTCTACTTCCAAACCCATTCTCTCTCACCTGGACAACTTCAACAGCTTTCTGATTAGGCTTCCCGTGTCCAGTTTTGTTTGGGACCCTACTCCTATCACCACTCCATTTCTTCCCATAGATTATATCAATGCTCTACTAACGACATTTTAATGATTAGACATCACTCGTAAGGTAATGCACAAACTCCTTACAAAGCTGGCAAGGCTCTGCAGGAAGTGATCTTTGTTCATCTATCCAACTTCATCCCTTTGACTACCCACAGACATGCTGATCTTCTTTTAGTTCTTAGAAAGTTCACTCTGCTCCCCTGGGCTTTCACACATGCTGGTCTTTCTGTGGGTTACTTAGTCTTAGTGCTTCCTTTTCTTCCTACCCCTTCGTTGAGCCTGGATAGCACTCACTCATACATTGTGCATGAGCAAATACATAATGGTATCAGAGGAAATAACACTTCCCGAAGGGGCCTTCCCAACACTGCATGTGGGCTATGCGCTCCTCCTGGTGGGCCTGCCTATGTCTTTGTTTTCCTGTTAGTATCCTAAGGCTCCATTGCGATTGTTTATTCATCCAAATTCTACCCTAGACTGTAAGCTCTAAGGGGAAGGGAGCTGTGTTTCTAACTTGCTATCCATCATATTTTCATGGCTCAGAACCTGGTATTTGCTCACTAAATATTTGTGAAGTTAAACAGTGCAAGTGAAAGAAAGAAACAGTAAAAGATATACAATTATTAAATATTTTAAATGACTGCAACAGAGAATGATACTTTTCATACCAAAAGATGGGAGAAGAGATATTTTCACTGCTATTTATTTCCAAAGTAGGATTTGTCTGTAGGGCATCATCATGATCTAAAACTGTAGAGCAGAAATACCAAAAAAATTTATTCAATTTTTTCTTGTGGATTTGTTTCTACCATTCCTTGGAAGCCCACAGAGATTATAGTGCTTTGATTGAATAATTCTCCCTCTTTGGAAACTAGCTGTACCCACAAAATTGTCTCCTACTTGACCATAATTGTGTCATGCCAGGAAAACTGCTCTTTGTTCTCTCCTTAAGTGTGTGTGTCTCATTTGAGAACAAAACTGTGTGTTATTCCCTCTCATTGCCCAGAGCGTATGACAAAGTTACTCAAAAACATGCTTGCTGTAGTGATCTGTTTGGGGCAAACAATTTCTCCTCCCCAGCAGGATGGATAGGACACGCTTGTTCCAGAGCAGTAACAGACATCTTGCTCTATTCTGTCCAGTATCTTTGATATCCCCCATTTCCCCCACGGGGAGACAAGTAATTCATTTCCAGCCTCCCCCACCCATCTCATTCTGTCTATTGAGTCAGCAGGGTGGAGGAACCAGTGAAACCATGTTCCAAAGAGTTACAGAAACCAATGATGAACAGAAATTGAGTTTGCAGGATGGCAGATAAAGAAGGAAATAACTTGCTGAAACACTGAAACTCCCTCTGCTTATAAGATAAGAGAACTGGCTGAAATCGACTGGAACCGATATGGCCGACTGGAATCTGTACAGAATGAGCTTGCTAATGTCACAGCCTGAATTTCTACCACATGTTTCATACTAACTCCCCTTGAATTTCCACACGTGACCCCTGAGATAGAATGCAGAGATAACTGCCCACGTCCAAGGACTTTCCAGCCCTCCCCTTTAGAACCCACCCCTGCCACAACTTTTTCTAATAAAACTACTACTTCAAAAAGCCAGAACAAAAAGACAGATTTGAGCTTGACCCTCCTGTCTCCCTGCAAGTCGATTTGCAATAAAACCTTTCTTTTTCTCAAAATCCAGTGTCATAGTATTGGCTTCTAGCGCATTGAGTGATGAGCCCCTTTTGCTCCAGAACACTAGGATCACAGAAGAAACAGACCCCAAAGCTACATTATCACTCCTCCCCCTCACTGGGAATGAAGTCTGTGCCTTGTATCCTTTAAGTTTCCTTAAGGGCCATGTGTTTTCTCTTCCTTCCCATGATGTGACTTCTATCAATACCCATTATCTTACATGGATTGCACAGCCAGATGTCCTTAGGCACAGGGCTGAGGTGTGAGGCATTGTTTATCTTGTTGCTTAGTTACACCTTATATATACACAGAATGCAAAATTCTCAAGTGATGAATAACCCAAGTGTTCTGAAGCCTGCCCTGAGTATTCCCCATTTCCCCCATACAGCAGCTGCCTTCAGGGGACAGACAGAGAAGGCTGCCATCATGCAAGGCTGACATATCATGTGCGAGGACATATGGGAACCACATTTTCTCATATTACTTCTTCAAAAATGAATTAAAGTGCTCTGTAAAACATACATCTTTGTGACAACAAAACTGACATATGAACAGAGATTCTTGTGAGGAATGGCTTCAGAGGAACCAGCAGTGTTGAAGGGTGTGTGTAAATGGAATTCACAGTCAAAAAAGCTAACAGAGAGGGCCCAGCACCTCTCCTGGCATTTACACTCGCTAAAAGCGAGAACGCTTTGGATGCATTTCAAAGATGGAAGTGTTTACAAGCATAAGCATTCTAAGACACACGATGCAGGATTTGGAGGTATGTGCCTTCTAAATATCCTCTCTGCCAATTTTTTGCCACTTTTAATTTAATCTAATATTGAAAAGCTTCATTAGCTTGGGGTCTTTTGCACTTTGAAATTTTGGATCCCTTTTGTTTTTCCATCTAACAATGGAATAGTACCTCCAGCTCTAAGGAATTAACACTACTGTCTACCGAGTATTAGCTTGGACACTGTACCAGAGACAATGCTGGAAAGCCAGGCAAGATCTCCACACCTGTAAAGATGACAATTTTGTTGGAGTGAGAAGGCCCCAAGTGAATCAGTGAACAACAGTTAAAGATACAAATAGAATGTTCATTTCATGACAAGGTGGCATATAATTATTTAGACCTTAAGGGTGAAATAACCGGTGTCTGCAGTAGTTCAGAGTAAAAGTGGGAGTTTGTTTCAGCTGGGATGTTCAGACAGGCTTCATAGAAGAGAAGAAATATGAGCTGGGCCTGGTACAAGGAGAGGATCAGGAAAAGTGGGAAGGAGTAAAATATTCTAGCTGGAGGGCAATTGTTTTAAGATCAAAGTCTGAAAGGACAAAGCCAGTCGCATGGCATGGGACAAAGAGGCTGTGCTGAAATAACAGAAAGAGACAAGGAAGATCTTAACACCCTTTCTTCAACTCCCTCTTCAAGTAGCACTTATAACGGCGTTAATTTCCCATCTTCATTCAATTAAATTCTGGAGAACCTTTTTTTCCTTCTAAGAAGTGCAAAGACAGTGCATAGCAAGAATCTTCAGAGAGATTTTTGAAAGTCTGATTTTTGAAATTCATACCAACTGCACAGTGCTACTGTGATTAATTAATTACAAATCATTTATTTTTATTTCTGGATACAAATGTCTATTTTGAAACCAGGAGAAGAGTTGAATATTATTTGTTTTTCAAGTTCACATACAGAATTCATTTTAAAGTAAGTTTTTCTAAGCTATGTGTAGCCACAAATAAAGCAATTTACTATTACCGCTCTTGTCCCGCAGTGTCCCAAAGCTGAAGATGCACTTTAAATGCTTTCCCTGAAGATCCATTCGGTCCTTGTGCATTATAAACCTGAAAGATACAACGTTCATTAGTTGAGGTTGCTTTGGATTTTGTCAGCACTCAAATTCTTTGGGTTCACTCAGCATGTTTTTTTCTCAATTACTATAATCAAAGTTCATAGTGCAGAATAAATATTTGCTTTATTTTTTTCCAGAATTATCACATGTACTCTCACTTTTAAATGTCAAGTGCAAGTATGATTTTCAACACAGTTTAGGCATATTGCAAACTTAAATTAGACACCTTCTGTCATTTCCTCATGAGGCAGCAAACATCAGATTTAGGACCCAAGTTCTAGGTTCAAATACAAACTCTTCATTTAACCTCTTTGAGTCTTATTTTCTTATCTCTAAATTGAGACCCATAACCCCTTCCTGATTTACAGAGTTACTTCAAACTGCACACTTCAGTGAAATCACAGATGGTAAAAGCAGTTTTTTTAAAACAGTAAAGTGCTTTACAAATATCCGAATATCTTTTACTGTGAAATGGACTTTCAAAATGACTTAGCCATGAAATATGCACAGACTTTCTCAATAAGTTGACACAGGACATTTCAAGCCTTTCTTCACTAATCATTTAGTCAAAGGCTCTTTTTAGGTAAGTTTAATTTTTTTAAAAAAATTCTGGCCTTTTTATTGTTTAAGCAAAGCCTAAAAGATGTAATATTTACTCAGTTTCCTTAAGTATAGTTTAGTGAATACGTTTTAAAGGGAAAATTCTGCCAGGACATATACCCAGATACTGGAAAGGAGAGAAGGCAGGAAAACCCTGAATGGGTTGTCAGGGAGTTTGCTAAGCCTACACAACCATGTATTGACTTTCAGATCAGGTCCAGCACATTATAAAAAAACCGTGATTCAACTTCCCAGGCAATGGCTTCCAGTTACCATTTCTTTTGTTTTCTTTCCCAATTCTCAGGGAATGAGTAGATTTGTGACATCAACTGGAAGCCACAGCCATCTTGGCAATCAAGAATACCCAGGGTGGCAGTAAATCTGGCCTAGCTTCTGTGCCTATGCTACACATCTCACATGTCACAATATCCTTATTCCTGTCAATAGCGTCTAGCATAGGAGAAGGAAGTGGTTGTGATTCTCACTTAAACTCTCTTATCTTGGAAAACAGCATGATTGGTCTCACATTCTGTTCATAAGAAGCCAGTGATTGATGGCTGAGTCTACACATAAATAAAAATGCAGCAAGAGCTTACAAAGCTCATGTTCCAGATATTTGCCAATCATACTTTTAACTTCTTTCTTAAGAGTAGGGAAATGATCACTTGCTCTTATTGAGGACTTTAACTCAGATCAGAGTTAATGTTTTTAAATTCTAATAATTCAAGTTTTGAAAGATTTCTTAAGAATTTGTAGAAAACACACTATGCAAATCAGTAAAATATTGATTTGGGTTGCCTTGTACACTTTGGGAGACAAGAGAGAGTGCCACTTAATACTTTTCTAGGAAAATGTTATTTATAGTTGAAAAGTAGTAAATAATATTCTAAAATAAATTAAAATGACAGGTTATGAATTTCGTGTGACAAAAGACAGACTCCAATGCAATAAACATAGCTTCTTGATTCTTATTTTATATAGGGGGATGAGTGACAAGGTTAGAAGTACGATTAAAAACTCACCACACGTTTTTCCCGAAAGTCTATTCCTACTGTAGTGATGAATTTGGGATTGAATTTATTATCTGTGTATCTATAAAGAAATGTTGTCTTCCCCACCCCTGAATCCCCGAGGGCCAGGAGTTTGATCAGATAATCATAGTCTCCATCGGTCATAGTGATGGTCTTGGTCGGTCTGTATAGGAGAGGGAAAACAAGTATGTTTTGATTAAAGTTGATTTTCCTTTGCTTTATATCAAAATATGACATAAATTTAATTTTCAGGGTTAAAAAGTTGAATACCTCTATTCTGCCATATTTGAAATTAACTTGATCAAAGCAGCTTTAGGGGTGAAGGCACATCTAATGTTTTACTCAGTACAAATCTTTTTACCACATATCACCTAATACGGAAAAATATGCAAAATATCAATTGCCACAGTGCATTAGTCTGTTCTCATGCTGCTGTAAAGAACTGCCTGAGACTGGATAGTTTATAAAGGAATGAGGTTTGACTCATAGTTCCACATGGCTGGGGAGGCCTCAAGAAACTTACAATCATTGCAGAAGGAATCTCTTCACAGGGTGGCAAGAGAGAGAATGAGAGCTCAGCAAAGGGGTAAGCCCCTTATAAAACCATCAGATCTTGTGAGAACTCACTATCATGAAAAAACATGAGCAGCATGAGGATAAATGCCCCCAGGATTAAATTACCTCCCACTGGGTCCCTCCCATGAAACATGGGGATTATGGGAACCACAATTCAAGATGACATTTGGGTAGGGACACAGCCAAACCATATAACACAGCAATAGTAGAACTTAAAGTAAAAAGTTATAGACTTGTGTTTTAAAACCAGTGCATTTGGGATTAGAGGATGGTATTAGGAAGAGGAGAGAGTCACAGGGAACAGAAAACCCAGTCCAAGACGATGCAGATATCCTACAGAGAGACATCACTTATAGACAGATAATGGAATAAAAAAGCAGAGGGATAAGTTTTGCATCTATCCATGCAGGATGAGCCTTCTATATAATCTGTATACAAATTATTCCTTTTTAATTTAAAACATTTAACAACTGACATGACAAGCTTTAATCCTGTACCAGTAACACCGAGAATACCAGGACATGTATTTGAATGACACAATTACCTACTTGGTGAAATCTCCACTCCTGAGTTGAGCAAAATAATTTACTGCTCGGTACAACTTCCTGAATCATGGGCTATATTAATTGAAATGGGTTTGTCATATCTCATGTAAAGGAAGGCCTATGAAGATTTTTCTAGAATGCAAAGGTTTATCTCAGTATTATGTGACAGGGAGGAAGACTTCTCCACCTCTGAAGATTCAGAAAACACTGTATTCTTGAAGCATTCTGGGGTAATCAAAATTAAATTTCAACAACAGCCTATTCTATGGACATGATATGGTTAGGCTTTGTGTCCCCACTCAAATCTCATCTTGAATTGTAATCCCCATAATCCCCACATGTCAAGGGAGAGACCAGGTGGAGGTAATTGAATCATGGGGGTGGTTTCCCCCATGCTGTTCTCATGATAGTGAGTGAGTTCTCATGAGATCTGATGGTTTTATAAGGGGCTCTTCCCCCTTTGCTATCTCTCTCTCTCCGGCTGCCTTGTGAAGAAGGTGCCTAGCTTTCCCTTCACCTTCCACCATGATTGTAAGTTTCCTGAGGACTCCCCAGCCACGCTAAACTGTGAGTCAATTAAACCTCTTTCTGTTATAAATTACCTAGTCTTGGACAGTTCTCTATAGCAGTATGAAAATGGACTAATAGAGGACATATCTAAAATCACTAGATAATTCTAATAACTTTTTATGTGTAAAAAAATTGGTACATGTACATGTACAAAAAATTAAAACAATTTTTTGTTTTTATATTGTTACTTTAGTCACCAATCAAAACTGAAAACTTTTGCGTCTTTGGGTAAATAATAATGAAGAATAGAATGAGGTACTCATCAAATAATCCAGTATCATTATATCATTTGGAATATTTGCATTGCTTTACGTTATACTTTATTATGAATGTATGTTTCTTTCATGAATTAATGCTTTTTGAGGTAGGATGTTTTTAAAGCTGCAAATTCATACTTTTGCTCTAAAGCTTTCCTGCCATATAACACACTTTCTTCACTAGCAGAGCTCTCTGGATGGATTTTTGCTGACCATGGATGTTCTCAAAAAAAAAAAAAACCTAGACAAAGCATAATCATTTCTTAGGAAGAGATCCATAGCACCCATCAAGACCCGTCTTCCTTAATAAAAGGATACACATGTCTCAATTATTGCCATGAAGGATACACATGTCTCAATTATTCCAATACAGACATTGGAAAATGTCTATTTTGTGTGACTGCCAAGAATGGACTGGTTTCTCAGATTCTCCAAAAAAAAATTTGTTTTTGGAGAAGACAGGATCTCACTCTGTCATCTAGGCTAAAGTGCAGTGGCATGATCAGGGCTCACTGCAGCATCGACCTTCCCTGGTTTAGGTGATCCTCCCAACTCAGCCTTCCTGGTAGCTGGGACTACAAACACACGCCTCCACACCTGGTTATTTTTGTGTGTATTTTTTGTATAAATGGGGTTTTGCTATGTTGCCCAGGCTGGTTTCAAACTCCTGGGCTCAAGCAATCCACCCATTTCAGCTTCCGAAAGTGCTGGGATTACAGACATGAGCCACCACGCTCAGCCTGGTAAAATATTTTACCAGGACTGTATCATTGAATATGTTGCTGCTCTTATTCTTAGTTGCTGCTCTTAGTCAACCCAAATAGATAGCTAGAGAAGTTTTCTGCCATAGTATGATTTCCCCCCACACTTAAGGTCTGTTATCACCATCACTCTACCTTTTTCCCTCTTC
Source organism: Homo sapiens (assembly GCF_000001405.40). Taxonomy (NCBI): domain Eukaryota; kingdom Metazoa; phylum Chordata; class Mammalia; order Primates; family Hominidae; genus Homo; species Homo sapiens. Next base: position 54,874,871 of record NC_000018.10, on the reverse strand, counting down.
CCCTAAACTTGCTCATGTAAAACTATTTTGGAGGGTGATAATGTTTGTCATTTCACTAGTAGAATTGGATGAAACTGTTAATTTTCAGAAAAAAGAAAGTGCTTAAATTTATTATACGATATTAGTAACTAAAGCCAAATTCTTCCCTAGGCAAAAGCCTTAATTTTTTTAGCAGTTTTTGCAGTGGGGGTGTGAAATTGAAGACATTGGATTTCGTGGCTCCCAGAAAAAGTGAAAAGAATGGAGTCAATAAGACACATCTACATACTTTAAAATTTTGCTTAAAGCTAACTTTTTTTTTTTTTTTTTAGCAAATGTGTGTGTATGAATGCGTGACAGTCTCAAGAAACACTAAGTCATGAGCAAATCTAGTTAAATGTCTTCAATACGTAGTGTCAGGCCCAAAGATGAAAATTTTAAAAATGGAAGTTCTAGTCTAGCTTCTGACAAGGTCTGAATTACTTAAAAGTGAAATAAGGATCTGAGAAAATACAACGTAATTTTGCAAGGTAGAATGATTAATTGATAAATGAGTCAAATCCTGGTTGTGTTTTCAATTCAAACAAAACAGTGTCTTCAGGGACTGCAGTGATCCAAGAAGACTGCAGAGGAAGGAAAATTTGCATTTAACCTTATAGCGTGGAGGGGAATTAGACATGAGGAGAGGAGATACAGGACCATAGCATGGGAGATTACTTCCCACTTGTAGAATGAGACTATTACCACTTGCTAACTACACGACCTATCATGTTTTCCTGATTGGCAGCCAGACTGTTCTCTGTCTTTTGTACATAAACCTGCCTGGGGCAATACTGGTGCCACCTCCCAGTCAAAGTCTAATCCAGAGTGAACAATCCAGGCTAACACAAATCAATTCCACTGTGGCCCACATTGCCTCTTTTCTATAAGTGAAGGGTGCTGGACACTTCCTGACATTTAACACAAATTCCACCTGAAATGAATGCAAAGCTTGGCACTGTGGAAAAATCTTCATTTTTCCAATAGGCTATTTGACATATTAAGCTAGGTATGAGACAGTTCACTTCTAAGCTCCTTTCAAAAATGAATTTTATTTCTTATTTTTTATATCACTACTCTCCTCTCTCTCTCACTCTGTCTATGTCTGTCTCTGTCAACACACTCACACACACACACACACACACACACACACACACACACACACACAGGATTTGGCTCAGCTCCTCTTTTTATTATTATGTGATTTTTTTGAGTCCTAAAATCATATAGCCTCAATATTCTATTGTTGGTTGTTGGCATGGCAAATACAACACCATAAAAAAAAAGCCTTGGCAAATTTTCCTAGAACTGGGCTAAAAAAAATGATGTGGGAAGGATCAAAAGGCTGACAAGTTTAACAGTATTGTTTATTCCTGTACAATGACTGATGGTCTTGCTGGTTCTTGGTTCTGTGGATATAAAAGGGAAGAAAAGGCCAGAAGACTGCAGTGTTTCAGGAAATGCATCTCACTTAGTCTTTATCGTGGTATCACAAGCTGTACCACAAGAACCAGGAGGACTTTTAGATACAGACAAGCCCTTCATGGGAAGGCAAGGGGCTAAAAAGAGTAGGGAAAAGAACTGAAATGTATCACACCCATGAGGCTCTGTTTAATGAAGAGTCGTAAAGGTAAAAAGGAATTCAAGTAATCAGGTGGTCTAGCCCCTCAGTTTTTGGATGAGAAGTCATATACAGAGAAGGAAAATCCAAGATTATTATTATAATTTGAAATACAAATTGTGTTAGAAACAAAGTAGGAATATTTTTATTTTATATGGAAAGGGAATTTTATCCTGGATATATGCAGAAACAGAATTTCCATAGCTAGAATATCTCAAATGAAGTTGCTCATGGATTCACTCTTCCCCACTCTATCTCTCAGCTCCTGCTATTTTTGTTTAATGTAAGTTCCATTAGCACAGAAACTTGATCTCTTTTGTCTACTGCTGGATCCACAGAGCTCAGCTCAGTGGCTGCCATATAGAAGGAGCTCAATACATATTTGTTGAGTGTATAAATTTATTTAAGCTATCTGCAGCCATGCAAATGTCATGATTAATGAAATTAATCTCATGAGCCATTTGTGGAAGTGGTGTCCATCCGAGTGCAAGGACTTGGATTCTCCCTTCTTATCAATGAGGTAAGTATTTAGATTAAAGACTCACTGTATTGCTTTCCAGGTCTAGCTTCCTGAGTTCATTTTTCTTTTTTCTTTTTTTTTTTTTTTAAGGCAGAGTTTCACTCTTCTTGCCCAGGCTGGAGTGCAATGGCGCCATCTCAGCTCACCGCAACCTCCACCTCCCGAGTTAAAGCCATTCTCCTGTCTCAGCCTCCTGAGTAGCTGGGATTACAGGCATGCACCACCATGCCTGGCTAATTTTGTATTTTTGGTAGAGATGGGGTTTCTCCATTTTGTTCAGGCTGGTCTCGAACTCCCAACCTCAGGTGATCCGCCCGCCTCGGCCTCCCAAAGTGCTGGGATTACAGGCATGAGCCACTGTGCCTGGCCCCTGAGCTCATTTTTCTATCTTAAGTTGCACAAGAGTACAAAACCTTCTCAAAATAGAATATATCTTCAGAGGAATAGTTTCAAACAACATGAGAAAAGGCAAAGCACAGAGATACTGCACTTGAAAGTAAAATTTGTGCTAGCAGAGAACACATAAAGCTGTCGGTTGAATAGGTCAGGGCTCAGAGAACTGGGCTCCTCCGTATAAGCATCCATTTGCCATCTAACATACTCTCATCACCACCTCTCACTTGCATGGCATTTTGCATGGCTCTGAGGATATACTCCTTGCTCGCCAGTGGGGAGCTTGGCAAATGCTACAGTTACGTGTTGATGGCTACTCCACATTTGGAATTACCCACACAAACTTTGGTGCTCTTTGCCAGTCTACTGGATAAGTCTCAAGAATGCCTTGACAAGCTATGAACCTGTGACTTTAACGTATTAAATTAACAGAAACCAACTTAATATTTCTTTTTTTTTTTTTTTTTTTTGAGATGGAGTCTTGCTCTGTCGCCCAGGCTGGAGTGCAGTGGCCCAATCAAGGCTCACTGCAGGCTCCGCCTCCCAGGTTCATGCCATTCTCCTGCCTCAGTCTCCCAAGTAGCTGGGACTAAAGGTGCCCGCCACCACGCCCGGCCAATTTTTGGTATTTTTAGTAGAGACGGGGTTTCACCGTGTTAGTCAGGATGGTCTCGATCTCCTGACCTCGTGATCCTCCCGCCTCAGCAATTTAGTATTCTTAAGACACTTCGGAAAGCTCAAAATATTAGGCAGATAAGGTATCAGCCATATTTCTTTGCATTCCGTGTACAGAGTTTCAGTAAAATAAAGCTGTCAAGCACAAGATAAGCAGATGTTTAATATTTCCTCATTTATCTTTGTTGGATTGGGTTATGTCAGGCTTTAGTAGGTACATTTTCAGATCTGGAACTCTCACAGCAAGCACTTCACTGTCTGAATGATAGCCTCAGGGTGGTTCCCACTAATTGACTATGAAATATTCGTTCCCGTAACCACATTTATGTCCTGAAGGTTAGAATTAAACTATGGGTGGCTAAAGTACTCTAAGGACCTGCAGACTACCAAGAGAACAGAAGGCACGTTTCTGAGGGAAGGGGAAGCTTCTTTAGTGTATTTTTTTTAGCATTTTGTTCTATTAGGAAGGCAGTTAATTTTTATTTCAACTCTTCTTAAAGACTATTTAGAATTAATTGATGAGTGCCCATATGAAAGGTTTCAGATCAAATTGCAAATATAAATTAACATCAACCAAAAAATTACTTTTTCTCTAAATAACATTTTTGCCTTTGGCTTAGTTTAGTTGCATCTTTTGAAACTATATGAATATTCTTTCACTTTTTATTGTGGAAAATTTCAAACATATACTAAATTTGAGAGAATAGTATAATCGATCACTCAGCTTCTAAATTATCAATATATGGCCATTCTTCTTTCATCTGCCCTATAACTCTCCACCTACCAGATTATTTTGACGCAAATGTAAGACATCATAATGTTTTTTCATAAATAATTCAATACATATCTGTAGAACAAGATCTCTCAACCTTACCACAGTTGGCATGGTGTATATCTATACAGAAGGTTGTTAAGTTGGCTTTTTAAGAATTAGATAGGTCTGAAATCATGTGTTAATGATGTTTTAACCTATATTTCACTTACAACAAATCAAAGTATGTTTTCATATGTTTAATGGTTTTTCAATTTATTATTTTGAATTTTCTAGATGTACAATCATATCCTTCCTTAATAGAGCTTTAGGTCTTCCTCTCAAATTCTTATGCTTCTATTTGTGTTTTCTTATCCACTTTCACTGGCCAATACCTCTATTATAAAATTAAAGAGTAGCAGTGAGGATTAGACTTCTTTGTTTCTGATTTTAATTGAAAATTTTTTTAGTGTTTTCCCATTAAGCAACATGCTGGCTGCTTTTAACATGAGTAGATATTAAATTTGTCAATTGCACTTTCTTCCTCTATTGAGATGATCTTCTGATTTTTCTCCTTAGCTGGATTTTAATGGATTTCCTTATGTAGAATCATCTTTACATTTCTGAAATAAATTTTACTTGTTCATGATGTATCATTTTTAATGTGCTGTTGGGTTCTGTTTCTTATATTTTATCTAATTTTAAAAATTGGTATTCATAAGTAAAATTTGTCTTGTTTTTGAAACAATCTGTGGTTTTGACCTTTGCATTATATTAACTTCATAGAACGTAAAATGTTTCCATCATTTCTGTGCTCTGAAATAGTTCATGTATTCTTGGGATTATCTGATTTTTAAATGTTAGAAAAAAATTCTATGTAAAACCACGTTGTCCTGGTGATTTTGTCTGGGACTGTTTTCTGAATTATCTTCTGTTTTCTTCGGTAATTGGTCCATTTAATCCTGTTTTTTCTTAGGTCAGTTTTGTAAAGCTGAAATGTTATAGAATATTAACCATTTCATCTAGGAATTCAAATGTACTTATATGGAGTTGTACAAACTATTTTCATATGATTTTTAAAATTCCCTCTGTTTTGATACTTATTTCCTACTTGACATTTCTAATTCTATATATTTGAACCTATTTGTGGAAGGCTTTGGAAAACAAAGCACCAGTGTTATTTCTTCAAGAGTTTATTTTTATTAATAATATAACCTAGGTTATTAATCCTATTTTCTACCAACCATTCACTTTTCTCTTAGAATGTCCTCTTCAGCACTGCTCTATCTTCTAAATTTAATCACACCCACAATTCTGCTGTCCATGAGTTCTTGCACTTCTCCAGTTTTACTCCAGTTTCTATACACCCACTAAAAGACAAGTGCTGTGGGGTCAATTTCTAGTGAACCTTGAAAATCTGGACATGAATTTGCTAAAACCCAAATTTGCTCAAGGAACATTCTTGATGGGAACTCTGACACTTGTCAATAATGTTTTATAATCAGTGTTGGGAAAGGACTTTTCCATGATCTAAGACATTTTGCCTGAATTCAATGTGTTTTTAAATCACTGTTTACTAATATTGATACATTCAGATCAATGCTTGTCATGCATTTCCCTGCTACAAATGATTACAACTCAGCAGGACCCAAACCAGCACAAAGCTATTTTGATCCCAGATGCAGAACAATATTGACAGATACTCCTAATGGATTCCATCTGAAAACAACATGAAAGCAAAGAGCTAGTATTATCCCCAAAGCTCACATATATCCATGGATAGAAAGTGAATCCCTAATTAATATATCCTTTAAAACACTGTTTTGCAGACAAGACCCAAATCTCAGGGTTAGTTAAAACAATTTAGGCTTTTGTCTTCAGATGAGAAAATGATCAGGAGGAACAAAACAGTACTACACAAATTTGCTGTTTCAGATTCAGATAAGCCTTTGTAAGGGCTTGTGTTTATGGGCTATAAGTAATTGAGAAACATTTTTAAATGCTGATAGCCTAAAATGCCTCTTAATAAAAACAGAGAGTTTAGTTGGTGACCAGCCTCGCCAACATGGTGAAACCCCGTCTCTACTAAAAATGCAAAAATTTGCCAGGCGTGGTGGCACACGTCTGTAATCTCAGCTACTTGGGAGGCTGAGGCAGGAGAATCACTTGAACCCGGGAGGCAGAGGAGGTTGCAGTGAGTTGAGATCACGCCATTGTACTCCAGCCTGGGCAATATGACAGAAACTCCGTCTCAAAAAACAAACAAACAAACAACAACAACAACAACAACGAAACTGAGAGTTTAGAATGTCACATCCTTTTTGGAAACATAAATGATAAATGTGTGCAATGCCAAAGTGTGCCCAAGGTTATGCTGAGGGCTAGGTGTACTAGGCCTTTCTTGCATTGCTATAAAGAAATATCTGAGACTGGGTACTTTATAAAGAAAAAAGGTTTAATTCACTCACGGTTCTGCAGGCTTTACAGGAAGCATGGTGCTGGCATTTGTTTGGCTTCTGGGGAGGCCTCAGGAAGATTACAATCATAGTGGAAGGCAAAAGGGGAGCAGGTACATCATATGGCAAAAGCAGGAGCAAGCGAGATAGCTAAAGTGAGGGGGGAGGTGCCACACACTTTTAAATGACACAGCCAAGGTTCCTGACTGGACCTTAGAAGTAGAACATCACACTTTAGTAGTTCAAGCTGGTGGCCAGAATAAGAATTTAGAGGCATCTCCCCCACTTAGCATCTCTCCCACTTTTATTTTAATAAAATAAGAACTAATCTTGTATGAACACACTCACTGTCACAAAGACAGCACCAAGCCATGAGGGAACCAACCCTGTGACCCAAACACCTCCCACCAGACCTCACCTCCAGCATTGGAAAACACATTTCAACATGAGATTTGGATGGAGACAAATCTCCAAACTATATCACTAGGTGTGTGTGCAGTTCCACGGGAAGCCACCAGTTTCTTTGGTAAGTCATTTGCACTACTGAGGTTTGAGGTGGTGAGAGAGGCAGGCAAGTTCTCATTTTCTCTCATGGATTCCTACTGAATCTTGCTTCCCCCACTTCATGTCCATCTTTCTTTGCTGCCCCTGGTTCTGCTAACTTCAGGTTCATAAGACATAAAAGCACCAGGTGGCCGGGCATGGTGGCTCACGCCTGTAATCCCAGCATTTTGGGAGGCTGAGGCAGGCGAATCACGAGGTCAGGAGTTTGAGACCAGCCTGACCAACATGGTGAAACCCTGTCTCTACTAAGAATACAAAAATTAGCTGGGTCTGGTGGCACGCGCCTGTAATCCCAGCTACTCAGGAGGCTGAGGCAGAAGAATCGCTTGAACCCAAGAGGCGGAAGTTGCAGTGAGCCGAGATAGCGTCACTGCACTCCATTCTGGGCAACAGAGCGAGACTCCATCTCAGAAAAAAAAAAAAAAAAAAAAGAAAAGAAAAGAAAAGAAAGCATCAGGCTTACAAAGATATGCCCAGCCAGCTCCTACGATTGCATAAGGTCTAATCTGATTAATAATGCTATTGTTCAGTACCACTCTGCAATGGGAATAGCACAGCCAAAGTTGTTGACTGCACGTTAGTAGTAGAACACCACACCTAATTGGCTCAATCTGGTGGTCAGAGATAAGAATTTAGAGGTACCTCTCCCACTTAGCACCTCTCCCACTTTTATTTTAATAAAACACTTATTTTAACCAAAAACTCATTTTTGGTTGTTATTTTGGTTAAAATAAGTTTTTAAACTTAAACCAAAGAAAGTGGGCTCCCCACTTCCTGCTCTTTCCTTTAAAGAGACTGTTCAGGCATTTGCCCAATACTTTGGTGTGACCCACAACCTACTCCTTATATACACTAGTTGCCACGTGCTACTTGCTCTTTTTGTTCTCTGACTCTTCATTCCTGCCTTGTGTGACTTGGGGATGAAGGACTGTTTCACTGACTCATCGCACCCTCCCTGCCCAGGATCCGTACATAAAAACCTTTGAACTTGTTTCCCGTTATGGTGGTGCCTTGAATTGGTGTCTTCCATTTAAAATACGAGGAGCTGCCCCACATCGGGTTTTCTCCAGGACACCGAGGAGAAAAAATGGTTTGGCTCCCAGTGCCAGAATGATGGTCAGTCAGGCATAAACTGGCCACAGGTCAGACAAGAGCCACAAGAGTGTCTGTCAGCATAAACATTACCTGTCTGAGGGACCCCTGCCCTCTCTTCCCCTCCCCGTCACAGGTAGGACAACTAGGCATCTGGCTGTCTGCCAGGTAAAAGAAGGATCCCTGCCGGGCGCAGTGGGTCACGCCAGTAATCCCAGTACTTTGGGAGGCCGAAGCGGGCGGATCACCTGAGGCCAGGAGTTTGAGACCAGCCTGGGCAACATGGTGAAACCCCGTCTCTACTGGAAATACAGAAAAATTAGCCGGGTGTGGTGGCACATGCCTGTAATCCCAGCTACTAGGGAGGGTGAGGCAGGAGAGTCGCTTGAAACCAGGAAGCGGAGGTTGCGGTGAGAAGATATAGCGCCATTGCACTCCAGCCTGGGCTACAGAGCGAGACCCCATATTGGAGCGCAGGGCGCGGGGGGCAGGGGCGGGGAGGCGGGGAGGCGGGGAGGAGAAGGATCCCACCAGGATCCCCTGAGAGTCACACTGTAAACATTCAAGTCCAAGTCCAGCTGCTCTTCATTTCCCTTTAGGACAGTGTTGCTAGCAGGTCTGGGATTGGAACCCTAATTTAGCTGGGGGCTCTCAAAACACACTCATAGTGATTCTGTTTTTTTTTTGTTTTTGATAAAACTCTCACTGATAAAACTTTCCAGAATGTTGATAATACAGCATGAGGTATCTGTCTTTATTTTTTAAAGTTTAGAAAATTAAAGCATAGCTACTGTTACAGCTAGGATAGGGCCATGGACAGAACTGCTATTTCAAATCTGATATCCTGCATAACTTACTTCCAACCTATAAATTCCAGTTTTGAAAGACAGCCATATAATTACCATATGAAGGCATCCTGCTTATATATCCTGATAAACAGCTGAGAGGGTCTTTCAGTGAACTGGCCTATAGTTGAAGTGTTTATTGCATATTCATTTTCAGTATTTCTGTATCCACTGAAACAAAGTTATGAACATTTAACATTAGCTTATTTAACTCTAAGGTGTAGTTTTGGCATTTCCCTCCAAATTCTTCAAAAGAAGACGTGTGGATGCTAACTTGTCTTAAAATCAAATAGCAAATGGATCAAAGAACTTCTGCTTCATATCCACATACCAACCTTCAGCTCACATTGATGACAAGGAAGGGGAAAATTTGGCTCCTTGTCCAATTTACAGCTTATTAAGCCAAAAGAAGAATAACTCTTTTATGGTTGGAATAGTGCACCTTAAGAGATTACTCTTAGGTTAAAGGCCTCATGAAATCCATAAAGGGTAACTGGAAACTTCATAGATAGTTCTTTACAACATTATGGTATAGAATTTCATGGTTATTTCCCCAGACAGGTATACCTTGGCAATTCTTAGGTACCAACTAACATAGTTTCCACATAAATCTAGTAAGTTTTTATCAAACAAAGCAAATTGTAACTATGAAGAGAAAAAGGACACACACACACACACACACACACACACACACACACAAAAGGCCATTGCAGTAAAATTAACAAAAATATAAAAAATTAGGAATATTTGAGGCAACTCAAATGATAGTAGAATAATGATAAAACAGTGCCTGATGTATTTGCATGTATTTAATCATATATATATTTAATCATATATAACACATATTTAATCAGGTACTGTTCTATCATTATTCTATTATCATCTGAGTCTATTATCTTTTAGTCTAAGCACTAAACACTAATAATTAACACATTTAGTCTTTAAAACAATGCCACAACACTACACATTTAATTTAATCCCTCTCAAAATCTACTTGCCTTTTCACAAAAATCACAAGCTGATCCTAAAATTCATATGAAAATGAAAGGGACACAGAATAGCCAAAATGATCTTGACTGAAAAATAATAAAGTTGGAGGACTTATACTTTTCAATTTCAAAACTTACTGCAAAGTTACAGTAATCAAGAGAGTGTAGCACTGGCATAAGGATAGACAAATAGATCAATGGAAGACAACTGGGAATCTAGAAATAAACTCTTACATTTATGGTCAATTGTGACAAGGGTGGCAGGACAAATAAATGGGAAAAAGAATAGTCCTTTCAACAAAGAAGCTTTTATAGAAAAATTAAATTAAATGGATCATAGACCTAAATATAAGAGCTAAAACTATGAAACTCTTAGAAGAAAATATAAGAGTAAGTCTTCATAACTCTGGATTAGGTAATGATTTCTTAGACTCAAAAAAAGAAAAAAAAATAAAAACTTTTGTGCTTCAATAGACACCATGAAAAAAAGGAAAATACAACCCCTAGGCTGGGTGAAAATACCTGCAAATCATATATCTGATAAGGAACTTATATCCAGACTACATAAAGAACTCTTATAGCTTGATAAAAAGACAAATAACCAAACTTTAAAAATGAGCAAAGGCTTTGAAGAGATATCTTCTCAAAGACTACATATAAATGGTACGTGAAAAGAAGACAAAACAGCATTAGTTATTAGAAAAGTATGGGTCAAAACTGCAATGAGATACCACTTTACACCCAGAAGGATGGGTATAAAGAGATGGACAGTAACAAGTGTTGGTGAGGATGTGGAAAGTTGCAACCCTCCTATATTGCTGGTGGGAATGTAAATGGAGCAGCCACTTTGGAAAACAGTTTGGCAATTCTCCAAAACTTTAAACATAGATTTAATGCATGATCCAATAATTCCACTTCTGGGTCTAGACACAAAAGAAATGAAAACATATATTCACTCAAAGATTTGTACATGAATGCTCATAGCAGCATTATTCATAATAGCCCCAAATTATAAACAAACCAAATGTCCATCCACTGAATGTGTAAACAAAATGTGGCATGTATGTACAATTCAATGTTATTCTTCACAGAAAGGAATGAAGTGCTTATACATACAACAATATGGATAAACCTTGAAAACATTATGTTAAAGTAACAAAATCAGATGCAAAAGGCCAAATTTTTTATGATTCTACTTATATGAAATACCCAGAATAGATAAATCCATATAGACATAGTGTATAGGCGCTTTTGCCAGCGGCTGGTGAGAGGAGGATTGGGGAATGACTGCCAATGTATACGGGTTTCTGTGGGGAAGGGTGAACGTGTTCTGGATTTAAATAGTAATGGTGGCACAACTTTGTGCATATTCTAAAAAAACACTGAACTGTACTCTTTAAAAGGGTAGATTTTATGATACATGAATTATATTTCAATAAAGCTGTTATTAAAAACCCCAACAAGATAAGAATATTATATTTTCTCTTACAATAATTATTCAGGCCTACCTCCACAATGCTTGTTTGCATTGCAGTAACTTACTAGTAAGTATCATGCATATTCAAACAATAATACCCTCCTGAAACCAAATGGAAATTGCCTATAGAATACATTTTATCTATAGGCCATAAAATACATTTCTATCAAAAATTAGAAAAGAATATTTGAGACAATTCAAATGATAATAGAAAATGATACAATAGGGCCTGATATAGTTGTATATATTCAATCATATGTACCTTTAATAATCTATGTATTTAATCACATATATACTTAATCAGGTACTGTTTTATCATTATTCTATTATCATCTGAGTCTATTATCATTTAGTCTAAGCACTAAATACTAATGATTAACACATTTAATCTTTAAAACAATGCCACAACACTACACATTCAACTTATTCCTCCTCAAAATCTGGTTGCCTTTTTGCAAAAATCACTAGCTGATCTTAAAAACTCTATGGAAATGAAAGGGACACAGAATAGCCAAAACAATCTTGACTAAAAAATAATTCTCAGAAATAATTTCTCACAAATAAAGTAATTTATGATTTATAGAAATGTTTGTTATTTGACAAAGTTCCAACAGCCAATCTTCTGTGCACATGTGCTCACAGATCAGGACTGAGTAATTGAAAATCATTGAGAAACAGCAGCGCAGGTTGGTGATCCAGGCACCGCCAAGCAATCCTGGATCAGAACTGGAGTGTGTATATAATCCAGTGGGTCCCACACTGGGGATCATCAGTATTCCCTGTGAAGTTTACAAATACCAACTCGAGGGACTCTCTGGATAAGCTGAAACAGAGTGTCTTCAGGCAGGTAGGTCTTGGACAAGCGGAAGCTTAAGTATTCCAGTAGGAATCAGCAGAAGAGCAGCCAGGTCTGAAAACCATTTTTCTCCATCCTCATCCACTATTCCAGAATCTCGAGACTCTGTAAACCCCTTCAGCACCCAATTCCAGTGTAGAAAACCCATTGGTCAAGAAAGGAGCCCATTTATCTATTAATAATTTGATGCTGTGGCAGTTAAGAGTGATTTCTCCTTACTGATGGCTGTCAGCAAAGCTTGGCACATAGCTTGCGGATTTCTCCTTCTGCTGAAAACTGTTATAAATGTCCTTAATATGCTTTCCCCACTACATTCGATTTTGTTCCCTCACACATTCTAAATTTCCCTGAAAATTAGAAGTAGCCCCCAAAATATTATAATTTTACTCACTCAAAACAGATGCGCTGAGATGTTATATAAATGTTTGGATTAAATAAACTCACTTCAAGAATTTTTGGAAAGATTTATCATTTGATTTCAAAAATTTTTCTGCTTGTCTTCTTAAGTTGGTGCATGACTCAATTTTTCTAAGGCAGTCATGCTTTTTTTTTTTTCTTTAAATGCTTTCCTAGATCCTTTCTGCCAGGACTCCAGCTAGGGAACAAGAAAAATAAATGTAAATTGCTTGAAATTCTGTAAAGCTGTATATTGAAAGAATCTTTCACATATGTCTCTTCTAAGACTGAAAACACTTGTGATGCGATGAAGCAGAACCAATGTCCATTGAGCAGACTAGGAAATACACACAAAGAGGCCAATGCCTTCCTTGAGATCAGTCACCAAGACAGGAAAATGGGTTTTCCTAACTCAGTGGTTCTCAAACTTGGCTGCTTTAAAAACTCCCCAGTGCCCAGGCCATACACCAATTTAAGTATTGTAAATCTGAATTCTGATATGACAAAAGCATGTGTACCTTTTAACACTCTCCCTAATGATTCCAACATGTAGCCAGGGTTAAGAAGCACTGCCCTACCTCTTAGCCCAGAAACTCCTCACTGCCAATGAATGATTCCTAAGTCTCACTCTACAGCTACTAGAAGAGTAGACCACACTCATAAAGACATATCTTTTCCTAAGACAGTGCTTAGTTAGGAAGATGATTCCTTTCCCACCATAGGCGCCTGATTCAATGGGCTAAACAGCACCAGTCACAGCACGATTCATTGCCCTTATCATGAAAATGATATGCCACCCTCAGTGAAGCAGATAATCCATCCCTTTTCTCTGTAGAGTTATGTGATATATGAAAGGATATTAAATGTATATATGCAAATTGAAGTTTCTACTCCTAAACAATGTCTCCATAAAGAAAAAGATTTGGTTTTAAATTAAAGATATGGCTTGTTTAATAAAATGATTTACTAAGTTTTCTGACATTGGCCTATTACTTGCAAATTGGGTTCATTTTCTAGCTGGCTGCTGCTTTGAGGAAGTCGTGCCAAAGTTCCACTGCTTTGCTTTATTATCTGAGAAAGGGCAAACTAATCAAAATATCTGCCCACAAGTTCTGCCTCCCTGAGATGTGGGGAAGTTGAATTAGATAGCATCTATGGGTTCATAGGCAAATATCTATGAAAATAAGATGTGTCATTTTATTAAAAATTTCTCACTTAAATATAATTCTAGATAACTCACAGAGCCATGTGATTCCAAGGAAAAGCCAAGATCTCTTTAGAAAAAGAATGTTGGCTATTCATTGTTTTAGCGGATATTTTACAAGAAGCATTTTATGAATTTAATAAATACTGGAAAATGGAGATTATATCTACAGAGCATGGAATTAGTCCAAAGAAGGTGCTTGTTTGTTTCACCAGGCTCTTTCTACCCTACATAGATGCCTATAGAAATAAAAATCTCTGACTTGGAACTTTCCTTCTGTGATGTGCATGATTTGAAGCTGAACAGAAAATAAGGAAGGCAATTACATATGATTCTTAACTCTTATGTTATTGGGGAAAATGTTTCTTCATCCGCTAACTTATTTGGAATGAGTTCTACCTCAGAAAATCTAGGGCTGTAAATCTGACAGAGGAGTTCAGAGGAGAGAGGAAAAACTCATAAAGGGATGTTTGGTGGGGTGGGCAGAAATAATCAGGAGGGCTTCATGGAGGAGATGAGATGAAAGCTGGAGTTTGATAGGGAAAGGAGAGAGGGAGAGCTGGAATGAGGAGAGTGGTGGTTCTGGAGGTAGAATGTGCACGAGTGTCATTGGTTACAGGAGATTCGGCTTAGATGGAAGCAGAAGCTTTAGGGGGCCGTGGCAGATGAGGTGGGATCCAAAGGATCATTGTTGTCAATGGTATCATGGAAAGAGGCAGGCATTGGAATCCACAGCCCTGAGTTCAGAAGCTCAATTTTAGCCATTTACCAACTACAGGAAAAAGTACTTAACCCTTGATTCTTAGGATGTTTATCTGCAGTCGCGAGTATGTAACATACCTGGCTCCCTGCCTTGAAGAGGAATTCACCATGAATTCCTCTCTACTCTTGATATGCCAAATAATAGGGAGCCACAAAACCCTTTTGACAAGTACCCAATGTAACAAAAACACAAAACAATTAATCAATTATTATAGGCTACTTACTAGCCTAATTGAAGTCACCAACTTCATCAGAACAAAGGTGGTATAGAAATCCCAAGGGAAAGGCATGGCTGAGTTTTTAAAATCTGGTTTTACTTCTACTTCACAAAGCCCTAGATTATTTCACTAGATGATTTCAGCCACTTCATCCCCTACTGGAGCTCTGATTAAAAATACAATATGTCAACAATGGCTAATTACAGCTTTAATGAGTCTATTGTTTACTTCTTGGCAGTAACCTAATCGATTGACCACGTTTCAAACTCACCTAGTGTTTTCCGATATAAAACATTTATAATTTTGTCTTTGTCGAGTTTCACTCCCCAGCTGTTACTAGTGAGAAAAGTCATCATTAGCACAAAGACATTTACAGCTATGACCACCTTTCCTGCTGTTTGGTGCATTTTAAAGTTTAATCAGAACAGAGCAGAAGGCAGATTCTTGGTGCCTCATTCAGAGCCTGCTAAGGTTCTGACAACAGAGAGTGCCATTCCCAATTCTACAATATTCTTTAGCTTTCGAATAGGTGATTTTTTTTTTTTTTTGGTTAATTGAAATTTTTGGCTGATAAAAGTTATGAAATATTTGAAAGTGGATGGTTTGATGAAATTACACTTATAAAAAGGTTGCTACTTAGAATTTTGCATTATACTTTTGCTCAACTTTTCATTAAGTTGGGACAGGGACCTTCATATGGAAACATATCCTGTTGACTACTCATATTCACAGTGACTGTTCTTCCTGAAAAAGAATCACAAATTCAGCAATAAAGTAAAATAAACATCAAGAATTGTAGTTCTTACACATTAAGATTTGTTATAAGACAGTTGTTATGAAATAGCTTTGCCTGTATTTTCCAGATTTGATCTACAAGGAGTTTGTGGCACTCGGAAAGGACACAGACTGGGGTATGTTACATCTCATCTCTGCAAAGTCACTGCCCTGAAGCCTACTCCTGGCCAGGAAAAAATATGGCAATTTCCATTAAAAAGTGACGTGTTAGTTTCTCATATTTTTGAACAAAAAGACACATATAACTTACTACATTAAGTCAAACACTAAAAGGTAAATGTTAACATTTTAGTGGAAAAAAGATCACAAAAAGCTGTCATTCACAAAGAATAGATTTGCCGTATCTGACACTTCCAGTTTATTGACGGTCCAGTCTCAAATTCTTGAGAATCATTCTACTCCTCCAGTGTCAAAGAATGCTCTTCCTAACTCGTTTCTGCTAATTTTTAAAAAGGAAAATCCAAATCCAAATTTTATTTTATAAGTTTCCAATAACCTAAACTGCAAGCAGTGGAGCAGAGAGAAGGGGATTTTTAATAGCTAAACTCAAGAGTTTTCCTGGCTGGGCACAGTGGCTCACGCCTGTAATCCCACCACTTTAGGAGGGATCACGAGGTCAGGAGATCGAGACCATCCTGGCTAACACGGTGAAACCCGTCTCTACTAAAAATATATAAAAAAAGAAAAAATTAGCCGGGCGTACTGGCAGGCACCTGTAGTCCCAGCTACTCGGGAGGCTGAGCAGGAGAATGGCGTGAACACGGGAGGTGGAGCTTGCAGTGAGCCGAGATCGCACCACTGCACTCCAGCCTGGGAGACAGAGCGAGACTCCGTCTCAAAAAAAAAAAAAAAAAAAAAAAAACAGTTTTCCTGCTGGAAGCTGAGCCCATTTTGGTAGGTGTTATTCTTACAACAAAAGGCATAATTATGAAAACTAAATGCTTACATATTAAATTTCAAGCATATAAATTCTAACGCATAGGATAACAAAATAGAAATGCTTCACATTTGCTCTATGAATACATTAAATTGAATATATCATTGTATGTGACTATGAGAGAGTTTATATTTTAGGAGAATGTTAGCACTGTCCTTCTCTGATAATATTACTCGGTAGTTAATCAACTAGTTCATATTTACACGATGACGAATACAGGCTAATATAAGGTCCATTAGCTTCCTCCTAATCAAGCAAAGGTTGGGACTATGATGTTGTAAACTTTAAAATCTTCCAACATCATCTGAAAGAGCTGATTTTCCCTGGGATCTAAAATGGAAACTAGTTTTATAAATCTAACTAAAGAGAAGATGCTCTTGTTGAATATCCTTTATCTCATGGTATATAGGTTTATATTTTCTTAAGCAATCTAAATAGGATAAAATAGGAGGAATGAGTATAAGGATGCAAGCTGCAACATTTTTTTCTGAAGCATAACTGCATTTACTGGGCTATATCAGGTTTATGGATTATAGAGGATGAGCAGGGTCATAATGAGAGCATGTGCACATTGCGTCTGCATGCCTGCCCACATGTGCACACATGAATGCACACACATGAACACGTGAGCATACACAATATACACAGTCACATCAAGCATGCACCCATCATTAAGCTCGTGCATGCACATCTTCTATTTATATGCCAGGCTTCTATTTAACCTGATCATGTCAGAAGATATGCCTATTTTGAATGTTTATGGAGTAAGCCAGAAATATATAGAATTTACAATACAAATTGTATAAATCATACAAATTTGAAATTTTTTAATATTCATAATTCAAAGTAGGAGAGTGAGATGCTCTTTTTTATTGATAATTTGATGAAAGTTATCCAACATGCAAAAGCTACTGTACCTCTAAAGGGTGTGGTGAATATGATGGAAATGATTCGTAGGTCTCTTTACCTGGAAGTAAGGTGGAATTATTTCCCGGATGGGCAGAAGAGAACAGAGGAGAGAGTTTTTTGTAAAAGGTGTGAGTGGGTAGGTAAGACAGCACATACCATTAGACTTGTTAAATGAATTCTGACAGAGTACCCAGGTGGAGACCTTATGAGGTTGGGCATTAAATGTGGAACAGGATGCTTCAAAAAGAAAGATCAAAAAGTTTCCTGGGAACTGTATATCGTTAATGGTCTCTCTGGTTCCTGACTTTGATAAAAATGAGTACAGCAAACACATTTATGAAACCTTTGCATGTAGATCCCTAAACCCAAGAGAGGGAAGAAAATGAAGGAAGAAAATGGAAATGCATGTACAGTAGTTTAAAAACATTTGAAAAGCAACAATTATGACATCTTAGGTAAGAAATTAAAGAAAGAGTGTGGGTTTTATCATTGGAATTAGAGTTCACAATATGCTTGTAGCATAGTTTCTTTTACGAAACAAAGATACTAATCTTCCCCCAGATTAACTGATTTACTCATTAACTCACCCAGCAAACATTTATCAGGTGCTAATATGCATTGGGCACAGAGTTTATTGTGAAGATTACATGAAACATCCTAAAAGGCTCCACAGCTCTCTCTCCAGCAAGACCACTGTAACAGCTGAAATGGCCACATGCCCTGGTCTGCTCAGCACAGGCCCAGTTGACATTCCCTGTTCTGTTAGTGGCACCCACTTTCACTCTCTGAAAGGCCCTGCTTTGGATAAACTGCATGGTCACTGCAACTAATAAGAGCCTCCTAACTTGTCTCCATGCTCCCAGTTTTGCCCCATCCATTCTCCACATAACAAGCAGAATTATCTTTTAAAAATCTAAGTCAGACCACATTACTGTTCTGCTTAATATTTTCCAGTGGCTTCCTATCAAACTGAAAATAGAACCTAAAGCCACTTGTCTGGCTTACGAAATGTTGCATGATCTGGCTCTGGCTAGTTCTCTACTAATACTCTTTGCCCTCTTTGTTATATTCCTTGAAGGAACCAAGTTTCACCCTGCCCCAGGGCCTTTGCACTGCAGTTCTCTCTACCTGAATTTTTCCTCCTCCCCGACTTTCATAAGCTGACTTCTAATTGTCATTCAGTTCTCAGCTGAAATTTTTCTTCTACAGAGAGATCTTGCAGAACCCTGAATCTAAAGAAGGCTCCCATTCATTTTCTGTGGGTTCCCCATATTTTAATTCTTTTTTATAGCCTTTCTCCCCAGCTGACGTCTGTCTTCTTGTTCATTATCACTTGCTTTTCCCACTAGGGTGCAAGCTCTAGGAAGGCAGAAGCTTTGCACGTCTTGTGTTTACTTTAGGGTCTAGCTCAAAATAAGTGTTCAACAAATGTTGCTGACAACACTAATATATGCCCTGTTGGATCTAATTCAGTGTGGTTGTATAATAAAGATGACTGGTCTTGGAGAACTTCAGGGTGTACATATTAGAAAACTGAATACTGCACTTTATATAAGAAAAAGCATCTTTACTCAAAGGTACCTTGTATGTTGAATCTAAAGAAGAACCCAGTCTAAAACTCACAAATATAAAGCTATAGAATTAAGGGACCCTGATGAATGAGTATATACTTTTCAATAGTATACTGAACCCTATCAATAGCTGCATTTAAGACAGTAAATTACTGAACACCTACTTTTGCTTCTGTGGTTTTCAGAACCATGCTCAGCAAAAATATGTGTTGGGGATTTTAATGAGGTACTGGAACGGGTCTTATTTAGGTGCTCAAGGGTAAGACTACTGAAGAGGGAACTCCACTCAAGAGAATCATTGGCTCAAATGCTTACTTCTATCTTGTATCCAAGGCTGCTAATGGAGCAACAGAACACCTTGGACACCACCCTTTGATGATATATATTATATAATACAAATAATTTGTACTTTAAATGAAGGCAAGAATCATGTTAAATCAGGGGTCCCCAACCCTCATGCCATGGACCCTTGGCATGGTCCCATTGGTCAGTGGCCTGTTAGGAACTGGGCTGCACAGCAGGAGGTGAGCAGCCAGTGAGGAAGCAAAGCTTCATCTGTATTTACATCTGCTCCCCATGGCTCAAATTACCGTCTGAGCTCCACCTCCTGTCAGATCAGCAGCAGCATTAGATTCTCACAGGAGCATGAATTCTATTGTGAACTGCACATGCAAGGGATCTGGGTTGCACGCTTCTTATGAGAATCTAATGCCTGATGATCTGTCACTGTCTCCCATCACCCCCAGATGGGACAGTCCAGTTGCGGGAAAACAAGCTCAGGGCTCCCACTGATTCTACATTATAGTGAGTTGTACAATTATTTCATTATATATTACAAGGTAATAATAATAAAAATAAGGTGTACAACAAATGTAATGCATTTGAATCATCCCGAAACCATCCCCCAATCCCAGTCTGTGAAAAAATAGTCATGAAACCCGTCCCTGGTGTCAAAAGTTTGGGGACCACTGTTTTAAATGGATAAATATGGCTAGTGTTTCAGGAAAATTCAAGAGAACATTATCATTAAAGGATATAAATAACTCACATTATATGTAAACTAAAGGATGAAGCTTGTGTGGTACCATTAATTTTATTTGGACTTGATTCTTCAGCAGCTGATGAATTAATCGTTCTGTAAGGGACTGGACTCTGAAAGTAGGTCTGCTTGCGGACAAATTTCAGCTATGTTGAGTTCTCAGAACCTGTATTATAGAGATCTAAATGGTGGGTTAGGAAATTTCACACTTAATTATTTTTTTAATCTCTACATGTTTTTAAAATAAAGGTTATGTTTAATCTCATTACTCCCACAACCACCTAAACTAAGCCTTTCATTGATTTGCAGAGTAGCTGGTAAAAAGAGGCACAACATATTTGTTGAATGGTTAACGGAAAAGACACAAAGAAAGAGTTGGAATGGGACATATTTCTACCAATGAAAATCCTAAATGGGAAAGTGGAGAACTAGAAGCTTACTAGAATAAAGTCAATAGGAACACGGAGAGACACTTAAGAACGAAAAAGTGTGTATGTGGATGGGTGGGAGGATCTGAAGTCAAGCCCCTGTCTTCCCTTTCTGACAATTTTGTTCCTGGCTGACTCTAAAGATATTGTAACAATTTCTAAATATCTGTATTTTAACTGGTCTCAGCCCACGTTTGTTGAACTCTTGAGATTCTAAAGACGAATGTAAATAATTAACCTGGAAGAAACCTCTCTGCCCCTTACCGGTGGCATTTAATTGAATATACAATAATCTGTACTTTCACTAATCCCTAAAACTAAAGTTATGTGTTGAAACAAGATGCAGTAAATGGTGGGGAGTAAAGGAGGAATATTAAATTGTTCATCTGGAAGTTATAAAGACATATTGGCATTACTGGATTCTAGATGTAAAAGAAGCCACAGGCAAAAAGCTACACAAAAAAATACAAATGATAGAGGGTGGAAGAAAGAGGATAATGTGAGGTGAAAAAACATTAGATGTGAGATAATGAAAGGTCTAGGCTGGAAAAAAAGGAATTTTCTAAACTAACAAAAGCTACACATCATTCCAAGCTTATAACAGGTAGTCCACCCAAAAGTGGATGAAGGGAATTACTAACAGTAATACCCATTAAAAAACCCCACTGTATGTAAAGCATGCATGATTGTGATACTTCCAAAAAAGACAGAATCAAGAAACTTCATACCGATTAATAGGATTAGCAAAACACTAAGTAGTTAACCTAGTTTCCATTTCTCCTTTCACAGTACTTAGAGAAAACTATACTTACAATTTCCTTGTTGCTGTCACAGCATTATCTTTTGAATTCTGGGCCAAGACCCAAGTCAAAACTACTGGAATCAATCAAATTGTGGTTTCATGGATATATATATATATACATAAAGCAAGTCCACAACTTGCCATAGACTGCCAGGCATCAAGTTCTCTCTGAAATTCAATGACTTTATAAACTTCTTTCTCATCTACTTATTGATGAATGTTAAGATTTCAAGATCAATTGCTCTTCTAAAGGTGCTTCTAGATGAATTGAGATTGCCAAAATTAAAAGAATTTAAGATCCCATTGCAGTTCTATGGTCTCTGACTCATAATTGTGCCCTCACTGACACATTGCCAAGTTACTCGGAACACAGCATATCCTCAGTTTTCAAAAAGAACGTCAAGACAGTTCATCCAACCTTTACTGAACATCAACCATATGCAAGAGACTTTCAAAATTGCTTTAAAGATGGAGACAGAGGAAAACAGCTAAGCCAGGAATAGAATTCCGTCCTACTCTCCTCCCTGAACCTATGCCTCAAATTACTGGAAGATAATATTATCAGGAAATGACCTTGAGACAGATACTCATATTGCGTTCTCCGCTGCAGAAACTAGAATGGTTTTGTGGTCTGTGTCTACATCCTGCATTTCAAAACACACATCCATAAAGGAAGAGAAACAAGATAGTTGGCATATGCAGAAACAAGATATTCACCCTTAGTGTTTTAAGTCAATTCTTTCATTTTTAGTGGCACATCAAGACATGGATATGATATACACACAACTTGAGGGGAACAATAAGGTTCATTAGCAAAAGACACTACTTCCTTTCCCCTGAAATCACAACTTATAATTATATCCTTTCAACTATTTCTTTCAATAAGCCTTCATGCTCAGGTGATCCAAGGCATGTGAACCAACAAACACAAAATCCAGAACTACCTTGTAAAGGCTTTAATACAGATCAAAGAAACTTGAGCCTAAAGAAATTTGACCTGTTTGGTTTCTCTTGATTGGTTCTCTCAAGAAGGCATTTTGGCTGAGATAAGCATCTGCTGAGAAACAGAAACAGCTGTTCTCAACCATTTTCCAAATTAAAAATAGGAGTTTCTGAATAGTGTGAAGAAAGGTGGAATCTCAAAATTATGCCATATTGAGAAGTATCCTTACTAAGAATTTGGGGTTAAACATGTGGTTTGAATCCTAGCTCCTCTCAATATTAGCTATGTGGCTTGAACAATTTCTTTAACCTGGGCCTCAGATCCCTCCTATATAAGTAGGGATTTGTAGGGTCATCCAGTGTATGTGAAGCACCTGGCGTACCACTTAGCCAGTGGGGAGATCTTGAGTAGGTGGAAATGATCTCTTGGTACTAAGTAGTGTCTGCAACTATTTCTTCGCAACCTTTGCATTTCTTTGTAACAAGTGTTGCAACTGCAAAAACTCATTAATAACATTTCTCATTTTGTGCATTAAACCTAAATAATGACTGAAATAAAGAACTCTGTTGTTAGTCAACCTGTATTTATCTGAAACACAGAATGCTCAAGTCCTGTGAAGAAAAGTAGCATAAAATACAAAGCTTGCTCTAAAGGGTTTACAATTTAAGAACTGATTTTTGGGTGATCACCAAAATAATTATTAAGTAAAAAGAGGTGTATAGATTTGTCATTGAACTCATTGAATGGTACACTTAAAATGGGTGCTTTTTTTGTTAAATTATTCCTCAATTTAACACAATCACAGAAAAAAATACTGTTGCCCAAGAATGATCCTTGGAGATTCTGATGAAATTGGTTTGGAGTGTGTAGCTTGGGCCTGGGAGTTTTAACAGAGTTTTAGATGATTCCAATGCAGAAAAAAAAGAAAAAAAAGCAGACAAACAAGATGCAGAATAGGGTGGATAATAATTTACTGATGCCAGGTTTAGCCAATAAAATTCAGGACACCCAGTTTAATTTGAATTTCAGATGAAACACCAATTAATTTTTTAGTGTAAATATGTCCCAAATACTGCTCATTTAACTGATGTCCTGTATTTCATTTGGCAACCCTAAATAGTATGCTAATTCTTGTGCAAAAAAAGGGAAAAGAATTATATTTGCGCCTAAATGTTTTTATATGCATAAGATAGATTTTGCAGGTTTGCTTCTGGGTAGATGAACTATGGCAGGAGACAAGGAGGAAAAATATGTTTCTACTGTACACTTTGGTGCTTTTTGAATTTTGAATCACATAAACATATTACATATTTTTAAAACAAACACTATTATAAAGTTGAAAAATAAGCAATTTCTAACAGGAGCTAAAAATCAATATAGAGAGACAAAATGAATAATACATGTGATGCACTTAGCAAACCAAACCAATAGAAGTTTGCCCAAATATTTGGTGCTATTACAGTCTGATTTTCTCAGTGTAGATATATATAGAATATTAACAAACACTTGTTGAGTTGCCGGACTATAACTCAAATTAATATTAGCAACCTCCTGTTGCATTGCACTTTCATATATTAGTTAATTGAATCTTCAAAATAATCCTCAGAGGTTTTGCAAATTAAAAGGCTTAAACTCAGACAGGGTGAATAATTTGCCCAAGACCACACAGCTAATGAGTAGGAGGCCTGAGGTTTGAAGGTCTGTCAAAATCCACAGCCCTTTTCTTTTAAATACAACACAACACAACACTCTCTTTAGGAATATGTATTCCTAAAGAGTCAGAAAATTAATATTTTTAATAATTTTAAAAATATTTAAATTAATATTTTATTAATTTAAAATTAATAAAATAAATATCAGTGCATAAAGGAAAAGCACTGAATAAGTCCCTTCATCAGTCACCGAGCTATGAAACATGACACACTGGCAAAAAAATACATTCTGAAGCCAGGCACGGTGGCTCACGCCTGCAATCCCAACACTTTGGGAGGCCAGGATAGGTGGATCACCTGAGGCAGGAGTTTGAGACCAGCCTGACCAACATGGTGAAACGCCATCTCTACTGAACATACAAAACATAGCTGGGCATGCTGGCATACACCTGTAGTCCCAGCTATTTGGGAGGCTGAGAGAATCACTTGAACCTGGGAGGCAGAGGATGCAGTGAGCCGAGATTGCACCATTGCACTCCAGGCTGGGTGACAGAGTGAGACTCTGTCTCAAGAAAAAAACTAAACATATGTATGTATGTATATATATATATATATATATATATATCCTGTTTGTTTGCTTTTAAATAAATATACAGGTATACTTCACTTTGTGTAATGCTTGTGTTCCAGGAAAGTTGTTTGTAAATTACATATATGCAAATATAATTATATTTAGAATAAAATTGGGAGTCTGCTTCTTAGACAAACTCTGTTAAATGTTTTTTTAGACAGGAAGATATTTTTAGAATATGCCAGAGCCCAGTTTGTTTATTTTTGGACAGGATATAACATGAGATGATCTAGGAGTTGGCTAATTGCCCTTCAGATTTGGGGGTCTTAATACAAAACATGGTTTTGTATTAAGTGGTTTATGTGTGAAGAGGAATTTTGCCAAATTTCAAAGGATTTAACTAGTTAGATTAAGTTTCTAACTCGAGCCTACCTTTAGCTAATTTTTCCTTTTAAAGGT
The DNA here is from genome assembly GCF_000001405.40 of Homo sapiens. Lineage (NCBI taxonomy): Eukaryota > Metazoa > Chordata > Mammalia > Primates > Hominidae > Homo > Homo sapiens. The sequence goes on along the minus strand of NC_000018.10, from coordinate 54,849,928 downwards.
ATGAGTAAATATTTACCAGAGAACAGCTGAATGCCTCTTAAGTGATGGAACCAGTACTATTTTCACAGCTTATTGGAGACAAGAGTGTCAGAGGTCTATTCAGTTTCCTTTTGTAAATGGTTTCAAAAAGGTTTTTTCTAAAGTCTATTTTATCATATAATTTCTATATATCCCCTAGTGATTTACCTTCTTTTTGTTTGTTTGTTTTGAGACAGAGTCTGGCTCTGTCGCCCAGGCTGGAGTGCAGTGGAACTATCTCAGCTCACTGCAACCTCCACCTCCTGGGTTCAAGAGATTTTCCTGCCTCAGCCTTCTGAGTAGCTGGAATTACAGAAGCATGCCACCACGTCTGGCTAATTTTTATATTTTTTAGTAGAGACAGTGGTTTCACGAAGTTGGGCAGGCTGGTCTCGAACTCCTCACCTCAAGTGATCCACGCTCCCTCGGCCTCCCAAAGCGCTGGGATTACAGGCATGAGCCACCGCTCCTGGCCAATTTACCTTCTTTATAGTGCAGGTGCTGGTGCAGAGTGGGAGGAAAGAAGATTTGGAAATGGCAATAGAAAGCTAATCTTTCAAGAGCTGTTAAAGATAATAATTTTTTAAACAGTTGACTAAAAGCTAGCATCCCATTGGAAAGAGATCCACAGGCTCCCTGGATAGTTGGCAGGATCTCCAACCAATGTCGGTGTGGGAGTGGTCACCAGGAGGTGAAACAGCCCTTCACAGATCTCTCTAGCCCGAGTGTACCAAGGCTGGGCCCATGGAGGTTCAGGCAGGCCCTGAATTCCCCATACATTTTCTCCCATTACATCGACGTTTCTGAGCTGGCAGCATTACAATGCCAAATCCATGCTTTGAAAAATCAGCTCAGGACTCAACATCTAAAATGAAATCCCAGACGTTCTGCTGGCCTGGTGATGGCTCCATTTGTCCATATCATTGTCTTTCTATTGCAGTGTTTGAGCCATTATTTGAATATTCTATTTCTTATTTATTTCTAATCAAAGTGATACTTTTTTTGAAAGAACAAAATGAAAGAATATGTATAACATGCTAGATCTATGTCATCAAAGATTATGTCTAAAAGCAGCAAGTAATTAAAGAGTTTACATTACTTTTAGCTCCCTGGGAACAGACACCCCTCCTATCCCCTCTCCCCGCCATACCATGAAATCTTTTTATGGTTTTACATGTTTGAGTCAGTAGATATTTTCCAGAATGCATTATATTCTGGTAAGGTACTGCCTACAGTTAATCTGCATTAAAATCATGTTATTTTCAATAAATCAAATTGCATCTCCATTTAATTGTATTTGTTACATTTAATTGAATCAAATTTTTGTTTACTCTTCTAAATATTAAAAACTAAAGGAACTGAATGGTTTATATCTTTTATAAACTATGACAGTTTTAAACTGAAGCTCTCATTTTTCTCCTTGCAGGTCAGCAGCCCATTCTTACCCAAATAGTTCTTTACCTGTAGTCTGGGGAAATAGATGTACATCTATTTATGAATAAATTCCATGATTTTTCCTATTTAATATTTTAATGATATAAAGGACCAAGACCTAACATAAAAATCTCTATAGTGCAAAAATTGCTGATAATGCAGTTATGAGACAGCCATAAACATTTATTTTTATAAATTCACTCTTCCAGAATGTGTATTCCTAAAGGTCTGTTAAATCAAGTTTAGCCTAAAGCTGCCTCATTATATATTTAAGTTCAGCCTAAAGGTTTCTCTGTACATCATGAACTATACAAGTGGAGGTGTAAACCGACCATATCCCACACCTGTGCCAGTCACTGAGTTTGGCCAATCAAATGTAGCCAACTGTTCAAATCGTTGTTCAAATAAGGCAAACACAGAGCTTGTAACCAATCCAGTTGTTTCTGTACCTCACTTCCGTTTTCTGAACATCACTTTCCTTTTGCTGTCCATAAATTTTCTTCCACCATGTGGCTGCACTGGAGTGTCTGAATCTGCGTGATTCTGGGCCTAAGGGATTTGTGAATTGTTCATTGCTCAATTAAACTCCTTTAAATTTAATTTGGCTGAAGTTTTTTTTTTCTTTCTTTCTTTTTTTAAACGAGTCCCAAATGTGTTAATAACCATGTTTGGAAAATCAGGACAAATTAAGCTAAAAAATTTGGGCATCAACAGCCAATCCATAAAATATGTGGGGAGGTTTAAATGAGTTGATAAGCTTTTACTCAGTCTTCTGTTTTTTTCTGAACGTTTGTTTACTCACTATTTGAACCTACATTTAGTATGTTTCTCCACATAATATCAGAAAATTTTAACATCAGTAGTAAGATAAATTAACAAATTAAAATGAGCATAGGTATTTAAAAGAGTCAAGGACTTGGAGAAGGGAGTTTCAGATACATCTAACGTCATAATTAACACAACACTTCTAACTAACATCATATTCCTAATTGGGATAGTCTATAATGGGTTGGAGACTATTCTCATTTTTCTGGACTGCCCTATGTTGACTCTTCAATTTGTAGGCAAATGCAGATGTCTTCTTTTTGGAATGGTTTTAGAGGTACCAACACAGCAGCTCACTGAAACATATCTCCCCTTCCAGTTTACCAGAGAACTGGGTATTTCCATCATTAGGATAATTTCACATGTGCAGTAGAAACGTATTTTATGTCAGAGCCCCAGAAACATACAAAACTTCAGATCCCTGTAGGAATGTGTTCATAGGGCAACAAAAATAGCATCAGTGCCTTGAGCTTCATTATTGTCAATTTAAAAAGCAGTCATGGCCGGGCATGGTGACTCACTCCTGTAATCCCAGCACTTTGGGAGGCTGAGGTGGGCGGATCACTTGAGGTCAGGAGTTCAAGACCAGCCTGGCCAACATAGTGAAACCCTGTCTCTAGTAAAAATACAAAAATTAGCCATGTGTGGTGGCGGGCACCTATAATCCCAGCTACTTGGGAGGCTGAGGCAGGAGAATCGCTCGAACCCAGGAGGTGGAGTTTGCAGTGAGCCGAGATCACACCTCTGCACTCCAGCCCAGGTGACAGAGGGAGACTCTGTCTCAAAACAAACAAACAAACAAACAAAAAGTCATGTGAAGTCCATTTCTATTTTATTTATAAAACTACAATGAGAAACATTGCCATTATGTGCTTTGTGGCATAAAGTTACTCTTAGAATTTACTGATAGAAAACAAAAATGTGTCTCTCCCAAAAATCTGATATATTTGCTTTAGCCTTATAAGAAAAGCTTATGATATTCATTGCCTTCTTTTTTGGCCTCTATTGCCTGGAAGCTCAGAGGTCAGTTTTTTGGCTCAAATGTGGTAGGTATCAAAGGTTCTCTGGTTCAACTACTTTAACTCTCTCTACTTCTAGACTTGGCTTGGTTCTTGCTTGTTTTTTATTCTTCTTTTACGTATTTGATTGCATTTTTATCTCTATTCCTAAATGATTGAAAATTATTTCATGGGAGGAGATAAATAGAGTTCATTCTTGTTATTCACAGGAGTTATACATTCTATAAAGTTGCTACAAACACTGAATTAGTGAATACCAAGCCATTGTTATTAGAGGAAATGGGATTAGGCTCCTGCGAGCCTCTAGCCACCAGTATTTTCATCAACTGAGCAAAACAGAACCTTGTTTTCTATGTGCTTTCATTTAAAGATATCTTATATAATATATAGTTGATTTGTTAACACTGAACTCATCGTCAACAGCACTATAACTCATGCCTGAACGAAACTTATCTATGTATCTTCTCCTTAAGGCACATATAGCCTGCTTGCCTTTAGGAACATTAGACAGTCCCTCAAGCGCTGACCATGGGGGACATTTTAAACAGAGAAACCACCACTCGAAAGGACAAAAATGTGAAAAACATTAAATAAATCATGAAAAGGACACTTGTTTACAATATGAGAGCTAAAACAAGAATGTACAGCACCAACTTGTTTGACCTCAGCTGAGAATATGCAAGTTGGATGACTCAAACTTTTACCACTCTGTATATGCCTGCAAATGACTACAAAAGCACCATGGTATTGATTCTGGGGTCACAAATAAATGTTATTAAGCAGGCAGATTTGCAAATACATGATTAGTGAATCAAAAGGATTGATGGTATGTTATCTCAAAATTAATATTATATTTTGGCCAATTAACATATTTACAACAATTAGAATAGCAGGTTAACAGAAAGGAGGGTTCTGTTCTGTGGGAATGGAACTGGTGAAAAGTACACTTGGATAACCTTGTAGCAATATGCAAAAGGCTAGAGCAAAGACAAGACAAACATATTCCAGGGGGCAGTCAGGGGGTCCAACCAGCGACTCAGGGCCCTGGGAACAGACTAGGAAAAACAAGGTGAGGCTAAAAACGAGACGGTATTAACTTATTTCACAATTTTCTTTTTTTTTTCTGTTGCAATGATCCTTTTATTATATTCATTATTGCTTAGCTAGAGGTATCCGAAGGGACGTATTTTCTTCCTAAATAGATTTTATTTTATTTTTTTTTTTTTTGAGATGGAGTCTCACTTATCGCCCAGGCTGGAGTGCAGTGGCGTGATCTTGGCTCACTACAACCTCTGTCTCCTGGGTTTAAGTGATTCCCCTGCCTCAGTCTCCTGAGTGGCTGGGATTACAGGCATTAGCCACCACACCGGGGTAATTTTTGTATTTTTAGTAGACACGGGGTTTCACCATGTTGGCCAGGCTGGTTCCAAACTCCTGACCTCAGATGATCCTCCCACCTCGGCCTCCCAAAGTGCTGGGATTACAGGCATGAGCCACTGCGACAGGTCCTAAATGGATTTTTACCCTACACTTAGACAAATACATCAGGCCATGTGAGTGGGCATTGTGATGCTAATACGTCTTAGAGAAAAGTAGCCTAATACATAAGAAGCTTTGGCCAAATTGTTAGTAAAAGTCGACACATCAGATTCTAAAGGAAACCTGATGTCATATTTCTAGTGTTGATGATGAAAAACTTTATTAAACCTGAAAGAGCCAACTCCCTCCCTATACCTCCATTTTCACAGCAACACCCACACATAAAGACACCCAACCAGCGAAAACTGGTAGAAAGGCAGGCTGGAAAATAAACATGTGAAATTTGTAGGACAAAAGAAGCAGATCAGCTCATTTATTTAGGATGCTGCAACATAGTAGATTCTCAGTATCTCAGGGATCTATTTTGTAAGAAGTAGACCTAAATTTGGCCAGGCACAGTGGTTCACACCTATAATCCCAGCACTTTGGGAGGCCAAGGTATGCACATCATTTGAGGTCAGGAGTTTGAGACCAGTCTGGCCAACATGGTGAAACCCCATTTCTACTAAAAATACAAAAATTACCCAGGTGTGGTGGCTAATGCCTGCAATCCCAGCTACTCGGGAGGGTGAGGTAGGAGAATCACTTGAAACCGGGAGGTGGAGTTTTTGCAGTGAGACGAGATGGTGCCACTGCACTCCAGTGGGCGACAGAGCAAGACTGTATCAAAAAAAAAAAAAAAAAAGAAAAGAAAAGAAAGAAAGAAAGAAAGAAAGAAGAGATAAAAGTAACTCAAAATGAAAAGTACGTTAGTTCATGAAGTGAAAATTCAGTAAATTTTCTGTCTGTACTGGGATTGCCTTCAACTTTAACCCTCACAGATCTTCCATTTAGTGAAAATTTTTAGGATTATTTGCACCACAGACCTCCTTAGAAATTTTAACTCATAATCATTTGTCAGGGTGATTGGCTAATTCACTGTCTCTTCCCACAGTTATATCCCTCAGAAGATATTGATATATTGAAAAACTATATCTATATGTTGTGTTTTATTCATGAACTTTGCTCAGTTCTCGAAGTGGCACCCTTATTATCTCAGACCCCACCCTGATTAATATGACACCCTTCTCCTCCTCCCTGCAGCCATCTCAGAGTTATGGGATGGCTTTTCTTCTAGTTCTGTGGTTCTTATCCTTCCTGTCCTTTGTTTGGACTGTGGTCCTAAACTTGTTTGGATGGGTAACCAACCTACAGATTATAGTGTAGGAGGGACCGTTGCCCAAATATTCATGATTTTTAATGTTAAATGTTTTGATCTTGTTATTTGGCCAAATTTTATAGAATTTGAAGAAACATTTCAGAAAAGACTTTATATTAACATTTTCCATTTTAGAAGAATAGAAATAATCCTCATGTTATTATGATACATTAAAGTGTTAGAATCAAGTAGATTGACTTGAAAGTTAGAATGCATCTGATTTCCAAATAGGCCAGTTTGCTCTGCTTTCTTTTATAATAGGTTGACATCAGACCCTTGGCCCAGCTGATATGCAGCCGGAACACACCAGTGTGGTTTATTTTGATTGATCAGCAGATGTCGTGCTAGTTGTTGTTCAATGTGTTTAATATCACCCTTAGTCACTGGAGAATCAGGAGAGGAAACAGCAGAGATGAGTGCAGATATATTCCTGACACTCTTAAAAATGACTCTTCAAGTGTAAATTCTCTTTGCAGTGAGTCAGAAAGAAGCATCTTCTTAATATAGAATAGGCTGGCACTGCTAAAAAAAAAAAGAGTTTTATTGAAAATCTAAACTTATAGGTATGTTATTACCACAAAGCTTTAACAAATATCAACTCTACAGGGCATTAATTTATTGTAATTTATTGTAGTGCCTTCTTGAACTTCAACAATCAGAGATATTTTTACTAAAAATTCCATGCAGGTTATGTTCCTTGCTGACACAATATCCAGTGACAATGGTACAAATGAATTTGAAAGACAGTGATTTACTTTATAGAAGTTTATGTTGCCTGTCCATTAAAAAATAATATTATTGGCCAGGCACGGTGGCTCACACCTGTAATCCCAGCACTTTGGGAGCCTGAGGCGGGTGGATCATGAGGTCAGGACATGGAGACCATCCTGGCTAACACGGTGAAACACCGTCTCTACTAAAAAATACAAAAAAATTAGCTGGGCGTGGTGACGGGTGCCTGTAGTTCCAGCTACTAGGGAGGCTGAGGTGGGAGAATGGCATGAACCCGGGAGGCAGAGCTTGCAGTGAGCCGAGATCCCGCCACTGCACTCCAACCTGGCCAACAGAATGAGACTCCATCTCAAAAATAATAATATTGCATAAATTCAAGAAACTTGCAACAAATACTTTTGTCTGAAACTAGTGGATGGAGGGTGAAATTAGTTGCAGCAGCCCTGCAGACTAAGAATGTTTTTAAATAAGCATTTTGTTCTTGAGAGTAGATAGATAAGACATAACAGCAAGATGTGTCTTAAAATTTATTTTAGTCAATGTTTTGATTTTTGCTTTGACGCATAGGAAAAAGATTTCTACCTATCCTATTAATATATAAGGTTATCTTGTTTATCTTTCTTGATATTATCTTCTAAACTTGATGGGCTTGAGAATGTCCTGATAAACCTAGTTATGCTTAAAATTACTTGAAAATGTTAAAACAAATTTTCTTTTATACATAAAGCTTTACAGAAATCTTTTCTGAAAAATAGTTCAAAACCGTATGCCCTTGAAGTAAGACTGGAAACTATTTTGGTGCAGTTCATTAAGTCCTCTAGCGATTCTGTAAGAAAAACCCATAAATTCTAAGAATATCAATAGTTTTATCTGATCTAGGCTTTCCTTGTGCTAGAATAAGCAAGAAACTGTTTACATATCTTTTCTTACAAACAAGTGGGAAAACCAATTCCACATTCGTTTTCTAAATTTCTCTGACTTGAAATTATCATTTGGAGATAAGCCAAGTACAGATAGAAAACCAGAACTAAATTTCCCTGTGATGAACGAATTAGTTTAGTTTAGAGCTATTCCTCACATAGCCGTCTTCTGCCATTAGACATTTGACCTAACTTGTTCCTTCACAGTCACACACACATGTTCATGTGGCAAATACTGGACTCCATTTAGCTTAATCAATAAGATGTTTTTAAGGAGTCAAGCTGTTGTCTGTGATCCCTGTGAATTGTCTAAATCCTTAATTGTGAGCCATTTTATTCTATGTACTGAGTCTATTTTTGTAGGCTGGAGGACTGGAAATTGGACTGAATAGTATATTGGTGTCTTATTTCTGAAGGCAATGACTCAGGAGGCAATATAGCATTAATGATTACTCTAAAATTATTAAGGTGCAATCAACCAAAAGATCTTTTGCTATCATATATCTTTGACTTTGGCCATTTAGTTTACAACGGTGGACCTGTTTGCTGAACCTACAGTTATTTATAAGCCCACCTCTTATCCTGGTAGTTGGCTAAATTTGGCTTAGAAAATAATGTCACCATTCTCGATGGAAAAATGCTCAGGCTAGTTGATCAGTTACTAATACTTTAGTCTGCAGAATTACCACAGCATCTGCCAATTCACCAGCTCAATCTACTTACATATACAGTAGTTTCTCAGTGTTCATCGGGGATTGGTTCGAGGACCCTCGGTGGATACTAAAATCCACATGTGCTCAAATCCTTGTATAGTATTGGCATATAATGTTCTGCTATATATTTTAAACCATCTGCAGATAACTTATACCTAATGCAATGTAAATGCTATGTAACTAGTTGTTATACTATATTGTTTAGGGAATAATGAGAAGCAAAAAGTCTGTACATATTTAGGACAGATGCAATCATTTATTTTTTTCCCCAAATACTTCTTATCTGCAGTTGGCTAAATCTATGGATAATGAACCCATGGATGGGGAGGACTACCTGTATTTTTCCCGCCCCTCTCACCAAACCCCCCACCGCCCCGCCACCCAAAGACAGAGTCTTTCTCTGTTACCCAGAGCTGGAGTGCAATGATGTGATCTCAGCTCACTGCAACTTCTGCCTCCCGGGTTCAAGCAATTCTCCTGCCTCAGCCTGCTGAATAGCTGGGATTACAGCGTGCACCACCATGCCCGGCTAATTTTTGTATTTTTGGTAGAGACGGGGTTTCACCATGTTGGCCAGGCTGGTCTCGAACTCCTGACCTCATGATCCGCCTGCCTCAGCCTCCCAAAGTGCTGGGATTACAGGCTTGAGCCACCCACCGTGCCCAGCTGGCTATCTGTACTTTTAGATGTTAAATAGGTGGGAAACTGAGAACTTATTGTCAAAGATACCCAGTCAAGTGTTGTTGACAGTATTGGTGAATGAGCCTCAAATTCTATGAAATTCCCTTCCTGAGGATGGACTTAGAAACTCTACAGGAGGAAGACAAAAGGCCCTTTCTACAAGAGAGGATAGTGACCATATTTTCAGAACTATGGATCAAAACATTTATTTAACTTGTTAAATATTTATTTATTTAACCCTGAATCTGCCAGTGTAATGGAATATTTAAAGCAGTAGCTGCTCCAGAAATTCCAGGTCATAGCACTGCCATCCACTTGGGTCACATTAGATTTTACTGATAAAGTTATTTTTGCCCCAAATTCTTCTTGTACAACTCTATTTTTAAGTCTGGAGCCTCTAATATTAGGCATGACTTTGGATTTTTGTTACATGTAAACAAGCAAATATATTTACTGGGAACAGTAATTTATAGCTGTTTTTAGTCATAACTACTTTAGCAGAAATTAATTTATCAGAAAGACTGGCCAACAAATCATTGATTTCCTAGCTTGGGGGCTGCAAAATGGCACTAAGCATTGTAGAAAAACATCAAAAGAAAGAAAGATGGGCTCTGAAATAAAGTTCTAAGAAAGATTAATTTTACCCATGATTTGTACTACAAGGAAAGAACTTTACCCTCAATTAATATGAAAGATACTCAAGAAGACAATCTTACCTTCATGATAAAATAGACAAGTCATAACATTATTTGCCCAGACAGAATTTTAGGAGCCATAGAGAATGTTTGGCCTTATAAAAAGCTTCATTATTTCCAATTAAGTAGGAGAATCTGAGGATATATTATTTCTTCACAAAGTCTGCAAAAAAGCATCTTTTGTTTCTTCCTTAATAAGGTGTCATGACAAAGCAACTATTATTTATAATGTTATTGACTTATGTATAGACATTATGCTATAGTGTAAATGTACTTCTGGAAACATCACTGGAATAAATTTCATAAAAATATTCACTCCTGTAATTCTAGTATAAATTCATTTCTGATCCATGTGTACAGGGTAATTTTAAAGTCAGAGTAATGAAGTGATATTTGCTGCTAAAAAAGCAAACAGATACTCACCATTCAGTCTGCTTCTTAGACTTTTCTTAATTAGTGTTGGATTTTAGGTATACTCTCAGCATCTGGGGGTGCTAGATAGTACATCAGGACAAAGAAATAGGACCTTAGTAGATAAGAAACCTTTTCTTTTCTGCCCTTGTATTTATTTGTCCTTGGGACCCTGTGGTTTGGAGAAGACCTAACTGTTGCCTGCATTACCTAGTTCAGTTGTGCCTTGAAACCATTCCTTGGCCTGATTTTGGTAATTGGGTTACCTAAAACTGGAATCAGATTATGGCTACAATGGGAGAATGTTTGTTACTTTAACTCTCTTTCATCTTTTCCATGCTGTGTTTATTTATGGCACAAAGGTCTTGTAATCTTAGCAAGTTATATGTAAAAACTTATTCCAAAGAGAAAGCAGTAGTAGGAAAAAACAGAATTTGCAAAACTGTTCCCATTAAAGTCAAAATTACTAAAACTTTTGATTTTCTTACACAATAGCCTAGACTTGAACCCTGTTATATTCAATGAATGTATGCTTTTGCTGATAATAATTTGAAGCTGAAAACGGGGTTGCTTATTGTCAGTCTTTAGTCAAGGGTTTAACATCAATGCATATTTTCACCCTTGATAACCATGTCAAATAGTCATTATTTAAAATGATTCACAAGTGTTCATCATAAGTTGTAGGAGGACTTCTTTTCCAGCAATATTTGTATCCTTTTTCCATATTTATTATTACTGTCTCATATAAGTCCATATACTCTTTATAAAACAAGAGATTTGTCCCTATAATGTTAGCTTACTTACTAACAAAACACAAGAAAAAACACATTGATATTTCCCAAAATAATGTGAAAGGTTGATCAATTTACAGATGGAGATAACATAGAAGATCAGCAGTTGGATACTAGTTTAGTGAATAATATAAGTAGCCAAATGCTTAAGAAAAAAAATTAAAGACCACAAGATTGTATCAGAAATCTTGCCTGGAATATTTGTAGGTATGTGTCTAACTCGTAAGAGTCATTTAAATGTTCTCCATCTATGATCTCCACAACAGAAATAACTCAGATATTGCCATATTATAGGGAGCTTTTATGAAAAACATATTTGTTCAGAACTAGATGTCTCAAATGATGGATCCATAACAAAGAAAGTGTTATACACCTGAAATCCAGAAAGAACACAGAGAATATCTCAATCGAACAAGTAGGCATACAATATGTTCTCGTACTAATTATTAAATAGTCAGAAATACTTGTGATGGAGAGTGTGAAGCACCCAGATGGTGGTATAAAGAATTTTTATAAATGTAATAGAATATTCCCCAAACTTTTTCAAACAGTGGACTAGAAAAAAAATATTAACATGGAGATGAAGAAGGGGAAGAGAAGAGGCAGAAGAAGAGACAAGGTAACTTTCCCTAAATTTGGTCAATCATTTGACATGTTTTTCAAGTCAATTTCTTGACAATATTTTGCATATTATTGGAATCTACACAAATACTCATTACTAGACAATTATTCTGTAATTTTTTTAGAACATCAAGATACATTTTGTTATGCTTTGGTAAGTAGATCTTGAGGATAAAAGTGTTATCAATTTAGTGACAGCAGAGCTAGAACAAAGCTACTAATTAAAATGAAGAGAATGGGAGTTAATTTGCACTTAAATTAACATTGGCTGTACATCAATTATTAGAGCATGATATTAATGAGCCAGAATCACTTGATTCAATCACTTTCTGTTGGGTTCCCAATCTCTAGTACTAGAACATATTCCTGATTGAGACACGACTTGTCATTTTTCACAGGGTGGGTTGGGAGAGAACATAGGTGAAAAGAATTATGCATGAAGGAAACATTACTTAGTGATTGCCCCCACAGAAGCTACAGGCATATTTATTATGTCCTTCAATTGAACAACAATGATTTTAATAATAAATACATATATATACACACATATATATAATTAGATATATAACCTTAAATTTTCCCCAAGTCCTTCCAGAACTTAAATGTCTTTATTAGCCAAAGCAGAGTAGTGCTTGCAGAAAATAAAGAAAATAATTATTCCTCTCTTATGGTTACTCCACCTCCTTCTTTCCAGGACCTCCTTGACAGATGGCATTTGGTCTCATAGATTTTGGAGATCACCCGTGTGCCTGCATTTCCCAGTCATTATCACCAGCCTGACCTCTCCTGAGAGGTCTAGATTTCAAGAGTCATTTTCTTGAACGTATGCAATTGAATAACCACAGGTACCTCAAATGCAGTTCTTCTTCCTCCCCCAACCTGCCTTTCCTTTTGTATGCCTGATTTTCAATTTTGAGGACCACTATTTATCCATCTATTGCCTTAGTACAGCCAGAAATTTAGACTTTATAATAATTTCTCCTTTCCCCCAATGTCTGGTTAATGCCCACCCTCGCTAATTATTCCTTTAATATTAATATAACTTATCTTCTCCAACTTTACAATTTCAGACCTTTTGTATTTGCCACTCCTCACTGATCTCTCTACAGTTTTAACCTCCTTAAATTTATCTTCCTCTTTATTACCATAATACTGCCTTCAAACCACTAACTGAAAACTTATCAAGTTACATTAAAATTATCTGCTCATGTAACTCTCTATTTTACTAGATTCTAAGTTCTTTAAGAGTAGGAACTATATCTTACTGACAATTACAACTAAAGTACCTAATATGACCTGACAGATAGTAGGCACTTAATGAATGTTTTAAGCAAAAAATCAGATAGACAAAAATTATACCAGAGATTAAATTGGTATTGTCAGGTTTAACATGGTGACCAGGTCTTTTGTTGTAATAACATCATCAGCTTTAACCAACTTAACATTTTTCCTAATGTTTATAATGTCCTACAACAGGCAGAAATTTTGCTCCTTGAAGCATGTCATTAATTCTTGGATTTCTTATTTTCATCTTTTGGATCAAGTGACTATGCACAATGCATGTTTACTGTGGAAAACACCAATTAGAAAGCAGTTTTATGTTTAAATCCTCCGATTTTAATGTCTACACACTTTTAGAAAACATGATTCCTGAAAAATAAGTCAAAAATATTCTACTGGTTATAAAATATTGCAATGCAAACAGAACATCTTTCTTTAAACATATAGTTAATATTTATGAATTTTAATTGTTCCTTTTCTATTTTGAGTTAGTTCTCTGTTCTCAAGTTGCCAAGCTTATACCTTCATGTGTCTCAATATTTACGATATTGATTTTAAGAATCAACCTCACTGCTCTGGACTACTTAGACCTTGAAGGCTTTGTTTTACTAAAATCACTAGAATCTAACACCATCTAGAACTGAAGAATGGGAAACTGGTTTCTGGGTCCCTGGCCTCATGCATAAGTCTACCTTAAAAGTCAAAGTGAACTTTGAAAGGGTGAAAACTGTAAGGAATCAGAACCATGGAAAATACACTTGATAAGAAGATCTGCTGGGAAGCAGAATAACAATATAATTTGAGGGAAATTCATCTTCAAAGCAACTCAGTTATTATCATTTAATCACTTTCCAAAGAAAACCGCAATGTAGAATTTTATGACTTCCTCAGAGCTTGCACAGGAAACAGATGCCCAGCAAGGTTTCTCCAAGTCTACAAAGGACACAAAGCCTGCAGGTTGGTGTACCTGCACCTAGTGATCAGTATGTTCTGTCTTTATCCATTTTTCATCTCCTCCTCACCTTTATCTAAATATAAGCTGCTCTGTAATCACAGATGCATAAATTCTCATCAAGTACGTACATTCCTGAGGGCACCCAAATTAAGCGTGTTCAGAAACAATACTAATGAGTACTTGCTGGGTGCATTTTACTTTTGTCTTCTTGGTTTTCCTAGTAGGTAAGTGAAAAAATAAAATACAGCAAAGGAGATCTGGGGAGATTGTATAGGCCAATTTCAAAATAAGTAGCATCTGATGATGGCCTAGTGACTTTACACGAGAAAAGCAAACCCAAAGTTGCTCATTTCATCTTATTACTATTACTGCTATGCAGGCTTCATCAACTAGCATCTTGCTTCCAACTGAAGATTAAAGAATAGACTTTTCAAACATGATGGCCTATTTATTTAAGTCTGTTTTATTACGTTTTAACCCTCGGTTATAAATATGAGAATATTTTCGTTACAGCAATTTTTTCCTGTAACGTATGTTTTGCAGTGTTGTTTCCTAGGTTCTTCCTAATAGAAGCGTTTACTTCCAAACCTTGAGAGGCAGTATTTGAGAATAGGTATTACAAACCTTAGGAAGATTAAGATCAAAGATTGAGTGAGAAAGGGATAGATATAGGGACTGGGAATTACAGTTTCCATACAGTTAGCTGTGATATCTATCTTTAGTTCGCTTAAAGAATTAATAAATTTGCAAACAGGTTGCATTGCTCCTATATTTTGCAGCATTTGGGAGAAAGTTCCAGAAAATTAGAGGCTTAAGTTACTCCAAGGAGGCACCTGAGTCAATATGTGGCACCTCTTAATATTAGAAAACGTGTCTACTTTTTCAAAGGCACTAAGACATGACTAGTTTCTCTTTCCCTCTGAAAAATCTAATTTCATTTTGTATTTTTAATATTTATATATGTACAGGAACACTTATCAACAGTCCATTTTGTTTATGAAAATAATATATTTTGAATAATAGACCATAAGAACTGAATAATTCATTTAATGAACTTCTCAGGCTCTGATTACCTTGCCTAAGTTAGATTGGGCAAATATAATACAAGCTGATTTTGCTTTTACTAATTATTATTGTTCTGGTATATCCCTCAGGTCAGATTTAATACATAATCTCATTTTTTTTTCTGAGCAAGTTAAGGAGAGAAACAAGAAGAAAACAGATTAAGTTGACCCCAAGTTCAATATGATTGAAAATAAATTTATGTGCTAGAACGAAGCCAGAAAGAGGACTAAAATAAAGTCTTATGCTTTTTCCCTAAACGTTTTAAAATGAAATTTTCCCTCTATTATAGAGTTCATATGTTTCTATCTCTTCTTCCATGTTTACATACATGCACACACACACACACACATATATATACACTTATGCACACAGATTTATGTATAACAAAGATAATCTTAGGTAGATCTAAGGTTATCTATCTATTTATCTATCTCTACCTATCATCTATCTAGAGGGATAGACACATAAATGGAAGGAAGAAAAGGAAAAAAGAAGGAAGGAAGTAAACATCAAACAAGAATTATGTGTTGCCCAAGTCTAGAGCTGAACAGTAGGGATGTTAAAATAATCAACCCTTACCTTTTATTTTACACAGGAGAAAATCAAGATCCTTAAGGAGACTGAATGCCCTGTCTATAGTTATACACCACTCAACACTAGCAATATTTGACTAATAATAGACTTCCTACTGGTTTGATTTAAATCCCACCAATATATGAAGTCTATATCTCCTTTCTATGAAACTGTTCCCAAAATTATGTGAGTGGGTCTTGGTATCCTTGAATACAGCTGTAGCTACCTAGAAACGTTTTTCCTGCTTTTCTGGATATTAAACATTTGCTTTATATGGCAGCTACTACTTAATTTGCTTTGATCTGTTTTATATTTTATAACTATACTTTCACTATCAATTCTTAATTTAAAAAATCTAGAACACATTATCAAATATTAAACAAATTGTGTTCTTGTATTTGTAGGATTATAGCTTTGGATGAGAGCTTGAGGGTTGTTTAGTTCAACCTCCCAGTAGAAGTCATCTCTATAACAGCTCTGACAAGTAAGTTTTAGGTTGCTGCACTTCCTGATCTTCATTGGTCTTGTCTAGTTTCTGCAATGACTCTTCCCCATTGGTGCCTCCAGACTCACTTTGTGCCTCTCTCTGCCACCTGCTTTCCATTCTCCAAACTCCTTTTCTCAGTTTCTTGAACGCTCCAAGCTCTTTCCCAGGTTAAGAATTCAGCAAATCCTTTTGCACTGTCTGGTTTGTTCTTTCTCAACCCCTTCACCTGACTAGCAACCAGGCAACCTTTAGGTCTCAACTGAAATGCCCTTTCCTCACAGAGGTCCTCTTGACAACTTCTGCCATTAGTCTTTCTCATTTAAAGAAGTTATTTGCAGTCACAATAACTTCTCAGCTTTCTTTGATTTTAATTTTCTTTTGGTGTTGTCTAGACCTTCCATTTTGAAGGCTATTTTCTTTCATGTAGAAAGAAGAGGGATTCATGGCCGGGTGCAGTTGTACACACCTGTAATCCCAGCACTTTGGGAGGCCAAGGCAGGCGGATCACCTGAGGTCAGGAGTTCAAGACCAGCCTAGCCAATATGGTGAAACCCTACCTCTACTAAAAATACAAAAATTAGCCTGGAGTGGTGGCACATGCCTGTAATCCCAGCTACTTGGGAGGCTGAGGTGGGAGAATCGCTTGAACCCCGGGGAGGGAGATTGCAATGAGCTGAGATCGTGCCATTGCACTCCAGCCTGGGCAACAGAAACTCCATCTCAAAAAAAAAAAAAAGAAAGAAAGAAAAAAAGAAAAGAAAGAAGAGGGAGATGACCCTTCTTTATTCACTGCTTTGTTTCAAACAATGTGAAAATAATCTTTTGCTCTCCTGAGCATTTTTTCCCAAGCTTCGGCTCACTGTGCATTACTCTTCTTCAAACTATGCTCACAGCTCAGACAACACCTTCGTTAAGTATTTCTAATTATATGTTTCCTTTATTCATCTGTTCTACAAGTCATTTTAAAAAATTGAATTTATTAGAGCTTCTATGTACGTAGCCTCATGAGTTTTTCTGGGGGCCTCTTTTCAATTCTCTTTAGAATTAGGTGAAATGCTATTTTCAGAATTTTTTATAGTTTTTCTGAATATCTTATATTGAGAACTCCATCTCTTTCCCGAGCTGCCAATGATTCCACACCGCCACATGCAATCATCACTTCTCTGTCCTCATCTCACTGTTTATCTTGGCCCTGTCTGACACCATTGACCACACCCTTCATCCTAAAAAAACATCCTGGCTTAGGTTCATGATGACACTCTCTTCCGGTTTGCCTTTCACTTGAATGGCTTTTTACTGACTCCTCCCATACAAGGTCCCAAATGTCCGAATAAGCCAGAGCTGCGTCCTCAAGCCCCAATTTTTTCTCTGTAATCTCTCTCTCAGTGATGTCCTCAAGGATATCACTCTAAATAGTATCCATAGCCACTTGCTTCTCAAATTTCTATATCCAGCTATGATGTCCTCTAGGTGCCCCAGATTCATATATGCAAAAGCCCAAGCTGATAATTCCACTTGGATGTTGAAAAACGCTTCAAAAGGCTGCAAATAAATTCTTCATTTCCCATTAAAACCATTTCTTCCCTAGTTTTATCCATCTTAGGAAATGGCCTTCTGTCTACCCAGTGTCTTCAGTAGGAATCCTGTTGATCATTTGGTTCTTTCTTTTCTTCACCTCCACCTTTATCCAATTTATTAGTAAGTTCTGTCAGCTCTGCCTTCAAGTGTTTCCTGAATCTATCTACTTCTCTTGGTGGCCACTGTTCTGACCCTAATCTTTGCCACTGTTGTAGTTGGTCTACTGGAATAGCCTCCTAACTGGATTCTCTTCTACTCTGGTCACCCTACGACTTAGTCTCTTCAAGGAAGCCAGAGTGATCTTTTAAAAACATCACCTGGCCAGGCGCGGTGGCTCACATCTGTAATCCCAGCACTTTGGGAGGCCAAGGTAGGCAGATCATGAGGTCAGCAGATCGAGATTATCCCGACCAACATGGTGAAACCCCGTCTCAACTAAAAATAGAAAAATTAGCTGGGCATGGTGGTGCATGCCTGTAGTCCCAGCTATTCAGGAGGCTGAGGCAGGAGAATCACCTGAACCCGGGATGTGGAGGTTGCAGTGAGCCAAGATCGTGCCAGGGCACTCCAGCCTGCCAACAGAGCAAGACTCTGTCTCAGTTAAAAAAAAAGAAAAAAAAAATCACCTCCCCTGAGGCTTTTCTTGACCACCGAATCACACAGTCCCCTTCAGGTCACTCTCATTGTATTACCCTTTAACATTTTTTCTTCTTAGTATCACTAAAAGTTCCAGAATTACTAATTTGTTTATTTACTTATCCGTCTCTTTCCAAACCCCAGATATAATGTCCATGACAGCAGAGGCCTCGTATATCTCACTAACATCTGTTATCCACAGGGCTTAGACGAATATTAAAGTTCATAGTATGCTCAGTAAATATTTATTGAAAAATGTTCAACGGGCTATATCTAAATCATAGTGTTTTGTCATTTTACTTGGAATAAAAAACAAAGGCCAACATGTTCATTAGGACCTTCAAAGTCCTCCAAGACCTGTCCCCATTATCTCCTCTCCCCCATTTCTTGCTACCCCCATCTCACTCCCTCTGTGCCAGGTTCATGGGCTTCTTTGCTGTTCCTGAAAGATGCCAGAATGCTTCAATCTAGAATGCTCTTCCTCCACATATCTACATGGATCATTCCATTACTTGCCTCTGATTGATATTAAAATATCATCTCAGTGAGGCTTTTCCTGGGCATCTGATCTAGAATTTCAGTCCTCCCTGACACCGGCCACTGACACTTTCTGCATGCCTCCTCGGCTTTATACTCTCTGCTGAGCACTTCTTGCTACTGTGCCATAGACTCACCCTGCTTATCTAGGTTGGTCTTTGTCTCCCTGGTAAAAGATAAGCTCTACAAGGTCAGGAATTTTGGTCCACTTCTGTCCACACAGAGCCCTGAACAGTGCATAACACTCTTACCAAATATTTGTTGAACAAATGAACAAGCAACTTAATTATCTCAATATATTGAGCAGTTGTTTAGTTAAAAAGACAAAATTTATTTAAGATTTTTTTGGCCATTTGATAAACAGAGTGTTACTCTCCTTATTGGCAATCTAGACAAGTTTGTCTTATTTAAGGAGTGCCAATGGGAGGTTAATATTTGGAGAACATGAATAATGATTGCAAAGGGTGTGAAAGAAATTGAGTAATACTATCAACTCCATATTTGGGGTTTACAATAGGTATGTTATTATGCATAGTGATGTTGCTGCTTGCTACTTCTATAGTATATACTTAAGCCCATATATACCTAATAATGAATTTAAAAAAAAAATCATTCCCATTTGGCAGCCATCTTTAGAAAGTGACATATTCTTCATGGGAAACACCTGATTTGTCCTGTCTGTTTTTATTGAAATCATTTCCTTGCATCTCAACATTACAATTACTTGCTTAAGAGCTGAACTATTGGTCAACCTGCCTTGATGAATCAACTGAAGAAACTGGATTGTGAGATGAGTTTTATATGAGTAATTGTTCTATATTTCATGCCGTACTGATCTGAGAGCCCAAAAACCTAACCAAAAATTTGCAGGAGTGAGGGTGGGAAAAGAGCAGGTTTCTATTCTGAACTACCTGGACATTTGGATAACTTCCATTTTTCCAGAAAAACAGTGAAATAAATGAACAGCAATTCTGAAACCAACATACAGTTGTAGTGTAAACTGGCATACCAACTGATCTTCTACCAAGAAGATCAATTATATTAGGGTTACCTTCCCTATTGGGTCAAACATGCCTGTTCCAGAAATGACCTATGAGAAAGGGGAACTGTGGTTTGCTTACATTCAACAGATTCCCTTTATCCCTTCTTGGCAACTATGAGAACAGGCTCATCCAGTTTTATCTGCTATGTTTTGTTTTCCTTTCGAAAGCAATGACAGTAACACTGTATGAGAGGCCATAGTCAATTCTGAAACAGAAAAGCTCCATTAATATTAAACTATCTGTCAAGATTACCCCTTTTTGGTCATTGGTAGGAATCACCTCTTGCCTTCAAGGATGGCTGACCCCATCTGGGTAGAGGATTATGCTAGGAAACTATGAAAAATAACTATTTGAGGGGCAATGGCACATGACAGGTATGTCTCTCTCTTCATCACTGCAATATGGACTTTACAGCAGCTTGAAAATTCATTAAACTTAAATATCTGAGTTTATATTAATGCTTAAGTCTATCCTTTCCCTCAACTTTTCAAAATTTATAACCATAAAACCCTGTATATTCTATATATGAATGAATATGTGTGAATATAACTAAATATTGAGAACTGTAGACATTTTTCTTATAAACAGAACAAAATCAAAATTCAGAGCTGTATTATATTAAACAATAATTTTGTTGTTAATAACCTTGAAATTTATGTTATTACTTTGGGCTTAATTTAATGATGTGCAGTTTAAAACAACTGGAATTACATACCCTTAGCTTTACATCTTGACATAAAAAACTCACAAAACATGATACAGGTGTGAAGGCTCTAACCAAACACAGCTTTTTCCTAGGAATGCAGTCTCTGCTTACAGTTCACCTACTTCAGTAGTTTTCAGAGGCTTAATTAATGTTGCATTGGGTGGGAAAGTCTTGAAAGCTAATTTATTGTGATCAGTTGGGTGAACACACATGCACACATATACCCTAGTTGGTGCAACACTTAGATCAGAATTCGAAAGTAACAGAGCAAAAAATTGGAAAACAGAAAGTACTCTTAAGGTCTCTGTGGCTATTTCATCTAAGGAAGTGCATATAAATGTCTTATTGCTCTCCTGGCTTGCCTCACTAAGTCGCTCCTCCTGGAATGAAACTCTGAGCACATCATCATCCATGCTTTTTCTTATTCATTATTTTGATTGTTTTTTGAGATGCAAATGAAAGGAAATTGGCATTGCTGTGCCTAGGCTTTTTGTTTTTCTTTTTGCTTTTTTTGGTGGTAACCAGCTGTTTGATAAGCAAACACTCAAGGAGAGCCAGGTCGAGTTGGCCCATGCCATCCGTGCAGCACACAGCACTACTGTCTTCTTTGCAAGGATTTCTGCTGGAAACCGCGATCGAAGGTGCACACGCACTCACACATGCACACACACACACACAGAGGCCTCACTTCCCACGGCGCAGGCCGGCGCTGCAGCACCCGGGTGGGTGGGAACGCGTTCCAGCAGCAGCAGCCCGCCTTCCCAACTCACCAGCCTGCGAAGTTTCCTTGCCGGGAGAGCAGGTGTCAGATTTCAGAGAGGTTTCCTTCCCCTTCCCAAGCCCTGGAACTCCCGGGCTCCACCGTCAGCAAGGAGACAGGATCTGCTCCACAGGGCGATGAGCACGGGGACAGCTACTTATCTCCTCCAACCTGTGGCTCCGGATGGGTCCAAGGCCGGGCGGTCCGCAGCCCCTGCCCGTCAGGACTGCGAGTGGCAGGGCTGGTGGCACCACCCTCGGAGTCCGCCGCGGCGGCGGGGCTGGGTAAGGTTTGTGTGAGAAGAAGGCGTGTCTGCAAGTCCCAACGCGGATGTGCGGAGCTCACCTCAGGCAAGTCTTGCTGGTGACTCAACTGCTGCAGTGAGAAACACACTCCTCTCGGGGATGAAGTCTCCACACTGTGGGGCTTCTAGCCTTACCAGCGAGCTCATTTTTATTCATTTTTGTTCTGTGTTTTCTTTGATGTCTCTCATTCAAAGAGCCCAGGGCGCTGTGAGAACTGGGGCCCTGACATTGCGTTCTCTCCTCCGAGGGGGTGTCTCATTAACTATGAGGAGTGAAGGCGAGGGATTGCGAGTGGGGAGCAGAGGATGGCCTCGGGAAATAAAAGAGGGCGTTGGAAAGAAATTAATATTTTAAAAGTTAGGATGTGTTCGTATGAATGCATTAATCAGTATGCAACATCCAAATTCACTTCCCAAAGCCCTAATTCACTTCCTAAAGTCACTTCAGAGATCAATAGGTTACCACTAAGTAAGATAATGAGCACACGGAGGCATTGAACCAGTATTTGTTAAGCACCTACTATGTGCTATGCCGTGTTCTAAACACATTAGATTCGTCCACAAAGCAAAGATCCTGGCTGCCCATCTTGGGATTCCATTTTAGACACATTCAGACATCCCTAATTTACAGACTGGTAGTAAAGGTAAGAATACAAGGTTAGGTACATTATAATAACAACCGATTTACTCCTCTGTGAACAAAATTTAAAAGTTCCAAACCTGTGTCTTGCATTCATGTTAGTAAACAACGAGATGCCAATGACTGCTTGAATTTTAATTACTTAACTTGTTTCTTATTCGATGCCCTAGAGACAATCTGGGAGGCACTGCTGTTATCAGCTCCCAGAGAATTTCTTGTAGAAGGGAGCAAAGGAATAGCCCAAACCAAAACACAAAACAAACAATAGCAAACTAGTGGAAAAATGGAATATTAGAGAAAACATTTTGGTCTCATAGAAATCTGTCTATTCTATTATGAAACTATTAAAGAAGTTCTATTTTATGTCCTTCAATGTTCTTGAAAGTTGAAAAGAAGAGTAATAATAATGTCTTCATAGTGTTATTGTGAAGAATTGACTTCATATCAGTAATGTGTGTAGAACGTGCCTGGCACAGTAAGTTCTATGAATGTGTTGGCTATACTTATAATTTTGGTAACAATCTATTCCATTCTCCCCAAGTAAGATCCAGTTCCTAAAAATTATTTTGGATCTACTGCATAAAAGTCTTTGAGGCTCAGCCTGTAGATTTTCAAAGTATGTATGCTTGGAATCTATATTTATGATAAATCTACTTTGCATTTAACAGCAATATCTAAGTATATAAGAAGTGTGTGTCCATGGGCCCAGACAGAAATAAAAGAAAGAACATAAGAGCCTTGAATCTTTTCCACTGTTAACACATTGACTTAAAATCACCCTCTGTGCTATACAATGATAACCCATATTCTTTATCTAGTTCATGTGTTCACTACTGACATTAGTCCTAATAGCTATTATTTCCTGTATGCAATAGAGTTTCATCTCATTTGGCTTTCACAACATTACTGTGAAATAGGCAAGGCGTCTATTATATTTATTGTCTCCATTTTCAGAATGAGGTAACTGAGGTTGAGAAAGTCGCAGTAAATCTGTCCAAAGTGATGAAGTTCAAAAGGTGGAAGACAGGTCTATTGATCCTGAATGCCGAGCTCACAGTGGTCACTGTGTTGTACTACCTCACTGCAACTTCTAGAAAAGGTTCCTGCCATAAGAAAATCTGACACACACATTTATTGATGACTCTCCTTGCCACCTTTCCCTAGATAAGTGTGTCACCTGCTTTATAGGGCCAACTCTTGCAGGGATAGCTCTCCTGGAGTGACTTGCCACATATGGTCCTGTCTCCGAGGTTCCAAGGCTCAGATTCAGTAGTGTTACATAGTGACACTACCAGAGAGTGGTGGAACATTTCCTTCCCTGGGAAGAGGGGTTCCAAGGAAGAGAAAGAGTAGGAAGACATAAGAGAAATGTTGCTTGGCCACTCCATGAAGGCCACTTTGACCAGAGGTAGAGCAGAATAAAAAACAGTGGAAAACCAGTGAAAACAAGGTGACAGCATTGTGTGTCATGATAATAATAGTAATAACATCTTCCTGTACCTGGAGTTTATGTAGCATAACTTAAGTAGACATAACATCTGTCTAATTCAATCAATATGGCACTGAGGTAAACATTAATGTACATGGGGTGATGTGTAGTTACAAATGGCAAGATTATCACATGTATTTCATCTCTCCTCAAACTGCTTTATTACAAGAATAAATGAATTTTTTTAAATGTTATTGAATCACAAAGACAAATAAGCAGATAAAATAACACATAAACTTGTAATGAATTTTGGAAGAAGCTAAATCAGATGCAGGCGTGGTAACTGATTTGGAAGAGCAGAGGATTCTATACACTGCATGCCTGCAGGAGAGATTATGGTAAAAAGCAAGCCAATTCTTCCTGCAAAACCTGGGCAGGCTCAGGCCTAGGAGGCAGAAATCTCAGCATAGAAGGAGGCCAGGTGGTGGGGTAAACACAGGGGTTTGGTTATACGTCTGTATATTGGAATGCTTGGACCCAGAGTTCCCTTCCCCACTGTCACACAATCAACCAACCATAAGTTCCTCCATCTGCTCAATCCAGCTTCCAGGAGACTGGAGGTTTATTTTCTGGAGAAAGTAAACTAGAGTAATTTGTGGTTCAACAAGATGAACTGAACACATGCCTTTTTACCCTGCTCCTAGAGATAATGAATAAAAAAGAAATTTATATACAAAACAGGAAAAAAATCTTTTGAAATTGAAAATATACTCAACATTTACAAAAAAACTGACAGATGGGTTAGAAGACTAAGTTGAAAAATCTATTTAGCTGCAGAAAATTTTCAAAAAATGGAAAAAAATTCTGACTAATGGAAATCTCAGAAAGCTCTAGAAAAGACTTCTTTCTATGCAGAAAAGGATAAAAACACTAATTTGAAAACAATGCAAAAACAATACCAGAAATGAAGATGATGAACTTTGGAGATCGAAAGTTTCACTAAACGTCCAGGAAAACAATCCTTTAAATTAATCAAATAATTAAACTCATCGAAATATATCATTCTGAGATAAAATAAATGCAGGAATAAAGAGAAAAACCTAAAACATCTTCCAGAGACATAAAGCAGATCACATACAAGGAAAAAAAATTGCATTGGATTTCTCAAGAGCAATAATGGATCCAGAAGTTTCTTTGAATGCCTTCACATTTTTTAAATGAAATTATTTTGAACTTAGAATTGTATATCAAGACAAACTGTCAGCCAAGCTTGATTTTAAAAAATTTTCAGATATGCAAGGACTTAAAAAATATACATCCTGTGTGCCATTTTAAAGTAACAGTTCCCCAAACAAGCTTATAAATCAAGAAAGAGGAAGAGATGAAACCCCAAAAATGCAGGCCCAACATAAGAGGCAGTAAAATAAATTCTCCAGAGCAATAAGTGTGAAGCAGGCCTAAAGAGAGGTGAACAGATGGCTTGCAGTAGGAATGTCTCCAAGAAAAAAAAAAATGGAAAGAAAATGATAGATTGTTTGATACACATGTGCATTTGAAAATACAGTAGATAGCGGGAAGTGCCCGCCAGATTCCATGTTCTGCTCTTTTTCCTGAGCACCACACTAGATTTCATTTCTTAGCCCCTTGCAGGTGGGGAGGCATGTCACTGAGGTCTGGTTCATGGATTGTGGGCAGAAGTCATGTACATCGCTTCCAGGGTATGCCCATAAAATAACCCCTGAGATCCTCCACACTTCCCCTCTTCCCTTACTAGTGCGCAGATGCGAAGAACCAACGAAGAGCTCTAAGCCCCTAGAAGACATGAAAGCCCCTAGATGAAAAGTCATGAACCTGAATTAGGGTGTGACATGGCTACCTCAGCTGCCACACATTGGACTACCACATGAGCTAGAAGTAAACTTGTATTGTATGATGCCACGAAGATTTTTTAGAGTTGTTACCACAGTTAGATCACTCTGTTACAGTCTTAAAGATCAGTCAGAGGCAATTGTGAATAATATACAATAGGTACGGAGTGTGCTGAACTAATTTTAAAAGGATATTATTAACTCCATGAGAAACAAAAAGTTGCAAGAAAAAAGAAACATTATGATAGAATACCACTTTGTTCAGATCTGGACATAATAAAAATATTGGGAATGCCAACAAGAGAATTAACCCTAACCTACAATAAAACTACATGTGGAGGATGGCAGAGGGAAAGACTATCTGTGTATATGTGCAGAGAAGACAGCTAAACCCTCAATCATCATAACAAAAATCAATAAATAATGTGTAAAGTTGCTAAATAAAGAAATAGCAGGATAGGCAAACCAATTAGACATATAAAAGTACAAAAGCTGCTAAAGAGTCAAATGTTTGCCTGTGGGGATTAAGACCAGGGCTTAGGAGGCGATCTGCACTGTTCCACAAGAACTGTAGATTTTGATTTTGTTTTAAATTATGAGATGTATTACCTTAATAAAAATAAAGTTAATTTTAAATTACCCTTAAAATACACATAAGGAAACAAAAGATATTTGTTCTATAGAGAAAACACTATGCTTTATTAAAGTATTTGCATATACTTTAATATAATGATCTATAAGCAGTGGAGAAAGTGAATTGAAATGCAGAATGAAGATAGATTTGAGAGGTTTGCACAATGATTTATTCATTCAACAAACATTTATTAAGCAACTTGTGCCTGGTACACTGCCAGGTATGGGGGATGCAGTGCAGAACATGAAGGAAAAATAAAGGTGGGTTCTAAGAGAAAACCAGCATTTGTAAGCTTTAAACAACAAATATATTTGGTTTCTTCTCTCTTGTCTTTAGTAGCATGAGTCACTGACCTTCTGGTCATGATAATGCCTTTCATCCTTCACCATCCTCTTAAAAATTTCTCTTGACTTGACCCCCTCACTGATGAGATCCGAGATTTCGTAACCCTTCTCTTGCGATTGCAGGGAAGGCTTCACCAGAAAGTTATGCACGGGTGTGCCCCTACCTCCTGCTGATTTTCTGTTCATGTGAAGAAGTCTGTTTAATCACAAATAAAAATCCACCCTTCTCCAGTTTGAGAAAACCTCACAGTGTGACTAACAAGTCATAAGACTGGACTTCCAGGCCATGCTAGTTTTCTTCACAACGAATATGTAACTTTGAGAAATATATACATGCTTAAGAGACTTTCTACTGGCAAATTACTTTAAATGTGTAGCTCATAAAGACCTATTTTAGATATCTGCTCATTAAACTGGCTATGTTTTCACAATTGTACCTACTGCATCTACTCTGTGGTGAGGTCTTAACCTTCCCAGTTCCAACCTCATGTTGCCTGTTTCTTAGAATGTGTAATGAAGATATACTTGGACCTCATTTGAGATTATTGTAATTTTGTCTAATTTTTTCTTCTTATGTTAGAGGAACATGCTGTGGGAAAGGCCCAAATAATTTCACGAGTGATGTTCACATATAGCCTTGATGAATGTCCTAACTTGCCAAGAAGTCACAGTAGTGTGGGTATGCCATGATCCTGTCTATGAATATTTGACATCTTTATTAAAAAAACCTATAAGCAGAATTTTAGAAATAATTACAACATTGTTTAATCAATTTTAAAAACTAGTTAAAGAGAAGAAAAGTTATAAAAATAAGAACTAAGCAAATAGGAAAGAATAATTCATTTTCTACAAGTCATATGACAATACACATACATAAATATAGTCATTTATTAGCATATATAATTGTATGTGTGGACATAAGTATAGTCATATGCAAATCCATATAAAATGTTTAATTATATTTGCTTTGCTGGTAGCTTTACGGTGAGGTGCAAAATAAAATGTCATATGGGCTTACCATATAAGTACAAATGAATATATGGTGATTTCTCCATTTTCCCAAAAGCTGTTACCTAAAACCAGTGTTTTTGTTAATTTTGCTGCTTTTTAAACTGCAAACACTTCAAGCTGTGATGTCATATATTCAGGAATGATTATTAAATCATCTTAAATTCCTTGCTGGCCTTTTAACCAATTATAAGGTATTTTTTTCAGGCATCTAAACTAACATTGATTAATATAATTTCAAGCAAATATGTCTTTCCTTCTCAAAGTACACTTTTATCAAATTAATTTGATGATTGTTTCCTTATAAGAGAACTATAAGGACTCCAATGTTAAGATAACTATCTCTTTTTTAAGGTATAATTTGGGAAATTATCTTGCCTTATTTTTTGGCCATATATGATGATATAAGTTGTAAAGAATAACAGCTAGTTGACTGGGCATGGTAGCCCACTCTTGTAATCCCAGCACTTTGGGAGGTCTAGGCGGGTGGATCACCTGAGGTCAGGAGTTTCAGACCAGCCTGGCCGACATGGTGAAACCTCATCTCTACTAATAATACAAAAATTAGCCAGGCATGGGGGCCATGCCTGTAATCCCAGCTACTCGGGAGACTGAGGCAGAAGAATTGCTTCAGCCCCGGAGGCAGAGGTTGCAGTGAGCCGAGATCGTGTCATTGCACTCCAGCCTGGGCGACAAGCGTGAAACGCCATCTCAAAAAAATAAAAATAACAGCTAGCTAATTAAGGTTTGATGATAGCAAAGAATCACATGCTATATGATTACTTTTTTAAAACTATACTTTTGGGAAATAATGTCAATAAACCTTATAATTTGAAGTCAGGTGGCGTGATGCCTCCAGCTTTGTTCTTTTGGCTTGGGATTGACTTGGCAATGCGGGCTCTTTTTTGGTTCCATATGAACTTTAAAATAGTTTTTTCCAGTTCTGTGAAGAAAGTCATTGGTAGCTTGATGGGGATGGAAATAAAAGGTATTCAATTAGGAAAAGAGGAAGTCAAATTGTGGGCAGTATGGCCATTTTCACGATATTGATTCTTCCTACCCATGAGCATGGAATGTTCTTCCATTTGTTTGTATCCTCTTTTATTTCACTGAGCAGTGGTTTGCAGTTCTTCTTGAAGAGGTCCTTCAGGTCCCTTGTAAGTTGGATTCCTAGGTATTTTATTCTCTTTGAAGCAATTGTGAATGGGAGTTCACTCATGATTTGGCTCTCTGTTTGTCTGTTATTTGTGTATAAGAATGCTTGTTATTTTTGCACATTGATTTTGTATCCTGAGAATTTGTGGAAGTTGCCTATCAGCTTAAAGAGATTTTGGGCTGAGATGATGGGGTTTTCTAGATATACAATCATGTCGTCTGCAAACAGGGACAATTTGACTTCCTCTTTTCCTAACTGAATACCCTTTATTTCCTTCCCCATCAAGCTACTAATGACTTTCTTCACAGCTACAGTAACCAAAACAGCATGGTACTTGTACCAAAACAGAGATATAGACCAATGGAACAGAACAGAGCCCTCAGAAATAATGCCGCATATCTACAACCATCTGATCTTTGACAAACCTGACAAAACCAAGAAATGGGGAAATGATTCCCTATTTAATAAATGGTGCTGGGAAAACTAGCTAGCCATATGTAGAAAGCTGAAACTGGATCCCTTCCTTACACCTTATGCAAAAATTAATTCAAGGTGGATTAAAGAATTAAATGTTAGAATTGAAACCATAAAAACTTTAGAAGAAAACCCAGGCAATACCATTCAGGACATAGGCATGGGCAAGGACTTCATGTCTAAAACACCAAAAGCAATGGCAACAAAAGCCAAAATTGACAAATGGGATCTAATTAAACTAAAGAGCTTCTGCACAGCAAAAGAAACTACCATCAGAGTGAACAGGCAACCTACAAAATGGGAGAAAATTTTTGCAATCTACTCATCTGACAAAGGGCTAATATCCAGAATCTACGATGAACTCAAACAAATTTACAAGAAAAAAACAATCCCATCAAAAAGTGGGCAAACGATATGAACAAACACTTCTCAAAAGAAGACATTTATGCAGCCAAAAGGCACATGAAAAAATGCTCATCATCACTGGCCATCAGAGAAATGCAAATCAAAACCACAATGAGATACCATCTCACACCAGTTAGAATGGCAATCATTAAAAACTCAGGAAACAACAGGTGCTGGAGAGGATGTGGAGAAACAGGAACACTTTTACACTGTTGGTGGGACTGTAAACTAGTTCAACCACTGTGGAAGTCAGTGTGGCGATTCCTCAGGGATCTAGAACTAGAAATACCATTTGACCCAGCTATCCCATTACCGGGTATATACCCAAAGGATTATAAATCGTGCTGCTATAAAGACACTTGCACACGTATGTTTATCGCAGCACTATTCACAACAGCAAAGTCTTGGAACCAAGCCATATGTCCAACAATGATAGACTGGCTTAAGAAAATGTGGCACATATACACCGTGGAATACTATGCAGCCAAAAAAATGATGAGTTCATATCCTTTGTAGGGACATGGATGAAGCTGGAAACTATCATTCTCAGTAAACTATTGCAAGGACAAAAAACCAAACACTGCATGTTCTCACTCATAGGTGGGAATTGAACAATTAGAATACATGCACACAGGAAGGGGAACATCACACACGGGAGCCTGTTGTGGGGTGGGGGAGGGGGGAGGGATAGCATTAGGAGATATACCTAATGTTAAATGACGAGTTAATGGGTGCAGCACACCAACATGGCACATGTATACATATGTAACTAACATGCACGTTGTGCACATGTACTCTAAAACTGTAAGTTTTATACTTTAAGTATAATAAAAATAAAAAATAAATAAAAAATAAATAAACCTTATAATTATGTGGAACATGATCTATTCTTTTTTTTTTCTTTTTTTTTTTTTTTTGAGATGGAGTCTTGTTCTGTCGCCCACGCTGGAGTGCAGTGCTGTGATGTTGGCTTACTGCAACCTCCGTCTCTCAGGCTCAAGTGATCCTCCCACCTCAGCCTCCTGAGTAGCTAGGATTACAGCTGCATGCCACTATGCTTAGCTAATTTTTTGTATGATCTAGTCAATTTTTATTATCAATCTGGTAACAGCTTATATGACTATAAGGAATTATTTTTTATTTTTTATTATATTTCTAATAGTATACTAAAATAAGTAATGTAATAAGTATGTTTATATTTATGTATTATATTTTATAATTCTATTATATTTAGAATTATAATTATATAATATTTATAGTATATAATATTCATTAATAATTATGTTAATATATAATTATTTATAATAAGTACATTTCTATTTTTAAAGTAATGTGAAAATTCTAAATACTACGGCCATACAATTCCTTCTGAAATATGTATTGCTGCCATAAACAATAAGTAGGTTTCTGTTCTATGGATTTTTTTAGCTACAGATTTCATTGCTACTGAAGGTTGAGTGGCTGGAAGAAAATCCCTACATACTTCATATAAAATATGAATATGCTAGAACCATTCAATTTATTTTAAATCAATTATAAACAATATATTTTTATAGTCATATTTTTGGTGTGAGTCTTAACAGAAGAGATGAGTTTTATGAGAATTTATTTTAAAAAACACGATTAGGATAAAGATACAATTAATAAGAACTTCTCATTTTCTTGCATTTCTCTACCTGTAAAATGTGGTGAACACTAGTCACGTTGTTATAGAGCATTCAAACCTCTCTCCTGATTGTGGGGCTTTCTCAGATGCATGTCTTAGTGGGATCCCACTGTAAAAGTGGGAGGTCAGGCTCTCACGGCAGGAATGGTGGTGTGTAGGACCTGAATGCAATAGCACTGAGTACTTCCAGTGGAGGCATACTAACCACATGGTTGAATGCCTTTGCTTATGGCTCTAGTCCCATGCCAATATGCCCTGGAGTAGGGACAACAAAATGCCAAATGAGGGAGAAGCAGTCTTACACCAAAAAAAAAATATGGAACTTCATCATTTGTATAAGCAAAGTGATAAACATGTATGGGAATGAATTCTGAGGGTGCTTGTACCAAGGAGAAAGGAACACAATTTTAGAAAAGGATGAATTGATTAATATAGATGCACAGGATATAATATACTAGTTTGATTAGCTGGGAGGGCTTGTAATTGTTTTCTCAGTTTGATGAAACTCAAACCCAGATTAAGCCCTGTCTTAATTCAAAGACCCACCCTAACTCTTTAGGAAGGGCATTGCAATACCATTACAAATACATTCAGAATGTCTGCTGCCTAAAATTTCCCAAAGGATTGTACGGCTATTTGCCAAGGTAATTGGCATTGGAGAACAGGAACATTTCCAGAATAATAGAAAATTGACTCTAAGCTATCACTAAGATTTGGATAACAAGAAAGCCACTGAAATTCAAAGATTGAAGTCAGGATTTGTGGCTTAACCAACTTCGACTTCAATGGGGGCTCAATAGGAGTCTCAAATCCACCTCATATCTATTTTGCCGTTTCCTCCCTTCCTACAGATGAAAGGATAATGTGATGGAAGAGTGAATTCAAAGATACTGAAACTATGCAACACAACTCAAGAGAATATATCCAATAGGACAGTCATTTTCTGAAAGAACTGCAGAAATTAGTGTCACCGTTAAGGATTCAAGTCCTTAACGGTGACACTAATTTCTGGTGATTCTTATGAGATCTCCTCTAGGTTCACTACACTGACTGTGTAGAAGGTGGATGGGATGGGTCTTCAAGAATGCCAGTGAATAGCTATAAACTTAATCAGATGATTACTTCAATTGCAACTAATGCAACTAATCAAATAGATACATATTCTAATACTTGGTATACTTGGATAGATGGCTCTAAGAGACTTATTTACTAAATTACTTGCAAGACTCTCCAACTAATCCAGATTTCCGACAAAGCCATTCTGTTTCTTGTATTTTATGCCCAAAAGATTTATGATAAAATATTTATTGGTAGTAGAACAGAGTGATGCATACAGCCTGTGACATTCCCTAGTAGGATAATTATTTTGGAAGCCTATACATTATAAACTTGAGGGTCTTCCCAAGTTCCAGATAGGGTAAGATCAATAAGAACTCTAAATCTAAAGCCTTGGGTTTTACTCCAAGTTCTGCCAAAGATACGTGATAAATTCATCTTTGATCTTATATGTTCAAAATAGAAGGCTTTAAAATAACTCATTCTGCTGATAAAAGTTTCACACACCTGATGCCACAATAGGTGTCCAAAGAATGAATGTTTGTTGAGTAAATAACTGAATGAATCTGCTAATTACCTTCACATCCTTAGCAAGGAAAGTTTCAAGGAAAAGAACACAGAATCTCTTGCTTTAAATTTCAGTAACTTTGATTTTTTTAAAAAATTGAGATGTAAAACGTTAGAAATAAAGATTTGTGAAAATGATTAAAAGTATTGTATATCAGACTCTCGAAATAAATGTGATTTGCAATAAAATAGTCTATAGCAAATACATTTCTTGAGCCATAATGATACAAAACATTTGTATATTTTTCTCTGTGAAAATTAGAAAGGACAACTCCTTCACATTAGTCATTATATTATGACTTTATGTCACAATTAGTGATAAACATATTAGCAACTCTCTGTCTTGCATTTTAATAAATAAATCACAGAAATGCCTTGGCTATTGCTGGTTTGCCCTTAGCCTCACCACAACTCATTAATGGACAAAATGGATTTGTGGCAATCAGAAAACACACAGCCCAAACTTCCACTTAATGATCCTAACTCTAAGATATTTTAACACTTGGAACCACGATTTGGAACCTGTTTTCTCCAACTAACTGGAAGTGTTTTTCACTTTCTTTGAGACTATCACTGTCAAGATAAAAATTATCCTTAAATCTTTTGTTTCAAATTTAAAAAAATAAAATATTTGCTTAAACCATTCATTTTGTTATTAATGTTCAATAAATTAGAAAAATATTTAAACATATAGCTCCAAATATGTCAATCCCTCAGTCGTCTTGGCACGGATATACTTACTGATTTAAAAATACTACAAATACAAGTTTTTGAAAATATTGGAAATTTGCGAAATATCTCGAAATTGAATTCAACCCCTAACCCCATGACTCTATGACCCCATGTTTGATGTAGAAGCAACTATTATCGTATTTCACCTACTCTTGATTTGGCCTTCGCCTTATACCCTCAATTTGGTCAGTGGGGACCAGAAAGCATTCCCAACCTACTAGTGTTTTTGCTGGCACAATTGATATTTTTTGGCCATGACAAGGAACAACCAACTCTACATTTCACAGTAACTCCAGAAAGACTTGCTACTCACACTTAAGCATATTAAAACAGTGAATGTTTGTACTGGTGAATTTGTGCCATCACATACACAAACTATATTAAGCCAGTTGAAAAAGATAGGGGTTTCGATATTTAAACCTGATAAATGTTCACATTGAAACAAAAATATTTTGGTACTTAAAGAAAGATTTATTTAGCTGGTAATTTATTAATAATAATACTGGCCAGGCATGGTGGATCACGCCTGTAATCCCAGCACTTTGGGAGGCCGAGGTGGGTGGATCACTTGAGGTCAGGAGTTCGAGACCAGCCTGACCAACATGGAGAAACCCCGTCTATACTAAAAATACAAAATTAGCTAGGCATGGTGGAACATAATGAGCTATAACTTTAAGAATTTTTGTATAGTAAATACCATGATGAATTGCTTTGGGTGGTTTCTTAAAATGGTCCTCAATGTAGAAGAATGACTTTAATAGCAAATTATTAAAGAATTATCAAGAAAAGTAGTAAGAGTTTCTATAAGGGAGTGAGGGGTTTACAAAATGATGCTCCTTGAAGATTTGGCTAAATCAATAAATTGATTTTAGAGTAAGGAATTGATAGACTATTCTCAGGTACACAGATTTTGATAAGTCCAGAGGCAGAGGGATTTGAGACTGTATCTCCCAGGAGTATTTGGAAAATAGCCATTACGTGTTGGTGGTTAAATGAGAATCATTGTCCTTTAGCCAATGAGGTAAGATGATGTCTTGTCATGAAAGCTGAAAGCTGAGAAGTCTGACATGGCTATGTCTGCACAAAGGGGTCCCTGTTTCTGCTCAAGTTTAAAACAGGGGAGGATCCTCTGCAAGTTGTTCTAAGCCTTCTCTAGTACATAGTTACCATACTCCTGCAATAATACTTCATGGAAGATTAGTCTGACCCTTGGAAAACAATCGAAGTAGTTATAATCCATGCATTTTCAATGAGAAAAATATTGCCCCAGGGAGGCAAAATTTGTTGTTGGGAGGTGACATGATCTTACTCTTTTTATGTATGAAGCACAGATATATCTATGGCACATAAACAGATACACAGTATATCTGTGTTATTAAATTCTCATTTGGGTGGCAATTAGGGAAAAAAATGCCTGTAAAGACTTCTTAGGGTGGGGTTGGGGGTTGAGATGGTGGTTGTGAAATAAAGGATGAGAAAAACTGATAAATACCAAACACAAAATAATAACAGCACATTCCTTTCAGCCCTGACTCACAAACGTGTTCACAGACACTTAAACGTATAAACTTGATGAACATAGCCTCATTCAGTATTCTACAATAAAAACTATTTGTAGTATATATACTCAAGTAACTGAATGGGTTAACTCAGTTAAATGTTGAAATATATCTATTCAAAAGATTAATGTGGTTTTAGAATATTAATATTTTGGCATGGTTGTTATTCTATTAATCCCATTTTTGTGTTGGGAAGATAAAAATATATGCTTAACAAACCTTGCCTTTTTATCATCTACAGAAGAGGGATTAGATATAACTAATCTAAGAAATATATCCTGCCAATTGTTAAAAATATTTTTAAAATAACCAGGAGGGTAATCTGCTCTGGAGTATTGACTTACTCAGATACAGTGGGATCACTATTTGGGATTTAATTTTTTTAAAATGTTTTCCCATGGCAACTGGAGAAACAACACAACAACACATGAAGAAAAGCCATAGATTTCCCTCCTCCATTCGACCCTATTCCCTTGAGCTAAATCAAAAATATTTCCACATTAATGTTCAAACAAATACTAATTTATGTAGGGTTTTAAAAATAGAATAGTTTTATTCAATAAATCTGGATTGTAAATCTGCATCTTTCACAGCTTTCCCAGTGCAATGGCAAAGATGAATAGTAACTGTGACAAAGTAGTTGTCATAGCCTACAAGTCTGAAATATTTATTATCTGGCCCTTTACAGAGAGAGTTTGCTGTCCCTAACAATAGAGGATTTGGTTAAATAAATTACTGTTCATCCACTCAAAGCAGACTGAATTTATTGAAATGTTATTGTAAGACAGTGCTTAATTAAATGAAAATAGATGCACAATGCATATGAACTAAGCAATTGAAAACAGCATACATAGGGAAAGTCAATTTTTGTTGAAATGTGCACATATACAAAAAGTACTATGTTAGGTGCTTAGAGTTGAAAGAGCTTGGCTATCAGAGTTTCATAGATCCAAGTTCCATTACTGACCTTACCAACTAATTATCCATTGTGTGGAAAAATAAGTTACTTTATCTTCTTTCTCCATTAAAAAAAATGATAACCTGGGGATGTTGAAGTATAGATATCGCTCATCTCCTTCCAAAAATTGATTTGAGGTGAATTGACATATTTATATCTATTCCTGTGTTAGTCTGTTTATGTTGCTGTAAACGAATACCAGAGACTGGGTAATTTATAAACAGGTTTATTTTGGCTCATGGTTCTGCAGACTGTACAAGAAGCATGGCACCAGCATCTACTTGGCTTCTGGCAAGGCCTTGGGAAGCTTACAATCATGGCAGAAGGCAGAGCAGGAGCCAGGGTATCACATGGTGAGAGGGGAAGCAAGACAGAGGGCAGAGGTGCCATGCTCTTTGAAACAATCAGATCTTGAGTGAACTCATTTCCACTCATTACCATGGGGAGGGCACGAAGCCATTCATGATGGATCCAACCCATGACCCAACACCTCCCACTACATCCCACTGTCAACCTGGGGATCACATTTCAACATGAGATTTGGAGGGGACAAATATCCAAACCATATCAAATCCCTTGTGGAGATTTAATTATTAAATGAGGCACGTAAACTTTCTCATAGCATGTCTAGTACATGGCACAGCAGACTACATTTTTAAATGTTCCTCTTACCTCTGCTTCAAGTAGGCAATAGAAGAAGGTAAGAAACTCCTATCTTATTTATTTTTCAATAAGCAGATGGGATACAGAAAAGAGTAAAGAAAACCCCTTCAGCGCTGGGGTATTCTCCAGCCACAGCAGTAGACAAGAACCACAGAACCTCAGAGAAAAGCCACAACCGAAAGCAGCATGAGAACAAGGTGTTAGCATATTTCTATGCCATGACATTTTGTTTCTTCTCTGAATTATGTCAACTAAGGGGTAAAATTGCAGAGGGTGAGAGAGAATCTATGCTTCTTTATTCACTCTATTTCTCAGGCTGAGACAGAATTATCATTTGCATCAAGAAGATGGGGAAAATATTTCTTGAATTATTAGTTTTATTTGCAACTATTTGGTATAGATATTGTGTACAGATGTACATATACATATATATGTGTGCTTGTATATATTTTGTTTTCCTCACACTACGATTTAAATTATTCTAGTATTTCATCTTTAAACCATTAGAAATAAAGTATTAAAAATTAATTCTTAAAATGTCCTTGTTAATTAATGTAGAGTCATAGAATCTCAAAATTTGAAAGCAATTGTCTAGGTTAAAATTTCCCAAACTCTCTTCCATGGAACACTACACCTGAAAGGTATTCATAAGAGTGTGTGTGTGTGTGTGTGTGTGTGTGTGTGTGTGTGTGTGTGTTAAAGGAGTTCCATGGTCAGACTTCTTTGGGAAATTCTGCCTCTGCTACTGTCTCTGCAATGAGTACTAACACATTAAGGTTTCCAAAGTAATGAAACTTCTTTATTTAGCCTATCTCATCCAAAGCAATTTGGCAATAAAATTTCTTTACTCGTAAAACTCCTATTTAACATCTCCTAGGATTATTTCCAGAACATCTGTAAATTTTCTTGTAGTTAAACCCACTCATTCTACAGATGAGGAAATATAATCATGTACAACAAAAAAAGAGAACCCGGAAACTCAAATCCTTCATTCATTTCTGTTTGCCAACTATTGATCTCAATATTACCCAGATTCTAAAATTCTGTTTAATACAACAACATGTTTATCTTTTCTCCATCCCAAAACCCCCCAAAATGTCAATGAAACTAATAGAAAGGTATTCATTCATAAAGACAATAGCAAGAGAAAGGTACAACAGATATTTTGACATTAGCAAGTGTGCTTATTACCTTATCAGAGCAAACTTACACAAAATCCCCTCACTAGGAGTCATGGAGGAGAGTGATGGATTCGCTCAGAACCCATTGAGATGTTCAGCATTTAAAAATACCAGGTACTGTAAAAAAGTATTGGATGGATAGGAAGTTGCAATATGGGCATTGAGTGAATGTCTTATGAAAGAAAAATACATCTCAAGACCCCCAAATCATTAAGCCAAAGGGAAACTGCATCAGGCAAACTTGCTTCCCATTTTATTCCTAAATAAGAAAGCTGCAAAGACAAAAAGCCACAAACCTCCCTCACAATCTGTCCACAAGGAAATTCCTGAAGGCCTCAAGATCTTTACCCTAAAACACAGTTCCATTGAATTTCACCCTGGCAACGTAAATCGATAGCTGATCTTCACAGGTGTAGGACAGAAAGTCATTCCTCTGCTCACCTGAGACAAATGCATATCTGATTGCTTCCTCTGCCCTACTGTTTATGTAAAAATGCAGATTCACCGAGCCAGACTAAAGCGTAAGTGACTATTCCTCCATCCTCCTCTCGTGTAAATTGTGCATTCAGCAAAAGACTGATCGAAGACTCAAAAGTCTCAAAATGCAGTAGTTTGTCTCTTATCTACCTATGACCTGGGAGCTCCTGCCCTCTTGAGTTGTCCCACCGTTCCGGACTGAACCAATTTACTTCTTATACATAATGATTAATATCTCACATCCCCCAAAATGTATAAAAGCAAGCTTTACCCCAGCCATCTTTGGCACATGTCATCAGAACCTCCTGAGGCTATGTCACAGGTATGTCCTTAACCTTAGCAAAATAAACTTTCTAAATTGATTGAGACCTATCTCAGATACTATTGAGTTCACAGTCTCTATGTAGTGTGCCTCTTCCCCCCTCTAAAACTTTAGGAAACTTATTTCTCAAGAGTGACTCAGGTGATAAAGCATGGGGAGACTAACCAAAAAGTAATAAAACAATCCAGATTCTAATATTATAATATTAGGCTATATTTTTTCATAGGAAATGTATTCGTTTCAGGTAACATTTATCGAGAACCAATAATAATGGACTAGATGCTGACGATACAAAGATAATTTAACAACAGAATTCATACAAAAGCCATGATTCCTGGTCTCAAGGAGTCTACAATTGCAGGGGGAGGGTTCACAGAGGTTTTCTTATTTATTTATTTATTTATTTATTTATTTATTTATTTATTTATTTATTTTGAGACAGGGTCTTGCTCTGTTGCCCAGGCTGGAGTGCAGTGGCACAATCTCGGCTCACTGCAACCTCTGCCTCCTCCCCAGTTCAAGTGATTCTCATGCTTCAGCCTCCCAAGCAGCTGAGATTACAGGTGCCCGCCACCACACCCAGCTAATTTTTCTATTTTTAGTAGAGATGGGGTTTCACTATGTTTGTCAGGCTGGTCTTGAACTCCTGATCTCAAGTGATCTGCCCACCTCAGCCTCCCAATGTGCTGGGATTACAGGTGTGAGCCTTGGCACCCAGCCTGATTTTTTTTAATTCATTCATTCAACATTTATTTAGTGAGCACTTACAAACTCTGTGAAGTCCTGAATTTAAATTTCAGAACTATATTAACTCAGACAAGTTCACAATCTCTCTAAACTTTTGTTTACTCTTTTATGTAAATTAGATGATAATAACAATAACTACTTTATAGGGTTGCATACCTGACACATACTTTGGTAGAAATTTCTGATAAATATATATTATTAGGAAAGCAAAATATTTCCTAGAATTAATTTTTATTCGAGCAAATTTATTGGAGGCATACAAATGACAGGCCTCACTGTGAAACCTGAAAATTTAATTTTACCAAGAAAATATACACACAAAAGTAGGCATAAATACCCTTTAAAGGAAAGACACCAGCATCTTTTAATTTAACTCTTTATCCTTCCATCTCTCACTCAGTATGGGTACATTCTAGGCACTTGTTCTTCTTTGTATATGTTGAGGATGTTCACTTGCTCTCATGTGGTATATTTTCAATAATATTTTCAGATCAATTGTTCTCAAAACTTCAATTTATGCAAATGCTGAAAAGCTGAACAGTCAGAATAATAAAATTATGATTATTTAAATTCTTAACAGTAAAACATAACTGTTTACACTTTTAAAAAGTCAGCACAATTCAAAATATCATTAGCTGTACATGAAT
This sequence comes from Homo sapiens, assembly GCF_000001405.40. Lineage (NCBI taxonomy): Eukaryota > Metazoa > Chordata > Mammalia > Primates > Hominidae > Homo > Homo sapiens. The sequence continues at coordinate 54,809,873 of NC_000018.10, read as the reverse complement.
GCGTATATTGTCTACAAAGCAATTAAGAAAGGATAGCCCAATTTTCCAAGAAATTAATCTTAATGTAGGATCTGTTTAACAACATCCATACTTAATTTTTGAAAAGCATCTTACATAGTCTCTGGCATGTAGGTGGATTCTCAATAAATGTGGAATTGTATTAAATGGGTAATTTATTTATAATCAATTACATTTACTTAACTAAAGCATTTCCTAACAGGTTTGCCTCCAAACACTTGGTTTTGACTTATGCATTAGCTAAAACTTTCCTTCATTAATGAGCTATAATAAGTCTCTTCAAATTTCATTGGCTTGAACCAATGTTTATTCTCTTGCTCACCCATCTGTGGATTGGCTGCAACTTAGGTGACCTAGTCTGTGCTCCAGTTTCCAGGATTCACCTCGCAGGTTGAGTTCAAGTCTGTCCCACATGTCTTTCCTCCTCCTGGGACTAGGTGCTCCCTGAGGCATGTGGTCTGCTCCATAGTTCTCACTCTGGGGCCCAGGTTTATAGGGGTAGCAGCTCTTCAGTGCATACTCTACTGGTGGTAGACTTCAGAAGCAACCAGATCGACAAACTGAACAGACAAAACTCTTAATACCCATGCTTGAAACTGATGCTATTTGTAGTCACGTACCACTGTTCAGAGCAAGTCATGTGTCCTATCTAACAACAATATGTCAAAAAGTATAATTATTCCCTGAGGCAAGGTGGGAGGGTGTCAATGTTTCCTAGATAATCATGTAACCTATTACAACTTTCTACTAGAAACTGGAAAAATGCTCAAGAAAATACAATTCAGTGACACAAATTCAATGGGGGAAAATTTCAACCAAAGAATTGATCATGTACTAATTGCACTGTCAACTGTCTTTCCTAAGGAAAAGTTCTTCTGTGGACACTGGGTTACATCTTTTCACTGTGGCCTCATCTTAGCAGCATGGCTTTCCTTTAGTTTTCCCTTTGCAATTTTTCATAATTTCTGGTATGTTAAAGGTTCTTCTCATTTTTTAGCACAGCTAGATATCTATTATTTTCCATATTTTTCTGTTTTTAATAATTCATATTTATTCTGTTCATTTAGTGATATGGGGAGTCTTTAACTGTATGTATCAATTTGGAAACTGGAAGTCTGTAAGGCATGTGTGTATATGTATGTGTGTGTACACATGATCATTATTTTACATTTTTTACTATAGACTGGAAAACAAATTGATTTAGATTTGTCAATAAAGAACTGAATGATCAATCGTAAACTAACCTTTTTAGCATACTCACATGGATATCGGCTTTGTTTGAACAAGTTGACACATGTCATCTTTATTTGTGGAGGCTGATAATAAGAGATTTCTAATGTTCCTCAACATCTAGTAGTTCTCTACTTCTACATAAATGAGCGTTTACATTTCCTTGCCCTCTGAATTCTGGTTTGGCTATATGATTGGTTTTGGCCAAAGAAATATGTGCATAAGTGATGTGTGTCTCTCTCAGGGGAAGCATTTATGAGTTGGTGCACAGTGGGCCTCAGTGATCACGAGAGTGTGGATTGAATTGGAGATGCCATGAGACCACAGCAGCCTAGAATCCTGGCCCAACCTGTGGGGACTGCTGCCCTGGAGGGTCATCTGTACCAAGCCTGAGTAAGAGGGAAACTGATCAGATACAGGGAATGTGTGTTACCACAGCACCACTGGGCCTATCTAGAGGATTACAAACAATATGTAGAATCTTAAGCAGTAAACAATGAACAAAACTTAATTTTCAAAATTATATAATATGTAACTAGTTTTGTTTATGAAGGACACCTTCCTTCTATTATTATGGAAACTCCTCTGGCTAGTGTGTTATCAATGTTTAGCACCATAATTAGTGCAAAATTAACTCCTGCTTCAAAAGATACAAACAGACTGGAGACAACAAGATCTAAAAGACCAAGTAATATGGATTCCTACGTTCAGAGATAGATGATATCCCCTGAAGTGATGAAGTAATAAGGCAAATTTTAATGTCTCATGCTGTTTATGGAACTGCTTTTTTCTTCTAGCTCAGACACAGTGGTGTTCACAGTTTGTCCCCTGCCAGCACAGAAGTATCCCATTTTCAGAATTTACCTACACATGTCAAGTGTAGATCAAGGGCATAGTAAACTTGATCAGTTCCCCAGTGAATGTTCAACAGGAAAACTACCAAAACATCACTAACAAGAAATTACAGATGGTACTTAAATACCACAAAGGTGTCATTCCTTATAAATATTCACTATTAATGAGTTGGGCTTGTTTCCATAGCTGGCAACCAGATGATACGCATATTGATAGAGCTAAGAAATGAGCTGGTTGTGTCAAAGGCTGGAGACTTAGTGATGAGTCAAGTTATCATGTTCAATCCTGTAAAGCTCCAAGTTCCCGAGGAGATTATGTCCTTAAAACAAGAAGGTAAGGACTTGTTTAAAGCTTGTCCAACACTTCTGCCCACTGCTAAAAGCTGAACCCTCAAGGAAAGGTTTATGCTCAAAGTCAGTGCCCATAAAGACATGCAAAGACTTTTTCCCAAAATACTGATGCAGCATGTGATGGTGATACCTCAGAGCAGGAAAAAATACTGAAATTAAAACTAAAGGCTAGTTAATTTTACTAAACCACAAAAAGCGGTTCTGCATTTCAAAATTAGCTTAGGCCGGGCGCGGTGGCTCATGCCTGTAATCCCAGCACTTTGGGAGGCCAACGCCGGCAGATCACAAGGTCAAGAGATTGAGACCATCCTAGCCAACATGGTGAAACCCCATCTGTACTAGAAATACAAAAATTAGCTGAGTGTGGTGGCGTGCACCTGTAGTCCCAGCTACTCAGGAGACTGAGGCAAGAGAACCTCTTGAGTTCTCCTGGTTGCAGTGAGCCAAGATTGTGCCACTGGACTCCAGCCTGGACACACAGTGAGACTCCATCTCAAAAAATAAAAAAATAAAGAAAATAAAATTAGTTTAATATGTGGTCAACTGTATTTACTCAAACCTACTCATTTTTGCTTTAAGTGACTTAGAATGTTTATGTATGATATTGAGCAAGTTGGTATTGATATAATTCTTCAATTTTTTTTGAATGTTTTTCTTGCTAGTTGTTAACATTTTAAATATGGTGTTAATGACTCATGTTTTCCATCCACTTAACCATCTCAGCTTGATAGTAACTAACATAACATCCTGAAAGCCAATCTAACCATCCTGTTTTACACTTGAAAGATGTTATGATACAATATCAAACATAAACATTCTAAGTCACTTATATTTATGTGATTATATATATAAATAATATATAATTGTGGCTTATATATATAATTACATATATAATCATTACTAACATTCTTGGACCCATTTCTTTATCCATTTATTTATTTATATATATCATTATATATAAATATATAACATATATTATATATATGTATTCATTTGGCTACATATACTTGAAATCAAAGTGAAAAGATATAAAAAGAGAGACTGCTCCTCGAACCAGTCTCCTATGCTTCCCATACAGTAACACACCATAGAGCTCCATGTCATACCACACACCAGGCTGCATCTCCCTAAGAGGAGGGCAGTTCTGCATTAAGCAGATGATTCAGATACTAGCCAGTTTCCAGTCCTTGACCAAAGGCTAAGTACACTGCTTATCTGTGCTGGCTGTCAACATATTTCAAAAACTGTGACTCTCCACAGAGCACAGGATGTGGGTATCAGAACAAAAAAGGAAGCACTAGCACAATGTTTTATATCTTTAAAGGAAATCCCATGGGTTGCAAGCAGATCAAATGGACTAAGTATATCATTCATATTTTCACAATGGGTCATGATGAAACAGCTAAATTAGAAGCTATACAATTGAGTGACCTGGTACAAAAATGAGCACATGGTTTCACATGAATTGGGTTTGTCTCAACTTACGAGTAATCAATGTATGATTTTGATGGAGTGGTACTTGCATTTGAGGACTTAAATTATAATTTCCAGTGGAATAAAAATTAAATGCTTCTCTGAGGCATTTTTATTACTCTATATAAGATCCAATCTTCTGAAACCTGATCTTCAAAGTAGGAACTTAAGTTTCGTACAATAACTAAAACAAATGCTTGGTGAATGATGCATTAACCTCAAGAAGACATTCAACTCTATTAGTGATTCTTAAGAACCTGTACTGTACTTTCAAGACATAAATAACACATGATTCCTGAACTCACAAATTACCTATGCTAGAATTTTCACATCAACACTACTGGATCGTAGTCTTTTCAAAGAGGGAAGTCTTCAATCACAAAGGACAAAGTTGCTCATGAATTCTCTAAGTATATAGAGAAAATTACCACCATTTATTGTTGTGAACATTGTTTTTGTGCTTTGTATATGTACCTAGAAAGTACCCTGACATTTTAAATAGGAAGACATAAATTTCTACAAGCACAGAAAAAGGAAAGTATGAAGTTTTAACATTATACAGTCTTTGAAGGAATAAATAAACCAGAAGGAAAAGAGATCCAGACCCAGAGTAAATCTTTTTGTAGTGTTTTCTAGCATAGCCTTTCCCACGGATGAATGCCACAGTGACCCCTTAGTCTACGAGAGTTGTCTTCCAGCTACATCCCTGGCACTTGATAAGATTCCCACTTGCTGTCTGTGATGCCAACCAGAGCTGAGTGTAAGGGAAGTGTGCAGAGTGCCTCATGTCCCTGGAAAGGCTTTGCTGAGGCTCTTAACTCGCTGAGGCTCTAGGGAGGATGCTCAGAGTGCCCTTGGATTAAGGAGACCTCCAGAAACCTCCCTGTCAGCTTGGGCACATCATGCAATGGTGGAGAGCAGTCAAAAATTAAAAAAAGAGGAACAGAAAACTAAAAAAAAAAAGGAAGGAAGGCAGGAAGGCAGAAAGAAAGAGAAAGAAAGAAAGAAAGAAAGAAAGAAAGAAAGAAAGAAAGAAAGAAAGAGAGAGAGAAAGAGAAAGAAAGAAAGAAAAAAGAAAAAAAGAAAGGAAGGAAGGAAGGAAAGAAAAGAAACCTTTTCAAAGATATATAAAAAGAGTGACCACAGCAGAAAGAAACTCTCATATACCTCACCCAGAGATCCCATTTCCCATTCAAGTTTGGCCAGTTGTCTGAAAAATATCTTCCAGAGCAAAAGGATTCAACTCCAGTTCTGGATCATGTATTACACTTAGTTTTCATGGCTCTTAATTTTTGTTTAGTATAGAACCACTCTAAAGTCCTCCTTTGACCCTCATGATCTTGACACCGTTGGAGATTACAGGCCAATTGAATTAGTCTGTTTTCACACTGCTGATAAAGATACACCCGAGCATGGCAAGAAAAAGAGGTTTAATTGGACTTACAGTTCCATGTGGCTGGGGAGGCCTCCAAATCATGGCAGGAGGCAAAAGGCACTTCTAACTTGGTGGCAGCAAGAGAAAATGAAGAAGAAGCAAAAGCAGAAACTCCTCATAAACCCATCAGATCTCACAAAACTTATCACAAGAATAGCATGGGAAAGATTGGTCCCCATGATTCAATTACCTGCCCCTGACCAACATGTGGGAATTCTGGGGTATACAATTCAAGTTGAGATTTGGTGAGGACACAGTCAAACCATACCACCAGTTATTTGGTTGAATGTCCTTCAGTTTGGATGTTTCCTTATCATTAGATTAGCTGCTCTTTCCTAGAAGTCAAACTTTAATGTGCATAGGCATCTCATGGAGAATTTAAATTGTAGATTCTGATACAATAAGACAATAGTTCTGCATTTCTAACAAACTCCAAGGCCATCAATGGGACTGACCACATAATTAATAGGAAGAGCCCCATAAGACACCAATCAAGAAGAGGGAGAAATAATCAGGACTGATTATCCACCTTCCCCCTCATCAGGACTAATCCCACGATCCTTTGTGACAATTTAATAAAGTCACTTCCAAAACTCCAAACTTTCCTAATCATTGATTTCACCACTAGAAATTCCAAACTTCCAGAACTATTGATTCTCCTATTCCTAAATGAACCCCCAAACCTGTCCTAACCAAATTATCATCAACCCAGTGAGTGGTTCCATCATCCCCCCAGTTGCTTAAGTCCAAAGCCAAGAAATCACCTCTGATTCTTCTCTTTTGCTCAACTCATACTGCCAGTCCAGCAGAACCACCTAACTCCAAGACATATCCCAAGTCTGTTCACTTCTATTTGTCTCTACTGTTCACAATGTATTGCATATCATCATCCATCATCTCTTGCTTGCACTACGCTGTAATTTCCTGATTGGTCTAACTGCTTCCATTCTTGACCCCCTCCACCCAGAAGCCAGGGAGAGCTTTGAAAAATAAGGTAAGTCAGGTTCCACTGCCTGAAACCTCTACTGTCTACTGATCATGTTTAGGGGAAAACACAAATGCAAACTGCTCATTTTGTTCTCAAGGATCTTTGGGATTGTTCTCATGCCCTCTTGCTTGCTGCACTCTGGCCACACTGGCCTTCTTGTGTTTTCTCTGATCTGTCAAGCCTCATGCCCCTTCTGCCTGGCATACACTTCATCCTGAACATCACATAGCTTGCTACTTCCAACTCCCAATTCTGCTCAAAGTCATCTCTTAGGAGGACTTCCTACTGCCTTATCTGAAAGAGCTTGTTTTCCCAGTTTCTGTACTTCTCTATCTGCTATCTTTATTTATTTCATCATAAACATCATCACTATGTGAAACTATGCTATTTATTTTTTTCCTTGCTTAATTAGCATTCCTTTCCTCTTCTAGATATACATTCATAAGGAAAGAAATATTGTATTTCTTTTTTCACTCATGTATTTCAGCTTCAGTGCCAGTTATAACAAACTCAATAAATATTAACTGAATAAATGAATGAATAAATAAATACTACTTTAAATCAAAATGCTTATGTAAGCAAAGGACTGAATGGGGAGTTGGTAAAACTGCCACTCCTCACATGATTACTCACCATCGACAAAACCTTTCCAAAGCAGCACATGTCCCATTGACAAAGACTTGACATAGCCCATTCTCTTGCTACGTTGAAGAGCTTACCTAAAGTTTCACAGAATGACCCTGGTCCAGTTAGACTTTATAATGTCAATGTCCCCCATTCTAGCCAGGAAATTTTTCCTGACTTCTCCTAGTTTCAAGACAGCAAATTGAGCTTACATGTTTAAACTCTCTTTTGCCTTATATTCCATTGAAATAACTAAGGAATTTAGAAATAAGAAAATATCTCTAGCAGTTTAGGAAAATAGGGAAGTGTAAAATCACACATCAAGAAACCTTGAAAGATTTCAGGAGGGAATAGAGATGATTTGGCCTGAGAGAAAATCTCCCAGTTGCTGACCGTTCAGTCAAAACAGAAAGGAGCAATCTTGGACATAAATTAAGAGATTACTGCAACAAGTCCTAGAAAAACGTTGACTCTTAAATCACCACATACCAGATACAAGAGCAGGCACTGAACCAGTGGGCAAAGTCCAGTGGAAAAGCTATGGCAACAGTGACAGTACCCCAAGCACTGGCTAACTTCAATTGTCCAAAGCAAAGGAACAAAGGAAGAAACTCAGCTCATCTCAGGAGTACAACCTCTGTGTCCTCCTTCTCCAAGGATTTCTACTACTAACAGTATCACAGGGGTGTGTGTTTTCTGTTCTAGCAAATATTGCAAAGATTGTATTTGCAAACAATGTAAAGATTATTTGAACTTGATTTCATTGTACCATGAATAACTTTGATCCCTCACTTTACTCCTTCACCTCTAACAAAAATGAAGGTTTTGTAGCTTAGATAATCCCATAGTCAAGTATCTTACTCAACAAGATGGACCAAGGTGCCTGATGGTTGATTGCTTCTGGCCTATGTATTCTGCAAGTCCATCAGCTGTTCCATCTCCTTCTCACAGGACCCAAATTAGAGCTTGTCCTCAATTCTCTGTAGCCCTCCTACACACTAAAAAAAATAGGACTGACAATTTTAATAGCGGATAGCAAAAAGTGACCTCCATAGTTGCTGACAGAGCCCATATCATCCACAGGTTTAACAAATCTAGATCAAAGGTCCCAAATCTTAAGGCAGTGGTTCTCACAGTGAGGCCACTGTCCTCCTCCTGTGGCAATGGCTGGTTATATTTTTGGTTGTCACAACTGGGTGGTAGAGTGTGTGTTACTAGTATCTAGTGGGTAAAAGCCAGAGATGTGCTAATCATCCTGAAATGTACTGGACAACTTCCCAAGCCCCAACAAAGAATCGTCTGGCTCAAAATGTCAACATGCCTGAACCTGATGAACCCTGCTCAATGGTCAACAGGCCTAGATGGGCAATAGTAAGTGTGAACCTGGCCATGAAGCAATAGGGCATCATGGGGAAGCTGGTGACCTGGGATACAGTGATGACAGATTTTCCAGTTTTTTAAGAGAGAGAAAGAGTCTAGGTTTTTAATAGTCATATACATTGTTGTAAATCAGTTTTATAGTTTTTTTTATAAATGTTGAAGATGAATTTTAGAATGTTGAAAAACTAAATTAAAACACAGGAATAGGCCAGGTGCAGTGGCTCACACCTGCAATCCCAACACTTTGGGAGGCCAAGATGGGTGGATTACTTGAGGTCAGGAGTTTGCAACTAGCCTGGCCAACATGGTAAAAAACCCCATCTCTACTAAAAGTACAAAAATTAGCCAGGTGTGGTGGCGTGCACCTGTAATCCCAGCTACTAGGGAATCTGAGGCAGGAGAATTGCTTGAAGCCAGGAGACGGGGGTTGCAGTGAGCCTAGATCATGCCACTGCACTCCAGCCTGGGCAACAGAGCAAGACTCTGTTAAAAAAAAAAAAAAAAAAAAAAAACACAGGAACAAAACAAATTTAAAAATTCAACAACTCCAAAAAATAAAATAAAATAAAATTTAGTGGTCTGGATCTGGCCCATGGATTGATGGTTTGCCATTGCAGATTTAGTACTTTACTTATTATATATGAGCTGATAATAACAGCATAATAAAGTCTGAGCACCCATGAGAGCAGACAGCAGTTAAAATGTGGGCATTATAATAACAGTAATAACCAGAGAAAATGACTACAATGGAAAAAAGTTAGTATAAACAAGAGGCTAATTTACAGCATCATATTCTTGGTGAGATTAGAGTTGGGGCTGGGAAGGTAAGCAGGAACAAAGTCTTAATATCTGTAATCTATAGCAGTATTTCAAATAGGTACTGCAAGGAATACTCCAATTAAAGTGTAGACAAAAATTACAAAAGGTACCTCTCAAAAGAAGAATGGCAAACAGTTGCAAGAGATGAATAGTTGTAATGACAATGAAGTCAATGCAAATTAAAATGAAATGGTCTTCATCAATTATACTAAAAAGGAATTAATGCCCAGTGCTGTGGAGCATTGGTGGGGAGGAGGAAGAGCACCACTAATGCAATCCTGGCAAATGTAAATGTTCTTTGCAATCTAGGCTTTGAATCACATTAAAAATGTATGCGTTCTTTCATGAACAAGTCTACATCTAGGGATTTATCTTAGGGAAATAATTGAACAGGTGGATACAAGTAAATACACAATTCTCTTCATTGTAACATGGTTTATAATAGCAAATAATTAAAAATAATTCCAATGTCCATTTACAATAGTTAAATATAATTTATTAACAACCACACAGTGTGGTGGTTTAGAGCTGCCAAAGGGAATGAACAAATCTATATATGGATGGAAGATAGATTATAATATTTTTATAAACTCAAAATATTATCAATGAATAAAACAGATGGAAGAGCTGAGGGACAGTTAGTTAAGTCTTTGAAAGAGAAGTTCTCACTAGTTCAAGTTCCTGTTGGTTGATGTCCTTACTGATTGTTTCTGTGTGGTGGGATAACGGTTATTCTCCTTAAAAAATCATTTTATTGGCTGGGCACAGTGGCTTACACCTGTAATCCCAGCACTTTGGGAGGCTGAGGCAGGCGGATCACAAGGTCAGGAGATCAAGACCATCCTGGCTAACAGACTATCCTGGCTAACACGGGTGAAACCCCGTCTCTACTAAAAATAGAAAAATTAGCCAGGTGTGGTGGTGGACGCCTGTAATCCCATCTACTCAGGAGGCTGACGCAGGAGAATGGCATGAACCCTGGAGGCAGAGCTTGCAGTGAGCCGAGATCACGCCACTGCACTCCAGCCTGGGTGGCAGAGCAAGACTCTGTCTAAAAAAAAAAAAAAAAAAAAAAAAAAAAAAAAAATCATTTTATTATATATTCTGATATTTTTCTCCTGTATATATTGCAAGTATACCTTGCTTTTGTAATAAAAGTATTAACCATTGTTTTTTAAAAAACAGAAATTATTATTTTCATGTATAAATCAATCTGAAACATATATATTTAAATTTATAAAATGTTCACATATTATACCCTATGGGGATACTTAGTATAGTATCTTATGACCTACAAAATTATTAACCCCAGATGTCACTTGGTCTTTTAAGAATCAAGAAAATTCCAGTTGATTTACTTGTTTCTCCTTAAGTCTGAGAGAAATCACTAGTGAAAGCAAAGTGCCATTAAGTTAGGGGTACATTTTCTGTCATTGATGATAAATGAAGTGGTCCAAACAAAACTAAACAAATCATGTAAACTTACTATATTTTCCCTCATGATCCTAGCATGATCAATAACACAAATTTGGAAGTTAATGAGTCACAATTTTAGTTAAAAAAAATTAGTCTAATATTACACAAAGTTTAATTTTTATAACTCGTTCTAAGCATAGCCTAAAATAAAAAATTGTTTCCAGGAAGAGATCAATGACAATAGTAATTTTAAGTTAAAATTGCCAGAAAATTTGAATAAAAGACAGTCCTTACATACGTGACCCTCTTGTGATTGTGGCTGAAAAAACATACAATTTGATTTTTGCCTTCATCTTTGTCCTTGAGGATTTTAATGTTTCAATAGTTTCTTAAATGTTAATAATACATTTAGGACATGGACAATTATTCTTTTGAATTTATAAGATGTGGCTATACACTACATTAGTTCTTAATAACATGAATGAAAATAAGTCATAAATAAATAATTGTATTTAGTGTTCAACTAGTACATCTTTGATATACAGAATGTGACTGAATGTTAGCAACTTAGAAGTTTCAGAATCTCCAAGTCCTATCATCTTCATATTAAGTAGTGCTTTGAAACGCTGCCACTACTGTCTATGTTTTTCCTATTTTCTTTGAAGGCCTCACACACAGAAGAACTTCCCTAGTGTAGGTTGACTCACCTATGCTGAATGGAATGGCTTTTCTCTGCCTGGACACTTATGTGAAGAGACTCAAATACTCTCCTGTGAGAGGGGTAGCCCCAGGATGGAGTGGAGACAGAGAAAGCCTGGGCACCCGAGGCCTTGGTTCTCATCTAGCTCCATCAGCACTAGTTCTTTGATCCTGTCACCTTCATGCTTCTGTTTTGTCATCAGCAAAATGGAAGAGTTGTGCAACAGTTGAAGTCTCTTCAAGCCCTCGCCCTCTATGACTCTGTGACCAGATCCAGGAATACACTTCAATCATGGATTCCTCAGGGTCTCCTGTTGGCTTCTCAGCCTTGGAGGAGGACTGCCTCTATGTTTAGTCCCACTACGGTGGATGGCTGCTTCCCAGGCTTGTGATTTCTCAGGAAACAGGATATGAATTGCTAACCAATGGGAAGAAGGAATGAACTCTCAATATAAAACATTAATAGGAAAGAGAATAGATCAGAGAAAAAGAAAGAGAAGTCAGTTGTTAGATCATAGAATAGACGGCGGTTCTTGCATTAGAACCACCTAAGGAGTTTTGAAAAAAAAATATCAATATTCAACTTATCCGAATCAATTAAGTCAGAATCTTTAAGGGTAGAGCTGACACTAATACTTAAAGAATAAAAACAATGTCTCCTGAATATTTCTATTGCACAGCCAGTATTGAGAACTACAAGTTGATGGTGAGCGTATCATTTGAAGAAGGGAAGAAAATAAGTCCATTCAGAAATACCATTATGCAAATAAACTGTCTTTAAAAATCTACAAACTTGGAAATGTTAACTATTCTCAGTTTACAGAAATGACCCAGACCACTCCCGAGACGAGTCTATTGGGCAGCCAAGGTTAGACCCAGTAGACCATAAGTCACTCTGCAATCCTTTAATATTTGCTCATTAGACTCCAGATTTAGGTCACTGGAAAATAAAGACAGATAGATGTTTATTTAGTCTGTCACCATGAGTGAGAAAGGCTGTTCTTTAGACTAGACTATTCTGAACAAAGAAATGGATGTTTTTGCATTTTATTTTATATCTTATCTTTTATTTTGACAGAGTCTCACTCTGTGGCCCAAATTGGAGTGCAGTGGTGCAATCTCAGCTCACTGCAACCTCCACCTCCCAGGGTCAAGCAATTCAGCCCCAGAGTAGCTGGGACTACAGGCACATACCACCACACCTGGCTAATTTTTTGTATTTTTAGTAGAGATAGGGTATCACCATGTTGCCAGGCTGGTCTTGAATTCCTAACCTCAGGTGAGCCACCCACCTCGGCCTCACAAAGTGCTAGAAGAGTGCCTATAAGCTACTCTTACAGGCATGGGCCACTGTGTCCGGCCACTTTTGCATTTTAAGAGATGTGATTCCCTAGAAACAATTCCAAATTCTTATATGCCTGTGCACACATTTGCACTCAAATGTCTGTTTGCCTTTCTGCATATATCATTTATTTGCACCCACTTACACAGGACTAGAAATATATTTTCTCGATGTTGACAGAATAAGAGGCATTAGTCACATTAGACATGATCAGGGTAGATAAAAGTCTGCATCTCTGTTTCTGAAATGGAGAAAAGACGGCAATGACTCCTCTTAAACTCAGATGTTGCAGAAAATTATGTCTTTACATCTTGCTCAGGACCAACTACTGTGTGGCCAAACTCTTATTACAACTATCATGCCACTATTTTGTCTTATTTTCAGGGAAGTGCTGGGTAGAGAAGGGCAGGGTCCCAGTCTAGGGGTCCACCCTCGGGCCTGTGTTTGCAGACCTAAGTGAGAACAAGCACTCCTGTTCTTGCACGCAAATGTTGCACATTCCAAGACCACTCTGGCCTTCCATGCCCTCATATCCTGTGTCCATATAAACCAAGACCTTAGCGGGCACACACACAGTGGGTGAAAGTCGAGAGGAGCAGAGGAGTAGAGCAATAGACACCAGCAGATTGGCAAACCAGTGATGGCAGAATGACACAGCAGAGTAAGAGAGAGGGGGGAGTCTGCCTCTGGGCATCCTGACTCCAGGGGAAGACCACCTTCCCATTCCATCTCCCCTTCTGGCTCCCCACCCATCTCACTGAGAACCACCTCCATCACTCAATAAAAGCTTGCATTCACCTTTCAAGTGCACATGTGATCCGATTTTTCTGGTACACTGGGCAAACACTCAGGATACAGACAGCTGTCATACTGGTCCTCTGCCCTTACGATAAGACAGAGGGTCTATCGAGCTGATCAGCACAAGCTGTCTGCAGATGGCAAAGATGGAAGAGCACACTGGAATGCATGCCCACTTGGACTTCAGGAGTCACAGACACCCACCCCTAGATGCAGCCATGGGGCTGGAGCCCAAAAGCACTCCCCATGGCTTCTGTACCTGCCCTTCTGCATGCTTCCTCCAGGGGTTTGAGGAGTGGGGCAGCCAAAGGAGCGAGCCACCCCTGTCACACATCTTGCAAGGGGGATGAGGAAACTCTCCCATTTCACCAGTCTATAGTAATAGAAAGCAGATCAGTGTTTGCCTGGGGACAGAGGGACACAAGGAAACTTTGGGGGTGATGATTATATTCATTTAATTATTGTGATGGCTTCACGGGTGTATACATGTTTCAATACTTATTAAATGGTACACTAAATATGTGCAGCATATGTTGACTAGACCTCAATAAAGTTATTTAAATAAAAATGCTAATGATAAATACAGGTTTTATGCATAACTACCTTCACACCTCATTCCAATGTGATATTTAAGCTTTTACCTCATGCCTTCATCTGTAATACAATGCATACATGCAAAACTGACCCAATAGTCTTAGAGACAAGTTTCTAGGATATACATAGAAATTGACCCTTCTGGTTTTAAAGCTTGAAACTTAAGTTTGTTTTATCTGAGTTTCTTCCTCAGGAAAGGATGCCCAGGCCTCTCCAAAAGTATCAAAGGATTGAAACTTACTAGATCATCACTTCCAGCCAAATGAGGTTCCAGGCCCTTCATTCATCATGATTGCTTCCTAACCATTCTCTACTTCCTCTCTTCTCACACATAGTCACATTTCTTCCCTGCTGCATAAACCTCTAATTTTAGTTAGTTAGGGAGATGGAGTTGAGACTGATCTCCCATCCCCTTGGCTGTAGCACCTGATCAAAGCCTTTCTTGGTGATACTTGTCATCTCAGTGATTGGCTTTCTGTGTGGCGAGGACCTAGATCAAACCCTTGGCATTTCGGTAACACATGTACATCCATAATACAATGTTGGCCTTGTTGCTATGGGGTAAATTTAACAGTGAAAGTTGAGACATTCTCATTAAAACTGGGGGCCTAGCACAGCTACTTCCTAGTCTAGGGCGGGTGTGGGGGGGCTCAAGCTATACTTCAACTCTCTTGCCTCAGGCATGTGACAGTGGATGGCATTGTGGTAGCATCACAAATTCTGTAAAATTAACCATAAGTGGGAAAGTTTTAAAAAATCACTCTAAAGCTCAATTTCCATCCTGGTATAAAGATGATAAATTTGGAAGCTGGTGACAGGAAACAGACCAGACTGCTATGCTGCAGTTAGGAATGGAAAGTTTCACTTTGGAAAACAATGCTTTTAGTCTCTACATTAAATAGGAGTAGTCAAAAAAAGTAACAAATATATAGTAACCAGCCATGTAATTTAGAGGACAACTTCATTTGTGCATCATATGACAGGATTGCTGGTCTTGTTTCTATTTACATTTTTAATTATTTTGTACTAAATAAAAGAAGCAGGGACACAAACACATTGGGGGTTGGGGGGAGCCCAGAAACTAAACTGCTCCTGCACTCTAAACGGGACCACTTCTGTTCAGCGCTAGCTAATCATCGCCATTGGACATGTTGTCAGGTCTCTCCTTCTTCAAAAAAAGCTGGGAATTAAGATTTTTTACGTGAACTTCCATTAAAACAACAGGAACAGCCATTCCAAGAATTTTTCCAACATTGTGTGGATCAAATACACACATCAGTATGTGATCTCTGTCAAAACCATTTTAATATCCTCAGACAGAGAATCATCCTACATGTAAAACTGAAATTCATTTCTCAGAAAAATCTGAAGACTTTTGTTTTTACGCTGTAAGAGCTCATGTCAAACTTATGCAAAAGGCACACCTTTAATACAGCCACTGGAGCTCATTTTGATTATTCTCAACTTTTTATTTAATAAAAATGCAATCTTACTGAAATGTCATTGATAATGACACTCAGAAAAATATGCAAATGTGTTCACCTAGCACTCAAAGTGTATAGAGAGTTCTAAGAAGACTAGAGTGTGCAATGAAGACTATTATCTAGTGTTTTCTTAGTTCAGGGTGCTATAATAGCTACTTTGTATATATTAATTTACTTAATTCTCATAACCAATTGAAGTACTAGTTTTATAATCTCCATACAGATAGAAAAACTGAAGCATAGAAATTTAAGTATTTTGTCAAACTTCTTACACACCTAGGAAGTGGCAGAGCTAGGATGCAAAGCCAATCAGGTTGGTTCCACAATCTAATTTTAATCCCCCAGCCAGCCTGCCTTTCAAATTAAAGTTAATAAGTATCCAGATGATTGTGCATTTTTATGTGGATCATGACAATTACAGCAGAATTTCATGCCATATGCATTCTTGTGATGCAGTAAATAGAATAAATGTAACTATTTTTAAAAATAGAGATGGGATCTCACTATGTTGCCCAGGATAGATTTGAACTCCTGGGCTCAGGAGATCCTCTCTCCTCTGCTTCCCGAATAGTTCGGACTGCAGGCGTGTATCACCACGCCTGGCTTCTAATTACTTTCAAACTTGATTGGATCATTACAGTGTGCCATGTTCTGAATTTATTACAAATCACCAGTGGTGTTTTCAGCCCAACATGCAACACGAGGAAGACTTTATTTGTTCATCACAAGACTTGATTTGCTTACTTGCTGTTATTTCAAACATAACACAATATCCTAAGAAATGAACATTGGAAGAGACAGATCCTAGGGACTATCTGGTCCAAACGCCCCTTAATTGAGAACTTGGGAAAACCATGTGAAAAGGACATCTCTCTCTCTCTCTGTTGACTGTCAAAGTTGATTGAGTATATGTGGGGATTCTTGTCCTTTATCGCCTATCTATGTTCCTCTCTCATTATGTGGCATATCACATGAAAGAGGATACTCTTTCTGGATAAAGAATTATCAGAGGAGGAAATGAGAAGGTGTGAGATCAAATGGCTTTTCCCTAAGTCGGTTTGCTAGTACTGGAGTTGAAATATTTTTAATCCAACGAATTCTGTTTCTGTTTTGTCTGCTGAGACATTTTTGTTCAAAGGCCCAAGGAGAATTCAAATATCCATTCATTTACCAAGTTTCATTTACATCAGGAACTGAGATAGTCTCAATTTTCACATAATAATATCATAAGTTAGCCATTATGTTGCTGTCAATAATTAAAAAAAAAAAAAACTACAGTTGATGCTTATACTACAGGGGTTTGAACTGCATGGGTCAATTTAAATGCAGATTTTTTTTCAACCAAATGCAGATTAAAAATAATTCATGGGATGCAAAATCCGTATATACAGAAGGCTGACTTCTATACTCCAGCTCTGCCAGAGGACTGTGGACTTGAATCCTGGAACCAATTCCCCTACAGTCAAAACTGAGGAACGACTGTATTATGCTATTGACACTGGTGACAATTTTGCAAATCTCTTATACCTGAGTATTTTCTATTTTATGAGTACTACCGGAACTTTAGAATACCTTTTTGTTAGAAATTTGTAAAACACATTTTCTTCCATCAGTAATCCAGTGTAGATCTTCACGAGTTCCTTAACACCAGAGACTGTTAGGTACTGGAGCAGTGAAGAAAAAAATATTTCTTGTTTGGAATATGAAAGAAGATAGTAATAGCAATTATAGTAATAACTAGAGGAAACAAATAATACGATTATTTAGAAAACCAGGGTCTATTCAATTTATTCACTATCTTGCATGCATAAATATATTTCTTCTTGTTCATTAACGTGGGTGTTCATTTAAGTTCTTAAATCTTACTCAGTTTATGCAAATGAATAAAGGGGTTTAGATTGTTATTTATTTGACCATGTAGAGAGACTAAGGCGCGTGGCACACAAAGTTAGCTTATGAGTCTGATTTTTTTTAAGATAGGATCTTGCTCTGTTGCTTAGGCTGGAGCACAGTGGTGCAACCGTGGCTCATGGTGAAAGGCGAAAGGTTCCCTTGTTCCCCTCAAAGGGCATGCGATGGGGGTGTGGCTCGCTTCTTCAGTACCCCGCTGCTCAAACCTCTAGGGGAGCACACAGACAGGCAGGCTATGGGGCTCCGACCTCACGGCAGTGCCTAGGGGTGAATGTTTCCAGCTCCTGAAGACCCAGTGGGCATGTGTTACAGGGTCTCTTAGTTTGCTGTCTACAGGTGGCTTGTGTTAACCAGCTCAATTAGACCCTCTACCTTGTCACCAGGACAGAGGGCTTTCTGTATCCCCAGTTCTTGCCTTGGCGTGCTGGAAAAATCAGATCACACCTGGGCTTGGAGATTGAGTGCAAAGTTTTATTAAAGGAGCTGTCCCACCATGGAGAGCCAGAAGGGAGATGGTTTTCCCCTGGAGTTGGGCAGCTTGGCGGCCCCTACTCTCCTCCGACTGCCCTGCCAAACTCCACCTCGTCCCGCGGGTTGATGGCCTGCTGGCTTGCCAGCATGTGCCAGTGTGCTCTTCAGCCAGCGTGCGCTCTAGATGTCCTCTCTCTGTCCAGCTGCTTGTGTCTTTGTCTGCTGATATGCTCCTCTTGACGTCTGGCCGCCTGTGAGTCGGCCTGCTAGGGTCTCCGGTTTTTATAGGCCCAGGATGGGCAGGCCCAGTGGTCTTGGAAAATGCAATATTTGCGCGTCAAGGCAGGAGTGTCTGTCCTCACCTAGGTCCGTGGAGGTGGAACCCTAGCCAGGGACCACGCCCTCCTCTACCCAGCACCTCCCTTCCCCTCTTCCGTATCATTTAAAGGGATCACACTCTTCCCTTCCCAGGACTCCCTTGACCTTTTGGGCTCAAGTGACCTCCTGCCTCAGCTTTCTGAGTAGCTGGGACTACAGGCGTGTTCCACCACACCCAGCTGATTTAAAAATATTTTTGTAGAGAGGGGGTCTCACTATGTTGCCCTGGCTGGTCTTAAACTGCTGGCCTTAAGCAGTCCTCTAGCCTCAGCCTCCCAAAGTGCTAAGATTACAGGCATAAGCCACCGCACCCAATCAAGTCTGATACACTTGATCCATACAGAGTTGAGGTTTCTTCTTTTCCTTTCTTTACTCTTTCTTTCTTCTTCTTCTTTCTTTTTTCTTTTTTTAATGCTCTAGATCACTATTGTGAGACAAGCCTATAAAGTAATGAGAGGGATTAAAATGGAAAACAAATATTGGATGCTAAAATCCAAATGACAAATAATACCTTCTTGGATTAGTCATCTGGGGCCACCTTCTTAATGCAATGTTCCTGTTCAAGATGTTTTCAAAATTCTACTTTTAAAATTGCTGTTAGTGTCTTTGCAATAGTCTTAGCAACAGAAAAATTTTGGTACTTTGAGGATGAAATTTGTATTTAGAAAAAGCCAAAAATTATCCTGAATCTAGCGTGATAAATAGAAGAGTTGAAGAAGTTCAGTGATGTCATTCTCTGCATGGTTCAAAATTAAGGCTTGAAGATAATTCTACAAGTGCTAAAATGTTTTACAAAAGTGTTGACAATATTTAACAAGTCATAATTTTCCAGGGCAAAAAGTTTTTAGAGATAGCACTTAATTGGATTTCTAAATTCTCATATGCTTTCTATAAAAATATACTACACATAGCTATTCTATAATAATAAATTTTGGAAATAGCATATTGAGAATGTGCACACCTTATACAAAAATATCTCCAAGAAAAAAAATATTTTTGTTTATTGAAAATTGTGCTTAAGATATATGCTAATTACCTTGCTTTTTGAAAGTAATCTGTTTACTAAATTTTTCATTTTTTTCTCTAAACTTTAATGTGCAAAACAATCTTATTGTGCTTCTATTCTAGAATCATGCAAGATTAAATCACTGATAACTTTTATGTAGTCAACCTTCAAAATGCATCTAGGTATGGTCATGGCAGTGGCTAGAGAAAATGGTTGGGAGTATTTGAAAAGGAATAATTTTTCAAAAATGCACTCATTCATTTTGAAAAATGTTTTGATGTTTCCTGGATACTGTCTCTAAATACTGCTGCTAAGCCTCACTTTTACAACCATCTGGTTTATATCTTTTTTTTCTCTTAAATATGCCATACCTCACACGTAGTTTGATATAGTTTATATTTGTAGAGATGAATGTTTAGAGAATATTTTGTAAGATCAACAAATTGTGTGTGTGTTTTAATAAAAACATCTTTAAATACTCTTTTTTTTCCTGACAATGGAATGACCAGGTTTCAATGATTCATTGCTCAACTTCATTAATTTTCCTTCAGTAAGGAATTTACCTCATGTTAAGCTGTGACTAACAAGAGCTATGAAACCCAGCATTTTGAATGAATTGATGGATCAATTAAAATAATTACAGAATTTGGTTTTAAAAAAGTATAGCAATTTATCTCAAATTTATCAAAATAATCCACTGCTCAAAGGTAAAAGCAAAACCTTAGTAAATGTAGAATGCACTGGGATAGGTTGTTCACTTGAAAAAGTCCTAGTAACAGATTGCTTTATTGTATTTAACTTTAATTTCAAAAATGAAATAGGAAGGATGAAGAAGGTAATTTTAACATAACCAGTCCTTGTGATATGTTAGTTATATTACAGAGACTATTTGATCTAAAAACCTATGTAAAAGTTACAAAAAGTCACTCATCATATTGTTTTTTTTCCTAACAGTAGTCATTTGCAACATCTTACCAAGTTCAAATAAAAAAACATTATTTTGTGTTGGAAGACAGAAAAAAGAATGTAGAGGTAAGACATATGAAACCTGTATTTGGATAATAATATATTCAAATGAACATGTATACATACATATTTATGTAGCAAAATGGTATTTGTATATATTACTTTTCTATTATTTATTAATTATTGGGACAATATTATCTAAACATCTTTCTAATATTTTGTTTACCTAGTATTTAAAAAGGAATAATTGTTATTTAAATGGTATTCCACATAGCAATTTAGAAAATATTAATCACTTTGACTAAAAGCATACCATGGTATACATAATTTTATGATTTTGATGCATAAAAAACAGCATAAAGCCAATGGTATGAATACAGAAATAATATGTTTCAATGTTGACATGTCCTTTTCATTCTCATAATATAATTTTAAGGATGCTATGGATATGATCATCAATAAGAACTGAAAATTTTCTTACAGCTCTGCCTGTAATGGCCTACATTTCTTCAACTGCAATGTTGCAACAAAAATTAAATTACTCTGCCAAGTGTCTAAAATTCCCTTTATTGGCAGGATAACCAGGCACAATACCTAGGATAAATATATTAGGAAAAAAATGTCACAGTTACTTAGGACCGTGAATTTGTGAATTTCATAGTTTGCAGTTTCAGTGACCTCTTAAACACTGAAAATCACACATATTCTTCATCCAAGTGACCACTCCTGTGCTACCAAGTTCCTTGCAATGCAAGCCTTGAGCAAAGGGGTGAGATACTGACCAAATCCATATGTTTTATTCCCTGACAGACAGTTTTGGGATGGAAGCAGAGGCTCCTACACAAAAATAGCTTCTTCCTAGATGCCACTGTTGGGAGATCTACTCCAGTTACTAACTCTTAAGTATTATTATCCTTTATTCTTTATTTTCTTTTTCTAATATTACTTTAAAGCTGAGGGAGAGAACCAAAGGTAAAATTAGAGCATTTCCAAGGGACACAGTTGTAGACTTGTTGTTCTCAAAAGTCAGCTGAGCCCAGGTGCAGTGGCTCATGCCTGTAATCACAGCACTTTGGGAGGCCAAGGCAGGAGGAGCACTTGAGGTCAGGAGTTTGAGACCAACATGGCCAACATGGTGAAACCCCATCTCCACTAAAAGCACAAAAATTAGCTGGGTGTGGTGTCAGGCACCTGTAATCCCAGCTATTCAGGAGGCTGAAGCAGAGGAATCACTTGAACCCAGGAGGCAGGGTTTGCAGTGAGCTGAGATCGTGCCACTGTATTCCAGCCTGGGTGACAGAGTGAGACTCTCTCAAAACAACCACAACCACAACAACAACAACAAAAAACACAAATCAGTGGAATCACCATACTTTAGTACCATGTACAATTAGCAATTACTCATACAAATATTAAAATGCTTGGAGAGTTTAGAAGTCTCTAAACCTGTGCCTCTTTCAATGAAATTTCTCCCATTTGAGTTTGTATAAATTCAGTCTGGGCTAATTCTTTCCACTCTATTTTTTGTCTGGCCTTGCTGAGAAAGTAAAGCAAGGAGGGACACAGGAAGAGATATACCAAAAACATTGATGTACATAACTGGTGCTAGCAACACACTCAAAGTTGATCTTTTCTTGGATGCCACAATAGCAAGTTCTGAGTGACAACCAGGGACCATGTAGATTCAGATATTTCTGCTTCAACATTCCTTGAGTGGAATCTTTTACTGGAACTTTAGGCCAATTAAGTTGACTTGAAAACAATCAGTGTGAGTAAATTATATGGCACAAGTGATGAACACTTAACTTAGGCATGTACATATGGAGCCAAAGCCATAAATTCTTCATAAACCTCATTGGACCATCTCACTAGTGATTGGCAAGTTAGAGAAGGTTTTTTTTTTTTTTTAATCCAGTCAGTGTTTTCTTCTGAAAGCTTGCACTGACTTTTAAAGATTTCTCTGCATTTTATTATATTTTTAAAGTTTGATGCCATTACTGCTATTACTTAGATTTTATCTTTTAAAAATTCTATCTCTGCTTCTGTGTTTGTGTGTGTGTTTGCATAGGCTGAGAAGTCAAATTTTCTGCCTGCTAAGCAAGATATAAGGCCTTCTCTCTGAACAGGAAACAATATGATCCTTTCCATCTCTTCCTGTGAGAGTTACTTTAGAAGCTCCCATGGGGCAGTAAAGATGTCTCTTGTTTTGGTTTACTCAGAGCTCCTTCCCCTTTTGAAAATAACAACACTATAGTTATACTTGGAGAATGATTCTTTGCTCACTTTTAGACCACGTGGTTCCTGTAGGAAAGAGAACATTCCCCAGAATCAACAGTGGGCACGTGACCAGAGCGAAAGTCTCAAAAGCAGTGAACTACAACTCCAGATAATTCTGCATGAGAAGGAAATAAACCTGGACGAGCTGGCAGCTGGTACCTCTACAAGGCAAGAAACTGCCTGTCCATGGAGCCAACCTCGGAGAACTGAGCCAAGATATGGGGACTGAGACCAAATGACAATTCAGATGGTGATATCTATCACTCCGTCTTTAGTACTGGGAGGTTTCCGAGCTTCACTATTCAGAATATCCACTGTGTCTTGAACTGTTAAATTGCCTTGGTCATGATGAATTAAGGAAAGCAAGCAAACTTAACTCAGTGTCTTATTAATTGATGCATACAGGCAAAACAGAACTTTATTAATGTCTGCTCATGCAGAGTGATGTGCTTAAATAGTCTTATTCAGGAGGCAAACACCTTGCAATAAATTGTAAGGCCATGTTTATCGCTTAATAGCTTATTGAACTGAATTTAATTGTCAACACACCTCTTTCAGTTGCAGTTGATAAACTTCAGATAGTCCATTTCCAGATAAATATGTTTCTGAGATTTTTCAAAAATAATTACTTGAACATTTAGGTTTCATAGTGATTTTAAATCTCTCAAATGTATTATGTTAACATTTTCAATGACTTATAGAATAATTACAGAATAATTTAAAGAACTTATAGAATAATTTAAAGACTATTCTTATGCATGTCCACTGCATATGTTAAAGACACAAAATATGTGTCTAGAGTTAAATGCTATTTAATTAAGTATTGAAAGACATGCATCTTGGGATTTCCATATTTCAGATGAGACACTTTTCAGACAGCTGTGTCCTATTTTATTGCTGATTTGTATTAACCAAAGTGGCACATTAGGGTATCATCAGGGAATGAGACAGAAATAAAGCCTGGGTCCCAGCTGTTCTCCGTGAACTTCCATTCTTTTCTCTCTGTGTGAGATGACACAGAGAAAGAAAAGTAAGAACAGGTCTGGAGAGGCAGTAAGTGTTGTCAAAGGCATGTGACTGTTAATGTTACTTTTCTTCAAAAATGTGGAATTGGTTAGAATTATTCAGGAAAGACTCAAGGAAAGAATTTTCATACAAAGTTGAAAGGACATCCTTTCTCAGACATTTCACTAACAGACATTACATTATCTGAGGAAGGAGGAAATATTCTGCAGAAGACAAAAAAAAGATGAAATAGAGGATGAAGAGTAGTATAGAAAATCAAGAAGAAGAAGAGAAAGTAGAAAAGGAGAAGAAGGATGAGACAGATTGGATGCTAAAAGCATGGAAAGAGAATGTGGTTTTGGAAAGTATCAGTCAGACTAACATAGTTTTGCACCCATTTCCAATGCTTAAAACCTTGGACAATATTTCCCTTTTTGGGCCTCTATAGTCACAACTGAAAGATAAGAAGAATCTTTATGTATTGGTTTTGTCTTAGATGGCTGATAAATAAGACATTTGAAGCATCAACCATGGTCGCTGGCCCCTAACTGTTCATACACATGCATTGCATTTTCTCCTTATCCTTAGGCAGTGTATACATATTACATGTTTGAACAACACATGCCTATTTAATACCTTTCATGTTCCTAACACTGTTTTAGGCATTGAGCATAGAACAGGGAACAAAACAAATAAAACCCCAAACTTTCATGGAGCTTATATTCTGTAGGCAGAAGACAGTTATAAACAAAATAAATCAATATACTGTATACAAATTTGTGTGTAAGGTGTTGTTACTGAGGGAAATATAAGAAGGAGGGGGATAGTCAGTATGGGGGAATCAATTATTTAAAAGGGTGGTTAGGCAAAGCCTCGCTGATAAAGTGGCATTTTGGAAAAAAAAAAAAAAAAAAAAAACCTGAGGAAGGTGAGAGCAAAGAACATTCATCCAGGGCCGGGTTCAGTGGCTGATGCCTGTAATCCCAGCACTTTGGGAGGCCGAGACAGGCAGATCATTTGAGGTCAGGAGTTCAAGACCAGCCTGGCCAACATGGTAAAACCCTGTCTCTACCTAAAATACAAAAAAAAGCCAGACATGCTGATGCACACCTGTAATCCCAGCTACTCAAGAGGCTGAGACAAGAGAATCGCTTGAACCTGGGAGGCGAAGGTTGCAGTGAGCCGAGATTTTGCCACTGCCCTCCAGCCTGGGCGACAGAGCGAGACTCCGTCTCAAAAAAAAAAAGAACATTCAGCCAGATGGAAGGGCAGGTACAAAGGCCCTGAGGCAGGAATGTGACTGGCTGATAGGTTGGGAGGACATTGTGGCTGGAGGCATACACCAAGGGGAGGGGGCAAAGGGCATATTTAGTGAGGCAGAGGTAGGCAAAGTAATGGTAGGCTTTCTACCCTGAGTGAGAGGAGCATCCATCAGAGGAATTCTATCTGAGGAATGACATGATCTGATATATGTTTTAAGAGTAGCACATTGTCTGCTGTTTTTGACCCAGCAATCCCATTACTGGGTATACACCCAAAGGAAAATAAATCACTCTACCAAAAAGACACCTGCATTCATATGTTCACTGCAGCACTATTCACAATAGCAAAGACATGGAATCAACCCAGGTGCCTATCGACAGTGGATTGGATAAAAATTTTGAGATATGTATATACCATGGAATACTACGCAGCCATAAAAAAAGAACAAAATCACATCCTGTGCAGCAACATGGATGCAGCTGGAGGCCATTATCCTAAGTTAATTGACACAGGAACAGAAAACCAAATATTGTATGTTCTCACTTACAAGCGGGAGTTAAACACTGGGTATGCACTTGAGTACTCCTGGACACAAAGATGGGAACAATAGACACTGAGAACTCCAAAATGGGGAACAGAGGGTGGAGGGTAAGGGGTGAAAAACAATCTATCCGGTACAATGTTTGCTTCCTGGGCAGTGTGATCATTAGAAGCCCAAACCACAGCATCATGTAATATACCCATGTAACACATCTGCACATGTATCCTCTGAATCTGAAATGAAAAATACAATGTTTAAAAAAAGAAAATGGAATGCAAAAAGGTGAAGGCCAGTTATGATGGCAATTTGAAATTTGGATATTATTTGATTCCTTGGTTCAATCTACAACTGGGGATCGGAAGCAGCCTCTCTCCTTCATTCCCTGTCACTCTAACTTCTGCTTTGATTGTTTTAATTAATTGCATGACTCTCCAGCCATAGGTTAGCAATGCCTTTCTGTAATGTGATCCAATTAGCATACTATAGTGAACTCCCTATGGATAACTCTCCCAGTACCCTTGTCTTTGAAAACTGTCTCCCTCTCATTTCTTTCTCATATTTCTATATGGGAGCAAACATATTTGGGTAACATTGACCCTACCTCTGGTCACAAACAAGTGTTCAGGGCCAGGCACAATCCAAGTGGCCCAATGTGCTCCTACCTATGTAATTATGAGAGTCCAGAGTCTGGCTGCTCTCTTGAGGAGTGACTGTAAACTTGGGACATGTTTGGCATTCATTTTCCACCATGAAGACTGCAGTGGAAGAATATGGTTTCCACGGAGAGGGAAGAATGAAGCCTATGCCCAGAGGGAAGCAGGGACAAGAGAGGAGCAAGTGCAAAGTGTCTGCTTCCTGGTCATTTCTGAGGTCCAGCTTCCTGGGTTTCCATTAGACACCCGTGCATCCTCACAATAAATTGCCTTTTCGCTTACCTTAAGCTAGAGTTTGTTACAATCATATGTAATATTAAAACTTTAAGAGACTGACATGACAACAAGAAATCTAAAGTAGAATAATCACTATGTATTATGCTATACATACACACACACACACACACACACACACAAAGCCATAGGCTTCATAATTAACATTTTAAAGCTGAAGCAAAATATTTACTAATTAAGTAACCACATTTAAAATGCTTCTTACAAATGGCTATCAGAGCCATAAAAATCACAGTAGGGGAGGTGATAAAATACATTCTTCAAACTCCAAAATAATTGACATAATGATAATCATCATCTTTGTGTGTTGCCAAAAGCATTTAAAAAGTCATCATGAGGCCAAGCATGATGGCTCATGCTTGTAATCCCAGCACTTTGGGAGGCCATGGTGTGTGGATCACTTGAGGTCAGGAGTTCAAGACCAGCCTGGCCAACATGGTGAAACCGTCTCTAATAAAAATAAAAAAATTTTAAAAAAATTAGCCAGGCATCATGGTGCATGCCTGTAATCCCAGCTACTTGGGAGGCTGAGGCGGAAGAATCGTTTGAACCCAGGAAGTGGAGGTTGTGGTGAGCTGAGATCACACCACTGCACTCCAGCCTGGGTGACAGAGTGAGACTCTGTCTCAAAGAAAAAAAAAAAAGTTATTATGAGACTCTTGTCAATGTTATCCTAAGAAATCCATAATGACCCCACCATTGTGTCAGATGCCTATTTTTTTCTGTTTTTGTACAGGGTTCTGATACTTTATGTTTACATCTTCAATGGAACTGAGTTGAATACTGCATGGTATATTTTCAGTTACAAATGGTAGCCTCAGCTATTGTTTACTGATTTGTTACCATGATTTTCTAAAATTGTACAAGGGTCATCTTCACTCCAATTCAGAAAATACTGAGGACATGTATGAACAGTCTGTGTTTTATGGTCGAATTTAAGGAACAACTTCAGTCTTAATAACAATTTTGAAAATCATTGTAGAGGTTTTCTTGGAATTTCCATTATATTTATATGACCATCAATGACACAAATATATCAGAATAGCCAATAAGGTTATACCTTACTGTTGTGTTATACAAGTAAAGAAATAGGAAGAAACAACAGAAGGAAGTGAAGGTTCTTAGAGTAAGTAGAATGCACTAAGTTATTGCTGCAAAAAAAGTATTTCATAGTGGCCCATCCAAAATATCTCCTACATTCAAATTTCTTTTCCTCTTTACATTACAATTTGCAACCATACTATTTGGCTTTACGATTAAATTTTCCAAGTCTGTGCTAAAATACATTCAGTAACTTCTTGAAGTCAAATTTCAATACATTTTGTTTTGTAAACAGGACACGAAAATGATATATCAGGTTGGCTTTATATTACTATTCTGTTATAAACTTTGTGGATGTCAGAATAACAACTGCACATTGTGCAGGATATTCTTTAGAATAATGAATTCCAACAGTAATTAATTTCTTTACCCTGAGCACAATGGAATGTTAACTATTGCCAGGCATGATAGCCAAGAGTAAATAATTTTTCTCATTAACTTTCTAAAACCTTACTCTTTATACTTCAGAATAAAATATCCCTATAATTAATAAATTCAAAAACATTTAACTTTTGAACTCATTAAAATTTTATTTAAAAGCTTAGTGGGCACATTATTGTACAGGATTGGCACTTGTGCTATTTTTATGAGTATAATTGGTATCTAACATTTAATTTTTGGTGTGAAAAAAATTTCCCTGAGAAAAATGTAACATTTCAGAGTAGTCCTATCAGTAGCCCCTTTTGATCCTAAATAGATATCACAGCCACTTGATTATAATGTTTGCTCATTGGTTATATAGCTACTGCTTAACCAGCAAAGAAGTTTGTCAGCTACCATGTGTTATATGCAATGCTATAAATGTAGTAACATGGTGCCTGTGGACAGCATACTGGGAACTCCTGCAGAAAAAGGTATGTGGGATGGAGCTAGAACCAAAATGGATGCAAGCTGCAAAAGGAAAAGCCCAAATCTAGTATCACAAATTGAAAGTTTAAGAAGCAAATTCAAGACCAGTCTGTGCAAGTATCAAGTTATTAGATATTCAAATAGACAGGCAGGACTAGATGCAACCAAGACTTTGTGGAAGAAAGGATTTATAGTGTTAGGCAAGCTCTCTGGACCTTGAATCATGGCTAATACTAATAAAGTGTGGTCAAATTCAGGGGCCTGCCGAGAATGAAAGCTGGCTGAACTAAGCATGAAGGTCAGAGATAGGCTCCATTCTCCTCACCCACTGCCCTCTATTCTCTTCCAGTTGTCAGAGAAAACCGACACTAAGAACCCAAGCAGAAAGGCCAGTGGACAGGTAGTTTGGCCTTCTATACTAATGTTAGAGACAAAGACTGCATTGTGATACTTTCAATCAGGTAGCAGCATGGAGTGGCTGAGTATTTCTGCTTCCTGCTTGGTGAGTAGGAGGGAGCCACAGCTAGCTGGCCAGTTGGGCTGTCACTGGGCCTTAGAGGTCAGAGATAATGCAGGGCAGCTAAGGTGAAACCAGCTTAGCCTCACCCAGTGGGTGGAAGAGACCCACACTGTGCATGCCCAGCATGATCCTAATAATTTGAGTACTTCTCCCAGACCCGCAGGCATTGGTATAACCATGGGTGTGAATATAAGGCTATGTAGAACACTACTAATGAGCTGTTAGCCTATATGCTACTCCCAGTACAAAGCTCAGCATTATCCAACCTCCCAGGTGGTTTATCCAGTCGTTTGCAAACCTCAGTGTTCAGCAGAATCACCTGGAGAATTTGTTGAAACAGATCACTGAACCTTCTCCATAGTTTCTGATTGGGTAGGTGTTATGGGCTTATGTCCCACCTCCCCCAAATCTGTATGTTGAAATCCTAACTGCCAATATCTCAGAATATGACCATATTTGGAGACAGGACCTTTAAAGAGGTAGTTATATGAGGTCATGTGGGTTGGCTCTAATCCAATACGAATGGTGTCCTTACTGGAAAAGGAGTTTAGGAAACAGACATTTAAGTGCAGAGAGAAAAGGCCACGCGAGGACACAGTGAGGGGGAAGCCATCAAGAAAGGGGAGACACGGTGAGGGCGAAACCATCAGGATGGGGGAGACACAGTGAGGGGGAAGCTGTCAGGACAGGGAAGACACGGTGAGGGGGAAGCCATCAGGAGAGGGGAGACAGGGTGAGGGGGAAGCAGTCAGCACGGGGGAGACACAGTGAGGGGGAGACCATCAGGAGAGGGGAGACACGGTGAGGCGAAGCCTTCAGGTTGGGGGAGACACTGTCAGGATGCGGAAGACACGGTGAGGGCGAAGCCATCAGGACAGCGGAGACATAGTGAGGGGGAGGTTGTCTGGAGAGGGGAGACACGGTGAGGGGGAAGCAGTCAGGAGAGGGGAGACACGGTGAGGGGGAAGCAGTCAGCAAAGGGGAGACAGGGTGAGGGGGAAGCCGTCAGGAGAGGGAAGACAGGGTGATGGGGAAGCTGTCAGGACGGGCGGAGACGCGGTGAGGGAGAAGCTGTCAGGAGAGGGGAGACACGGTGATGGGGAAGCAGTCAGGAGAAGGGAGACACGGTGAGGGGGAAGCCCTCAGGAGAGGGGAGACACGGTGAGGAGGAAGCCGTCAGGAGAGGGGGGACATGGTGAGGGAGAAGCAGTCAGGAGACGGTAGAGAGGGTGAGGGGGAAGCTGTCAGGAGAGGGGACAGCCAAGGGGAGAGGCCTCAGAAGAAACTAACCCTGCTGCCATCTTGCCTTGGATTTCCAGCCTCCAGAACTATGACAAAGTAAATATCTGCTGTTTAAGTCACCCATCTGTAGTATTTCATTACGGAAGCCCTAGAAAATTAATGCAATAGGTCTTAGGTGGGACCCAATAATGTACATTTCTAACAAATTCCCATTGATGCTGATATCACTGGTCTGAAGAATTGCACTCTGAAGCCCACTGACCTATTTTTTCCAACTGAAGGAATAGCTTTCACATCCTGGACCTTTGTACGTTGCTGTGTAGATTCCTCCCTGGCTGTGCTGCACTTGAGTTTGGTCATGTCCTAGTAACATGAGGCATTAATCTTGGGATTCTGTCTGTGTTGTGTCCCACCGAGCAGTCTTGGGGATTTGTCCAACTCCCTCCGAGTCTCTGGATGTGGGATTCTCAATGGGATAATAGAAATTGTGTTCTGCTATGGAAGTGACTTCGTATTTTTTCCAAAACCTATACTTTTGATCTCAACACTAAGTAGGCTGCAATATAATGTAATATGTGGAAATGGGACCTGGGAATGGCACCATCAATAAGCTCTCTGGTTGATTCTTATATTGCTCAATGGTGAGGACCACAGCTACAAAATTTTGAAGATGAAGAAATAACCGCTATTTAAAACAATCTAGAATGACATAATTGGAGCCAACTAATTCTTGAAGTGTGAAAGGACTTAACTGCGCCAGGTACGGTGGCTCATGCCTGTAATCCTAGCACTTTGGGAGGCCAAGGCAGACAGATCATGAGTTCAAGAGATTGAGACCATCCTGGCCAACATGGTGAAACTCTGTCTTTACTAAAAATACAAAAATTAGCTGGGTGTGGTGGTGCGCACCTGTAGTCCCAGCTACTCAGGAGGCTGAGGCAGAAGAATTGCTTGAACCTGGGGGTGCAAATTGCAGTGAGCTGAGATCACGCCACTGTGCTCCAGCCTGGTGACAGAGTAAGACTCTGTCTAAGAAAAAAAAAAAAAGGACTTAACTGTATAGAAAGTAAAGAGAAAGAGATTCTAGGTTAGTAGAAGCTAGGCTGAACAAAGCAGAGAGGCAAGAAGTGCAGGATGCCTTTAAAGACCCTGCACAGATCATTTTTATTGGAAGAAGAATGGAAAGGAAGGAAATGAGGGCAGAAAACTGGGTTAAAGCAGAAGATGGCCATAAACAGAAAATAGTAATCATTTATGGCTTCAATTTACTGAGCATTTACTAAATGCTATACTCCAGGAGGACAGAATCATTCATCCCTAGAACCAAGCAAATTGTCTGGCACAAAGCAGAAGCTCAGTACAAATGGGCTCAGCGAAGAGATTCAAAGGCCTGTGTTAGTTGGTTTCATCAAAAGTTGTCTGCAGGTATTGTTATCTCCCTTTACAGGTTCACAGGGCTAATTAATTAACCCAAGTGTCAGAGGCAGATTTGAATGCAGAACTTTGTGACTCAAAGATCAGTTGCCTTCATTCATGCCATGCTCTTCCAGCTAAGGAGTCAGATTCTTATGCTGAAGGACGTGGAGAAACAGTGGAGGATTTGGAGAAAGAGAAATTGGGATTCAGGCAAGGTAGCCATTTTGGAGAAAAGATGATAAATATGGCTTTAAGGGCAAAATGCCCAAATGCTAACCCTGGAGCACCTTAGAGAAAGAAATGGCGATTATATTATTTATGAGGTGTGTCGAGAAAGGAGACATGACTTATTGGTAAGAAGGAAATTGCCAGGTCAACATTAGGCTGAAGATTTTTGAAAGAAAAACTACACATACATGTATAATTATGAAAAGCTGTAAATTGTTCCTTGTAACTTCACTTGTACGTTGAGTTCTCTAGCAAGTTGACTTTTTAAAAGTTTTCATTGCCTGACAATATTGCTTCCTTATATTTTTGCCGGAGACAATTAGTGAAAGTAAGAGCTAAATTAAGAGCAAAGGAAGAAGAGAAATAAAAAAGAAGGGGTGGGGGGGGAGAGAGGATGCCACTCTATTATGTCCGAAGAAGTACTTTAAAACTAGTTAATTTTAATTAAATTCATGAAGAAACTTGTTTTTTATTACAGCATAAAGGAAATAAGAAAATACACTTTGCAACTTAAATCTATGTTTCAGAAGATAAAATGGAAAATTAAGACAAGTAGTAAACAAAGTTTACAGCTAATGTTAAATACAGTCACCCTAAAGAACTGCAGCTGAGAGTACAGATAATTTACTTCCTGAGTACACAAACTGCATTTGCAGTTCTCTTCTCTGATTACTTAAAACAAAAGGTAAATCATTTCCATGCTGCTCCACACATCTCTCTCAAACCCTTCCAGTTTGTACTCTAAAACTCTCCACTGAATTTAAGCGCAGCTAGAGCTCAGGTGGAGTTTGCATGCACACTGGGCTGCAGAAATACTGCACCCATTTCTAACCCTCTAAGGATCAGTTTTCAAGTCAATGCATTTCTAGTAACATTTTCTCATTCACTACCTGCACCCATCCCTGTACCCAAGAGATCTAAGAGAACTGCAAGTTCTCTGTCCTGCCCAAGTACTTTCTCTTCCTTCTCACTCACTGTTAATTATTTACCATTCTTGATGCCCTTCTTTGCTTAAACAGACCAAAATTCAAATTCTTCAATCCTGTAACATTTCATGCATTTTATTAAAAAGTTATTGTAAATTTGAGGATTTCTCTCACATTTCCCAGAATGTATACAAATAAAGCATGCTTCTAAGCACCATATTTTTATGTGTGATCTATGTTATTGTGGTCAGATTTATTTATTATTTTAATTTTTTTTTGAGACCAAGACTTGTTTTGTCACCCAGGCCCAATACAGTGGTGCCATCTTGGCTCACTGCAACCTCTGCCTCCCAGGCTCAGGTGATTCTCCTGCCTCAACCTCCCGAGTAGCTGAGACTACCAGTGTGTGCCACCACACCCAGCTAATTTTTGTATTTTTAGTAGAGACGGTGTTTCGCCGTGTTGTCCAGGCTATTCTCAAGTGATTCACCAGCCTTGGCCTCCCAAAGTGCTGGGATTACGGGCATGCCTGACCATGCCAGGCCCGAGATTTATTCATTCATCAAACCTTCACTGTGTGACTGACATGGTGCTGGAGATAGTCTAGGCATTTTGGTCATAAACTTGAATAAGACTCCAGAGGTGTTCACAGTCCAAGAGGCAGACACACAAACCAACAACTGCAGAACATTGTTGACATGGCCCACACAGAAATCTGCACAGGGTATCATGGCAGCACCCACTAGAATCTATCCTCTGTGAGGATAAAGAAGTTGTCTGTTTTACGCACTGCTGGTTTTGCAATCTCCTAAAATGAGTGATGACTACTCTCTTCTGGATTGTCCTTATTATGATTCATTCAACCACAAGAGATGGAGGTTTCAGGAAACCCCCAGCCAGTTGGGCTTTACTGATCCCTGTTGCCTACACAACGCAGGGCTCAGTAATACTCAATATGAATCAGGCTGCTCCTGCTTTCTGCCTGAAGGTCAGAGGCTTGATTTTATTGAGGCCTCAGAAAAGGTTTGGTTTACTTGGTAGTTGGGGTGGAATAGAAAAGTGTGCGGAAGGGATGGAAGGCATCTCTGCCTCTAGCCAGGCTTTGCCTGCCTGAGCAGGAGACCATTTCCAGGATTATGGGCAAATTTCTTTCCTCATCAGAAACACTAACAGGCTACTTTCTATGACATTTTCTTAAAAAACAACAACAACAACAAAAAACACCGCCAAGCAAATTCAATTTAATTTGCAAACAAATAGGATTTATACACAGGAATTTGCAGATTCTACACATTCTGATTTTTGTACAACTCCAGCATCTTTTCCACAAGAGATTTTTGGTGGAGATGCCAGCAAGTCTTATAATTTTCCCATGATTATCTTATGACATCACCACACTTCCTGGTGCCTGGTGCACTGCAAGGCACCTAGACGCCCAGTAGGTGGATGATGTTGAATGACTGTGCCGAGGCTGACCATGAGCTGATATGAGTGACCGGTGCATTGGCAAGAGATTGGGGAATATTAGAAATTGGCTAGGTGACAAAGAGGGGAGTTTCATGAGCATTTCAGGAAGAGGCAGCAGCATGAGCAAGAGCTCTGAGTTGAGGCAGCATAGATGTGGAGGAAATTACAAGTAGTTTCATGGGAGAGGGATATAGAAGTTGATGAAGAGATAGACAAAGTTAGATTGCAGGAAACATCATATGTCAGATTCAATTCACTGCAGCAGATATTTATTCTGGGGTCAGACTCCATTTGGTACATATACATTAGTGGCATCCTGAAGGCCAGGAGGCAAAACATGACAATTGACAGAAATAGGAAGAGTTTCCGCATGATGAAATGACCGGTTTGTAGCCTGAGGCAGCAGGCTTTTGGAGACAAATCTCTGGACACATTTTCCTTGGCAATATGATGCCAAGAGGACAAAACTTAGGCCAAGAAATCTACCCTGTTTTCTGGAAGAGTAATGGCTGGAATATTGTTAATTTGGCATCAATTCCAGATTTAAGAATAAGGTCTGAAGCGCAGCTGCTCCATTCTATCATTTAGCTAATGGGAGCTTGAGGATTTGCCAGACATTGTTTCTGGGCCTTACACGATTTCAGAGCTGTTTTATGTTGATGCTGTGGTCATGGCCTCTAGGAAGATGCCACGCCAAAGAAGGGGAGACACAGTCCCAAGTTGTGCCTGGATGAGAAGCTGAACACCTGTTCTGAGGTCAGGCTCTCTGAGGAAGCAGTAGGAAGGACAGAGGCCAAGTTCCTCCCAGGATGCAAAAGCAGTGACTGATAGCTCCCGACAGCACACAGGCTTTTTTTGTGTTTATTCATTCATCCACTGAGCAGATATTAATTAGGTGCCAAGCATTTTTAAGGTATAGTTCTAGGCTCAGGGCTCAGGGGATGCAGCAGTGAACAAAACACAAGCAGCCTCTGATCCCGTGAGGGGAGGCTGAGAATATACAAATAAACATCAGCTACTTCAGATACAGGAAAGTTCTGTAAAGAAAACAAAGCAGGATAATGGGATAGAGAATGACCAAGAAAAAAGAAAAGATGCTATTTTACTGGCTTAAACAATTGTTGAACAGTGTTTCTTTATTACAGAATAGAAACAAAAGTGAAAATGAACAGTCTTGACCTCTCTGGATTGTAAAGGGAATTAAAAGGAATGTGTTTATGAAAGACTTAGCTATCTCTCTAAAATGCAATAAGCATCAATCATCAGTTGCTTACATTTTTACTGCCAGTTTTTAATGAGGATGAGGATATTCTAGAGGTTAAGCTCTCTTAACAGTAGTCAGGAGAACTGGCTTCAAAGCCTGTCAAATGCTCTGTGTTTGGATTCTGGTTCTACCCTGAAAACCATGTAACCTGAGTCAGTTACTTTATCTCTATGAGCTTCTGTTTTCTTACCTATAAAATGGAAAAATAATAGTACCTTCTTTAAGTTGTTGGAAGGATTATTGAGATTACACATCAAAAGTGCTTGGTTCAGTGACTGGCACAGAATAGATACTCAATATAAGTTACCTATTAACATGCTAATATTTTTGGAAAATTTTCCCAACATTAAAATCAAGCCTTCTAGGGTTATAATTGTTTCTGAATAGTAATACATGATTTTTTGTCTCTTACCATCACTTGTTGGAGGAGGTAGAGTAGAATGCTGGTTGAGAGTACAAATTGGCAGGGATGCCGTGTGTGTTAGCTATTCAGTTGCATAGTTTCTTGAAGGCGTCTCTGGTTATTATTTGAAGACAATAATAGGAAAAAAAATAGAAGTTGTATTTAGTTAAATTAACTAACCTATTCTGGTGGTAGAAAGTAGATTGTCTCAGCCGGGCGCGATGTCTCATGCCTGTAATCCTAGCACTTCGGGAGGCCGAGGCGGGTGGATCATGAGGTCAGGAGTCCAAGACCAGCCTGGCCTTGGTGAAGATAATGAAACCCCATCTCTACTAAAATACAAAAATTAGCCGGGTCTGGTGGCAGGTGCCTGTAATCCCAGCTACTCGGGAGGCTGAGGCAGAGAATTGCTTGAACCTGGAAGGCAGAGGTTGCAGTGAGCCGAGATGATGCCACTGCACTCCAGCCTGGGTGACAGAGTGAGACTCTGTCTCAAAAGAAAAAAAAAAAAAAGAAAGTAGATTGTCTCTTGCTTTATGTCTCTCTGTCCTCTGCTAGAATGTGAATCCTCATGGCAAAGAATCCTTCTTATTCGTGTGTATCTATAACACCTAAGATAGTGCCTCGCAGAGTTATGTGCTTGGAAGATAGGACTACCTGTGACAAAATTCACAGTGAAAGAGTAAAGACTATCATACTGCATCATAGAATGAAACTAAGGTTCATGACCATGGCAATACCTCTGTCCCTTTCCTTTGCAGAAGCTTTGTGGTCTGTTTCCTTTTGGGAAAACCAGGCCAAATTCATCTCTACCCTTGGTGCAGCCACTCTGCCTCTACAGCCCCTTCACCAAGGCAGCACGCCATGGTTGCTGAGCTTCCATTTAGAAGGTACATCAAGAGCATCTTTGAAGAGAATGGGCATCCCTGTATTGAATGATGACCTTAGTAACAGGAAAATTTTGATCACTCTAACTATTTACTTGACTCTAAAAACATTTATTTCCTTTAGTGCTTTAGAAAATGAAATTTCAAAGCTAATGTCTGCTCAATTTAATTAAATTCAGGACAGAAATATGAGATGGCCTTTGCCAAATGAACCAAAAAAGGATTGGTGAAGATTTAAAAAAAAAAAGAAGTATAGGCATGGCAATTGATCTATGGCTTTAAAAACATTCTGAAAATACAGTGGATTTGAAAGTGCATGTAAACACAGTCATGGAGTAAGAAATGTGTGAAAGGAGCACCGAATTAAATTCTGAAGCAAATTGATATTATTCTTCCAGATGGCAAAGGGAAAGTTGTACAAAGAAAGGAGGAAACAGATGAAACCATGAAGGACAGCATGCAATGCAATATACAAGGTAGGTATAATCACCATACCTAGCCTGATGATTATACCAAGCATATCCCTAATGAAAACTTGTTAAATAAGTGAATGAATAAGAAGCATGGCTTATAGTATTGATTATGCAAGAGATTCAATATTAAATATAACATCTTAAGGGTTTTTTAAATAATTAATAAAAGAGACTGAGTTTGGAGTAAGGATTTTAACTGTCTTAAGTCAACGTAACTAGTTAAAGGCAAAATGTCTCTTGTTTTCACACTGGATGTCTATTTGAAATTTGGCTGCATATAACGATTAAAACGAAAGATCTCACATTTTGATTCAAATTGCTGTGTGGAATCGTAGGAACAATCAACATGGATAAGCCTAGAGGCCAATACAGAATTAAGGATGAGCCACCACAACATTCTCTTTTCTCCAGAAGAGGCAGGAGAGCTCTAATTCCCAGTCTTCATTTGCACATGCTGTTATTCACAGATGAATAAAGTGTGCCACTTTGTTAGTCACCCCCTGGGTCCATAGCATGTAAGCACAGAGAGGAAATGGTCCAAGAACCATTGGCATCTAACCCATGATACATTATGTTACTAAATATCTGGCATGGAAATTGGCTAAACCTCATCAGGCAGTTGCCAAATGTCATTTAACAAAGCAGTCCCTATCCAGGACCTCTATGTGACTATACTGATAATATTGTCACTAGAGGTGACGAGACACATTCCCTAAAGAAACTCATCATTAGAAATAAACATGGCAGCTCACCAAAAAGCAAAAGCAACATGAAGAAATTAAAGAGGAGCTTTTCAGTAAACCAGTGTGTTTGTGTAGGTTGAATGTGTGTGAGTCAATGTGTTCAAATGTGAAACTCTTTATTCCATTAAGTAATAGAGATGATATATTTTTCTCTTAACTGCCTAAAGTAGTGAGTAGGCTTTGCCAACATCATAAATAAAACAAATCCTCATTCTTGCTTGGGGTCTTCAGATCACAGTATCCAAGGCTGCTTGGGTTTTAGTCCTTTCTTCTAATGATTTTGGAAAAACTGAGTGAAGATTTCTCCTCAGCCTGGCTTCTTTATAAGTAGAAATATCCCCTACTACCTTGCCACTCATGAAGTCAAATGTGAGTTTTTAAAGAGAATGTGAAGGAGTTCTTTTGATGAACTTTTTTCTTACTTTACAAAGTCTTTTTAGAGCCATCACACACACACACACACACACACACACACACACACACACACACACACTAAACTATCAGCTCTATCACCATAATACCATTTTGTACTTCCAACTTTGATTTCTTGCCTCAGCTCCAGATTTCCAAATTGCCATCTATTATTAGGCAATTCAAAATGAATGTGTCCAGTGTTGGGCTCGTTGTTGCTCTACCCTTAGAAATGTTTACCTCACTTCGACTTCTCATCATGAATGGCACAGATATGAGTCCAGTCGCAATCTAGCCAAGACCCTGAGACATTAGACTCTTCCGTATCCTTCAACTTCCACACAAGTTCTGTTACAAACTCATGTTATTGCAAATTCACCAAATTGTATACATTAAACATGTGCAGTTTTTTTATATCAATGCTTCAATAAAACTGTTTATGAAAACCAATTAGTGTTCATTTTATCTATAAAATGACTCTTCTTTCAGTGCCTTCTTGGCCAAACTGACTGTCACTGCCTTAGCCAGAAGTCAGCATTTTCTGGATAGTGGCAAAAAATACACATTGGTCTCTCTTGCTCACCCCATCTTACTGCAGTCTAATCCATCTTCCATCCTCATACTGCATGGAGCCTTCAAAATACACATCTGTTCATGTCTAGCCACTCCTGAAGACCCTCCAGTTTAACAAGAAAGGGACAGAACCTAAATGAGAAAAACTAGTGTCTCTGCTCCTAGAATTAACATATAAATATAATGCATTTCTAATTCGAACCCCAAAAAGATTTTTTGAATTGAATCAAATGATGCTGGTGTTTATAATGGAATAAAAAGACCTGCAGAAAATGTTGAAAAACAGAAAGGGATATGCCTTATCTAATACTAGAAAGTACTATACGTCTGCTATTAAACAACGTGGTATAGCAATAGGAAAAAAAAAAGATCAAAGAAACAGAACTGAGACTAGAAATAGATCAAAGAGTAGCGGTCCCCGAAATTTTTGGCACCATGGACTGGTTTTGTGGAAGACAATTTTTCCATGTTGGTTGGGGGGTGGTTTTGGGATGACTCAAGTCCATTACATTTATTGTGCACTTTGTTTCGATTATTATTACATTGCACTAGATAATGAAATAATTATACAACTCACCATAATGTAGAATCAGTAGGAGCCCTCAGCTTGTTCTGCAACTAGATGGTCCCATCTGGGGGGTGATGGGAGACAGTGACAGATCATCAGGCATTAGATTATCATAAGGAGTACACACTTAGATCCCTCAAATGCATAGTTCACAATAGGGTTCATGATCCTATGAGAATCTAATGCCGCTGCCAATCAGACAGGAGGTGGAGCTTGGGCGGTAATGCAAGTTACAGGGAGTGGCTGTAAACACAGAAGAAGCTTTGCTCATTCACCTCCACTCACCTCCTGCTATGTGGCCCTGTTCCTAACAGGCCATAGACCAGTAGCAGTCCATGTCCCAGGTGTTGGCAACCCCTGTCTTAGAACATAGAACTTACTGTATGATGGCTGGGTGTGGTGGCTCACACGTGTAATTCCAGAACTTTGGGAGGCCAAGGTAGGTGGATCACTTAAGGTTGGGAGTTTGAGACCAGTCTCTACTAAAAATACAAAAAATTAGCCAGGCATAGTGGTGCACACGTGTAATCCCAGTTACTCAGGAGGCTGAGGCAGGAGAATCACTTGAACCCAAGAAGCTGAGGTTGCATTGAGCCAAGATTGCACAATCCAGCCTGGGAGACAGCAAGACTTTGTCTCAAGCAAAAAATAAAAAATAAAAGAAGAAGAACTTAGCATATGATAACAGTTGTATTTAAATTCAGTGGAGAAAAATGTGGTTTATTAAGTAAATAGTGTTGGTCCAA
Organism: Homo sapiens; assembly: GCF_000001405.40. Taxonomy (NCBI): domain Eukaryota; kingdom Metazoa; phylum Chordata; class Mammalia; order Primates; family Hominidae; genus Homo; species Homo sapiens. The sequence continues at coordinate 54,769,786 of NC_000018.10, read as the reverse complement.
GGGACTACTTAACTAGAAAAAAAATGAAATCAGACTGCTGATTTACATTATATAGTACAAAAACAAATACCACATGGATTAGAAACTTAATCATGTATATAAAACCTTAAAATATTGCAAGAATATCTAAGCAATCACATGGAAGTCCTTCTTAACCACAACTGGAAACCCTAATAGTGTAAACAAAAAGATATCAGATAAAGTTAGATCTTTTGTATGGGAAAATATGCTGCTAACAAAACCAATAGACCAAATCATAGACTTTGAATAAATATTACTGTTGCAGAGGATAGAAAAGAGCTCTCAAAAATTAACAACAACAACAACAACAAAAAAACAAGATGGACAAACAATAAAAGAGGCTATTTCTAGAAGATCAAATTGAAATGGTGAAGAAATATACTTTAAAAAAGATGTTCTTATGTAATCATCAGATGGCATTTTACACACAGTGGACTGCCCCAGACAGAGGTGAGACGTGGAGTCAAAGGAAATTATTTTGGAACTTTAAGGATTACCCTATTGGATTTCTGACTTGCATGGGGCCTGTAGCTCCTTTCTTTTGGCCAATTTATCCTATTTGGAATGGGTTTATTTATCCAAGGCCTGTACCTCCATTGTATCTTGGAAGTAACTAACTTGCTTTGATTATAAAGGCTCATAAACAGAAGAGACTTGCCTTGTCTCAGATGAGACTATGGACTGTGGACTTTTGAGTTAATGCTGCAATGAGTTAAGACTTTGGGGGACTTTTGGGAAGGCATGATTGGTTTTGGAATGTGAGAAGGACATGAGATTTGGGAGTGGCCTGGTGGAATGATATGGTTTGGCTCTGTGTCCCCACCCAACCCTCACCTCGAATTGTAATCCCCATAATCCCTACATGTCAAGGGCAGGACCAGGTGGAGTTAATTGGATCATGGGGGCAGTTTCCCCATGCTGTCCTCATGATAGTGAGTGAGTTCTCATGAGATGTGACTGTTTTATAAGTGTCTGTCATTTCCCCCGTTGTACTCACTTCGTCCTGGTACCCTGTGACAAAGGTGCCTGCTTCTCCTTTACCTTCCACCATGATTTTAAGTTTTCTGAGGCCTCCCCAGCAATGCAGAACTGTGAGTCAATTAAACCTCTTTCCTTGATAAATTACCCAGTCTCAGCTATTTATTCATGGCAGTGTGAGAAAAGATAATAAATCCTGAGAAAAACATGAGAGTTAGATTGCTGACATTGATTACCTTGAGAAGGTAGTTTAGTGATGACAATAAAGAGGCAAAGGTGGAATCAAATAAGGAAAGCCTGCATATGACCACTTTTAGTACATATGAAAATTATGTATCTATACATAAAGAGTAGGAAAAAAAGTTGCAAGTTACCAATGGCTGTTCGGTACCTTCAAACAATGATTTTTTTAAATTAAAATTTGTTTGCCATTCAATACCTTTCACCATGCAGCCATTGCCACATATTGCTGCTTCCAGCCACAAGCCACATATCGCTACATTTTACAAACACCTTTGTGCTTTATCCATAGGAACATTTTTGTGTTCCCGTAACACACCTCATTCTCTAATCCCCTCTTTTTGATTTGCTGTTATATCTGAAAAGATTCCCTCTTTAATTACCTAATAAATTTCCACTCATCCCACAAATTCGAGCCCAAGTTTTACCTCCTCCAGGTATCCATCCACTCCCCCCACATCTTCCTTGTCTCTCCTCTGCATTGGCCCCTACTAGACAGTACTGTAATTATTGCTTTCCCCATCTTTCCTCTCCAAGTCTCTATTAGCCGGAGATTCTTGGAAGAAGGGACTATCTCTTATTTATTACTATATCCCTGATCATTATTTAATTTTCCCACCACCTCCTCCAACACAAGCACTCCCTGAGATGATTCTAGGCAACTTTATGGAACAAACATCCCTTTACAATCTGATTACTTGCTGGAGATAGGCTGACTTCATTGAGTCCACACAATAAGCAGAACTCAGTCATACAATTATTGCAGCATTCCATGTGCCAAGGGTGGCATTTATGCTTATTTTGTGTGAATTGTGGGAAACAGGCAAAATAATCAAGGTCTGAATTCAGCTGGTTGTGGACAGACCACATGGAATGAAATAAGTGTATATTAAATAAGATAAACACTGAAGATAATCAACATCATTGACTTCATACTATTATTCACGATCATCATCTAAAACACAAAAGGGCAGTGATTTTCTAATTGTGTTTATGAACACCTTGATACAAAGAGTTCTTTCCTATATTATTTTCAGTTGTATCTTGTTTTTAAAAAGAGCCACTAATTAATCACCATCTACTGGTGGTATCTCAAAAATACACAGTTGAATAACTATGGCAATTAAATACCCTCATGACCATTACCTCACCTGATAACTATACTATGACCTTTAACCATCTTAGTTAGAAGAGCTGTATAACTCCAGAAAAATCAATACTGCCCACCACACACTGGCATGAGCCACTGGGTAAACAGTTGTATGTGGAGTTATTTGCCTTTCCATGTTATTTACCCAAGCAAAAACCTGTTTTAGGAGTATTAGAGCAAACATTTAGGAGAGCAAATGGAGAAAGTATTTGGGTGTTTCATTCCTGTAAGCAATCTGTTTAAAATGCAAGATAAAAGAAAGGAAAATCTTTGGTTCCCAGCGTGGTAAAACCTGTAATTGACTAAAGTTTCCCCACCTTCTTCCCTATGTGTTTAGAACTCAAATTTGTGATCAATCACAAACTTAGTGAATTGGATGGTCCTCAAAAGTTCCTGGTCAGCTTTGGCCAAATGCCTGCATTCTTGTCATTTGGCACAATTTAAAGAAGAGGCAAAACTGAACCAGTCATAATCTTCCACAAGGCTCCATTAGAAAAGTCACATTACAATGCATTAGTGATGACTTAGCTCCATACCTCACATTAAAAATTCCCTAGGCAGCCATTGTTTCCTCACTTCAGAATGAATAACAGAAATGACATTTCACAACTAACAACCTGAGTTCATTATCTCTGGGGAACCAGCACATAAACTACCAGAGGGGTATGCAACATCAACCAGTCATTTTCAGGAGTTCCTCACCATAGATTTCTAATATTTCATACACTACGCCTATGTCTTTAGGCATATTTCACAGATTGGTATGCAGAGGTGAAGCCCGACTAAAATGTTAAGAATCTGCATTGCAGAAACATAAACATTAGATCTAGGAGGTATTTTAGCACGTATTTAATCTAATCTCTTCATTAAATAAATGGGAAAACACACCAAAACAAAAAACAAAAAAACTTAAAAAAAAACAAAAACAAAAAGGAGATGTGGAGACATTCAATGATCTGCTCAAATTTTAAGGCAACCGAAGGCAAAGCCAGAAATGAAACCCAGGTCTCCCAAATCCTAACCTGGTGCTCTTTGCATATGCCTGCCTGCTTCTACTCAACTGCAAAACAACTTCTTTAGCTTCGATTTACAGGGCCATGACTGTCCTTTCATTAATCCATAATGACTCCATTTACTGTGTTTCCTGTTGACTTTGCTTTATATTTGTTTCTATTATTTCCTGCTTTTGATTATTTCTGGAGGGTCTACCATGAAGATGATGAAGTGGTAAGATGGAAGAAAGCCATGTGTTATTCCATGTAACAATTACAAATCTAAGACTGAACTCCAGGAATTCTCAGGCAATTCTGGACGTGTGATTGTTGACCATTCATTCTAAAAATGTGTCTTCGCCAAAAAGTTGGTGTTTTCAAAATAAATTTGGAAATCTATAATTTCTTCTAGAAGAAATTAATGTCCTGCTGTAAACAAACTGGTTTAACTTTAATTAACTCATAATTTCCCAAACATATTTGAATGTGAAAGCCCTTGTGTGTACCTAAGTTTCTGAAACAACTAATCTCCCACAAAACAAACATTAGTAAGTTGCCTTATCACAGTGAGCAATGGGGTGTGGGCAAATATCTCCTCCTTCAATACTTTGTTTTACTAAAAAGAATTTACAAAATGTTTCCTGTAGGCAGCTAATTGTGTGGTTGAAGTGGGTATGGGGAAAGGAAAGGAAGAAGGAGATATAAGAAGTTAAAAATGACTCTAGATTTCTTGAGTTTATAATTGTATTAGGTATAAACAAGACATGCAACAAGTAAGCAAAACCCTAAGGCAGTAAATAATTCAGTGTCCAGTGTCTCCATAAGGTACAAATGAAGGCATTGGGATTTTCAATTTGAGCTTAACTGGAACAAAGCAAATTTTAAATTAGATCCTGAAGGACATATAGAAATCAAAGTGCCTGGCACAAGGTTGACCAATGCATATTTGCTTAACAAATGAAGGACATTCTGGGTTAGGGAACAGCACGAACAATATCTTGAAGTCAAATGGAATGAAACATGTTATTCTTGGGAATATAGAACTTAGGGTGTCTGGGACAGGAGTGAGGGTGAGCACTGGGCTCCAGGGAATGGGAAATTAAGATCAGAGAGGGGCTGGGCACAGTGGCTCACACCTGCAATCCTAGCATTTTGGGAGGCTGAGGTAGAAGGATCATTTGAAGCCAGGAGCAAAATAAAGACTGAATTGGGGGAATTTAAGCAGAATGTAAAAATCGTTATGCTAATGAGAACTCCAGAATCTTCCCAAAGTCATGTGGTTTTCTTTTTGGTTTTTTTTGCTTGTTTGTTTTTTTGTTTTTTTTTGTTTTGTTTTTCCTTTTCATCCCTAGCATCTTGCAACCTGCCTGGGCATGAAACGGGAATTTTAAAAATGTTGGTTAATTAAAATAACAAATGATTGTGAATAAAAGAAGCACAGTGGATAAGAACTGGAGGATTTCTGCTTGGGAAGTAAAATGACACAAGCAGTCTTTTTCAAAACCATTTCTGATTGGTGATGTTTGGTGGGAGTTCAATTGTGAGATGCCACAGACAGCATGCGGCAGTTAGAAGACAAAGTTTGGAGTTTAGGACAAACACCTTCCCTGGAGTAGATAAATTTGAAATGCATTTTGAAAGAAGAATCAATAAGCCTGAGGAACAATGAAATAAAAGGGACAATGGAAAAACAACATCCAAGTTTAGACCTAAGATAGTTGTAGTGTCAGTCACAGAGAAAGGAAAATTCTAAGAGAGAATAGGATTGGTGGAGGGATTCTGTGTTGGGAAATAATGACAAATATCCAAAGGGAGATGTTCTGTCACCTAACGGTGGCATAGGGAAGGGACAACTACTCAAAGAGCTACTCTCCCATCTTAGCCTATTTCCCAAATGAGATATGGATATGATTATTATCATTCCCATTGTGCAGACGAGAAAAGTGAGTGGCAGAGATATCAGGTATTTGCTTTAAAATACACACACTCAACATGGAGTATGGCTAAGACTTTAATTCCTACAATATTTACAATATTGCATTTCAGGAGATACAGAATTGAATTACAAAGTCTGGTCAGAGATAGAGTGTTGAAATTTACCCATATGGATATGAGAGTTGAAGTAGCAAAACAATACTTATTCCTTGAGAAATTAGCCCAGTTCGATGGGTGTTCATTAGGTGTCTGGTCTGTGCTTGGCTCTGTGACACAATGAGGCAATGCAAAGATGGTAAACACAGGGTCAATGACATCTAGGGAAAGCTAGGAGGAAGAAAGAGGTATCCATAAACAAGCTGCAGTAAATAAAAATCAATAACTACTGCTTCATAAGTATATATAATGGGCAAGACAGAGAATAGTCTCCTGAAAAGAAATGTGTGCATGAGAAAGAGCAATGTTCAGATGTCAGAGCTAGCAGAGAGATGGCTTGATTAGAGGTGACAAATTCCACAGATAACCAGGGAAAGAGAACTTAGAAAGTTTCCCCTTCTCAATACTTCTTCCCTTAGCAAAACCAAGAGTTGAAAACCAGGCTCCATCATATCTCTCATTCATCCGATTTGCCATTTTCTACTGAGACCAGACACTTGCTGGAGTCCTGAATTGAGTGTGGGACTTTAGTACTTAAAATGGATGTGCCCAGGGGAGGAGAAACAAGTAAGGCACAGGGATTTAAGGATAAAAACCTGAGTCATAAAGTTTTTCAAATACATTCAAATGGCAGAGACTCTTCCTACCCGTTTCTCTCTCCTTCGAACAGAACTAGAGGAATCCACTTCACATCGTACCATAGGCAGAATATTTCAGCCTGTATTTCCAGGCTTCTCTCCCACTAAACCTGGACACAGTGCACATCTGTTACATCCATGATCTTATTTGCTATCCCTGGAGCATGTACTGATAATCTCCACCTACCAAAATCATGCAACCCATCATAGCTTTGCTTAAATACCACCTCCTCCAAAAAGCAACAACTTGGTCTGAAATGGCCTCTCCCTCCCTGGGCTCTATAGCAATTTATGGTTTTGGAAGGAGCTTGTCCTTCATTGGTCTGTATTGTGACTTCTCAAAAATAAATAAATAAATAAATAAATAAACAAACACATAGACATATATATAAAATGATGAATTTATTAACATACATTAAAATATTTCAAACACTAAAAATACCAGCACAGTATGTGAACCATAATACTCTCACTTTAGATTGCTTTCCCTTACCCTCCCTTACTGCTTTTTGTCTATATTATTTATTTACTCTTTGAAGTTATAAGTTTCCTGAAAGTTTTCCTTGCCTTCAGAAAACTTAAAACTTTAAGCGTTGCTTTAAAAAACCCTAATATTCATCAAAGCCTTGAGCTTAGAGACTCAATAAATATTTGATGAATGAATGAATGCATTAAGTAAAAATAAATTTGAAGGAAAATAAATTTCTTTAATTTACACATTTATTCCTTTATGCCTGGGTACACTCATTGTGACACACACTGAACCCCCCAGGTGTGAGGGATATAGGAGCAAGCAAAAGAGTAAAAATCCCTGGCCACAGAGCCTGCAAACTGGAGGAAGGAGCTGTAATATGCGAATGGAGGAGTAAAATATTTGTCTGAGTCGTAGGTACTGAGAAGAATAATAAAGCAGGGAAGACAGATAAGGAGTGGGGCCCGGTGTGTTGGGGAGGAGGAAGGTATGTGATTTTTTCAATTAGATCACCAGGGAAGACCTCAGAGACAAGTAATCTTTCAGAATGTTAAAGACGTTACTGAGAAAGCCTAGCACACATCTGAAGGAAAGATACTCCCAAGAGAGGAAATAGCAAGTGTCAAGGCTCAAGTCAGGATTGTGCTTTGGATTGCCTAACTTATTGCAAAGTGCACAATGTGGCAGAGTGAACAAGAGCGGGAGTAGGAGGAAATAAAGTTAGACTATGGGGGAGTGTATTCATTTCCCAGGGCTGCCGTAGAAAATTACAACCAACTGGATGGCTTAAAGCTACAGAATTTCCTGGCCAACACGGTGAAACCTCGTCTCTACTAAAAATTCAAAAATTAGCCAGGCTTGGTGGCACACTTCTGTAATCCCAGCTACTCAGGAGGCTGAGGCAGGATAATTGCTTGCACTCAGGAGGTGGAGGTTGCAGTGAGCCAAGATGGTGCCACTGCACTCCAGCCTAGGCAACAGAGCAAGACTCCATCTAAAAAACAAAACAAAACAAAACTACAGAATTATCGGAAGTGTGAAATCAAGAGGTCAACAGGGATATTCTTGAGGAGGTTCATAGGGAGAATCTATCTTACGCTGCCAATTTCTGTTGTTCCTTGGCTTGTAGACGCATTACTCCAATCTCTGTCTCTGTCTTCACATCTCCTTCTTTGCTGTGTTTCTGTATCTTCTCTTTTTCTGTCTCTTATAAGGACACTGCCACTGGATTTGGAGCCCATCCTAATCCATTAGGATCTCATCTCAATTCTTACCCTAATTACATCTGTAAAGACTTAATCCCAAATAAAGTCACATTAGGAGACTCTGGGTGGGCATGGATTTTGGAGGGACACTAGTCAATCTGCTACAGGGAATAAGGGTGAAGCAGCCAGAGCAGTTAAGAGGCCATTCAGATATCAACAATCCATCAGAGGCATCGTCTGGTAACACACAAGTGCTTCTATTTTAGATTTTTAAATAGAGCCAATGAGATTTATTGACACATTGGATTATTGCCTCTTGAGTTTTTCTTCTTCACTACTTTAGAAATAAGAGAAGCATTGGTTTTTGGAAGAGAAAGGGCTATGTGGCAGCCCAGTGATTGTTATTGCCTACTTGGGTCTGTTGTGAAAAGAGGATAAACTGAGATGAAGGTTTATAACTGTTGTATGTAAGCAGGGAAGTAGGGTAACATTTCCTGTTTTACTGTTTGGTATTTTCTATTAAAAATACCCATAGCTTAGTATATTTTGTTGCAATTCAAATAGAGCAAAGTTTTGAAGATAAATTGTACTGAAGATAGGAAATGCATTTATGTGGCAGAGATGAATAAATGTGTTGAATTTCTCATGCAAACTTTAGGACTGTAACAACTCTATATTTTGATTCACTCTATCTATTTGAGTGAAAATATTTCTTTTTAGGGAAGGAAACTGATCTCACCTATCTAAAAGGAAAGCAAAGACTTACATCTTAAAGAGTCTAAGGAGTTGAGCTCAGCCTGAAAAACTACAATGGGGCTCAGTATGAACTTCTGAGTGCTCTGGTATCAATTTAAGCTGAAATCTTGATTTACTTCCCAAATTATAACTTCTGAGAGACAGGGCATGCAGGGAGAATGAAGGAAATGAAATACTATAAATTATCCCATTTGTGATATCAGATTCTCAAGCAAATATCTTGATATTCAGTTAAAAAAAAAAAAAAAGAATACCTCTCCTTTAACAGTTGCCCCTCCATAGACCTTTCCCATTGATTCAACAATGATCTCTTCCTATATATGATCTAAAGAATATTCTCCCATTTCCTAAGAGTATTATTCAAAGACCTTTCATCTAGCTGTAATGCTTTATCTCCCTTCCATGAGAGAATCCAGGGCTTCAGGTACAGCTACTCCATGTCCCACCAAACATGGCATCCTCATTGTTGCCTCTTGAGCTCTGCCTGAAGAGAATTGCCATCCTGCCCACTTAAAGTTCTTCCCCTTTTCATGATCTGGTTTGAATCTCACCTCTTCTCTGTGTTACGTTACCCTGTAGCATCAATTTGCACATCACACTTTTCTCCTTTCACTAAGATGTTTATAGTCCTGCCATGTCCAAGTTCAAGTCATCATCTGTTGCCTGGACTAAAGCAATGGCCTCCTGCCTCCCTGCTTCCATCCTTGACCCCTAAGGACTATTAGCTCCCAAAATGATATTTTCAAAACTTTAAATTATGTATTTCCTAAATTATGTATATAAAACCCTTCATAGCATTTCACCTCACTCAGAATAAAATTTCAAGTTGTCTATAAGCTACATCCCCACCTCCCTCCCCTACATCCTCTACCTAGATATGTAGTATATTTCACTCAGCATTCCTAGTTATCTTTGTATTCCTATCCCTCTGAATTTACATCTGAAGTGAGATGGTTCCCTTGACCCTTTCACAGGACTTGCTAAGGGGATGGCACATTTACTCAGCCCCCAACTCTCAACACCTCACAGGATGGGGAGATCATAGGTAAGTGGGTGCAGGGGCTGGGATGAGTGCTTCTGGTCACCGGCAGGAGTAGAACTTTGTGTGGCCCCCACGGCAGCTTCTGGGGGGTATCCACAACCTCCAGAGTCCCAGAGGGTGTGTGTTACAGTGTGCTCTTTTAGCTTTGCTGTCTGCATATGGCTTATGTATTTAACAGCTCGGTTTGACAGTCCTCTGTATCCCGAGCTCTTGTTTGGTGTCCAGGAAGAATCAGGTTGCAGGAACAAATTGAAGATGGTAAATGCAGAGGATTTTATTGCCAATGAAAGTGGCTCTCAGTGGTATAAGGAGCTGGAAAGGGGATGGAGTGGGAAGGTGGTCTTCCACTGGCTAAACGGCTGTCCCTGGCTGGACTCTTCTCTGAAGTCCAGCCATCAGGCTGTACCTCTGAAGTCAGGCTGCTCCTCTCCAACACCCAGCTGCTGCTTCTCTTCTCTTCTTCCCTATCACTCTGCTGCCCCTCTGCCAGTAGAGCCTGGGCTTTTTATGGGTACAGGATGGTGGGGAGGGGTGGGCCAAACAGCGCATTTGAATGGGAAAACAGGAATGCACATTCTCACTTTAGGCCACAGTCTTAGGCTTGAGGGTGTGGCCCTCGCCAGGGACTGCCCTCCTCTACCCAGTATTTCCCTGCCTTCTGTCGGTATCACAGAGCTAATTAGTGATTGCTCAGGCACAAGACACCCAGTCTCCTGTTTGTTGGTCTGGCATTTGCTCCCACTTCAGCATACTACAGAGCTCATTAGAATCACCATCGAATGCCTTCATTTGAGGGAGGTTTTCTGAAGAACTGACAGTCTCAATTAAAGAGATTAAACTAGCATCCAAATAAATGCAGTACAAAATTTAATAAGAGAAATACCCAAAGTGTGTTTTAAACAAAATGTTAAGAGGATACAAAAGGTAGAAAAATATATCAGGTTTGGGAGAAATCAGGAAAGACTTCATGTATGAAGGATCATCAGAGATGGCTTTTAAAGGTTGTGCAGTTGGTAGACAATGATGGTACTAACTTTCTCAGTACCAGTTAGTGACTTCCACTTTGCAGGCTGTATTTCTTGACACTAGTAGTGATTCAACATGTGCTTATTGACCAAATACTGTGTGTTCTACTGTGTTTCTCACTGATAGAATACAAAACTTTGAAAAATTAAAAGGAAATGTTTCTTTACTTCTTGTAAGAATATAATAATAGAAATTGGGGTTGAGTTTGTGCTAATTATACAATTTCAGAGCTATAGAGAGACGTTTGAAGTCTTCTGATCCCTCAACCTCATTTTAAATGAGGCCCAGGATTGTGCAAGTTAAATGACTCAAAGCTAATTAGTGATTGCTCAGGGACAAGACACCCAGTCTCCTGTTTGTTGGTCTGGCATTTGCTCCCACTTCAGCATACTACAGAGCTCATTAGAATCACCATCGAATGCCTTCATTTCAGGGAGGTTTTCTGAGAGCAAGTTATTCATTCAGAATTCCTGGCAAAACTTGGTATTAAAGTCTGGTAGGGTCTCTTAGCTCTGTCGTTGTTCCTTTTTTTTTTTTTTTAATTGTTTTTGGTCGCTTGCAAGCTGGAGAGAGAGACATCATTGTCTACCAACTGCACAACCTTTAAAAGCCATCTCTGATGATCCTTCATACATGAAGTCTTTCCTGATTTCTCCCAAACCTGATATATTTTTCTACCTTTTGTATCCTCTTAACATTTTGTTTAAAACACACTTTGGGTATTTCTCTTATTAAATTTTGTACTGCATTTATTTGGATGCTAGTTTAATCTCTTTAATTGAGACTGTCAGTTCTTCAAAGGAAAAACCTTTCTACGGCCTTTCTTCATATCATCCACAGTTACTAACACAATGCCCTAAACATAATGGCTCAGGTAAGTATTAAGTACATTGAATGGAATGAATGAGAAGTTACTGAATATTTTTTTAAATTACAGTGAAGGCAGTGTCTGCATCAAATGACCAGGGAATTGACAACAATCTTAATTGTCATACCTCTACCTAGATATTGAATTGAAAAACACTTGGTTATTATCTAACAGAGGGCAACACATTGTCTAGAAAATACAGGCTTAAAAAAAACCTAGGTTACAAAGCACAGCATTGATCTTACACCTAATACTCAACAGAGCCGAGAGCGCACCACTGCACTCCAGCCTAGGCAACAAGAGTGAAACTCCATCTCAAAAAAAGAAAAGCAAGTATTGTAGAGGCATGCCAGATAATTTACTAATAAAAATATTTCTAGATTTTGTGATTTTTTTGTATTTGTCAATTTTTAAAAGAATTTGTAATTTCTGGGATTTTTGTCATTTGGAAAGATTGTTTTCATACCTAATTTTGTATTTATAATTAATTATATTATAATTAAATCAAAGAGGCTTTCTCAAATTTTACAAACTTCAAGTCCCATAAAACCTATTATTGTCCTGTACTAGAATGATCTCAACTAGAACTATCTTGTTCAGTGTTTACAAAGAAAAATAAGTAATCTTTTTTGTCCCAATTTTATCAAATTGGTCCTTAGAGATAAATTACATTGTCCCTTTTATAATTTATACAAATTTGTTCATATTCAGTTCTTAGTGAACACATATAACAATTCATTATATATACAAGAGGTTGTAAATAAAATTAGATATCAACAGCTTTCTCATGAAAGAGTTGATTTAATTTCACACCATCTTTGTTACTATTATGCAATTGTTGTTTCTCAAATTAAGATGAAATAGTTTATAGTCAAAAGGTATGATAATTGCGAAGTTTAGAAGGAAATAGTCTTCTAATTGATGTCCAACAGACATCCAGCAGAGGTTAGAGCCACTCTGATGTTAGAGCAATAGCTTTTTTCCTGAGCCCTCAAGAGCTCAAATTTTATCTCTGCATTTTGATCCTGACTTTCTTTGATACTGGCTTGGGAATCCATGGGCTCCCAGGGTCCCCTATTCTGTCTGACTCTGATGTCCTTTTAAATGGTTGTTACCTGTACACTTTCCTTTTCTGCTTATGCTTGGCATGCTAATATCTGGGTCTGTCTCCTAATTGAGACTTTGGCCTACTCCTGCTCTGAAACCAGGACCACTGGTCTCCATCTCTCATTGACCAGCAACCTTGAGCCTAATGGATCTCTGAACATTTGTGTCCTGGCTCTATCCAGACCTCTAGCGATCATTGCAGGTGTCATACTATCTGAACCCCATACCACTTGTTTGCCAAGTGGAATAGCTTTGGTTGATCTGTTTCCATGAAGATTACCCTATACATTTTTAACTAAGATGAAATATGAAACTTTAGTTAGATATAAAGGAAGAACCTGATGAGTACTATGATGATAGGTACAGAAATTCATCATCTTTTAAGTCAAATGAAGTTTCTCAACTGACCTTAGTAATGTATTCCTGTATCTGTCACCTTCATGCTTCATGCCTTCTTCTACCCATTCATCCATATTCATTTAACATAAATATCTGGTACAGTACTAAGGTAAACCAGACAAATATACATCAAAGTCTGGCTTGTTGCTAGCCCTGCCCAGACTCATAAATACATCCAAGTCCAGAAGACAGCACAGTAGGCTCCTGTTCATCAACACCAGCTCTGTGGTATTCTTCAGAATACTACAGCTGTAGTATTACTATACTCTCCACATTGAATTGGTAGCTCTGAATAACAGTATGGTAAGTTCCTAGGGGCTAAAGAAGGCTGGAGGAAAAAAAACATGGTAGAAAAGCAGTATTTTAGGGGCAGGAAGAATCGAACCTATAGTCAGGATATCAATGTTGAGCTCTTTAAATAATGTGGGAGACCTAATTAAGTACAATGTGGAATAGAAAGGAAATGCTTCCAGTTTCAACTGAAATGGTGGCAATGATTCCAAGGAAATGTAAATTAGTACTTTCACATTGTCCTTCTGTTACCTAAGGAAATATCACTGGTACAGAACAGGCAAACTTTTGGGTAATTCCTTCATCTTTCCTGTTGATTTTTGTACAATGGAGGTCATGTTTCACAGAATGACCTAGCTGAAAAATCAATTATCACCTCATACTTTTTCAGTAGGTCGATAATACTACTCAGTTATGATTCTTTATTATTCAGTGATAGATGTTTTCACTTTTGTATAGAGACACAAATAAACTGCAGATAGAAAATACTACCTATATCCCTACTGAAACAGCCAATCAAAACAGTTACTATTAATAGGTTGAAGTCTTTGCTGGTTGTTTCTTTATTTCAAACATGGCTGTGACAAAGGACAGATTTTGGTGGCGCTGGTATTTGCTTTCTATGTAATATTCAGCTTCCCCTTGTGCAATAGTTTAATAAGATCATTGCCCACTGATACCAAGATGATTTTCCTACACATTCATTTGACTGATGGAACTCTGATGGCTGTGCTAAAACAGGGGCATTTGCTATTATTGATTTTTCCTTCCAGGAATTCAAACTAAATGTTAATAAAGATGGAGATCTGGTGTCAGATGAGGCATTTGCACAATAAAATTACTGCAAAGTAGTGATCTGATGCAGACCATACTGTTGGCCTATTTTATCTGACCTCTCCTTAGCTCTGAAAAGGGTGAAATATCAAAGTGCCTGGAAGGGGAAATCACCTACTTGTAATTTATCATGGCCTTTAATTGTGAGGATTACATTGTCATTGTCACATAGGAGAAGAATTCTAGAGACTCTCCCTTAAACCTGATGCCACAGAGAAACTATTTTTTAATACAAAACCCTTTTCAGGTGAAAGTTTTAAGTTATTTATTTATTTATTTAATTTTTTGAGATGGAGTCTTGCTCTGTTGCCCAGGTTGGAGTGCACTGGTGCGATCTCAGCTCACTGCAACCTCTGCCTCCCAGGTCCAAGTGATTCTCCTGCCTCAGCCTCCCAAGTAGCTGAGACTACAGGTGTGCACCACCATGCCCAGCTAATTTTTGTATTTTTAGTAGAGACGGGGTTTCATCGTGTTGGCCAGGCTGGTCTTGAACTCCTGACCTCGGGTGATCCGCCTGCCTGGGCCCCTCAAAGTGCTGGGATTACAGGTGTGAACCACTGTGCCCAGCCTTAAGTGACATGTTTAAAAATGCAAGTAAGCAAGCATTTCCAAAGTGCCAACAGAGCAATATGCTGTGTTCTGAAAATGTGCTATTTTCAAACTTTTTCTTTCACAGAAGAGTCAATAAATCATCATCCTAATAGCAATAATGTCAGGGATGCAGGAGCCTAGGAGAGCCAGAGTTGACACCATTTTAAAATCAACTCCACCTCAAAACTAGCAAGGCACATTTATTGCCAGTCACATGGTTATAAGATATTTACAACTCAGGAAACAATTTAAAGATACCTACAAGGATAAACTCCAACAACAGAAAGTCCAGATGTCCCAATACTCATAACAATATATGCTTTCAGGATAATTATAGTTATGCTTTGATGTATTTACACATTAAAATGTCAGAAATAGTTTTCTTTAAATCAACAAAATGATAAATGTTGTCATGCTGTCAGCCCACCTACACATAGTTACAGCTTAGTTTACCTTTACGTAGACAAGATCCGTACATAAGAAAAACTTGAAACAAAGACGGTGCATTCCTCCACTTGCTTTCTGAGGACGCCCTACTCTGTAATGGAGGAGCTTTCAATAAAGCTCAATTGCTTCTCACTGTACTTTGCAATTTGCCTTGAATTCCTTTCTGCACTAGATCCAAGAACGTTTTCTGCTAACAATAACAACTTATATTCATATAGCTAATTCTATTAGTCCGTTCTCACACCGCTATAAAGATACTACCTGAGACTGGAAAATTTATAAAAGAAAGAGATTTAATTGACTCACAGTTAGCCATGGCTGGGGAGGCCTCAGGAAACTTACAATTATGGTAGAAGGCAAGGGGAAGCAAGGACCTTCTTCACGTGGTGACGAGAGAGAGAACAAGAGAGGAGCTACCACTTATAAAACCACCAGATCTCATGAGAACTCGCTCCCTATCACGAGAACAGCGTGGGGGAAATTGCCCTTACGATGCAATCACCTCCCACCCGGTCTCTCCCTCAACACCTGGAGATTACAATTCAAGATGAGAGTTAGGTGGGGACACAGAGCCAAACCATATCATTAATGCAATTTATAAAGCATTTTTTAAACAAGGGTACACATTCAAAAAGAACAGTCCTGTTCAACCCTCATTCTGTAAACAGGGCACCATTTTCTTGGTCTAATGTCTCTAAGTGGAGATAGAGAATCCATAAACAGTTGGGTCTGCTGGTATAAATATTTCTTCTAAACCCCAAGTGTGTGAGTGTGTATGGCTCCGGTGGGCTGGAAATTAACTTACTATTTTATAAAATGGCAAAACTACTGGGTGTGATAAGTGACATAAATTATGCATTGAGATAAATTACGTACAAATTACCAAGCAATTAACATACACAGGTATCTTTCTTATTTCTTCTGTTGTTCATTACATTAAATGCACCTGTGAAAGCTTATAGACATGTTTTTGTTTTAGGGAAAAATCTGGGTGAAGAAGAAAACAAATAACAAAATAAATTATAAATCATGCGTAGAACTGCACTGCCACTTGATTTACACGAGGACTGGCTACTTTATTGTGGCTGCCATTAAAAAGGAAAATCACCATTTTTTCTGTGGGCTTACAATCTGTTTACCACTGAGATGGGTACATTAGATGTATTATCTGATTTTACCCTCACAGCAAACTTATGTACAGATGAAGAAATAGAAAGTAGAGGAATTAGAATAACTTGCCCAAAGCCAAACAATGATTAACTAGTTAAGCCTGCAGATTCAACAAGGTACTAGAATACAAGGCATGGAAGAAAAATGGTCCATGAATATGCTGCTGGTTTCTCACTCAACCTCACCTCTGAGTTTTGTAGGGGCATTGCCACATTTCAATGACTTCCTAAATTCATTGTGTCCAAATTAAACTCAGAGTTTTTTAAATGATCCCTTTAATCTTGTGACCCCCAAATGTATTTAATATCTCACATGCCCAGACTCCTACATTCAAATTTCTAATTACCTGTGATGGCTCTTCCAAGGTGACACAGGCACCTCAAATCAATGTTAAGCAAATTGATCATTTTCTTCATGCCTATCTCACCCCCAAAATTCTCAGTCACTAGCACTGCCCTCCATCTAGTCACCCAAGCTAGACCTTGGGGTGTCTTTCCTGACTTTCCTCCTCTATATCACTTCCTCTATCAGTCAATCACTAAGTGCTACAGATCTCACCTCCTTTATATCTCTCTGGAGATAGACACAAAAAGTAGACAGCCAAGTGGATAGCTTGGAAAAAGGGGCAGACTCCCCAAGGCAGGCAACTATAAATATGCAGCTGGTGGAACTCTTCCATGGTGGGATGAATGCCCTGTAGAATGGCCACAACAGCACGCATCTCTGCTCTGCTGATAAGGGACTTTCATAGACCTCCTGGCTGCTGGGAGGAACACAGAAACTTCTAGGCTGCCTACTGCTCCAGTCAATTGCCTACCTTCCACAGGTAACTTTAAATGTTAAAAATAACAAACAAACCCCAAATAGAAAACCTTTCTTGCTGCTTTCTTAGGACTCTGCTGTTTCACTCCTCAATGCCCCCACCATGTGAATACACTCTCCCACACATTCCCTATTTTATTCAATTTATTCGCAGCTACTCTGATTTGGTAAAGCAGGTGTTTTCTTACTTTACAGCAATGATTCTCAATCTTGTTTGCACATGAGAATCACCTGGGGGACTTTTAAAATTTACAAACGCTTGGGCCCCACCCCAGAGCAATTAACTCATAATCTTTGGAGCATGGATTGTTTCATCGGTCTTTAATAAAAGCTCCTCAAATGATTCCAGTTGGTAGCCAGATTTGAGAGTCACCACCCATAAGCCTGAATGAACCAAGGCTATGGCTTAATGTGACAGTTAGTGCCCATATATAGAAAATTATAAATTGTCAGCTTACAATTTTAAAATAAATTTGAAAAAAGTGAGCTCACCACCATGTTCACCACTGCCTCAATTTACATGCAAAGCAAGTACAGAAAAATGCACACCTGTATGTCATGATGTGCTAAATTGAATGGCTGCAAGTAGTAATAACTTCTGTGACGGGAAGAACTAGCTCCTTACCATAACGCCGCAATTTGGATCTAAGGGCATGAGCCTGTTGCGGCCACTGAGGACTATGAAACCCCAGCTAGTGTAAATTGTGACTTTGTAGCCCAAGAGAAATGATAACCAGAGAAATTTTTATTTCAGGAACTGGCTCAGTATTTTCTATAGTTTCCTGGCTCAGTATGTTCTGTAATGACTGTGTCATCTCCTCAACTGCTTTCCCACAACTTCATACATGCGATGCTCAATTTCTTATGGAGCTTCTTTATTCTATGCTTCATCGATTTCCCTATATCTCTTACATCTTCCTCCAGCACCTGGGTAGATTTACCTGCCTAGTCAGTCATACTTTGTGTATTCTCAGAGAAATAGAGTCCATGAATATGCTCTGGTTTTTTACTCAACCTCACTTCTGAGTTTTGTAGGGGCATTGCTACATTCCAATGACTTCCTAAATTCATTGTGTCCAAAATAAAACTCAAAAGAGTTTTTCAACGATCCCTTTAATCTGTGACCCCCAAGTCTATTTAATTTCTCATATGCCGACTCCTACATTCAAATATCTAATTACCTGTGATGGCTCCTCCAAGGTTACACAGGGACCTCAAATCAATGTGTCCAAAAGCAAATTGATCATTTTCTTCATGTCTATTTCACCTCCAAAATTCTCAGTCACTAGCACTGCCTCCATCTAGTCAACCAAGCTAGAACTTGGGGTGTCTTTCTTGACTTTCCCCCTCTACATCACTTCCCCTTGTCAGCCAACCACTAAGTGCTGTAGACCTCACCTCCTTTATATCTCTCTGCTACCATCCTCTTCAGCACTCCTGTCCCTCCCCTCTCATATGAACTACTCCAGTGCCTCAAGCTCCTAGTATTGTCTTTCTTAAACCAATTGGCTATAAAACTGCCAGAGTGTAAAAGGTAAAAAGCTGTCTGACTGCCCTCTTAACTTCAGTGTCTCTCGAGGGCAGGATAAAGTCCTTTCTCTTCAGGTGGCCATGGGCCTCTCTGCAGACTGTCATCTGCCTTCCTCTCCACTTACAACTTTCTACTCTCTGCCTAGAACTCAATTCCCCAGAAGTAACATTTTGTTTGTTGCTCCTCTCCGACATGCTTTGCAACCTGTGCCTGTGGCCTTCTGCTTTTTGCTTGACTAACTCCTGCCCATCACCTAAGACTCATTTCTGTTACATTCTCTTCCAGAAAATGGCACCTTGTTTCCATTGACTTATGGGTTCTTTGCTTTTTGAAATATTCTGTGCAATTTTCTATCATTAGACTTATAACATGGTATTATAATTAATCATTCTTCTCTATAACCTGAGTGTCTTGAATTCGGTGAATGTACTCTGCATCCTCAGCACTAAGACAGAGCCTGGCACTCAAAAAATGAATGAATTCCTTCAGGGAACTCAGTATCTGATGCTTCCACAGTACTTACTAACTTCTGTTGGGTTTACTGTGTCCTTCCTCTGTCTCTGCAACTAATCATTAACTCTGGGAGAGCTGTCAAAGGCTGGGTCTTTGTTTCTTTAGTGTTAGCCAAATTGACTAACGATGAATAGGTGTTGTATCAGTGACAATGAAAAGAAAGGAGGAAAAGAAGGAAGAAGGAAGGAAGGTCCAATTTCTATACAGTTGTTCAGTGCAATTTAAAACTTTAAACATTAAAAATTCAAGTAAAATTTGTAATGTTATCCTTCTGTACTCAAGCAAATAAAAAACAAAGATTCCTAACATTTCAAGAGATAGTTACATCTTCACATTGCTGACTGTAAATAGAATATTTGTTTTCTAATATTCTAGCGCTGGATCATTATAAGATTCTGAAAATGATCATTAATTTAATTGATAAAAAATGGAAGGAAGCAGTTCCCTTTATAAATATGAATGGACAGAGACATACTAGAGTGACTACTGAGGAAAACTGGAACTTCTGTTGCACATAAATATAGCATGAGTCATTTATCTTTTTAGTTCAAGTACAGAATTGTTGAAATTATGACATTAATTGATGCAAAATCCCAAATATCAATGATGAGCCATTCAATAACAGTAGGTATATTTAAA
This sequence comes from Homo sapiens, assembly GCF_000001405.40. Lineage (NCBI taxonomy): Eukaryota > Metazoa > Chordata > Mammalia > Primates > Hominidae > Homo > Homo sapiens. The sequence goes on along the minus strand of NC_000018.10, from coordinate 54,749,963 downwards.
AGCTTGTCTCTATGGATTTCTAAACAGTATTTATTTTTAAAAGTCCAAAACAAAGAGCACAATTACTAACAGGTATTAATTGACAGTATAAAACACAGCTAACATTATTAGAGCTTGAAGCAAAACAAAAAAACAACCAACCCCCCACCCAAATCCAAAGCCTCTATTTTACACTTATGAATATTAGAAAAATGTTATTCCTTTCTTCCTTCTGTATTAGCTCTCCTTATCTCAAGATAAGTCGCTAATAATTGTAGCTTTCTTTGGACTCTTTTATCCCACTCAGTAGCTTTTAAAAAATATAACATTCTTTTTAGAAATAAAAAAATTGTTTTTCAGTTTTCTTTGTAGGTGGAAGTGAAACACAATCTAGAGAACTCCTCTGCAATCTCTGATAATACAGTTGAGTAGGAGGGTAACTCATTAGGAATTACCAGATGTTGGCACCTGTCGTAAGGAGTTAGGATCTGTGAGCCAAAACTCCTTTGGCTGAGGATATACCCCAGCAGGTCTTACAGACTGAGAGTTAGAGCAAGGGATTTGGGCTGGAAGGAATGCCTTTGGTGAAGTCAAGCTGCCACTGGGGCTCAGAAAATGATTCTCCAAAACCTGGCGTTTCAGCATGCGAGTGCTTTGAAAATGGAAAGGCCATAGAAATAAGCCTAAGAACCAAGTTCTCTCTCTGACTTTCCCCTACCTCCCTGTCTCTCAGATCCTCTTTCCAGAATCACTGGAAGGGACTCTTTCTGAAATTTTCTTATCTAAGGAAGATTCTTTGCAAAAGAAATGCGATTGTCTTAAGGCCCCTTCCCTAGAAACCTCATCAGATAACCAGGAAGGATCACACCAAGGAAGAAGAAAAGAGATTGGGAGTCATCACCATGCCCAGACAGTCTTTTCACCTATTCTTCTAAGGGCAACTCCCAGAAGTTACCTGGGGAACTTTACCTGCATAATAAGACAACCCGTGTTCTGCCCCTCACCTTCCATAATTTGTCCCATCCATCTTTCACAGAGAATCAGAGAATAGTTTACAAAATGATGTCTGCCTCCTGGGTCTGTACACCTTTCTTCTATGAAGAGCATATGTGAACCTCAACCATTTAGTTCCTCTTTGAGTTTCATACTTTGGGTATGGCTTCTGTGTCCACACATGCATTAAAATAAATGCTGTATACCTTTTTCATCTATTAATCTGTCTTTTGTCAGTTCATTTTCAGTGAACCTATAAAGGACAGATGGGAAGCTTTCCTTTGACCCCATCACCACTGTTTGTGAAAATGCAATGTCTATGCATCTGTGTCAGAATCACCTGAGTTACTCATTAAACATGCAAATTTGTGCCTCAACCCAGGTTGGGTCCATCTATCTGCATTTTACCAGCCTCCCCAGGAGACTCATAGTCCCACTATAGTCTGAGACCATGTTTTAAGCCTTACACAAAATATCTGTAACTACTGCCTTTTTTCACACTCAAGAGGACCACACTGTTTTAGGGAGTTTTAAATCAATGTAAACTTGAGTGATTCATTTGGAAATGGTTGTATTTTATTAATAAGAAATTATTTGTGACATATATCATAGTGAATCCCAGTGTGTTAAGGCATAGAAGTGAGAACTGCTGTGAGGTTCTGGGAGAATCTATATCATCAAATTCCGACAATAATCATTCTGACTTCTACAGAGCACTCCAAAGTCCCTTTAGTGCTTATATCTTTATCACACCATCCTCACAGGAAATGTGTAAATTCTTAAGAGAACTCAGATGATTTTGTAGATATAATTAAATATTATAATTTTAAATAGAATAGGATCAACCACTGAGAAAGTCTTGTTTTTGTTTAGTTTTTTGTTTTTGAGACAAGGTCTCACTCTATTGCTCAGGCTGGAGTGCAGTGGCACCATCTCATCTCATTGCAACCTTCACTTCCCTGGGCTCAAGTCATCCTCCCACCCTAGCCTCCCAGGTAGTTGGGACAACAGCAACATCACCAAGCATGGCTAATTTTTGTATTTTTTGCAAAGATGGGGTTTTACTATGTTGTCCAGGCTGGTCTCGAACTCCTGGGTTCAAGTGACCTGCCTTCCTTGGTCTCCCAAAGTACTGGGACTATAGGCAGGAGCCACCAAGCCCAGCCGAGAAACATTTAATAAAGTCTTTATGCACAAAATCTTTATGAGAACATAAAATACTCAAGCTGCAAAGTTCTAATTACACAATTTAATAACTAACATTGGCTCTGAAACCCACGCATATTTTGGAAAATCATAATTATTTGGTAGGCAAAGTATGAGAAGCAAAAGAATTTAAATGAACTCATATACATGCAGGTGGGCACATACACACAAACACATGTGCACTGAAATGTCAAGACCTATTATTCAGATTTTGTTTAAAAGTCTTCTCACACTCCTCAGACTGAATTATCCACTGTGGTCATTCATTAAGCATCATCAGCCATCTTTCTCAATTCACAATTCATATCCATGGCAAAATGGCATTGGTATTACCCAGGTTTTTATTTTTGTTTAAATCTATTTAAGACTAAAACAAAATGAATGTATTAAAAGGACTTTGCTAGTTTATCCACGTCATTTGGAAGTAGGCCATAGATATTAACAATCACTATTATATTAACTAGTATTCTTCTATAAGGTAATATGGAGAGTGAGACATTGGGCTGGCAAATTTTCATCATCAGGAGGGGACAGAAAAAGTTACGCAAGATAGATTTCTTCTTTCACAAGCAAAAATGAAGGCAGTTGAGGAGAAACTTGAGGCTATATAGGATTGGAGATTGTGGGGAGGAGGTCCTGCTCTATGGAGAGTAGGCTGGGGTGTAACAAAGCCAAACATAAAAATCCTGTCTTGGTCTTGCCTGGCAAAACTTTATAAAATAATCCAAAGCAGATACACATTTTTTAGATACATGGAGACTGATTTTATTTTATTTACAGGGAAACATTAAATCTCTGTACTGTTTTTCTTCACTATCAGGAAGCATATTCTCATCATAGCCCCTAAGCCAGAATTCTTAGATAAAGGTTGGTTTGTGTTATATAAGTTAGTATGTTACTTGAGGCCAAATCATTATGAAATGCAAGTATACAAAAAGTGAATTGTGGATTGAGTATAATAAGAAATCTTATGCATTAAGTATTTAACACACACCAGCCATTTTGCTAAGTGCTTTACATATACTGATTGTGTTTCCATCATAATTCTGTGATGAAGGCACTATTATTCTCTCAATTTTTTGGATGACAAAACAAAGGCTAATTAAAGTAAAGAAGGACAGCAGGTAGGTACTAGAGCCTGAATCTGCATCAAAGCTGATTTATTCCAGCCTCTCTATCTTAATAGTAAGCTTGAATGCCTCCAAAGACGAAAAGAGTGTTAACTACATAAAAACAATAAGTTGTAAGATTCTTATATCTACAAGCATCTCTGATCTGTATAAAATAAGGCCAAATTTGTTTTTCAAAAATGCTTGCAATATTTCAGGAAGCTTTTCATGGAATAAAGTATGACCCATGTAGCAATACTTCAAAACAAGTCTTTAAAGATTATTGACACCACTGAGGGCTCAGGTCTTACCACAAATCCTCCCAATAGCAGTAACATTCTTACCGTCCAGAAACCAAAGTCAACTTCCTGATTTTTGTCTCATCCGACCGGCAATTAGGAGTCTTACCTCATACCTGAGATCTAACTTATGGATATTCTTGCCATCTGATGACACTGGCGTAATCTTCAAGTTTTTCTTCAGTTGTGGACTATTTCATTTTTAGAGGGAATCCCTACTAATTTCAGTCTTCTCAAACAAAGACTAAAACTTGTCAGTGCACCTCCTTGTCCACCTGCATCTCCTTGAAGCTTCATCTCACATATCAATATCTTGTGGCATGCTTCACCCATATAGAGTGAGACCGCCTCCCTTCTCAGTTTTCATAGCATCCTGCATATCTGTATCCTGTGATTGGCATCGCTGTATATTAGTTGCTATTTCATCAACCAGACTGCAGTATCCATCTTTGTATCTATTTATCTTGGCCAGCAGTGTAGCTAATAAATATTTATAAATACTTATATTTATTTTATTAAATATTATAAATAATAATATATAATATAATAAATATAAATATTTAATATTTATAAATACTTATATATAAATAATAAATATTTATAAATACTTATATTTATAAATATTTATGAATACATATCCCAATAAATATTTACTGATTGACAGTGTGAATGCTTCTAATGACTCTTTTAAAAATTTTTTTGCTTTTATTTTTATTAATGTTTTTAGAAGCTGATGGTTATTTTTCATCAAGCTTATTTCCATCTTGCTTTAGAGTCTGTGGAAGAACAGCTTAAGACCTCTCAGTGGTTGTTCCTACCCATCTGGTGGCCTGAGCAGTCGAGTTGCAGACCAGGCTTCTGTGGCAGGCCAAGAGCTCCAGTCTTGAGTAGGGAACTGCTGAGTGGGCCCAGAGGTATCTGCAGGCTGAGTAGCAGTGAACTCAAGATATGCAGCAGTCTAGTTACCCTGAAATTCCTCCTGGGAATTTCAGCCACAGCCTGCTCTTCCTATTCAATCTCTTCAGGATCCCTGTAGAAGTAGTGATCAGGCATGACCTCCCATGGGCGTTCACGGGAGATGATGCCATGCTTATGCAGAACTTCCCAGGCTGGCATCCACCATGTCAGGCCCACTGAGGGGCCTCTCTTGTTGTTACATGGGATGGCAATGTCCACACAGCAAAGAGGAGAATCTGTGTGACCCAGAGCAATGGTAGGCAGGTTAGTGTAAGATGCCTGTGTGAGAGGCTGGGATCGGTAACCACCAGCAGACGCAGCTCCTGGAAGGCTGCCTGGATCTGGTGCGGGAAGGTTCCAGGAGCAAAGTGGCCAGCAATAGGAGTGACTCAAGTGGTAGCAGCAAACTTCAGCAAAGCCCACTTGCCAGTGTTCCTGGAGAATATGACACTGAATCAGCAGGGCTTTCAACAGTGATGATGGCATGAGCCACCAGCAGAAGCTTCTCCCAGGTCCTCTTCAGATTTAGGATGCAGATGCCATCACTTTTCCTTTTGCAGATGTACTGTTCCACTTGGAAGTCAATCTTGGTGCCACCCAAGTGAGTTCCTGCTGCAAGAAATTTGAGGACATCCTCCTCTTTCATGTTCAGGACATCACAGGTTCTGGCCATTGTAAAAGTTTCCCTTTAAGTTCTGAGAGGAATTCAGAATAATGTCATATGGACCCTCTCTGGGTAATATGGAAAGGCTACTATTATTTTTAACTGACACATAATTATTGTACATAATTATGGGGTATATTGTGATAGTTCAATACATGTATACAATGTATACGTAATGATCAAATAAGAATAATTATCATATCCATTACCCCAAACATTTGTCATTTGTGTGTATGTGATGAAAAGAATGTTTTCTGAAATATTTTTCTTCCTCAGATAGCCTTGGGCCTGACCCTCTCTATATTCTCCTTCAAAAAGAAACAAGCTGTTGGGTCTAGATTGCTAATGATGAGATATAGTCACCTATTGTCTAAGCCTCAAAATGCTAGAATATCAGTATAGCCCAAATCTTAAAGGAAAATAAAAACAGGTTTTTATCTTCTCTTAGAAGATTTCTTTATCACATTTTGAAATAAAAATAAATAACTAAAACTTTGCCCTAAAATGAGACAGGAAAGGTAGAAGAAATATTAAGCATCCAAATCTGCTAATCATTTTGAATGGGTCCAATATGAGCTACCTAGGAGATATACAAGTAGCCATGGCTCACACACTTTCCAATGAATGAAATCAATCTATCTTCTTCATATAACATTTATTCACTGTTGATTTTAATAAGTTAGTACAATGGTAAAAAGAACAGATTCAGGCAAATTGCTTGGCCCAAATTATCTCGAGGGATGATTGCTGGATATAAATTACATCAGAATCACTCCTCTAGGCACTGGTTTTCACCACTAACATCTCTTGTCTGGACTGTGATGTGATATCTCTGTAACTGGTCTGTGCTTCTCCCCACCTCCCTTACGGTCGATTTCCTAAGGGCACTCAAGTGAACCATTAACACGTGACAGAGCATGTCTCTTATTTTTCCCACCTCTTCAAGGGTTTCTCATCTCACTGGGCATAAAGGCCACAGTTCTATCAAGGATCTATGAGCTGATTCGCTCTGTCCACTCTGGCTCTTTGTTGTGTATCTGATCTCACCTCCTATTACTCTCCTCTCTCCCTCTTTATTCTAGCCATATTTACCTTCTTGCTCTTCCTGGAATGTGACAAACACACTGCTATGCAAGGACCAGGCATCCACCAGTCATCATTCCCTCTGCCTTAGGTGCTTTTTCCCGCATTTATTGTCTGAATGGCTCATTCCCTCACTGATCTCAGGACTCTGCCTAAGTTCCACATGGACTGAGTTTTCCTCACTCATGATTCAATGGAAATCAGCTCCTACTCTCTCGGCCCTTGATCTTCATTAATTATTCACATCTGACATATTATAGCTGCATTTCCATATTTGCATTGTACTGTCTGGAGCTCCAAGATAACAGGAACTCTATTATCAGCCCCTAGAAGAGGATCTGATTCATAGTAGGAACTCAATCAATATGGGCTGAATGAATAATAGAATACCACCACAAAAAGAGCTTCTAATTCAGTTATGTTAATATAGTGACATAAAATGCTGAAAATTACAGTGACACAAAATGTTGAAAACTACAGTATGTAAAAGCTAAATAGCACAATAGCTGAATGAGATGCTGCAGAGTAGTGTGGAATTAAGGACCAGATACAAAATCATTGGCTTAGGCAATAAGAGTGGGTGTCCAAGAATGCTTGAGATTATGTTATACAGGACCAGGAAGAAAAGTGATCTTCTCTGTTTCTATCTAGGCTTGAAAATCTTGTTCCAAATTGGAAGACACACTTCTGAGGATTGCCAGCAACTTCTGCAGGCTTCCAAAAGTAGTACATGGTCTGGTCATCCTGCCAAAAGCTGACCTCACAGGGTGAGTTGACATAGATGCAAAATTTGCAAGGCTTTCCTGCACACTTTAGGAGTCATGAGCCCTATTATCAAGGTCCTGGGATATGGCCAACATCCACAGAGGAAAGCACAGTGTTATGCAACTGGAAGCTTTTGGTCTTCATATGCAAGTGGGCAGCATCCTCCTTGTGGTTAGACTCCAGGGATTTGCTGTTTTCTGTCTCACAGTCTAGAAACATAGAAAATCTGGAAGCCAGACTGCCTTACACCTACCACTCAGCTGTCTTCAGGGCACTTGTTCTCATAATTACTTGCTTTATACTCAGAAAATGCAAATAAACTTGATTATTAGCAGAGGCAAAACACAGAAATGAAGGCCAATCTATTGCAGACATAGCAAATGTATTCTTAGTAAATAAATTACAAATGATTTAAATGACCTTATACTTTATAACATTTGTATGACTGACCCCAACTTCCTCCTGCCTTCCGTTCTGATAGATTTAAGTAACATCATGTACATGTACTTTTAGGTTTTTGAAAAACAAGCTAGGATGCTTATAAACTCAGAAAGATGAAACTGCTTCCAGGCAATTTAATCATCAAATAAACCGCATGTACGATAATGACTTCAACACTGTATTCCACCCACCATTACGACTGCCAGAAAGGTCTCTCCTGTAAGTTTCCTGAAGGACAGTGTTACAAGAGGCTTACAGTTTCCTCCAGGGTGATAATTAAGTCATTTTGCAAACAATTGCCTTAAAGGCTTTCTCCTGGTCATTTGTCCTAATCAGAAAAATAAGACTGCTTTAGATTCTCTTTCCCTTTCAAGCTTTGCATATGAAAACATTCACTCCTCTATGAAAAGCTGCATTAACTTTTACACTGAAATATACTTTTATTTGTAGCACAAGCCTTCAGGCCAAAACAAACCCCTTAAGACTGATTTTGCCAGAAGGTAGAATGTCAGAATCCTCAGAGCTTGTTTTTGCAAGTATTTAACTCTAGACTATGTCTTCAGATATTATAGAGGCCTTGACTTCTTACCTACTGCCAGCTTAGGCAAAAGGAGAACTAAGCCATTGCCAGGAGGTAGGTCACTTTTTACTTAAAGAAAGCTTAGAGGCCAGGTACAGTGGTTCACCCCTGTAATCTCAGCACTTTGGGAGATGGAGGTGGGTGGACTGCTTGAGCCCAGAGTTCAAGACCAGCTTGGGCAACATGGTGAGACCCTCTCTCTACAAAAAATACAAACAAACAAAAAATTAGCTGGGCATGGTGGTGCATGCCTGTAATCCCAGCCACTTGGGAGGCTGGGGTGGGAGGATGGCTTGAGCCCAAGAGTCAGAGGTTGTAGTGAGCTGAGATTGTACCACTGCACTCCAACCTGTGCAACACAGCGAGGCCCTGTCTCAAAAAAAGAAGAAAAAAAGAGCTTAGAGTTCTTGGTTCAGCAGCACAGTACATAAGATTGGAATGATTCTTAGTAGCTTCTCATGGCCACTATATTTCTTAAAAGCCAGATGCACAACAGTGAACTTAGTATACTAACTTTTTTGTGACAAAAGGGAGGAAATAATATACATTCATCTTTGACTGTATTGGCAAATGGAAACACTGAATAGGTGATAAACCTCTTTAGCTTTAAGGAACAGGGCTGTGGGTGACATGGTGGGATGGGCGGAGGAATGTAGGTGAGTGTTCTAATGTTGTCCTTTTGTATTTTTCAAGTTTTGATTTACTAATTCAAAATTTAAAGGGTCTCATAGGAAGATATGGTCTTAGTAACATTTAACTGTATTTTACCTTATCTTTGAAAATTATTGTGATACCACTTGCCTCTTAGGTTTTGTATGCTAGGGACACTATTTAGTATCCATGACTTCCGGAATAAATGCTTTTTATGAAAGTAGGTTATTAGATTATCATCATGACCAAAAACCTAGGTAGAGTTTATTGAAAATAAAGACCAAGTTTTAGTCTTGTCATATGTTTTCATCAATTTCTCAGCCTCCTTTCTTCTGTTAATAAAAATGCACTAGCAGTAAAATCTCCTCATTTCATTCTTTATATTATCTATCTATCGATCTATCATCTATCTATCTATCTATCATCTGTCTATGTCTATCTATCACTTAGTGAGAGCCTGCTATATACTGGCTTATATATCCCAAGCTTTACATTTTACAAATGAAGGAAGCTGTGGCTCAGAACTTTTAAGAGACTTGCCAAAGTTGCTGATCCAGCATGTATACCTAGATCTAACTAATTAGAAAGCTCTCACTGTGCCAACAGGACCACTTTAGCCACTCCTAGGTCATGATTCTACTTGAGAGAAAGTGACATGTTGACTGGAGACATTCCACTGTCAAGCTGTGGAAACTCAGGCAGGTATCCTATAAATAAAACATTGGAAAGAAGGTCCTCATTTCCTTTCTTGTTCTAATATCCAGATGAGTTACGTTAGATTGCTCTCTTTAATAAAAATAGGTTCTGGAAATTTGTGTTGGAAAAAATGGTCTGAATACTAAAATGTTTATTCAACGTAAGGATTGCAAGAATGACTCATCATTTCCTTCATATCCCTGAGGCTCTATAACTCTTTCTATTTAGACATCTAAGGGGTTAGGAGGACAATGTCTGAGAATTGTTTCATTATCTGGGGATGAGCTAATAGAAACTATAAGAAATAATCATTCTTATAGGAAGATCCTTAACATTACTGCCTTATCCAGAATCAATCAAGTAACTGAATTTTAATAATTGTAGCCATGAGATGAATTCTTCCTCCATGAACTTGTTACCAGACCATGAACAAACCATAAAAGACAATAATAGGTAAGTGGGACTATATCAAATTAAGCTGTTATGAAAATAAAGAGGCAAGCTGCAGAATGAGAGAAGAACATATTTGCAATACATATATCTTACAAACAATTTGTATCCAGAATATATAGATAACTCTTACACATCTACATGGGCAAATGATTTGAGTAGACATTTCTCAAAAGAAAATATATGAATGTCTAATAAGCTCACATAAAGAAGCTCAATACCATTAGGACTTCGAAGAAATGCAAATTAATCACAGTGAGATACCACTACATACCCACTAGAAGGGTTAAACTTAAAAATATTAAGAATACGAAATGCTGATGGGAATGTGGAGAAACTATTTGTACTGGAGAAAGTAAAATGCAACAATCACTTTGGAATAAAATTTGGCAGCTTCTTACAAAGCTAAATGTACACTTAGCATGTGGCTCAGCCATTCCACTCTTAGGTATTCACCAAGAGAAATAAAAATGTGCCACACAAAGATTTGAAGATCAAAGGTCATAGCAACTTTATTCATAGCAGCAAAAAAAAAAAAGAAAGAAAAAAAGAAAGAAAGAATTTAAGGGTACATCAACAGGAGAATGGATTTTAAAAAGGTAGTATTTCTTTCTTTCTTTTTTTTTTTTTTTTTGAGATGGAGTTTCGCTCTTGTTGCCCAGGCTGGAGTGCAATGGCAGGATCTCAGCTCACTGTAACCTCCGCCTACCAGGTTCAAGCAATTCTTATGCCTCAGCATCCCAAGTAGATGGGATTACAGGCACCCACCACCACGCCTGGCTAACTTTTTGTATTTTTAGTAGGGATGGGGTTTCACCATGTTGGCCAGGCTGGTCTGAAACTCCTGACCTCAGGTGATCCACCCGCTTCAGCCTCCCAAAGTGCTGGGATTACAGGCATGAGCCACCACACCTGGCCAAAAGGTAGTATTTCTATATGGTGGAATACTATTGAGTACTAATAAATTAAAATGAAACAACACACAGCAAAACTCAAAAACATGACATGGAGTGAAAGCAGACATACACAAAAGCATACATATTGTATGATGCATTTATATGTAATTCCACAGAAGGCAAATCAACTTGCAGTGACAAATAGCATATTAAAGGCAGCCCAAGGCTAGGGTTGACTGCAAAGAAGCATCAGGGAAATTTGGGGGGTGATAATATTCTCTATCTTGAAGACACCCATAGTTACACAGAGATATACATTTCTCAAGACTCATTGAGTTGTACAATTAAAATAAATGAGGCTTATTTTAGGTAAAGTATATTATAACAAAATTGTTTCATGAAAAACATTCAAGTAAGTTTTGTTCCACAACTAGCAAAAGGTGCAGATCAAATTAAAAAACAGATGAATGTGGTTATGTTCTAAAAAGGGATTTAAGGTAGAGGTACGTTATGGAAAAATCTGATTGCAATGTCTGGGATATGATAGGTGTATTAGTCCATTTTCACACTGCTGTAAAGAACTTCCCTGGGACTGGGTAATTTATAAAGAAAGGGGTTTAATTGACTCACAGTTCTGCATGGGTGGGGAAGCATCAGGAAACTTACAATCATGGTGGAAGGGGAATCAGGCATGTTTTACATGGCAGCAAGTGAGAGAGACAGCAAGAGAGGAAACCGCCACTTAAAAAACCATCAGATCTCACGAGAACTGATTCACTATCACGAGAACAGCATGGGAGAAACCACCCCCATGATCCAGTCACCTCCCACCAGATCCCTCCCTCAATACATGGGGATTATGGGGATTATAATTTGAGATGAGATTTGGGTGGGGACACGGAGCCCAACCATATCAATGGGTGATCAACAAATATTCATTTCCTCCTCTTTTCCAGTTATTCTTATGTGGAAAATGTAAGCAATGTATTCAAAGGCAGTCAGCTATAAAATAAATAATGAGAAATATATGCAGAAAGACAAGATTATGACTCAGTGGTTAGTCATCTAAGAACAATCAGAGGAGTCTAGTATAATACGTAGGCTCTTCTCTCTTACAAACCTGTGATTTCTCTTTACCTTCCGAAGTCTGGCATCTCTCTTTTTTTATTGTACCCATTCAGCAGGTAGCATATATTTTCTACATTGACCATTACATTTTTAAGCACACATTTTTCTTGTTCAACTTTGTCACAAGTTTCTAGAAGGCAAGAAGTATGTCTGACACCTCTTTTTATGGCTGATTTGAACCTAGTTGGTGTTCGATAAAAGTTGAACATATTATAAATGATTATATTGATATTCTTATGTTTGAAAAATCTTGCCTCTTCAATATTATTTAGTCAAATAATTTAGATATGGTCACATCCATTTGAAGTGAAAAATTCATTTATTTAAGAGAAAAAGTCATTTAAAGATTTCTCCTTTCTCCTATGTTCACATTCATTTTTTTCACTTGTTTATTCTTTCAATAAACATGTATTGAGCATCTCTCTTTGCCAGGCACTGCAGTAAGTGCTGGAAATACAAAGATTATTTTGTGCTCACATTCGAGAAAGATGCCAAACCCAGCAACACGTATTTCTAACAGAGTTGGATAAATATATCCTAAGAGATATGTGGAAAGGAAGAGAGATGATGCCAAGATGTACCAGATAAACTTCAAAATTAAATTTTGATCAATCTACTCATTAGCTAATATAAAACTCTGCAATCAAATTTAATGTTATTTAGGTATCTTAATGTAGATGGCCTATAACTGAAACTATAAATAAAGGTTGAGTTACTTTTGGCAATAAAATTGTGGTTGTTATTCTAGACAAAGGGAGTAGCCTCTTTCTCTTCTTGATGCCTAAAGTCAATAAGCCCATCCAAGATTTAACTCTTAACCCATCCAGGGAAGAAGCCTTGTGTGCATAAGACAACCCAGAGAGTCAACAGTGAATGAGTAAACTATGATATGGTTCGAAACTGACCTTTGTGGAAAGTCCATGACTATGTAAGTAGTTTTTTTTTCCACAGAGAGAATCATTTTGAGCAATTGTGAATGAGAAGCATGTCATTTGGAGGTGGTTTACTTATGCAGTCTTCTGTTGCAATTTGATGTATGAAGATAATCTGCACCAATTTGTTCTCTTTCTTTTTGCCACAAAAGGAAATAACATTTAAAAACTGTTCTTTCGAGTCCCTAAGACTTCCCATTCCTCATTATTACATCCCATGGGTGAGTGTACATTTCTCTTTGGCAAAACATAGCTTATTTGTTCAAACTTTGCCATTACATACGACACTCCAGCAGTGTCCTATCCAATGAAAAACTCAAACGCTTATGCTATCTCTTTTGTCAGGGCTTTTCTACATGATATCTCCTTCCTGAAATTCCTCACTCAATTCCCTCCAAAACCCCCCTTAGCCTAGAAAATTCCTACTTATCCTCTGGTCTTATCGAAATATCACTTTCTTGGAGATGACTTTCTTGACTGCATCCTCCACACACACACCCAGAGACTAAAGAAGGCTTCCCTTTGTACTTCTTCATGCAATTTATTAATTAGTTATTCATTTTCTATCTTCCTTATCAGTCTGCACCCTCCAGATGGGAAGACCCTGTTTCTATCTTGTTCATGTAATAGGCACCTAATAGCTATTAATAGCCTTTTTTTTTTACTAAATGAAGAAATTTACAACAATAATGAAATTCAAGGAAATAAGACTTTCATTTTGCTAATGAGAAAACCATGGTAAAGTAGTTCTTTATTATAAAGTTAACTATCTCCATTTTAATAACATCCAATTAGATAATGTTGTATTTCCTTACTGCACTATTGGGTGCTATTATAAAACTAGGTTCTATTGAATACGAAAGTTACTTTTGCAGCAATTCCGTTTCATCATAATCGAGCATAGAAAAATAAAATTCTACATGAAGCAAAAGGCAGCACAAATTTTCTTAGATACTGCGGTTGCCTTACCTCACATCTTCCCATTTTGACCCTACTCAGTTTTATCAGACCATTCACAAATATCCCAACTTGCATGGTTTTGTAGAGGTTAACTGAATCAACCCCTATGAAACCAAGTAAACCAAGTAATACATACTATATTTTGGTAATATTATACATTTTTTAAAGTGTGTGTTGCTCTAAAGCCACTTCTTTAAAATGTGACACTACCAAAAATATTATGTATCATTTGGTTTACTCATAAAATTATCCAGTTTGGCATGGTCCTGATATATGAAAAGTCCTTTCATGCAACAGGCATTTACTACCTAATTTTACTTTTAAATGGTTATAAATTCTATCACAAAAGTGTCAGCTGGGAGTGGTGACTCACACCTCTAATCCCAGCACCTTGGGAGGCCAAGGTGGGTGGATCACCTGAGGTCAAGAGTTCAAGACCAGCCTGGCCAACATGGCGAAACCCTTTGTCTACTAAAAATATAAAAAAATAAAAAATTAACTGGGTATGGTGGCAGGTGCCTGTAATCCCAGCTACTCAGGAGGCTGCAGCAGAAGAATTGCTTGAACCCAGGAGGCGGAGGTTGCAGTGAGCTGAGATGTACTCCAGCCTGGGCAACAGAGTGAAACACCATCTCAAAAAAAAAGTGTCAGAAAAATTATCTGAAATAAGGCAAAAATGTGGTCAGCATGTTCCAGTAATATCATATAAGGGCCATGGTCACCCATGCATCGTCTAGATAGGCACAGCTCTGTCCCAGATAAATTTCTGTGATGTACAGTGTGGTAGCCTCAGAAAGTGTAGTTACTGAGCACAAGAAAAGTGGAGAGTGTGACTGAAGAACTGCTTTTTACATTATATTTCATTTTAATTAATTTAAATTTACATTTAAGTAGCCACGTTTCAATAGCTAGTGGCTACCTTACTGGACAGCACAGCACAGGTATGCACTTAGTTTGTCTCATTTTTTGTTATTAATGAAAGTTTCTAGTCTTTGTAAAATTACTTGTTAATTGGTAGAGTTTTGTCTGTTAGATATGCAAATAATTTTTGCCTGGCAGAACAAGTAATGCCAAAGATTTATGGTAGATATTGGCCAGTTTTATAATGTGACTCAGTAATTTTGTTTTAACAAATCTTTGTTAAATTGTCTAGATACACATAATTTCTCACATTTTCCCAAACCAATCATAAATCTAGTTCTTATTAATTAATGTGTTATACAAAATTATTCACATATGTACATTTATGTTTGTCTGAGATTCATAATTTCAAAATTATATTTCAGCTTTGGATCCCCTAAAATTCACCCACAGAATTATTTCTCAGGTTTCATAGAGGGCACTTGAGAAATTTGTTCTTTTATCTTATAAAACGAGAGATGCTAGAAATACTTAGGTTTGTTTGGTGGCTTCATATTTACTAATTTGTTCAATACCATTCCAAGAGATTTGTGGAAAGAATAATAAAATCAAAAGAGATGCCCAGGCTTCCTTAGGCTATTTATATAACTAAAATATTCATATAAATATATCAGAAATTATGTGCTTTTTAAAAAGGCTTTGGAGATTCTTCAGTGCCTTCCATAATCTAATCTTACCTTCAGAGAAAACATTGATCAAGTCATTATGAGAACCTATGGGAGGATTTTACTGTCCTTTGTCCTTATATTATTGGTTATTGTAATAAATTAACCACAGCCAATCAGTCTCATCATCAAATAGATCTCTGCTTCTTGGTGCTTGCCTGAAGTCTCTGCTCTAAGTTATAGGCTAGAATTGGTGTCTGGCACAAAAGACAGTTCCAGAGTCTCATAGAAGAGACAGTATCAAGTACTCTGCAAAGAACAGGCTCTTAGGGATAGGTTTCCAAATTCTCATGGCTTAGACAACTCTCCGACTCTACAGTGGAGTGAGTCATCATCTCCTAGGCTCCTTTCAGTCCACTAGCAGACGTATTACACACAGGCAGACCGCTGACCTCAGATCCAAGGCAAGAAGAAAAATTAATCACCAGGACTAAATGAGCTCATGAGGAAAATTTAATTGTGATTATTTGTCTGGAATATGGCTGACATTGTTTTAATTTTCTGCTTTTAGTAAGTATATAGGGAACCACTATCTTTCTTCTTAAGCTATCTTTAACCCTTTCCTTAGTAGATTATGCTTTTGTAAACTTAAATGTTCTAAATGATACCTAAGTGTCACTGACTCACTCAAAATTTGGAACCAAATATTTTTAGACTCTTCTTACTTTCCAAGGTAATAAGTTATTTGCATAGGATTGATAAGAATCTCTGCCTATTTTTACCAGAACTTAACCGCCTAAATCACTGTAGCAACCAAATCTACACTTGGAGTGCCATATTTGAGAGGGATTCATATTTAATCAAGTATGGCAGCAACTCACCATTAAGGAACATATGTGAGTTGATGCAGGACCTGCTTCTAGAGTCCTAGGACAGGGAATAGGAAAGAAGTAAACTTCTGGAAGGCCAAGGAGCTTAGCAAATTTGGGGGGGGGGGGCTCTAGAACAGAAGATTTCACCTAAATTTATAGGTACTACAGGAAAAATCTAGTGGACGGAATGTTTTGGGGTTGGTTTCCTAGCCTTAGAAAAGAAGAACAAGAGAGATCAAGAGTCTAACTCAAGTTCCTTCTGAAAATTTCTAGACAGAAGTGAATTTTGTGACCTCAGTAGTTGCTCAATATTGTAGAGTTCTACACTGGCAGAGCAAACTCAATAAGAACTGTATGATTAATTAATGTTATGGATGCACCCCTGGAAATAATCAGATAAAACCTGGACTCTAAGAAGACTTCATTTACAGCTGGGTATGGTGGCTCATGCCTGTAATCCCAGTGCTTTGAGAGGCAGAGGCAGGAGGATCACTTGAGCTGAGGAGTTTGAGACCAGCCTATGCAACATAGCAAGACCTCATCTCTAAAAAAGATTTTTAAAAATTAGCCAGGCATGGTGGTATGCACCTATAGTCCCAGCTACTTGGGAAGCTGAGGCAGAAGGATTGCTTGAGCCCAGGAGTTTGAGGTTACAGTGAGCTATGATCATGCCACCACACTCCAGCCTGGGTAACAGAGCAAAACCCCATCTCTAAAAAAATAAAAAATAAAAAGACTTCATTTACAAAACAGGTGATGAGTTGAATTTGACATATAGACCTAGTTGGTTGATCTAATCTAAAGCATGAAAATAAGGTAAAAGATGAGCAGAAAGTTGTTTCAATAACATATGGGGGAAAAGGCCACTTAGGATTGTCTAAGGGAAGGGATTTAGTTTGTATCAAGGTTACTATTGATTAAAAGTCCCAGATTTGGTGAAGTTGCTTGTTAACCTATAGAGGTTGGTCCTGTAGAAATATAAATAACTTTTGTCTGGTGGAACAGAAAACCTCAATACCTTTTATTTTTAACTCAGCAATCTTATCCTAATATTTGTTTTTAAAATTGATGATTAATATCTAATTTCTTAAATGCTCTCTGAACTAGTCATTATATCTTACTGATATTCTTTATTAACTAATAAGCTAAAGAAATTCTTTTACACATGTTGATTATATATTTCCTGAGAGTTATTATTTTTTCTTTTAAAATTATATTTTAACAAAACTATATTATGGTACAATAATACCTGGTTAAGAATCATAAGCCATGGCTTCTGTTTCCAGTAATGATGTGTTGTGACACCGGACTCTGCACCTGACCACTTAGAATCTCAGGCTTCTTATTTCTAAACTGGGGATGTTGGCCAAGATTTCAAATGTCTCTTTCAAATATCACTTTATATATTCCAAAACTGTAAAGTTTGAATATATTAACAGAGGCAGAGTATTATTGAAAGAAATAAACTTGAACATTCTGAAAAGAACTCAGACCTGGAATACACCAAATCTTTTCATTGTGATATCAACTATCATGATCCATTCTAAATGAAAAAGTACCATTTAAATAACTTTGCCAGGAGCAATCACTCTTTTATTGAGCCATTTGTTCTTTAGATAGATAACTTTTGATATGCACATAGAATGAGACAAGATTTATATCTTTCCTAGAGTTTTCTTCTTGCCAAGACATAAAAAATGGTCATTCTTTATCAGAGAGCTTACACAATACTCAGTATGTCTTCCCACCTTTTTTATACTGACAGCAAAGTTGCTAAAGATCTGAAATAAAATTTTGATCTAGTTTGAATTTAGACAAATGGGAAATTTTAAACAACTAAAACTTATCACGGACAGAAATTGAAGCAGTCTGTTAAAGGTCATACAAATTTCTATGTCCTAAGATTCTGTTAAAATAGCCTACAAAATAATTTTTTAACATTGTGAGTAAAAGATGTTAATTGTATGACATTGATCTTTGTCATTTGTTAAGACTTGCTTTGTGTTGGAACCTAGTACATTTTTGTAAATGTTTATGCCTAAAAAGAATGTGTATGTATACTTAAAAAAGAATAACTTTCTTTTTTTGTTGTTGTTATTTTTTGAGATGGAATTTCACTCTTGTTGCCTCTCGGGTTCAAGCAATTCTCCTGCCTCAGCCTTCTGAGTAGCTGGGATTACAGGCATGCGCCACCACACCTGGCTAATTTTGTATTTTTAGTAGACATAGGGTTTCTTCACATTGGTCAGGCTGGTCTCCAACTCCCAACCTCAGGTGATCTGCCCGCCTCAGCCTCCCAAAGTGCTGGGATTACAGGCATGAGCCACCACACCTGGCAGATTGGGTGAAGATTTCATATGCATCCATTGGATTGAGATTTAAATTGTGTTGTTCAAACTTCCTATATCATTATGAATTTTTGCCCAGTTTCTGAAAGAACTTTGGTCAAATCTCTCACTATGACTATGGATTTGCCCATTTTTTTGTTGCTCTATATATTCTGTTAATACATTTTAGGCTACATCTTCAGGTACTTACAGGTTCAGCATATATTGAACTAATGAATTACAACTTTTACAATTATTTCACAGTCCCTTGAAATCCTAAATTTTTTCTGCTTTAAAATTTATTTCCCTACTATGATTATTGCTATTCCAGCCTTCATTTCATATCTGCTTGTTAGACATTTGTGTATTATACCTATCCCTTATTTAGTGATATGAATTTATTCCTAAAATCCTTATTGCCAAATTAAATAATTTCAAATGAAAAAATACATATGACTATTACTTCAGTAGCAAAAATGACAATGTGTTTTATCCCAATTCTAGATTCTCAAAAGCTTTCACAGAGAGAAAAACAGTAACAATGTAAACAAACTCATGTAGTGTGTTAGTACGTTCTTGCATTACTATAAAGGAATATCTGAGACTGGGTAATTTATAAAGAAAAGTGGTTTATTTTGACTCATGGTTGTGTAGGAGGTAGAGGAAGCCTGGTGCTGGCATCTGCTTCTGGTGAGGCCTCAGGAAGCTTTTACTCATGGCAGAAGGTGAAGTGGAGCCAGCACATTACATGGCAAGAGAGGGAGCGAGAGAGTGAGGAGGAGGAGTCAGGCTCCATCAACACCAGCTCCCATGTGAACTCATAACCACGGGAGGGCACCAAGCCATTCATGAGGCATCAACCCCCGTGACCCAAACACCTCCACCGGGCCCCACCTCCAACACTGGAGGTCACATTTCAACATGAGATTTGGAGGGGACACACATCCAAACCATATCATATAGGTAATTAAAAAATAAAAAAGAAGTAAATGCAGCACGCTAATAACTATAGCATGATGACAGTTTATTGTACTTGTCAAGTGAGGAGGACTTGATGACGGGAGGGCATTGGCGGAGAACCATGCATTTGTCGGAAGGCGCAGTCCATGTCAGCACCTGTTTTTCAACTTTTCGGAACTTATGGTTAATTTTTCATTCCAAATACACTTGAACATAGTTATAAGTCCAGATAACGTCTTCAGGGCAAAATAAAAACTAAACACAAGAGCACTTCCTAAATCTATGGAAACAGTGATGTACGTGACAGACTAAAACGTCATAAAAGATACAACCTCTTCACTCTGTTTGGGTTTACCCAAACACAATGTACAATTAGAATTATGAATATATAAATTTGTTTTTTGAGATATTTTCTGACCAGAAAATTTTATATTAAGTAAACTGGTGAGCATGAGTTTACCTAAAAAAACCCAAATTATCACTTCTTATTGCATCTTTCCTTAGCAAATTATACCAAATGGAGAAAAAGAGTCTTCAGCAAATTAGAACTCTTCGAGAGTCATTTAAGGCAAATGGTATTAACTGAACAATCACTAATGTGAGGCTGGTCTTAACTTTCAACATTTTTTTTTTGTCCTTTTGTCTTAAGGGTATCTCTTATAAGAAGCACATAAGTGGATTATTTTTTTAAATCTAAAGTTGATTAGATTAATTCACTTATAGTATCATGTTCTCTGATGGTGGATTTATTTTGTGCTTTCCATTTACTAAGTTTTTGTTGTTGTTTTGCTTGTTTTTACTATTATATTTGCCTGCTTTCTATGGGTTAATCAGGCTTTAAAAATTCCCTCTTATTCCTTTTCAAAAACTTTATAACACACTTGTCTTAACAAAGTCTGAAGCTAATGAACAGAATTAACCTTTTCTCAAGCAATACAAGATACTTTAGAATGCTATAAATCAAACGATTGCCTCCATTTTCCATCCACCTTGCTTTTAAACTCATTCAAATTTTATCTTGTCATTGGTGTTCCACAATCTAACTCTAATATATTGAGGATGTAGGCTCCTTTCTAGATATCCTTCTTGGGGTTAAGTGTGCTTAGTATCTTCCTTCCGGCCTTTTTCAGGAAAGCTCTTGGTCATTAACCCTTAGAATATCACTCCTCTCCTTTTCTCCCTAGTCTCTTATCTCGAAATTCTTACTAGGTAAATATTTAAACTTAATCATTCTAGGCCCCTTGTATTTATGCTTCCCTTTTAATTTTCCCTAATCTTGTTAGAGTGATATTTTGTATTCCAAATAGCACTAATAAATAGAAACTTTACAAATAAATAAGTACCCGTAGACTGTCTCCTTGATGTTACAGTTTTCACAGGTAACTACGTCAGCCTGTGAAAAAGTCCATCAGGCAATGTTATGCTTTTTGTTTTTAATAGTTTTATATGTTATAATGAATATAAGAGGTGAAAAATAGCCCATGTTGTATACTCAGATATTTAAGATTTCTACTAATTTTTAAACAAAAATTCCTGAATTTGTAGGCAGGTTTCCTTTGGTGGTGGTTTTTTTTTTTTTTTTTTTTGGGTTTTTTTTTTTTTTTTTTTTTTTTTGAGACAGAGTCTTACTCTGTCTTCCAGGCTGGAGTACAGTGGTGTGATCTTGGTTCACAGCAACCTCTGTCCCCCTGGTTAAAGCAATTCTCCTGCCTAAGACTCTCAAGTAGCTGGGATTACAGGTGTGCACCACCAGGCCTGGCTAACTTCTTGTATTTTTGATAGAGACAGGATTTTGCCATGTTGGCCAGGCTGGTCTCAAACCCCTGACCTCAAGTGCTCAGTCTGCCTCTGCCTCCCAAAGTGCTGGGATTACAGGCATGAGCCACCACAGCCAGCTGGTTCCCCCTTTTAACCATTTCCCTTCCACTCAAAGAACTTCCTTTAGTATTTCCTTTAAGTAGACCTACTAGTGATGAATTTGTTTAGTTTTCACTTGATAATTTTCCCAGTTTGCTCTATTTCTGAGAGATTTAATTTTGCTAGGTAGAGGATTCTGGACTGACAGTTACCATGGGCTTCACCCCTCAGGGTCTGAGATTGTCTTTCTAGCTGAGGGGGGCAAGAGTAAAAGATAACAAAAACTTCACCCCACTGAGGCTGCCATCCCCAACGCCACCCCCATGAGAGGGAGGGGAGGGCTGCTAGTTCTTTGCTGACACTTGGATGGAGATGGCCAAGAGTCTAAAGGCTTTTCTGTAGCCTCCCCACCCCTACCCCACTCCCATCTTCTGGCCAGAGGAAGTGAATTTTTCTGGAGCTTTTTTGGTGTGTTCCTATTCAAAGCTCTGCAGCTTAGACTGATCTGGAGCCTGTTGGTATATACAAAATATAAATTAAAACCCCAGGAAATGTACTGCTCAGTCTCCCCTCTATTTCTGGCTTTCGTGTAAGTCCTCTTATTCTTATCCACTTTTCAGAGCCCTTGCAGAGACCTTCAAACCTGCCGTATTTTATGCAGAGTTTTTAGCTGTAGTCAGGGAGCTGTAGCGTGGAGTGTGATTATCTCATCCGGCTAGCTGTTAAGGTGATTTTAATATTCCACATATGAAGCAATAAAACACTATATAAAATAAAGGAGCACCAGCATTTTAAACGGTGGCATAATAATGTATATTTTCTCACTGATGCTGAAACGAAACATATAACTATAAGCAGTTTTATCCAAAGGTATGCTGTTGCTAAATGCTGTGGATTTTTCCTGACTATATTAAAAGGAAAAAATAATTTATAGTAATGCATGTGATTATATCTAAAAGGCAAATCTAAATTTGTTTAAAACAATATACAACTATCTTTATTTAGTATTAAGAACTCACCCACAAATATTTGGTTTTTTGTCTAACAAATCCTTTACACAAAACTTGTTTTAATGCATACACTTTTGCTATCTGCCTCCGAGGCACCCCACTACCAGAACTGAAGCTCTTGAAAAGTAAGAGAATGGACCTTAATTGCCTGCCCTTATTCACCCACTAAGGAAATCCCAAATCATATTTAGGAAGTTGAATTTGAAATCAAAGTTAGCTTTCCAAAATTTTCTGTGTCTTAGACTTACATTTTGCTTTTCATTTTATATATACACCTGACTCTCTACTGTTCTGTGTCAATTTGTATTTAACACATTCAGATTTAAAATATATATATATATAAATTCTGGGCTGGGCACAGTGGTTCACACCTGTAATCCCAGCACTTTGGAAGGCCGAGGCAGGCGGATCACGTGAGGTCAGGAGTTCAAGACCAGCCTGGCCAACATGATGAAATTCTGTCTCTACTAAAAATACAAAAATTAGTCGGGCATAGTGGCACATGCCTGTAATCCCAGCTATAGGCTGAGGTAGAATGCTTAAACCCGGGAGGCGGAGGTTGCAGTGAGCTGAGATTGTGCCATTGCACTCCAGCCTGGACAACAGGAGCAAAACTCTGTCTCAAAACAAACAAACAAAAATAGAAACTCTTTCTTTAAAAAACTAAAATCTTATTTTGATATGACAATGAAGACAACAGGTCAACATGGATTTTTAGTTATTATTTATTCTGCTGTATCCTTGCCAACATGCAAAACCCATTAGCAGTCTAGAGATTGTTTACGAAATAGATATATTTCAAAACTGGCATAATGGTTGAAAAGGTAGAGTTGCCCTTACAGAATAAATGAAATTACTGTAAAATTAATGACACAATTTGAAGGTAGAAGTGTTTATACAAAGAAAATCATATAAATCATAATATGTTTTACAAGGACCTAAAACAATGTTTCCTCCAGTATTATTACTGTAGAATTAAACCTATGTGCCCTTCAAAATATGGGTAAAATGGCCTTTTTGTGTGTTTACTTTTAATCATGTGTGAAATTAGAAATCTACTTCCTAACAGGGCTTTTTTTGTGAAACAATTTGAAATCAACTCTGCTGAATGTTAGCGAACAGGAAGAACAGTGATGGAGTCTGTGTGATAGATGTTCATAACTCAGGCTAGTTTAAAAGGCAGGCTGTGGGGAAAATCTTACTGCTAAACATCATGAATTTTTGGAAACCTGAAAACAAGCAAAAATGATGTCATACTTCAGTGTGAGATGTATTCAAAATTCTCTTCGGCCAACCACTTTTTCTTAATGTTGTCGTCATCAGTTTAATGGCAGTATCACCTAGATAACTTAAACTGGAATACTAAATATACTTTGCAACCCTCAGATTTATGATACTTGAGTTTTTATTTAAAATACGATAGGCTATTGAGTAACTTGGGGGAAAGAGTAGGTCTAGAGTCTTTCTTACTTGAATTATTATTCAACTTAACATTAAAAAGTAGATTTATAGTATATTGGACCTTGCTTATAAAAATACAGTCTGTTTCATGTAAAGTGAAATGTTTTAAATTAGTTCCACTCTAACTTTCAGGACATCTGCAGGTCTCATAGATGAGCTGTCATGAAGTATCAATATATTGAAGCTATCTTCTTTCACTTTATTATGCAGCTGGTTCACCAATGATTTCCATAACAAGTTAGATTCCAAAGAGTTCTTTACATTTTCTATAAGCTAGTGTTTATGAACACATTGCATAGACTATGACATGATTTTGCTGTGTCCCCACCCAAATCTCATCTTGAATTGTAATTCCCATAATCCCCACATGTCGTGACAGAGACCAGGTGGAGATAATTTAATCATGGGGGTGGTTTCCCTCGTCCTATTCTCGTGATAGTGAGTTAGTTCTCACGATATCTGATAGTTTTATAAGGGGCTTTCCCCTTCACTAGGCTCATTCTTTCTCCTGCCACCGTGTGAAGAGGTGCCCTCTGCCATGACTGCAAGTTTCCTGAGGCCTCCCGTGCCATGCCGAACTGTGAGGCAATTAAACCTCTTTCCTTTATAAATTACCCAGTCTTGGGCGGTTCTTTATAGCATAATGAGAATGCACTAATACAGGCAACAAACATTACCTTTTAAAGAACTTACACAACTCCTATAAAGTAATCCAGTATTAAGTTTTTACATGGAATTTCAATGAGGTAAGTAAGGTACATTGAAGTCACGTAGTTCAGTCACTGTTTGGAAACTTGAATCCTTAGTAAACTCACCCTGAAATGGTTCTCACTCAAAGGTTAATCACTGCCAGAGACAGAAGGAAGAAAAAAAAGAACTAACGTTTACAGGATACCTATTGTTTTCAGTGCTTTACATATATTATCTCATGTAATCTTTCTGGTAACCTTGAAAGGCACTCTTTCCATTTTTCTTTTAAAGTATAGATCACAGAGATAAGTCATAAGTGGCACCCTTTAGAGGTGCCCTCAGATCTATCTGATTCCTCAAACCATATTCTTCCCTCTGCACCACATTGCCATGAAACACACCTCTCTGCCACAGGAGTCACCATCCCTAATGAGGTCCACTGAGCTCTCACTGAGATTCCACTATTGGTCTAGAAAAGTTCTCTTACTGCGCCCTAAAGTACAAGTCTCATTCCTCTTTCATGTAATAGCATTCAAATTGTTAACAACAGATCATAAGTAAGAATCAAGTTTACTCTTAACCATTCTGTTCACCAAACAAAATATCCTCTGTTCATCCTTTGAAAAAGTTTGAAACTTCTCCATCCTCTTAAAAACCTCCTTGATATGGTTTTTAATGAATCTAGAGCCCTCCTAATGTGAGAAGCCCAGAACTGGAAACAGAATCACTGAGTAATACAGTAGTATAGTAGGTTTTTGTTTGTTTGTTTGTTTTTGTTTTTGATACCTCTCTTACCCAGGCTAGAATGCAGCGGTGTGATCTCGGCTCACTGCAACCTTCGTCTCCCAGGTTCAAGCAATTCTCCCACCTCAGGAGCACACCACTACACCTGGTTAATTTTTGTATTTTTATTAGGGACGGAGTTTCACCATGTTGGCCAGGCTGGTCTCGAACTCCTGATCTCAAGTTATCCCCCTGCCTAAGCCTCCCAAAGCGCTGGGATTACAGGCATGAGCCACGGCACCCAGCCAGTAATACGGTATTATTGGGCTGTCACCTCCCATGTTCTAGATACCTTGTTCCCTTTAGTGTAGCCTAAGCATGCATTAACTTTTCTAGTAGCCACATAACATTAACTTTTCTAGTAGCCACATTGCATTGTCCACTCACATTGAGTTTACTGAGAATTCAAACTACTAAGTAATTTTCTATATATGCTGTTGCTAAGTCATGTCTTTCTTGACCTGGTTGAATTTTTGGATGCTTCTAAAATTTTTAAAATTTTTCCTGCTTCATTAATATTTTGTGAGACTCAGCCAGTTTTACCTTTATTTTGACATCCAACTTTTGATGTAAATAAAAATTCCCCACATTTACACACGTGATACTCCTCACCACTAAAATCACATTTGAAAAACCAAATATGAATTTATAAAAGTATGTTCCCTAAAGAGCACACATTTTGGCCACTATGCCATGGTTCTGGCGCCATCCAACAGTTGGATTATAGTCTCGTCTTTGCAAATAAATATTTACATGAAAAAATATATTTATATTTCATGACCTGTTGCCCTTATTGCTTTATGACATTTACTGGTAGATTAATTCGTAGTGACACTGGAAGGAATCATAGTTGTCATAATTAAAACAAAGTTGTAAATAATTTGGTGTTTTAAATAAGTACTCAATTGACTGAATTAAAATGTGGGAGAGAAAAATTATGCAAGCTGCTAGATGCATACCTTGAAGATTGTCTTTAAATGTTGATGTGTTACTAGGGATTTTATCTATCTGTTTATCTATCTACCTACGTATCATCTATCTATCTATCTATCTATGTCTATCTAATTCTCTAGCTATCTATTGTTTCTCTCAGAATTATACAATCTTAATAAAATTTTTTATTATTTACAGTCAATATTACTACTTATATTCAGGATTATACTATATGTGGGATTAGTAGACCTCCTGAACTCACTTATTCCTTCCACATTTCTGATGTTTTATTTGCAATAAACATAAGTTCCAGAATTGTTCCAAGCATAATAGTTGAATAATAGATAAATTTTTGAAGAAAATGACAAAATAACTACCTGATACTGTTGATTATCATAAAACCCAATCCCAATACATAGCAATAAAGAATAGGCCCCAAGTAGATCAAGTTACATCTCCAATAACACGCCGGTGGGGCACCTCAGAGCCGCAGGTAGATTTTAAACAGTAGCAGCACAAGGTCTCATAAACTTGAGTTTTACTCCTGGCCCACCTCTCTCCCACTGCTTATTTTATCCCCAGCAAGAGCCTTTGCTCTTTCCTGGTTCTGAACAAGGACACATTTTAGCCTGAACATGTCAATTTGTCTGTGGCTGCCACTCAGGGGAATTCCATTTTCTTTTACAAGATTGGAAAGTTGTCTCAATCAAGTCCAAACCCATCACAGACATTTTCCCCCAACCATGCCTCTTTTCTATGCCAGACTTTTCCATTTAAAAAAAAATTTAGTTTAGTTTTCTGTTTTGACTTTTGTTTGATAAAGTAGCTTCAAATACAGCTAGCTGATAGACTCCAGGAGGAAGGTTTTCCTTTGAAATAACTGGGGAAAAATATTGTTGAACCATTTTGATCCTATGCATAACTGTAGTGTCAAGAACAATAGAAGGAAAATACTTAAAATCACACCATAGCAATTTTCTACTTAAAAAAATGTATAGCAGTTGCTTGGGGGAATACATGTGCATGTTTGTGTGCAGGTATGTATTTCATGGCTGCACGCCTATGAGATGACAAAACCCCAAGCATCTTTAGATGTGAATTCTCCAAGTATCAATGAACTACCTTCTTTATCCATAAATTTATCAAAGAAATACTGATCTTTATCAATTGCCTCTTCTACTTGAGCCTGAAAGCTGTGCTGTGCACTATGAAATGCCATGTGCATCGCACTCAACTTCTCAAGAAGTGGGATGTGATGGGCTGAGCCCAGTAAGCACAGTCCTTCCAGAGGCTATGTCTAACCTCCGTGGATGTAGTCATCTCACTACAGCATTGCCTGAGAGGAGCAGCACCATAATCAACACCCATCAACCAGTGTGTTGGTGGTTTCTGGGGAAATAAGCAAAATTAATAACATCTGCATCTAACAAAGATCCTAGCTGAGGCTTGCTCTTTAGAAGATTCGGAAACAATTCTTTCTTTTTCTGTTGTCTGTGGAAGTGCCAGTCTTTTCTCCCTCAACTCTGTGACAGAATTCACCCAAAAAATTTAAAGAAAGCGGTACAGGAGTGGTAAAACAATCAAATACTTGTTTGTTGGATGAAGTATTTGAAGGAGTTAGTTCATAAAGTTGTAGCACTTCGTAAGTCATCATGGAAATTAAATTCTTCCATAGTGTCATAGAAAGTCAACATATATCATCTCATTTTTCCTCTTGTCAAAATTCTATAACGTTTTATGAAACGGGCTCCAAGGGTAAATTTCTCAAGATTTCAAAGTTTCAGAATGACACAGAATGGATTTAAACTGCAGCAGGTTTGCTTCTAAATCCACACACTTGCTGTTGTAGCACCGTGCCTCTCATTATCTGGCTAACTTTTTCACCTGGATCCCTGATGATACATCACTTTTTCAGGAAGTCTTCCAAACAACCCTAACTGAAAATGCCACAAAGCCATTCCTTATCACAGTATCCTCTTTTAATTTTCCAGTTAGCACTCATCAGATATATTCTGGTTTATTTAATTGGCAATAAATTATAGTAATAATAACAACATAATTTTAGTAACAATGCATTTGGTTAATAATATTTAATTGCTTGCTTTTTGCCTCTATTCCTTCACAAAATGATGGAAACTGTGCAAGGGGGGACATAACTTGTTTACTGCTCCAACTCCCATACTTGCAATACAGCAAGAGATCATTAATACATATTAATGAAAAATAATTCAAAGACATTAATTGCTGTGTCCAAAAAATGTTACACTGATTCCAGCCTGCAAACTCCAACGTTCACTATTATGTGAAAGAGCAAATCTTATTTGCAATTTAAACATCTGTGAAATCATGATTAATATTTATCAACAAGTTTCCTTAGCGTTAACTTCCTCCCTATCAACTAATATATTTAAGGGAAAAGGAGTGAAGGTATATTAATCGTCTCCCATGTTCACATCAGTTATAGTTGTGTCAACCAGGAGGGACAAGTTAAAGCAATGTTTTGGATAAACTTGCATATCAACAAATGTATGAACACATTGCGTATGTGTCCTTTACACTCAAAAACTGAATCTCATATATTTAAAAGCTTTCTGCATATCTATAAACTTATTTCTTTATAAGTAACATCCAGTTCTGGAAACAACAAAACCTTTTCTCTGGAGAAAAACTTCTTCCCAAACTATATGATGGATAATAACTTTCCCTTTGGCCAAACTCCAACAAAATACATAATTTGTGCCTCCCAGTTCACACAACTATAACTGATGTGGAGATGACACATCACTTACATACTCTCATTTTCTTTCCTTTAAGTCTTTTATTTAAGGGGAAATCATAATGGGAAAATCTCAAGTTACATGTAATTCCTATTTATTGTGGCATGTGTATGTGGCCAACAGATTCTTAAAAACTCATATTAGAATTGGAATTATCTTTCATGACAAATAAAAAAGGACCGTTTGTTATTCTTCCACATTTCTTTTTCTCATCCATTCAGTAAACACTGTCTCCCACAGGTCTACCATTGGTCCCTGGATGACTTATTGCATTTTTCTGTGGTTTCTACTAGGAGATATATTTTCTTACTTATACAGATGCTCAGAAAAAGAAATTTGAAAAAGCAAACTGCAATACTAGAATAATTTTGCTGATACTTCTTCCTTTATGTTAGCTTCTTCTGGATGGCTTAGTACTGTAAATGCTATATTTTTCTATGTAGAAATAATGTAAAATCTGTCTTTTAGAAATGTCTAAGTATTCTATTCATGAAAGAATTTCTGTTAGGGAATATTGTCTGTCTTTTTGGATGGAAAAGTACTGCTGTTGGTGAAATCGGTGGAATGAGATTTACTATTTATTGGAACTATTTTTGCTAAAAATATGCATGTTAAAATCCATCTGTTAGAAATGTCAACCTTAACACTACCAAGTAAATCTGTATAATATTGATATCTACCTGAATCTCTTGGGCTGCAAGACTTTTCAAGGCCTTGGGATAACCTCAGGCATCAAACTCATTGACAAAGTAGTGATTGTACATTCTAACAAATTCATTTTAGCCTTTACATTTTATTTCTTAGCTTAAGTCCCATTTGTTTGCTAGTAATTCTGAACTTCTGCTAAGCACTGTGCCAACTGTCTTCATTTGATTAGGTCAAGCCAGTGGACTTAATTTTAGGACTTAAATTCAGGAAGAAAGTTCAAAATTCATGTCCTGAAAAGTGTGTCTGTCAAATTCTGAATAAAAACATACTTCTTGGGACTTTTTCCCCTATCATCATTGAATTCAATGAATCTTTATACTTAACATAAAATGAAGTTATTTAAAATTATTAACAAGACATGTGTAATGATGAGTCTGACATGAAACTGAAGTTTAAGGCTGCAAATCATTATATGATGGGTAGGAATTTTCAAAACTAAGTTTTAATTTGAAGAATTGAGTCATCTTTACAGACTTGGAATATAGGAAGCATTTTAAAAAGAGAAAGGAGAAAACTTTAATAACACAAAGTTTATGAAGATATGTAATATACACAAACTTGAAAATAAATTGTAGGTGCACCAATGCAAAAATAGGTTTAAAAAATTACTTTTGCCCAGAAACTAATGAAAGTTTACTACCACCCCCAATCTAATTTCCCTAACTTCCTTCAGAAGCAAATCACTATCTAGAAAAAATGACTTTCTCTGCCTAAGAAATGTTATATAGCAATATAAACATGTTTTCGATATATTTATTTTCATTTGCTACAGATACTGCAAGTTAATAATTACAATCATTAGTAATTTTAGTTACATTTAAAAAGTATAGGTAGCATACCTATATAGTAAATATTATATCAGAATATTCAAAATATTTAAAAAACAGTAAAGTAAAACTTAGTCTCTTTCTCCCTCATATCCTCTGCCCCTCTTTTGTTTACCAAATAAAGAGTGTTAAGGGAACTATAGATACATTTTCAAAACTTTGATACCTAAACACTTTGAAATCACATTTAGGATATTTCAATATATCAAATACAAGAAACTTAAACATATACTTTTTTGAACCATTAGAAGTATTTTAAAAATTATTTAACAAATGTTTTTCATTAAAGTCACACTTTTAATGTTGATGCCTTGCATTGTGTCTTAGTTAAATATTTTCTTTCCTGAAATAAATTTTGTTGGTACTGTTCATCTTACAATGAATTTTATCTTACATGTTTATCTTACCATGAATTGTCCACTAGCAGAACTCAATATTTTGTTCATTTATGAATACACTTGCCTATTACATTTTGGCATAATGTATACAAATTTAAACTAATTACTGTGGTCAAAACCACATCTAACAGTTTGGGAAGGCTTTAAAGTATTAAAAGAGCCTTGAATGCATAAAATTGGCACCAAGGCTCTTAAAAAGCACCTTCAATTGATTTGTAAAATACTCAAAAAGAATTTTCCATCTCCCCCATAAAATCATAATCATTTGGGTTTTCTAATAGCAAACTACTCTCTTATCATGCATAATCAAAATTATTTTTGAACAGGAAAAAAGAATCTTAGATTAGCATTGTTTTTTAATGTTTCTGTGTGCCATCTACTAGCTGTGGTATTGAGTCAGGAAAAAGTATATGGTATATGGTTAAGAAAAAGCAAACTAGATTTCTCTTCAGTGGCTTTACACTGTGGGGCACCAAATGACTTAATAGCTTTCTGGCAGTCTACATCTATGATAGGAGTATTTGCAGAAATAAAGAAAGCATAAAAAGACTCCAACACTGCACCATGGCAATGATTAGAAAGGACAGTCTTTGAGCTTTGAAAACAGAAAGCAGAATCCATGCACGCAGTCTGCAGCCCTGAGCAAAATCTCTTTCCCATTCAAACTCAGTTGCAAACCCAGCTTCTCTTGCAAACCCACAGGCTGGAAGAGGAAACCACAGCCACTCCAAAGTAGAGTTTCAGGCCCATCATTAGCGGTTTCTGTCACCATCTAGTTGCATTTCCTTTATGAATGAAATATGCAGATGGCATCTCACATTGGCTCTTTCAACGAAGAAGAGGAAGGTCAAGAGACACGACTAATACAGCCAACACATTAGAGATCTGTGACCAACGTACTCACACCTCCAAACGCCTCCAGATTGCAGCCTCTGGAAATATCTAGCCCATTTCTTTATGGCACTGTTGCTTCGATCAGCTGTGGAAATTAACATAAAATAATATAGTAACCCAATAGGTGCTGGACAGCATTTCAGAGCATCATATTAAGGGAACACTAAAGGCACGTGACAGTATTCAAAGCCTGAGTGATAAATAGCAAGTAAATACCTTCTAATCGAACAGAAGGGGGAAGGATGCTGAGCCGATACTGATGCTGCCTGCTCTCTTCCTGTGTAACAGCAAAGGCGGCTCAGTCCCTCTGACAGGCTGTGAAGCGTGGCTGCCTATCGGCTCCTGGGCGGTCCTAGTGCCTGCGCCAGGTTAGCACACAAGGTAGCTCCAAAGAGCCTCCCTGTTTCTGGTGATTCTTCTAATGATTATCACCAAAGATTTTCAGGGATGTCAGCCAGCTAAGCATCAGGGCAGTGGGGTTTGGGTTTGGGAAAAATGATCAGTAAATAGAGTTTGCTACTGTCAATCAGACACTGCTGTTGAAACCAAAAAGGATTATAGATGATCTTGTCTGTTAAATAAATGATGCTCATGAAAATGTTGAAGCCAGAGGGCTGTTAAAAAGAAAACTAATTTGATAATATCCTATATCTACTAAAATCCATGTGTTTTGTTTTCTTTTTTCCATGTTTAATGTGTAAGGGAAAAAAATTAAGAAGTAGGAGGTTTTCAAAGTCTGATATATTTACGTAACTATTTGCAAAAAGTGTTTGCTAAAAGCCTAAAAAGTCCGTTAGTAGCTTATGCTGTTCAAACATTTAAAATGAAATAAATGCAAAAACAAACAAAATTGAGACCTCCAGAAACTTATTCTATAAAAGAGACAAAACGTTCAAGTGTCACTTCATGTAAACGCCACTCTTCATCTTTCTCTATTCATTCCCCCCACCTTTTCCCCATCATGACATTTATATTTTGTAATTTAGTTATTGTTGAACTCCCCTGCAATGTAGTATCTGTGAAGGAATCTGTTCTACTGACTTTTTTTTTTTTTTTTTTTTTTGAGACAGGGTCTTCCTCTTGTCACTCAAGCTGGTGTGCAGTGGTGCCATCTCGGCTCACTGCAATCTCCTTCTCCCAGGTCAAGCAATTCTCCAACCTCAGCCTCCAGAGTAGCTGGGACCAATGGTGTGCCAGCATGCTTGGCTAATTATTTGTATTTTGGGTAGAGATGGGATTTCACCATATTGCCCAGGCTGGTCTCGAACTCCTGAGCTAAAGCAATCCACCTGCCTTGGCCTCCAAAGTGCTGGGGTTACAGGCATGAGCCACTATGCCCAGCCTCTATTGACTTTGATAAAGTAACCCCTGGAAGATTACCCAGCATGCAACAGGCCCTCAGTAAATATTTGTGAAAAGATAAATGAGGCAGTAAGCTGAGAAATTACACTATAGAATACGGGTACAGAAGTTAATCTTGTAAGTGATTAAATTCAATTTAGCATACTTCTCTGCACAACTACTTTTAATAAGGGACTGTGCTAAGTATATGTTTGCCTCTAAGGAGCTTATAATTTTTTATTTTTTATTTTTTTGAGTCGGAGTCTCACTCTATTGCTGAGGATGGATTGCAGTGGTGCAATCTCAACTTACTGGAGCCTCCTGCCTCTCAGGCTCAAGCAATTCTTGTGTGCACGCCATGCCCAGCTAATATTTGTACTTTTAGTAGAGACAGAGTTTCACCATGTTGGTCAGGCTGGTATTGAACTCCTGAGCTGAAGTGATCTGCCCACCTTGGCCTCCCAAAGTGCTGGGATTACAGGTGTGAGCCACTGTGCCCAGCCAGGAGCTTATAATTTAAATATAGAGAAAAATATTAGTGTATGTGTATAATCAAATAATTACATGTACATAAAATACTTGCCATAAAAGAATGGACAATGTAAGTCAGAATATGCTATATTTGCTAAGGGCTTCTATGTCTGGATGTTATGAGTATGGAGTGGAACTGGGCAATTGGGTTTGAGAATTCAACCCAACTGATTTCTTTTTTTCCCCAGAGTACATAGAGTTCAGGTGGCAGTGGGCAGGTTGGTACAGAAGGGACTAGAATATGGAAAGTGAACTCTAGTAAGATTGGTTAGCAGAGTAAATACCAGTACTAAGACAGGTGAAGACAGGGAGTACAGGTACAGGTATGTGGGCACTGTAGGCCCTGGATCAAAGCCTCACATTGGCAAGTAGTCATCAGGAGAGTGTTCCTCTCCACCAAGAGATGGTTGCCTTCCAGAGCAGGGAGGGCAGCTCATACCTTGTGGTCCAGGCATTCAGACCACAGGATGAAGTGTAGTAGCAGTAACAAGGTATATCAGCCCATAACAAGGCAATGTGCCATTGAGGCTGAGGCTCAGGGCTTCTGAGGGAAGGAGAGAAAAAATCAAGGTAAGACTCTTGCTGTGGAGAACTCAAGGCTAGTGTTTCTCATGGAAAAAGTACAGATCCAAAAGGCATGGGGTGAGACTGAACCCAACCACAAGGGACAGTGATGTTTTTATAGGATCTAAGGATCCAGAAATCAACCTGTTTGTCATGTGCAGGTCAAACAGCTTTGACTGTGGTTGGACAACTTCAAGACTAGGGAGCCATGTTGATGACTAGAGTCAGGTGAACCCAGAGTGATTAGTGATCAATGAAAGAATGCCTCGTTGAGGCCTGAGGATTGTGGTTTGCTTATCCACTGCACTTCTTTCCACTTCTTCCTAATTCAGCATGTTTTCTGAAATGAGACTTTTTTTATTTTTAAAGAAGTTGATCAGCACCAAAGGACACTAATGTACCCTCAATTAGATCCTTGTTATTACAAAGTGGTGAATGGGCTGGACTGCAGAAGGGGAGTGGCTAGTGTGTGAGGGAGGCAATGCCCCACCATTAAGCATTTCTCTGTAGCTACTGATTTTTATAATATTGGAGAGCTCCCTGAGAAACAAAGCACTATGTCCATGATTGGGCCTCAGACATACACTGACATGTCATCTGTGCAATGACTCCAGGTGGAGAGAAGAAAAGTGAGGCTGCTGAGAGACATGTCACCATAAATCAGAAGGATCCCAGCTTGAGGAAACAGACCTCACCACAGGACCTGCGGGTAGAGGGGAGTGGTGGGTCTTTGTAGATCTTTGTGACTGAGATGGACATGATTGTAATAGAAAAAGACTCCATACAAACTGAAAACCCTAAGATACTGCAATAGACTGAATATTTGTGTCCCCCCAGAATTCATATGTTGGGATTCTAACCCTTAATGTGATGGTTTCAGAATGTGGGGGTCATTGAGAGATTAGGTCATGAGGGTAGAGCGCTAATGGGTGGGATTAGTGTTCTTATCAAAGAGACTCGCAAGAGCTCTCTCACCCACTTTCTGCTATGTGAGGATCGAAAGGGAAGTGGGCAGCCTACAACTCAGAAGAGAACCCTCAGCAGAACCTGACTGTGCTGGCACTCTGATCTTGGACTTCCAGCCTCCAGAACTGTGAAAAGAAAATTTATGTTGTTTATAAACCACCCAGTCTACACTTTGTTACAGAAGCCTGAATTGACTAAGATAGATAGCTCATAAACTCTGTAGTATTTTGGCCCTGAGAAAACTTGAAATGTGTGGGTGCTGTTATCCTCTTCCCTTTCAGTCTGCTTGGCTCACACAGGTGTGTTGAGATTCAGTGCCTGGAAGAATCACTGGGGACCCCCATCAGGTCAGGAACTGCTGGTTCTGCAGGGACAGCTGTGTCACAGTGCCCAGGTTTGT
Source organism: Homo sapiens (assembly GCF_000001405.40). NCBI lineage: Eukaryota > Metazoa > Chordata > Mammalia > Primates > Hominidae > Homo > Homo sapiens. The sequence goes on along the minus strand of NC_000018.10, from coordinate 54,714,349 downwards.
AAAGGGGGGTGCTGGTATCACAGATCTTGGGCTCAACTTGCCAAAAGCCAATGGTGACTATAAGAACAGTGTGACTTGGACCAGTCTGTGGCTTTTCAAGATGACTGTGCAGTGAAGGACATTGTAAGGAGCTGGAATTCATGGATGAGCCGGTGAAGGGGGGCTCAGATCCTGTGGGATTGGTTATCAATTATATGTGACCTTATGTGTACTCACGTGCTAGTGAATTGTGGCAGTCAGGTGCCATATGCAAATGTATCTGTTATAGAATAGAGTGGGATAATCACTGACTTTGGGACTACAGACCTGGATTTAAATCTGACACTTTGTGCTTCCATATAGTTTAATAAGTAGTACTTCATAGGCTTCTTGTGATGACCCCATGTCAACTACATTTAAAGGCCTAGCACAGAATAGCTCCCCATTACAAAAAGAAAACCTGCCGGGCACGGCGGCTCACGCCCGTAATCTCAGCACTCTGGGAGGCCGAAGTAGCTGGATCACCTGAGGTCAGGAGTTCAAGACCAGCCTGGCCAATATGGTGAAACCCCATCTCTACTAAAAATTCAAAATTGGCCGGGCGTGGTGGCACATGCCTGTAATCCCAGTTACTCGGGAGGCCAAGGAAGGAGAATCACTTGAACCCGGAAGACAGAGGTTGCAGTGAGCTAAGATCATGCCATAGCACTCCAGCCTAGGCAACAAGAAGAAAACTCCATCTCAAAACAAAAAAAAAAGTGTTTCTTTTTAGAAAAGGAAACCACTATATTTAGTAGCATAAAGCCAAAGGCTGCCACTCTGGAGATGTGCAGCATTGATAACAGCAATGACTTTCAAGCTTCTTTCACTTTGAAACTTTACAAAGTGAATCTCAGTTTCTTCATAAGTATAATCCAGTAATAATACCTCTGCAAAGAGTTTGTTTAGGATTAGATAGGATCATACATGCAGAGTGCTTAGCATGAATATTCTATACGTGGATCAAGGAATGGTTAAATAAATTGTGGTGGTTATTAAAATAAAACAGAACCTCTACCTCTTCAAGGTGATACAGGAGGAGGGTAGAGAAATGCTGGGTAGAGAAAGGCAGGTCCCTGGCTAGGGCCCTAGCCCCACAGACCTAGGTGAGGACAGGCACTTCTGCCTTTGTGCCCAAATGTTGCATTTTCCAAGACCACCCTGGCCCACCACACCCCTCTCTTGGGCCTATAAAAAGCTGAGACCCTAGCAAGGCAGAGATGAAAGCTGCTGGAGGGCGAGAGGAAAACATCAGTGGAAGAAGACAAGCTGCTGGACATCAAGAGGACACGGAGGGAGCATGCCGGCAGAAGAGCACACCAACAAACGCTGGCACACTGGCAGGCCATCCACCTGCAGGAGAGGCGGAGTTTGGCATGTGCCTGAGCGGCCCAACTCCAGGGGAAAACCGTCTCCCTTCTGGCTCATCCAGCAGTGAAGAGCTATTTCCACTCAATAAAACTTGGCACTCATTCTCCAAGCCCACCTGTGATCCGATTCTTCTGGTACACCAAGGCAAGAACCCAGGATACAGAATGCCCTCTGTCCTTGTGACAAGGTGTAGAGTCTAATTGAGCTGGTTAACATAAGCTGCCTATAGACAGCAAACCAAGAGAGCACCCTGTAACACAAACCCACTGGGGCTTCAGGAGCTATAAACATTCATGCCTAGACACTGCAGTGAGGTTGGAGCCCCACAGCCTGCCTGTCTCTGGGCTCCCCTAGAGTTTTGAGCAGCAGGCACTGAAGAAGCGAGCCACACCCCCATCACACACCCTGCTAGGGGAACAAGGGAACATTTCCCGTTTCAAAGGCATATAAAATGTGAATCATGTGCTTTCTGGATTCATGTAGTAAGAGAAATTTTCTGTCTCAAAACAAGTGTGTCATGCTTTTCATGACCTGGGGTGATCAAATGCTTAGAATAATAACACCAAGTAACATGACTCATCTAAGAAAAAGATATGAGATGAAACTATACTACATTATACTACATTGCAAATGCATTTCTTACCAGCCCCACCGTTCTTTTAAATATTTGAATTCCACAATATATTCAACATCTTGTGTGACTATGTTATTTGTATCAACACTGAGAATAATTCATATTTGTAGATAGAGTAAAGCTCTTTTAAAGAAGCTTCAATAAATCATCATTGCCATCACTTTTGCCTCACCCCCAGTCCCAATGCTCCTCATTTTAACCGACTTACTCCAATCTACTCAACAAAACATGCTGACTGATGTCCACACATGTAGAAGGCTAGTGTTTACTCCCAAGCATGTCCGTGTTCTTCCACTCTATTTGAGTTACACGTAAACCAAGATTCATTAGCGTATAGTACCAAAGCTGTTAGTGTTGGATGTATTTTTAGTGTAACTATATAATTGAATTGAAAGGTGTTTATACTGATAAGATATGAGTGCAAAAGAGAGTTACTATTTCTAAGAAAAATAAATGTAATGCTTTGTAACAACTAGATAAAGATGATTCGCTAAAATAAATTGTTGCCAAATCAGCTATGGGCCCAAAATATTCTAGAGGATTGAAAGTAAATTTTGTGACATGGTGGCTCATGCCTGTAATCCCAGCACTTTGGGAGGTTCAGACAGGTGGATCACTTGAGGTCACGAGTTCGAGACCAGCCTGGCCAATATGGCGAAACCCTGTCTCTACTAAAAATACAAAAATTAGCTAGATGTGGTGGTGCACACCTGTAATACCAGCTACTTGGAAGGCTGAGGCACAAGAACTACTTGAACCTGGGAGGTGGAGGTTGCAGTGAGCCAAGATTGCATCACTGCACTCCAGCGAGAGTGAAACTGTGTCTGAAAACAAACAAACAAAAATAATAGAGAATTATGTATTCAGATGGCTTTGCAAGGGTTTTGTGTTCTTGCTCCACTTAACAGAACTAAAACTAGAAATTATAGACACTTGATACTCATACACACTCAAAGGAAAGAACTTGTCCTCATTGTAAAAGAGTGACAAATAAGTTAACATTTATCTATTTTAAGTTGAGGTAAAAGATTTAAAGTGTATGTCTTATGCTTTCTAATGTAACTAGCATTTTTTTAAAATGACCAAGGTGGTATCCTCATCACATCAGACTTCCCTTGTAATACATCATATGCTTTGTTTGGATATAACTTCGGTAGCCTTCCTGTCCTGAACCAAATTAAACATTTATAATGGCACAAGGAAAGGACTTAACATGGACTTTGCCTCACTATATGTAATATAAATTAAAGCAGTGTCATCTAATATAAATGCTTTTAAACACATAGCGTAGAGCACCTTTGCCAATAGGCTAAGTAGAGTCCAGGAAATGTACATAGACAGGAGAGCTCTACACAAAAATTCCTAACCAGACTGAAGGAGTCATACCCAGTTTGTCTGTATATTTAATGGCATGCAAGGTATGCTCTACCAAGGAAAGGTCACCTTGAGAATATCTTGAAAACACATTCTCTAAAGTCTATGAAAATGAAGACCAAAAAATGGCCACAAATAATCTCATCAGTTGCCATCAGTGACTTTTTCATTATTTACATAACAAAGCCCCATTTTGAGGAACTTCATCATCATCATCATCATCATCATCATCATCATCATCATAATATAGCTTTTAGTTGTCATAAAAACATGATGGAAAATGAATATGGTTATGTTAGCGGTGGTGAATCCATACAGGTCTGCATCAGCCCCAATTCTTGCCTCCTCAGAAGAAAGAATTCAACCGAGGGGTCATAAGGCAGAGTGACAGACCAAGGCAAGTTTTAGAGCAGGAGTGAAAGTTTATTAAAACGTTTTAGGGCAGGGATGAAAGGAAGCTAAGTACACTTGGAAGAGGGCCAAGCAGGTGGCTTGGGAGATCAAGTGCACAGTTTGACCTCTGACTTGGGGTTTTATATGTTGGCATACTTCTGGGGTCTTGTTTCCTTTCTCCCCTGATTCTTGCCTTGGGGTGGGCTGTCTGCATGCACAGTGGCCTGCTAGCACTTGGGAGGGGCCCTATGCACAGTGTGTTTACTGGAGTTGTATGCATACTCACTTGAGGCGTTCTTCCCTTACCAGCTGAATGTTCCTACGAGGAACAGTTCAACTCCGTCACTTTACCTCTTAATGTGCATGCTTGAGCCCACTCGCCCAACTCCTGAGATCTTATCAGGAACCTATTGACCATCAGTTTCAGGTTTTTCTACTGGGAGACTGCCTTTCCCTCGCACTAGCAGTGACCAATTATTATTTTAGAGAAGCAGTGTAATAACTGCTTGGCCATCACCTGATGGTTGCCTGATATTCCTAGGGAGGCAGAGGCTCTCCTGCCCCGCTCATGCCTGACTCGCTATCTACTGTAACAGTTATGGTATATCAATAATTAGTTAATCTACTTTCCAAAACACTTTCATCTTCACTGAATTCTTTGTTAAAGGTGTTGAAGTTATTTGGTATTCTTCAGAATTTTCATGATTGCAGAATAATTGCTAAAAGATATGTAGTGAATATGCCTTATTGCTTCTTTACAGCTAAGCCTTCTCTTGCCTTCACAAGAAGTTGTAGCAGAAAGTTTCTGGGAAGACCCCAGTTCATATTTCTACCATTTAGTGTACCTGGCATTCACACTATTAGAAGGGTTAAACTGGAGGTCATTATTAAAAGAATTCTCGGTCGGGTGCGGTGGCTCACTCCTGTAATCCCAGCACTTTGGGAGGCTGAGGCAGGCAGATCACTTGAAGTTAGGAGTTCAAGACCAGCCTGGCCAACATAGTGAAACCCCATCTCTACTAAAAGTACAAAAAAAAAAAATTAGCCAGGCATGGTGGCACATGGCCGTAATCCCAGCTACTCAGGAGGCTGAGGCACAAGAATCACTTGAACCTGGGAGGCAGAAGTTGCAGTGAGCTGAGATCCCACAACTGCACTCCAGCCTGTATGACAGAGAGAGACTTTGTCTCAAAAAAAAAGAATTGTCAAATTTTACTTTGAGCTGCTGTGAGTTTCAATAGGGGAAGCCCTTTTATCCCAACTGTGTTCAATCATGTCCCAGTTTTCTGAAAACTAGGAATGTGCTTTTGTGGTTTAAAGAGTTAATTCACAGAAGAGCTTGCACATCTAGTGAAAGAAGATGCCCTCAGTCTGCTCATCATACCCCATGGGGTGTTCCAATATTGCTGGTATCACTAAAATGAGATCATATGGGAAGATTTCATGAGAAGATACATTCATTTATTTAAAACATATTTATTAAGTGCCTACTATGTTTCAACTATTGTGTTAGGCACTGAGAATATGAGGATGAACAAAGCTATGGACAGTCTACTTTCATGGAGCCCACAGTCTGCTGTGGGAGACAGACATCTATCAAACAATATCACTGTGAAATTTCAATTACAACCTGAGGTGAAGTCTTGAAAGTAAAGGGAAATGACTCTTGAAAGCAATTGACAATAGAACCAAATCTATCAGAGTATGATGAAGGCTTTCCTTAGCAAGTAACATCTGAGCTGACATTTAAAAGATGGGAGAGAGTTAATTAGGTGAAAAAAGGAAGGCAAAAGAGGAAGACTTCTGAACCAATAGCTTGCAAACCTTCTTGTAACCACAAATATATACCAAATATTTTAAATTATCATACCCATGCAAACATATACATATATAAAATTTAAACAAAACTTTCTAACAATGACACTATAGCCCTTACTACCTGCAATCCACACTAATTTTTTCTATTCCTTTCAATTTCATTTTTAAAATTTAGTTATGATTTATTAATCTGCAGTTAAACTGTAATAATGGTATTCAACTTCCACTTTACTATCAGGAACAAAAACCTTAAAACACACACTATCTCATGCAAGCACACTCTCTCTCTCTCTCTCTGATATAGCAGTGTTCTCACAGGTGACCAAAGAAGTCTCCATGGATATCCCATGGATATCATATTTGTTGAATATGAAACAAATAAGAAACACAAAACTAATTACATAAGCCCATGCCAGGATAATAAGGAGCAGCCCGTAGGCAAGTGACAGGAATGGGTGCCTGGAAAGGGCAGGGTTACCCCAGGCTCAAAGCATTTCTTTGAGGTTGCTCAAAGCATTTCTTCTCTCTGCAAACTGGTCTTTAGGTCATCTGCAATATGCATGAAGGTATCCTGGGGATAGGTGTTGGTTTGAAGTCCTTCTTTTGACAGGAAAAAATTCTCTCTGGAGGAATTCTTTCCAATTCCCAACTTAGAAACTCAGTACTCCCAATAACTAAAATCAAGTATTAATACACAATTAAATATCACCAAATGCAAACTACAGGTTGGGAGAAAATTTTTGCAATCTATGCATCTGACAAAGGTCTAGTACCCAGAATCTACAAGGAACTTGAACAAATTTATAAGAAAAAAAAACAAACCCAATAAAAAGTGGGCAAAGGACATGAACAGACACTTCTCAAAAGAAGACATTCATGCAGCCAACAAACAAAAAAAGCTCAACATCACTAATCATTAGAGAAATGCAAATCAAAACCATAATGAGATACCATCTCCTGCCATTCAGAATGGCAATTATCAAAAAGTGTAGAAACAACGGATGCTGGCGAGGTTGTGGAGAAATAGGAATGCTTTTACACTGCTGGTGGGAAGGTAAATTAGTTCAACCATTGTGGAAGACAGTGTGAGGATTCCTCAAAGATCTAGAACCAGAAATGCCATTTGACCCAGCAATCCCATTACTGGGTATATACCCAAAGGAATATAAATCATTCTATTATAAAGATACATGCACACGTATATTCATTGCAGCACCATTCACAATAGCAAAGACATGGAATAAACCAAAATGCCAATCAATGATAGACTGGATAAAGAAAATGTGGTACATACACACCATGGAATACTATGCAGCCATAAAAAGGAATGAGATAATGTCCTTTGCATGTACATGGGTAGAGCTGGAAGCCATTATCCTCAGCAAACTAATTCAGGAACAGAAAACCAAACCCTGCATGTTCTCACTTATAAGTGGGAGCTGAACAATGAGGACACATGGACACAGGGAGGGGAACAACACACACTGGGGCATCTTGTGGGGTGGGTGAGGGGAGGGAGAGCATTAGGAAAAATAGCTAATGCATGCTGGGCTTAATACCTAGGTGATGTGTTGATAGGTGTAGCAAACCACCATGGCACACATTTACCTATGCAACAAACCTGTACATCCTACACATGTACCCCAGAACTTAAAACAAAAATAAAAATAAATATCACCAAATGTACAAAAAAGCCACAATAAGAGAGAATCACTCAAATGTTCAAAATACCATATTTAAATGATCAAGTACTGAGATTTGAAACAACTAGGTGCAGAATACAGAAGAGCTGTGTATTTCATGCTTAAAAAAATAAGGAATATGATGATAAACGGACCAATGAAGCAAAAATAATCCAGGAATAATCATGCATTTGAGGAAAAATGGTGTTTCATAGAATAAAAAGATACTTGTTGAAATAATATCTACATCCATCAACCTAATAACATAGTAGATTTAGCTGAAGAGAGACTACATGAGTTGAAATATATATCATTAGAAATTATCCAGAATGCAATATAGAGAGATAAGGATGTAGAAAATGAGAGACATTAAGAGATATAGAGGCTAGAATAAGAAACTCAAAAATACATCTAGTGAAAAGCCCAAAATTAAAGATTAAAGAAAGTGGAGAAGCGACATTTAATTTGATAATGGATCTAAATTTTCAAAGCTTAAAAAGAATCTGTATGGATCTAGAAAACACAACATACACTAAGCAGGATATATGGCAATAACAATAACAATAAAAATTCACAGCTAGAATCATCATAGTGAAACTACTTAACATCAAAGACAGAAGCTCTTAAAAGTGGGGGGAACATACAGATCACCTATGAAGAAATTAAAATTAGATCAGATTCCTCTACAGCATCTGTGGAAGTCAAATGACAGTAAGATCAATGCAGAATCGAATATCCAGAAAAAAAAAATCCTTTAAGAATAAGGGTGAGGCAAAGACTTTTACAGATTTAAAAATGTGGGTGTATAAACACCCACATGTGATAACACAAAGAGAACCATATAAGATAATTTCTAAAGGATCATAAATAGGTAAATAATTCAAGGAGAACATCAGAGATACAATAAAGAATGATAGGCAAATTAAATTATAATTATGCTGTATATTCATGGGGGGAAAAGCAGACAATGAAGTCTAATTTGTGGAGCTAAGAAAGAAGAATTAAATCGCATGCAAATAGAAAGGGAGTTTTGCAAATTAAATTATTCCACAGATATTTTATTGTTTGGAAGGATAAGAGATGTTTAGGTTTATTCAAATTTTTAAAGAGAATATGCATGATAAAATTTTGAGGGTAATCACTGAAAGAGTAAAATCTACACTGAATGCATTCAATCAAATGACAGGAATAAATAAAATTAGATAAACATAAATGCAATAAACTTCAACAATTCCTTAAAATGCATCAGCTTAGAAAAAGTCATACAATTACAAAGCAAAAGTAACACAAAAGAAACAAGTACAAATAGATCAATATCCATAGTAATAAACATACTAAACTCACCATTTTAAGGACAAAGATTATCAGATTTGATTTTTTTAAAAAAAGGATACAGCTCTATATCATCAACAAGAGATATTGCTTAAAGCATAAGAACACAGGTATTTTGAATGAACAAAAACAAAATAAAGTAAAATATAAACCAGTCAAATACTAACCAAAATAAAGCTGATATGGCTTGTTAGTATCAGATTAAAGAGACATTAAGATAGAAACATTATAGGAATATAGAAGATGACTATATGCTGATGAAAAGTTTAGTGTATCATTATGTCTTAGGATGACATGTATAATCTCAAGATCTATTGATCAAGAAGAGAAAGTTCTACGTCATGAATAGAATAGTCAGAAAATTTGTAGAGCAAAAATAAATAGGAACACAAAGAGTTCTCACTTATCAATAGGCCAATAAAATGGTTATAAAAATCGAAAAGACCCAACATAAAAAAATATTGATTTAGTAGATATGAAGAAAAACAAAGAATGTATCTTCTTCTCATATAAACATATTACATTTCTCAATATAGATCAGCCTGGCACAGTGTCTCACACCTGTAATCCCAGCACTTTGGGAGGCCAAGGAGGAAGGATCACTTGAGCCCAGGAGTTTGAGACCAGCCTGGACAACATGGCAAGGCCCCATCTCTATAAAAAATACAAAAATTAGTTGGGCATGGCGGGGCATGCCTGTAGTCCCAACTACTAAGGAGGCTGAGGTGAGAGGATTGCTTGAGTGTGGGAGGTCGGGGCTTCAGTGAACCGTGTTCATGTCACTGCACTCCAGCCTGCATGACAAAGTGAGACCCTGACTCAAAAAAAAAAAAAATTGATCATGTGCTTGGTCATAATTCAAATTGCAAAAACTTGTATTTTTTTGTAGAGACGGGGTTTCACCATGTTACCAAGGTTGGTCTTGAACTCCTGAGCTTAAGGGATCCTCCTGCCTTGGCCTCCCAACATGTTGGGATTACAGGCATGAGCCACCATGCCCAACCACAAAAATTTCTGAAGAATCAGTATCACAGAGGCCATGTTCTTTGGCCAGAGTGCAATTTCATATATATATATATATATATATCAGAACAAAATGATAAATACACCTTTCCTGTACAGTTCATAAATACAACCACACTTCTCAAAAATTAATAGGTCAAAACCTAAATCACAACATAAGTTTTAAAATAATTGGAAATCAGAAAACACTACGTATGGAATTCCATGAAAGTACACTTAGAGATAGATAAATTCCAGGTCTTAAATTCTTGTATTAGCAAATAATAAGGCAGAAAATCAAGCTAGGAGATAGTAAATATTAGAGAAGCAATCAATGAAATAAGAAAGAAATCTGTAGTAAAAAGAAAGAAATAGTACTGAGAATCAACAAAGTCAAAAGTTATTTTTTTATGTAACGTAAGAGAGAAAAGGCACAAAAAACATTTAAAAACACTTTAGAAAAAAGCTTTTCAGTTTCTTAAAAAATTAAACATACATCTCTCATATGCTCCAGCTGTTCATTCCATTTCTAGGTGTTTGTCCAAGAAAGATAAAAACTATACAAAGACTTATATATGAATTTTCTTAGCAACTTCAGTTTCAATTTAACTTTTATTAGTTTCACTTTAAACTAACTAACTTCAGTTTAGTTTCCATTATCATAACTTTCATCATGATTATTGAAAATGGAACACAACATTAATCTCCATCAAGAGATTTTTATATAATAAGCAAACTAGATAATGGATAACAATGGATAAACAAGTTGTGGCATATCTGTACAGTAAAATGCCACTCAGCAGTAAAAAGGAATTAATGATTGATAGATGGCAACAATGTAAATGAATCTCAAAATAATTATGCTGAATTTTTAAAACCATATTTTTAAAAGGGCACAGATTGTATGATTTCATTTCTATGAACTACCAGTGGATGGAAATTAATCTATAGTGGCAGAAATTAGATCCATTGTTGCATGATGACAGGGTAGAAGAAAGGATGGATTACAAAGGGGCAAAAAGAGACTTTGGGAAACAATGGCTGATAGATGTGCTCATTGTTTCGAGAGTGGTGATGCTTTCATAGAGTGTACTTGTGTCGGTGTCAAGTGGAGTCCTCAAGAAGCAGATATCATGACAGAAGCAGACAGATACCATGACAGGACCAGATCATGAGAGATCTACTGGGGTAATATACTGCAAGGGAGTTGGAGGAAACATCCAGGGAAGGCTGGGAGAGCCTGCAGACAGGTGGCAGAACTGACCCAAGTGTGGGGGAGAGAAACATGAAGAAAGCAGGATGGAAGACAGGAAGGTCATGGACTCGAGTGGAGCTCTAAGAAAGGTTGGCAAGGCTGATGGAGAGTGCTGCCTCTTGCAGGAATGGGCCTATCTCAGTTCCCTACTGCACTTGGTCCCTGGGTGGAAGAAGCAGCCTTGGGGAACTGTGGCCCTGGCACAAACACAGCAATGGATTCAGAGCCCAGTGTTGGTGTCCTCATTCGCTCACTTTCCTAGCAGTAGAAGATGTGAGAAGCACATCCCCATGGTTGCCACCCCCAGCAAATTAGACGCTTTAAATATGTGTGGTTTACTGTATGCCAGTTAGGCCTGATTAAAATTTAAAAAACAATAAAGACAGATAATGGCAGATAAAGGTAACAGGAGAACACTATGGACAACTTCATGCCAATAGATCTGGAAACTTGAAAATGGACAAATGCATAGAAAAATATAATTTACCAAAACAGATTCAAAAGAAACAGAAAGTCTGATTCACCCTAACGTTATGAAAGAAATTAAAACAAATATCCTATAATCCAGTAATTCTGCTCATGGAGTAATACCCAAGAGACATACACAAGAATGCTCATGAGAACAATATTTGAGTAATAAAAACTCAAACATTCCAATAGCCATGAAAAAGAGACTAAATAAACCATCAACACTCTTTTTACACAAAGAATAATATACAACAGTAAAAATGTAGAATAATATACAACAGTAAAAATGTAGAACCTTAAACTATACACAACCAAATTTTGGAAACATGATGTTAACTAAAAAAGTAAATCCCAGAAGAATAAATACGATACAATGCTTATAGAAATTTTTTTTAAATTAGCAGAATTAAACAACAAGTTAAACATACACGCAAATGGGATAAAAGTATGTATTCAAAAAAAGCAGGGGATTATTAGGCTAGTGATTACTTCCCAGGTGGGATAGTAAAGCACGACAAGCAATCTATTTATTACTAATGATCTAATTCTTGGGTTTACGGGCATTCCTTATATTATTATACTTTAACTCTTACGTGTATCTTGTATTAATCCTTTGTAGGTAACAAATAATTTTTACCTTCTCGAAAAAGAAATGAGAGAGCAAAGCCCTATTCCACTCAGAGGAAAGAGCATGTGCAAAGGCTTTAAAAGCAGCAAGTTCGTGGAATAACATGGAACAATGAGAAACAGAAAGAAAGCTCTGAAAGTTTTTAGGATGGTAGTAGGGAGGAGGAGTTCGGCGTGTGAACACCTCTGAAATACTAATGCCAATGCTATCATAGACATTATCTTCTCACCTTGTTAGGAAGATGGTCCTTGTAAACTTGATCTTGGGCCGGGTTTGGTGGCTTACGCCTGTAATCCCAGCACTTTGGGAGGCTGAGGCAGGCAGAAGACAAGTTCAAGAGTTCGAGACCAGCCTGGCCAACATGGTGAAACCCCATCTCTACTAAGAACACAAAAATTAGCCGGGCGTGGTGGTGTGTGCCTGTAATCCCAGCTACTCAGGAGGCTGAGGCAGGAGAATCGCTTGAACCCGGTAGGCAGAGTTTGCAGTGAGCCGAGATCGTGCCACTGCACTCCAGCCTGGGTGACAGAGCAAGACTTCATCTAGAGAAAAACAACAACAACAACAAGAAAAAACTTGATCTTGATAATTAGCAAGTGTTGATTAGCCTTGCCAAGACTGCAAATTCCCCAACAGACAGAGCTCATGGAGAAGGCTTTAAAGTTATGCACCATTAATTCAGAATTCATGTATCAATGGAATTTTCCAACGATGAAGACCTGCTGGGTTTTCAGTTTGGAACCATCATTTAAGGTACCATTTCAGTTGTAATCTCATTTTACTTTTCTTACTACAAAATTTTATATAAAAATAGCATTTTTCCTGATTACAAAAAAGGAGTAAATAGTTATTGTAGAAAATGTGATAATATAAATAGGCATTAAAGAGAAATAAAATTCACCGTGATGCCAATATTCAAAGATACACTTTTTTAAAAGACTGGTATACACACATACACACATGCCATGTTTTATTTCACTAATTTGGAAAGCCTATCATTTCTCACATGGTTAATTGTAATTATTTAAATTGTCATATTGTCTTCAACTCACTACATATTCTTCAAAGAAAGGGGTTGACAAACCATGGCCTTTAGGTCAAATGTAGCCTGCCACCTGCTTTTGTAAACCAAGTTTTATTAGATCACAGCCATGTTTATTTGTTTACATATAAACCAAAGTTTTAGCAACAGAGTTGAGTAGTTGTGATGGAGATTGTACCATAAAGCTATTTGGCCTTTGCAGAAAAAGTGCTAAACTTTGCTAAAAGACATACTTTAGTGCCTATCTATTAATAGTATTGTTTTATGAATGTATTATAAATTAACAATTCCTCAGTATTATATATTTTAATCTTTGCCACCATCCTTACAATGAAATTGCTGGATCAAAGTATACATGTCCTGTGTAAAGAGTTTAAGCATGTGGGCTGGCCACATTTTCTTCCAGAAGGTTGTACCCATTGATATCACCACCACTATTCACAGCCAAACTTCTGGAAAGAATACATCCAAATCCTCTGCATGGACACTTTCAGCATCTCCTTGTGACCCTTTGCTCTGTCATTGCTGCTTAGTCACAGTGAGAATGCCTCGTTTACTTGACCTCTCCTGGCCTTTGACACTACTGATCCTTTTTTCTGGCTCTCTTTTTTCTTGGGTTCCAAAGCCCTCCAGTTTTCTGCTTTTCCTCTGCTCCTTCTTTTTCTCCTTAGGTGTTCTTCCTCTTGTATCTTACTGGTGGAAATTTCCCCAAGAATAGGCCTTGGCTCTCTTTTCTCTCACTACTCCCATCTGATCTTTTCTCACACCAGCTTCTTAGCATTCTACCGTCAGTCTCCTCCTCACTCTGGCATATTTTACCTCTAGACTATACCACTGAAGTAGCCTCCTTACTGGTCTACTTCTTACCGTCACATCTTCCTCACCTTTTTTCTTTACATACTTGTGCCAGATTAAGTTTTCTTTTTAAAAAGTTCTAATTACCTTAATGTCCTGTGTATTAGTCTGTTCGCATACTGCTAATAAAGACATACCTGAGACTGGTTAATTTATAGAGGAAAGAGGCTTAATTGACACAGTTCCACGTGGCTGGGGAGGCCTCACAATCATGGCAGAAGGTGATGGTGGAGCAAAGTCAAGACTGTTGGAAGTATAAGGAAAGTATCTTACACAGCGGCAGGCAAGAGAGTTTGTGCAGGGAATTCCCATTTATAGAACCATCAGATCTTGTGAAACTTATTCACTACCACGAGAACAGTATGGGGGAAACAGTATGATTCAATTATCTCCACATGGCCCTGCCTTTGACATGTGGGGATTATCACAATTCAAGGTGAGATTTGGGTGGGGACCCAGCCAAACCATATCCTCCTGCTCATAAATCTTCAATGAATTTAGATTGCTTACAGAATAAAGTTAAAATTCCTTTAATTAGTTTTTAATACTCTTTAAATCAGCCTCAACTTGCCTTTCTGACCTTAATTTCCTTTACTAGTCTGAATTTTTAAGCCCTTATACATTTGTGGTGCATTCTATGTGCATAAGATATCTTTATATCATTTACCCTAATACCTACTGCGCAGTCATTCAAATCACACCAATTCTTCAAGGCCTATGTTGAAAGTCATTCATTTACTTTTCTTCATCCCATCAGTGAGAAAATGTTATCTCCCTCCTAACAACTCTCCATAGGAGTTCTATTTTATCTGTACCTGTCATATGTAATATTTTCTTACACAGTGATTCCTGAAAGTATTTTATCTTGCTGTTTATTTTTACACTACATCACTATGTGCTTTGAGCCTTTGTTTTCCTTGAATCTTCATTGTGCTGTGGCTTCCACAAGATGGAGATATTACTATCGAATGAGTAACTCGGTGAATGAACTGAGTATTACCCTAATAGAGGATAGAGAGTATTAAGGTAGTTCAATACCTTGTGATTTATGCAACATTGAAATAAAAACCAGGGAATGGTAGATTCAGGTATTCAATAGTATCGCATAACCTATTACATCAATGCTGCTACAGCTTACTC
Source organism: Homo sapiens (assembly GCF_000001405.40). Classification (NCBI taxonomy): domain Eukaryota; kingdom Metazoa; phylum Chordata; class Mammalia; order Primates; family Hominidae; genus Homo; species Homo sapiens. The sequence continues at coordinate 54,699,337 of NC_000018.10, read as the reverse complement.
ATGGAAAAAGAGGTAATTATTAGCACAACATACTTACCTCATAATACATCAAGACACAGTAGTAGAACTTCAAGTCAACCAGGGACAAATCTGTTTCTTTCTAATTATACTTCACAAGGGCAGTTCCTGCTTGTCCATTTCATTGAATAGATGATCTATGGTGTGGGGCTGACCTGGCCAATTGAGAAGCAGTGTGGACTTCTCTATTTTAATTCATTACATTAGACCCTAACTAGATCACGGGTTTTGCCATATCTTTATAGTGGTAAAGATTTGTCTATTTGCAAAGTTCCAGACGACAGAGGGACAAGAAAGTATACTGTTCATACTTAATATTATCTATGGACTATAACTGAATTCGATGGTAAAGAAGCCTTTGTTATTGGAGGAAGTAAAAACTTCCCCATCATGGTATATTAGTATGTTTGTGCATTTTTTACAGAACATTGGCTTTACTTTGATTCTTTTGTAAAATGTGGAGAAAAAACAATTTGTGCAACCCATTTTTTTCTAGGGTCATTCATTGTCCAGTTGTGTAATCTTGCATAAGTTATTTCACTTCTCGGGGCTTCTTTTTCCCTACTAGTAAAGTGAAGGGGCTCAATTAGGTGATATCTGAGACCTTTTCCATCTCTGAGCATCTGAATTCTATGCACCCTATGTAGAGAATGAAGGGCAGCATCTCAGATAGACATTCTAAACCCATCACCAAAAAGCCTACCTTATGCCCTGTGGCTGCCACTGGAAGTTTTTTAGTTGGAAAATCTTTTTGGACACCTCCCTCCTTACCCAAAACTGAACCCTCATTATTCAGTGGCGTATACAGACTACGTGTGCTGGGAAGACCCCAAATCAACATCCTGGGGAATTCAATTTTCTTAGAAGTCATTGAGCTATCAAGGAATTTCTTTTTTTTTTAATTATTATTATACTTTAAGTTTTAGGGTACATGTGCACAACGTGCAGGTTTGTTACATATGTATACATGTGCCATGTTGGTGTGCTGCGCCCATTAACTCGTCATTTAGCATTAGGTATATCTCCTAATGCTATCCCTCCCCCGTCCCCCCACCCCACAATAGTCCCCGGTGTGTGATGTTCCCCTTCCTGTGTCCATATGTTCTCATTGTTCAATAAGGAATTTCTTAATATGAAAAATATGCTATTTTCTAATTAGAACTCCCTTAGAGTTCAGTGGTCTGGCAGCAAAGTAGACAGCATGTCCTGGTCAGCATGAATTAATGAATTCATGAAGCCCACCTTTTTTCAATGACTGTCAGCATCAGTCATGTGTTTTCCATGAATTTTTACATAATCTTCCTTTCTACATTTATTTTTACAATATTGCAATTTCAGTGACTTTTCTGAGAGCCAGGATTAAATCATCTTTGCTATAGTAGTCATCAGACCAGGACAGCCCTTTTTGCAAGTACCTGTTCTCCCCAGATTGCTTTAGCTTATTTTCCTTATACTTCCAACAATCTTGATGGTGTGTGCTACCAGAGTCAGCTTCCTATCATACTTCTTTGCACACAAATTTTAGTGGCTAAATTATAGTAATGGTATATCAGTGCTGAAAAGGATCATAGAAATAATTTAGGTAAATCCCTTCATTTTACAGTCAAGAAAACTGAGGACTGTGAGATTTAGTAGCTTAAGGTTAATGTATTAACCTAGGTTTCCTAGAAAATATTACAGAACCTGAGGCAAGGCTTAAATACTAATGCTTTATTGGGAAGGAAAACCCTTTATTGGGAAGGAAAATGCTTTATTGGGAAGTAAGAATTTTTAAAATGGTAAATGAGGGAGGCAAAGATGGAAAGCAAATGCACAATGATGCATCATCAAGCTGACCACCGATTCTCAGAAAGCTCAAAGGGACCAAGACAGCCACTCAGCAATATATGTGCTCAGTGTAGTAAGAGAGTTCCAGACATCTGTACCATGCCTCAAAATAGTATGTCAGAGCAAGGAAGAGAGGATTTACTGCTGGATCCAATCTGTTTCTCTTTCTATCATTCCTTGAGGTTTACCATGAAGGGAGTTCACTCTCTCCTACACCTCCAGGTTGTGTCACCTGGCCACTTCGGCATCTTCTGGGGAAGACGAATCCCATGCACTGTGATGTGTTGCCTAGAAGTATTGGTAGGAGCCAGTGGCTCTAGATGTGGCACTGGAAGCCACAGGGAACAGAAACACTACAGCCCAAATGGAGTTGGTTTATATTTTAACTGCCAAAGCAGAACAAGTAGCTGAGTATCTGGGAGACAGGGAAGCCCAAGAACAAACTGAAGAGGGCTCCGATATTGCCAAAGAGCTTCATAGTAGCAATGTCCACTATCCTGACACTAAATTTAACACTCAGAAGAACAAGCAAATTTTTCAGCATCTTTCAATATTCTCTATATTCCAAATTTGCCTTATTTAGTTAGCTTATTGCAGCTACACTGCTTTATGTGAATTAACATCACCTGCCTGAAAACAACTCAACCATAAGGATTGGGAACTAAGAACACTTGTGTCAACATAACGACTATTTGTTCTGGAAAAATGCTGGTCCAATTTTTTTAAAGTCTCTGTTTACATTAGAAAATTAAACCAATTTTTTTAAAGTCTCTGTTTACATTAGAAAATTCTTGCAAACCCATCTGTCTAGGAAAAGTTTGCTCATCTGGGCAAACAGCTTGCTATATAACACAACAATTTATCAACATTCTATTCAAGACCATCCCTCAATGGACCCACCAAGCCTAAAATGCTCTGTCACAAACTTTACCCAATTTCTGTCTTCCACCTTGAAAGATCTACTTTAAATCCTGGTACACAGATCACTGTCTTTTGAGACAAACATTTTATTGACTCTGTTGCCCCCAAAACCTATCAAGAGATAAGAACTTATATGTTTTGTAGCAATTCAGGTATAAATGCCCAATTAATTCACAGAAACAGAGAAATCATTGCCTGAACCTCAAAATAAGGTCAGAAAAGACCCTAGTTTAAAGGAATAGGATCAACTACCCATTCAATTCTAAAACTTCAAAATGCCACAAGAAAAGAAAACATATCTAATTAGAATTTTATGACTATCACCCAATTTTGTTGTGCATATTCTCCTATTTTATTGCATAAACTCATATTTTACATAAATTTTCTCACTATTTATAAAATAGTGAGAAAATTTTCCCCAAAAGTAGACTGAAGTGAAAGTCAGCCAATACAATAAAAGCTTCAGACTCTGAATTATTTCATTATACCTGCAGATTGATTTCTCACAGACGTTTAGCCATGGATGATTTGATCATGGTGGAACTAGTAGAAGCACTCTCTCTACTGGTCTTCAGCCATACCTCCTATAGAATTTTTCAAACTACAATGTTAGGAAACAACTTTTCTCTTGCAACTCTTCCTTGTCCACTGAAAGTCACATGTGTTAGTATGACACCAAAAATATAATTTTAAAATTGCTACCTAAGGTGGGGCCCTTAAAAAACAATTTTATTTGGGAGGCCAAGGCGGGTGGATCATGAGGTCAGGAGTTCAAGATCAGCCTGGCCAAGATGGTGAAACCCCGTCTCTACTAAAAATACAAAAAATTACTCAAGCATAGTGGTGGGCACGTTGTAATCTCAGCTACTCAGGAGGCTGAGGCAGAGAACTGCTTGAACCCAGGAGGCGGAGGTTGCAGTGAGCCAAGATCACGCCACTGCACTCCAGCCTTGGTGACAGAGTGAGACTCTGTCTCAAAAAAAATAAATAAATGAAAATAAAAATAAAAAACTATAATTTTAAAATTGCTACCTAAGGTGGGAGTTGTGGTGGGTGAGCTCAGGAGAAGGTGTGCACCAGGAGACAGCTCTGTTTCTTTGTTGAATCTTTCCTTTTCAGGTCCCCTTCCCTGTTATTCTGTTATTAAAACTATTTCTTCATTATTTATATTTGTAAAATCATGTAGCTTGGTAATATGCTAAATATTAAACAAATGGCTCTGAGACAAATGCAGCATTGATTCAGACATGGGAGAAAACGGCAAGGAGTCTAAGAAGGATGTGTAGGATGAGTGGATAGAGGTGGAACTTGGCTTGAATAATAGTTACAGTCAGGTCAGGGTGTGAAGGCCCTGAAGTCAGTCACATGGAATAGCTAAGTAAAGACAGGAGTGTGGGTTTGATATCGGTCAGTTAGAGAAGCTAAATAAATAGATCCATAAACCCTCAGTAACCAATGAGATTAAAATGTTATGTAAGATGGATATTCCTAATAGCAACAAAAATACATGAAATCCCTATGTACAAACTCAACTAGAAATGAGCATGAAGAAATGAGAAGAATTACATGAAGAAATTCATGAAGAAAAGTATTGATCTTTATTAAAGGACATAAAAGAAGACCCAATTAAAACAGACAGTGAGAGAGAAATAGAGAGAGACTAACTTCCTGTATTGAAAGAATTTAACATTATAGGGATAAGTTTCACTAAATTCATCTATAAACATAAGGCCAATGAATATGACATTACCAAAAGTATTTTTATGAGAATTAAAAGCTGATTTGGAAAAGAATAATTAGCTTTCCCTTGCTAATTCTCTATTAAATATCAAACCACACCATAAAACTAGAATAACTTGTAAAAGTGTGGCATTGATGCATAATCTACAAATTTCACAGTGGAACAACTCAGCATGAAAAGAAAGATATATATGAAAACATAATATGGAAATATTATTTATGACAAAGGTAGAATTTAAAATCAGTAGAAAAATGACAGACTAAGGAATAGTGTGGGTACAATTGGCTATCCATTTAGGGAAAAGATATCAGATATCTATGTCATACCAGGCACAAAAATAAATCCAAATAGATTAAGTAAATAAAAACCTAGAAATGAATACAAAGAAACTATAATGGATTATCTTTATAATCTAAAGAGTTTTTCTAAGCAATACACTAAACACAGAAACTGTAAGATTGATAAATAAAAATTTTAAATACATACAAATTTAAATGAAAACTATAAATCAGAGCAAAGATTGACCTCCATAATTAATACAGAACAGTATCAAATTAAAGAAAGTAAAAACAGGTCACCTAATAGAAAAATGGTCAAATTACATGAACAGCAAATTTTCAAAAGAGGAGGTAATAAGATAAATTAAAAGATGCTCAACCTCATTATAAATCTGGGCCATTCTAACTGAAATGAACTAAAATCATGTTTTGTGTATCACACTGTCCAAAATTCAAAAGATTAATTACATTTTTAAGTAACAAGAGAGTGAGATTAATTATGTTTTTAAGTAACAAGAGAATGGGGATACTCACTCTCATACTTTATTTGTGGCACCCTAGTGACACTCCAGAAGGTTTCTCCTGTTTCCTTCCAAAGAGAAACACTCTCCACCCCTCCCCACTACGGGAGGTAATCATTATCCTGACACCTACAACTAATATTATTTTTGCCTATGTTGTTATTTTATATAAAAGGAATCATATACTGTAATTTTTTTGTACCTGGCTCCTTTGCTCAATATTATGATTTTGAGTCACTATTATTGCAGTTTCAGATTTTTCAGTCTCATTGCTTTCTACTAGATGTGCATACCAGAATGTATTGTCCACTCTATTGTTGATGGTCATTTGGGTAGAGCTGCACTGATCACTCTTCTACGTCTTTTGGTGAGTGAACATAGGTATACGTTTCTGCTAGGGAAACACCCAGAAGTGGACCTACTGGCTACAAGCTTTTCATGTATTCTTCTTGAGAAAGATGTTGCCAAGCATGTTTCAAAAGTGGTTTTTGTCAATTTCCACTTCTACTTGTGGTGGATGGAGTTCAGTTTACTCTACATTCTTGCTGACACTCGGTATTATCTGCCTTTTTCCTTTGCCCGTTTTGGTGGTTACTTGATGGCATCCTGTGGTTTAGCTTGCATTTAAAAAAAATAACTAATAAAGTTGAGCACCTTTTTACAGATTTAAAGGACATTTAAATATCCTCTTTTATGGAGTATCTGTTCAAGTCTTTTGTCCATGTTTCTATCAGGGTTTTTTGTTTTTATTTATATTTTTTCAAATATATATATACATACACATATATATTATATATTATATATACCTATATATTATAAGCAATATATAAACATATCAACATATATATATATATATAAAAATCTGCTTTCATTTTTTGGGTTGCTTTTCCTAACTTTTTAAAGATATTGTTTGGAGAAGTTTTTTTATTTTAATGTAATTCATTTATCTTTTTTTCTTTCATGCTTAATGCTTTTGGTGCCCTGATTAAGAAACCTGTCGACTCCAAGGTGACAAAGATGTTCTATGATGTTTTGTCTTATCTAATCTTTGAAAAGCAATACAAATATAAAAGATTAGTAAAATGTCAGATGTAGTAAAATGGTAAAAACACCAGAAAATGAGAACATTAACCATCTATAAAATTTCATCAGGAAAGTCAGTGCTTTCTTACGACATGATATTACCAGGAGGAGATTTATCACTCCCAGCTAACATTATAAAGCTTAATTCCACTTCAACATTTATAAATGAAATCCATCATCACTTGACTATAAGACTGATAACTACAGTGAATAGGCATACACAGAAGGCATAGGTGAATGCATTGGAAAAATAATAGCTTAGAGTATCTTCAGATTAGCATTCATTATCCTGACAACTAAAGAAAGAGACATGCCCATCACTGTACAGAATACAAAAACAGGACTTAAAAGATACAATCTGCCTTCAGTGTTAAATTGAAAATGGTTATTGGATTTAGCCAGCACAAACTGGAAAGCTCATTCTCTATCTTACTTTAAATGCTCTTTATTTTCTCTCTTTAAAAAATAAATTTCCTTTTCCTCATTTTCTTGCATTAGCAAAAGGAATATGCTAAAGATGAACTTTACTGAATGAAATCAAGGTTGTTTTTTTTCTTGTTCTCTTCGTTCTTTTCTTCCTAATACTTCGTGATATTTTTGTTTAGAGTTTCACAGATTTATAGAGCTCAAAGAGATTGTAAAATTTTACCCTATCCATCCTTCAAAAACATCTAAGCCATATGAAAACCAACCCTGTCGGTATGACAATTTGCCAAGCCTTCAGCTATAGGGAACATAATCATCTGGTTCTGTTTTTATTTTGACTAAATAAAATGTGAAGACTATAAACAGTACTTAAAAATCACTGAAATAAACTAGGAAAATTGATTCATTCTATGTCAGTTTTTTTAATAATTCTTTTTACTACTCAATGTATTAAATTATGATTGTAAAGTGTTAAAAGATTAAATATGTTTAGTGTCTTAATGAAGAAAGTGGGTTACATTATTCTCCTAAGGGTTTGGAAAGAAATTATATTGAGTTGCTTGATTTCCTATGTATAATATTTCTTGTATTTATCTTCCTTTTTTAAAAAAAAAACACTTTTCCACTTATTTGCTATTGAAATAGCTCCTAACTATTCTTTCCTTTAGTCTCCTAAACCTCCAATCTACCCTATGTATTTTCAACTTCCTCTTAATGTACCCATTTTTTGTGTTGTTTCCTTTTGCTCATTAACCATCAGTGGCTCCCCATTATTGGGGAGCTAAAACTTTAAATGTCACAATCTGGCATCTAAGGTCTTTTAAAAAATGGTGTGAACCTACTTTCCTAACCAATGCTTATAACATTCCTTTACACAAAACCTAATGACTACTGGTCTTCAAACATCACAAACATAAATATTCCCACTTTGCACCTGTATTCAAATAATTTCCTCTCAGTCTCAAATGCTCTTTTTTTAAGAGGAGACTTGTCCCCTTTTCTCTAAGTGAAATAATAGATCTGGTGGAATTTCACCTGAGGGAGGTCATGGTCCTGGTTGATAAGCTCCAACGATGGAATAGAAGGCCACCTGGGGTTGCTGGAAAGGCAGTCTGAACCTATAGGGATTTAGTTGTAGACAAATGGGCAAATTCTTGCTCTTTCTCTGAACCCTATTTATGAGAATGTATGCTGGTTCTGAAGCCCAAGATAATATAAATGCATGAAGTTTCTCACCTTTAGATAAAGGCCAGAAAACAGTGAGGGAAATATCCAGATAAAGGCCAGAAAACAGTGAGGGAAATATTTAAATATGCTTTCACCATTATTATTAAAAGAGATTATTGTCTTCTGTTGTCTATAATTTATTTCTCATTGTGATGAAGAGAACTATGGTAATTCCTGGCCAGAGTATGGAAGGAAGGATCCCTAATTTGGGCAGATACTAAAGCTCCAGTAAATTAATATATAAATGTTGAGTAAATGAATAAGACATTCCATCACCCTCACCATGATTAAATATTGGAAAAGATTTAATATATGCAAAGATGTTCGACCCAATGTATAATTTAAAAACAAGCAAGGAAACAAAGGTATGGAGTCAATCAATGTCAGTTTTAACCTAGTTTCTTCGTTTGTGTTTGTCCTAAATTCAGTGCTTTTCATTTGCTACAGCACAAATATGCAAAAATGGGAGGTATTTGTTTATATTTAAAATCAGTATTTTATTTTTCTTGTATAAAATGTTTTTCTTAGCAGGTCTATATTTTAAGCAAATCTAAAATGACTTTCAAAGGCATTCTCCGTGTGATTCTTTATAAAACTTGAAACTACTTTCTATTGGACTAAGAGGTTTGAAAGCTAACAGTTTCTGAAATTACATGATTAGAAGTCATTGAAATGAGTTTCTGAAGCAATTTGAGAGAATTTTTAGAAATCAGAGAGAGAATTAGAGGCAGGATTTTTTTGTATTTCCTATATTTCTTCTTGTTTCTTTCATTTTGATATTGAGTCACCAGGCTTGCTCACATCCTGAATTAATTTCTTTTCATCTCTCTTCTATGTTGAAGCTATCCGTATAATTGTTAGTACGTCATTACTTCATCTACATTTTGTAAACAACTGAACTGAGGATGAATGACTCGGTTTGGTACCAAGTTGTTAGCCTGGGTATACTTTGAGCTCTCAGCTGGAAAAGCACTAACCGTTGTAAGATGTTGTAATTACAATTTACAGCCCCTGATTCTGCAGCACGTTGCTGGGCTACTAAGTCATCCTCCTTGTGCTATAATCTATACTTTCCCTTCTGGGCTATTTCTCTTCTCACAAAAGCTATCATCTGGATACACCTCATTGTAACTCTTGTCTTCTCTATGTACGAAATGAATAATTCTGATCACAACTTTACTTCCTAAGAAAGCGAAAATAATCCATGAAGAAGAGTGCCTATTCATTTTTATAACCCTTCATTTTTAAAATGACATGTCTGTTGTATCTTTAATATTTGTGCAATGCTGCAAAATGTTCCCCATAAAATGGTGCATAGACAGGTTTGGGCTCTTGCTTGTGAGTAAAGCTTTAAATTAAATGATTATCAGTGCTTTTGGAATACATCCATAACGCATTGACCATCTGTCTTCTAGATTGCATTTTTCAGTAACCGACTCATGAAAAGCAATTCTTCTCAAATTCAGCAATATGTGTAAATAACATTTAATAATATTTTTATTTCTGAAAATGTTAAATACTAAAATATCTTATGGTCTTTTTGTTTCCCCTTATATAATGACTGATGAATTTCAAAAATAATTTTATGTAATAATTTTGTGTTGAATAGGAAACAGACTGTCTCTGTCATTTAGAAGACTAAAATCTAAATGCAAAAATAAGATTTAAAGAAATTACATAAAACTGCACGTCACTGTCACTATAATAGTAAGTACATAATAGTATGATTCAGATCCTCAATGGTGTGAGGAAATCAAGATTAGGAACAGGTTCCATAAAGTTCAGCTAATCCAGTAGGACTTCAGAGAGCAAGGAAATATAAAATTTTATTTGAATAAAATGTAAGATGAGTAATGTCAGAAGGTGATGACAGTGGTGGGAAGAAGGTTTTTACATAGTAGAACAACAGAGAAATAAATGAAGAATGAACAGAGATGGTAAAGAAGTGCGCTATGTAATTTTAAAGTTGTATACTGGGATGATAAGTGAGATGACAACAATTGATGGAGAACTTTAATTACCAGGCAGATTAAAAATTTAAATTAATCAAAAAAGAAGGTAAAGTTTAACATAAATTAATAGGAAAAATACAGGAGCTATTACATGATAAAAGTGAACATAATTTTTGCATGGGCATTTTTTTGTTTTTTTTGAGACGGAGTTTCGCTCTGTTGCCCAGGCTGGAATGCAGTGGCGCGAACTAGGCTCACTGCAAGCTCCACCTCCCGGGTTCACGCTATTCTCCTGCCTCAGCCTCTCGAGTAGCTGGGACTACAGGCGCCCGCCACCATGCCCGGCTAATTTTTTTGTATTTTTAGTAGAGATGGGGTTTCACTGTGTTAGCCACGATGGTCTCAATCTCCTGACCTCGTGATCCGCCCGCCTCGGCCTCCCAAAGTGCTGGGATTACAGGCTTGAGCCACCATGCCCCAGCCTGCATGGGCATTTTGAGTGGTATATAGAACTGAGTAATAGAAGATGTTTTCTAATCATCTTAATGAGCTGGAGATGTGGAGTGTTTCAATGATAGGATGAGCATAAAGAACAGATTTTGGCATTTTATAAAGTAGTAATAAAAATAAACTTAGAATATACTACCAAAGAATTTAAGAAATGAGAATGAATTCTATCCTAAACTTTAATTAAATTTACTATACTATGTCTGTATTCTTTATTTTTTTTTTTTTCAGACAGAGTGTCACTCTATCACCCAGGCTGGAGTGCAGTGGCTCACTGCAACTTCTCCCAGGTTCAAGCGATTCTCGTGCCTCAACTTTCCAAGTAGCTGGGATTACAGGTGAGCACCACCACACTAGTTTTTGTATTTTTAGAAGAGACATGGTTTCACCATTTTGGCCAGGCTGGTCTTGAACTCCTGACTGTAAGTGATCCGCCCTCCTCATCCTCCCAAAGTCCTGAGATTACAGGCATGAGCCACCATCCCTGGCCAGAATTCTTTAGTTTGTATAATAATATTATTTGGGTGAAAGTTTTCTGAAGTTGTTTGCATCTAGCTGTACAATGATAAATAAAGAGGAATGCAAAACTTGGAAGAAGTTTGATTGATAGCCATAAATTATTGACCACCATTTGGTTTAATATTGTGGCTAGAGAGTTGCTACTCACCACAAAGCTCATCTGCTGCCCTACATTCTACAATTCCCATGTAATTAGTTTATAGTCACATGACTATTTCTGGCCAATGAACTGTGAACAATAATATGTAATGTGTATCACTTCTAGGTCAAGACAGTTAAGTGTACGTGTTCTCCTTTCATTCTTCCTTTCTCCTTGCTGCAGTGACTTTGGGAGCTGTATGCTGAAATAGGGACATTGAAAGATGAGGAAATTATGGATCTCCAAGTCACTAGATGGAAGACAGCACGTCAAAAACTTTATAAGGAAGAAGTAAGCTCTTCTTGTGCTAAGCCAAGAGTTGGCAAACTATGACCCATGAGCCAAATATGGCATACTTTGTATGGTTTGCATGCTAAGAATGGTTTTTAAATTTTTACACAGTTGGGGAAAGACAAGCCAAAGAAGAATAATATATTGTGATATGTGAAGTTATGTGAAATTCACCCTCAATGACCACAAAAAAACTTTTTTTTTTTTTTGAGACAGTGTCACCCAGGCTGGAGTGCTGTGGTATGATCTTAGCTTACTGCAACCTCCACCTCCTGAGTTCAAGTGATTCTCCTGCCTCAGCCTCCCAAGTAGCTGGGATTATAGGCACGCACCACCACGCTCAGCTATTTTTTGTATTTTTAGTAAAGACAGGGTTTCACCATGTTGGCCAGGCTGGTCTCGAACTCCTGACCTCAAATGATCCACCTGCCTCGGCCTCCCAAAGTGCTGGGATTACAGGCATGAGCTGCCGCACCTGGCCCCACAAATAAACTTTTTATTGAAACACAGATGCTCTCATTTGCTTATGCATTGGCTGCTTTTGTGCTGCAACAAAACTTGAGTATTTGCGACAAAGACTATCTGGACCACAAACCCTAAAATGTTTTCTATCTGGCTCTTCATAGAAACCTTTTGAAGTCAATGCCCCCCATCTCCTAGACACACACAGGATGGGTCCCTAGCATCATGTTTCTACTAGTTCATTTCCCCCCCTCCCTAAGGATAGCTGGTTAGACAAGAGTTGAAAACTGACCCAGAATGAACAAATAAAATTATCTATTTACGGATATTGGAGTAAAACTTGGAATTAAGGAGATTATAAAGATATGCCAGGTGTTTATAATTGAGACAAAGATTATTTGGGAGCTAAGTTCAGTTGTTGTTCAACATGGGTTCAGAGGAGCAGAGATGAGAGCCACAGAATTACAAGAAGGAAAGTGTGAGAGAAGGATTCTTGGTCCCTTTATAGGTCTTCCATTCTTAGTTACAGGTATGGCATATTTCCTTTTCTCACATAAAATATCCCTTTATATTTATTTTTAATACTCTTTAATTAATTGGCTGATTTACCTACTTGAACTGGTGTATATGCATTTCTTATGCTTGGAGTGGAAAAAAGCATTCACAGATACTGATCTCAAAAACGTGTAATTAAAATTTCCAGAAAGCTTTCATAGATAGATATAAAGATAGATAGATAGATAGACAGACAGAGTCTCACTCTGTCACCGAGGCTGGAGTGCAATGGCATGAACTCAGCTCACTGCAATCTCCGCCTCCTCGGTTCAAGCGATTCTCCTGTCTCTGCCTCCCAAGTAGCTGGGATTACAGTTGCGCACCACTACTCCTGGCTAATTTTTTCTATCTTTAGTAGAGACAGGGTTTCACCATGTTGACCAGGCTGGTCTTGAACTCCTGACCTCGTGATCTGCCCGCCTTGGCCTCCCAAAGTGCTGGGATTACAGGCGTGAGCCACCGCACCTGGCCCTTTCATCAATATTTAATAGAGGAAAGCTCTAGTGGAAAAGAGGCAATCTGTCAAAGAGACAGTAACAATATCCTAGAGATACTCTAGAGCCTTTTGCAAAGTTTCTAATACATTCTGCAATGTTCAAGGCAATGTTTATAAGTAAGTTTTATATGTATTTCCTTGTATAGTTTGACATATTAACTAGAGAGATTTCTTACGTGTAATAAAAGAGGCATTTGAGCCTCAAATCCATTACTTACTTGCTGTATGACTTTATAGAGTAACTTAGGCAGGTAAATTGCTAGGCTCACTTTTATCCTTAATTAATGAGAGCAATGGTCCATAAGCCTAACAGCAGAATTTCTTAACTTGAAATTCATGGATGAAATTCAGCAAGTCCTCAAATCTCCTGAATATTGGAAACAATATTTTCTATGTGTACATCTTTTCATTTTTTTCTGTAGAGGGCACATAGCTTTCATCAGATTGTCAAAGGTATCCATGACCCAAAACGGGGTTAAAAATACACTAATGCAAATAATAATTATAAAGATTAATGAAAAAACGTATGAAAAGTTATTAGCACAGTACACAGAACACTCCATGCATGTTTGTTCATTTTCCTTTCTCTCTCTCTCTTTTTTGTTCTTTGAAATGGATCTCGCTCTGTGGCCCAGGCTGGAGTGCAGGGGCGCGATCTCAGCTCACTGCAGCTACCGCCTCCCGGGTTCACGCCATTCTCCTGCCTCAGCCTCCCGAGTAGCTGGAACTACAGGCGCACGCCACCATGCCCGGCTAATTTTTTGTATTTTAGTAGAGATGGGGTTTCACCGTGTTGCCCAGGCTGGTCTCAAACTCCTGAGCTCAGGCAATCCGCCCGCCTTGGCCTCCCAAAGTGCTAGGATTACAGGCGTGAGTGAGCCACCGCGCCCGGCCCCCTTTCCCTTTTATCACTTATTCAAACTTCCCACCTGTTGGAGCCTTATTCTCCCAATTATGTTACAATCCTCTCGAGGGGAGGGCAGGGCATACCTTATATTTCTTTGTACAGCTCCCATTGCAATAAAGTACAGTAGAATACTATTAAGTATTTATTGAATAGATTGCAAATGCAGTGATCCCAGGCGTGTGTATGTGTGTGTATTACTTGATATTGAAAATATCAAATGGTTCTTTTCCTTCTTTTTATTTTATTTTTTTCTTTTGGCTTTTTAGACGTGGAATAAAATGTTGGGAAATGTGAAGAGAGATGTTTCAGCAACTAGATCTCTTTTGGTTCGTATCCATAGTTGCATTCTCCTTTAAAACCTCAGGGATCTTCCTGTCGAGTAATTTTTCTCAGAAATGCTGCTGCTGCCCTGTTCTGTGGAAATTCCTTTGCCACTTCAGGACCGCTGACCTGCTGCCTTCCTTGCTTAGAACTTTCCTGCTACCGCAGCCCTCTTTGGTTGCTATGCAACCAGTCCCGAGAGGCGGTTTTACTGTGCATGTGCTTTCCCTCACATGGATGATTTGTTTTACTGTTTTTTATTTGTTTTTACCACAATTTGAATCTCATTTTTTCCCAACATTCTCAACTGTAACCCTGAATCTTGAGTTTTGACAAACTATTATAGTATACAAGGCCTTAGATTTTTACGCTTGATTTCTATCTGATTTCTTCTTTAGGAAGCCTTTTTTTTTTTTTTTTTGATGTCTCCCAGGATTTTTTTTTTTAATTATTAAATGTTGGCATGAGTCTCATGGACAACCAGTTAAGACTTCTCAATCTTACATTTTTTCACTACGCAATGTTCATTTTTGACCTGATTATTTAATTGTAGATTGCATTATAAGCACTAAAACAATTACATTTAAGAATCACACATAACTTACTGACTTTTCCTCTAGATTTTACACCATATTCTGGAATTTTTCCACACTTAAGGTCAAAAGCTCAATGATAAAATTGCACTCATTAGTAACTCTTCTTCCTTCAAACATAAAACTAGCTACAAGTTGTGTGTGGTCATTTGAGAAACTGCACTAAACAATTAAATATGTTAAAAGCTAAAATTATTTGTATTCCCCCCCAATGAATTACCATTAAAACCTAATTAAATGTAATACTTTAATTTATTTAAATATGTAGGTTCCTTTCTAAACACGTGAAAATAAACCCCCTATTATTTAACAAAAATCTGAAAAAATGTAAGAAAGAAAAATTTAAATATCCAACATTGTGATTTGGACTATTCTATGCTAGCACTAAATCAAACAACAAAAAATAGATCACTTCTAACCTACCAAACTGCCAGTTTTTAAAAGGGTAATAACTAGCATTCATAAAACATGATGAAATGGTTGTTTTGTACTTCTTGAAGCTTGATAAACCAGTATAACCTTTCTGGGAGTAACTGTTGTGTATCAAAAGTCTGAAATCATAGTTTCATTTTACTTCCCAACTTTTTGGCCCAGCAAATTGACTTCCAGATGTCCATCCTAAGAAAATAACTGAAATTCTGGCAAATAATTAAGCTTAAGAATGATCGTTATACGGTTGTGATAATGAAGTCTGTAATGACAAATTACATCATCCTAGCAAGCTTCCGTCCCTTCACGTTCCCCTTCCACCACCCCACAGGGGTGCACATGATCTAAGCCTGGCTTTTTGGAGTTTCTCTCACACATTATTTGAGTTTTGAAAACATGCACAACACACAGGGATGAATGATGAGTGAAGCCAATCTTCTGACAGCAATGTGCCAGAGAGAAATTCTAGAGAGCTCTTTCTACTGTGATTCCTACCACTGCCCTGGTTCCTGTCTTTCCCAAGACTTAAGCACATAGTTCTTAGTTTTTACAATTTTTCTAGTGATCCAGTCTTCTTATTTATTTTGGTGTTAATTTAATAGAATCAATTTCTTTGTCTAAAAAAGATCTTAATTGATACAGAAATTAGGACCATAATGTGCATTATAAGCACACTCCCTTAGAGAATTCTGGAATGTTTGGGATGAGTTACAGAATCACAATGGGGTCAAAGACAGAGAAACTTTGGCTATATCCTAGGAAAGAAAAATAGCATCCTTAGGTGAGCAGTGGAGAAACTGTCAACCATGTTACCTACCATCCATCTCTTGAGACCATGTACCACACCAAGAGGGAGTTCTGGGAAGGTCAACCAATTTCAAAGTCACTATGACTATCAAGACCAGAGGGTGGAAACAAAACAAAACAAGACATTCTAATCTCAAAATTATTACTTTAAGATAGCACACAATAAAACTCGAGATCATCGTGTGCCCAGGTGCCAGAATTTCTCTCATCTTAGCTAAGAACATCGAAAAACAGATTTAGATTTCACTTTAGAGATTGGTCTCTAATTCAAAGGCTCTGAGTTATAGCTTCACTTGAAAGGAAAACTTTGCCAGATCTCCCATGTGAGGATTAGAGAATGATGCAGAAAGGTTGAGATCTCAGTTAGGGGTTTCTAAAAACTGGGACATGCCAGTAATACTCTGTCTCTGTTACTGTAGATTTATAGTAAGTTTGAAATGGAGAAGTATGACTCTTTGACTACAAATAACAAAAGTTATTATAAAACACAAGTTAAAATTAAATAAACCCTGGAAGAGATACATAAAGAGTTATGCTACTATAGGGAGATTAATCATCAACCCTGAAAGAGAACTTAGACATGGGGGAGAGCATGAAAGTTGAATGTGAAATGATGAATAAAAATGTTAATATATGGAGAAGGAGAGGGGAGAGGATAGATATATATATGATTTTAATAAAACTTAGACAATAGAATTTATATTTCAAATTGATCAGTGGAACACAACAGAGGACCAAGAATTAGACCTAGTCAACTATGCTCAGGTTATTGTTCACAAAGGTACAAAATCAATTCAAAGATGCTAAAGCGATTTAATATCCATAGGCAAAAAACGGACCTTGACCTAACTCTCATATTTTATACAAAATTAAATCAAAATGAATCATAGAATTAAATATAAAATGAAAAATTATAAAATCTTTAGAAAAATATAGAATCTTTGGGATATAAGGTTAGGCAGAGTTTTTAGACATGATGCCAAAAAGTATGATCTATAAAAGGGAAAATGGATACATTTTCTTCAAAAAAAATTTTTTTTTTTTTTTAAGATGGAGTTTCACTCTTGTCGCCCAGGTTGGAGTGCAATGATGCTATTTTGGCTCACTACAACCTCCCCCTCCCAGGTTCAAGCAATTCTCCTGCCTCAGCCTCCCGAGTAGCTGGGATTACAGGTGCCCACCACCATGCCCAGCTAATTTTTGTATTTTTTTTAGTAGAGATGGGGTTTCACCATGGGGCCAGGCTGGTCCCAGACTCCTGACCTCAGGTTGATCTGCCTGCCTCAGCCTCCCGAAGTGCTGGGATTACAGACGTGAGCCACGCACCTGACCCAAAATTTTTAAAATTTGCTCTATAAAAGCTCATATGAAGAGTATGACAAGATAAGTTTTAGCTGTAAGAAAATAATTGCAAACCACATACCCAACAAAGGCCTAGTATCTAGAATATACGAGAAACTCTCAAAACTCATAGTAAAACTCCCAAACAATAATTGCAATTAGAAAATGGACAAAAGACACAGACATTTCATTGAAGAGGTAAATAAGTGTATGGCAAATAATTATATGAAAAGATGTTCAACAGCATTAACTATTGGGGAAATGTAATTAAAACTACAACAGGGAATTAGTACACACCTATCAGAATAGCTAAAGTGAAAAACAGTGACAACATCAAATGCTGGCATGGATGCAGAGAAACGGGATCACTCAGATATTGTAGGCAGGAACTTAAAATGATACAACACTCTTGAAAACAGTTTAGAAAATTGTTAAAAAAAACTACATATGCCCTGTGACCCAGCAATTACAATCCTGAGCATTAACCCCAAAGTAACGAAAACTTGAGTTTATACATAAACTTGTCTATGAATCTTTGTAGCAACTTTCTTTGTGAAAGCAAAACCTGTCCACATGTCCTTCTAAAGGTAAGTTGTTAAACATGCTGTGGTATATACATATGCCAGAATGCTACTTAGCAATGAAAAGAACAAACCACGGATATACATAACAACTTGAGTGAATCTCCAGGGAATTATGTTGACCCAAAAATGCCAATCTCCAAAGATTACATGCTGTATAATTCCATTCATATAACATCTGAGAAATGAAGACATTGTAGAAATGGAGGATCAATGAATGATTGCCAAGGTTTGATGGGAGTGAGGTGAGCTATGAGGCAGGTGGAGGGAGGTGGATGTGATTAAAACTGAACAGTTACAAAAGCACAGGAGGGTCCTGTTTAGTATCTCTCCTGTACGTGATGGATACACAAAACTGCACATTTGATAAATTTACATGGAACTAAACACATACACATGTGCATACATACTAAGTATACACAGATGAGTACAAGTAAGATTGGAAAAATCTGAAAAAATTGGGGGGTTGTATTAGTATCGCTATTTTGCTTATGTTGGTATAGTTTTGCAAAATTATAGTATTGGGAGAAACTGGGTAAAGTGTGCAAGGAATCTTTCTTTATTATTTCTTACAACTGCATGTGAATCTATAATCATCTCAATAAAAATATCAATTTAAAATTGATTTAAAAATTTACACCTATAGAATAGACATATTAGGGGTTTATTATTCCCTTGACTAAATGAAGAAAAAGATTTTAACCACACAAGATAATTGTCACAGATATTTTTAACTAAATTTACATATGTATTGTTTCTATGATAAATTCACAAGGAGGAAAAAGTCTATATTACGCAGAAATATACCCGTTGTTTAAAGTGAGTCATGTATTTCTAAAATTTTCTTATATTATTAGAGAGCAGGCAAGCTCTGACAGAAAGGGATGACGGCTTCGGTCATCCCTGCCTTGTGATAGGCAAATCCTTCTCTCTAATGATTTTGCTTCAAATATATTCTTTACAAAATGAATTCAGGGTGATTGCTTTAGTGTTAGCAAAATCCGGAAAATCTTAATCCTGACATGCTAAAGAGGGTTGGGGAGAGTCTTTAGTAGCATGTGATTTTCCCAAGGACAGTTACCCAGCATCTCAATGCTCCAAGCTCCATCTCAGGGGCCCACCACTGGGGTGAGCAGGAAAATGTTTAAAAGGTAAAACAGGTAGAAGCATGAGTTCTCAGTGGTCCCCAGAATTCCGAGTCGTCTGTACTGTTGGACATTCTTTACTGCTGTCCTGTTCCCTTCCATAGAACCACTTCCTCTGCTATTCAGGGGTTGGAACTGTTTCATAGGAAATGAAGTATTTTTTCTTAGCATAAACTTCTTTCACCTGGATACACACTTCTGAATTTACTAATGTGAACATTTTACAAATTTTTTTGAAAGTTTCATATTTGCTTATCTTTGTAAGTAAAACACACTTTTTAAAAAGATAGACGTGCAGATGTTAGGTTTATTTTCAGAAAGTATAAAAAACTTATTGTTGAAGAGTTTTGATATATTTCTAGGGCACTTGGTCTCTCCCCCTACTTGCCCCAAATAAAAGGTACAAATGTTCATATCATTGCATTTCCAAACCCACAGACATCTGTGGCTAATCGTGCAAGAACATGATCAACTGAAGCACCACAGAGACATCTACTGGTTGGTTTCTTTTCTTGTGGTCTGGATTTTTAGAGATTATTTTCTGTGTCATAAGGAATCCTAGCTCAACAGCACTATTCAGCATTGCATATAAGTGCTATGTAATTCAATGCTGCAGACAACTATATTGTCCAAAACCTGGGACGATTAATTGGAAGTCTGGAGGGACTGATGTACTCACAGTCCAATCTTCCCATCACAGGCATTCTACTGTTTTTTATAGCATTTCTGACAGTCAATGGCAAAGAGCCAACTCTGTTAAATCCAGCAAGTGAGGCGGAGGGTAGGCACCAACAGGGAGATTCACAAATACAGCCCACTTAGAAAAATATGTAGATGCCATTCCAATCTTTTCATGGATTATTTTCTATCACTTGGGAAGCAGGCAATAATTATGAAAAGGGTTAGAAATACTTGTTTGAGACATTTTCTTAGAATCACATCTGAAGCTGAGAACTTAAGGCTTACTTTTCAGAGGAAAGATCAGGTAGTAAGTCTCCAAGGCTATTGGGCTCTGCTCTAGAAGAAGCTGACCCCTTGGACAGAAAGGGATGGTGGCTTTGGTCATCCCTGCCTTGTGATAGGTTAATATTTTGCAAGCCTATTTTTACTTTTCTAGAACTGTGCATCTGTTGTTCTGTATTTTTATATTTCATGGACATCTTTGGAGGCCTAGTGGTTTTAGGTTTCACTCCATAAAATACTTTAACCCCAAATACAATTGTGGAGAACAATAGCCCTAGCTGAGCTGTGCAATACTTGAATTTTGAATCAATTATAGAATGAATTTGGAACATATGAGGTGATTCATGGATTTGCTTGTCTGTTTTTTTGAGACAGTCTCGCTCTGTTGTCCAGGCTGGAGTGCAGTGGCACTATCTCGGCTTACTGCAAGCTCCACCTCCCGGGTTCACGCCATTCTCCTGCCTCAGCCTCCTGAGTAGCTGGGACTACAGGCGCCCGTCACCACGCCTGGCTAATTTTTTTGTATTTTTAGTAGAGACGGGGTTTCACCATGTTAGCCAGGATGGTCTTGATCTCCTGACCTCGTGATCCGCCCGCCTCGGCCTCGCAAACTGCTGGGGTTACAGGCATGAGCCACCACACCTGGCCAATTCCTGGATCTTAAGTCATCACAGGCCTAGCTATTTGACGCAAGAGTCATGATTTATTCCTATGGCCTTTCCCACACAAAGAGAAAGCATACGTTTATGCTGGAACCAAAGAGAAGAAACATTATCTGTCTAGCAGATTTCATACAAAATACATCTCCATTACCATGTAACTGAAGAGTAACAGTACATTGATATTGATTTGCAGAAGAGAAATGAAGAGGCACACAAAAGAAAAGGCACATTTCCTTTGGTTTACTTAGATTAATTTTAGAATTGATCATATTTCCCTAAGTATTAGCCATGAAAAAGGATTCCTATTGTTTTTGATGATTATAAAAGCACATGCACATTGTAAAAATTCAGACCCCTCATTATCCTGCCATTTTCCAGGGAAGACCACTGCAAAGGGTTGCTATATGTTTTTCATTATTTACATGTATATATAAACACACATATACACAGATAAACATAAATGTAAAAACCTACCATAGTACTCATTTGTCACCTGGTTGCTGCTTGCTGCTTTTTTTTCTAAGCTAAGTATGTTTAGGAAATATTTGCTTGCAATACAGATAATATTTACTTCATCCCTTCTAAATGCAGTCTATATTTACCCAGATTTGGATCTCCCCTCATTTTCCTTTTGAGAGGACAGGGTTCTTTGACACAAAGCGTTAAGCAGAGGTTATGATCTTTCTACGGAGGGTCTTTCTCCATTTCTCGCAGCTCTGCTATGAGCCTCTATCTCTTTTATCATCTATCATCTCCTATACAGTTTTCCTCTAAATCCAGAAAGTAGATGGACAGTCTTCTCTTCTCACAATGCCACAATTAATTCTTCCTCTTGCCTCTGGAGTCATTCAACAAGTAGGACATAGAGTGCCTCACATATCTCAAGACCTCTGCTACACATTTAACAGACGTGAGTCAGCAAAACAGACATGAGCCCTGTCCTCATAAAACTTATAGTTAATGTTGTATATATTTCTATTTCTTTTTTTTTTTTTTTAACCGAGTTTCGCTCTGTCACCCAGGCTGGAGTGCAGTGGCGCAATCTTGGCTCACTGTGACCTCCGCCTCCCAGGTTCAAGCAATTCTCCTGTCTCAGCCCACCGAGTAGCTGGGGTTACAGGTACGTGCCACCATGCCTGGCTAATTTTTGTATTTTTAGTATAGTCGAGGTTTCACCATGTCGGCCAGGCTGGTCTCGAACTCCTGACCTCATGATCTGCCTGCCTCTGCCTCCCAGAGTGCTGGGATTACAGACATGAGCCACCACACCAGGCCTATATTTTTTGATTAAAAGAATGTATGAGGCCAGGTACGGTGGCTCATGCCTGTAATCCCAGCACTTTGGGATACCAAGGTGGGTGGATCACTTGAGGTCAGGAGTTTGAGACCAGCATGGCCAACATAGTGAAACTCTGTCTCTACTAAAAATACAAAAAATTAGTTGGGCATGTGGTGCATGCCAGTAGTCCCAGTTACTTGGGAGGGTGAGGCAGGAGAATCACTTGAACCTGGGAGGTGCAGGTTGCAGGTTTCAGTCAGCCAAGATGGACCACTGCACTCCAGCCTGGGAGACAGAGCAAGACTTTGTCTCAAAAAAAAAAAAAAAAAGCTTTCTGTACATTGCTTAGAGGGTGAGGCTGTTGACTGTGGATTTTACCATTAGATGATCAGAAAGAAAACCCCTAGTGTCTGTAACTATGGATCTTTTCTTTTGGGCAACTCAGAAAATTAAACTCTCCTATCCTGGTGTAAGGTATAAGGTATGGATGCAGCTTCCCCCCTCCCCAGATTGCTGTTAAATAGAGATGCTGTTTATTAAGTATAGTTCACATTTTGCTTATTGGTATAAGATCCCATCTTTATTACTGAACTCTTATATTGAGGGGAGGGAATCTCTTTCTAGATTGTATATGCTTTCGCATGGGTCTCTGTCTGCCAGTACCACACTGTTTTAATTATTAGTTCTTGATAGTATGTTTTATTACCTGGTTTATTACTCTTGATTGCTCTACTTTTTCAGAATGTATAAAAAACATTTGGACATTTGACACTTAGAGGAAATAAGGCCCTTTCCCAGAGTAACTCAGATAATAAGTGGCAGAACTGTCATTGGAACCTCTCTCATAATCACCACCTTTCATTGACTGAAATGCCTTTGTTAAAATATCTACTTATCTCCTTTGGAAAAAAATTCAGAGGAAGAGATATTTCTTCCTCTTTCAAATGCCTCAAAACTCAAATTTCCTTTGGGAACCCCTGAGGACCTAGGTCATGTGTCCACTGAGGCTCATGGCCAACTCTCTAGGAATAGCTGGAAGGTGGAGAAACATAGCGGGAAAGAGAGCTCATGTCTCCACATCCAATGAGCAAAGCTAGTAGCAGAGTCTGCTGATACTTTACTTTTTAGTGTATATTTCAGGAAGTGTTCTTACAGGCATGTTCCTTTTCTAGTGGGGTCACAAATACCAAATAGTTATGTCTTCTTAAAAAGTCATTAATTTTCAGAAAATTTGTCTAAACCTAGTAATAAAAATATATCACTTTTATTTCAATTTCTATATATTTAACTATGAGGTCAAGTATCTTACCCTCTGTTTTTATTCATTACATAGACTTCTTCTGTGACAAGCACATCAATGTCCTTTGTTACTCTTTCTTAGTGTGTGCCTATAAAAATCTTATTAATTTGTAAGTACTCATTATATGTAAGCAATATTTAAAATTTTTTTCTATGTGTTGAAAATATTTTTTTCCCGGTTTGTTGTTGACTTTGGTTTATTGTGTCTTTTCCATGTGAAAATGGAAAGACTTTCATGGATTAACATTTACTAATATTTATCTTTATAAGTCTTAGTTTTGGTATGAGAGATACAGTATGCGTGTATAAATAGGAATTCAATTTTGTCTCTAATTTTTAATGAAGTAGCATAACATAATATGCTAGGTGTATTTTTTTAAATTTAGATCTCTCTCAAAATACTTGTTATACACCATATCAGTTAAAGTACTTAGAAACTGCTCATCATATTTCACTTTAGTTCTTTCCTTGAATGTATACCTAGGTGAATTCTGGCAGAGATAAATTTGGGGCAGAGCCTAGGATCTAAAGAATGTGAAAAAAGTTCCCTATGTCCGAAGGGAAAATCAGCAAAAGGTAAAAGCAAACAAAAAAATGAAGTGTAGGAATAGAGGATTTAAAATGTTATCCTCTTTTGCTTTCTCAGATGGCCTTGTTTGTGTGAAGCACAAAAGCAGCCCCTGTGTGTGACTAATGAATCTTCCAAGGCATTCTGGGGACTGTGTTGTCAGCCCTTTTAATGGCCTATTAAGCACAGGATTGAATAGATTAAGCATGCAGCCGTCCAAATTAGACCTTGAGTAATCTGACTGACCATGTTAGGCCTTGTGTGACACAGCATCCCTTAGGCTGATGTTAAGGACTCAGACAAGGTGAGAAAAGTCTGTGCTCTAGAAACACAGTCCTTCCCAGGACAAAATAAGCCAACAAATATGGAAGGCAAAGTTTAGTTGGATGGAGAGTGTCATAGAACAAGTACTTCACTCAAAGCTCAATTCTGCTTGTTAATAACAATGTGACCTTGGACAAGTTATTTTTCTTTTCTTTTTTTTCTTTTTTTTTTTGAGACAGAGTTTCACTCTTTCACCCAGGCTGGATTGCAATGGCACAATCTTGGTTCACTGCAACCTCTGCCTCCCGGGTTCAAGTGATTCATAAATTACCCAGACTCAGGTAGTTCCTTTCAGCAATGAGAGAATGGACTAATACAGGCTCCTTCATGAGCTTCTCTTCCTGTCTCCTTTTCATGTTTCATAATCTCGAGGCCTCGCCATTCTCTTATCCATTCAAAATTACTTTTGAGTGCTTACTTTGTGTAAGACACTATGCCATGGGCTACTAGACTAGTACACTGTTGAATAAAACATGTGTTTTGCTCTTAAAAAAAAAGCTTATAGGTTAATTAGAGAGAAGATAATAAAAGTTAATATTTATTGGGCAATTATTCTGTGCTAGATGCTTAATTCTCATTAATTCCCACAGCTACTCTGAGGGCTACATTCTCTCTTTATCCCCATTTTACAGGTGAGACAAAGTCAGGCAACATGTCCAAAGTCACATAACCTGCAAGTGTCTGAGCAAAGATTCAAACCCAAATATCTATGAATTCAGAGCCCAAGTTTTTTAATCAGACTTAAACACTATGCTATATTAAAAAGTAATTATACTGTGGTATAATATAACTAGAATGTGGTGAATGACATATGAAGTACGAACAGATTTGCATGGACATTTAGAGGAAGGAGTGGCCACTTTTGGCTGCAAGAATCAGAGAAGACATGGTGTAGGAGAGATTGGAGATGTATCTTTAAAAGCCATATTAGTCTATGCTCTGCCAAGATTATTATTATTTTCAGCAGAAATGCTTTCAAGTGAGACTGGGAGCCCATCCAATGACAAACCAACATGAGTAAAACACAGCCTTAGAAGTAAAGAGCCCACTGCTGTGAAATCAATGCTCTTGACTTAGACCTCCAAATGCCAAGCCTAGGAAGTGGAAATTTTCCACAAAGAAGCAAACACTATTTCACCCTTGGCTAACCACGGGCCAATCTGTAAGCGCTTCCAACATTTTAGTTGGGAGGATGAAACTCTGTGTATGCTGGTGTGATAGCCCAGCAACTGTGTGAACAAAGACAAGGATTGCTCTTGGTGCCACCCAAAATAATCTCTTTGAAGCCAGGATTCCCTACAGGTCAGTGGTCCCCAACCTTTTTGGCACCAGGGACCAGTTTCATAGAAGACAAATTTTCCACTGATGGGAGGGTGGTAGGATGGTTTCGGGATGATTCAAGCCCATTACATTTATCATTAGATTCTCATAAGGAGGGTGCAACCTATATCACTCACATGCACAGTTCACAATAGGGTTCACACTCCTATGAGACTCTAATGCCACTACTGATCTGACAGGAGGCAGAGCTGAGCTTTGGTTGCTTAACCGTGGCTCACCTCCTGCTGTGCGGCCCAGTTCCTACCAGGCCATGAACTGTCAGGGGTTGAGGAGTCCTGCTATAGAGCATAGAATTATATTATCTATTTCAGGGAAAGGAGAAAAAGATTTCTGCAGCCTGTGATAGGCTAATATTTTTGTGAACTATGTATCAGAAGATATTTTTTATTAATACCGCTAGAAACAAAACACAGTGCTGCTATTTTTTTTTTTTTGATGAATAAATTTCAAAGTCTAGACAACTGCTAATGGGTATGAAAGGGAACTCATTCCAATCCCACTCCTGTGCCTCCCTGAGCTGTGGTTTTTAGTATCAGCCAAGGTCCACGTCAGGGAGTCATTGCCTTTGAATATCACTGGTTACATTTTGTAGATGTTTTCAGGAGAATCGCTAAAGACTGACTCTTAATGGGGTAGAAGGTGAAAAATAGGTAAAACTCTTCTCTAATTGCCTGTGCTTCCATTCCTGAGACCCTTAATCATGCTGATTGGAAGCAGGCATTTGTGGCTGACAGTCTCTCTCTTGGCCTGACCCCTGACACACACATGCCTTGCTCAGCCCGCGTCATCTTCTTTTGTTTGTTCAACCTGTTTTGTTGCCTTGCACGCCCATGCTACTATGACCCTTAGCCTCAGGAGCACAGATTTCTTGCTCTGCTTCTTCAGTCCTCTCAGTCTAAACAGGTGGGAAAGTCCTGAATAGAGGGCCTTGCTGCTCATCTATCAGATGTTGAAATCAAAGTTGACCTCGGTGCAAATAATATTTTCAACTTAAATGTTTAACTTCTCTATTTTGACATATAGTACCCATCTGATGGGTATCATTTTGCAAATACAGACTCAGATAAGAAAGAAATGTCTTATTATTTAATTTGCATAAAATGAAATAAAATCTTATCATAAGTCCTTTTACCACTTGGCTCTTGGGAAATTGAATCATATCACTGCTGGCTTCCCTGTCTTTCACCCTCTGTTTCTGCTGTCAGAGTCTGAAGGAAATTAGTGAGAAAGCTATCATTTATGATTTAAATAATCTAATTGAGCATGAGAATACGTACTGCAATATGCAAAAAATATTGCAAGACTATCTTCTTAGCTATGTTGAGAACAGGGCACGTTAATCATATTCACATGATGAATACTACCATGTGAATTGGTAGTTAACATAATTCATGATTAGGAACGGGTTAATATAATTCATGAAAAGAAAGAGAACAGTTCTTGGTACATGATTGTCATCATCATCATCATGCAACTACTGTTTGAACACATCTAGTGAAAGAGAGATCCATATCTCACAAGACAAGTCATCTCAACATTGCGTAGCTCTCATTATTACCAAGTTCTTGTCAATTAAGAGAAAGGCTTCAGATTTTAATATGTGTGAACTCTAGTTTTTTGCATCCCACTATATTTTCAACTGTGCTCACGCGCTAGCACCATTGCCAAAGATGTTTTTTATCTATTTATCACTCCGCAGCACCTGCTATTCAATAAATGATGTTGACCAATAAGCACACACATATATTCTATGTTGAGCTAGAAAAAGTGATTACTTAAAAAGAAATTTTATTTAATAATGGGAAAATATACTCTGATATTCTGTTTCTGAAACTAATGAAGAACAAAATTTTATAGAAATACCATCATGATTGTTATGCTAAAATATGCTAGATTATTTCCCTGAAATATTTATTTGTAGTAAATCATATGCTATCTAAACTAAGTAATTTGGTAAGAAATTACATTCTTTATTAACACTTGTACACTTAATGGCACTATCAACTCACTTCTTCTGCATAGAATAATTTAAAATTTTGAATTAATGAGAAATATGTGTTGTGGAGTTTTCAATTAGGTTTGAAAACTTCAATTTTTTTCAATAAAAAAGAGTGTAAGCGGTTTGGGCAATCTTAATGTATTTCTTAGCTAATTGAAAAACAAGTTATTTAATGCAATAGTAAACAATTCTAACATTTGATAGCTCTATTATATCCTAATTTATAAAATCTGAAATTAATATTGCATACCATGATTTTATAAATAATAAAATGCAACAATCCTTTCTGTTAAATAAGAGTTTTTTGTTTTTCACAAGAAAGTGCCCACTAGATGGCACTAAACAACTGCCAAAATTTTTCTGACAATGACTATACCAGGTCAAGAAAATAATCCAAGAATCCTAATGATTAATGAGACAGTTGTTCCAGACAGGCACATCTAGTCTCAAAGTCACTAAATTACACATAAGATGATATTGAAAGCTATCTACTCTATATTCTCTATATGCAGGGCAAATAGCTAGAACTTAACACAAATGGGAAAATGTAAATGGTTCTTATGATTAAACTGCACTAATCTGAATTCCACTAAAATTCCACTATCTGACCAAGGCCTGGATTTTCTTAGTATTTATGAAGAAATAGACTTTACTAAACAGCAATAACAAAAAAAATGAAAAAGAATTCCAGGAGCAATAATTTTTATATAATTTGAACTGATAATTATAACTATTCTTGACCAAGGGCTGGTAGGGGGAGATGAATATAAAAACATTTCACTTCTTTAGGGTTTTCTGGCATTTAGAGCTACCTTTGTAGAAGGTATTGAACTTGTAAATTAAATCATAAAACTGGAAGTATTATAACATAGTTACACAAAGCCAAAATGTTAGACAAAAGCTCCAGGTTTCAGGTAATGGTCAGGATATTTGTATGTGTTAGCCTATGGAAATATTCCACTAACTTATCTGGAAATATTCCACTAACTTATTTGGAGGTTGATGATATTCAGCTACAAAATGCATAGTCAAACACCAGATGGCTTTGCAAGCAGTGCATTTGCTACCTTGCACCCATTTTGTTGTATAAAGATAGGGTAACCTTAATGGTAATCCCTTGACATCAATTCATTTGTGCCCCTAGTTGTGCATGCAGGACCTCGGCTTCCCGAAATAGGCACCCCTTCTAAAGGGTTCAGAAAGATCCCCATGGTCTCTTATTCAGTTACCATCGTGCTCTCTGCCTTTTTGTTTCTCGTCTAAGCTAGCCCCATCTCTGCTGGATACCTAGGGGCCTCCTGGGCACTTCTACCACTGCTGCCACTATGTGTACTGGGCACTGCAGTTCACCATCACAAATGAGCCACTGAGGCCATGGAGACACAAAGGCCACGTGGCTTTGTGGGAGATGGTTTGCACTGGGTGCTGGGCTAACTCCTGGGGACACCATGGTGAAACAGAAAAGCATGAACTTTTGAGGAGCAGCAGCCAAGATGGCCGAATAGGAACAGCTCTGGTCTACAGCTCCCAGCGTGAGCGATGCAGAAGACGGGTGATTTCTGCATTTCCATCTGAGGTACCAGGTTCATCTCACTAGGGAGTGCCAGACAGTGGGCACAGGACAGTGGGTGCAGCGCACCGTGCATGAGCCGAAGCAGGGCGAGGCATTGCCTCACTCGGGAAGTGCAAGGGGTCAGGGAGTTCCCTTTCCTAGTCAAAGAAAGGGGTGACAGACAGCACCTGGAAAATCGGGTCACTCCCACCCTAATACTGCGCTTTTCCGACGGGCTTAGAAAAACGGCGCACCAGGAGATTATATCCTGCACCTGGCTCGGAGGGTCCTACGCCCACGGAGTCTCGCTGATTGCTAGCACAGCAGTCTGAGACCAAACTGCAAGGCAGAAGCGAGGCTGGGGGAGGGGCGCCCGCCATTGCCCAGGCTCACTTAGGGAAACAAAGCAGCCGGGAAGCTCGAACTGGGTGGAGCCCACCACAGCTCAAGGAGGCATGCCTGCCTCTGTAGGCTCCACCTCTGGGGGCAGGGCACAGACAAACAAAAAGACAGCAGTAACCTCTGCAGACTTAAATGTCCCTGTCTGAAAGCTTTGAGGAGAGCAGTGGTTCTCCCAGCACGCAGCTGGAGATCTGAGAACGGGCAGACTGACTCCTCAAGTGGATCCCTGACCCCTGACCCCTGAGCAGCCTGATTGGGAGGCACCCCCCAGTAGGGGCAGACTGACACCTCACACGGCCGGGTACTCCTCTGAGACAAACCTTCCAGAGGAACGATCAGACAGCAGCATTCGCGGTTCACGAAAATCCGCTGTTCTGCAGCCACTGCTGCTGATACCCAGGCAAACAGGGTCTGGAGTGGACCTCTAGCAAACTCCAACAGACATGTAGCTGAGGGTCCTGTCTGCTAGAAGGAAAACTAACAAACAGAAAGGACATCCACACCAAAAACCCATCTGTACATCACCATCATCAAAGACCAAAAGTAGATAAAACCACAAAGATGGGGAAAAAACAGAGCAGAAAAACTGGAAACTCTAAAAAGCAGAGCGCCTCTCCTCCTCCAAAGGAACGCAGTTCCTCACCAGCAACGGAACAAAGCTGGACGGAGAATGACTTTGACGAGTTGAGAGAAGAAGGCTTCAGACGATCAAACTACTCCGAGCTACAGGAGGAAATGCAAACCAAAAGCAAAGAAGTTAAAAACTTTGAAAAACATTTAGACGAATGTATAACTAGAATAACCAATACAGAGAAGTGCTTAAAGGAGCTGATGGAGCTGAAAGCCAAGGCTTGAGAACTATGTGAAGAATGCAGAAGCCTCAGGAGCCGACATGATCAACTGGAAGAAAGGGTATCAGTGATGGAAGACGAAATGAATGAAATGAAGCAAGAAGGGAAGCTTAGAGAAAAAAGAATAAAAAGAAAATGAACAAAGCCTCTAAGAAATATGGGACTATGTGAAAAGACCAAATCTACATCTGATTGGTGTACCTGAAAGTGACGGGGAGAATGGAATCAAGTTGGAAAACACTCTGCAGGATATTATCCAGGAGAACTTCCCCAATCTAGCAAGGCAGGCCAACATTCAGATTCAGGAAATACAGAGAACGCCACAAAGATACTCCTTGAGAAGAGCAACTCCAAGAATCATAATTGTCAGATTCACCAAAGTAGAAATGAAGGAAAAAATGTTAAGGGCAGCCAGAGAGAAAGGTCGGGTTACCCACAAAGGGAAGCCCCTCAGACTAACAGCGGATCTCTTGGCAGAAACTCTACAAGCCAGAAGAGAGTGGGGGCCAATATTCAACATTCTTAAAGAAAAGAATTTTCAACCCAGAATTTCATATCCAGCCAAACTGGGCTTCATAAGTGAAGAGAAATAAAATACTTTACAGACAAGCAAATGCTGAGAGATTTTGTCACCACCAGGCCTGCCCTAAAAGAGTTCCTGAAGGAAGCACTAAACATGGAAAGGAACAACCGGTACCAGCCACTGCAAAATCATGCCAAATTGTAAAGACCATTGAGGCTGGGAAGAAATTTCATCAACTAATGAGCAAAATAACCAGCTAACATCATAATGACAGGATCAAATTCACACATAACAATATTAACTTTAAATGTGAATGGACTAAATGCTCCAATTAAAAGACACAGACTGGCAAATTGGATAAAGAGTCAAGACCCATCAGTGTGCTGTATTCAGAAAACCCATCTCATGTGCAGAGACACACATAGGCTCAAAATAAAGGGATGGAGGAAGATCTACCAAGCAAATGGAAAACAAAAAAAGGCAGAGGTTGCAATCCTAGTCTCTGATAAAACAGACTTTAAACCAACAAAGATCAAAAGAGACAAAGAAGGCCATTACATAATGGTAAAGGAAACAATTCAACAAGAAGAGCTAACTATCCTAAATATATATGCACCCAATACAGGAGCACCCAGATTCATAAAGCAAGTCCTGAGTGACCTACAAAGAGACTTAGACTCCCACACATTAATAATGGGAGACTTTAACACCCCACTGTCAACATTAGACAGATCAATGAGACAGAAAGTTAACAAGGATATCCAGGAATTGAACTCAGCTCTGCACCAAGCGGACCTAATAGACATCTACAAAACTCTCCACCCCAAATCAACAGAATATACATTTTTTTCAGCACCACACCACACCTATTCCAAAATTGACCACATACCTGGAAGTAAAGCTCTCCTCGGCAAATGTAAAAGAACAGAAATTATAACAAACTGTCTCTCAGACCACAATGCAATCACACTAGAACTCAGGATTAAGAAACTCGCTCAACTACATGGAAACTGAACAACCTGCTCCTGAATGACTACTGGGTACATAACGAAATGAAGGCAGAAATAAAGATGTTCTTTGAAACCAACGAGAACAAAGACACAACATACCAGAATCTCTGGGACACATTCAAAGCAGTATGTAGAGGGAAATTTATAGCACTAAATGCCCACAAGAGAAAGCAGGAAAGATCTAAAATTGACGCCCTAACATCACAATTAAAAGAACTAGAAAAGCAAGAGCAAACACATTCAAAAGCTAGCAGAAGGCAAGAAATAACTAAAATCAGAGCAGAATTGAAGGAAATAGAGACATAAAAAAACCCTTCAAAAAAGTAATGAATCCAGGAGCTGGTTTTTTGAAAGAATCAACAAAATTGACAGACCGCTAGCAAGACTAATAAAGAAGAAAAGAGAGAAGAATCAAATAGACGCAATAAAAAATGATAAAGGGGATCTCACCACCTATCCCACAGAAATACAAACTACCATCAGAGAATACTACAAACACCTCTACGCAAATGAACTAGAAAATCTAGAAGAAATGGATAAATTCCTTGATGCATACACCCTCCCAAGACTAAACCAGGAAGTTGAATCTCTGAATAGACCAATAACAGGCTCTGAAATTGTGGCAATAATCAATAGATTACCAACCAAAAAGAGTCCAGGACCAGATGGATTCACAGCCAAATTCTACCAGAGGTACAAGGAGGAACTGGTACCATTCCTTCTGAAACTATTCCAATCAACAGAAAAAGAGGGAATCCTCCCTAACTCATTTTATGAGGCCAGCATCATCCTGATACCAAAGCTGGGCAGAGACACAACCAAAAAAGAGAATTTTAGACCAAAATCCTTGATGAACATTAATGCAAAAATCCTCAATAAAATACTGGCAAACCGAATCCAGCAGAACATCAAAAAGCTTATCCACCATGATCAAGTGGGCTTCATCCCTGGGATGCAAGGCTGGTTCAATATATGCAAATCAATAAATGTAATCCAGCATATAAACATAACCAAAGACAAAAACCACATGATTATCTCAATAGATGCAGAAAAGGCCTTTGACAAAATTCAACAACGCTTCATGCTAAAAACTCTCAATAAATTAGGTATTGATGGGATGTATCTCAAAATGATAAGAGCTATCTATGACAAACCCACAGCCAATATCATACTGAATGGACAAAAACTGGAAGCATTCCCTTTGAAAACTGGCACAAGACAGGGATGCCCTCTCTCACCACTTCTATTCAACATAGTGTTGGAAGTTCTGGCCAGGGCAATCAGACAGGAGAAGGAAATAAAGAGTATTCAGTTTGGAAAAGAGGAAGTCAAATTGTCCCTGTGTGCAGATGACATGATTGTACATCTAGAAAACCCCATTGTCTCAGCCCAAAATCTCCTTAAGCTGATAAGCAACTTGAGCAAAGTCTCAGGTTACAAAATCAATGTACAAAAATCACAAGCATTATTATACACCAATAACAGACAAACAGAGAGCCAAATCATGAGTGAACTCCCATTCACAATTGCTTCAAAGAGAATAAAATACCTAGGAATCCAACTTACAAGGGACGTGAAGGACCTCTTCAAGGAGAACTACAAACTACTGCTCAATGAAATAAAAGAGGATACAAACAAATGCTCATGGGTAGGAAGAATCAATATCGTGAAAATGGCCATACTGCCCAAGGTAATTTATAGATTCAATGCCATCCCCATCAAGCTACCAATGACTTTCTTCTCAGAATTGGAAAAAACTGCTTTAAAGTTCATATGGAACCAAAAAAGAGCCCGCATCACCAAGTCAATCCTAAGCCAAAAGAACAAAGCTGGAGGCATCACGCTACCTGACTCCAAACTATACTATAAGGCTACAGTAACCAAAACAGCATGGTACTGGTACCAAAACAGAGATATAGATCAATGGAACAGAACAGAGCCCTCAGAAATAACGCTGCATATCTACAACTATCTGATCTTTGACAAACCTGAGAAAAACAAGCAATGGGGAAAGGATTCCCTATTTAATAAATGGTGCTGGGAAAACTGGCTAGCCATATGTAGAAAGCTGAAACTGGATCCCTTCTTTACACCTTATGCAAAAATTAATTCAAGATGGATTAAAGACTTAAACGTTAGACCTAAAACCATAAAAACCCTAGAAGAAAACCTAGGCAATACCATTCAGGACATAGGCATGGGCAAGGACTTCATGTCTAAAACACCAAAAGCAATGGCATCAAAAGACAAAATTGACAAATGGGATCTAATTAAACTAAAGAGGTTCTGCACAGCAGAAGAAACTACCATCAGAGTGAACAGGCAACCTACAAAATGGGAGAAAATTTTTGCAACCTACTCATCTGACAAAGGGCTAATATCCAGAATCTACAATGAACTCAAACAAATTTACAAGAAAAAAACAAACAACCCCATCAAAAAGTGGGTGAAGGATATGAACAGACACTTCTCAAAAGAAGACATGTATGCAGCCAAAAAACACATGAAAAAATGCTCACCATCACTGGCCATCAGAGAAATGCAAATCAAAACCACAATGAGATACCACCTCACACCAGTTAGAATGGCAATTATTAAAAAGTCAGGAAACAACAGGTGCTGGAGAGGATATGGAGAAATAGGAACACTTTTACACTGTTGATGGGACTGTAAACTAGTTCAACCATTGTGGAAGTCAGTGTGGCGATTCCTCAGGGATCTAGAACTAGAAATACCATTTGACCCAGCCATCCCATTACTGGGTATATACCCAAAGGACTATAAATCATGCTGCTATAAAGACACATGCACACGTATGTTTATTGCGGCACTATTCACAATAGCAAAGACTTGGAACCAACCCAAATGTCCAACAATGATAGACTGGATTAAGAAAATGTGGCACATATATACCATGGAATACTATGCAGCCATAAAAAATGATGAGTTCATGTCCTTTGTAGGGACATGGATGAAATTGGAAATCATCATTCTCAGTAAACTATCGCAAGGACAAAAAACCAAACACCACATGTTCTCATTCCTAGGTGGGAAATGAACAATGAGAACACATGGACACAGGAGGGGAACATCACACTCTGGGGACTGTTGTGGGGTGGGGGGAGGGGGAGGGATAGCATTAGGCGATATATCTAATGCTAAATGACGAGTTAATGGGTGCAGCACACCAGCATGGCACATGTATACATATGTAACTAACCTGCACATTGTGCACATGTACCCTAAAACTTAAAGAATAATAATAATAAAATAAAAATTAAAAAAAAAGAAAAGCATGAACTTTACGTCATGGAATTTGCTGGTAGTCATTTCTTTTTCTCTACTCTCTATCTCCTTTACTGATTGTAAATAGAATTCCTAAGAATGTGCTAACTTCATTAAATTCTCGTACTTGAATTATAAACAGAAAAAGCAATTAGGTGGTAAATGGTATGTTTTAATTTAGATTTAACTTGTGATTATTTATATGAGCTTTTATTGTATTTCTACTAATTAGTATATAAAAGTATTATATTTATTCATGGTAGAAAATTTGGGGGGAAATACTGAAATATACAAAGAAAAACTAACAATCATAATCCTGTCTCACAGCAATAATTGCTGTTAATATTTGGGTGAACATCCTCTAATAATTTTATGTGTATATTTGCATGCATTATCATTTGCTTATATGTGCACATTTCCAGTCAGATTAGTCTGAACTTGCTAGATGTCCAGTCATTAAATAGTTTTATTTATTTACTTTTCCATTTACAATCATTTCAACAACACTCTCAAATCTCCTTCTTCAGTTCTTAACATGTAGAAAGGTTGTACCATGTAGTACCATGTAGTGGTTTATATCATGAACCCAAGAGCTAGCTAGCCTGCCACTTTAAGTTGTGTGACCTCTGGAAAATTGATTACATCTCTCTGTGCCTCAATTCCCTCTGTCTGATAGAGTTGTTATGAGTTAGATGAATTAATACTTGTAAAGCAATTAGAATAGGGCCTGCTACAAAACAAGGCTGATTTCCTTAAAGTTACAGGAATTTTTCCTTCTAGTTAAGCTCTAATCTCATCCTTTCCTTTCTCTCCAGCTTCTGCTTGAAATTGGAGGGGAGGGGGCTATCATTTGCTCTTCCATTTCTTTCTTGGTGCTAGCTGTGACATAAGAAGTCCTACCATCCAATGAGAACTTGGCATTGGTGTGGAGAAATCCTTGCAAATAAACCTGTGGGAATAATACACTCCTAACACTCTAGAAACCTGGGTTGAGTTAACCATTAATGGTGACTGTATTAGCTCATTCTCACACTGCTATAAGGACATACCTGAGACTGGGTAATTTATAAAGGGAAGAGGTTGAATTGACTAGCAGTTCAGTAGGGCTGGGGAGGCCTCATGAAACATACAGTCATGGCAGAAGGGGAAGCAAACATGTCCTTCTTCACATGGTGGCAGGAGAGAGAAGAATGAGAGCCAAGCGACGGAAAAAGCCTCTGATAAAACCATCAGATCTCATGAGAACTTACTCACTATCGTGAGAATAGCATGGGGGAAACTGCCCCCATGATTCAATTACCTCCCACTAGGTCCCTCCCACGACAATTGGGGATTATGGGAACTACAATTCAAGATGAGATTTGGGTGAGGACACAGCCACCATATAATAACTTTGACATCTGATCTGTATCAGTCTATTTTTCCCATACTGTCTGCATTTTATCCCAGGGCCCATCAGATTAAATTTCATATAGCTGGAATTCAATAAACACTCTTGAATAAGTAAATGAATGATTTCATGTAAAATTAAGGCAATATTACGATACTGTTTTTTAAGCTCCTTTCTTCACTTTTCCATGTCATTAAGTATTTTTCTACAATACCATTTTTGGCAAGGATATTTTCTATATACTATAGGTTAATTTATTTAATTAATCTCCTTTTGATGAGCATTTTAGTAGTTTCTTATTTTTTCAATATAGGTATCACTAGCTTGAATATTCTTACACAAAAATCATTTCTCATCTCACAGATTATTTCTTTGAGATAAAATTCCTAAAAGTGTAATTGGTGGGTCATGAAACACTTGTGTTTTAAAGTTATTGAGATATCCAATATAGCATTTTAAAGTAAATATGTTTTATCTTCAGAGTAGGTAGCCTTCACTTGTCTTCAGCCTGGCTTATATTATAATTTTCAGGGGCATTTAATGAACTGAGTTTCAACTTGATACTCAAGGACAGAATTATACTGCTTTTTAAATTAAATAGCTTTAGAAACATGGAACTGACAAGCCTGCTTGCTGAGAAATAAGACTAATAGCCAAGTGACTCAAGAAAATAATCTTCTAAGGATGTAGAACCATAGAAAAGGGATCTTTTGAATTATTCTCTTTAAAAAAGGCAAAAGTTAAAAGTATTAATAAAAACCCATATGTTCAGCTCCAATCAATTAGAAGAACTTATGAATAGTAATTACAGTAAGTGGCCAAGCAGTTGAATTTGCTTTTACACGTCAGTGGGTACTTTGTACTTTTATAGTATCAATTACCTTAGATCTTTTATCTTTTACCCTCGAATGTAAGTATTGTTCACAACTCTTCCTGACGATGTAACACTCTGTTGAACAAACTCAGGGATAAAATCACAAAATGTTACCAAGAACTCCATAGTTGAATTTTGACTAGGGTTCTTGTGTATCTTGGTCATTTGAAGGATGCTAGTTATGGGACAATAAAATAGTATCACTTGGTTTCATCAAGAATTGTTCTTACCCTATGCTATAAAAACCTGAACATTAATTGCTGGTATCAGACCCATGGGGGGTCTCTGCAATGGAGATCATATTTAAGATACCATCAGCTAGTGTCCCACCACGAGGACGTTTGGAGTAGAAGCTCTAGCTTCTGTGTATGATGGACATGGAACATATGCTGAATAATATTCCATTGTATGGATTTTTAAAATCACATTTATCCATTTGTCAGTTAATGGACACTTGAGTTGTTTACATTTTTGGCTAATAAGAGAAATGCTGCTTTGAATGATCATACAGGTTTTTGTGGGGACATATGTTTTTACTTCTCTTGAGACTATCCCTAGGAGTGGAATGGCTGGGTGATATGTTAGCTGTATGTTAGATCTTTTTAAGAACTGCCAGACCATTTTCCAGAGCATCTGCACCATTACATTCCCACCAGCAATGTATGAGGTTTCCAATTTCAATAGTGTTTTAATGATGAAAACAAATGAAGATGCTGCAGGTGTATTGATTAACTCCTCTAAATGATGTGCGTTTTTTCTAGTTGCAATGAAGGAAGATATTGGAATTCTCTCAGTTTATCAAGAAAAAGATTGCACTCTCCCAAAGTGCCTGAATTGCTAGCAGGGAGCAGTTTAGATCCTGAAACAATCTAGCTCAGAGTCAGGAAAAACATGAATGCTTTCACCCGTTTTCATTTTTAACTTAATTTTAACTTCTATTCAGCAGCTTTGGTTAAATAAGGACATATGAACTATTTTTATGTGGAGAACAGTTATCATCTGGGTTTTCATAATGGTGACGCTATCAAACTATTCATTGGAAGATGTGACTTTCCTTTGAAGTTAAAACTAGAAAAATATGTTAAGTCTTTTCTCTTTCTGTTGACTGGGCTGGAGTACAGCAGTGCAATCATAGCTCACTGCTGCCTTGAAGTCCTGGGCCCAAGAAATTCTCCTACCTCAGTCCTCTGAGCAGCTGGGACTACAAGTATGCATCACCATGCCTGGTTAATTAAAAACAAAAATTTGTAGACGAGTGTCTTGCTTTGTTTCCCAGGCTGGTCTTGAACTCCTGGCTTCAAGCAGTCCTCCCATTTTGGCCTCCCAAAGTGCTGAGATGATAGGTTTGATTATTCAGCATCTGGCCAAAATCTGAATCTTAATGCATAAAATTCATAAAGTATTTCTACCCATATGATCTAATTCCTAGTGGGTCCTCATGCCACTTTGAAAAACAGCTTAATCAAGTGTCAGTAATGATTTCACATCGGTTAAAAGTGGAAATCAAATATACCATCCTATGTGCCAAGACATTAGAAACCAATATAAAAGGAGAAATCTGTGTATTATAGAATGGATATGAGAATTATAAGTTCATTTATCAAAAAAGATTACCTGTTCACGATTCCTAATGAGAGATCCCATTTGGTGAACATTTGGCTAATAACTCAGCAGCTGCGGAACATTATTACTTAATCTACTTATTTCCAAAGATGTGTAATCTATGTGCTATAAACAAAAATGCAGGCCAAACAAAGAAATGTGTCTCTATGTTTCTAACTATTTCAAATTAATGACAGAATGTACAAAAACAATATTCACCTATGAGCCCCCTGTATTCCCAGTGTAATGCTAAGTCCAGATCGTCAGTAACAAGGCATCTTGGAGTATAAAAGCAATTAGGCAGATAATTAAAGGAAAAGCAATCATTTGTCCCCTCCTGCCTTTTTACCTCTTTATTTCTTCAATTATCAGAAAATTAACATGATTTTTTTCTTTAGAAAGTGAACTGTATGAGTAATTGCTTTAATTTTCTGCTTGATTTTTCCAGAAAGTCCCATCAAATGAGAAGTCAACTAAGAGGATTTGTTTACTACCCAAAATGATTAATTTAGGGATTAATGAAGCACCCGTACTTCCACGTGTAGAAAACTGTATTAAAAACTTCTATCTGCTTGGGAATCATCTGGGACTTAACATATAACTCTTTTAACAACTATGTGCTTGTTTATTGATTGTTTCCTGGGCCAAAAAGTAAAAACTGTTAACAGTTTTGTATCAGTTGGGAAAATTTGAAGGTGGATTGTACACTAGATGCTATTATGGCAGTGTTTTTAATACCCTTGAGTTGAATAATGATATTGTGATGATGTCTTTGGAGATGCATGCTGAAATATTAAGGGGTCAAATGTTAAGTTAGCTACAATTTACTTCCAAATCATTCAGTCAAAAGACAAAAATAAAAAGACTGACAATAAAGAAAATATGGCAAAATAATGACAGTGAGGAATTTAGGTCAAGAGTAAATAGATATTGCTTATTTCCATTTCTATAGGATTGAAATTTTTCAAAACAAAATATAATTTGGGGACGGATGGGCAGAAGACACACTCTTGCTGCCTATGAAAAATCGAAATATCCTTTAGATTCTGCCTTAAATGCTACTCCGTGTGTGTGTGTATGTGTGTGTGTGTGTGTATGGAATCTTATCTACATTATGTGAACTCTACCTCTCTAAGTTATTATAACATTTTTTGGCTAGCTACTGAATTAGCAATTACTCAAGTTGTGCTCCTATAAAACATCTGTTAATTGATGAATCGATTAATGTAGGTTTGAAGTTCCTACAATCAGTCTCTAAGAAGATTTTGTAAGAGATGATAATATCAAAGATAACAGTGGCAGCTACCATTAATCACATGCTCATTGTGTGCCTGGCACAGGGCTAAATTTTCACATAAAGCATGTTACATTATTTCATTTACTTTTGATGTAGATTCCTGGATTTTCTAATTATGCATGAAACAAAATTCTGATTTACCTTAGTGAAGCAGTTCTTAGTACACCATGGTATTAAAAATGAATGAAACCCAGGATGTTTGCTTTCCTTGGGTGTCACACAATTGAGAGGTGTTTACTGGAGTCTGTGTGACTTTAAAGCCCAAGGAATAAGCCATTGACAAAGTAAAGCTAACGAGAAATAATTTGGGCAGGACAATGCAGTCTCTCTATTTATGTATGGTGATTTCACTTTCAGGGCAAACTGAAAGCAGTGGCATCACCCTGAGGCAATCAGCATCCCAATTCATCAGGATGCTGGGATGAAAGCTTTGTAGATCCTGAATTTGCCCAACAACCCACTGAATGCTTTTCCAAATTGTCCCTATCAATCGGTAAGATTCGTTAATAGGAAGAAGCCTGGGGTCTATTTCCAGGATGGAAGATTGCCTTTTCTGTCTACATAAAGCTGTTTAAATGATATCCCATGGTTTTTATAGTAGGTATACTTAACTCATAACGTTCAAGGAAGAATCCCTTAGGCAAAACATTGTGCATAAAACCATGAGGAGTCAATGGAGATAATTATACAAGTAGCTACTGGCAAGACAATTTGCCACAGCAGCAATGAGGCTAACCTTAGGTTGGACATGGTTGTTAAGAAAATCACTGAAATGGATATTGTAGAAACGGGAAGTCATTAGAACATTTAAGAAAATGATGAAGAATACAATTATTACTTTCAGTCTCAATGTCTTAGATGTGTGATATTATCTTTGGGTAATCAAATAAGAATAATTATAAAGTCATTAAAATGAGTGATAATTTTCTATCAATAAATTGTAATGCTATATTGTTGAATGATGTAATTCACAGAAGAGAGAATGTGTTTACTCATATTTTTGAATGATTTACTTTGATCAGTAAAGTTATGTGGCTATACACAAAACAGAGTAAAAAATATTTTTATAGAACAAAATTCTTTTTTTGTTTTAGAAAATTTCT
Source organism: Homo sapiens (assembly GCF_000001405.40). NCBI lineage: Eukaryota > Metazoa > Chordata > Mammalia > Primates > Hominidae > Homo > Homo sapiens. The sequence goes on along the minus strand of NC_000018.10, from coordinate 54,657,926 downwards.
GTAGTAATTCAGATGGCCCTTAATTGAAAAAAAAATAGACTCAAATACATTGGGCCACTTTGGCTTTTGACCCTGGTGTTTTTCATCCTCGGTAATGTCTCTCTACATAGGACAAAATAATTGGGTGAAGCAAACAGAATATGGATGCAAATATCCTTGTCTTTGGCTCGTCTGAGAGTAGATTTGTAAATGAGGAGCCAGAATGTTGGCACATTCAGAAGGTTGAAAAATGCTATGAAGTTTAGCTTTGCTCAACCCAACATCATCTCTTGTTCCATGTGCCACACTGGCTTTTTCAGTGCTTTAGACCTACCAAGTTATTTACCATGTTACAACCTTTGCATGCAGCTCCCTCTGCCTACAATGATTTTAAACTTCACGTCCATGGGCCTTCTCATCCTCTATGCTTTGGCTTAAATGTCACCCTTTCAGGGAGGTCTTTTCTGAATCTCCCCCCATCTAAAACCCTTCATATGCATGCTTTTTATTTTCTATTCTCATATACTGTTTGTTTCCTTCGCGGAAGTTACCATGACTAAAAAACATTTAGCTTTTGTTGTTTCTTAATGTTTTGATCATTTGTCTCTTTCTGTTTTTCCCACTATTCTTTACAGCCTATGAAGGCAGGATCCATGTATTTCTTATTCATTATTACATCTTTGGCATGCAACAGAGATTGCAGAGATGGTGGATACTCCATTTATACAGGCTGAATGAGTGGATTAAATTGGATGAATAGTTTGGTCTGAATTAGGGAAGAGGACTAACTCAGACAGTCAATATCTCTTCAACCAATATGTTAGGGTAGGCTAATTAGGCTATGATAAAAAATAGTTGCAAGCACATTATGACTTAACATGATATAAGTTTGTTTCTCACTCATGAAACAGCAAGGGTGGGGGTGGTATTCTAAGTCAATGGGGGTGAGGGCTGAGTAGCTACATTAACTCTGACATCACAAATCACTCCAAGCTTACAGCAGGGTTTCCCAGTCAGTCAGAAGGGAAGAGCACACCAAGGAGTGTGCATGGGAGATGTTCAGGGGCTCAACTTGCAAGTGGTGTGCACCATTTCTGCTTACTAGGACTCAGTTGCATGGCAACTTTGGCTGCAAATAATACTGGGCAATCTAGTGTAGTTGCCTTTTCTCAAACATTTTGGGTCAGCATGAGGAAAAGTGGGGATTCTTTTATTTATTAATCTGGCAAATGCCTGTTATAGGTCTGTCTTTATAAACATGAATAGATCCCTCCCCAAAAGAGCTTATGGACCAGCAGGAAAATATACATGTAAATAATGAATAGCAGTGTACTATGACACATGCTTTGATAAAGATATCTATGAGTGCTGGGTGAGCACATACCAAAAATAGAAGACATCAAAGAGGAGTTGTAATTTGAGTCAGGCTATGGCACATAAGCATAGTTCTCCAGGTGGAATAAGAAGTAATGGTGAGAAGAATGTTAAATGTAGTGTTGCAGAATTTCAAACTGCAATGTTCTGGTACTAAATATTTTAAATAAATGTAATTAATACAAGTTAAACATTAAAATATTATATATTTCTTAGTGTAAACATAATTCTCTATGAAACTTGCTAAATAGGCTATGATGTCTATTATAGTCTATAGAGTATGAAATTTGGAAGGGCATGAAATAGAGTGTTTCAAATAAAAAAATCCAACCCCCTGGGCAAGGCCAAAGCTAATAATCAGAATTTTTTAAATAAAAAACTTTCTGAATAAACTTTATTCAACATTATACATTCTGCTTTTGCAACATCACTTAGGAAATATGTTGCAGTGCAATTGGATTCACTCAGGTCATTCTCAAATATTAATTACGTCAATACCAATTTCTAAGAATTGGGGGAAACAATAGGGGTCTACCAGGTAAAAAATGGTCCCTGATGACTTAGAAAAAACTAAACTTGTGCTGCTTTTATTACCAATAGACCTGTAAGGGAAAAGCCAAGATAAAGTATCTGAGTACTTTCTGAATAATAAGGACTAATAAGTAAAGCCAACTATAACTCCACTTCTATTCCAGTGAAGTTAAAGAATTAAACCAGTGACATCACAGAAAGATAATTAACATAAAATTGTTGAGTAAAATCAAACTATATGACAAGCATATGCTGTTTAATATTTTGTGTTTTTACATTACTGTAGCAGAGCAGCCTGGAAGAGGACGTAGATGATGAAACAGAAAAAAAAAATACAGGTGATAAGCGCTATAAAAGGAGAGAGGTACAGGGTGCTAGACCAGCAAAAAGGAGAAAGAAAATGCTGCTTTGGACCAGGCATGGTGGCTCATGCCTCTAATCCCAGCACTTCGGCAGGCTGAGGCAGGTGGATTGCCTGAGCTCAGGAGTTCAAGAGCAGCCTGAACAAAATAGTGAAACCTCATCTCTACCAAAAATACAAAAAATTACCTGGGCATGGTGGCGTGTGCCTACAGTCCTACCTACTAGGGAGGCTAAAGTAGAAGGACCACTTAAGCCAGGGAGGCAGAGGTTTCAGTGAGCCAAGATAGTACCAGTGCACTCCAACCTGGGTGATAGAGTGAGAACCTGTCTCAAGAGAAAAGAAAAGGAAAGAAGAGAAGAGAAGAGAAGAGAAGAGAAGAGAAGAGAAGAGAAGAGAAGAGAAGAGAAAAGAAGAGAAGAGAAAAGAAAAGAGAACATGCTGCTTTGGCAGGTCAAGTAAGACTTCTTGAGAATGTTGAAGGGAAGCTTTGCCCTGAAGGATGAGCAGTGTGATGGTTAATATTAAGTGTCAAGTTGGTGGATTGCAGGATGTAAAGTATTGTTCCTGAATGTGTCTGTGAGGGTGTTGCCAGAGATTAACATTTGAGTCAGTAGACTGGAAGAAGAGGACCCACCCTCAATGTGGGTGGGCAGCATCCAGCGTGGCTAGAAAAAGCAGGCGGAAGAAGGTGGGAGAAACTGAGTTGCTAAGTCTTCTGGTTTTCATCTTTCTCCCGTGCTGGGTGCTTCCTGCCCTTGAACATCAGACTCCAGGTTCTTTGGCCTTTGGACTCTTGGACTTAACATGAGTGGTTTGCTGGGGGATCTTGGGCCTTTGGCCACAGACTGAAGGCTGCACTGTTGGCTTCCCTACTTTTAAGGTTTTGGCACTTGGACCCATCCACCACTGGCTTTCCTGCTCCTCAGCGTGCAGATGGCCTATCGTAGGACTTGACCTTGTGATCGTGTGAGTCAATTCACCTTAATAAACTCCCTTTCATATATATATATATATATCCTATTAGTTCTGTCCCTCTAGAGAACCCTGACTAATACAAGCAGGAAGTAGGAAGGTAAAGAATTGGGAAGAGGGAATATTTGATGAGGGAAGAAAAGGAATGTTCCAGGTGGGAAAAGGTGTGCAAGCCCTTGGAGGAACGTTGCCAATGCTACAGTGGAATAGAAAAAAATGTATTAAGTGCCATCTTCCAGCTTCTATGGAAACACGTACCCTCCCCGTATCAAAGAACCAATGTTCATCACAGGTGGAATTAGAGACAGAGGAAGATTGGAGACCTGGGCAGCATTCAGGGCCCCTTGGAGGGTCAGGAGAAGGAGAAATGATAGTGCAGAGGGCAGTGGTTCTCAAGATCTCCTCACCCTAAAGTTTATTGAGGATTCTAAAGTGCTCTTGTTTATGTGCATTATAGCGCTCCAATTCACCATGTTAAAAATTAAGATGGCTGTCTCAGTCCTGTAATCCTAGCACTTTGGGAGGCTGAGGCAGGCGGATCACCCAAGGTCAGGAGTTCGAGACCAGCCTGGCCAACATGGTGAAACCCCGTCTCTACTAAAAACACAAAAATTAGCCGGGCGTGATGGTGCGTTCCTGTAGTCCCAACTACTCAAAAGGCTGAGGCATGAGAACCACTTGAACCCAGGAGGCAGAGGTTGCAGTGAGCCAAGATCATGCCACTGCACTCCAGCCAGGGTGACAGAGCAGGACTCTCTCTCAAAAAAATAATAATAATAAAAATTAAGATGGAAAATTTATGAAAATATGTAATTAGTTTAAAATAATAATATAAATCCATTCCTTATTAACATATGTAATATCATTATTCATTAACAATAACTATGATTTCTGAAAAAACAAAACAGAAAATAGAGGGAGAGTGTTTGTAAATCTCCTTAATGTCCAGAGTAATAAAAGACAGCTGGATTCTCATGGACGCCTCTATATTTGATGTGCCTTTTATGCTGTTTTGGTTGAAGTAAAATGAAGAAAATCTGACTCTTAGAAATATGGAGGTGAAAACTCCTTGAGAATGTTGAAGGGAAGCTTTGTCCATCCTGAAAGATGAGCAGTGTGATGGTTAATATTAAGTGTCAACTTGGTTGGATTGAAGGATGTAAAGTATTGTTTCTGGGTGTGTCTTTGCCAGAGATTAACACTTGAATCTTGAAGTAAAAAGGTTGAAGTAAAATAGGAAAATCTGGCTCTTAGAAATATGGAGAAGTAGTTTAAATAAGTATAAATAAGGATTTTAGATTATTGTGGATACTGTTCTGCAATTCTAAATATGCCAAAACCCCACAGGTGGTATTTCTTAAAGATTAGAACCCATGTGAAAAGTCTGAAACCCTTATCACTGAACTTTTCACGCTGTTATATTAAATTTCATTGCTCTATATTGCATCTTTCAATGGATCTTTTACCCATGTTTGATTTTGTAACATGATAAGTTAGGTTACTTAGAAAATATCTGCTCACCGAGTTACGCAGATCTTTTAAATGTTGCATCATTTTATTATTGAATACTTTAAAAAGCATATGTGACTATCACCACCAATCTCATCTGAAAATCCTACACAAGAACAGAAAACCAAATACTGCATGTTCTCACTCATAAGTGGGAGTTGAACAATGAGAACACATGGACACAGGGAGGGGAACCTCATGCACCCGGGCCTGTATGGGGCTTGGGGGCTAGGGGAGGGATAGCATTAGGAGAAATACCTAATATAGATGATAGGTTGATGGGTGCTGCAAACCACCATGGCACGTGTATACCTATGTAACAAACTTGCACGTTCTGCACATGTATCCCAGAACTTAAAGTATAAAAAAAAAAAAAGAAAATCCTTTATATTGTGAGAAACGGTAGCTCACACAGTGGTGGATACAAGTTTTCCAAAATTCAAATTTTCACTTAAAAGTTAATTTTTAAAAATTTCTGGTCATAAATACTTTCAGTTGCTTCCTAATTCCAGTTTCATTTTTGAGAAAATATCTGCCAAACAACCAAATCTGGATAATCACAGTCAATTCTGTGAAAAATACAGTGAGTTCAGTTGTAGTTCAATTCACAATTTGAACAATTATCCATGTGCTTCATGCCAAATACATAATGTGTACTTTCCATTCCATCTTACAGAATCTTAAAAGGTCGTATTTTATTTACATGACCGCTCTCCAATTGAAGCCACCATCCTTGTGGTGGTGTGATGTCCTGCATTTCTCTGATTTATCCCGACGTATTGGGCTAGGAAATGACCGTGCCACCCTACTTCCTTTATCAAGGTGCTTCAGAAAGTGGCTAAAGTCCATATAGAAAAATATAAGCACAGATTTTTTTTTTTCTTTTTGAGATACAGTCTCGCTCTGTCACCCAGGCTGGAGTGCAGTGGCATGATCTCAGCTCACTGCAACTTCCACCTCCCAGGTTCAAGCCATTCTCCTCCTCAGCCTCCCAAGTAGCTGGGACTACAGGCGCCCGCCACCACACCCAGCTAATTTTTTGTATTTTTAGTAGTTACGGGGTTTCACTGTGTTAGCCAGGATGGTCTTGATTTCCTGACCTCATGATCCGCCCGCCTCAGCCTCCCAAAGTGCTGGGATTACAGGTGTGAGCCAAGGCACCCAGCCAGAAAAACATAAGCACGGATTTTTTTCTTAAGCACTCTCTACAAAGCTTAAGGTAGAATGAATTCAAAGTCTTCTATATTAGCATGGAATAATTTTTCAAGGATTCAGGCTAACTTCTGAAAAGTGACCATTCTTTATGAAGAAGATAGGACAGAACTTGCATGCTTCCATCTTTGATGAAATACTCTTATTTTTTTTCAATATTTGAGATAATTAGTGGTGACTTCTATTTAAGAGAAATTCAATGATAATTTTTATTAGAATCCCTATTTTCTCATATTAACATAAACAGACATTTTAAAAGGCATTAGAGGCTGGGCACAGTGGCTCAGGCCTGTAATCCCAGCACTTTGGGAGGCCGAGATGGGCAGATCACTTGAGCCCAGGAGTTCAATACTAGCCTGGGCAACATGGCAAAACTCCATCTCTACTAAAAGTACAAAAATTATCTGGGCATAGTGGTGCATGCCTGTAGTTCCAGCTACTTGGGAGGCTGAGGTGGAGGATCACTTGATTCTGGAGGTGGAGGTTGAATTGAGCCGAGATCATGCCTCTGCACTCCGGCCTGGATGACAGAGTGAGATGCCATCCCAATAATAATAATAATTATTATTATTATTTAAAGGCATTAGAGAAATGCTGTGAAATATTCAATCACTCTATGCTGAATTGTAACTTCTCTTCCAATGAAAACAGACATTATTTAAATTATATTTGACAAATAGAAGTCTGTAAAATGTGAATGAAATTGTAGAAAGCCCTGAAAATGTAACTTTTTGCAAATATGAAAAGGGGTGCCTAAAATTTCTTTTTTGTGTGTCACATAAGTGCAACAAATGCAGTAAATTTTTCTCCTTTTAATAACCTATTTTCCTTCTTGGTTAAGCTAGGGAAAGGTCTTATTTAATTGAAGGACTTTTGCTTCCATCCACATGGTGCCTGACTGCTTGTTTCAAGTCATCAGTCCCCTTTTGGCTGATTAACTAATCTTCTTCCTAAGCCTGAAGGGGCTGTGTCTGCTCCTGACCCAGATCCTGGATGACCTAGAACCCCACAACCCTCTCTCCACAAGTAATTGTAGTAGTATCTCTCTACTCTTTTTTTTTTTTTCCAAGATCATTTTCAGATAGGATTATCAGAAAGATAGGATTCAGGGAAGGTCTGGCTTCCCCTACAGGAGGAAAAAGAGCTGCCACCTAATATCCAAACTGGATATCCAAAACCTGCAGGAGCCTACAGAAGTGGAGATAGAGTTATTTTCCCCAGAACCCTTCACTTAGGACATCATACCTTTTCTTGTTTTTTTGTTTTTGTTTTTGTTTGGTTGTTGTTGTTTGGTTGGTTGGGTTTTTTTGAGATGGAGTCTTGCTCTGTCACCCAGGCTGAAGTGCAATGGCTCTACCTCAGTTCACTGCAACCTCTGCCTCCCAGGCTCAAGCAATTCTCCTGCCTCAGCCTCCCGAGCAGCTGGGATTACAGGTGCCCACCACCACGCCCTGCTAACTTTTGTATTTTTAGTAGAGATGGGGTTCCACCATGTTGGCCAGGCTGGTCTCGAACTCCTGACCTCATGATCCACCCACCTCAGCTTCCCAAAGTGCTGGGACCACAGGCGTGAGCCACTGTGCCCAGTCAACATTACACCTTTTCAGAGATAACATGTCCACATCATCTTTAAGGTGCTCCTGCTGCTTTTCAGCATATGCTCTCTATTCTCTTGTTACTGACCACCTTCCTCATTTCTCACCCCTACTGCTGCCCTATTGCTGTGTATGACGTGTGTAGACACATACACACACTCCTTCCCCCTGGCTCAGAGATGTGGATCCGAGTATTTCTCCCTCACAACTGGTCTTTCAGTTGCTCATCTGGCCCTGCCAATCCCTCTCTGCATCCTAACTTTCAGCTTTGGCTCCTACTGATAACTGCAAAACTATAAAATTATTTGAAAGAATTCTGAGAGGACTTATTAACTTGTATTTTTATAAAAGGGCTTAGTAAGTAAATTTTTGAAAAATTAACAATTGTACCAGAATAATTTGAAACTTCTTTCTAGTTTTTTTTTGTTTTTTTGTGATGGAGTCTCGCTCTTTCACCCAGGCAGGACTGCTGTGGCGCTATCTCGGCTCACTGCAAGCTCTGCCTCCCGGGTTCACGCCATTCTCCTGCCTCAGCCTCCCGAGTAGCTGGGACTACAGGCGCCTGCCACCACACTCGGGTAATTTTTTGTATTTTTAGTAGAGACGGGGTGTCACCGTGTTAGCCAAGATGGTCTCGATCTGACCTCGTGATCCGCCCGCCTCGGCCTCCCAAAGTACTGGGATTACAGGCGTGAGCCACCGTGCCCGGCCCAGCATTTTTTTTTTAAGAGAAGTTTTGCTCTGTCACTCAGGTTGTAGTGCAGTGGCATGATCATAGCTCACTGCAGCCTCGAACTCCTGAGCTCAAGTGATCCTCCTGCCTCAGCCTCCCATGTAGCTGTGATTATAGGGACATGACATGCCCAGCTAATTTTTTCAAGCTTTGAATGTCTACAGTTTATGTTTCTTCTGTTAATTTAGAATGTACATAAATTAAATACTTTAATCATTCAATATTTCTTAAATATCTAATATAATGATAGCATAGTAATTTATATTATTGTTTGTAAAATAGTATATGCTTTATCTAGTTTTCATAATGTATACTCTTAATGGATCCATTTTAATTTTTAGCTCTGTAATTCCAGTTAGGCTATAAGTCTTTGAAGAAAAATTTCTTTGTGAGAATTATTCACATCCTTTAGGGAACAAATTAAAAGGAATATGTCAATTTTACTTCTCAAATTTCTTGATGGAAAAAACCCAAAATCATGAGCATGAAACTTTAACCTATTTAATATTTTTATTATGTCTTGGCAGAGTAAAACTTACAGTATTTCCTCTTGATTGAAGATCAAGACATAATAAAAATGTTAAATAAGTTAAAGAGAAATAATCAGAATAAGAAAAATGAGAAATCCAAAACCTATTTTGTTCTCACCATTTAAATTTCAAACCAACAGACTTCATGAAAAATGTTCTAAGGCACTTCCTTATAGTTTTAAGTCTATGGCACCTAAAATTTATACAAAAATCTTGCAAAATTATTGCTATGAACTTTCAGTTTTAAACCCAGATACAATGATCTATTTAGAGAATGGATTACTTAACACTTATCCTGAATTATAGTCTGCTGTACAGAGGTTAAATTAAATTATAAGATGTGCAGTTTGAAAATGCACGTATCAGCCAGGAGTGGTGGCTAACGCCTGTAATCTCAGAACTTTGGGAGGCCAAGGCAGGCAGATCACCTGAGGTCAGGAGTTCAAGACCAGCCTGACCAACATGGGGAAACCCCGTCTCTATTAAATACAAAAAATTAGCAAGGTGTGGTGGTGCATGCCTGTAATCCCAGCTACTTGGGAGGCTGAGGCAGAAGAATTGCTTGAACCTGAGAGGTTGAGGTTGCAGTGAGCAGAGATTGTGCCACTGCACTCCAGCCTGGGCAACAAGAGCGAAACTCCATGTCAAAAAAGAAAGGAAAAGAAAAGAAAGAAGAGAAGAGAAGAGAAGAGACGAGATGAGACAAGAAGAGAAGAGAAAAGAAGGCAATATCTCCTTAGTATCACAAATGTGTAGTAAAGTGACTATCAGAGCAACTTAGCAGTGTCAATACTAAGACTTATTTTATCTGTTCTACAATATCGAACTCTAATATTTTCCATTAGAATTTTAATAATAAACATTTCATCATTAACAGATTTAATAAAATATCATAATTTTCTTTTATCCCACAAATGCATTCTCTTAATATGATGTTTGGCTTTAGCCTCAGCCTTATCTGAATATGGATATTTAACTCGTGGTCATTCAACAGTCAGCCAAATATGTATTCTGTAAGCCTCTAAACAAATTCACATGCGTACATGTTCTTTTTATACAAATGACTTATTACTATACTACTCTTCAGAAAATAGTTTAATGATAACATAGATCTATCTCACTCTTTCTAACAGTTACATTTTATTATGTTGACATCCTCTAAAGTATGTAATCACTCTCCCAGCAATGGAAATCCAAGTAGTTTCTAGGGTTTTCTTTTTCACAAATGATGCTTAATGAATGTGGCTTTCCATTTACCTTTGTGTACTTTTCCCAGTGTATGAGTGTCATACTTTTCTCAAAGTGGAATTGCTTTTTTTTCCTGTGTGCATTTTAAACTTTGATAGAGATTGCCAATAGCAAATAACAATAGATTATGAGAAAGCTATTCCTCATATCCTTGAATAGCCAGTCATTGGCTTTATTTTCTGAAAAATGTGTTCATCTTTGTGTCAAGGATTAAAAATGGTAACAAAAACATTACAGGTGCTAGCTAGCCAGAGAAAGAAAGAAAAAAAAAATATATATATATATATAGTTAAAATTCAATCTCATTTAAAATAATTTTAACTTTTGCTAACAAAGGCAAATCAGTAAATATTAAGGTCTTTAATATCCTTTTCCTCTGCCACTTTTGTTTAGCCAGTATTATCTTACAAAGATACATAAATTAAAACCCCCTTGCTAGGGCCTCTTACCCGGTGACTCTTTTGCCTTCTTTCTAACTGGCGTCCACCAGATGTCTCCCCTCTCCCTCAAGGTGTTCTTTTCAAAAAGGCCTATTGCTTTCAGAAACACCTACTGGCAGAGTAAAACTTACAATATTTCCTCATATAATTTTTCTTCTTTTTTTCAGGGCACAGATCATCTATTTAAACATAAGAAATGGCTTGACACTAATAGCATTTCTTCCATTTTGGAAAAAAAAAAATAAGGACTGATATCCATAGAAGTAAAAAAACAAAAACTTCAGGAAAACATCATTACATAAGGGGGTGGTATGTACCTTGATAACATAAAACGATTTTACATAAGAGAATCTACCAACTGAACTCATTTGTTTGGGTATAATAAAGATATATATCCTTATAATTGAAATATATTTAACTCTGCTTACACTTTTATGAAAGTCCTGTTTAATACTTTCAATGTTTCTCAAAGGTAATCTCTTTCTGGTGTTGCCAAATTACAAATATTGAGTGTTCAATACATATTTTAATACCTTCTTTATCACTTGATATTGGCAGGTGATTTATAAGAACAAAACAAAACCTCTACGTTGACAAAGGAGCTGTGGCAGCAGAAGGGGAGGCAAGTAGAGGAGAGCCTCAAATAACACAATAGAAAATGCAGTTATTCAATTTAGTGTTGTATTTATAGTATTGCACACCTAAATAGTCATGGTAGAAGTACCAGAGAAAACACAGAGGCCAAAGATCTCTTAAGATGCAGCCAAATCATTCCCATGCTCAAAACAGGAACGTGGGAGAGGAAAAGAACCACATGAGTTCTTTTATTTTTTTACCCCCAATTTTTCATTACCTTTCACCTTTCTTATCTACCTGAAGAAGTTTCTTTCGAATTAAGCTTGCAAAAGAAAAATGAAGTTGCATACCCCTATCCTCTTCACCATCCCAAATCCTCTAATATAAGAAAACAATATTTCCATTCCTATTTTTCAAAGTGTCACCTCCTTTAATCCTCATGACAACTCTGCAGGCATTATTGAACTCAGAGGGACAGGTTAAGGAACGTGTCTACCACATACACTTGGGCAAACCAGAACACAGAACTCCCACCTCTTTCCACTGCAGAGCATCTACTTTACATGCAGCAACTTTGCCTGTGGTATCTCCAAGTCCCTAAACTTCTGGCTCTTCAAAAATAAAGATATTCATGACCAGCCTGGGCAACATGGCAAAACCCTATCTTTACAAAAAAAAAAAAAAACAGAAAAATTAGCTGGGAACGGTGGGGTGCACCTGTAGTCCCAGCTACTCAGGAGGCTGAGGTGGGAGGACTGCTTGAGCCTGGGAGGCAGATGTTGCAATGAGTTGAGATCATGCTGCTGTATTCCACAGTCTGGATGACAGATCGAGACCATGCCTCAAAAATAAATAGAAAGATAGATAGATATAATTGAACTTTATAAAACCCACCAAAATAAATTCTAATGGATTAAAGAGTGCAATAAAAATGGCACTTTAAAGGAGAAAAAAATGTGGATATTGATGTAATCTTTAGTATTAGAGAAAGAGATTTTAGAGGCATAGCACTAACAACAAAAAAAAAAAAAAAAGGAAAAAAAATAGATCTGTAGATAAGAACAGCTTTATACTTCTTAATTTAAAGCACCATAACTAGGCTGAGCATGGTGGCTCATGCCTGTAATCCCAACACTTTGGTAGGTGAGGTCAACGGATCTCATGAGCCCAGGAATTTGAGACCAGCCTGGGCAACATGGTGAAACCCTATCTCTGAAATAAAAAAATAAAATAAAATAAAAATAAAAATAAAGCACTATAAATAAATAAAAATATAAATTACAATGTGAGGAAGTACTTGCAACATATATGACAGGCAAGAGGTTTATTCTTTCAATATTTAAAATTCTTTTACAAATCAATAAGATAAGATAAAGAACCCATTAAAATGGACCAAAGACATGATAAACAACACAGTTCCATCCAATAATACATGTGATAAATAAACATGAAATAACATAAGCATGAAAACACGTCCAATCTCATTAGTTATAAAATTTTTAAAAACTTAAGACAATAGATGTTGAACTGATCTTATATCCATTTGGTTGAGAATTTAAAACAATACTCTTTCAATGGTGTAAAGAAACTAGACACCCATATTGTTGATGGGAAGTAAATTTGTATAACCTTTCTGAAGAACGATTGGGTAAAATATTTTAAAGGTCTTATAAATGTACATACACTTGAACCCAGAAATTTTTAGTTACCAGGATTTATCTTATGTTAAAATTATTAATGAATTCAAAGATATTTATTGTAATATATGTATTTTAAGTACCATAAAAACAGGATTCAACTTAAATGCCCAAATATAGGGAATTGGTCAAATTACACTGCATCCTTACAATAGATTATTTTAAAGTCACTGAAAAATATCATGGTGCAGGATAATATTGGATTTTTTCTTTGTTCTTTTTAAACTTTTAATTGACAAGTAATAATTGTATGTGTTTTGGGGGTGCAGTGTGATGTTTTGATATGTGCTTATAATGTGGAATGATTAATTCAGGTTAGTTAACAAATCAACACCTCACATACTTATCTTTTGTGATGAAAACACCTAAAATCTACCCTTTTAGCTATTTTAAAATATGCAATGAATTATTGTTTATTATTGTCACCATGCTATGCAATAGATTATTAAAACTCATTCCTCTTGTCTAACTAAAACTTCGTATCCTTTGATCAACAGCTCCCTTTACCCAACCACACCCCTTCCTCGGCCCTTGGTGACTACCGTTCTTCTGTGAGCTCACCTTTTCACATTTTCTTTATCCATTCTTCTGATGATGGACCCCTAGATCTCTTCCACATCTTAGCTATTGTGAATAACATCGTAATGAACATGGGAGTGCAGATATTTCTTCTGCATATCAACTTAAATTCCTTTCGAGATATATCCAGCAGTGGGATTGCTGGATCATATGGCTGTTCTATTTTTAGTTTTTTGAGGAACCTCCACACTGTGCTTTATAATGGTTCTATTAATTTACATTCCCACAGACAGTGCACAAGGATTCCCTTTTCTTCACACCCTCACCAGCATTCTTCACACCCTCACCAAAATGTCTATTTGCTAATAGCCATTCTAACAGGTGTGAGGTGATATTCCATTGTGGTTTTAATTTGCATTTCTTTGATGATTAAAAACTTTTCCTCTAATATCAGTAACCAGACAAAGATGCCCACACTCATTACCTTTATTCAACATAGTACTGGAAGGTCTAGCCAGAGCAATTATATAAGAAAAGGCATTCAAATAGAAAAGAAAGAAGTGAGATTGTCTGTTTGCTGATGATATGATCTTTAATCAAAGACTAAAGACTTTTAAGACTAAAAGTCTAAAAGTCTGCACACAAAAAAACTGTCAGAACTAAAGACTGCACAAAAAAAAACTGTTAGAACTGATAAACAAATTCAGTAAAGTTGCAAAGTACAAACAAAAATCAATAATGTTTCTTTAGGCTAACAAATCATTTGAAAAAAATTAAGAAATCACTCTCATCCACAATAACATGAAAAATATTTAGATGTAAACAATCAAGGAGGTGAGAGATTTCTATACAGACAATGTCCAACTTACAATGGTTTGACTTACAATTTTATGCTGGTGTGAAAGTAATACACATTCAACAGAAACTGTACTTTGATTGCCCATACAACCATTTTATTTTTCACTTTCAGTACAGTATTCAATAAATTACATGAGCTATTCAACACTGTATTATCAAATGCTGTTGATGGGAGTGCAAATTAGTTCAACATTGTGGAAAGCAGTGTGGCAATTCCTTAAAGAGCTCAAAACAACTACCATTCAACCCAGAAATCCCATGACTGGGTATATACCCAAAGGAATATAAATCTTTCTGCCATAAAAGACACATGCACGTGAATCTTCATTGCAGCACTGTTCACAATAGCAAAGACATGGAATCATCCAAAATGCTCATCAATGACATATTGGATAAAGAAAATGTGGTACATATACACCATCAAATATTATGCAGCCATAAAAAAGAACGAGATCATGTCTTTTGCGGGAACATGGATGGAGCTGGAGATCATTATCCTCAGCAAATTAAGTGGGAACTAAATGAAGAGAACTCATGGACACAAAAAGGGGAACAACAGACACTAGAGCCTGCTTGAGGTTGGAGGTTAGGAGGAGGGAGAAGATCAGGAAACACACCCCCGTGACATGAGTTTACCTATATAAGAAACCTGTACACATCCCCCTGAACCTAAAATAAAAGCTAAAAAAAAAAAGAAGTTACCATTATTTTCAGATTGATTGACAGTGACAGCACTAGCTAACATTTACTGAACATTTTCCACATGCCAGGACACTGTCCTAAGTGCTTTACATTTATTAATCTATTCACTTTTCCCAGTAGGTCGATGAAATAGGTAGTCTTTTTATTGCTACTTGATGAGGAAACTGAGAAAAGGAAAGTTTAGATAATTTGCCAAAGGTCACATAGTAACTAAGAGAGCTAGGTTTCAAATCCTGACTGCCTGGTTTTAGAGTTTGTATACTTTAACTTCTACATTACTTTATACAATATATTGAGAGATAAACATAAAACCCTTTGAGACCTAGAAAGAAGAAAAACTAATGGACTGTCAAGCAAGATCATAGGAGAAAATTCGTTTACACTGAGCCTGCGCATAACCAGAGCTTTCCAAAGGTTTTAGTCCTTTCATCTGAAAGGAGAAGAGCTTAGATGGCTAATCTCTAATGTCTCTTCCTACCTGATGTTTCTGTGCTGTTGTCAGCAAATGCTTGCTTTGTTTTATATTTCTTCCAGGCACAGGGCTGGGCTCTGTGGGGCTAAACAAAAGCAGAGGGCATGGACTACTCCTTCAGGGCAGGGTTCTTGATGCTCATTTGTGCCAGGTGAACCCCCTAGAGACATGAATCCACAGGCAGTCAGGTTGGTACCTGAGGCCAGCTCCCTTTGACGCTGTAATTGACTCCCAAGTTTTAGACATGTTAGAATTTTGCTATTGCCAGAATATTTATAAAAGAGTTTTAGAGTACCTGGGGCTTCTGAAGGGATTAGGAATTTGGAGTGAAATGCTTCTTCCTCTAAAAATGTTTGGATTTAATTACTGTGGCAGAGACTCTTGGTTGTCCCCCAATATTCTTTCTCCCTGTTGTCCTTCTAAATGGAATCCTTGATTTTAGTTGGTCACATCCAGAATAATTATTACATTCTCCAGCCTTCCTTGCAACTAGGTGTGGCTGTATGACTAATTTCTGGCAATGAGATATAATAGAATTGTTGTATGCAACTTCTAAGAAGTATTCTTAAAGTGAAGGATCAACTTTTTCAGCCCCCTTTCTTTCTGTTGGCTGGACATAGACATAGTGACTGGAGCCTAAGCAGCCATTTTGAACTATGTAATGGAAGCTATGTGTGGAGGATGTGGTGTGGTAAGAAAAAGGAGTCTATGTCTTTGATGATATTGAAATAACTTTTTCCAACTCGAACCAACTACCATGAGTCATTTAATGTGTCTGGAGGAGAAACTCCTCTATATTATTTTCTATAACTTCTGTAACTTCACTATTGTTCAGGAACATTTGTTAATTATAGCTGAACCTTATCTTAACAAACACAGGTGTCCTTGGTGTAGTAAGTAGTTAGCTATGATTTGGGGTCTCTTGTTTATTTGTAAGATAAGCCCATGCCTTCCATTTAGGACAGATGCAAATGTAGAAACAAACACATCTGATACAAAGGCACCTGTGCTTACCATATTTCTTACAAATCAAAGTACACTTTGGAGCAAAACCACATCCACTCTGCTGCTGGAAAAGATGATGTGCTGTTGGGCACAATGATTTCGCTTTCTCCTTTCTGCTGTCAATTTACTCCATTTGTGTTGTTGGTGCTTTGTCTTGAGGTATACTGTAGGCAGTTTTTAAACTCATTTTGTGTGATAAGCACAAAAGCGATATGAAGAGAAAGACTTATATGAAGTAAACATGAATGAAAGAAACAACAAGAAGTTCAAAGTGGTGGGAAAAATGATAAATGTTGCAAGTGACTTTAGGAAGAAATTGTTGGATGGTTGGGATCATTTTCAATGACAGATAGATGACTGGAAAACTTGGAAGATGCTCTCATGATGCCATTGCAAAAGCCAGCAAGTGAGTAGCAAAATGGAATCATGCTTGACTTGAGAAAAACACCAGTATGAAATGTTTTTCACTATCACAGCAATTAATGAGAAGCCTAGGAAGCTATTAAAGAACTTATGGACTAAGCAGATGAAAGTCCACAAATTAGAACATTTTACAAGGTACAGATGATTCAAGAAGCTTTTGAAACTGCGTATCAAAGTGATTGGTTTAAGTAATAAACCTTCTAAATATATGTTAAGTAATATACCATGTCCAAAAGTTTTCCCTAAAATACTCATGGACATCATCAGGGAACAGGGCTACTGGTTACAACAGGTTTTCAGTGTAGATAAATGGGCTGATTTTGGAAACAAAATGCCGAATAGAACGTTTTTCAGTAAAACATCTAAAAGCATAAATTATATACTCTAATTTGGTGGAAGTATATTTGAAAACTGAATGTTTTAATCCCATATGAAGTTACTTGGATTTAAGAACAAATGATGGACTCACAAAAGTGCTTGTAGAAAATGTTCTAAATAGAGAAACTTCTGGACTGATTTAAAATATATGACTATCATTCAAGTTTAGTGAATCAATTTTTGAAAATATAAATATGGCTGAACACAGTGGCTCACACCTGTAATTCCAGCATTTTGGGAAGCCGAGGCTGGAGGATTCCTTCATGCCAGGAGTTTGAGACCAGCCTGAGCAACAGAGTGAGACACTATGTCTAAAAAATTTTTTTTTAATTTAGTAGGGTGTTGTGGTGTGCACCTATAGTCTCCACGACTTGGGAGGCTGAGGTGGGAGGATTACTTGAAGCTAGGAGGTCGAGGCTACAGTGAGCTATGATTAGAATCTCCTCCAACCCAACATTTAACCTAGGAAATTGCCTGAAAAAAAAAAAAGGTACTCCTCAAACACAAAGAAATCCTTCCATATGACCATTCTGCATTTGGTATTATCACTAAAAGTAAGAGACAAGAACGGCTCTTATCAATCATCAAGTTATTTAGAATGGCTTCTAGAATACAAAATATTGTTTATTATTCTTTATTGGCAGTAAATTTAGGTCTTTAAAAAAATGTTTTAAACTTTTGTATTACAAAGCAAAACTTAAGTTAGATAAGAAAGCGCATTGAACCTAGTGAATTTAAGCTTTCTTCTTCATAAACATTTGAATCAAAGCACAAAAAAATACTGGGGAAAAATGTAGGCACACTTACTCCCTTGTATTTTATTAATCTTATCTAGAGCTTCATTAAATTTCTTTTCTAAAATTTACATAATATCCCTCATCATTCTTAAATTCTACTAGTGGACCAAATAATGTTTCATGAATATAAAATTATTCTTCAAAGACTCAAATTCCTACATTTACCAGTGTCTAAAAAATAATAGTAACTCCCCATAAATAACAACTATGTGTAAAGAATGATCACCTTCCTAATCTTTCTTTTGCAGAGCTTAATGACTCAACAAGGCCTGAAGGACTATGCTAATTTAAATGGCCTATTATTGACTGCAGCAAACCAACCTATAATTATATAGAATGCAAAATCTTTTGCTCTGGGAAATGCTGAAACACAAAACAAAGCTTTTAGAACCTGTGCAGAATCTCTAATGGTGTGCAAAAGAAAATCAGATGTTGTAAGCTTGAGATGTGGGTTCTAGTGTCAATTCATTTGGTCTGGGTCTTTGGCTAGGAGCACCCCTTCTCTGGAACAATCTCCTCCTTCTATGGAATTAGAAGCTTGGGGACAGGGTGGGCAGGTTTCTTTATTTTTGAGGTCTTTTCCAGACTGAGAAATTATACTTCTAGGAAGTATTAAGCACTCAGAATATAAGTAGCATTGAATAAGTTTTGCCTTTCACAGCAAATTATAAGCAATGTGTTCTCAGAGTTACAGTGTGAAGTATAAAGTCTAAGTAGCAGTTTAAAGTAGTTTAGAAATTAAGCAAAATGTCAAGTATAGAAGATAATATTGACAATATCAATGAGAAAGTGCAGATACATATACATCTGTCACTGGTTAACATTTCAAGTCTTTTTCTGAGTGTGCCTTTAGTTTTAAATCTATTAAACTCCCTTGGTGTTCTCATTTTGCATGTTAATTACTTCTTAAATCCAAACCTTCACCCTTTTCTCATGTTCAACCTTTTGCTGAAATCTTCCTTCTTTATTCCCACCCTCACTGATCACTGTTTTCTGATTTCTCCAATGGGGGAACCCCTCTGTAAAAATCAATAGGTGTTTAATAAATCATGCTTTTCAGTTACCTCACTTGAACATTCGCTTTTTTCTCTACTGGTGTACAAATGCTGAAAATAGTCAAGTATATGAGATTGGGAGATAATCAGCAGTGGCTGGATGGTAGATACTGACTTAAGAACCTCCATGCAGACGGCTCAATAGGGCAGGGTGCACTTGGCAGCCTCTTCATTTGTTTACATCCTCATTAGTGATCAGTGACGTTGGTTGTATAGGAAAGGTAAAAAGAATATTCTGTGCCCTAGCCTGGATAAATCACCCAGGCTCAGCTGGAATTTTTTGTTTCCAATCATTTGAACACAAGTGGGTGCCAGGCAGAGTCATCACCATTTAGGAAGTCAGCAAAGAACTGAACAAGAGGGTGAGATCTCAGGAAGCTAAGTGCTTTGGAAACTGGTGGCAGGGAGGAGAGAAGCCGGGCATGCCTCCTTTGGAAGAAGGGTTGTTGATCTGGCTCAAGAAGGACTGAGGGCTCAAAAATGTGAGCTGTTGTACTCAGTGATAACTTCGCCACCCCATGTTGTGGTTTTCGTTGTCACCATAGCAGATGAGTTACCTTGGTAGTGAAGCTTTAGTTGGCCACAGGAGCAGAATGCAGGGTGCTCTCAGATCCAGGAAGGGATGATGGGGAAAGAGATGGGGGATAGAACCAGAGAGGCAGGTGGCATGACTGGACTTTCTGTCTGCATGAATGATGACGGCAGTGTCACTGGTGGGCTTGCCAAAGTGGACAAAATACAAGACCTGAACTATAAGAGTTGTGGCAATTAGGCCAATAGACACACCATAAATGTTTTCAAGAGTGACCAGGGTTTTGCTGAAACCTGCAAGGGTTTATGAAAGGTGAATATTTCAGCAAATTACACAGTGATGACTTAGGTAACTGATTTTATTTAGAATAAGACTAACATTCTTCATCACTTCAAATGCTGTAATTTAAAACAAAGTTTTCAGCCCTCTCTCTGTCACACACATGCACACATACATACATGCATTTGTCCACAGCTTATGAGACAAAACATTCCCTCTTAGTTCTTCCTCCTTTGTACAAAGCAATAAGGCTTCATATCCAATGCCAATAGATTGCCTCAGGAATATATTACATTAAGTTTTTCTTAGCTACTAACATCTCAATATAAATTAAATTTTCTAATTAGTCCTAATGCGTAGAAAAATAATGGAAAGATATATCAAAACATATAGATTGATTATCTTTGGATGGTGGAAAATTGCAGGATTTTTTTGGATCATTGTCAATTATTTATAATTTTCACATTACATGTTAAGATTTTGTAATTATAAAATTATTTATTAAATATATCTGGATATGGAAACATAACTAAAAAATTCCATCGAGTTTAGAAATATGTAAAAATAGAAAAATATTCGCTCTGCTGCAGAGCAGGATCTTAAAGGAATAGAATGCAGCTGCAGCACTGATGCACCATTAGGGACCTGGAGCCCAGGTGTTGTCTGGAGATTGCATAGTGGCAGCTGGAGCCCTGCAGAGGATCTGATGGAGAAGGGGCTGCCTATTCCATTTTACCATTATTCCAAAGACTACTGAGGACTTTCCACCTCCTCCCCAACCCCTAAACCTTACCCACTGTGGCCGGAAGGCTACATTGTGCAATCTACAACCACAGTGTATTCTTTCATTTGAACAGTATGGATTTCCGGGTAACTGGATATTTATCTATAGAGAACTATAGATAAATAAATAGATAATCAAGCCAACAAATCCTGATTGTTAAGGGTGAAGAAAGTTTATCTTATCCAGGAACATAAGCATATAAAAATATAAAATGATATAAATACGTGTGTTAAAGAAATAACCAAGTTCTAGGAGAATCTGAAACTTTGATAATGGTTTAATGATATAAAATATACAAACACATTTTTTCACATGAAATGATCAAAGAAGGAAAATAAAATGATAATCTCAACAGATGCTTAAGTATCATTTAACAAATTTCAGCACTGAGCCTGATAAAAGCAGACAAAACAAATCTCAATAAACTAAAAATGTAAGAATAATTTCTAAATGTGGTAAACCATGTGACATGGTTTGGCTGTGTCCCCAAATCTCACCTTGAATTGTAGCTCCCATGATCCCTATGTGTTATGGAAGGCACTCAGTGGGAGGGAATTTAGACAAAGGGGTGGGTTTTTCCTGTGCTTTTCTCATGATAGTGAATAAGTCTCATGAGATCAGATGCTTTTATAAAAGGACCGTTCTCCTGCACACACTCTCTTGCCTTCCATCATGTAAGACATCCCTTTGCTCTTCCTTCGTCTTCTGTCATGATTGTGACGACTCCCCAGCCACGTGGAACTGAGAGTCCACTAAACTTCTTTCCTTTATAAATTACCCAGTCTCGGGTATGTCCTTATTAGCAGCCTGAGAACAGCCTAATACACCATGTTTATCTCAAAACAATGGCCAACATCATATTTAACAGTGAAACCTCAGGGGCATCCCATTACAGTCAAGGCAGCATGAAGAATGTCTATTACCACCACTATTACGTCATGTTCTCTTGGAAGTCCTAGTTAGGACATACGAATAATGAAAATGTAAAGACAGAATTATCCTTATTTGCAGATGATATGATTTTCTGCCATTGGAATTCCAAATAATCAACCATATAGTCTATTAAAAGTAGTAAGAACCCATTAAGTTGGCTGGTTATAAAAATATGAAAACGATATACAGTGTAATAGCAAGTGTTTGTGTGTGTGTGTGTGTGTGTGTGTGTGTGTGTTGCTAGTCACAGGAGGAATGAAGTATATAAAATGCCTAAGCATATAAAATACCATAGGATTTATATTTAAAAAACCCATAAAACTTTACTGAGGAACAAAATATACAACTTAAATAAATGTTCTCTCATAAAAAGTTTCAGTAATATAAACTGTAAATTTCCAGGATTTCAATTAAGAGCTTTATAGAATTTTTGGAGGAAAACCTTAAGTAATTTGACAAGAATTTCATGTGGCAAAATAAATCAATGAAAAGAATAAAATTATATGAGATTAAAGAGAGAGACAGAGAAAGGAGAGAGAGAGAGAATGGGAAGAAAAAAATAGTAGTGATTTTCTCTGGGTAGAAGCATGGGTAATTAAAAAAAATTTTTCTGTGTAATTTTCTATATTTTCCAAATGCTCTAAAATAAGAAAATAACACTCATATAAACAATTGTCCAAAAAAAGCATATTTACCCCTTTTTTGGGGGGATATAAAGAGGTAATTGTCAGATTACTGAAAAATCGGAAGTTCTATTATTCTTTTCCTTCACAGTCTCGGAAGTTTATCTCACTGTTTTTTGTTTGTTTGTTTGTTTGTTTTTAGTATAATTAGGTACTTGACTTAATGGACTAAATTGTATAAATGCTTTGTTATTGTGGGAAACACCATAAGTCATATTTAATATATTACAGAAAGGAAAAGGAAATAAAACTATGTGTATATAGTGTTAAAGCAATGACATTTTGCTGCTCTCATGAAATATAAGGCAGGCTGGGCGTGGTGGCTCATACCTGTAATCCCAGCACTTCAGAGGCCGAGGTGGGCGGATCACCTCAGGTCAGGAGTTCGAGACTGGCCTGGCCAACATGGCGAAACCCTCTCTCTACTAAAAATACAAAAACAAATTAGCCAGGCATGGTGGCAGGCACCTGTAAACCCAGCTACTCAGGTGGCTGAGGCAGGAGAATTGCTTGAACCCAGGAGGCAGAGGTTGCAGTGAGCCAAGATTGCACCACTGTACTCCAGCCTGGGTGACTGAGCAAGACTCCATCTCAAAAAAAAAAGACATATGAGGCAAATGTTAGTTCAGTTTATTGTGACCTAATTATTGAATCCCCAATCTAGTCACAAATACAAATTTCAAGTTGCAAAAGAGTTCTTGTTCCTCCGGTAGCTCGGAGGCAGTGTGGCGATTCCTCAGGGATCTAGAACTAGAAATACCATTTGACCCATTACTGGGTATATACCCAAAGGACTATAAATCATGCTGCTATAAAGACACATGCACATGTATGTTTATTGTGGCACTATTCACAATAGCAAAGACTTGGAACCAAGCCAAATGTCCAACAATGATAGACTGGATTAAGAAAATGTGGCACATATACACAATGGAATACTATGCAGCCATAAAAATGATGAGTTCATGTCCTTTGTAGGGACATGGATGAAATTGGAAATCATCATTCTCAGTAAACTATCGCAAGGACAAAAAACCAAACACCGCATGTTCTCTCTCATAGGTGGGAACTGAACAATGAGAACAGTGAGAACAAACACATGGACACAGGAAGGGGAACATCACACTCTGGGGACTGTTGTAGGGTGGGGGGAGAGGGGAGGGATAGCATTAGGAGATATACCTAATGCTAAATGACTAGTTAATGGGTGCAGCATGCCAGCATGGCACATGTATACATACGTAACTAACCTGCACATTGTGCACATGTACCCTAAAACTTAAAGTATAATAATAATAATAAAAACCCAGTTAATTCAAAAAAAAACAGTTGTTATATCAAATCCTGTCATAGTTTTTATTTTGTCTATAACCTCAAGTTAATAATAAAATTAGTTTTCTTCCTTGGGAATATAATAGTCAAGTTGTCTGAAAACTAGTTTTTTATAATGAAAAGATTCTATGTGAGAAACCTGAGTGTAATTTCTGAGTCTGCTACTAGCTATGTGGCCTCCTAATATTTCAATTGTAAAATAAGAAAATACATTTGATTGATGTCTAAGACATTTATAACTTTGTTTCTATGATTTTCAGAAGCATGATTTGTACATTAGCAGAGTAACACTTTTTTTAGGTGCTTACATTTGTCTTTATTTTTTTTTTACATTTGAACATATCTATTTTTTTTATTTTTTAAGGCTTATTTTTTTTTTTATTTTACTTTAAGATCCGGGATACCTGCACAGAACGTGCAAGTTTGTTACATAGGTAGACATGTGCCATAGTGGTTTGCTGCCCCTATTGAATGAACCTCTAAGTTTCTCCCCTTGCCCCCCACCCTGCAACAAGCCCTGGTGTGTGATGTTCCCCTCCCTGGGTCCATGTGTTCTCATTGTTCAACGCCCACTTATGAGTGAGAACATGCAGTGTTTGGTTTTCTGTTCCTGTGTTTCTGTTCCTGTATGTGTGTCCTCAGTTTGCTGAGGATGATGGCTTCCAGCTTCATCCATGTCCCTGAAAAGGACATGATCTCATTCCTCTTTATGGTCAAAAACTTATCCACCATGATCATATTGGCTTCATCCCTGGGATGCAAGGCTGGCTCAACATATGCAAATCAATAAACATAATCCATCACATAAACAAAATCAAAGACAAAAACAATATGATTATCTCAATAGATGCAGAAAAGGCCTTTGAGAAAATTCAACAGCCCTTCATGTTAAAAACTTTCAATAAACTAGGTATTGATGGAACATATCTCAAAATAATAGCTATTTATGACAAACCCACAGCCAATATCATATTGAATGAGCAAAAGCTGGAAGCATTCCCTTAGAAAACCAGCACAAGACAAGGATGCCCTCTCTCACCATTCCTATTCAACATACTATTGGAAGTTCTGGCCAAGGCAATCAGGCAAGAGAAACAAATAAAGGGTATTCAAATAGGAATAGAGGAAGTCAAATTGTCTCTGTTTGCAGACGACATGATTTTAAATTTAGGAAACCCCATCATCTCAGCCCAAAAACTCCTTAAACTGATAAGCAACTTCAGCATAATCTCAGGATGCAAAATCAAGGTGCAAAAATCACAGGCATTCCTTTACACCAACAATAGACAAGCAGCGAGCGAAATCATGAATGAACTCTCATTCACAATGGCTACGAAGAGAATAAAATCCCTAGGCATACAGCTAACAGGGGATGTGAAGGACCTCTTCAAGGAGAACTACAAACCCCTGCTCAAACAAATAAGAAGAGGACACAAACAAATGGAAAAATTTCCATCCTCACGGATAGGAAGAATCAATATCACGAAAATGGCCATACTGCCCCAAGTAATTTATAGATTCAATACAATTCCCATCAAGCTATCATTCACATTCTTCACAGAATTAGAAAAAACTACTTTAAATTTCATATGGAATCGAAGTAACACATTTTAAGCATAAGTATCCCCACCATGAGACATTTTCCATAATTGCTATTCTAAATATAAATAGGTCACAATAAGGAAGGAAGGAATTATCAGAAATATTTTTATCAAATGAAAATATATAGAAATAAAAATAATATTGTTAGTATTTGCTATGAACATATTTTAAATCATCTACTAAAATTTTGTCTGCTGATACCTTATTGTAGGTTTCTGATATAAATATCAAAATTCAAGCAAAAACTCTAACACACAATTCTCAAATGATGTGGAAGCACTGTTTGGTATACTGATAACTTCCTCAGCACTATGATTACTGATATTAACATCTCAGATTTCATAATCCCATAATAGCCAACATTATAAAAAATGCAACTTAATATTCTTGAAGTTTTCAATGTTAAATGTCGAAAGGAAGAATGTTAGACATAAAGGCAATTAAACAGTATTTACAGTACTAACCAGATCAGCCTTGTGTTGTTCAATATCCACAGCATGTTTTCCATATATTCTGAAGATGCTGGTATCTCAAATGCCACTTCAAAAATGTCTGTTCTGACTCTGTGAATTAGAAGCAAGGAAATAGTTAATAATTGTGTATTTATTCAGTGTGGATTATGTAAACTAACAATTATTTATTTTCTGGAAAAACTTCCAAATTCAACCCAAAAGTACAGAATTTATGTTAGGTAGAGATAAAGTAATAGAAATATCTGCTACCTTCAAAAAAACAATAGCAGAAAATGATCTCATCTGTATGAATGATTCTAGGATTCTGACAAATGTAAGGCCTTGCCCTCCTTATTTCACAGAACTTATTTGAAATCACTGAAATTTGATTTCTCACAGGTTAGGAATTTAGTTTTTGCTTCTAAAAAAGCCCACAAAGGCAATCCTTGATTATTAATATTGCAGAATTCTATGGCTAAGCAAACAGAAGGATTATGGTAATCAATAATTTCAAAACTGTCCAATGATAAGACAATATTACTAGACCATGATAAGTTTAGGTGAATGGTGAATAAAATCTACTGTACTATTGAAGTCAGTGGCTGCATTGGGATGGACAAGGAAAACAGCTAATTAAAATGGTTTTAGCTAAAGTTAAAGATAAAAATAGGAGATAATTGCACTTCAGTAGCTCTTGATTACATGAATTAAGGATTAGCCAAGATAAATCTTGTCTGCTTTTTATGACATTATATCTTGCTTTAGGCTATGTAATTATTAACAATGTTCCTGGTGAATCTTAATATTTTAGATCTGCAGGGACTAAGGGAAAAAAATAATGTCTTTGGTACTTCTTCCACTCCTCACAAGAGAAAGTGTACACAATAAAGCATGTAAAATTGAGGTGATATTTCATATTCACCTTAGAGTTGATGCTCTCTGACTCTATCAGAGTGGCATTGTAATACAGAATGAAGAAAAAAATGACTTTAAAGATCCTTCTTAGCCATCTATTTCTTATAAGCCAACCCCTTATAAGGAGTTAGTGATGTGTATTTCCAAAATATTAATAGACTTATACTCATATCCCCATTCAAGAGCAGACCTGTCTTTTTGTGTGTAATAGATACACTCATGAAAAATAGAATATAACTGAATTTTAAACCTCAAGACTTCTTATTAAGCAAACAATACATGACTTTATGCTTAGGTCACTGCTACTTGTTAATTTGTACTTCATGGCCAAAACACACCCTGCCTGATTAAGCTAGTGTTGCTCTGATTGTATCTGAACCTACTACTATGTAATGCTTAGATAACTTGGGATTGTCATATTATAATTCTAAATTATTTGTGGTTTAAATCTTAGAGTATAAAAGAATGATACAAAATATCTTCATAAGTTAGCATCGGGATCCTAGCTTCACCCTTTTTGTTTAAAAAAAAATGTAGCCTAGGCCAGGCTCTGTGGCTCACGCCTATAATCCCAGCACTTTGGGAGGCTGGGGTGGGTGGTTCACTTGATGCCAGGAGTTGGAGACCAGCCTGGCCAACATGGCGAAACCCCATCTCTACTAAAAACACAAATATTAGCTGGGCATGGTGATACACGCCTGTCTATTAGTCCCAGCTAGTCGGAAGACTGAGGCAGGAGAATTGCTTGAACTCCGTAGGCGGAGGTTGCAGTGAGCCGAGATCATGCCACTGCACCCCAGCATGGGTGACAGAGTGAGAGTCCATCTCAAAAAAAAAAAAAAAATCAGCCTACTACATTTCATTAAAATGGTATATGACCTCTCAAAAGCAATAATGAAAGTCAGAAGACAGTGAAAATTATCTGCAATGTAGTGAATTGAACAATTACTGCCAAACTAGAATTCTCTACTCAGCAAAAATATCCATCAAGTAAAAAGTTAAAATGAGATCATCTTTAGTTAAACAAAATTTGAGAAAGTTTGTCACCAGCAGACACTCACTAAAAGAAATGCAAAATGGTAGAAAATGCAGATGGAGAGAAATCTCAGTTGGAAGTGTTGAGATATAAAAAAGAAAGTTGAGCAAAAAAAGTATCAAATATGTGAGTAGATAAACATTGACTATATAAAAAATTATTAATAATGTTATAAGGGATTAATAAAACATGATGGAATTTAGTACCAAATGACAGCCAGGATCTGTAAATTGGAAGAGGAGTACATGGAGTTGAAGTATCTGAAGGTTCTCATGTTATAAGGGAGGAAGATAAAAATTTTGAGTTCAGTTGAATACACACACAATGATTTCTCAAGAAGCCATTAGGATGAGAGGCAGGCCCAATGCAGAATTGACAGAAGATGGAATAGTTTAAAGAAACATTCTTTTTTAAAACATTTTTTAAAAATTAAAACATTTAAATAGTTTAAGAGAGAGAAAAAATAGCATTGGATAAGTGTACAACTAGGAGGTACAAGGTAGGATGGAGGGTTAGAGCTAAAGTATATTGATCATTGCATTGAATATGGATTAAGTGGATGTTCCCTTTGGAAATGAGATTGTCAGACTAGATGGAAGAACAGAATCTCATTGAGTGTTCTTTAGAGGAGATAATCTAAAAACTAATAATCAAAACATTGTTAGTAAAAATGATAGAAAAAGATGTATGACATAAATACACAAATATTCATAATAGCATTATTTGTAAACTTAAAAAACGATGACCCCAATACACATCAACAGCAGAATGAATAAATAAATTGTGGTATAATTAGACAATGACATACTTTTCACCAATTAAAATAGATGGACTATTGAGAAACATATCAACAAGCATGAATATCATAAATACAATGTAGTGCAAAAAATAGAAAATGAAACTGTCTTGTTTAGAGATGCACACATAAGTGATGCAGCTATAGAGAAAAACAAGGAATTGATTAAGGCAAAACTCATGGTGGTGGTTATCTCTCAGGGGAAGGAGAAAAGCCGAATTGGGGCTGGACAAAACATGGAAGGGCTCTGGGGTTCTGGAATGTTCTGTTTTGACCTAGTGGTGGTAACTTGAGTGTATTCATTCAATAAATATTAACTACACATGAAAATTTCTCTATGTGTGACATATTACACGTTAAATAACATGTTAAAAATAAGAACTTGTTAGTAGATGTTTGTAAGGTCTGTCTAATGAAATTAATACACAAGTCATTTCGAATTTTTTTCAATACCCTTTCTTTCCTCTGTCTTCATAGCAGCTCTTCGACAAATAATACAGAAGGCTTTTTTAAAAAGCCATTGCCTTTAAAAAAATTTTTCATTTACAAATAATTGTGTATATTTATGGGGTACAGTGTGATATTATGATACATGTATACCTTGTGGAATGGCTAAATCAGGCTAATTAACATATCTATCACGTCACATACTTATCATTACTATGGGGTAAGAATATTTAAAACCTATTCTTTTAGTAATTTTGAAATCTACATTACATTAACTATATATATTTTTATTTATATATGGATATACATACTCATTATTAACTATAGTCACCATGCTATGCAAAGACCAATATAAGTTATTTCTCCTGTCTAATTAAACTTTGTACTCTTTGACTAACATCTCCTTTACCCCCATCCATCTTCTTCAAAACCCACAGCTTCTGGTAACTAGCATTCAACTCTCTACTACTGTGTGTTCAACTTTTTTAGATTCCGCATATAAGTGAGATCACGTGGCATTGGTCTTTCAGTGTCTGGTTTATTTCACTTAGCATACTGTCTTCCAGGTGAATCCACGTTGTCACAAATGACAGAATTTCCTTCTTTTTTAAGGTTGAATAATATTTCATTGTGTATATATACCACATTTGCGTTATCCATTTATCCATTAATGGGAATTTATGTGGTGTCCATATCTTGGCTATTGGGAATAATGTTGCAATAAGCACAGGAGTGCAGTTATCTCTTTGACATACTGATTTCAGTTCCTTTGGATATATACCCAGAACTGGGATGCTAATCATATGATAATTCTATTTTTAGTTTTTTGAGGAACCTCCCTGCTGCTTTCCAAAATGACTACACTCATTTACATTCCCATCAACAGTGTACAAGGGTTCTCTTTTCCCCACATCCTCACCAATATTTGTGATTTTTTTTTCTTGAGATAGTATCACTTTTTTGATAACAGCCAGTTTAACAGATGTGCAGTGACCTCTCATTCTGGTTTTAATTTGCATTTCCCTGGTGACTAGTGATGTTGAACATTTTTTCATATTCATGTTGGCCATTTGTATGTCTTTTGAGATATGTCTGTTCAGGACATTTCACCATTTTTTAACAGGTCTAATTTTTTCTTGTCATTGAGTTGTGTGTGTTGCTTGTTTATTTTAAAACATATTAGGCCTTTATGAGATGTATGATTGGCAAATATTTTCTCCCAGTGTCTTTTCACTTTGTTAATTGTTTTCTTTGCCATACAGAAACTTTTTAGTTTGATGCAATTCACATTTGTCTATTTTTGCATTTGTTGCCTGTACTTTTGGGGTCATATCTAAGAAATCATTGCCCAGACCATTGCTTTTCCCCTAGGTTTCCTTCTAGTAGTTTTATAGTTTCAGGTCTTGCTTTAAGTCTTTAATTTCTTTTGAGTTGATTCTTGTACATAGAGGGAGATAAAGATTCACTTTCATTTTTCTGCATGTGGATATCCAATTTTCCCAACACCATTTATTAAAGAGACCATTCTTTCTTCACTATGGGTTCTTGGCACTTTGTCAAAAATCAACTGACCATCAATGCATGGGTTGATTTCTGGACTTCCTATCCTGTTCTATTATTGGTCAATGTATCTGGTTTTATGCCAGTACCATGCTGTTTTGATTACTATAGCTTTGTAATATAAATTGAGATTAGGTGCTGTGATGTCTCCAGCTTTGTTCTTTTTGCTCCAGATTGCTTTGGCTATGTGAAGTCTTTTGTGATTTCTCACAAATTTCAGGATAGCTTTTCTATTTCTGTGAAGATTGATATTGGAATTTTGGTAGAGATTGCACTAAACCTGTAGAATGCTTTGGATAGTATGTACTTTTACAATATCAATTTTTCTAATCCATGAACATGGAGTATCTTTCCATTCCTGTGTGCCTTTGCTGTTTGATTAGGTTTAGTGCACTGAAACCTCCATTTTCAAGGCTTGATGGCATGGTAAGAAATAAAACAGAAATAAACTAGATGATATACCTGTGGTCTGGCAATCAGAACAATTGCTTTTAGATAACTAGAATTGATATTTGACTGATGTTTGTTCCCTCTCTCAACACACTCTCAATGACTTCTAATCCTGGAGTTTCAGCCCCTCACTTCACAGAAGGTGCTGAGAACACTTGACTTTGGAGCCTCTCAGCAGGGAACAGGCTGGCACCGTGAAGCCACATTCTTTGTATCAGGGATTGTGTACCCTGAGTTTATGTAAATCTTTTGCTTTGTTTCTTTGCTAATTCAGGAAGTATACCAATTCCTGTCAATCCTTGAACCTAAACCTGAACCTTAAACTTTATGGTCTGTTCTAAGCTCTGAAGACTTAAGCTGTTTTGTTCTGTTTTAAAGTTTGGTCTCAACCAGGTGCAGTGGCTCATGCCTGTAATCCCAGCACTTTGGGAGGCCAAGGTGGGTGGATCACAAGGTCAGGAGTTCAAGGCCAGCCTGGTCAAGATGGTGAAACCCCATCTCTACTAAAATTACAAAAAAATTAGCCAGGCATGGCGGCGGGCCCCTGTAATCCCAGCTACTTGGGAAGCTGAGGCAGAGAATTGCTTGAACCCGGGAGGCAAAAGTTGCAGTGAGCCAAAATTGCACCACTGTACTACAGCCTGGGTGACAGAGTAAGACCCTGTCTCAAAAAAAAAAAAAAAAAAAAAAAAAGTTTGGTGTCCGCTTTAACCATCAAAGACTGAAGCACTGCTCCTCAGAAAAGATGGCAAGAGAATAGGGTTTTTCCTTTTCCCAAGCTACTGCATGGGAAAGCTACTGCAAGTTGAAAGCAGTCAGTATTAGTCCAATTTTGCATTGCTATAAAGAAATATCTGCAACACGGTAATTTATAAAGAAAGAAGGTTTAGTTGGCTCACAGTTCTACAGGCTATACTGGAAGCATGATGCTGGCACATGCTCAGTTTCTTGGGAGGCCTCAGGAAGCTTACAATCATGGTGGAAGGTGAAGGCGGTGCAGGCAGGTCACATGGCCAGAGCAGAAGCAAGAGAGAAAGTAGGGAGGTGCTACACACTTTTAAACAACCAGATCTAAGAAGAAGTCACTCACTATCACTAGGATAGTACTGAGGGGGATGATGCTAAACCATTCATGAGAAATCTGCCTCCATGATCAAATCACCTCCCACCAGACCCCACCTCCAACATTGGGGATTACATTTTAATATGAAATTTAGGTGGGGACACATTCAAACTATATCAGCTGGAGACCACTAGAGCATAGCAGCCAGTCTTGATCTGGATTTGTGATGATATTTCTTGGGCTTAATTAGCTTTATCCATGAGGAAATAAAGAGAGAGATTATTGTTCAAGATCCTTAGAAAAACTGAAAATATTCTGTTTCTGGATTCTGTTGTAAATTATCTTTGAGGTGAAAAGTTTATCTGTAAGTCACAATTATGAAGCCAATTGTAAATCCCAGAGATGTCAACTATTCAAAGCAGTTGATAATAGTATAAGGAAATAAAACATGTTGCCCACAGAGCATGAATATTGGTACCATAATGGCACTTCTTAGCTCTGATGATCATATGGAAATCATAAGAACAGACGAATTTCTGATTCTCTCCTATTGCTATGTTGACTTGCTTATGAAATCCCTAATAGAGAAATGCAGAATTTTGAGAAAATTATCTGGAAGCTAAGTAGAGTAAAAAAAGTAATGATAAGCCAAATAATAGAAGTGAGAACACCCTGGAATAAATGAAGTTTTATTATACATTACACATATTTATTAAAGTATTAATGACTCTGGAATATCCATGCTTATGAATAGTTTACATATATTATTATATATGTTATATATGTAATTTTTTGCTCCTGTGAAAGCAATTTGGCTCTTCTACTAATCAGAAGAAATATTTATTTTTCAGAAACTGTGATGGGTACAAAAGCTCCTGAAAAAGTATTATTAGGTTCATATGATAGATGAGGAAACCAAGACTCAAAGAATTTAAGAAATTTTCTTCAGGTTAACCAATAGTTGCTGCAGAGCAGAAATTTCATTTCTACTCTAAATTGAAAAGCCCATGTCGAACTGGCAAATTGATTGATTTCACAAGGGAATCGAATAGACAAATCACTTAGTAGAAGATAGGCTGATATAAATAAGGTAAGAGGTAACATATGATCTCATTAGATTTCTTTTGTACCTCAGCTTTGAAATAATGTTCTATAACCACTATTTGAAAATTTAAAAGAAGTCGAGCATCTGTATATGAGGCCAAACTCATTATTCTACTTTAAATCTAGGAACTTCAGTTTCCATTACTCACTGACCCCAAATTATTGTCTGGCCTATTTTATCGCTTTTTCATTAATTTGTGAAACATTTGAATGCAAAATGTCTCATTGGTTATTTAGGTTTCAATCTAAAAGTAGAATTAATTAGATTAAAAAATCTCGATAAATATTGCCAAATTAATAAAGAAAATTGTACCAGTTTACACTGTTACTAACAATGTAATAAGACTACCCTACTCACTGTGTCCCCTTGCTTTTGCCATTTTGTCAGACTTTGCTAATTGAGTCAGGAAAAAAATGTAAGTGTGTGTGTGGTCACTTCCTTTGTTTTGTAACTCTGAGAGTGAACATAGTAACTATTTACATATTATTCATTTTGTATTTATAAAGTATTCATATTTATATATTCATATATGCTTATTCATATATATATTTTGCTTTATTTATATTTACGTTTCATGGTAGTTTAACTGTTGTGGTTCACTATTCTTTTCTTTAAAGAGCACTTTATATATTAAAATATCAGTGACTTTTTTTATCCCATGTTTGGCAAATGTTTTTCCAATAGTTTTTTTCCTGTTGTTTTTTAGATTTTTTTTTTTACTTACAGAAATGTTAAACACCATTGAGGTTAAAATAATTATTTCTGATTTTTATATTTTGATTTTCATTAATTAACTCATTAACACATTTGAGATCAATTTCTGGTTTTCCCCAAATATTTAATCAATTTTCCTGGAACATTTATTGCATTCTTTTTTTTTCTTCCTTGCCGATTTATAGTATATCTGAATTTTTCCATCATACAATATTTTGCTCATTTTCTTACAAATAATTTAACCTACTTATGAGCTAATTTTTCTATTTAATCAAGAGCCCAAGACAAGTAAAGGTTGTTGGACATTCTGGCTACCACTGCCTTTTATTTAATACTGCCTTTTTCTGAAAATGTTTCCTCATTTTAATTCTCGTCTGCATTTCTGCATTGTTATCCTGTGACTCTTAATTCTTTCTCTGCACATAGTACAGTCCCAGGTCAGCTCTGCCCTAGGACTGAGCATAAGCAATTGTAAATTATAAATATGATAATGCTAGTTCCTCAAAGATGGGGGCCAGGTCTATTATTTGAGATTAATTTCCTGAGTGGTTAGTATCCAACTGCACAATTTATAAGAACTCAATTAATACCAGGTGACTAACTGATAAGTTACTGGCTCAGGGTTACAAAGTTCTGTAAATATGTAGTTTATGATCATTACAAACAGTCTGTCTTTTGTTTGAGAATACATGTAACTAACAGACTTGGAGTACACAATTTAATTAGTACACGCATGTTCAGTATCACTTTTTAACTCTGAGAGTTCTGACCACCCAATAAAATGCTTTATTTATAATGAAGTTTTCAAACTTCCCATTTCTGCTATCTTCATAGGAGTCTTCAATCCTGTAATTTCTTGTATGGCTATATCTGCTTTGTGCTGATCAGCCGCAAGTGAAGGCTAAAGTCCCTGTGAAAATAGAACCTAGAACTTTTGTGACATTGCTCTGACAACTACAACTACATTTTAAAACCACCCACCCAAAGTAAATCAAATAGTCTATTTTCATATAGTGGCATGAGTTGGGGAATGTAAAAGGGTAATTACATTTCTTAAATTATTAGATTTTTCTAGGCATTCACCAAAAGAATATTTACCAGTAAAAAAAAAATAATGATAAGATGCTTACATGTCTATTGCCCATCATAATAAACAGAAATTACTAATACAACTGAAGCCCCAGAATACGCCTCCCAGATAATATTCCCTCCCCATAGACATAGCCAACACTTTAAATTATTTGTTTATTACTTCCCTGTTTTCCCTTATGAACATCCAAACTATTATACTTTACTGGAGCTTTAGGAAATTGGTCGACATATATTGTAGCTTATAAGCTTAACCAATAATAATTGGTTATATAACTGGTTAGATTCCATAACTGTGCAGCTTTGTAGACACAAATGGTAAAGATATCAAACAGTGTGTTTCTGGACTTGCCTTTATTTCATTGATGTGGTTTGGCTGTGTCCCCACCCAAATCTCATCTTGAATTGTATCTCCCACAATTCCCATGTGTTGTGTAAGGGAGCCAGTGGGAGAAAAGTGAATCATGGGGGCAGGTTTTTCCCATGCTGTTCTTGTGATAGTGAATAAGTCTCATGATATCTGATGGTTTTATAAAAGGCAGCTCCCCTGCACCTGCTCTCTTGCCTGCTGCCATGTAAGAGATGCCTTTGCTCTTCCTTCACTTTCTGTCATGATTATGAGGTCTCCCCAGCCATGTGGAACTGTCAGTCAATTAAATGTCTTTCCTTTATAAATTACCAAGTCTCGAGTATGTTTTTCTCAGCAGTGTGAGAATGGACTAATATATTCATTATATTTTTTAAGATAAACAATGCTTCTATGAACACCTTGTTCATATTTCCTGGTACTTCTCTAGGGTATATAAACCTAGAAATGAAGTTTCTCTGTTTCAGGGTATGCCCATTTCAAATTTGCTGGGAAATTTCAAAATATTTTTCTGTTTGTGCTATTCTGCATTCCTACCAGCAGTGCATAAAAATGGCCTTTGTTTTAAATCACTGCCAATGTTTCAGATTTACAGGGATTTAAAAAATATTCTTCATCTTAGACTAGGTAATAATTAACAATAAAAAAAGAAGAAAAATATTTTCCAATCTAGTGAGTGTAAACTATCACAGTATGACTGAGAAATTTGCATTCTCCTGGTAATTAATGAGGCTGAGCATCTTGGGATGAGATGTTTATTGGCCATTTATATTTCCTTATAACATGAGGTAGGAATCCCCAATAGCCAGGAGTCCTGGACAGTGCCCCAGTACAGGATGGCTCATATTCCTGAGAGACATTTGGAAATGTCATAAGTTGCTCTATAAATTACCACATTCTGGATAAGCTGGTAATTTTGTTGTCCACAGTAATTCACCAATCCCAGCAATTATTTCCCAGCTTGAGATTCCTTTATTAGAGCCATGAAATGGGCCACAGATAGATGGCTTTATACTCTGAAAGAATGACAGTGTAAAAATCAGTAAGTTAGACCAAAGCGAGCATATAAAGTCAGAAAAGCAATAGACAAAGAACAGAAGCTTAGAAATCACAATAGTTTATGTGCTTGGTTAAATGGTCAAGAAACAAGGAGAAATAATCACAGCTGGAAAGGAAGGGCAGAAAAGAGCGATAGGACAGAAAACAAGACAAAAAGAGTAAAATGTTCAAAAAGGAGTGAAATGGGCATGTCAGTGATAAAAGATTAAGAAAACAAGTTTCAGGAATGAGGTGGGTATAAAGTTATCAGGTAGGAGTCATGGCTTCGGGGCCATGTGAAATGAATTACATCTATTCCAGTTACCTATTCTTCACAAACAGTGCTCTTTTTTCTTCTCACAGTTTTCTATGTTATGCACCAGATACTTCACATATGGTTTCGAAACTTGACCAGGCATCAAAGGATGTGATATTTCTTTCAGTCGTACACTAACTGGGTCAAAGACTCCTTGACTTCGGATCTCTGTGTTTTCTCCTTTCCATCTCTACTGCCATGACTCTGAGTGATTTCAACAAAGTCCTAGTGAATCTGTCTGTCTTTTCTCTTTTTGCTCCCCAATCCATCCTACGCACAGCTTCCAGGGGGAAAAGCCATAAATATAGGTATTAAGACAGAGTGGCCTCCCATTACCAATAAAGGCCAGATTCCCTCATTAGGCACTCTTCAATCTCCTCAAGCTGACTCCAGCTTGTCTTGCTTTCCCTAAAACTCAATTGTGAGCATATGTAATTTCCATCTGTTAACTGAAAATCCTCTAAAGGCAGTGTCTAATAATAGGTTTGTCTTTGTATTCCTTGAAATACCCAGCCCAAATAAATATACTTAAATTAATGATATATCTCCGACATATACTGTGTATCATTATATGAACTTTTCTCTTTGGCCTTGCCCTGCCATGACTTTCAAGGTTATATAAAAAGGCAAGATTACCCAGAAGGCAGTCAGACAGATGTGTTATCTTACCACCACCACCAACAACAAATGAGAGTGAATGTTTACAAATGACAGTTTGCAGAAATAAAATGTGGAAGGTCAGTTGCAGTAGCTCACACCGATGATCCCAGGCCTTTGGGAGGCCAAGGCAGGAGGATTGCTTGAGCCCAGGAGTTCAAGACCAGCCTGGGAAACATAGTGAGACCCTGTCTCTACAAAAAATAAAATTAGCTGGGTGTGGTGGCGTGTGCCTGTGTTCCCAGCTACTCTAGAGGCTGAGGTGTTAGAATCACCTGAGCTCAAGAGGTGGAGGCTGCAGTGAGCCATATTTGGACCATTGCATTCCAGCCTGGGCAACAAGGAGAGACCCTGTCTCAAAAAAAAAAAAAAAAAAAAAGAAAGAAAGAAAGAAAGAAAGAAAGAAAGAAAAAACATGGGGATTTTTGGTTTACAAGATTCCCCAAACAAAGTATTTACTAATATTCCTGTCCCCTTGTTCGTAGTAGTGAGACCCCCTTCAGAGAAGGGGCTCTTGTCCTGCCCTCCCTGTTCTTAGCTAATTGGAAAAATGTTCATCATAGCCACCACTACTACCAGTGGAGACCATGGCATTTTAGTTTCCTATTGCTGCTGTAACAAATTAGCACAAACTTAGTGGCTTAAGACAATATAAATCTATTGGCTTTCAGTTCTGGAGGTCAGAGGTCCAAAATCAGCCTCACTGAACTGAGTCAAGATGTTGGCATGGCTGCATTCCTTCTAGAGTCTTGGGGAAAAATTCTTTACCTTCTTTAGCTCCTAGAGACCACCTGCATTCCTTGGCTTGCAGCCTCTCCCTCACATCACTCCAACCTCTTGTTTCTGTCATCCCACCTGCTACTAATTCTTGACTCTTCTATCTCTCTTTCATAGCAAGCCCTGTGATTACATTTGGCCCATTGCATAATCCAGACAATTTTCCCATCTTAAGATCTTTATTTTGATCACATCTGCAAAGTCTCTTCTGCCATGTAAGGTAATATTCACAGGTTCCAGGGATTAGGACATGGACATCATTATTCAGCCTTCCACAATGGTCACTAAAAGTTTACTACCAGATGACTGGGATCAAAATGATACTGGGATCAAAAATAATTTATTTCCAGACTTGTTTAGTCAAAAGCCAGCATCCATTTCTAGGGCTGCTGCTGCTCTTCCCTGTGTGTCTGCAGCATCTGGGGCTTGCTGCTTCCACAGTCTTTATTACCCAGGTTTGAAATGCTCAGTTCATCATTTCATATTCTCTTTCAAATTACCAACACTTACCACATAGGAAATATTTAATAAGTGCTTGTGGAATAAAATGCATTATATTAGAAATATTTCAAATTAAAAGATGATTAGCATAGGACCTTCACAATATTAACATTCAATACATGTTTTCTAACTGATATGATGAATCGAATAGATTAAGGCCCTTTTCAGGACAGAAAAATCCTCTTTAAGTTAGACGCTGCCAATTGTTAAGCACACACCTCTTTGTTCACTGGTCCCTCAATGCTTACAACACACTGCCTTATTTTTATATTCATTATACAGTGATTTACAATCAACCCAAACGTATTTTAGGAGTTGTCTATTGTCTTTTCAAAAATACAATTAGGAGGCATATAAAGTATTTAATTAGGATTAAGAACCTACTATAAATTAACAATGAGGCACATTTGTATGAATTATACTAAACAGACATTTGCCAAAGATTCCACCTTTGGATTTTTAGCTTAATAAACCAAATCAGGGAAACCCAAATAAACTGATGTTAAATAGAACTAGACAATAAAAATGTGACCTTCATCACTTCCTGAAGCTTAAATAAATTTTTATCTCTCGTATTGATCCTAGATTATTGTTGTAAAGTGTCTTTCCAAGGAAGCTAATGGCCATCATCTTAAAGCACAAAGCAGACTCTTTATAAAACCCTTTTGCAACTTTACGTTTCACTGAAAATGAAATCTATAAAGGCTCAGTATAATTTGAGTGCTGCCTCCTTCCCAATTCATCTCCTTCCACTTAATAACTCTGACCACACAAGCTTTGTGTTAGGGCACTGAATATGTCAAACTTTTTCTTGCGTGTTTTTTGTGTCTGCAAAACTCTTGCTCAGGGTTCTCAGTGCTTCAATTCTTGCAACAACCAAATGAGATACAATAATTATCACTGATTTACACAGGAGGCTAATAATGCACCCAAGATTACAAAGCTAGTATTGGCAAAACTCAGATTTACACCGGCGGGAATACTGGTTCCAACCTTTGCTTGTCCCATACAAGACAGGTGTCTCCATCTGAGATTGTGATATGCCCACCTCACTAGCATGTAATATCCCCAAGTCAACAACTTTGTCTCTTTTGATTACTATTATACAGCTGACACTTAAAACAGGGTCAAAAAAGTGTTCCATAGTTGAACACATGGATGAATTAATTAATATACCCTTAGAATCACCGGCATTTACAATATAAATGGAGAAAATCAATGACTTCTGTGTGTGGAAAGAACTATCAAATTTATAAGTTAATTTGTAAGGGTCTCTGAGCAGGAGTGAGGGTTGAAGACTGTTCTATGTTTTTTAGTGAGAAGAATAAGTCACTCTGCCTCACTTTAATTTTCTATTCTCAGTGCCATCACTTGAAAGAAACACTCCCCTTTTGGGACCTTGTTTTGTAGAAGAAATGAATAGAGTGGAGAAGGGAAGAGGAAGAGTCTACCCCAAGGGTCTCTTCCTCATTCCCCACTCCACCCTGAAGATTTTCCTGTGTCTTTCAGGATAACATCAAAGAGGCCTGGTTCACATAAGCTCTGGGAAGACCCCCTCTAAAGCATAAAATGAGAAGAAGATGCAGCATAACATGAGGAGAAGAGGGGCCTGGTACATCCCAGAGCCTTGGATAAATGGAGAGGGGCCCTGCTTTGTCAGCTTTGGAATGAAAGTCTTACACAGCCAGGGAGAGTTCTGGCTGGGTTGGTGGGCCTCATGGCTGCTGGGTCACCCAGAGGAGCTGGCACACCTCCCAGCAGCCAAACAGCTCAGGAAAATGATCCACACCATCACCCACCACTGAGGGAAGCCATATTCACAGCCATACACCTCACATCCTGCCTTGTAAGACAGTCCTGGAAAGTCAGCAGAGGGAGGGCTTGCTGGTATCTCAATCTGGGAAGATGCCTGGGTGGCCCAATACAGCATCCACCTACGCAAATATTTTCAAGTTAAGCCAAATTAGAGACACTGACAGAAGGTTTCTATTATTTAAAGTCAACCATCCAACAAACAGAAGACAAGTAGTTGTGTATCAATAAACAATGTGTCAATAGACTTGATAAAGGAAAGGAAAGCAATGAAATAATATGTGCAAAATCCTTCAAAATTTTGTGGTTGGTTGTCCTAAATTTATTGATGGTAATTTTTTTCCATTGCTCAAACACTTCTTCTTTTTTTTACTGAAGAAATCTCTCTGGAAAGAGGGCACATTGACCTGTCAACAGTGTTTGACCCTGTTGATGGCTCTGCCCTTCTCCATTTAATATATTCACTTGGCTTCTGAGGGCACCACTTTTCTTGATTCTCCTCCTGGGTCACAAGGCACAAACTCTTTCTCAGAAGGTTTTTCTGGCTCCTTCTCACCTCTATAACCTTTAATGGCTGAAGTACCAGGGCTTAGTTCTT
Organism: Homo sapiens; assembly: GCF_000001405.40. Classification (NCBI taxonomy): domain Eukaryota; kingdom Metazoa; phylum Chordata; class Mammalia; order Primates; family Hominidae; genus Homo; species Homo sapiens. Next base: position 54,617,119 of record NC_000018.10, on the reverse strand, counting down.
GTACTCTCTCCCGGCTCTATGTTCATTCCCTAGGTGACCCTCTCCAGTCTGTGGTTTTAGGAACCATCCACAAGCTAATGACTCTCAAATTTCTATCTAAAGCCTAGGATTAACTTCTAAACTCCAGACACTTGTATCTATGTACCCAGACATAACAACTTCATCCTGATATCTAACAGGCAACTCAAACTTATTTGCACCAAATAAATTCCTTAGACCTCCTTTCATCCTCCCTACCCAGCCCATGAAACTGATTTGTTTCTTTTGTAGATGTCCTTCATAGGTGAGATGGACCTCACACGTCAGGAGGGTTTGAAGGGATTTACTACTCACATAATGAGGCTTTCTGGGGAGAGCACTGCAGGGTTGCAAGCAGGCCTGAAAATGGCTTGAGAAAGAAAGAAAAGAAAGGTGTCTGGCTTTCCTGTGGTTAGGGAGTGATGTCAGAGTGACAGTTTCTGCATGCATGGCTTGAACTTCCTGCTAGTGCAAAAGAGGAGGCACCCAGGCTTTCTTATCAGCTTTCCCAGATGTGGACCACAGGGAAGAGAAGAATCTCAAAGTCTATACTCATTTCAGTAAATGACAATCTATCTATCCTTTCTGTTGAACAAGGTAAAACATGGGATGCCATCATATTTCTCCTGTATCCCATAACCAGTCCATCAGCGAATTCTGATGGCTCTATTGTGAAATAGGCCCGAAATACTAGCACTTATCACCTCCACTGCTACAATCCTAGTCCAGGTCTGAATCATCTCTCACTTGGGTTATTTCAATTCTCTCCTAGCTAGTCTCTTTGCTTATACTCTTGCCCCTTTATCATCTATTCACATCTATAAAGGAGTCAGAATAATTATTTTCATGTTACTGCTCTGCTAAAACTCTCTAATGGAGTCCCATTTCACTTATAATAGAACCTATATAATAATTATATATAAACCTTTTAATGGTATGCAAAGTCCTACACAATCTGCCCACCACTTCACTCTGCTCCAACTTCTTCCCTTCCCACCCTTCCTCTCACTCACTCTGCTGTAGCCACACTGGCCTTTGCACTTGCTGATGGCTCTGAGTAGAACACTTTCCATCTGAGTAGAACACTTTCCACAGTTGTCTATGTGGCTTGCTCCTTTATTTAGGTCTCTTCCTTTCTTGACAATCCTGCATTAAATAGCACCTCTAACCACTCTGAAATCCCCTCAATTTATTTACTTTACTCTTCTCCATAGCACTTATCCTCCACTGACAATCTGTAGAGTTTTCTTATTTTTTAAAAAAATTCTGTCTTCACCACTAGATTATATGCTCCATGAGGGGGTGGGGTCTATAATAGTGTTTATCACATAATAAATAATCAATGATTATTTATCAATGTTTATTGAATAAATATATGAATGAAATATGCTTTTGAATGGTAGATCCGAATCAATATCTTCTGTACAAAGAATTCAATGATAGTCAAGTCGTAATAACACATAGATGCAAAAATGTTCTAATTCACTCCCTCCCCTCATCCAACAAACACATTCAGTCTCTGCCGTCTGAAAACAAACAAAAATAGATACTACTTTAGACCTTCACCCTCTTTTCATTGCTCTGTTTCTTTCCTGCTGTTCACAGTCTGGAGTTTTGTAAACAGAGTTCAATGCATTTTGTCCCCCTCTCCTTCCACCCACTCTTCTATCCTGTTACAGGCTTCTCCATCCAACATGTCCCTGAAATGTTCTGTTATTTTCTTAATGACTCCCTCATTGCTAAATCCAACTATGTTTTTTAATTTTTCTTTTTGGTTCTGGGGTACATATACAGGATGTGCATGTTTGTTACATAGGTAAATGTGTACCATGGTGATTTGCTTCATGTATCAACCCATCAGCAAGGTATTAAGCCCAGCATGCATTAGCTATTCTTCCTAATGCTCTCTCTCCCCACCCACCCCACCCCTGACAGGCCCCAGTGTATGTTATCCCCCTCTCTGTGTCCATGTGCTCTCAGTTCAGCTCCCACCTATAAGTGAGAACATGCGGTGTTTGGTTTTATGTTCCTGCGTTAATTTGCTGAGGATCACGTCCTTTGCAGAAAAATGAATGAAGCTAGCTGGAAGCAATTAAATATATTTTTCCCTATTGGCACCTGCCATCTTTGATGACTTGACAATATTGAGGACTCCTCCTTTCAGATAACTTCCACCTTTGGTTTCATCACACCAAGGTGTCCCCCGTCCCCTCCTGCCTCTTCAATGACTCCTTCTCAGTGCCTTTCCTGGGCTCCTTGTTCTCTTCTTAGAACATCAGTGTGCCATGCTTGGGGCAGAAACACTCATACAGCTCTCACCAAATGGCAGATTTCAGAGCAAAGAGAGGGAAAGGGAGGGAACAGTGAGCCAGAGAAGAAGAAAGCCCACAAAGAGCTAGAAATGAAGGACAGAGCCAATGTAAACTGCTTTAATATTAGAGTGGCAGGGGTCCTGAGGCTTAGCCACCATTCTGACTTAATGAGAGTAAGAGACACAAAAAAGGGAGAAATAGGTACTACAAGAAGTCTCAGGTCTCACTGGTAAAAAAAAAAAAAAAAAAAAAAAAAAAAAGAATTCAAAAAAAGCTACACCTACAGGTGAAATCAACACCCACCAGTAATAACCAAGATCTTCTTAAATGTCATAAGTTGTTTCAGAATTCCTCTTTCCAGGAATAGAGTAGGCGTAGAGGGTACCCAAAGCCCCCAGAGCAAGAGACGATATATATTGTGGAAAATGTAGTGTGGTCTAATCACTGTGACTCCCTCAGTGCTGTGGTTGAAGCAAACAGAATTTGGGTGTGGTGGTGGTCACTATAGACACGCCACTTGCACTGCTATAGTTGGGTGGACTCTAGAGACCATTGGAGCACTTGTTGCAGAAAGACTTGGGGTAATCCTTCATAGGGACACCAGAGGTTAGTCTGACCCCATGAGACATCCTGGGATACTGAGGCTGACCAAGGCTTAAGAAAGCCAAGGAGACAAGAGTGAAGACCCAAAATGCCAGAGAGAAGTGTGTGGGTAGTCTTTGGGCAAGCAGGACCATTCAAAAAAGAATTATTTCTATCAAAAAGCACATTTAGTGAAGCCAATTTGCTAAATAACTAAATTACCAATTCAACAGAAGCAAATTTCCTAACTCAAATGCAGAGTTTGGGCAGAGACAAAGGAGAGGGACAGTGTCTTAGTCCATGCAGGCTGCTATAACAAATACCATAGACTAGGTGGCTTATAAATAACAGAAATTTATTTCTCACAATTCCAGGGGCTGAGAAGTCCAAGATCAAGCCACTGGCAGATGCAGAGTCTGGTGAGGACCTGCTTCCTGGTTCAGAAATGGCTGTCTTCTTGCTGTTTCCTCACATAATGGAAGGGGTGAAGGAGGTCTCTGGGGTCTCTTTTATAAGGGCATGAATCTCACTCATGAGGGCTCTGCCTTTATCACCTAATAACCTCCCTAAGGCCCCAACTCCTAATACCATCACATTAGGGGTTTAGGGGTTCAGCATATGAATTTTGTGGGGGACACAGATTTTCAGTCTATAGCACGAAGATAAAGGAATTTTTTTCCAGAAACAGAGACAAGAACACTGTCAAAAATAATTTTGAAAAACTGGAATGAATTGTCCTTTTATGAATTGGTCACTTGGCAAACTGGATTTGAGCGACTTGGATTTTGGTCAGCTGAAATTCAGTCAACTGACTCGTGCCTGTCCAGTTCAGGAATGTGACCCTTGGCACTCAATGTGCCGACCATGAAGTGGTGCATGGGAGGGCAGGATTCATGCCTGAAATAGTATGAGTTTTGGGGAAAAAATTTAGAGGATTTGTGATCTCATGGATGTCTAAGAAAAAGCATAATGGAAATCAGGAGAAAGGATATCCAGAAAAGGAGGTATTTGTGATCAGAGTACAAAATTAAAACTTAAACTTTTAATGGGGGAGCTATTCCTAGAGATGACAAGGTCTAGTGTGGGGGTATGGGTTATTGGAGACTAGATGGTCACGAAGTACATAAAGTGATAGTCACTGGTATTAAAGTTGTTAAAAGAATTGCGATGACAGCAAGAGTTGAGTAGGGAAAAGGACTGAGCAGGTGTCAAATGAAGTGCCTGGGAGCTGAATGATGATGATAACAAGGAAGGATAGGTGGTGGAAGAACCAAACAGCAAGAGCTCCAAATCATGTGTATTTTAATGAGGAAAGATAGGTTACAGTTTGCCAGCAACAATGGGAAACTAGAAAGTTCACCTTTCCCTTACCTCCCACTGCCAGCCTCAATCTGACCAAAATATGAAATAGTCACTAAAGAAGACAAAAGGAAACATGCTATGGAAAAAGACAGCTCCCATTATGGCAAAAAGATGGTGGACTCATAGTTTAAAGAGACTGAAGACATAGGAGGGTTTGTTTACTTGGTAATAGGGATCCCATAGGGCACAGAGGGAAAGATTAGGAAGAAGGGAAGAATTGAAGGGTGAACTAAGAAAGAGGAAGTAGAGAACAAGACGAGGATGGGAGCTGGGTCAAGGATTGGTGATGAGAAGGCTTCACTTGGCTCGTAGGGCAAGTGGAGTTTCCAGCTCAAGGTTCTGAGGAGCATCTGGTAAAAGCAATTTCAGGGACTTACAAGCCGAGGCCTGATGTCCCAGGGCTCCAAATATTAATAACAAGATGTTGACAGAATGAGTCAAGGTCTAATTCAGCATGTTCAGCAAACATTTCCTAACCATGTATTATGAGCTTGGCACTGGGGATTAAATATTTGTAAGTCTCAACTTTAGAACAATAACCACAGTCAGCTTATAGTTCCAACGTGGTCAATATGCATAATTGCTAACCTCTCTGAACTTTGGTTTTATTGCCAGTCTTTACAGATTATTCAACTTGCCCAGGGGTGAAAACTGAAAAACAAATGAGACATATTTCATTTAAAAAAAAAAACAGAATCTCTTGGCCAGCTGTTTTGCAGATTTTTCTTGCTCTGTTGGAAGTCTAGTTCGTATAACCTAGCTATAGAAGGGAGTATAGAATAAGAAAGGTATAGAACTTCCAGTGATAAGACTGAGTGAACTGGTTTTGTCACGTCATCATTTTCCTTTTTTTAAAATTTCAATAGTTTTGGGGGGATAGGTGGTTTTTGTTATATGGATAAGTTCTTTAGTGGTGATTTCTGAGATTTTTGTGCATCCATCACCTGAGCAGTGTACACTGTACCCAATGTGTAGTCTTTTATTCCTCATCCCCCTCCCTCCCTTCCCCCCAAGTACCCAAAGTGCATTATATCATTCTTATGCCTTTGCGTCCTCATAGCTTAGCTCCCACTTATAAGTGAGAACATACAATATTTGGTTTTCCGTTCCTGAGTGACTTCACTTAGAATAATTATCTCCAACTCCATCCAAGTTGCTGCGAATGCCATTATTTCATTCCTTTTTGTGGCTGAGTAGTATTACACGGTGTATGTGTGTGTGTCTGTGTGTATAGTTATATATATATATGACTATATATATGACTATATATATGACTATATATATGACTATATATATATATATATAGCTCCCACTTATAAGTGAGAACATACAATATTTGGTTTTCCATTCCTGAGTGACTTCACTTAGAATAATGATCTCCAACTCCATCCAAGTTGCTGCGAATGCCATTATTTCATTCCTTTTTATGGCTGAGTAGTATTACATGGTGTGTGTGTGTGTGTGTGTGTATAGTTTTATATATATAACTATAACGGGGGCCTGCTGTGCACTACTCTGACGAGGAATTCCACCGGGGCAAATACCTATCTGGGAGCGCTCTTAGGAAGTGCTCTTAGGATCCGCATAGCTCAACCTGGCCAGAGTCCCCTGCAGAGATGCTCTACAGGGCAGGCATAAGCTGCCTAAGGGGCTGCCTCGACCGTCCGTTAATCACCTTGCTTCCTGGTTGGGAACCAAGAAATGTATATATATACATTTCGTGTACACATATGCGTGTGTGTATATATATATATGTGTGTGTGTGTGTATATATATAAAACTATGTATAGTTATATCTATATAGTTATATATAGATATATATAACAATTTCTTTATCCACTCATTGATTGATGGGCATTTGGGCTGGTTCATATTTTTGTAATTGTGAATTATGCTGCTATAAACATGCATATGCAAGTGTCTTTTGTGTATAATGACTTTTTTTCCTCTGGGTAGATACCTAGTAGTAGAATTGCTAGATGGGTTTATACTTCTATAGCCCTTATGGCAAATTTTGATAACTTAGAGTATTTGGCAGGGATAAGTACGAAACCACTTGATCAATAAATGGAAACAAAAATGCTGACAGTTCTTAAGACATTTCTAACATGACTTTACCAATAATTTTAAAGCCAGCTTATTTATTAAAGATTTTACTTAAGTCACATGAACTTGAAAAGCATTTGGGCTTATTATTTAGTTTTATGAGTATTCTTTAAGTCAATTTGGTACCTTGTGGCCAAAGCACACAACAAAATATATGTATGTAAACATAAATACACATATACATGCCCACAGAAACAAAGATCCTATAGCTTTTACTTTAGAGTGCTAGGCATGGGATAGTAATACAAACTCACTGGTTTATAAAAACAATAACAAAAATTAAAAGTTGCACCCAAATAGTGGGTTTTATCTCAGTAGAAAAGTAACAGCAGATTTAAAGCAAGCAGAAAAGAAAATAGAGAAATAGACAACTTAGGAACTCTTTAGCTGCAGGTCAACCTCTGGGCTCTGAATTTTTCCTTGATGTAATTTGCCCATCAGTTTAAAATGTGCACAAAATGACTGTAATATGCAACCAGCTGAAGTACTAGAGAACCTGGCATGCCCTCGACCTTTTCCATTTTACACAAACACTTGCAAGTAGAGGCACCATAAAACCAACGAGGTGCCCAAAAGGGGGTCCTTCTCCTTGTTCTTCCTCATTCTTAGATGATTCATTTCCCACATTTTTTTCATAAAAGGAGAAACTGAGCTGTGGCCTAGGGTTTAGTGTAGTGGAGAGAAGTGTGCTGATTGTAGGTGGGACTCCACAGCGTGTCACCACCAAGTCATTTATGCCCTCTTTCTCTCTCTGAAGGGCTAGCACCTTTAAGAGGGCTCGAAATACAGAGTGACCAGCTCTTACATGCATTTCCTGGATGAGCCTTTTTAAACTAATTTTGCTGGAGGTTCCCTGTAGTTCCTGTAGTTCCCCATTCCAAAATGCAAACTGCACTTTGCAGGGAGTTCAACCCCCAAGACATTCCCACTTGGCCCAGTGGGTACCAGTAGTGGGATTGCTGGATTGAATGGTAGTTCTACTTTTAGTTCTTTAAGGAATCCCCATACTGTTTTCCTTCCTACCAGCAATGTAAAATGTCCCCTTTTCACCATATCCATGCAAACATCTATTATTTTTTATTTTTTAAATTATGGCCATTCTCGTAAAGGTAAGATGGTATTGCATTGTGATCTTATTTCAACTGTTAGAGAAAACAGTCCTTCCTCTCAACTCTAGGATCATTCCTATGTGGTTTACACGGGGGATTATAGGAACAGATACACTCTGCTGCTCCTCTAGAAGAAAATCTAGGAAAAGCAGTAGTGTTCTACTGTATGCCTTGCATGTGGCACCACTCATAATAAACTGGTAATAAACCAGCTGTTTCTTAAGAAGTTTTCTGTTTAGGCTGTGAAAACTATGTTCAATTTGGAACTATCATGTAAGAACTTAGCTAAATCCTGAAGAACTGTCAGGAAATTGTTCTCAGAAATCACGTATTCTATCTTCTACCTGGTTATGTTTGCATAGCAAATACTGTGGGAATGCAGCATTGAATCTGCATTCTGAAAAAAATAGCCTCTCTCAAATGGTTGAAATAGAAAAGCAATTTAATAAAGTACCTAAGCTATTTAATCATGCAGCAAGTTCATATATTAAAAATGCATTTCCCTATGAAATTATGGCTATTTTAACCTTAATACAAGTAAAGTAAAAATCATTGTAAAATATTTTGACTTACCATCAGAAAGCTAGACAGGTGATGATAAGTGGAAAGCTCAGGTTAATGGAGAGTTAAAAATATTTGTACTACTCATTGTTTAGATGTGAAGTTGTTTAGCACATGTAGGATTATGTCCTGTATTTTCCTTCCAACCCGTAGCAACCAATTTCATAATCCCAACTCTAGAAATATTTGTTACTTTGATGCCTTTTATAGTTGCAGATTTCAAGAAATATTGGACTTAACACTAAGTTAACTATGATACATCTATCCAGCAGTGAATTCAATTCAGTAATTATGATTTCCCATTGTATGCTACGCCTTTCGGAGTATATATTTATATAAAACAATAATATTAACCGTGCCAACATTTGACTGAAAAAATATCTAATTTCTTTCTTATGAGCCTTCCTCACAAGAAAATGACTCTGTAATCCATATAAAATTTCTTCCATTAACATACTAGTGTGTTACTGTTGACATATATTACAATTCCCAAAGAGAAGAAGATGAATCATTTGTTTTGGCAAAAGTTCAAACCACTTGGTAAAATTATTAGGAAACTCTAGTGGCAACCACCAAAACCACTTTCAGTGCTGTGTTGTTCCTCCCAACATCTCTCAGGTACAGTTTTTCTTAGCCCCAAAACATTGTTTGAGTAAAGGTATCCTACCTCCTACTGAAAAGGAAAAAAGAAAGCAAACTTATAGCTTACTTGTCAGCTTCCTACTTAAAAGCATTCCTCCAGCCTATCGATTCGTGGAATGACTCAATTATTTCTTGTTTAATTGAAGTGTAATATGTATGAGAACACAGAAATTATCTAGCCCCATTTTCTCATTTAACAGATTTGCAGAATTGTGGCAAAATGGAGGTTCACTGACAACCATGGTCACCTTTCATGACTTTTTGTCCGTTTAGTTTCACTTTAAACATTTACTAAGTCAGAAGCTGTCATTTCTTTGAGAAGTTATAGGTAAGTAAACAAATTGAAAAAAATTATCAGCATGAGTTGAGAAGACAGTTCATCTAAAATGAAGTAGAAAGATGGGGTAAGAAGATCCCCTTCCTAATTGGAAGTAGGCTGACTTGGCAATTTTAATTGTGTGTAGTGCGTAAATAAGTTCTACTAGGTGAGTTCCAATTATAGTTACGTTTTTACTCCAGAAAATCCAGGTTTTTCTTTGAACTGGAAATCCTGCTCACAATCTGCATTCTCCGCTCAACCATGACTGGAACTTGACAAAGGCTCTATAATCATGCAAACATTTCCTGGTGACTTCACCTTCTAGTTTCGATTTCTAGTCGGACAAATGAAGAGATCTGTTGTAATGCGAAACTTTGGCATTTTGCATTTAGTTTGTTTAACACTGTTGCATAATGCGTTTCACCAGAGGTGAGTTAGTTGGCAAGACTTGATTCATTAAAGATAATCAGTTATTCATTTATTCATTCATTTAACAAATACCTACGGACATCGGATTTGTGCCAGCTAAAGTCATATGCTGAGTGCTGTGGATTCAGAGCTAAAAGCCAGTGAGCTCAGCCTGGAGAGGACACTGATACTCAAGCAGGTGATTCCACTGTGGTGTGGCATGTATTACCTCTGTGGGAACTCAAAAGAGGTGTGGCAGATCTGTCAGAGTGGTGGAAGAAGCTATAGGGAAAGAAGCAGGCCTTTTGAAAGGTCAGAAGGCTCTGCAAAGTTTCAGGGGACAATAAGCTGAAGGCAGCTGTTCTCTTACCCTGGGGCAGAGGGTGAGACACAGGTACAAGGAAATAACAGGGGAATTTATCTCAATAGGCTTGTTTACCCATGTTGTCCAGAAACCCACCTTTGACCATCCACGCACGACTGCTCCCTGTAAGGGGGAACAATAATGTTAATTACCTGCAGATTGTGTTTGCTCCAGGCTTTCGGCATTATGTCTGTACTAAATAAAACCATGCAGTGCTAGCTTATCAAGTCTGCTCTCTCTTCAGCCCCTAGTGCGGGCAAGTCCCTTAGCAGCTCTTACACTGCATACCTGTGTCTGAGTACTCCTTTCATCCATCGCTCAGCCAGGGTGTGTGGGACAGACCTGGCAGCTGGTGCCTGCTGTGAGAAACACTACAACGGATTGCAATGGAACCCTCAAAAATGAGGGTGAAGAGTCTGCGCCGTCCGTAAGTCATTGATGCCCAGTCGGGCTTTCCATGTTCGGGGAAATTTTCAAGCTAGGGTTTCATCATGGGACAACAGTTACCCACTTGACAGAAACAGTATATAAAAGTATTGAAATAGCTGCTTAAAGCTAGTGGAGCCTCAGTTTCGCAGGTTCAATTAAGGGACCTAATGCAAACTGTTGTTTCCAATAACCCATGGTTCCCAGAAGAAGGCACGCTAGACCTAGAACTCTGGGAACAAGTGTGGAGAAATCTTAAACAACATCATGCACAAGGGCAACAGGTCCCAGTAACATCTTTAATGTTATGGGCATTAGTTAGGGCTGCTTTGGCCCCGCTCTACACAGAAGAGCCTAAAAAGGGAAGGGAAGAGGAAGCATCACCTACCTTACTGCCTCCTCCTCCTCCCTCAGCCCTGCCATTACTGGGTAAAGATATAAAAGAGGAAACAGAGGTTTCTCTGGAGCCCCCCTCCCCAAATAAATTGGAAAAAAGACAAGGGATACACTACAGTTATGGGACCCTGTCTTAGGCGAGTGGCATTAGAAGGGGAGCTCTTGGCCTGCCCGGTGATGCAAGATCAACAAGGCGATTGGGTATATGAACCCATTACTTTTGACACTTATAAAGAGATAAGGAAAAGCATTAGAGAAAACGGAGCCGCTAGCCCATATATGAAAGGATTAATCGAGGCCATGGCAGACAGTTTCCATATAACCCCATGGGACTGGTCAGTATTAGCTAAAACAACTTTAGAAGCCAGTCAGTACCTCCTCTGGAAAGCAGAATTTGATAAATTGTGTGGACAACAAGCCAACCAAAATCAATTGGCCAGGCAAAACATAACAGCTGCAATGCTCCAGGGAAGGGGTCCTTATGTTATTATACAACCTCTAATCATGCCCATCCCTGTTAATCTTTGGGGATGGGACCTATTAGCCAAATGGGGGGGTCACTCTGCAGACCCCCTTCTAATAATGGCCACTGTTGTTATTCCTCCCCTACCCCTGATGTAGCTCTCTCAAAATCCTATTTGGGTAGAACAGTAGCCTTTAAAGGGAGAGAAATTACAAAGAGCCCATGAATTAGTTGAGGAACAATTAAAAGCCAGCCATATAGAACCATCAAACAGCCCTTGGAATTCGCCCATTTTCATCATTCCCAAAAGGTCTAGTAAATGGAGATTTTTGCACGGCCTACATGCTATCAGTGCTAATTTGCAACGCATGCGGCCCTTTCAACAGGGGCTCCCTTCCCCACGGCGATTCCTCCAGATTGGTCTATAGTCATTATTGACTTAAAAGACTGTTTTTATACTATTCCCCTTGCAAAACAGGACAGAGAAAAATTTGCGCTTGCAATACCAGCTATCAATAATGAAAGGCCAGCTTGCCGATTTCATTAGAAAGTACTCCTCAAGGAACGCTGAACAGTCCTACTATGTGTATCATAGAAATCAGGTTTTGATTCCCAGTAGAAAAGAATTTCCTAATTGCAAGATCATCCATTTTATGGACGATGTCTTACTGGCAGCCCCAACAGAGCCAACACTTTTGCGTCTATATGCCTCTGTCAAAAAGAATTCACAGTTAAGAGGTTTAATCATAGCACCTGAAAAAGTACAGATGTCCTCTCCTTGGAAATATCTTGGATACATACTAACTTCCCAGTCAGTAAGACCTCAGAAGGTTAAATTAAATACTAACAACTTACACACCTTAAATGATTATCAAAAATTACTCGGCGATATTAACTGGCTTCACCCCACCTTGGGCATAACTACTGACAAGTTACAAAACCTGTTTTCTATACAAAAGGACAATGCAGCCCTGAACTCCCCTCAATATTTAACTGCCACTGCAAAAAGAGTCTATCCTCTCCTGGATAGACCTCCACTCCTGGGGACCACTCTTTGATTCGAAAAGAATATTACTGATTATACTCATGTTTGTCTCATGTTATTTACTAATTCTAGGATGCAAAGCTGGAAAACGAGCTGTAGCCGCTACACCTGACAAACCCGTTGCTGCACATATATGTACTCTTCAATCAACAAGACCTGATGCAAAAAACAGAAAAGGGGAAGATGTGAGGGATCAGTCAGAGTGGTGGGCTCAAGAGTGGACTTAATGAGGGCTGTCTCAAGGTTCTGTAATAAATAAACAGAGTAAGCAGTCACTAACAATATTGATATGCTGAGTGGAAAAGGTTTCTACGGCTAATATTAGGGCTCCAACCTCAGCTCTTTGAGTGCTAGTAAATCCAGATAGAGTGAGGGAGTTATGTGGTTCCCACCAGACAGCTGCTTTTCCATTTTTACCAGAGCCATCGGTAAAAAGCATTAAAGCGTTAGGTATGGGGGTGTGAACTACCTTTGTAGGCATAGCTACAGGAATATGAGATAAGAACTGAAGTAGTTTGTCAGCAGGAAGGCCATGTTCTATACAGCCCGCATAATCAGAGAGTGCTATCCTGAGGGTCTAGAGGTAGGAGCAGGACTGCTTTGAATTGTTTTTTACTTAAGGGAATTCTTATGACATCAGGGTCATAACCTAGCAATTATTTGCATCATCTGCAGCCTGTATAGATGACTTTACTAACTAGCTGGACATAGCGAGATAGTGTTTTGGTCCCGGTATATGAGCAAAAAACCCACTCTAGGAAGCGTAGCCCTGGGGCCATCTGTCCTGTTAATTCTGTTGGGGAATGATTAGTAGGAAAAACAAACAATTGGAATGAATATCGTGGGTCTATGCAATCTAGTTGCCTCTGAGAAATAGCTTGCTCTGTTTCCTGTATGAAACCCACTTGATCGTGGTGGATTATCTTTTTGATACCACCTGTTCCCCAATAACCTATGGAAATCAAAAAAAATTTTTTAAAATAAAGAACAGTATCTGGCACACAGCAGGAGTTCAATAAATATTTAAGAAAAGAAAAACTTTTTGTGTAACCAAACACCACCTGTTCCCCAAAAACCTTTTGAAATAAAAAAATAAAATTTTAAAAAAGATTACATTATTAAAAAATAAATAAATAAAAAAGAAGACTGGGTGCGGGGGCTCATGTCTGTAATCCCAGCACTTTGGGAGGCCGAAGCAGGTAGACCGCTTGAGCCCAGGAGTTTAAGACCAGCCTGAGCAGCATGGTGAGACCCCATCTCTACAAAAAATACAAAAAAATTGGCTGGGCATGCTGGCACATGCCTCTGATCCCAGCTACTCAGGAGGCTGAGGTGAGAGGACCACTTGAGCACAGGAAGTCAAGGCTGCAGTGAGCCACAAACGTGCCACTGCATTCCAGCCTGGGTGACAGAATGAGACCCTGTCTCAAATGAGTTTTTAAAAAGAGGTAAAATCAATATATTTTATAAATTTAATTATGGGTTAGCCCAATTTCTGAAATTAAAGTTTCAGCTAATGGGATTTTCAATGTACATAGCTTTTGTGATTAACTTAGATTATTCTAATAGCTAAAAATATCCACTAGTGTAGCTAACCATGTATTGGGGAATCTAAGCTTGTATAATTTACACATGAATTAGGTATATATTTTATCAAAACTATACAATGTTGAGTCCCTCCTTGCCAATGGGTAACACAGTGCTTAATGACACTTTAGCCAGTCTATAATTTTTCTTTCTTTTGTTATTAACAGTCTTATTTTGGCATTTAGGCCCCAATCTTGACCAACTAAAATAAAAATAAAAACAAATCCTTTAATCTCAAATTCAATTCACTACTCATTTCCTTCCTTTCTCCATCTGGGTCCATATTATTTTCTCCAGTATCTCTAAGATACTGAGGATGTACCAAGGATAGCGCACAGATCATAGTGGGTGTGGGAATCTTTTATCTGAGTCACCTCTTCCCCTTCTCTCTTATAAACTCTAGCTCCCACCAGTTGGGAGCAGGGAAGAAGGATAACAAAGGCAAAAGTGGTTTAGCTGTGATTCCAGACAGCTTCACCCTTTGCTGGTGGGCTATACCCATATGGTCTTCACTGTATGAGGGGCATGTACAATTTTTGGGGTGGGTGCTGTATTCAGCTTCACTCCAGCCCCTCTGTAGCTGAAGACCCTGTTAAACTCTACTAATGTCCTTAGCACTACCAGCAATCTCAACATATCCAGGAGTCTTTTCCTTACCCCAGAGGCTGACAAGGTCAAATACTTCTGCCCCTTCATTAACCCCATGCTCCTTTATCTGTAGCTAAGGTTACTCAGATTCTCTTCCTACCTTTAAGAGCCTCACAGATGCTGCCATCGGGGGATGTTGCCATGGCTTTCTTAAGTAGATTCCAGTAAGGTCCCTTTAAACCCTGCTGGTAAGGTTACTCCAACCAATGAACCAACTTTCTTCCTTCTCTCCTTCCTCCCTGTTTTCATGCTTTCCTTCCTTCCCACCAGCAGTGCTAATCAGTTCCAGCCACTCTGCTCTGCTCCTTGCTAGCACTTGCTGTTCAGTAGTTTTTACCGTCAAGGTTTCTTATTTTGGTTTGTTTTGTTTTTTTTTAACTATTATAATAGTGCAGTATGTCTCACTGTGGTTTTAATGACTAATAATGATGAGCATCATTTTGTGTAGTTACTTGCCATGCATATGTTTTCTTTGATGAATTGTCTGTTCAAATCATTCGCTTATTTTAATAGGTTGTCTTTTTGTCTATTGGTATGAATTCTGCATATATTCTAGCTATAAGTCCAGTGTTAGATATTTTGTAAATATTTTTCCCAATTTGTAGGTCAAATTTTCATTTTACTGAGAGTGTTTTTTGAGGAGGAAAAGTTACTAATTTTGGTGGAGTCAATTTATAATATTTTCTTTTATGAATTGTGCTTTTGTTATCAAATACAAGAAATGTTTGCCAAACCAAAGACCACAAAGATTTTCTCTTATGTTTTCTTATAGAAATTTCCTAGTCCTAGGTTTTACATTTAGGTCTATAATCTATCTTGAGTTACTTTTTGAAAGTGTGGGAAGCATGAGTCAAGGATCTTTTTAAAAGATATGCATATTTACATACACTGAAAAATTAGACAGTTGTACATATGTGTGTATGTGTATAAAATTGCCCAATTGTTCAGCACCAACTATTGAAGACTATTCTTTTCTCACTGAATTGCCTTTGGACATTTGTCAAAGTTGAATTAACCATATGTTTGTAGATCTCTTTCTAGATTCTCTATTCTGGTCCATTGATCTATGCTTCTTTCCACTTACCAATAAAACATTCTTGATTGCTGTAATTTATGGTAAGTCTTGAAATCATTACTGTGATTCTTTCAGCTTTTCTTTTTCAGAATTGTTTTAGCTATTCTAGTTCCTTCCCATTTCCACATAAAGTTTAAAACCAGTTTCTTGATTTCACAGAAAATATTCCTGATATTTTGATTGGGATTACACTGAAACTCCAGACCAATGTGGAGAAATCTGAACATCTCAACATTGACTCTTCCAATCCATTAACACAGTATATTTCTCTATTTAGGTCTTCTCTGATTTCTTTCAAAAGTGCTTTGTAGTTTTCAGCAGATAGCTCTTGCACATATTCAGTTAGATTTATATCTATGCATATCATGTTTTGTGCTATTGTAAATGGTACTAGCAACTCTAATAGTACACAGAAATACAATTGATTTTTGTCTGTTGACTTTACATCCTACACCTTTACTCAACTTGTTAATTGTAGAAGCTATTTTGAAGATTCTATGGATTCTCTTATTTTTTATTTTTATTGGTGGAGAATATAATCTATTTTTATTATATTTACTGATATATTAATATATTTCTTTTTTGATATTTATTTTTTAAAGATTAAGATATGATTGATGAAAAATTTGTATATTTTATATACTTATGGTGGAAAACATGTTTTATTTTTTTTCATAAACACAGCAATTCCCAGGAATACAATATGGTGTTTTCATATAAGTATACCTTTGTAATGATTCCCGCAATTGAGCTAATTAACATATTTTTTCACCTGACATAATTATCATTTTTCTTGTGTTTGTGTTGGGAACACTTGAGATCTATTACCTTAGCAATTTTCAAGTATGCAATACATTATTATTAACTATAGATACCATACTGTCCATTAGATCTCTGGAACTTATTCATCTTATAACTGATAGTTTGTACCCTTTGACCCGTATCTGCCTATTTTCTCTATCCGCCATCCACTGGCAACCACCTTTCTACTCTCTGTTTCTCTAAGTTTGACTAGTTTAGATTCCACATGTAAGTAATATCAAGCAATATTTGTCTTTCTGTGTCTGGTCTATGTTATTTAGCATAATAGACTCCAAGTTAATTCATGTTGTTGCAAATGTCAGGCTTTCGTCTTTATAAAAGCTGAATAGTATTCCATCGTGCATACATATATAGTATATATGTATCATATATATGATAAATTGTGTGCATATATATATAAATTGTGTGTATATATATATACACATATGTACATGTGTGTACATATACTTTATATACACATGTACATATGTATGTATGTATATAAGATTGCTCAATTGTTCAGCACCAACTATTGAAAAGACTATTCTTTTCCCACTGAATTGCCTTTGGACATTTGTCAAAGTTGAATTGACCATATGTTTGTAGATCTCTTTCTAGATTCTCTATTCTGGTCCATTGATCTATGCTTCTTTCCATTTACCAATATAACACTCTTGATTGCTGTAATTTATGGTGTGTATACACACACACACACACATTGGAATATTATTCAGCCTTTAAAAGTCTGAATATAGACAAATATTTTATATATATATATATATATATATATATATATATATATATATATATATCTCAATCACATGTTCTTTATCCATTCATTCACTGATGGAAGCTTAGATTGGTCCCATATCTTGACTACTGTGAATAATACTGAAGTGAACATGGAAGTGCAGATATCTCTTCAAGACACTGATTTCATGCCCAGCAGTGGGATTGTTGGATCATATGGTAGTTCTGTTTTTAATTTTTTGAGGAACCTCCATACTATTGTCCATAATGGCTTTATTAATTCACATTCTCACCAACAGTGTACAAGGGTCCCTTATTCTCCACATCCTCAATAACATTTGTTATCTCTTTACTTTTTGATAATAGTCAAACTAACAGCTGTGAGGTGATATCTCATAGTGGTTTTAACTCTAAATTCCCTGATGGTTAGTGCTGTTAACCACATTTTCACATACCTGTTGGCCATTTGTATGTCCTCTTTGGGAAAATGTATATTCCAATCTTTAGCCCATTTTTAAATCAGGTTATTTGTTTTTTTGCTATTGAGTTATGTGAATGCCTGATATATTTTAGATATTAACCACTTATTAGATATATAATTTTCGAATATTTTCTCCTATTCTGCAGGCTGCCTTTTCATTTCATTCCCTTTGCTTTGCAGAAGCTTTTAATGTAGGCAATAATGTTATGTTAGCAAGAATTAGACTCACATATTGTACAATTTCAATTTTGGGGAAGAGCCAGTGTGGCGAGTAGTTGTAGGCTAGTATTACTGGTGATAACTAAAAGTTAACTTAATATAGAACAGGTTATTTTGATGACTGATGCTAGTTCTATCAAGTTTTAAGTGGTAATGGTGGCATTTGTAGTTGCAGGTTCGGATGTGTTGACAAAAAGAGTCAAACTCTGTAAAATATTTTAAGAGATTAATTCTGAGCCAAATATGAGTGACCATGGCTCATGACATAGCCCTCAGGAGGTCCTGAGAACATGTGTCCAAAGTGGCTAAGGTACAGTTTGGTTTTATATATTTTTAGGGAGACATGAGACATCAATCAAATACATTTAAGAAATACATTGGCTTGGTTCAGAAAGGCAGGACAACTCAAAGTTGGGGCTTCCAGGCTATAGGTAAATTTAAACATGTTCTGGTTGACAATTGGTTTAGTTTATCTGAAGACCTGAGATCCATGGAAAGGAATGTTCAGGTTAAGATAAAGGATTGTGGAGATCAAGTTTTATTGTGCAGAGGAATCTCTCAGAAAGCAGACTTCAGAGAGAGAGCAGGTTGTAAAGTGTTTCTTATTAGACCTAAAAGGGTGCCTGGCTCTTAGTTGATTATCTCCTGGATCTGGAAAGAAAGGAAGGAAAACAAAGGGGAAAGGATATTCTCTACAGAATGTGGAGTTTCTCCACAAGAGACTTTGCAGGACAATTTCAAGGTATGGCAAGGAAATATATTTTGGGGTAAAACATTTTGATTTTTTTCCCTTGTTATGCCAGAGTCAGATTAGAAAGTAAGTCACAATATACAGGGTTAAATAAAACCCATCTGATGAGAATTTATGGTTTGTAGGGCATGACTCCCCATACCCCTTAGAAAGGAATTTGGGCAAGATGAAAAATCAGAGCTTAGTCCTCAGATGAATAGGTGGAGATTATACATTGTTGGAAAAGAGTGATGAGCATTGTTACTGTAGGCTAAGTAGAAGTTACAGTAGTTATAGGTTAAGTGGAAGTGGTTGCAGATTCAGTTGAAGGGAATGTAGTTGTTGATTCAGTCAAAGAGATGGTCGAAGTGGTGATTATTTGAGTTGTCAAGTAAGTTTAAGTTGAAGTAGGACTTGATTTTGTTGAAGTTGTAACGGTTATAGAGTCTGTTAAAGTGACTGCAGCCATGATTCCACTTGAAGTGATAGGAGTAGCTATTATAGTTGCAAACTGAGTTGAAGTGGTAGAGGTTGAAGTTTCAGTTGAAGTGATGGCTATGGCTGTTCAAATTATAAATGATCGGTAGGTGCAACAGTTATAGGTTCTGTGGAAGTGGTGGCAGCTGTAGCTGTTGAAGTTGTAGATTCAGTGGCTGTACTTGCAGGTACAGTTGAAGTGGTGGTCATTGTAGGTGGACAAGCAGGAGAGGGTGTTCCAGGTTTGACAGTCACACACTCTCCATCATTTGTGGATAGCTGGATAACAATGGAGGAATTGGCCGATCCTTTGTTATTCACCAAGCATATTATAAGTACTCCAATTGCTGTCATTATCACACAGGCTAAGAGACAAGCCAGGAAGACTTTCCACATAGACCAGTCATTGCGGCAATATTCTTTTACCTAAGCATGTATATAAAAATATCAGCAATGAAAAACAAAAATGCTTGTAATTTATCATCTCTTTTATATTACTTATAACTTATTGGGTTAACATCATTTGAGTCACTATGTGTCTCTGAAAGATGGGCTTGAAGTCCATGTTTTCATGCAGGTGGAAATAATTGTCTGCTGTCCCTTACATTAGAAGAAAGACAAATTTGCAAAATCTCATCTTCTCTTATTCTATTTTCCATTTGTCTTTTTTCTTTTTAACAGACTTTATTTTCAGAGCAGTTTTAGGTTGACAGCAAAACTAAGCAGGAAATACAGAGATTTCCCACATCCCTCCTGCCCTCACACATGTTCAGCCTCACCAGTTGTCAACTTCTCCCATCAGAGTAGAACATTTGTTACAATTAATGAACCTACAATGATATACCATTATCAGATTACTTTAGGGTTCACTCTTGTTGGTGTACACTCTATGGGTTTGGACAACTATATGATGACATGTATTTACCATTACAGTATCATGCAGAGCAGTCTCACTACCCTAAAAAATCCTCTGTATTCCTCTTATTCTTTCCTCTCTCACCCCTACCTTTTTTTTAATGTGAGAACAACATCTCATATTGTTGTTGAGAAGATTAAAAATAACATTGATAAAGTCACTAGTTTTCAAAAGTATTATTTTTGTTTTGGATGCAGTATAATATAGAATTTAGAATTTAGAAACAAGGGCTTTGGAGTCCAACAGATTATTTCACTATTACCTGGATGAAAGCAAGATCTTCCAGGAATAGAATACAAAACTCATACCTTTCAGACAGAATACAGTAGGTCTGAAACATTACAAAATATGTGCCATGGTATTTGTTGGAAGACTAGAGTTTCATGAAAAGCCTGATGACACAAAGACAGCAGGGAATGAGGGCAATGGTCACCAAGGCCAGGGAAATGAGGGCCACTAAGATCAAGTTAGCCCTAGGACAAATAACGTCCTCTTTCCTTGATGGGAAGCACTGAAAAGGAGGTTCAAGAAAAGAAAGTGGCAAAAAGGCTTGTGTACATCTGGGAGAGGAGTCTATAATACTGCATCACACAAACTTAAAAAGAGCCCTTTAGTGGAATAAAATGCACATGATCAGACAAAAGGAAACTAAGTTCTCCTCCTGCTTTGGCCCCTTCTGGCAAAAACCGTATGAGTTCTAGCAACTCTCTAAACTTTCCTGAGCCATATTTTCCCTAATTGTTAAATGATTTAATGGGACTAGATCAGTCATTCTCATCACTAGTTGTACATTAGATTCATCTGGGTAGCTTTTAAAAACCATTGTTGTATGGGCCCCACCCCCCAGAGTTTCTGATTTAATTAGTCTGGGGTGGGGCTCAGGCACTTGATTTGGTCTTAAACAGTCCCCAGGTGATTCTAATATGCAGTCAAGTTTAAGAACCAGCAGAGGCTGGACATGGAGGTTCATGCTTGTAATCCTAGCATTTGGGGAGGCTGAAGCGGGTGGATCCCTTGAGCCCAGGAGGTTGAGACCAACCTGGGCTACATGGCAAGACCTCAACTCTACAAAAAATTAAAAAATTAGCCAGGCATGGTGGCATATGCATGTGGTCCTAGCTACTTAGCAGGCTGAGATGGGAGGATTGTTTAAGCCCAGAAGGTTGAAGCTGCAGTGAGACATGATTGTGCCACTGCACTCCAGCCTAGGTGACAAGAATGAGAACCTGCCTCAAAAAAACAAAAAAATAAAAAATAAAAATAAAAAAAAGAGCTAGCAGACTCAATGTTATTGAAGACCTCCTTCAATTCCATGATTGATATGGATTACTTTACCTCTGCAAACAAGAAGAAACATTTTCTAACTCCATCCTACTGAGCTTACTCTTTCACATTGTCCCAGAAACAGTATAAAGTTCATATTGTTTTGTCCAGAATCAAGAAACAAGCCTCAGAGGCTCTCTACTGAGTCTCTATAGCAAGACTAAGCAGCGAAAGGAAGGAATTCCAGAGTCTGGGGAATCAAACCAAACTGCCAAGCCATATTGGTAATTTATAGTCAATGTTAAATTTCTATACAAGGGCTGAAGACTTAAAGATACAGTCGTGAGGTAAAGTTCATTCAGCCTACAGGACATGAGGTCAGGAACCAAGGAGAGCTGAGTCTGGTCTCCAAAGCTAGTGGAGATGCTCCAGAGAACAGTAAGGTTTCTGTGTTAAGGTCGTATACACCAGAGGCCAGAACCCAGGGAGCTAAAGAAAGTGCCACACACAGGTTCGGAGGCTGCACAGAGTAAGAAAATAAGGTGATCGCCAAAAGAATAGGACCCATGAAACTTTAAATATGACAGTCTCCCATCAGAGTCTAATGGTGAATTAAACCCTAATATTGCCAACATTCTTATTCATCTGCCCCTCCCTAACCTTGCATTTGCACCTTACACTTATTCCTTTGATTTTCATGTATGTTCTCTATCTATTATAGATGTTTGAGTCCCCGATTAGAATGTTAGCTCTTGGAAAACAGAGACTAGCAAATATTTATTTTCTTGTGAATTGCCTCACAGTGACTTGTACCTATACTGAGAATACAGCAAATGCTTAATACAAATATAAATGAATTAAGTAATTAAGTACATTTCTTGGGAAAGAATAGGCAAAGTACATGCCCATATAGAGCACATCCCAACTTGAATAAAAGCTCCCGTGCTACACATTACCTGTGTGTTACAGGATTCTGACTGTAGACATCTTGAATGTGCAAGGATTCCTGGGTTCACGCAGACCCCAGTTAAGTTGGGAGAGACATCACTGGTTATATCATTTGAAGGTAGACACCAGCATATGGAACTGTGAGCCTCTTGGTCATTTGGATGTGTGATTGGCTACAAAGGCAGAGTGGAAGTGAGTAGGAAGCCTAGGAAACCATGGTGTTGAGTTGCTAAAATAAAATTCTTCTATCAAAAGTACCTAAGAGTATGACTTTTAAAAGGAATAAATGTTTTCTTATCCCCTGAAGATAAAAAAATCTAGACAGATTATTATATATTATACTTTAACTAATTTTGGTAGGCTACTAAAGTTCTAGTTCAGGAATGTGTATCCTCTTCCTCATGATATTACATAAATGGATCGAATATCCTTATGTTGCAAGCTGCTGTATGTGGAGCATATATTAAGAAGCCTCTATAAGGAAGAGGATGGTGAGCTGAAGTCCTTGCATCTTATTGGGTACAACCTGTTCAGGTCATTTTGGAAATGAAAATATTGAAGTGAAAAGAGTTGAAATGATTTGTCATCATGACACAACAGCTAGCACAGGAGCTCAGACCTTCCAGTGTTAAGGCCCATGTACTCCACTACACTATACTAGGAATAGTATATTCTTATGCTATGCCATACTATGCTAATACAGTAATGTAGTATATACTATACTACATGATACTAGTGAAAAATTCTTACACAAAGTGACTGCTTTACATAATTCATACCATGCTCTATCCAATGGAACTTGCAAGCCTATGGCAGTGACACAGAAGACAAATCATTTGTCGAATTTGCAGTATGTTTTTGCTGGGTTCCTCTTGGGCATAGAGCAATGTAAAAACAGTCCACAACAATACAGGTCTCCACTCTCAAGGAGTCTATTTGCTAACAGGGAGGCAAAACAGGTTAGTGTCTAATTAACAAATAAATGCAATAATTGTAAATTATTCAGAAAAAGAGGTAAATAAGGATTGAAAACAACTGAGTTGGCAGGGAAAGACTTTAGGGAAGGGGTGTGTTAAAAGAGGGGAAGGATAAGATAAAGTGAACATGAGAAAGGAGTAGATTCAGGAATTTATGGATCTTGTGGAAAAGTTTTTTGTTTTGTTCTGTTTTGTTTTGTTGAGATGGGATCTCTCTCTGTAACCCAGGCTGTAGTGAAGAGACACAGTCATGGTTCACTGAAACCTCGACCTCCCAAGGCTCAAGCAGTCCTCTCATCTCAGCCTTCTGAGTAGCCAATGACTATAGGCATATGCCTTCATGCTCATCTAATTATTTTTGATGTTATTTTTCATAGCGATGGGGTCTCCATATGTTGCTCAGGATGGTCTAGATCTCCTGGGCTCAAGCACTCCTCTGGCTCTGCCCTCCCAAGGTGCTGGCATTGTAAGTATGAGCTTCTGTACCCAGCCAAAAGTTTTGTTACATATCAAACATAATGTAGAATGATCTAAGGCTCTTCATCTCACAGGATGATAACGTTTACTTTCTAGCTGTGAATCAAGGTTATCTTTGGCCACTCCTATCAGCTTCAAAAGGAGAATACTAAAATTACCCACTTACAGATTTGCTCATATGATCACTGAGTAAATAACTGCCAAATGCTTGTAGCAATGTCTGGCACATAATACCCACTGAATATGTGTTAACTATCATTCTTGTTATTAGTAATAGTATTTTAATTACTACCGCTACTGCCACTAGTTGTCTTTGTGTTGATTTAATAACCCATTACTAATAGTTATAGAAATTACTGGCCAACCAACCAGTGAGTTCCATGAAAACTGTCAAACCAGAATGATACATAATCATTGACCCATTAGGAATTATTATTAAAAATACAAAAATATAAAATTGTCATTAAATATAGTTAAGATGGGATACTCCTGGCAGTGGACAATTAGCTAAGTTAATTTTTTCTGTAAATATAATATAAAAGAAATAGATATCAGTCCCATGTTTATCAAATATGAATAAACAAAATTCTACCTACTATTCATTATGCAAATTTGAATAAGTTGAATTTATCTTTGTTAATACCCTTGCTTATTTAACTAGGTGCTGATCCTGTTGTTTTCATTACATCCAATTTGCTTGTGGCTGATGAACCTGAACATTTTAATGCCTTTGCAAACAAAGTGAAACTCACTCAGTGGGGCAGTTTCCCAGAATTTTCTGGCCCTGTTAGAATCCCAGCCCTTTCAGAGAGGAAGGTGATGGGTGGGTCTACACTAAGGATGGGGAACCTGTGATCTAGGCCCAGTTTGCAGCCTAAGTAATAATTTTACTGTGTCAGGTTGCTCTGACTCTTACTACAGGTGGAGTCTCTATTCAAAACTGGAAGAGTTGAAGAGCTGTAAATAATGTTAACCAGCATTAGCATAATCAGCATTAGCTAATAATGGCCACAGGCAACTGAAATGCATTGGTTGTACTTAACTAAAGTACATTCGGTAAGTTTTTTACCCAAACTTTATAAGGATTAACTTGAGATTTCTTAGATCCCTAACAGAAAAACAAGGACACCAAAATTTATTTTCTGTGTGTTTATAATCTTCAAATACTTTTTAAATTCCATTATTGAATTTGGTTTGAAGAGAAAAATATAGTTATATCTATGCCTGAATAATATAATAAAGTAAAATATTTAGTCAGCTATCCAGATATATGCTGTAAAAAAAAACAATATAAGCTAATATTTGTAAACATCTTTACATTTGTTATTATCTAGAAAAACTATCAAGATGATACATACCTGACCAAGGATAATTTTTTTTTCCATCTGAGTATCTGAACATCTTGAAGATCCAATTACAGTGCTGCCTGAGCAACTGACCAAGCAGACTTCCAGACACCAGCCCAGGGAGTGAAGATCTTGGTTCTTTTGGTGAACCAGAAATCCTCTATAGGATTCTTGTATTAACACTTACTGAGAAACAGGACTTTCTTCTTTGGTTTATCTCATGAGTTACACAGGCTGATTACCACAGCTCCATATGACAAAAGCAAGCTATTTCTTCACACATGTTTCATTCATTCTGCTGGCAGTGAATTTTAACTCACTATTTTAATTCTCATTACATGTCCTTCCTTTTCTGAAGTCAAAGATTATTTGGTTGGATATAAATAGATACATAAAATCTGTATATGATACAGATATATGATTATGATAACTATACACTGAAGGCTTGGTTTTTGGTATAAAAATATTTTTTAAAAAGCAGACAAAATAGTCATATTTTGACACAGAGCAGGTATTTTTGGAAGTTTTCTTTCTTAGGAATATTAATATCTAGAATTAATATCTGGTTTTTCAGCATATTAAGAAATCTGAGTTCTGACAGGTCTAAAAATTCTAAGCATCCAATTGTAAAAACAGAACTTAATAAATAAACACTGACATCATTGGAGTTTATGTTTACATGAAGGTGAATATAGAAAGTTAAATGGATCTATTTGTATATCCTATGGCCATAGAAACATTTCTAATACTTTATAGCTATATATATTTAAATTAATACCTAAATATATAACATAGCAAAATAAAACATGAAAGTTACAGCACAAAAATTGATACAGGGTTGCTCTTTATTTTGGAGAAGAATGCAAAATTATGATGTTGGCTAGATAGTAATAAAGAGATTAAACTGCTTTTAAATGCTGAAAATGAAACTGTAATATAGGCAAACTATCAAAATGGAGCAAGGACACTCACCGGCTGGTTTTCAGAGTGCTCAACGTTCAATATGTATTTTCCATGCTTTCTGTCCATTCTTGAGCTGCCAGTATCACAAGCTTCTCTCCAAGAATATTTTTCAATTTGTTCATTGCCCTTTATATCTGCAACCATGAAACAATTAAAACACTGGTGGAAGTCAACTATGATGCATCAGTACAAGTGTGGATTAAACTAAATACTAATTATTCACTAAAACAGGATCCACCTTAGAGGAGGAAATGAAATGTTAACTGCAGAAAGACGCAAGAAAACCAGTACTTCCTCTGAAAGCTTTTGTGACTACTCCCTCTGAAAACCTTACATTATTGTTCCGTCTCTCCTCTTTAGTCCCATCATTCAGGAACTCACCTTTTATTTTAGGACCGACCCCAGAAAAACGTTCTGAGATAGAAATGTATCATTGCTTGCTTTCTACTCAAGCACAAAAGCCTCTCTCCCCTTGTTGGCACCACCTCTTAGGTACCCATGACCTTAGGGACACTTCACCTTTTCAGTCCCTGGGTTGGTGTCTGGAAGTCTCTTTGGTCAGTTGCTCAAGCAATTCACACTCATTAAAAACTATTAGAATCAATTTCCTAGGCAATAATGTCAAAGGAGTGATGGAATATTGAAAATCTTTAAGAAGAGGGTTTTTTTATTTTGGTCAAAAAATCTAGTTTGTCTTAAATTGTAAAATGATCAATTCTTGTATTGGTTTATTCACTCAACAAGTGAGAATACTGTTTCAAAAGTGTGCCAGGTATGTTTGTAGTGCAGAAAGTTCCATAATAAAAAAAAATTCCTATTCTCTTTGTATATGACACTTTTGGATTCTGAATATTTTTAAAGTTTAATCTTTGAAATTTCTCTTATAAATGTATTCAATACCTTCAGCTTGTAAGTTTTACCCTCAAGCTGTAGAATATAAAGAACATGGAAAGCTGTCAAGGAATTGAAAAACTGGGAAAAAAAATTGTTCTAAAGAGGAGTTTAAAATACGATGATTTGCTACAACACAGATGAACCTTGAGGACATTGTGCTAATTGAAATAAGTCATCACAAAAAAGACAAATACTGTAAATTTCACTTATATAACATACCTAGAATAGTCAAAATCATAGAGACAGAAAGTAGAATGTTGGTTGCCAGGGGCTGGGAGGAGGCGGAAATGGGGAGTTATTGTTTAATGAATACACAATTTCAGTTTGGGATGATAAAAAGAGATCTGGAAATGGGTGGCAGTGATGGTTGCAGAATATTGTGAATGTATTTAATACTCTTAACTGTATACTTAAAATGATTAAGATAATGAACTTTGTGTTATATGTATTTTACCACAATTTAAAAAGTGAAACACAAAGAAAAACATAAAGATTTACTCTTCTTGAAGCAAAGCAAACAGCCATGGGGTACAAGGGACCAACATGGGTTGAAGGTGTCAATAATATTAAAAATGACTTTTGAAAGACTTTTTGATTGATTTTTTGATTCATTTGAAAATCAGAAGAATATAATTAAACCAATAATATATATTAATTGTATATTTTTAAAATATTACTACAATTTTATTCTGCAAAAACATTTCATTTGGCAGTAGAGCCACATAGCCACAGTGGAAGTGAAACTCCATTACTATTGATGGCATCCACACATTACATCAATGGCATAAAGAGTGGAAGATTATTCTTGTCACTGGAGTCTCACCCTCACCATCTCTAACCGGCCAAGCAGTTACATGACTCAGCCACAAAATTTGGGAGAAAATTTTAAAATTTAAAATCAAAAGGAATAGTAACATAAAAATGAGACAACACATTGTTCTATAGCTAAATATACCATGTGAAAGTCAGATTTTTATTTTGCAAAGAATATTTCTTCACCATGTATTATGAACAATTCTTTGAATGCCTCAATCTAAACCTTAACAGAAAAAGCAGAGCACACCTGGATTGTTAGCATGACAGACAGCATGGATACCTCTCATTACCTTCTCAGAGTCGCCAATAAAGGATCTTTGTTCTGAGCAGGATTTATAACCAAAAAGAAATCTGAAAGTCTTGTTGGCTGACATGTGTTTGAGAGAACTCTGATAGCTGGCCATTTTTTCCACTCTAAGGCGGCAAGGGGAGGAGGCTGTTTTTCAGTCATCCAATAAAGAAGTGAATTGGCTGTTGTCTCAAAGCCTAGGTCAAAGTTGATTTTTTAAAATCATCTTACTCAAAAATTTTCTTACCTGAAATTTTGATATGCTCTGATTATTATTTCTTTGGTCTACTGATAAACTGAGAGCCAACATGACAGCTTCGGCCATGTGATCTTAGACATTTTAGGGAAAGGGATTATTATATTTCATCTTTTTTCAGACACAGAATTTCAAAGCCTAAGTAAAATGCTGACATGCAACCCAAAAAGCATGAAAGATCCTTGTGAAAAAAATAGAAACTGAACAATACATTTCCAAACTGCCCTGTCAAAATTACCAAAGAAATTTGAACCAATCATTAAAAGTAAGAATAAAAACTGAAACATTCTGTAAATTCATATATTTTTTTCACAACACAATTAGCATGTTCTTTATTGTATTTTTTACAAAGCTGAGCCAATACTTATACCAAGTATTCCTTTACTGAATCAAAAGTAATGAAACAGTATTTAAGCAATAAAATTGGATTAGAAAAATTAGTCCTATTCAAAATAGAAACTTCAGGAGGAAAACATGTTTTGATTTACATCACTGAATTTTCCAATTCCAAATGTAAAGTTTACTTATAAATTTTAAATATGGTTATACTGACAAAGCACAGTCTTCCATTAATTTATTCCCAACTGGAGGCCGGGCGCGGTGGCTCACACCTGTAATCCCAGCACTTTGGGAGGCTGAGGTGGGCAAATCACCTGAGGTCAGGAGTTCAAGATCAGCCTGGCCAACATAATGAAACCCTGTCTCTAAAAAAATACAAAAATTAGCCGGGCATGATGACGGATGCCTGTAATCTCAGCTACTCAGGAGGCTGGGGCAGAAGAATTGCTTGAACCCAGGAGGCAGAGGTTGCAGTGAGCCGAGATCTGCTATCACACTCCAGCTTGGGTGACAGAGCAAGACTCCGTCTCAAAAAAAAAAAAAAAAAATTATTCCCAACTGTTTATTGAGTGCCTAATGTATCACAGGCATGTCTGAAAACTGGATATCAAATTAGTAGCAACCAAGACAGACAAGACCTCTGCTTACAGTCTATTCTTTCTTTATCGAAAGCTTGACTTTTGATTTTAACTTTCAAATTTGTTTGAAGTGTTACTATTTTTGTTCAATCAAAGAGAATGTTCTCTTTTAGCTTTTTGTATGTTGGAATTAGAGAAAGGACCATAATGATAAATATAAATGATAAATATATAACAACTTCTACAGAATAAAAGGCAACTGTATAATTCACCTGTGTTTGAGCACAGCGACTAGGAATTCATGACTTACCTAGAAGTTGGTATTCCATTTTTGGGTGACTTTTGCTGTTTGAAAGTTCTTTCTCCTATAGATCCAAAATTTTCCTTGTCTCTCTGGCTGACTTACACCCTGATCCTCCTATATGGAGAGACCCAAAATAAACTATTTTTTCTTCAGAATATGGATATACAATCCCTGATACACAATTTCAGAAATCCAAAAGGCTTTGCAAACTGAAAATTAATTTGTATGTTTGGCATAAATTTATTTGGCAGTAAAAATTAATATAAACAAGAACATTTTGGGTCTTTAATAATCTTAGCATGGTTATTTATATGTTCAATTACAAAAAATATTAATGTGTGTTTCAGGCTACTAACACGTGTTGTGTAATATGCAATATATGTACCATATTTCATAAAATTTAAAAAAATTTGAATTATGAAACATATTTAACTCAAGCTTTTCACATGAGGTATGATGGGTTTGTAGAAACTTTACATTTTTTTTATAGCCAGGACCTCGCTGTGTTGCCCAGGCTGGACATGAACTCCTGGGCTCAAGCAACCCTCCCACCTCCGCATCCCAAGTAGCAGGAACTCCAGTTGTGCGCTATCACACTCATTTGTGTAAAATTTTACAATTTTTTAAAGACAGTTACGTCCCTCCTTATTCTCATCGTGCTGGAAAACTATTTCATAAAAGACTTGAAATAGTAAACTGACTCTCATGACTGCCATTTTAAAACTGTGAATGAGAAGAAAATATAGCTTCATCAATTGTGAAAAAATATACCATTCTGATGGGAAATGTTGATGATGGGGGAGGCTATGCATGTGGCAGGGACCATCAAAACATATTTTTCCTCTCTGTACCTTTTACTCAATTTTGATGTGAATCTAAAACTACTCTAAAAAATAAAGTATATTTGAAAAAAGAAGAAAAGAATAGCTTTAATTGCTGGATCACAGGAAAAGGTGCTACCCTTAGGCAATCTCTGACATAGATTTGATTTTACCATAGTATTACTGACATTATAGAAACGTTTATGTCCCTTCCAATTGGTGTACCACACTGCTCAAAGCTAATCTTTGTAATACCTACAAGAATTAAGTAGTAGTATCCCCACTTTTCTGATGACACATGTATGCTTTCAGTGACCTTTTACAAACTCAAGATTAGAGTGTGTGGCTCTCAAGATAACCATTCGTTTCTTGTCTGTGGCCATTTATTAGTGTCTAGTGTGTACCACACTGAGCCCTAAGAAGGATGGGGGGAAAAGGGAAAGACAACTCAGAGCTTGAATTCACTGTCAAGATCATACAACTTTGGCACCTTTAGAGATTCTGATGACATGTATCAAGATTCATCAGGGAGGTATGGATATTTACTGGAAGCATGGCCAGGGTGGTGCTGCCACCTGGAATTAGACCAGCCCATGAAAACAGAGATGGCTGGAATTCAGGTTTCTAAATAACACAGAATTTAGCAACTCCCAGGGTGGAGACATGTCTCATCATCCTTGCTGACCCTCCAAGTTCTGTCCAAGCATGAGACAAATGTTAGGACGTTCACAGAGTATGAGGATCGGCAATCAGCTGTGTGGGCCTTATTTTTGTGAACATCAAGGCCCCAGCTTTTGGAGCTGAGGTTTATCCATCAGTGGGACTACAGTTTTCAGGGATGAACACAAAAAGATTAAGGCAGGGATCCAGGCCTCATGAAAAAATTGTGGCAGATAGACTGCTTATTAGAATCAGAGCTCAGAATGAAACTCTCAGAAAATGTCAGGTTTAAAAGATGGGGCAAATAGAGAAACTGGGATTCATAAGGTCCAGAACCATAACTAGGTTATCAGATCTGGACCCGAGATTGGGGTCAACTCAACCTAGGAACGGAGTGGGGTGCAAGGGCTCAGCAGTGGAACATCATAGCCCTGTTCAGGGCTGCAGTAGCCAGGCTCGGTGTACAGTGGGCAGTGCAAACCAAGCAGTCTCAGAGTTCAAAGTTAGGACTTGGCTCCTTTCATCCACCTCACTGTGGATGGAGAATGGGGTGGTAAAAGACGAGAGCTCACGAAGCTGGAGCAGCTCATAGAACTCGTACCTGAGTCAGGTTTGGATATGGAACAATGATGGGAACTAAGGCAGGACTGAAGAAGGCTGTGATGAATTCAGCTCAGAGGAGCTGGTGAGGAGCAGCAGGTAGGCAGGATAGTGAGAGGAAGTGAGAATTAACCACTGGGACAGTGTTCAAAATATTAGGAAAGCAAAGGAAGTGATCTTTGAGGGATGAAGCTGGTGACAGTTTGGAAGAGGCAAGTTCACATCCAAATCTTAAAGGTCCTCAGTGCACATGGATGGACAGAGAGAAGGAAGGAGAAATTGTAGAAGAGAGAAGCAAAGACCACCATGAAGTGGTAGAAAGAGGCAAGGCACTGGGGGAAAGTAGGAAGAGTGGTCTGGAGGTAGAGTAAAAGCTAGAATGAAAATCGGTATTAACTAGATTACATAGGCAAAGAGGAAAGAAATGTCAGGATGTGAATTTTAAAATATGAATTGAAAAATGAACAATACAATAGTCTTTGGAGCAAGAAAATACATGAAAATTAGATGTAGAATAACTAGTTTTATGGCCTCAGTGTTAGTTAAAAAAAAAAGAAAATATTATAAATATCCCTAAATTAATTTAGATTTTAATACAATCTAGTCACACTGTTAACTGCCCTTTATGTCCCTTGTTGGGCATTGGATGTTGAAATAGAAATAAGGATTGCACCCTCACACCTGAGGAGGACCACATATGATGGTCCTCCCAGTTTCATGTTTGCCCCTCTTTGATTCATTCCTCTCAAGGTAGCCAGAATACTGTTTCCAAAATGTTAGCCTGTTTATATCACCATCCTGCTCAAAACCCCTAAATAGCATCCATTGCCCCAAGTCAAAGTCTTCTCACGGCCCACATGTCTCTGAACTTTCTGCCTGCCTCTGAATCCCCATCCTGCACTATTTTACACATCACATACCATGCCCCAGCCACACCATTTTTAAAAAATGCATTAAGAAATATTGCAACTACACAAAAAGGTATAAATAGCCACATTCCCATGGCTAAATAGCCACATTCCTATTGCCCAGT
Organism: Homo sapiens; assembly: GCF_000001405.40. Classification (NCBI taxonomy): domain Eukaryota; kingdom Metazoa; phylum Chordata; class Mammalia; order Primates; family Hominidae; genus Homo; species Homo sapiens. The sequence continues at coordinate 54,584,758 of NC_000018.10, read as the reverse complement.
TTAAGTGATAACATTGTTTTACATGCAATGAGAGCTACTCTGTCCCTGGGCCTGAGCACAGTTCCCTCCTGCCCTTCTCTCTCTTCCTACCAGGTATCACAACTCTCCTTAATTGGTGTTTATATTTCCCATGGATGTTTTAATGTTTTAATATATTCCAAAAATATATAGTATAGTTTACATGGTTTAAAATTTCTATGAATCCTATTATACTGTATTTTTTCACAATGCAGGTGTGGAGTTGCCCAGATTATATTTATACAACTCAATTACATGGACACTTGTAACTCTATTTTATTCATTTTCACGTTTTATAGTATTTCATTCAATTATTAACCTATTGTCCTAATAATGGAAGTTGAGTTGGGTTCCCTTTTATTAGCATAATGAACAATGAGGCTATGAATACTCTAAAATATGTCTTGAATATGCATTCTTAGGCATATTTATTAAATATTTATATTAATTATTAATTAATATAAATATTAAATATTAAATAAATATTTGTTTTAAATATTTAATAAATATTTCTAAATGTATAATTAAAAGTGAAATTTCTGTATCATCAGGTGTGTATTTTGTTAACTTTACCATATATTTCCAATATTGTTTCCAAAGTTGTATGAATATTCACTCCCATAAAAATATTCCCATTTTTCATAAATACTTAGTATTGTCAAATTTTTAACCTTGCTCATGTGTATGGTGTAAAATATTCTGTTTTTTTTCACTTTTTCTTTCACCCTACTTATACGTAATTTGGAGTTGTTAGTCTTTCTTTTGTTTTTGAGTTGCACAACAGATGTTTGTCATGGTAATTTTTGTTTACTCTTTTTTCTGCCTTGTATGTAAATACTGGAAGGTATTATTATCTGTATTCCAAGCTATTTTCAGGTGATCGGTTCTCAGAAGGTGGGATTACACAGTCAAAAGGTATTTTATCACCCTTAATACAAACTGATTTCCAAACTGCTGAAAAATTTGTGATTTGCTAAAAATATTGACAGCACATGTTCAAACACATGATTAGCAGTGCTGAGTAAGATAATATTTAAATATAGTACTAATTAAGTAGGTAAAGAGTGTATAATTTTATTGTTATTTTATTTGTTATTATTGAGTTTAAGCATGTTATCATAACTCTGTCAATAATTGTAATGTATGGGCTTTTGCTCAGTAAACTATGAAGATGTAAGTGATTTTCTTCCTCTAGAAGATGAGGTAGACATTTGGATTGGCAGTTAACATTCATTCTTAGTTCCTTCTCTGTACTCCTGTTACACCAAGGGCTAAAATTCTGGAACTACGTTCCCAGAACACCTAGGCTCTGCCAATGAGATGTATTCCCATGAGATTTATAAACTCAAAGGGAAATGCCAGCCCTTCTTACCCCAGCAGTGGGGGCTCCTGACATACACAAGCTTCAACAGATAATAAATACGTAGCTTTTATGGTGACAGGCTGCACTCTACCCTTCAGTCTCTGGTTTGGGAGCTGCAGGAAAATGTGGCTTGGCAGGAGTTTTCTGCAGCCCTCTGACCACCCAGCAGGTCAGAGAAAACCTACAGATAGTCTTCCTTATTTTACTCCTGATGCTATATTCAGCATCTGATAACTATATTCCTTTCTGCTTACATTACCTAAACCGGTTTCTGTTTTCCTAAGGTGTGCCCAGAAAAAAAAGAGTGATTCCAAAAAATTGACCCTCAAAGATGAAGACTGTATATCTGTTATCTGACTTGGTATAGGATGATCAATGAAACGTGTATTAAAAAGCGTTGATGGTTGTTGAAGCTGGATAATAAGTACTTGTTTGTGAATTGGAAATTTTTGTAAAAACGTTAAAAAATATATAGGTCACTGCCAAAACAATGATTATGTCAGTAGGAAGATAAGACTCTGGAAAACATGAATAATGAAAGCTAGGGTAGCTTAAGAGTAAAATGAATGTGGTGGAAAATAAAAGATATATGAGGTCAAAGAAGAAATAGCTCAAAAGAGAGACAAGCAGTGCTTGGAGGAGGCAGGATTGATCCGAGTCCTGGAGTACAGATGGAATTCTAAGAGAGGAAGGAGAGGGACAACAGCATTTTTGAAGAACAGAACATGTGCCAAGTAGACGGGTTAGTATACGGTAGAGGCTCAAAGCCTTTTTTTGAATAAAGAGTAGATGATTAATAGACTGATTGGCTAATTATTTTATTGATTGGATGTGCCAGGGTCTGAAATATTCACTCAACCATTTATTAAACAAATACATATTGACCACTGACTAAGTGTAAGTCTGGGGGAAAGTTACTATTGTTATAAAATCTAAAATTGAATTTGTTTCCAGAATATTTTTATTTCTGACTTATAACAGAAATTACAAATTAGAAAACATATTTCTTTTTAAATAGAAAAATACAGTCACAAATGTCTGTATACAATAACACTACAGATGGAAAAGACTTGGATCATTTCTTTTTTTTTTGAGATGGAGTCTCACTCTGTTGCCCAGGCTGGAATGCAGTGATGCGATCTCCGCTCACTACAACCTCCACCTCCCGGGTTCACACCATTCTCCTGCCTCAGCCTCCTGAATAGCTGGGACTACAGGCACCTGCCACCACGCTTGGCTAATTTTTTGTATTTTTAGTAGAGACGGGGTTTCACTGTGTTAGCCAGGATGGTCTGGATCTCTTGACCTCGTGATCCTCCCGCCTCGGCTTACCAAAGTGCTGGGATTACAGGCGTGAGCCATCGCGCCCGGCCGGATCATTTCAATTGCATTTGTATTAGTAAGAAAGAAACAGCAATTTATACTAATAAAATATAAGTTAAAAGATTTCAGTACAACTTTAATCTTTTATTAAAATTGCTGGCAGAACTTTTTAAAAAATATTCTTGTGGAGCTAAGTGGAAGAACTGTTAAAAATTAATTCTTATTAGCTTAATAGATACTGAAATATATTTTTTCAATTTTTGCTTGAAAATAAGTTTTTCCTTTATCTAAGTGAAACATTTTTTCCCATGTGATTATATACCTGACAGTATTTATATATAATTCTTTCTTCATAGATTGGATTAAGATTAGTATTAATTGTTTCATGTTTCTCTTATCTTAAAAAATTGATTTTTTCTTTTCATGATTTAAAATAAGATTGTATAGTTTGTATCAACTTCACCAAACCCACCAGTAAGATATAGCATGTCAGAATGCTTTCGTTGGTTTACTGATTGGACCATGACTGTTAAACCTGCCTATGCATTAGAATCAGCTGTGAAGGTGTTTATAAACATACATTCCTGCCGCACTCCTGCTGGTTATAGTACAGTAGGCCTGGGGAAGACCCAAGCAATATCAAAATCAATTAAAACCTTGATATCCAGAAAATGTAAACAAAGCGTGTTCATGTTAATTATTTTAGTGATTATCTTGCATCGTTATTTCTTCTGCATCTCCTTCAGTATTTTGGGAGATAGACATATAGTAAATGTCTGACATTTAACTAAGTGACTATAAGGTTACATAAAGAATAGCAAATAATTAATTCTAACAACTGTGGTGCTAAACAGCAAAATAATCTGAAGAAAACTTATATAAACAAGATAATTTTACACATAAGGAAACAAAATGTGGTACTTAAAACATACATGGTATAGTGATTCAATACATAGAGAATTGTCATACTAAATGAAATATTCTGAACAGTAAGAAACTGCATTTCCACTGCTGAACCATTTAATTTTATAAAAACAAAAACAACATTGGTAATGAATACCAACCATGTTAATAAAGATTTCCTTGTGAGGTTTTATCAAATTACTTGGAGGGTGGTCCCTAGATTTTTTTTTCTAGGAAAATTACATGATCTGAAATTTTAGAAAAATTATTAAACTATTACAAAATAAAATAACAATTCTAATAAAATGGAGATCTGTTAAGTATAAAAGACAAATGAGGTGGATTTGATGTCATGGCGCTGGTGCTTGGAAATGGGCTAAATTGTTATTGTTGGCCATTGCTTCAGGCTCTGCTGAAGTATTTCTGTTAGCTAAACAAATCACCTGTGATAGCATTGTAGATTCAAATTTATCTTACGAGTAGCTATGGAAATAGTCAAAGATAACTTAATCAAAGTACTTAATGGTTTGGTTGCCTTATAGGAGGCCACCACATTGTAATTTCTGTGAGAATGGTGATGTTAGCACTTTCATTAGTAGATTCACTGGAAGGGAGGATAGAGGTTGTGCTGTCTCAGCTGATGTGCTGGTTTCTGTTGTTGGTGTACATTCAACTGAAATAGTGGTAGCTGTAAAAATTGAAGGCTCAGTTGAAGTGGTAGTTGCAGCTTAATTTGACACGATAATAGTGGCAGATTCAGTAGACATCGTGATAGCTACATTTTAGCTAAAGTGCTGGTAAGCAGAAGGTTCACTTGAAGTATTCATTGTAGACCATGACAGGTGGTGTCTTTCAGTGGTGAAAAAACAGTGCTGCTGAAGGAGTATTTTGTTATTTGTCACAAATGTTGCAGCCCAAGTCATAATTTTTACTGCCATTTTGCTCTGGCTCTGTTCTGACTGTCAATTTTAAAATTTGAATAGGTAGAGAGCTGAGGATAATGTTTAATCAGCTGGTCAAAAATAGTCAATAATATCATTCAGTGCAGCTGAAATGCATTTGGTATATTTACTGAAAAGTTATGAGGTAAGATGTACTATTTCTCCAAGAAGAAAGAAATACGTAACTTGCCTTTTTGAATCTAACTTTCAAGTGTTACTTTATTTCATTGGTCAAAATTGACCTCATTACATCAAAATATCCAGATGGAAGTAAAATTTTTAGAGTGCTGTATAGTACTGTTTTTATAGGATTTGAAATATATCTAAATTTACTACTAACCCAAGAAAAGGTCAACATGATCAATTAATGCCTTAGCAAAGGCAACTAATCTTTTATTTAACTGGAGTGCTTTCAAATAATGAAAATTCCATCAGAGAAGTGAGGATTCAGAAAGATCTGGAGACCATCTTTGAGGATCACATAAACTAAAACAAATAAGGGGGAAATCTCCTACTTTTGAGACAGAAATATTTTTCTTGATGTTCAACCATTCAACAAATATACTTATTGAGCAACATGACTTTCTGCTTTGGTATATCTCTTGGATGAAGAAAAATGCTTCTCCACTCACTTTCAAATTGTTCTTTAAACTGTCCATTTCAAACTACATATCCACATTTGTTTCTTTTATCAAGGCAAGAGTTTGGCTCCTGGGTATGGAAAACGTGATGCTGTCTATATATAAACCAGATTTTCTTGACTTATGTATTGGACTTGCAGAGCATATATAAGATTAATTTCTGGTTTTCAAAGATAACAGAATTATTTGAGTTTTGAAAGTTCTAGAATTAATTGCAAAGATCCAAGAATTCTATACCAAAACCCAGACACCAAACTTAAAAAATACTTTCTAAAGTAGCTGAAGCCAGCATTGCGTGGTTTTAACTGCATATTATTATTTTAACTCATTAAATTATATTCCAGAAAATACTAACATTTTAGTTTAATAAATACATAGAATACATTTTAAACTATTCCTTTAGTACTGTAGAGTAATACAACATTTCTGATTTTTAGAGAATAGTTGAGAAGTTAATAAACTGCCTTTTCTGGCCGGGCGCGGTGGCTCACACCTGTAATCCCAGCACTTTGGGAGGCCGAGGCGGGCGGACCATGAGGTCAGGAGATTGAGACCAACCTGGCTAGCATGGTGAAACCCTGTCTCTACTAAAAATACAAAAAATTAGCCGGGCATGGTGGTGGGCACCTGTAGTCCCAGCTGCTCAGGAGGCTGAGGCAGGAGAATGGCATGAACCCAGGAGGCGGAGGTTGCAGTGAGCCAAGATTGTGCCACTGCACTCCAGCCTGGATGACAAAGCAAGACTCTTGTCTCAAAAAAATAATAATAATAAAAATAAAAAATAAAATAAAAAAATTGCCTTTTCCTGAACCATTAAAATTATGCATTCTTTTTTGTGAAGACTGTGTAAGCATTACTTCTATTATATTAAAAGCCATAGAGTTTTCTCTTAAAACCAGGCGAAAGATTCACATAAACACAATATCCAAATGGAACAACAGTTACCCATGGGCTGGTTTCTAGAGGGGTCAATATTTACCATGTATTCCCCATGTTTCCTCTCCATTTTTGAGCTGCCAGTATCACAAGTTTAACTTCAAAACTAATTTGCCTTTTGATCAGTGATTGCTCTTTATATTTGAAACCTTGAGTAATATTTTAGTTGGCTGATGGCAAATTCACTATGATGCATCCATGCATGTGTTGATTAAATGAAACATTAAATATCAGAACTAACAGAAGACCCACCTTAACAGTCAGAAGTAAAATATTCATTAATTGCAATAAGTAACACGAAAACCAATCCTGCCCCTAAGAGCTATTGTTGCTTCTTTCTGAGCATCCTGTCTAGCAGAAGGAAACTGTGGTAATATGTAATATTTCCTTTCTTGCTCTTGCTATCATCCCATAGACATCATTCCTCTAAAGTTCAGGGCCAGTCCATGAGAGGATTCTGAAGTAGATGAAGTTTCCAGTTGCCTTCTTTCAAGCCTAGGATGACCATTCTCCCTCTCCAGGACTGATACCTCCTCTGAGGGAGGCATCCAGGGCTCCTGAGCAGCTTGCCTTGACTCAGTCTGTCCCGAATACTCTGAACTTTTCAGTCCCACAGTCCCAGTATTTAGCAAGATGAAATTCCCTTGGGTAACACTTTTTTTTTTTTTTTGAGGCTGAGTCTGGCTCTGTCACCCAGGCTGGAGTGCAGTGGCCTGATCTCGCCTGATCACTGCAACCTGCCGGGTTCAAGCGATTCTTCTGCCTCAGCCTCCCGAGTAGCTGGGACTACAGGCACCTGCCACCGTGCCCGGCTAATTTTTGTATTTTTAGTAGAGACCGGGTTTCACCATATTGGCCAGCTGGTCTCGAACTTCTGACTTTGTGATCTGCCCGCCTCGGCCTCCCAAAGTGCTGGGGTTACAGGCGTGATCCCTTGGGTAACACTTTCTTAGACTTCAACTCTGTTTTCTTTTCTTTTCTTTTGAGACAATAAGATACTGGTTTGTTTGTGTTTTTTTTTTTTTTTTTTTGAAACAAGATTTTACATTTTTTTTTTAGATAAGGTCTTACACTGTCCAGGCTGGAGTGTGGTGGTGCAATCACGGTTCACTGTAGCCTTGACCTCCCGGACATAAGCAACCCTCCCATCTCAGCTTCCCAAGTAGCTGGGACCACAGGCGTGTGCCACCATGCCCTGCTAATTTTTTTTTTAGAGACAGTGTCTCACTATGTTGCCCAGGCTAGTCTCAAACTCCTGGGCTCAAGTGGTCCTCTCACCTGGGTTTCTCAAACTGTTGAGATTATAGGTGTGAGCCACCACGCCTGGCATCCAACTCTGTTTTCTAGAGGGAGCTTAATAAATTAATAACTGTTGATTCATTTACCAAGTTTCTTCTCTCCTGCACAGTAATATATAAACCTAATCTTGGAGATTTTTAATGCACTTTTGGCAACTTAAAAGTGATAGTTAAAGGAGATTTAGGCAAGCATTTCTTTCAAGCTCTTCCATTTTGCCTTAGAGAAACCTTCTTTATTTCTCTTTTTAGAAATTTCTTTTTAAAATTAAGGCATTTGTAGGAGTTAAGAAATAAGTTAGCTACTACAAACATATACATCCAAAGATACTCTACATAAAGCTAGCACAAACAGTTTTTTGCCAAGAATGATATTAGAATATTTTAAAGTTTTCAAATAAATTGATCTGATGGGCTAAGTAATCAAAAGTAACACTATGCAAATAGAGGAATCAAGGCAAAGTAGTTTTGTCCTTTTTGTTTTTGTAGGTTTTTTTGGTGTTGTTGTTGTTGTTGTTGTTGTTGTTGTTGTTGTTGGGATAAGATCTCACTCTGTCACCAAGGCCAGAGTGCAGTGGTGCAATCATGTCTCACCGCAGCCTCGACTTCCTGGGCTCAAGCAATTCTCCTGCCTCAGCCTCCCGAATAGCTGACACCGCAGGTGTGCACCACCACTCTCAGCTCATTTTTTTTTATTGTTTTTGTAGAGATGAGGTCTCACTATGTTGCTCAGGCTGGTCTCGAACTCCTGGGCTCAAGCAATCCTCCCACCTCAGCCTTCCGAAGTGTTGAGATTACAGGTGCGAGCCACTGTGCTGGGTTAGTTTTGTTCTTTTTGGAAAATGCTTATGTCATTAGCACTCATTGCCTAGATACCCATAAAACTTAGGTCAAAATCACCCACTGACAGATGAAAATTAAAAGATTGACATTACCAAGTCTTGGTGAGATATGGATCCACTGAACCCTCATTATTACTGGTGAGAGTGGAAAATGATACAATTGCTTTGGTAAGCTGTTTGGCAGTTTCTATGAAGGCTCTGTATACATCTACCCTATGACCTAGCAATTCCACTCCTAGATATATCCCCAAGAGACTGAGTGTATATGTCCAAAACAGACATGCATAGAAATATTTAGACACCTTTATTTGTAACATTTATAATCCAAATACCCATAAATGATAAATAAATTTTGGTATACTGATACAAGGAAGTATGGCACAGTATTAAACAACAGGGACACACATATATAATTAAAAATCAGCTATTATTACAAGCAGCAACATGTTGCATGTTAATTCACTATGTTTACTGAGAGATATCAGACACGTATGATTTCAATATATGAAGTTCAAGAATGAACAAAAGTAATCAGATGATGAGAGAGATTAGAATATTTGTTTATTTCAGAGTGGGCTGGGAGAAGTTGATGGGGAAGAGACATGAGGAAATTGTTGAGGTACTGGAAATATTCTATATCTTGATGTGGGTGACGGGCACGTGTGTGTGCATGTGTGCGTGTGTGTGTGTGCATGTTATGTTAATGAACTTTATGAATGTTAGCCCTCAGTAAAAAATGAAAAATAAAGAAAGAGGCCAGGTACCTGCGATGGCTCATGACTATAATCCCAGTGCTTTGGAAGTCTGAGGTGGGAGGATTGCTTGAGGCCAGGAGTTCGAGATCAGCCTGGGCAACATCGTGAGACCCCCGTCTCTACAAAAAAAGAAAAAAGAAAGAACTAAAATGAACCATTAGCAGTGAATTTGAGATAAGGAACCCAAAGTCTAGGAAAGAAAAGTAGCACAATCTGTGTCCTGTGGATTCAGGTTGAGCGTGTCTCCCGTCAGTTAGTCTAGTGCCCCTCCCAAGTTACCTAGCACATGAGAGATCATGTAGAAATGTAAACATCACGGTAGATATCAATTACAGGTCTTTCGGAAAACAAAGAAAAGCAAAGATTAAAGTCTCAGTATTGGAAAACATCCCAGCTGGCAACTGCTCTTAGTGAAGATTTCTGCTTTCATCTCAGATTTAAGGAATTTGAGGTTGGCTCTGAGGGTGAGGTTTTGGGCCAGAAACAGATGATACTTATGTGCATAAAAACTGGAGAAAATCTCAAGTGGAAATGTTTATAATAGATGAAATGGACTCCTTGAACTATTTCAAGAAAAATGTTTTAATAAAGCTAATTTTTCTTAAACTTAGAAATAACTTTTTCCGGTTCCAAGATGGCCAAATAGGAACAGCTCCAGTCTATAGCTCCCAGCGTGAGTGACGCAGAAGACGGGTGATTTCTGCATTTCCAACTGAGCTTTGAAGAGAGTAATGGTTCTCCCAGCACGGAGTTTGAGATCTGAGAACGGACAGACTGCCTCCTCAAGTGGGTCCCTGACCCCCAAGTAGCCTAACTGGGAGGCACCCCCCAGTAGGGGCAGACTGACACCTCACACGGCCCAGTACCCCTCTGAGACGCAACCTCCAAAGGAACGATCAGACAGCAATATTTGCTGTTCAGCAATATTCACTGTTCTGCAGCCTCTGCTACTGATACCCAGGCAAACAGGGTCTGGAGTGGACCTCCAGCAAACTCCAACAGACCTGCAGCTGAGGGTCCTGACTGTTAGAAAGAAAACTAACAAACAGGAAGGACATCCACACCAAAACCCCATCTGTACGTCACCATCATCAAAGACCAAAGGTAGATAAAACCACAAAGATGGGGAAAAAACAGAGCAGAAAAACTGAAAATTCTAAAAATCAGAGTGCCTCTCCTCCTCCAAAGGAACGCAGCTCCTCACCAGCAACAGAACAAAGCTGGACGGAGAATGACTCTGACGAGTTGAGAGAAGAAGGCTTCAGACAATTAAACTTCTCCGAGCTAAAGGAGGAAGTACGAACCCATGGCAAAGAAGTTAAAAACCTTGAAAAAAGATTAGATGAAAGGCTAACTAGAATAACCAATGCAGAGAAGTCCTTAAAGGACGTGATGGAGCTGAAAACCATGGCACAAGAACTACGTGATGCATGCACAAGCTTCAGTAGCCGATTCGATCAACTGGAAGAAAGGGTATCAGTGATTGAAGATGAAATGAATGAAATGAAGCGAGAAGAGAAGCTTAGAGAAAAAAGAATGAAAAGAAACGAACAAAGCCTCCGAGAAATATGGGACTATGTTAAAAGACCAAATCTACGTCTGACTGGTGTACCTGAAAGTGACGGGGAGAATGGAACCAAGCTGGAAAACACCCTGCAGGATATTATCCAGGAGAACTTCCCCAATCTAGCAAGGAAGGCCAACATTCAGATTCAGGAAATACAGAGAACGCCACAAAGATAATCCTCGAGAAGAGCAACTCCAAGAATCATAATTGTCAGATTCACCAAAATTGAAATGAAGGAAAAAATGTTAAGGGCAGCCAGAGGGAAAGGTCGGGTTACCCTCAAAGGGAAGCCCATCAGACTAATAGCTGATCTCTCGGCAGAAAGTCTACAAGCCAGAAGAGAGTGGGGGCCAATATTCAACATTCTTAAAGAAAAGAATTTTCAACCCAGAATTCCATATCCAGCCAAACTAGGCTTCATAAGTGAAGGAGAAATAAAATGCTTTACAGACAAGCAAATGCTGAGAGATTTTGTCACCACCAGGCCTGCCCTATAAGAGCTCCTAAACATGGAAAGGAACCACCAGTACCAGCCACTGCAAAAACATGCCAAATTGTAAAGACCATTGAGGCTAGGAAGAAACTGCATCAACTAACGAGCAAAATAACCAGCTAATATCATAATGACAGGATCGAATTCACACATAACAATATTAACCTTAAATGGAAATGGGCTAAATGCTCCAATTAAAAGACACAGACTGGCAAATTGGATAAAGAGTCAAGACCCATCAGTGTGCTATATTCAGGAAACCCATCTCACGTACAGAAACACACATAGGCTCAAAATAAAGGGATGGAGGAAGATCCACCAAGCAAATGGAAGACAAAAAAAGGCAGGGGTTGCAATCCTAGTCTCTGATAAAACAGACTTTAAACCAACAAAGATCAAAAGAGACAAAGAAGGCCATTACTTAATGGTAAAGGGATCAAACAACAAAAAGAGCTAACTATCCTAAATATATATGCACCCAATATAGGAGCACCCAGATTCATAAAGCAAGTCCTTAGAGACCTAGAAAGAGACTTAGACTCCCACACAATAATAATGGGAGACTTTAACACCCCACTGTCAACATTAGACAGATCAAAGAGACAGAAAGTTAAAAAGGATATACAGGAATTGAATTCAGCTCTGCACCAAGGAGACCTAATAGACATCTGCAGAACTCTCCACCCCAAAACAACAGAATATACATTCTTCTCAGCACCACACCATACCTATTCGAAAATTGACCACATACTTGGAAGTAAAGCTCTCCTCAGCAAATGTAAAAGAACAGAAATTATAACAAACTGTCTCTCAGACCACAATGCAATCACACTAGAACTCAGGATTAAGAAACTCACTCAAAACCGCTCAACTACATGGAAACTGAACAACCTGCTCCTGAATGACTACTGGGTACATAACGAAATGAAGGCAGAAATAAAGATGTTCTTTGAAACCAACGAGAACAAAGACACAACATACCAGAATCTCTGGGACGCATTCAAAGCAGTGGGTAGAGGGAAATTTATAGCACTAAATGCCCACAAGAGAAAGCAGGAAAGATCTAAAATTGACACCCTAACATCACAATTAAAAGAACTAGAGAAACAAGAGCAAACACATTCAAAAGCTAGCAGAAGACAAGAAATATCTAAGATTAGAGCAGAACTGAAGGAAATAGAGACACAAAAAACCCTTCAAAAAATCAATGAATCCAGGAGCTGGTTTTTTGAAAAGATCAACAAAATTGATAGACTGCTAGCAAGACTAATAAAGAAGAAAAGAGAGAAGAATCAAATAGACGCAATAAAAAATGATAAAGGGGATCTCACCACCTATCCCACAGAAATACAAACTACCATCAGAGAATATTATAAACACCTCTACACAAACAAACTTGAAAATCTAGAAGAAATGGATAAATTCCTCGACACATACACCCTCCCAAGACTAAACCAGAAAGAAGTCAAATCTCTGAATAGACCAATAACAGGCTATGAAATTGAGACAATAATTATTAGCTTACCAACCAGAAAAAGTCCAGGACCAGATGGCTTCACAGCCGAATTCTACCAGAGGTACACGAAGGAGCTGATACCATTCCCTCTGAAACTATTCCAATCAATAGAAAAAGAGGGAGTCCTCGCTAACTCATTTTACGAGGCCAGCATCATCCTGATACCAAAGCCTGGCAGAGACACAACAAAAAAAGAGAATTTTAGACCAATATCCTTGATGAACATCGATGCAAAAATCCTCAGTAAAATACTGGCAAACAAAATCCAGCAGCACATCAAAGAGCTTATCCACCGTGATCAAGTGGGCTTCATCCCTGGGATGCAAGGCTGGTTCAACATATGCAAATCAATAAATGTAATCCAACATATAAACAGAACCAAAGACAAAAACCACATGATTATCTCAATAGATGCAGAAAAGGCCTTTGACAAAATTCAACAACCCTTCATGTTAAAAACTCTCAATAAATTAGGTATTGATGGGATGTATCTCAAAATAATAACAGCTATTTATGACAAACACCCAGCCAATATCATACTGAATGGGCAAAAACTGGAAGCATTCCCTTTGAAAACGGGCACAAGACAGGGATGCCCTCTCTCATCACTCCTATTCAACATAGTGTTGGAAGTTCTGGCCAGGGCAATCAGGCAGGAGAAAGAAATAAAGGGTATTCAATTAGGAAAAGAGAAAGTCAAATTGTCCCTGTTTGCAGATGACATGATTGTATATCTAGAAAACCCCATCGTCTCAGCCCAAAATCTCCTTAAGCTGATAAGCAACTTTAGCAAAGTCTCAGGATACAAAATCAATGTACAAAAATCACAAGCATTCTTATACACCAATAACAGACAAACAGAGAGCCAAATCATGAGTGAACTCCCATTCACAATTGCTTCAAAGAGAATAAAATACCTAGGAATCCAACTTACAAGGGATGTGAAGGACCTCTTCAAGGAGAACTACAAACCACTGCTCAATGAAATAAAGCAGGACACAAACAAATGGAAGAACATTCCATGCTCATGGATAGGAAGAATCAATATCATGAAAATGGTCATACTGCCCAAGGTAAGTTATAGATTCAATGCCATCCCCATCAAGCTACCAATGACTTTATTCACAGAATTGGAAAAAAACTACTTTAAAGTTCATATGGAACCAAAAAAGAGCCCACATTGCCAAGTCAATCCTAAGCCAAAAGAACAAAGCTGGAGGCATCACGCTACCTGACTCCAAACTATACTACAAGGCTACAGTAACCAAAACAGCATGGTACTGGTACCAAAACAGAGATATAGACCAATGGAACAGAACAGAGCCCTCAGAAATAATACCACCTATCTACAACCATCTGATCTTTGACAAACCTGACAAAAACAAGCAATGGGGAAAGGATTCCCTATTTAATAAATGGTGCTGGGAAAACTGACTAGCCATATGTAGAAAGCTGAAACTGGATCCCTTCCTTACACCTTATACAAAAATTAATTCAAGATGGATTAAAGACTTAAATGTTAGACCTAAAACCATAAAAACCCTAGAAGAAAACCTAGGCAATATCATTCAGGACATAGGCATGGGCAAGGACTTCATGTCTAAAACACCAAAAGCAACGGCAACAAAAGCCAAAATTGACAAATGGGATCGAATTAAACTAAAGAGCTTCTGCACAGCAAAAGAAACTACCATCAGAGTGAACAGGCAACCTACAACATGGGAGAAAATTTTTGCAATCTACTCATCTGACAAAGGGCTAATATCCAGAATCTACAAAGAAGTCAAATTTACAAGAAAAAAACAACCCCATCAACAAGTGGGCGAAGGATATGAACAGACACTTCTCAAAAGAAGACATTTATGCAGCCAACAGACACATGAAAAAATGCTCATCATCACTGGCCATCAGAGAAATGCAAATTAAAACCGCAATGAGATATTATCTCAAACCATTTAGAATGGCGATCCTTAAAAAGTCAGGAAACAACAGGTGCTGGAGAGGATGTGGAGAAATAGGAACACTTTTACACTGTTGGTGGGACTGTAAACTAGTTCAACCATTGTGGAAGTCAGTGTGGCGATTCCTCAGGGATCTAGAACTAGAAATACCATTTGACCCAGCCATCCCATTACTGGGTATATACCCAAAGGAATATAAATCATGCTGCTATAAAGTCACATGCACGCCTATGTTTATTGCAGCACTACTCACAAGAGCAAAGACTTGGAACCAACCCAAATGTCCAACAATGATAGACTGCATTAAGAAAATGTGGCACATATACACCATGGAATACTATGCAGCCATAAAAAATGATGATTTCTTGTCCTTTGTAGGGACATGGATGAAGCTGGAAACCATCTTTCTCAGCAAACTATCGCAAGGACAGAAAACCAAACACGGCATGTTCTCACTCATAGGTGGGAATTGAACAATGAGAACACTTGGACACAGGAAGGGGAACATCACACACTGGGGTCTGTTGTGGGGTGTGGGGAGTGGGGAGTGATAGCATTAGGAGATATACCTAATGTAAATGATGAGTTAATGGGTGCAGCACACCAACATGGCACATGTATACATATGTAACAAACCTGCACGTTGTGCACATGTACCCTAGAACTTAAAGTATAATAATAAATATATATAAAGAAATAACTTTTAAAAATAATTGATTCATTAAAAATTATTTACTTTCCATGCATCATGCTAATCTGTAAATTTTCAATAATAAACACACAAGTGACATCCCTGCATTGCTGGGACATTATATTATACCTTGTATGTTGATTCTGAATTTAAAAGAAAAACATAGGATCTTTTAAAAACTACTCAATTTTTTTCCCTGCCTTTAGTTTAGGGAATTCTACTGGAAGAAGCAGAAGTAAAATGACATAGTCTAAAGCCTCTAAAAGAGTGAATGGTTCTCAAAATGGCATACTTATACAATGGAATACTACCCAGGTATTAAATAAATAGAAGATGCACACATGTAGTTACAAATTATATGTGGGAAGTTCCCACCCGGGAGGCATTTGGCATGCCCTAGAAGCAGGATAAGGCAAGGAAATGGACTGTCCTCCAGAGAAAATAACTTTTATTATCTCTGTTTTATTTTAAAAATAATAAATTTGTGTTGAGTTAAGCCCCTATGTTTTTCATAATGTGTTTCAGCAGTAATAGAAAACTAATATACAAGTCAATTAACATTTATCTATTTATATATGTGGGCAGGTAGACATTCATGTAATGGATATTTATTAAGCACCTATTACATGTCAAGCTGAGAAAAATCTTACTATCATTTTTTAAAGTAAGCTTGTGTATGTGTGTGTTGTTTAATTAAATGACTCGAAGAGAATTGTAATTTGCATGATTACAATCTAGATTAAAGTATCCAAATGGATTGTGTCACCTTTAACTATGTATAATTATGGGAAATAAACTAAAATATTGAAAACAATATCCTGTTGAAGTGGCATGGAAGAATTTTTTTAAATATTTTAAATTAGCATGGCTGATATTAAAATATTTGTTTAAAAATTTTTCCTTAATCATACATACTTTTTTACTACATGGTAAGGAAAATATTCCCCCTTAACCCCTGCCAGAATGAAATCATGTTTAATAGGAGTCCATTCTTTATAGGCTAACATTTTTTACAGTATGTCTCAATAACTAATTTTGTTAACAACTCTTTAATATCTACGGATTTATAAAATATATTCCTGGTCCACCTCATTGGTTCCATAGGCTTCTAGAGAAGCCTGGCCACTGTAAGTATTCATTCTAACCTCATCAGTTGGCAGAAATTCTAAACAATAAAAGTCCATATTAATAATCATATTACTTATCCTGCACTGTTATTTTCTTTCTTTACTTCTTCAGTATTTAATGCTTCCATTTAAAAATAGAAAAAGCTCTTTACACAATAATGTTAGTGGCATTAGCAGTAGCAGTCAATATAATATGCAAAAAGCCAACCTTAGGAGAAAATAACTACCTTTTTGTGTTGCATACATAGGAAAACATACAATAATTAGAAATATTCTATTTATATTTATTTAACACACTCCTATATTGAAAGTTCACCCTATAAATGCATTAATATTACCAACAGATATCAAAGTGATTTTATTATGAGATTTTATCATACTTTTCTTAGATAAGGCTTTTTAGATAGCAAACTAGGCTCATTGTCTAGGCAAGTTACATAATCAGAAACTTTAAGAAAACTGACAAACATTTTAAATTAAAATTTCAGTTCTAGTGAAATGGTCTAATGAATGCAGAAGACAATGTGGGTTTTATCTCATTATAGTGATGGAAGATTGATGAGGGACCAAATGGTTGTCCTTTTGCCCTTCAAAAGGTGATAAACTTCCAGTGAAATATTCCTGTTGGTTAAAGAATCAGCTAGGCATAGATATAAACTCAGGAGTAGAAAAGATAGTGGGGGATGAAACAATGGGATAATTAAAAGTAGTAATAAAAGTTTCTTTGCTGTGAGGAAGTCCTTGTGTTGTTGCAGGTGTTTTGTGTGTTTGTTTTTTTTTTGTGTGTGTTGATGGTTGTAGCTTCAGGAGTTGTATGTTCCATTGAAGTGGTTATTGTTGTAAGGTCTGTTGGAGTAACATTAGGTATAACTTCTATTGACATGACCATAACTGTTGTGGTGCTATTATGCTCAGTTGAAGTGATAGATTCTGTTGGAGTGGTGGTACTATCCATTATAGTAGAAGATTTCATTGAAATGCTGATGATTGTTTCCATTATGGTAATAGCTTCCGTTGAAGTGAAGGTTACTGGGGTTATGTTTGTAGGTTCGGTTGAAATTGTGTTGGCTGCAGGTTCAGGTGACATGATGGTAGAGGACCTTATGGTCATAAGTTCAGTTGAAATTTTAGAATTATCTGTTGTGGTAGTTGTGTGTACAATTGACGTAGTTAGTTCTGTTGTGGTGGTCACTGTAGATTAAGAGATAGGCAGTGTGGTTGTTTCAGGAATGATTATTCTAGGTTCCACATCATCTAGGGGTACATGGATAATAATGGAGGCAGTGTTGTCCTCATATTTATTGACCAGGCACACAATGAACACTCCAATTGCTGCTGTTATTACACAGGATAAGAGACAAATAAGAAAGATTTTCCACAAAGAGTAGTCACTAGATATATTTTGTGTCACCTAAAAATGATTTAAATAAAAATAGTAAAAATGAAATCAAACATTTCAAGAAAAATGAAGGTCATTGTTGCTTCTTTATAATTTTAATTAGTGCTTGTTATTTATAATTTGCCACTTACTTGTAATTTGCCTCACCAAAAGTGTGTAAATGTCACTATTATTTTTTTTTCATAATAAATACTAAGTTAAATTTCTACATTTCATCCTGAGCAATGTCTTAAACTTTTCCTACCACTGGAGTAAAGAAACTTGCATACAACTCTAATCCTTTCTTATACTTATGTCTGAATCTTACAAAGAAAATCTTGCTAAAAAACCAAAATCCTCAAAGATCAGTACACAGGTAGGTTGTTGACTTTATATTGGCAATAAGGAATTGCCTAAATTCTCCTGATAAAAATTTTCTCCTTTCTGAGCCTATTAAAACCCAAAATTCTTCCATTAAGTAGACTCCCTAGGAATCTTCCAGTGGCTTACTTTTAAATTATTGGACAAAACATATTCATCTGCTAAATCTTCAGCTCATATTAGGAGTTGTCAGCATGACAATTTTCAGACAGATCTTAGGAGAGTCTAGCTTCTACAAGCTACTAGCTATTTTCCCTTGGAAAATTGCTTATCCTCTTTGAGCCTATGTCCTCATCTGTAAAATTAGTAACAGGAGTGCTAGTAGACATATAATATGGGCACAAAGATTCATGTGGGTGAAATAGCTTTGTGAACTATAAAGAGCTGTTCAAGTGAGAGGCTGAATACATGGTGGTTGGACGGCATAGAGTCTGGAGCCACAAACAACTTGGCTTCCAACCTGGCTCTGCCACTTACAATGTTGCCTTGAGCAAGTTACTTCAATTCTGCTCTTCACAGTCTTCATCTGTAAAATAAGGATAATAATATAACCTGGCACATGGGGTTGTTGTGCAGCTTAAATGAGATAAATGTGTAAAGTTCTTATCTCACTCTCCGGGATTTAGCACATGCTATAAAACGCTTATGATTATGTTGGTACTGATGATTATCATGACATGGCAACAAATCTTTTTTGCTATTATTAAGTGGATAGACAGCATGATAATTGGAAAAGAATAGGCTTTTTAAAAAATCAAGCATTCTTAAGTCTCAAAACTATGATATTTAGTAGAAGTTTCTAAGTTTGCCTGATACTAGTTCATCTCAGCCACTAACTAGTTGTATAAATTCTAGCAAAATATTCAACTTTCCTGAAGGTGTATTTCCAGTTATTAAATGAAGAGGTTGGATTAAATGGTAGCTAAGATAACTTTCAGCTTGAAAATCAAAATGTTTTATTTCACTTTTGCAGACAAGGAGACACATCCTCTTACTTCTCTTTAAGCTCACTCCAACATCCACATTGCCTCAGCTCTGCTAAAGTTGTATCAAGGACCAGGACCGAGACCCTCCAGAAGATGCTCCATAATAGCAGGAAAAAGAGGAGGGGTGGATTCAAAGCCAGGATAACCCAACCGAGCTGCCAAACATCTCACCCACAAAGCAATGGCAATTTTCTGCCGGGTTCAGGGCTTAGGGTCATGCTGTGAGGTGAAGTAAATATAGCAACATGGCAGGAGTTCAGAAATGTGGGAGATCTGAGTCTGGGCAACAAACCAAAGTGAAAAACACAGGGAAACAAAGTAAAGTTTCTAAGTCAAGGTTAAAAACACTAAGATTATCACACCTGTAATTCCAGTACTTTGGGAGGCCGAGATGGGTGGCTCACTTGAGGTCAAGAGTTCAAGACCAGCCTGACCAACAAGACAAAACCCCGTCTCGACTAAAAACACAAAAATTAGCCGGGCATGGTGGCAAGCACCTGTAGTCCCAGCTACTCAGGAGGCTGAGGCATGAGAATTGCTTGAACCCAGGAGGCAGAATGAGCTGAGATCACACCACTGCACTCCAGCATGGGGACGGAGCGAGACTTTGTCTCCAAAAACCAAGCAAAACAAAAACAAAAAGAAAGATGCTAAGATTAGAATCAGGAGGGCAAAGGAAAGTTTGTAGTCCTTGGAGAGGTAGCTAATTATAAGTCTGAGGTGTGTAAAGTACAAGATGATATTCCTAGGACATTCCTTCCTTCAGCAAGAGATCTGTCAAAGATTAATGGGATTTTGCCAATAAGACAAAAGAGTCAACTTGAAGGGGCTCCTAAGTGGCCAGAAGGAAAAATTAAACCATGAAAAAAGGAATGATAACATTGACTCTTAAAAATCAAACCTCACGGTTCACCACTGGAGGTTGCTATGGCACCAGCAAGCTCATTTCCTTGAAAATTAATAAATAAAATGAAATATTGAAATATTTCTACAGTCCTTTCTTTAAGGATTGCGTTTCAAGGTAATAAAACAGCTGGTTCATCTTTGTCAAAGATCTCTATCTAATAATTGTAGAGGGAAATATATAATCAGAAAATCACCAGTTTCCAACCCCTAATGGGAAAACAAAAGTGAATCTAGGTAAAGATTATCAATAGATACTAAAGCTATTATGTGGAAGAGTTAAGGAACTTTATGATAGTGCTATCAGCCTGATACCACATGAATCTACAGACTTAGCATCACAGTAAGTGGAAAAAACAGACTTTGTGTGCAGTAAAATGTAGAATGCATCACCTATATATTTTTCTTGCCTGTGGCTTGCAGGAAATAGAGAGGATAAAGTAACAAGTCAAAAAGTATCAGGAAGAAACAACCAACCCAATCCTGAATGTGGGACATTCTACATGGAAATGACCTAGTTTCTTCAACAAATCAATGCCATCTAAAAAAAACGGAGGGGGAGGGGGATAGGAAAAACTATTTTAGACTAAAAGAGATGCAGATATATAACAATCAAAGAAATGTGTAGACTTTATTTAGATCCTCATTAAAACCAAAAATTATAATTTTGGGGATAATAGGGACAATTCGAATATAGATTGGCAATTAGGTAATATTAAGGAGTTACTGTTAATTTTTATAAGTATGGTAACAGAAAAGTGGTGATGTTTTTTAAAATGTCCTTACCAGATAGAGAAGTATGCTGAGTTACCTGCGAGTCAAAGGACCTAAAGTGAATGAAAGGATAAATGAAACACATTTGGGAAAATGTTGATACTTGTTGAAGCTGAATGATATAAATATGAGGTTATTTTATACTATTTCTTCTACTTTTCTGCATGTCTTAAATTTCCCATAATAAAAAGTTTTTTAAAAAAAAGAAGTCAGAGCCCAGAGGGGTAAAGAAAGGACAGTCAGGCTGACTCAGAGGCTGGATTGGGATTGCAGCAAGAGGCAGGTTCCTACAGAGCAAGGCCTTTAGAGTCTTGGAGCACAATGATACCTCTATCTTGCTACTTGAGCTTAGTTTACCTGCCCATTCCATATATATATGGGATATATATGTGTGTGTATATATATATTGGATATTAGATAATATTATACACATGTACACATATATGCATACACACATATATATGTGTATACATATGTATATATACATACACACATATATGTGTATACATATGTATATATACATACACACATATATGTGTATACATATGTATATATACATACACACACATCATTTTATAGAAATATACACACTCTCTCTCTCTCTCTATATATATATATAATTCCTAATATATAATACCTATATTATTATATACATATACCCATTCAATAAATACTGAGCCAGGAGTACTGCCACGGAAGTATCACTGGAGAAACAAGCAATATTATCATAAACATTATCTGGCCCTGCTGGAATAGTCTGTCTGGGAGTTCTGAGGGTTCAGGGGTTCCTGGACTGATGCAGACAGCATTGATATTGGTGCAAGCCCCACTGGTGACATCAGTAGAAACTGACATGCTGAACTATGAGCTTCATGGTTGTTTGGACTCTGGACTGTCTACAGGGACAAAACAATGGAACAAATGGGAAGAAAAAGAAGCTGCCGTGTTGAATTTTTAAAGCAAAATTATTCTAAAAATTTTGAACTGTCTTGTGACATGTAATAAAATTATTAGTAGAAGATCAATATTTAAAACAAGACTTGTACTGAATAAATCAAAATTTTCATTTTATTTTAGGAATAAATATAGTCTTTAAATAAAATTATCTCTCAAAGTAATTAAATCCAGTCAGGTCACTAGCTTTTATTATTTCATATACTTTATTAATATTATGAGGCAATATCACCCATCATCTGTTATCATCATATTATGATGCATATTTATTAAATATCCCCATATTTCAAGCATAGGTGCATCCTATGAAGATATACCACAACAGAGCTTCTATTAGGTATAGAAACAAGGGGTCATAGATGATCAGAGCTAAAAGAAAACAAATTGCTTACCAAAAGCAACCTTGCCAGTTATTTTAGAAATAAAATTACTGAGACCAAAAGTGGTGTGGAGACTTTCCACAATAACTGTTCAGAAAGTTCTATCATCCAATTTTCTCCTGCTAATCCTGGAGTGCCTGCAACTAAAACCACCATTTAAAACCCCCCATGCAAAGACACGTTCTGTATTAGTAGTAACTCAATGCTCTGACAGAATACCAGAGTCCAAGCTCAAGACAAAGTTAAGAAAGATCAAGTATTTTGCAATTGATCACCATGCGTTGTGTGGTCTCTATCTCGCCTCAAGGCCTTCATGCTCTATTATAGGGAATAAAGAAGTGATATGTCTCTGTGTATAATAAATCAGATTGTTCATCTATAAAAAATAATAAGGCACTGTTATGAGTGTGACAGGATTAAGAAAGATGAAGAAATTTGAGCTCAGCCAAACAGAGGACAGAGGCTATAATCAGAGCAGGAGAGGGCTGGGAAGGAAGGACGCCATCCTTTATGATGTGTCACTCCTGAAAGAGGATGGTTAATGCATTGTATGATAATCAGCTTACTTACTCTTTATGGGTTGACTTTGACTCAACATAGAGAAGAATAATCTAATAGTGTAAGTCAACTAAAGAGATCAAGGCAACATCCTATGAATCACAGAGTAGCAAAGTGAAAAAAGCTTGAACCTCTAAAACCTTCATAAAGAAGAATTACTGCAGCACTGTAGACTTTTATAACAGCTGAATTACATCTTTAGTAGTACACTAACATATTACAGCAGGGAGGAGATACTATCTTAATTTGGCCCTGGGGCACAATAACCACAGCATAGATAAAATTTTGCAAGCATTCTTTTGTATTTACACCTTATTTTGATAGCCTACAGATGAATAAATTATTTCTGATGCTTGTACAATAACTGGCACATTCCACTTTCAAAATGCCTAATTGATTACACAGTCGCAAAACTCAATTACGAAGTACCAAAGAAAATATGTTACTGCGAAATTCATCTGATCTCTACATTGTCAAAGAATATTTCTTATGCAGGTATTAGTATATTATTCAGAATAGAATACCCAGATTAATATGATGTGCAAAGAATGTATGGGTAAATCCAGGATTGTCACTTTTCCCAATACCAGAGGCAAAAGTGCACCTTAGATTTTTTTGCACCTTAGATTGTGAAAATGATGCCACTTGCAGTTGCATATCCCACCGCCTTCACAGTCACATACTTCCACTCTGGTTTTTCTTTCTTTTTTTTTTTTTTTTTTTTTTTTGCCAAAAGAATTTGGAAACACTTATTAGTAAAGTAGTGAAAGTGCTTTGATATTTGGCCATTCTTTAGCCAAAGAAACTTGGTGGTCTCTTTTAGGTTCATCTATTAATGCTATGTCAATTTGTTTTCTATTTTGACTAACACACACACACACAAACCCCTTGGCTGAAATTTCATTATGGTCTGATGATAATTAAAGCAACTTAGTTCATTCATTGGCTGAGACCAATGTGACAGCTCCAGTTCTCTGATTTTTGACAATATTCAGGCAAAGAGATTATCTTAGTTCCCTTTTTAACTGTTTGATTGGCATAGTAACTAACAAGCCAGACAAGAGGTTTTAAAATATAGTGCAATTAGTGATAACTATATTTCCAGTATTATTCAATTAATTTAATGTATGAAAAGTCATAAAAATACACAGAGGTGCAAAAAAATTTCAAAAACCTTCTCAGATGGGTATTAATTCAGTGAGTGCTTTGCATAAAATCACTAAATGTAGAAGTTAAAAAAAAGAAAATTTTATACATTCTCTTATGTAATTATCATAAAGAATAAGAGTGGTTCTTTATTTTACTCAACTTCTAATACCAGTGACAGAATGTCCTTTCAACAGATTAAAATTAATGAAAAATAAATTAGATAGTATCTTGTAATAATAATAATTAATACTACTCAAAATGGAAACAAGCAGCTGAAAAATGTTTTGAATGATTGATTAAAAATGCCAAATGCATTTTTAATGATAGTGTCTTTTCTTCATTCATTCAGAAAATGTTTATTGAAAATGTAATACAAGTCAGGTTTTTCTGAGAAATAATGATCTACAAAGCAATAAATAAAACAGATTAAGTACTTGTGTTATTGGAGCTTACATTCTAGTCTTAATGCAGTTGGTAATACATATAATAATTGACTTTTGATTACAAATGTAAAAGTTCTTTTAAGTAACAGTAGTTGTATTCTTTTTTAAGGCAGGGTCTTACTCTATCACTCAGGCTGAAGTACAGTTGGCATGATCACACTCACTGCAGCCTCAACCTCCTGGAT
Source organism: Homo sapiens (assembly GCF_000001405.40). Taxonomy (NCBI): domain Eukaryota; kingdom Metazoa; phylum Chordata; class Mammalia; order Primates; family Hominidae; genus Homo; species Homo sapiens. The sequence goes on along the minus strand of NC_000018.10, from coordinate 54,560,295 downwards.
TCAAGCAGTCCTCCCACCTCAGCCTCCTGAGTAGCTGGGACTACAGGCACATACCACCATGCTCAGCTAGTTTTTTGTATTTTTTGTAAAGACAGCGTTTTGCCATGTTGCCCAGGCTGGTCTCAAACTCCTGAGCTCAAGCGATCTGCCTGCCTCAGCCTCTCAAAGTAGTTGTATTATATTATGGATAATAGTCTGCTTTTAAAAAATGTATGCAATTATATTTTAGATACAAGGACCTAGAAATATGATCAAACTCCAATGAACAAAAGTGAACTCTATCTTCCAGACTCTATGTCAACTTACAATGACCAGGAGCTCATTCATTTTCTAGAGTACAACATTTTCTCTTGAGTTGACCTACACTACTAGATCATTCTTCTCTATGTTGAGTCAAAGTCTTCTCAGTAACTTTAACTTATTGCCCCGGGTTCTGTTTTGTAGAGAGATACCCAAAATAAATCAAATTATTATTCTACACATGCACTCATATGTTCACCACTGCATGATTCACAATAGCAAAGATATGGAATCAACCCAGGTGTCCATCAATGATAGACTGGATAAAGAAAATGTGGTACATATACACCATGGAGTATTATGCTGCCATAAAAAGAATGAAATCATGTCCATTGCTGCAACATGGATGGAGCTAGAGACCATCATCTTAAGCAAAATTAATGCAGGAACAGAAAACCAAATGCTGCATTTTCTCACTTACAAGTGGGGGCTAACATTAAGCACACACGAACATAAATATGGAAACAATGGACTACTATATGGTAGAGGGAGGGGCTGTGGGTTTAAAAAGTATTTATCAGGTACTATGCCCACTATCTGGGTGACAGGATCCATACACCAAACCTCAGCATCGTGCCATATTCCTGTGTAACAAACCTGCTCGTGTATCCCCTGTATCTAAAATAAAAGTTGAAATTTTAAAAATTCTTCTAAATGGTAGTTCTTATTTTAGCACCACAAACATGCCCCCTCATTACTCAAATTTTAAAAAAAAAAAAACTTCTTACAAAAAAAAATTACAATTTGACTTTTACCTAAGTCAGTTATTTTTAATGGGGAAGAGGTAAGGAAATGAATAGCACCATCTGTTGTTGCAAAATGTTACTGCAGCCTCCTAAATGGGTGTTAACACCTGGGCAGCATTTTCCACACTTGCCAGTACTATTACAATTGTAATAATAACAATTAGCACCACTCAAAATGGAAACAAGCAGCTGAAAAATACATTTTGACCCATATGAGTAATTTGTCTAATTCCACATTACATTAGATTAAAAATGTCAAATGTGTTTTTATCAATAGAATATTGTCTTTTACTCCCTCATTCAGAATGAATAAATTCACTATAAAAAGATATGTGCTTAACAAGTAGGTGCACCTCTCTGTTCATAATTTAATTCTTATAACCCCTCTAAGAAGGAAAGATTATTATCCCCATGTGTTGATGAGACATCAACTCTTAAAGAAACACTCAATGACTCACAAGCTAAGTTTAGTGTGTGAATCTGAGGTTACCTCACTTATCCAACAATCATTTAATTAAGGTCATTCTATAATTATTGTACACCTTTGTTAATAATAGGAGAAGAAAAAGTATACATTGTAAAATGGCAAATTTTATGATATGTGAATTATATCTCCATAAAGTTGATATTTGAAAAGTATATTGAGGGGAGATGGGAAAAGTGAATTAGAAATGAAAGACATTTAGAAGTGAATCATTCAAAGGGACCAAACAAAAACACTGAAAAAAAAATAAAGATACTGGTGACTTATCTTCAAATGCATCAGGGATGCCTAGATGTTATTAACACAAGACAGGGCAGCAAAACAGAGGTAGTGTTGAGGGCTGGAAATAGAACATCCATGGGGCAGGAGTTGCAGGCATCCAGGCTGTAAGTAGTAGCAATGGCTTAGCAAATCTAATTGAAGATGCCAGGCTTCCTATCCATGCAAACACTCCAATCTCCAACCCAGATTTAAACAGATGATCAGCACTAAGGCATCCCCATTGGAGAAGCCCATCCTCTCACCGAGTACAAGAATCATGAATCTATCAAGAGCTCTGCAGGTCTTGCAGTCTTAGTTAAGGTCTGTAGGAGTCAGCAGGTCTTTAGCATTTGGAGGTAAAGTTTATGGAAAAGACCTAGTCTCCAGGGGTGAGGCCTGAAAAGAACAAAGTATGGCTGTAAGCACTCTTGGGAAATGAGTGGGAATCAACCAGATATTCATCAGCAATACAAAAGGGATCCTCTAATTATCAGACGCTGCAAACTAGCTCACAGAAAAGGGATTAAAAGCTGCAGGGCCATGATGGAGTTGTCCAATCTGAGGTCCTGTGGGAGCTGGGGACAGCTCTAACCCTACAATCACAGTGGGACTGCAGGAATCAGGAATCAGCATTGGGACATTCAGCCCCCACTCAGGGCCACAGCAAGGAAAGTTTTGAGCAGAATGTCAGGGTAGGACTGTGCTGTCACAGTGGTCAGAGTATGGGATTTGCCACCTAATCTGAGTTGAAGGTGGCAGAAGATGAGTATGAAGCACCCCTGCCCAACAGCAGAAGATAAGGGGCAGTAGCACTAATATAATTATTTTCTTTGACCCAGTTCTGCCTGGGACTAGGACAGACGCTGGGGCAAGAGAGAGGTTACAGGTGAGGGGGTTTGGTGGATTCAGCCATGAGGACCTGAGAGAGGCTCAGGCAGGGCCCAAGGGATGGAGCTGGAAATAAACATATTTGGAGTGATGATTTTCAACGTGTAAGAAAGCAAAGAAAATAATCTCTGAGCAAAGAAGCTGGTCACAGCATGGAGAAGAGAATCAGATCTTAAAGGTCCTGATGTACACAGGTTAGAAAAGGTGAGGAAGAAGGGCACTAGAGAAGGCGAGAGCAGCTAAGACAATGCAGAGGAGCTATAAGATTGAAGGAAATTATAAAGATAGGGCCAGGTATACAGAAAGGCTGTTGTGAAAATGTAGAGAAATGGTATCAATGTACAAAGTGAGAAAGCAGATGATGAGAACTTTGATTTTAAATCTAGAAGAGATAAGACATAACTTCAAGAAAACAGCATGGTCATTGTATGTGAATAAAATATTGAGGGTTGGGGTTCCATTCTCAGTAAAGGACAAATGACTGTATATCCCTGGATTGTCTGAGCAATAAGAGTAATATTCATGGTATTGATCACTCACTGCATGTTAGGCACTATGTTGAGTCTTTTCACCCAACCCACCCTCCCTTCCTACCAAATCCATTGCAAACTCTCCCAACTGTCTTCCCTATTTCCACTTCTACAATCCCCCAAACCCTTTTCCACACAGCATCCACACTGTTGATCTAAAATGAAAGCAAATATGCCACTATCCTGCTCAGAACACCTCAATGGCATTTCCTTTTCAGAGGGGAAATCACTAAAACTTAGAATGACCTGTAAGACCTTAAGAGGGGGGTAACCCCTGCTCTCCTGTCAAGCTTCATTGTTCACTCATTTATATACTTACTATGTCCCAACCATGCTGTCTTAAAAAATAAAGAAATATTTCAAATATAAGAACAGACAGAAAGAATTTTACATTGAACAGAATGTAAATGTTTCTAAACTATATATCTAAGAATGGATTTGCTAGATTCAAGTGTATGTGCATCTTCAATTGCCACGTTTTGCCAAATCAAGCTCTAAAACTACCTGTGTACATTCTTGTAGGAATGGTCTCAGTTTTATACCTACTTGCTAAAAATTAGGTATTGTCAGATTTTTAATTTCATCAGTTTGTTATAGGAATTGATATCCCCTGGTTACTGTAATTTATATCTTGTTCGTTTATCAATTTATTAATTCAAGAAATATTTATTGGATGCCTATATCTTCCAGGTCCTGACCAGAATTTTGAGCAACGAATAAAATTGCAAAGATTCCTGCCCTCATAGAGCTTCTATTCTAAATTCTGCATGCAAAAGGAGGGGTCTTGATAAACATTACAGGTATTTATTTGGGATCCAAAGAACTGTCTCTGACTAGGGTAGAGATGAATTGGAAACAAACTGACCCTCACAAGCAGGAAACCTCAAGTTTGAGTCATTTCCACACCTCATTGAATTAAGGTGATCCACCTCCAACCCAGCTGCCTGCCAGAAGTGGATGTAGATCATTTCTGGAGAAAGAGAATCCTTCTAAGATTCTCAAATTATTTCTATAAATTTTTCATGAAAAAATATTGGGCAAAAATTACTATGCATGTAAGAAAATAACATTTGTATGAAAAACAAGAGAAAGAAAATATACAAAAAAACAGACACACAGGAATAAAGGTACTGGAATTTCAGATATGACTTGAAAATCTTTATGATTAACATGTTCAGGAAATTAAAGATAAGGAGGTGAATTTGGCAGAAACATAAAACTATTTTAAAAATTTAAATTATAAAACTGAAAATAAAATAATATTAAGAATTCAATGGATGGCTTTGCAAACCAAAAATAAAATTTTAAGCTGCCCAACCATCTGAATAGACCTCTCCTCCTGGCAAAGGCATCCCAGAGTTAATCTGAAAAACTAGTTCAGGCCATGATGGGAAGGGGAGCAGCTAGACATGCCTCATTATAACCTCCTTCCTTTTGGAATGACTGAGAAGAGACTCTTTAAGTCATAAGAAACATTTACTCTCTGAAGCCTACTATCTGGAGGCTTTATCTACATGATAAATTCTTGGTCTCCACAATCCCTTATCACAACCCATGCATTCCTTTCTTTATTTTTCTTTTGAGACAGTGTCTTGCTCTGTTGCCCAGGCCGGAGTGCAGTGGTGCGATCTTGGCTCACTGCCACCTCTGCTCCTGGGTGCAAGGATTCTTCTGCCTCAGCCTCTTGAGTAGCTGGGATTTACAGGCCCCAGACCTTGTTATTCATAATAATTCTTTCAACAAATTGCCAATCAGAAAATCCTTCAATCTACCTGTGATCTGGAAGCCCCTGCTTTGAGTTGTCCAGCCCTTCTGGACCAAACCAATATACATCTTACATATGTTTATGGATGTCTCATGTCTCTCTAAAATGTATAAAACCAAGCTCTACCCTCATCACCTTGGGCACATGTCATCACGACCTCCTGAGGCTGTGTCACAAGCTCATCCTTAATCTTGGCAAAATAAACTTTCTAAACTGATTGAGACCTGTCTCAGATACTTTTGGTTTACAAATTGGCAACCTCAAAGGGATTCTGAGCAGAGGTGCTCCTGACCTTTGACAAATTTCCTGTCAGTGCCTGGCACCAGCTTGAGCTATCTTTATTGCTCAAAACAACAGGACAATTTTCTGGAGCCTGGGAGCTCCCTTCTCCATAGAATCCCCAATCTCCCAAAATCTGGTTGAGATTTAAAGTTTATTTAGCTGTACAGCTCCTTTTCTGGAGTTTTACTCACTTCCAACAAGGAAGGCGCTTGTTCCTGCTTCCATGGCAATAGAGAGGAGGCAACTGCTTTCTGGAGTTTCAGCTCACTTCCAATAGGGAAGGTGAATTTGAGGGTTTTTTTCCCCCCTGCTGCTAGGATGGTAGATAGCAGTCTTGAACCTGGGCCCCATTCCTGGGTAAGTAGCTGAATTGGGATTTTGTCTTGAAAATTCTCCTAAATAACTAAAAGTTAAAATTGACAACCAACTGCTCTTAATTTCTCCTTAACATTAGAGCACTAAGTAATCATTGTTTGTTTTTTTGTTTTGCTTGCTGTTGTTCTGGTCTTCCTTTGGATTTGACTGGCTCTACCCAACTTGGTCAAATCTGATTAGGAATTCCAAATTATGGAGAACAAGGCCTTTGAATTGGCTAAAATTCCTTGCAACTGAAAAATAAAAACATCCAGTTGGTTTCTCTGTTCACTTCCTTTCTTGAAAAAAAATTGTTCTTTCATTTACTTTTCTTCTGCCCTATTCCTCCTTCACTCTTGGCCATCTTCAGTATCAAGTGAAAAAAAAAATCTAGATAAGGCTTCTAATGACTCAGGTTCCTTAAAGAACTCAGAATAGGCTGGGCGTGGTGGCTCACGCCTGTAATCCCAACACTTTGGGAGGCCGAGGCAGGTGGATCACAAGGTCAGGAGATTGAGACCGTCCTGGCTAACACAGTGAAACCCCATCTCTACTAAAAATACAAAAAATTAGCCAGGCATGGTGGCGGGTACCTGTATTCCCAGCTAAACGGGAAGCTGAGGCAGGAGAACAGCGCGAACCCAGGAGGCACAGCTTGCAGTGAGCCGAGATAGCACCACTGCACTCTAGCCTGGGCAAATGAGTGAGACTCCATATCAAAAAAAAAAAGGAGAACTCAGAATAAAGGTGCCGCTCACCCCTTTGGGGCATGTTCAGTTTTCTTTGTGGAGTTTCAAGAGTCATGGGCAGATTCTTCTTAGGTCTACAGCCCTGCTTTCTTGTATTGCATTAACTGACCTCTTTGGCTTTGTGGGGGTATCAGAGGCTACCTCGTATTGTGAGAAGATTTGACCTTGGTGTGTGTAAAGGAGGACAAGAACTACAACATTAGGGGTGGCTGAGGACAGTTTATAGAAAGTGGTCTTAGCTGGGTTTTTTCCCTCCTAAGAAATTGTTGTTGAAAATCCTAAGTCGAGTTTGGTGGTGCATTCTAAAGGGTCTTCTCCATTGCCTTGTCTCTCAAAATTAATCTCGATTGGTATGTCTGTACATTTGTGTGAGGAACTGAACTGTCATTCTTGTAGATACATGAGAAACTGAGTTCCTCAGCTCTAAAGAGAAAGGGGCTTTTGCTCCTCCCAGCCAAAAGGTGCCCCTGGGTGACCAAGTGGGCCCGAGTGGGATTGTCCAGGGAGCTGACCTCCCTGCAAAGTGCAGTGGCCCTACAGGGAAACTCCACCAAAATTAAAAAGGCTTGTCCAGGAAGCACATATAAGAGCTGGTCACTCTATACTTAGAACCTCTTAAAGGTGCTAGCCCTTCGGAGAGAGAAAGAGGGAAGAAATGACACAATAGTGACACACTGTGGAGTTCTACTCAATCAGCACACTTCTCTCCACTACACTAAACCCTAGGCTACAGCTCAGTTTCTCCTTGTAAGAAAAAAATGTGGGAAACATACCATCTCAGAATGAGGAAAGACAAGGAGAAGGACCCCCTTTTGGGCACCTCATTGGTTTTATGGAGCTTCTACTTGCAAGTATTTGTGTAAAATGGAAAAGGTTGAGGGCATGCCAGGTTCTGTAGTACTCCAGCTGGTTGCATATTATGGTCATTTTGTGCACATTTTAAACTGATGGACAAATTACATCAAGGAAAAATTCAGAGCCCAGGGGTTGACCTGCAACTAAAGAGTTCCTAAGTTGTCTATTTCTTTATTTTCTTTTCTGCCTGCTTTAAATCCGCTGTTACTGTTCTACTGAGATAAAACCCACTATTTGAATGCAACTTTTAATTTTTGTTATTGTTTTTGTAAACCAGTGAGTTTGTATTAGTATCCCATGCCTAGAGCTCTAAAGTAAAAGCTATAGGATCTTAGTTTGTATGAGCATGTATGTGTGTGTTTAATGTGTACATACATGTACACATGTACATGTATTTTGTTTTGCGATTTGGCCACAAAGTACCAAATTGTCTTAAAGTTAAAGAATACTCATAAAACTAAATAATAAGACCACATGCTTTACAAGTTCATGTGACTTAAGTAAAATATTTAATAAATAAGCTGGTTTTAAAAGTATTGGTAAAGTAATATTAGAAATGTCTTAAGAACTGTCAGCATTTTCATTTCTACTTATTGATCAAGTGGTTCATACTTATCCCTGCCAAATACTATAAGTTATCAAAATTTGCCATAAGGACTATAAAACTATAAACCCAGCCCAAAACAGAATGATCTTTGATTGTGAAATGTTTGATAAATATGATATTTAATATAGTTGGTTTAATAAAAACATCTAAATCCTGAGTTACTGGTAAAATACCTATATATTTAACTTAAGGTTATTTAGGTAAACATCTAAAATTCACAGCCTATAAAAATGGTTAACAAGGAAAAAACTTTAAATGATGACTATCACAGTTTTCATCAATAATGTAGGTAAACTATTAAAAAATAATAATAAGTTAATCAAGTAAATGTAATGGAATAAATGCATATAAGTAAAATTGTCACATAATTTAGAATCTAAACATATCAAATTAAATTACAGATATTTATTCAATGTCTGGGTCATTTCCAGTTTAAGAAATCATATGAAAACAACTATCTAAAAAAATATGTTTTTGTCTAATTCAGAGGTTATTTATAAAGCAAGGTAAAAGGAAACAGGAAGTAAGAGATACAAAGAAGGTTGTAGATATAAAGATATATTTTTGATAAGAAAGGTTATGAGAAAGAATCACATAGTAAATTTTGACCTAAAATAAAATGACTGGTTGTTTAAGAGAGATGTTTAGAACAAAACAGAAAGTCCAAGCATATCACAAATGGTCTGTGTAAGTCATAATAAGGTTCATTGAAAGAAGGAATTTATAAAAATGTTACGTGATTAAGTTGGTCATAGTTAAAGGAAATTATAACAAATAGTCTTTCTAAAAATTGGACTGATATTAAAAGAACACTAATATAAAACTAAAGAATTGGTTAGAACTATATTTTCTTATAATTTGATTTACTCAGTGAAATTGCAAGAAGCTTTTAATTTTTAAAATCTATTATCCCTTTCTTTTTAAAATTCTTCAGATTGATACCTCAGAAGTTCAACTTCTGCTGTACCCTGCTGCTTCAGCTCTTTCTCCATTTTAGAAGGCCTGGGATGGTAACTCTCTCCCACTTTTGTTGGCTACTGTGTAATTTTTTTTAATTAATAGTCTAAAGTAAGGGAAAATTTTTGAAAACTGGCAAATGGCAAATGCAAACTCTTATAGGATCTGCCTCTGTCTGTGTGTTTGTTATATCTATATATTTATATGTCATGTGGAAGTGGTATTTCACTACCCATTATATGAAAAAGCTCTAATCAATTGGCTTGAAAAACAAAAGTAAGTGCTTCTCAGACTAATAGAATCTAGCTCAGATGCTTTTTAGTTCATATGACTAGCAATCTTTGGTAAGATTAATTTGTTAAATTAAATCTCAATTTTCTCCAGTAGTTTAAAATCTTCTTAAAGTCATGCTATGTTAAATTAAGTAATACTAGGTTTTCCTATGGGAATTAGGGTTGCTAATAGAACAGTAGGAAATAAAAAATGTGTTTTTGGTAAGTTTATAAAAACATGAATATGTAGTTTTTGCTAAAGAAAATGTAATTTTTCTCATTTATTGACTATTTAAGGGTTGCTTCAAAATAAAAGAAAAAATATAAATAAAACTAATGAATAAAGAGAAATAAAAGTGCAGGAAATAAGAAACCTTTGACTACTGGGTGGCCATGTGGTCACCCATGGTATGGAGTTGCAGCAGGGCTGTATTCAGTTACTAAAAGCAAAAGTAACCAGTGGAATTTAGATGATGGATCATACTCTAAATTCCAAAATCCAAAAGCTATTCATAAATATTTTGATTTTATGACAACATAGTTATCTGCATAAGTTTAGTAAGAATCCCTTCTTTTGAAACAAGTCACAATTGGAGACGCTGGTTATTTTACCAAGGGTTTGACTGGACTAACACATTTTCAGGTAAAGTTCCAGCAAAGCCAACTTGAAAAGAGCCTATATGGCCAATCAATTCTTGTTGCACTTTATGCAAATAATCAAGCCAAGTATAATAAGCCTAAAACTTATTTTGCACACAAATTGGTCTTATTATTTCTCTTTAGTAGAAAATGAGGGCTAAAAAAGGAAATTGTTTCAAAGGAAAACTGTACCACATATTACTAGATTCTAGCCCTGACTTTTGAGTGCAGATTGAAAAATGAATTATTTCTTGGCTACAATAATCATCTAAAGAGCACAGCACCAGGTTATAATTTTCTTCACATTTTTAGTTGGAGTTCTAATGGAATAGATTCCTTTTTCTGTTCTGACACGTACATTATCTTTTAATTGTCCAATTATTAATATTATTTATCTCCCATAGTTTTACTTGGTCTGAGAAAACTAGAATCATGATATTCCAAAGACTAGAGATGATTTGGCAAAGCCTGTAAATTTTCCTCATCTAGAATCCCACTGAGCCCAATCTATTTTTCACTGCAAATGCACTGCTGCTAAAAGTATACAAGCACCTAAGGCCCAGGACTATCCTGGAAGAGGTGGGTCCATGAGATTGTAAGGGCCAGTTTTGAGGGCTGGAATTAATTCAGATCCTCCAAATCAAGGATGAGCTACACAGATGTCTAAACAGCTGGCAAAATAATGGGCTTTGCCTCCTGTGTTATTATGTGCATGGCACCTTTTCATCCACCCCAACCATAAAGAATTTTTCTCTTTCCCATATAACTGAAAGAAAATTATTACTGAGAGGATATAATGATACCTCATGACAAAGCCTTCTGGGTATAATACTCCTAGCTATGAAATTTATGCATATATATATATTTTTAAATTTTATCAGCCATCTTACAACAAAATTACTAAAAGACCACAAAAAGCATTGTGGTACAACAAAAGCCCTAAATTTCTTAGTGTAAAAGGTTTTAATAATGATTATGTTTTCTTTTTCTTTTTCTTTTTTTTCGAGACAGAGCCTTGCTCTGTTGCCAGGCTAGAGTGCAGTGGCACAATCTCGGCTCACTGCAACCTCTGCCTCCCAGGTTCAAGTGAGTCTCCTGCCTCAGCCTCCCAAGTAGCTGGGACTACAGGCACATGCCACCATGCCCAGCTAGTTTTTGCATTTTTAGTAGAAACAGGGTTTCACCATGTTGGCCAGGATATTCTCTATCTCTTGACCTCGTGATCAACCCCCCTCAGCCTCCCAAAGTGCTGGGATTACAGGCATGAGCCTCCGTGCCTGGCCAATAACAATTATGTTTTCTATAGCTAATTCCTATAAGTCTGTGACCAAAACCAAGATTATGGTAGCTCAATGCATAGAAGTTAAAGATAAAGTCAATTTTCTAACCTTGCTGTTGGCTTTTGTTTGTTGGATTTTATACTACTTTAAAATTTTTGAGGGGTAATGAATGCCTGTCCACATCCATTCCTATCTGGCCTAAAAAATTTCATTGGCTATAAGTCTTTTGGCTCTAAGTGCCTTGGCCTTTGGGAGTCCCACTGAGGCACAGGATGGGCCTATGGCAGGCAGACATGCCACCCTGTTAACACTGTGAGACAAAGTAAAAGTTCCGTGGCATTGATTCTGGCAAATCCTGGACAGAAGGGGGAGAATGTAAACCAAAAATAAAATTCTAAACTCCACAACATCTGAATGGACCTTCTTCTCAGCCAAGGGTATTCCAAAGTTAATCTGAAAAACTAGTTCAGGCCATGATGGGAAGGAGGGAGCTGGACATGCCTCATTATACCCTCTTCCCTTTTGGAATTACTGATAGAACAGACTCTTTAAGTCTGATAAGAAACATTTGCAATGTATTCTCTCTGAAGCCTACTACCTGGTGGCTTTATCTGCCTGAAAAATACTGGTCTCCACAACCCCTTATCATAACCCAGACATTCCTTTCTATTACTAATAAATCTTTCAACTAATTCCCAATCAGAAAATCTACCTGTGACCTGGAAGCCCCTGCTTCAAGTTGTCTATCCTTTCCAGACTGAACCAATGTACTTCTTATATGTATTGATGGATGTCTCATGTCTCCCTAAAATGTATGAAACCATGCTATACCTCGACCACCTTGGGCACATGTCATCAAGACCTCCTGAGGCTATGTCATGAACATGTTCTTAACCTTGACAAAAATAAGCTTTCTAAACTGAATGAGCCTCACCTCCAATACTTTTGGTTTACAGCTTTGTATTAGTCTGTTATCACACTGCTCTGAAGAAATACCAAGACTAGGTAATTTATAAAGGAAAGAAGTTTAATTGACTCACAGTTCTGCAGGACTGGGGAGGCCTCAGGAAACTTACAATCATGGTGGAAGGGGAAGCAACGTGGTGGCAGCAAGAAGAAATGCCTAGCAAAATGGGGAAAAAAACCCTTATAAAACCATCAGATCTTGTAAGAACTCACTATCATGAGAAGAGCAGCAGATAGGTAACCACCCTATGATTCAATTACCTCCCACTGGGTCCTTCCCACAACACGTGGGGATTATGAGAACTACAATTCAAGATGAGATTTGGGTGGGAATGCAGCCAAACCATATTATTCCACCCCAGCACCTCCCAAATCTCAAGTCCTCACACTTAAAAACAAAATCATGCCTTCCCAACAGTGCCGCAAATTCTTAACTCATTCCAGCATTAACCCAAAAGTCCAAATCCAAAATCTCATCAGAGACAAGGCAAGTCCCTTCCACCTATGAGCCTGTAAAATCAAAAGCAAGTTAGTTACTGCCTACATGAATGAAGGCACTACATGCCTCATGCAGGTCCAAAATCTAGTGGGGCATCAAACCTTAAAGCTCCAGAATGATCTCCTTTGACTCCATGTCTCACATCCAGGTCACACCCCCATGGCCTTGGGCAGCTCCACCCCTGTGGCTTTGCAAGTTATAGCCCCCCTCCTAGCTTCCTTCACAGACTGTCATTGAGTGTCTGTGGCTTTTCCAGGCGTGCAAGGCAAGCTGTTGGCAGATCTACCATTTTGGGGTCTGGAGGATGGTGACTGTCTTCTCACAGGTCCACTAGGCAGTGCCCCAGTGGGGACTCAGTGTGGGGGCTCCAACCCCACATTTTCCTTCTGCACTGCCCTAGCAGAGGTTCTCCATCAGGGTTCAGCCCTGGCAGCAAACTTCTGCCTAGACATCCAGGCATTTCCACACATCATCTAAAATCTAAGCAGAGATTCCCAAACTTCAATTCTTGACTTCTGTGCACCTACAGGCCCAACACCATATGTAAGCCACCAAGGCTTAGGGCTTGCACCCTCTGAAGCAATGGCCTGAGCTGTACATTGGCCCCTTTTAGCTGTGGCTGGAGCTGAAGCAACTGGGATACAGGGCACCATGTCCCAAAGCTGCATAGAGCAGGGGGGCCCGCCCAGGAAACCACTTTTTCCTCCTAGGCTTCCAAGCCTGTGGTTTAACATCAAGGGCTGCTGTGAAGGTCTCTGTCATGCCCTGAAGACATTTTCCCCCATTGTCTTTGTGATTAGCATGTGGCTCCTCCTTACTTATGTTAATTTCTGCAGCTTGCTTGAATTTCTCCCCAGAAAATAGGGTTTTCTTTTCTATCACATTGCCAGGGTGCAAATTTTTCAAACTTTTAAGCTCTGCTTCCTCTTGAATGCTTTGCTACATAGAAATTTCTTCTGCCAGATACCCTAGATCATCTCTCTTAAGTTCAAAGTTCCACAGATATCTAGGGCAGGGGCAAAATGCCACCAGTCTCTTTGCATAGCAAGAGTGACCTTTACTCCAGTTCCCAACAAGTTCCTCATCTCCATCTGAGACCACCTCAGCTTGGACTTCATTGTCCATATCACTATCAGCATTTTGGTCAAAGCCATTCAACAAGTCTCTAGGAAGTTCCAATCTTTCCCACGTTTTCCTGTCTTCCTGTGAGCCCTCCAAACTATTCCAACCTCTGCCCGTTACCCTGTTCCAAAGTCACTTCCACATTTTTGGCTATCTTTACAGCAGTGTCCCACTCTACCAGTACAAATTTACAGTGTTAGTCCATTCTCATGCTGCTATGAAGAAGTATCCAAAACTGGGTAATTTATAAAGGAAAGAGGTTTAATTGACTCACAGTTTCCACAGGGCTGGGGAGGCCTTGGGAAACTTTATAGTCATGGTGGAAGGGAAAGAAAACACATCTTTCTTCACGTGGTGCCAGCAAGGAGAAGTGCCGAGCAAAAGGGGGAAAAACCCCTTATAAAACCATTAGATCTCATGAGAACTCACTCACTATTATGAGAACAGCAGCATGGGGGTAACTGCCCCCATGATTCAATTACCTCCCACCAGATCCCTCCCATGACATGTGGGGTTCATGGGAACTACAATTCAAGATGAGATTTGGGTGGGGACACAGCCAAATCATATCAGGCTTTATTAGCAAATTAGATACAATTAAGGAGAGAGATTAGCAAACTAGAAGATGCATCAGAAAAAATACAGAGTGAAGCACACAGAGACAAAAAAATGGGGGAATAGTATGAGTCCAAATGGACATGATTTAAATATATCCATCACAGAAGAGGGAAGAGAGAGGATAAGCAGAAGCAGTTATGTTGGAAAATATTATGATTTCATATTTTTCAAACTAATATAAAAAACATTAAGCCCAAAACTAAAGAGCATTGAAATATAAATCAATAAAAGCTTCATCACTAAATAAATACAAGTAAAACTATGACAGAGGGAGATCACACTTGAACTTCAAGAAACCAAAAACAAAGAAGAAAATCTTAAAAGCAACCAGAGTAAAAGATAGATTTTCTTCAAAGCAGGAAAAATTGATTGATAATTTTCTTATCAACAGGAAGAGTTTGAGAAAGAAGAGTAGCTCAGAGCAGTGTGAACTGTGTGAGGTATGCAAAATTGATCAGGTTCAGAGAAACATGAATATGAGACTTCAGTCAGGACAGGACTTCCCATCCCCCACCACCCACTACACCCTCCCCCTACCCCATCAAATCCACGCCCAGGGACAATTGTTAAAGGCATTTTTTCTTTCTTTTCTTCCTTACAGTTTCCAGACTAGCTGATAAATTACCTAAAATGTCATCACATGAGAGTGACCTACATTCAGTATCTTCACAAGATTAAATAAAGATATCTCATGAAGGCAACTTATAGCCAATCAATAGTTTGTTATTTTAATGAACAATGTAGGAACTGCTTTCTTTTTTTCCTTTAAAAACTCATTTTTGATAGCTGCTAATTAGAGCATATATTCAGGGAAAATTGAATCTGTGTCTCTCAGGTTGCAGTCCTCAAATTTGGTCCAAATAAACTCTCTACTTATTTTAATTTTGCCTCAGTTCCTTTCTTTAGGTTGACAACTTTGAGGCCAACTTCATATGGAGAAAATAAGATAACCTCAAACCACATAAAAACCTTCTGCTCTTGCTTTTACTTTTTCTCTTTCTCTTCTTTTTCCTTCCCTTTCTGAACTGTTCAGCCCTAAAGCCCACTAGGTGGGACAGAGCAAAGCAGGCATCTGCTTTGAAAGTGAAAAGGGCCAGAATGGCTCTAGGAGGACAGAGGCTGAACAGGTTACAGCGGATGTTATGAGAGATGACGCTGGGTTTTGTAGCAGAGTGGCATGAAGTGGGCATCTGTGTCACTGAAGGAGTGGCAGGAGTGTCATGGAATGGGACCTTGGTTACACACAGGGAAAATTAATCAAGCAAATTCACGATAATAGGAGTCAAAGGGCAGATGTGATTTATGACAAGGTAAGACAGCAGAGAAGTGGGAAAGGATAGCCTTTTAAATAAATGATGCAGGATCCTTTGGATAGCCACATGGATCAGTACCTAACACTAGGAACCATTGGTATAAGCAAAAACATATATGAATCTCACAAATATAAGGTTGAGTCAAAGAAGCCAGATGAAGAGACAGATGAAGAGAGTTCCTGTGATACCATGTCATTTCTACTATGTTCATAATCAGACAAAGTAATTAACAGTGTTAGAAATCAGAACAGTGTTTACCTTGCAGGGAAGAAAAACGAAGTGGTGATTGGGGAATGGCACATGAGAGTTTCTGAAGTGCTGATAATGTTCTATTTCTTGATTTGCATGTCGGTGTGTTCACTTTGTGATAATTCATTGCGTTGTGTCTTATGATTTGTGCATTTTCTGCTAATATGTTGTACTTCAACTAAAAAAATTAGAAAACTAATACTAATACTAATAGGAATAGATTAACATAAACAAAAGTAGATTAAAAATTGAGGTAACAGTGTAATTCCAATTCTAGTCATCTTAGTTTGGTAATAAATTCTTACAATGATCACTATTTTCTTTTGTGGAACAAATATTTATTATCTACTGGCTGCCAGGTACATATAGTGGTTAAACATAGAGGCCAGGTCCCTGGCTCTGAAAGTTTACCTCATATTGCCTTCCTATGATGCATTTACATGCTCATAGTTGACCCTTGAATGTCATGGGATTGAACTGTGCTGCAAATTTCTTATCTCCACCACGCTGAGAAAGCAAGACCAAACCCTCCTCTTCCTCCTCCTTAGCCTACTCAACATGAAGACAAGAAGGAAGAAGTCTATGATGATCTACTTCCACTTAATAAATAGTAAATGTGCTTTCTTTTCCTTCTGAGTTTCTTAATAATTTCTTTTATCTAGCTTACTTTATTGTAGGAATACAGACTGTAATACATATACAAAAGATGTGTTGGTTGACTATGTCATCGGAAATGCTTCTGGTCAATAGTAGGTTATTAGTTGTTAAATTTTTGAGGAGTTAAAAGTTATATGCAGATTTTAGACTGAGCAGAGATCAAGGGTCAACTGCATTAAATAAATATCTATTAAGCACCTACAATGTGTTAAACTAGGAAAATCTTCTATCTTTTAAAAAAACAAACTTGTATTTATTTACATAATGAATTTACTCTGGAACATTTCTCATCCTAATTAGCAGCAGAAATGTAGAACTAGAAAATAGTAAAAGTTACAACCAATAAAATTTATTTTACTATAATTTTTACTAAAATTTACTGTGAAAGAATTTGCAGAAAGAGAAAAGTTTAATCAGTGATACATTTAATAATAAAGTAATACTAATTGAAAATATAATGAAGAAAGGAAAGAAATAGAATTAAAGCACTTGAATACAGTTTTGTTAAATTAATTGCATATAATGGCAGCAGGCTAGCAAAATGGGGGGAAAACGCTTTTATAGGAATGACATTAAAAAAAGTTAAATATGATTTCTAAGTAGCATAAAGGCTATCAAAATCTTTGTTTTAAATTTCTTGAGAACACTTTTTTTGGTAAATAAAGCATTTTCACTCCCACTCCCAACCACGTGCTCAAGTGAAGTGCCTGTATACCGCCGTCTTTTGTTTATACATAGCAGTAACACCAAAAAGTGATTGAATTTTCTTAGTGCTTAAAAACTGTTAGATGATTTATATCAATCTCATCAACACCATCCAAAAGCTGTAACAAGTCACAATGTCCTCCTGAGTTCAACGCTTCATTGGGTAGTTATGAGCCCTGGCTACACACTTTTTGAAAAATATGGAATTCTGGCCCATCCTTGATGATTTTGATTCAGTAGAACTGCACTGGAATGCAAGTACCATCAACATTAATTTAAATCTGTCAATTACCAAGAATTCTAAATAACAGAACCCAAATTTGTAAGTATTTTTATCTGCATTTTTTTTTTTTTTAGAGACTTGCTCTGTCACCCAGGCTTGAGTGCAGTGGCATAATCATAGCTTACTGCAGCCTTGAGCTCCTGGGCCAAGCAATCCCCTCACCTCAGCCTACCGAGTAGCTGGGACTACAGGTGTGCACCACCACGCCCAGCTAATTTTTTTATTTTTTATAGAGGCAGGGTCTCACCCTGTTGTCCAGGCTGGTCTTAAACTCCTGACCTTAAGCAATCCTCCTGTCTTAGGGTCCCAAAATGTTGGAATTACAGATGTGAGCCTCTGTGCTTGGCCTGCATTTCTATTTTCTTTTCCTAAATTTTCTTCAGTACTTCAGCAAATAGCAGGCACACAGTAAATTGTCACTCAAAGTTTTTAATTGAATGACTGTACAAGATTATGGAAAAAACAGCGGAAAATAAATTTTTAAAACCAAAAATAGCGAGAACAAATTCAGAAATATTACTTAAATAGTAAAACAATTTAAACAGTAAATAATGAAATGGAAATAATTGCACACAATCTGAAGAGGAAATGTGGTACTTCATACATTTAATATACCCTCACCATACAGAATGTTCTTTCCCTATTACATAAGGAGTATATGTATTAAGCACTAAATCTTTGGAATAATAAAAGACTATATTCATATTTGGTAACTTATTTAATCAGAACAGGTTTACAACATAAATAAATAGATTGAACTTACTTTGTATAAAAATTGTATTATCTAAAACTTCACAGAGAAAATAGGAAAACTCCACGTTAAGTGTTCAGGTCTGCTAAGTCATATTTTTAAATCTAAGTGTAGGCATGAAAATGACTTCATTGTCATGGTAGTAATAGCTGAACTGGTCAATAAGTAAGTCTTGTTTTAGAAGTGGTTGTTTCTGGTAACCACTATAACCCCACGTTTTTGGAGTTATATGTTGGCACTGATACTGGCCATAGAATTCCCTATGGTATTGATGGTTGATACAGAATCTGGTATATCTGGTGTAGGAATGAGGATAGTACATGTTAGGATTTAATTTCTAGGTATACTAACCACAGTTGCCCCAGGAATAGGTCATTAGAAAGTTGTCATTTTTGTCAAGTGAGAGTAGTAATCTGACTTAGTCAATTTACTAGAAAAAAATGATAGTGTTGCATTTATGAATAAGCACTGAATGACTTTGAATAACATGCTAATAGAAATTGTGATGCTTGTAGATTCCAGTGATAGGGTACTAAAAGGTTCAGTAAAGTTTTGTCTGTTGTAGGAGTACATAGAGTAGAAATGTGGTCTCTATTGTGAAATTTCAGTAGATGTCATGGGAGTAGCACATTTTGCTGATGTGGCATGGTTGCTGTGGCTATGAAGGGACTCATTTGAAGGGGCCATGGAAGAGCTGGCAGTATTATGATAGCAGATTATG
This sequence comes from Homo sapiens, assembly GCF_000001405.40. NCBI lineage: Eukaryota > Metazoa > Chordata > Mammalia > Primates > Hominidae > Homo > Homo sapiens. Next base: position 54,541,442 of record NC_000018.10, on the reverse strand, counting down.
TAGAAACTGTAATTGCATTTTCTATTAACAGGTAATGATGCTCATGGAGATTGTAAACTGAGCTGACATTGCTAGGGAGTTGTGATCGAAGAGTCAGTTGAGTTAGTAGTGTATGTGTTGGCTTTCATTTAGTTGAGTTGGTGTCAGTGGAGGTTAAAGATGATGTTTTAGTTGTATCAGAAAACAGAATAGATTCAGTAACTGAGTTGGAGGTAGCTATTGTGAGGGTTGTAAATTCAATTAAAGTGCTGGTAGTAGTGCCTGATGATTTTGTTAAAGTAATAGTCATTTGTAGGTTCATTTGATATGAGAGTAATTCAGGGTTGAGTTAAAGTTGTTGGATGATTTAGGTAGTTGTAGCTTTAACTGAAGTGGGAGTTTTGGCCACTGTGGATACCAATGAGTGAAACTGTTAATCTTATGATAGTAGATTCAGTAAAAAGTTACAATGGTCGTAGACTCAGTTAATATGAACCTGGTTGTCATGGCTGTGGCCTCAATTGAAAAGATAATTGTGATAGCAGTAATGTATTCAGTTGAAGGAACAAAGCTTGAAGTTACAGTGATAAGTTTGGATTAAGAAATGGTGCTCACAATTATGCTGACACGTTCAGATGAGGTGCTACCAGTAGGTGTCCTTATAGTAACTTCGGTTAAAGTAGCAGCTGCTGTTGTGGTTATTAGCTTATTTAAAATGGTAGCAGGCCAGGTGTAGTGGCTCATGCCTGTAATCCCAGAACTTTGGGAGGCTGAGGCGGGTGGATCACGAGGTCAGGAGATTGAGACCATCCTAGATAACATGGTGAAACCCCATCTCTAATGAAAATACAAAAAATTAGCCAGGCGTGGTGGCACATGCCTGTAGTCCCAGTTACTTGGGAGGCTGAGGCAGGAGAATCGCTTGAACTCAGGAGGCAGAGGTGGCACCATTGCAATCCAGCCTGGGCAACAGAGTGAGACTCTGTCTCAAAAAAAAAAAAAAAGTGGTAGCACTACCAATTGCATCTACACACTCATTAGATGAGGTCCATGTTGTTGTTCTGTTAAATTCAGCTGAAGTGCTATATATGGTTGTGTGGTTTGTGGTCAAATTGAAGGAATGGCTGCTGTTGTGATAATTGGTTCTTTTGAAGCAATTGTCCTGGCTCTTATACTTACAGGCTAGTAGAAATGCTGCCTATGATTGTTATGGTAATGACCGTAGTAAAAATGGTGGCTATTTCTGTTTTCCAGGTTTAGTTCAGTCAAAGTGGTGGATGCTGTTGGAGTAGTGGGTTCAGTAGAAGTAGTAATGGGGATTTTGTGGTTGTAGCCTGAGTCGGAGTGCCTGCAGTTGTTGTGGTGGTCAGTTCAGGTGAACTGGTGGCTGTAGTTGTGGTTGAAGATTTTGTAGAAGCAGAGTTGGGATCATTGTGATTGATGACTCAGTGGAAGTCCCTGCAGTTGCACTAGTCTGTTCAGTGGGCATCATGGCTACTATTGTGGTTGTATACTCAGTGAGGGCATTAGCAGTGGCAATTTTGGTTGTACCCACTATGGAAGTACCCACAGTCATTGTGGTAGTCTGTTTAGTTTCAGTGCTAGCTACTATTGTGCTTATGGGTACAGTAGAAGGGAGAGTGGTGGCTGTTGTAATTGTAGCCACAGTGGAAGGGCCTGATGTTATTATGGTGGCTGTTTCAATGGAGATACTGGTTGCTATTGGTGTTGTAGATCAAGTAGAGGACGTAGTAGTGCTCACCATGGTGGCAGCCTCAGTAAAAGTGCTGGCAATTAGGTGGCTTGTTGGATTGAAGTGGTGATTTCTGAGGAAGCAGTGGTGGTGGCCAATGTGGTTGAAGACTCAGCAGAAGTTGCTGCACTTGTGGCAAACTGGTCCGTTTCAATGCTGGCTGTTGTAGTGCCCGGCTCAGCAGAGGTGGCAGTGGTGGTAATTGCAGTAGCAGTATCAGTTGAAGTGCCTGCAGTTGTTGTGGCAGACTGTTCAGTTGCAGTGCTGGCTGTTGTTGTGGTTTCAGGGTCAGTACAGATGGCAGTGGTGGCTGTGGTGGTTGTAGCTTCAGTGGAAGTGCCTGCACTTGTTGTAGCAGACTGTTCAGTTGCAGTGCTGGCTGTTGTTGTGGTTGTGGGTTCAGTAAAGTTGGTAGCGGTGGCTGTTGTGGTTGTAGCCTCAGAGAAAGTGCCTGCAGTTGTTATGGCAGACTATTCAGTTGTAGTGCTGGCTGCTGTTGTAGTGCTTGGTTCAGTAGAGTTGGTAGTGGTGGCTGTGGTCGTTGTAGTCTCAGTGGAAAGGCCAGCAGTTGTTGTGGCAGACTGTTCAGTTGCTGTGCCAGGTGTTGTTCTACTACTGGATTCGGAAGAGGTGGCAGTGGTGGCTATTGTGGTAGAAGTGTCAGTGAAAGTGCCTGCAGTTCTGGTGGCAGACTGTTCAGTTACAGTGCTTGCTGTGGTTGTCATTGTGGGTTCAGTAGAAGTGGTAGTGGTGGCTGTTGTGGCTGTTGTCTAATTGGAAGTGCCTGTAGTTGTGGTGGCAGACTATTCAGTTACAGTGCTGGCTGTTGTGGTGGTGGGTTCAGTAGAGGTGGTAGTGGTGACTGTTGTGGTTGCAGCCTCAGTGGAAGTGCCTGCAGTTGCGGTGGGAGACAGTTCAGTTGCAGTGCTGGAGTTTGTAGTGCTGGGTTCAGTAGACGTGGCAGTGGTGTCTGTTGTGGTTGTAACTGCAGTGGAAATACCCCCAGTTGTTGTGGCAGTGGTGTCTGTTGTGGCTGTAACTCCAGTGGAAGTACCTTCAATTGTTGCAGTAGACTGTTCAGTTGTAGTGCTGGCTGTTGTTGTGGTTGTGGGTTCCATAGAGGTGGTAGTGGTTGCTGTTGTAGTTGCAGCCTCAGTGGAAGTGTCAGCAGTTGTAATGGCAGACTGTTCAGTAGCAGTGCTTGCTGTGGTTGTCATTGTGTGTACAGTAGAAGTGGTAGTGGTGGTTGTCGTGATTGTAGTCTCAGGGCAGTGGCTGCAGTTGTGGTAGCAGACTCTTCACTTGCAGTGCTTGCTGTGGTTGTCATGGTGGGTGTCTTGGTAGAAGTGGCAGTGGTGACTGCTGTGGATGTAGCCTCAGTGGAAATGCCTACTGTTTTGGTGGCAGACTGTTCAGTTGTAGTGCTGGCTGTTGTTGTGGTTGTGGGTTCAGTAGAGGTGGCAGTGGTGGCTGCTGTGGTTGTGGTCTCAGTAGCAGTGGCTGCAGTTGTGGTGGCAGACTGTTCAGTTGCAGTGCTTGCTGTGGTTGTCATTGTGGGTTCAGCAGAAGTGGCAGTGGTGGCTGTTGTGGTTGTTGTCTCAGTGGAAGTGCCTGCAGTTGTGGTGGCAGACTGTTCAGTTGCACTGCTGGCTGGTTGTGGTTGAGGGTTCAGTAGAAGTGGTAGTGGTGGCTGATGGGGTTGTAGTCTCAGTGTAAGTGCTTACAGTTGTGATGGCAGACTGTTCTGTTACAGTCCTGGCTGTTGTTGTGGTTGTGGGTTCAGTAGAGATGGCAGTGGTGGCTGTTGTAGTTGTAGTCTCAGTGACCCTGGCTGCAGTTGTGGTGGCAGACTGTTCACTTGCAGTGCTTGCTCTGGTTGTCATTGTGGGTTCAGTAGAAGCGGTAGTAGTGGCTGTTGTAGCTGTTGTCTCAGTGGAAGTGCCTGTAGTTGTGGTGGCAGACTGTTCAGTTACAGTGCTGGCTGTTGTGGTGGTGGTGGGTTCAGTAGAGGTGGTAGTAATGGCTGTTGTGGTTGTAGTCTCAATGGAAGTGCCTGCAGTTGTGGTGGCAGACTGTTCAGTTACAGGGCTGGCTGTTGTGGTGGTGGTGGGTTCCGTAGAGGTGGTAGTAATGGCTGTTGTGGTTGTAGTCTCAATGGAAGTGCCTGCAGTTGTGGTGGCAG